>NC_000012.12:47460128-48710128 GCF_000001405.40 Homo sapiens | reverse complement strand
TTTGAGGTCAGGAGTTCGAAAACATCCTGGCCAACATGGTGAAACCCCGTCTCTATTAAAAACACAAAAATCAGCCGGGCATGGTGGCGTGCACCTGTAGTCCCAGCTACTCACTTGGGAGGCTGAGGCAGAATTGCTTGAACCCGGGAGGTGGAGGTTGCAGTGAGCTGAGATCGTGCCGTTGCACTCCAGCTTGGGTGACAGAGTGAGACTCCATCTCAAAAAAAAAAAAATGAAGAAACCCAAAGATATTATAATAAATTCCCATGGTAAAAATTAAGACAGTACAGAAATGTATGTGGAAAGTGAAAACTACTCTGTAATCCCACCCAGAGATAACCATTGATAAATGTTTGGTTTATAGTGACCCAGACATTTTTCTGTGCACATAAACTAGCATTGAGGTATTTTTATTTAAAAAATCATATCTTGCTATGCTACTGTTGCACAGCTTGCCTTTATCATGTAACAGTATGTATTGGACATCTTTCCATACTTCCCTTTATTATTTTTTGGATTTCTTATTATTTTAATTTGCCACATGGTATTTGTGTAGTTACTGTAGTTTATTTAACCAGCTTTTTATTGATAGCTATTTGGGTTGTTGTTCTAGTTTATTATATTGTACATTATGTTTCATGGGATAGTCTTGTACATATATAGTGCACTTATATAAGCATTTTAATACAAGTTCCTATAGGTGGAATTGCTGTGCCCAGAGTATACAATGTATAAAAATTTTTGTAGTGTCAGTTTGCCCTACTGAAAGATTATACATTGTTTCCAGCACTGTAGGTGAGGGTCCTTTTCTTTCCACCCTAACAAACAACAAATATTAATTACCTCAAGAAACATTTATCTAGTTCTTTGTTTTTGAAACGGAGTCCCCTCTGTTGCCCAGGAGTGCAGTGGTGCCATAATTTAGTTTAGTTTTATTTTGGTTTTATTAGTTTATGCCATACTTTTAGTTTCTAATAGGCTTAAAACCTTAGTCTTTGACTTGTCCTTTTCCCCTTTGTTCAGTTAGTTATAGTCCCCCCCAACCCCAAGATAGGTTTTTACTCTGTCACCTAGGCTAGGCTGGAGTGCAGTGGTACAATCATAGCTCACTGCAGCCTCCATGTCCTGGGCTCAAGTGATCCTTCCACCTTACCAAGACTACAGTGCCACCACGCCCAGTGAATTTTCCTTTTGATTTTTTGTAGAGATGAGGTCTTGCTATGTTGCTCAGGCTTGAGCTCAAGGGATCCTCCTGCCTTGGCCTCCCAAAGTGCTAGGATTATAGGCAAGAGTCTGCACCCAGCCTATAAAGTCTTGCTAATTTTATAATGTTACCATTTTTTCCCTCTCCTTATAAATATGTACTTTTTAAATTATCAAAAAATTGGAAGAGGACGGACAGGAAATAAAGAGATAATCCTGTTAACATTTTAGAGTATATCCCATTAGAATTTTTTCTTTGTATGCAAGTACATGTACATATATTTAGTGCAGCCCTATTAGTTTTACAAAGTGATGCCTGTGTTTCTTTTTTCCTTTATTTCTACTGCTAGTGTCTAAACTTTTTTTTTTTTCTTTTTTTGAGACAGAGTCTCGCTCTGTGGCCCAGGTTGGAGTGCAATGGCGTGATCTTGGCTCACTGCAACCCCCACCTCCTGGGTTCAAGCGATTCTCCTGCCTCAGCCTCCCAAGTAGCTGGGACCAAAGGCGTGTGCCACCACTCCTGGCTAATTTTTGTATTTTTAGTAGATATGGAGTTTTACCACGTTGTCCAGGCTGTTCTTGAACTCCTGACCTCAGGTGATCTGCCTGCCTTGGCCTCCCAAAGTGCTGGGATTACAGGCGTGAGCCACCACGCCCGGCCTACTCTAAACTTTTTAAAATTCTTTTTTCTATATTTTAAAATAATTTTTAAAAAACAGAGACAGGGTCTCATTGTGTTACGCAGGCTGATCTTGAACTTTGGGCTCAAGTGATTCTCCTGCTTTGGCCTCCCAAAGTGCTCTAAACTTTATGTCCTAATGCCTAAATTATTATTTAAGTTAACTTTTATTTTATTTTTTGAGACAGTATGGCTCTGTTGCCCAGGCTGGAGTACAGTGGCATGATCTTGGCTCACTTCAACCCCTGCCTTCTGGGTTCAGGCAATTCTCCCGAGTAGGTGGGACTACCCTACTACAAGACTCCTGAGTGGTGGTGTGTGCCACCACGCCCGGCTAATTTTTGTGTTTTTAGTAGAGACGGGGTTTCACCATGTTGGCCGGGCTGGTCTTGAATTCCTGACTTCAAGTGATCCGCTACCTCGGCCTCCCAAAGTGCTGGGATTACAGGCGTGAGCCACAACACCCAGCCTGAATTAACTTTTAATGTATCCCATCCTTTTCTCCTAGTTTTACCTACCATCAGATTACTCCTTCTAAATATTACTTTGTTTTAAAAATTTATTTTTATTAATTATCATGGGTACATAATAGTTATATACATTTATCATAAACATTTCTTAAACGATATTTTTCAAAATCTTTAGTGTCACTCTTGTTAAGAATCTTGGCTGGGTGAGGTGACTCACACCTGTAATCCTAGGACTTTGGGAGGCAGAGACAGAATTACTTGAGCCCAGGAGTTTGAGCAGCCTGGACAATGTAGGGAGACCCCATCTCTATTAAAAATAAAAATAAATTAACTGGGTGTGGTGGCGTGTGCCTGTGATCCCAGCTACTTCGAAGGCTGAGATGGGAATATCTCCTGAGCCCAGGAGGTTGAGTGGAACTGTGATTTTGACGCCACTGCACTGCAGCTGGGTGACAGAGTGAGATGCTGTCTCAAAAAAAAAAAAAAAAGAAAGAAAAAAAATCTAGTGTTCCACATCCGATTATCTAATGTATTTAACTACTCAGTTTAGTATTGAAAATGTGCTTTACGCCTAGATCACCATACCTTTGTTCATATCCATTTTTCTCTGATCCTGTTTTGTTTATCCTAAAGTCTGAGGAATATATATGTAGTATGCTTCATATTCATCTGAAACAAATGTGAAGGAAAAGAATCACTGTGTTTACTTAAAACAGTTTTTTCCGTATGTGTATGGAGATGGAGTCTCTCTCACTATGTTGCCCAGGCTGGTCTCGGACTCCTGGGCTCAAGTGATCCCCCGCCTCTGCTTCCCAAAGTGCTGAGATTATAGGCTTGAACCACTGTGTCTGGCCTAAAAAAATTTTGTTTTAAATTATTTTTGTCTCCTATGGTCTTGTCTGAAATCAATACTATGAGTTGAATTTGTGGAGAAAAACTTACTCTAGAAAAGTATAGCATAGGTGACATCAGGGTTACAAATAAGTATTAGAATATCAGTTCTAGTCAGTAAAATGAAATATATATTTAAATTCTGTAAAATTATTTATGTATTTCTTTGACTCCTGGTGAAATACAGCTCTTAGCATTACTATCTTTGAGTCACTGAAATGTTCTTAATATTCAAGAAAAGTTCTATTTCCTGAAGTTTCCAAGATCACCAGGCTACATTTATGTCATATTGCTTTAATCTTTTATAAAGTTTGTTATCTACTTTTATATTGACTTCAATTTTTCCCTCTTAATGCTTTCTATAAATAATGTCTTGCATATAATGCCATGCTTTGTATTTTTGAAAGGTTCGATATGTATAAGTAATTGAGATATAATTCACGTACAATGAAATTCGTTTGTTTAAATTATATAGTTCACTGGTTTTTAGTATATGCGCAAAATTGTGCAACCATCAGCACAGTCTAATTGCAGAACATTTACATCACCCCAGAAAACTCCTCACCTATTAGCAGTTATTCCTATACTCCTCTCCCCGCAGCTCCTGGCAACCACTAAACTTTTTCTCTATATGGATTTGCGTATTCTGGACATTTCAGTTTACTCCTTAAAAAATGTATTGAGTGATTTGATACAAACTTAATAAAGAATCTCACTTTAAATAGAAAACTGTCTGCTTACATCTAGTAGCTTCTCCCATAGACAGCTTTTAATGACAGTTTGTCAAAGAATTGGTATTTGGAAGTGGAGATGGATTAATGGGTAGGAGAGGGGAAGATGGTAGAAGCGGGGGGGCGGGAAAGGGTAAAGAGGTGACAAAGTTGAGGCAAGCAAATAACTTGATTTGAGACTTAGCTCCTCTTTAGATCTACCTTACTCTATGAATGAATAAATTGATAATAAATATGATTTATTTTCTCTCCATTCAGTCTGTGGCTCCAGCAGCCTTGTTTCTAGCAGCTAAAGTGGAGGAGCAGCCCAAAAAATTGGAACATGTCATCAAGGTAGCACATACTTGTCTCCATCCTCAGGAATCCCTTCCTGATACTAGAAGTGAGGTAGGAGATTAATTACACATCTGTTTTTCTTAATTTTTTTCCTTTCTTTTTTTTTCCCTACTCCCAAGCATGCCTGGATCTTTATGTATTTCAATGCAACTTAATTTTATAACTTCGATTTATTGAAGTTTAGATTGGTGTTGTTAAAAGAATATTTTAGTGTTTGTGTTTTTCTTAACAGTAAGAAAATCAGGCCAGGTATGGTGGCTCACCATACCTGTAATCCTAGCACTTTGGGAGGGTAAGGTGGGAGAATCACTTTAGGCCAGAAGTTTAAGACCAACCTGGACAACATAGCAAGACCCTGTCTCTATATTTAAAAAAAAGAAAAAAAAAAGCCAGATGTGGTGGCTCATGCCTGTAATCCCAGCACTTTGGGAGGCTGAGGCAGGAGAATTGCTTGAGTCCAGTTCGAGACAAGCTCTGGCAACAAAGTGAGACCCCATTTCTACAAAAAAAGAAAAACAACAACAACAACAACAACAAAAAACAACTGGGCATGCTGGCTCACATCTTTAGTCCCAGCTACTTGGGAGACTGAGGTGGGAGGGTTGCTTGAGCATGGGATGTTGAGGCTGCAGTGAGCCATGATCACACCACTGCAGGCAACAGTGCCAGGACTCTGTCTGAAAAACAAAACACATAAATTTTATGGCGAAAGTTTTGTATTTGTTGCAGTAAAATTTGAAAATACAGAAAAATTCAAGAATAAAATATCTCTCAGATATATTCTAGACCAATGGTCCCAGACCTTTTTTGGCACCTGGGACTGGTTTCATGGGAGACAGTTTTTACATGGACAGGGGGTGGGGTTGGAGATGGTTTTGGGATGATTCAAGCACATTACATTTATTGTTCACTTTATTTCTATTATTGTTACATTGTTATACATAATGAAATAATTACGTAACTCACCATAACGTAGAATCAGTGGGAGCCCTGAGCATCTCTTTTTTTTTGAGACGGAATCTTGCTCTTGTCGCCAGGCTGGAGTGCAGTGGCGCAATCTCGGCTCACTGCAACCTCCACCTGCCGGTTTCAAGCGATTCTCCTGCCTCAGCCTCCTAAGTAGCTGGGACTACAGGTGTGCACCACCACACACAGCTAATTTTTGTATTTTTAGCAGAGACAGGGTTTCACCATGTTAGCCAGAATGGTCTCGATCTCTTGACCTTGTGATCTGCCCGCCTTGGCCTCCCACAGTGGTGGGATTACAGGCATGAGCCACTGTGCCCGGCCACCTTGAGGTGCTTTTCCTGCAACTAGATGGTCCCATCTGGGGGTGATGGGAGACAGTGACAGATCATCAGGCATTAGATTCTCATAAAGAGCAGCAAATTAGATCCCTTGCATGGGCAGTTCACCACAGGGTTCAAGTGCTCCTATAAGAATCTAATGCCACTGCTGATCAGACAAGAGGCAGTGCTCAGGTGGCAATATGTATGGTGGGGAGAGGCTATAAATACAGATGAAGCTTCACTCACTCGTACCTGCTGCTCAACTCCTGCTGTGTGGCCTAGTTCATAACAGGCCATGGACCCCCTGTTATATAGACAACTGAAGCACAGGTATACTAATGAACCACTGTTATTTGTGGCTTCTTTTCTATAGATAGCTATGTGTGCATGTATTTTGTCTCTGGTTTGTTTTCATTTGCTTACTATATCCCAAATATTTTCCCATCTGATGGATTCTCTACTTTTTAAAAATGTCTGGCTAGTATTTAATGATATATATGTGAATGTATGTATTTTTAACAATTCTCCATGAAGAAGTCTAGATAATTTCTAGCTTTTAAAATCACTATAAATGTTATGAAAAATATTCTTTTTTTTTTTTTTGGAGACAGGGTCTCATTCTGTTGCCCTGGCTGGAGTCCAGTAGTGTGATCATGGCTCACCGCGGCCTTGACCTTCCGGGCTCAGTGATCCCCCTGACCTCAGCATCCCGAGTAGCTGGGACTATAGGTGTGCGCCACCATGCCCAGCTAGTTTTTGTAGAGATGGGGTTTCACCATGTTGCCCAGGCTGCTCTCGACCTCCTGAGCTCAAGTAATTCGCCCACCTTGGCCTCCCAAGTGCTGGGATTACAGGCGTGAGCCACTGCACCTGGCTGAAAAATATTATTATACATTTTTATTATGGATCCTTAAATGAGTAGTTTCACTATTTTTTTTTTTTTTAACTTTTTTTTCGAGTTGGAGTTTTGCTCTTGTTGCCCAGGATTGAGTGCAATGGTGCAATCTCAGCCAACCGCAACCTCCCCCTCCTGGGTTCAAGCGATTTGCCTGCCTCAGCCTCCCGAGTAGCTGGGATTACAGGCATGTGCCACTACACCCGGCTAATTTTGTATTTTTAGTTGAAACGGGGTTTCTCCATGTTGGTCAGGCTGGTCTCGAACTCCTGACCTGAGGTTATCCACCTGCCTCAGCCTCCCAAAGTGCTGGGATTATAGGCGTGAGCCACCATGTCCAGCCAGCTTTGTTTTTTTTGAGACAGAATCTCGTTTTGTTGCCCAGGATAGAGTGCAGTGGCAAGATTGTAGCCAGGATGGTCTCGATCTCTTGACCTTGTGATCCGCCCGCCTTGGCCTCCCAAAGTGCTGGGATTACAGGTGTGAGCCACTGCACCCGGCCACCCTGAGCTTCTTTTCCTGCAACTAGATGGTCCCATCTACGGGTGATGGGAGACAGTGACAGATCATCAGGCATTAGATTCTCATAAAGAGCAGGTGATCATTTCACCTCAGCCTCCCAAGTTGCTAGGACTATAGCTGCGTGCCACCACTCCCAGTTAATTTTTATTTTTTTGTAGAGATAGGGGTCTTACCATGTTACCCAGGCTGGTCTTGAACTCTTGGCCTTCAAAGAATCCTCCCATACTGGCCTCCCAAAGTGTTAGAATTCCAGGTGTGAGCAACCATGCCTAGCTACATTTTTTTTTTCTTTTTTTGAGATGGAGTCTCGCTCTGTCACCCAGGCCGGAGTGCCGTGGTGCGATCTCAGCTCACTGCAACCTCCACCTCCCAGGTTCAAGAAATTCTCTGCCTCAGCCTCCTGAATAGCTGGGATTACTACCTGCATTCACTCTATGGAACAAGCCAAGGTTCACGCCCACCATCACACCCAGCTAATTTTTTAGTATTTTTAATAGAGACAGGGTTTCACCATATTGGCCAGGCTGATCTTGAACTCCTGACCTCGTGATACACCTGCTTTGGCCTCCCTAAGTGCTGGGATTACTGGCGTGAGCCACCGCACCCGGCCCATTCTTTATTTTTTAACTGTCTAAAAAATCCAGTGTATTTTATGGTTATAGCACGTTTCAATTTAGCTACATTTCAAGTGATGAATGGCTACATGTGGCTAGTGGCTATAGCTTTGGCTGGCACAAATCTGAGTGAATTTTCTTATTACCTTTTCCTTTGAACTCTTCTGTTACTTTTTAGAAACCTAACATGGCCCCAAAGGGGAAGTTCTAATAGGAGCCAAATGTTTGGTATTAAATGCTTACAGTACTGTAGGAAGGTTCTGCAAATGTATTTTGGTGATGTTGAAAAATATATACTTTATGGCCAGGCGCGGTGGCTCATGCCTGTAATCCTAGCAATTTGGGAGGCTGAGGCGGGTGGATCACCTGAGGTCAGGGGTTCAAGACCAGCTTTGCCAATATGGTGAAACCCCGTCTCTACTAAATATACAAAAACTAGCCGGGCGTGGTGGTGGGCTCCTGTAATCCCACCTACTCGGGAGGCTGAGGCAGGAGAATCGCTTGAACCTGGGAGGCAGAGGTTGCAGTGAGGCGAGGTCGCGCCACTGCACTCCAGCCTGAGCAGCAGAGCGAGACTCCCTCTCAAAAAAAAAGGCCGGGTGCGGTGGCTCACGCCTGTAATCCCAGCACTTTGGGAGGCCGAGGTGGGCGGATCATCTGAGGTTGGGGGTTTGAGACCAGCCTGACCAACATGGAGAAACCTCGTCTCTACTAAAAATACAAAATTAGCTGGGTGTGGTGGTGCATGCCTGTAATCCCAGCTACTCGGGAGGCTGAGGCAGGAGAATTGTTTGAACCGGGAGGCAGAGGTTGTGGTGAGCCGAGATTGTGCCATTGCACTCCAGCCTGGGCAACAAGAGCGAAACTCCAACTCAAAAAAAAAAGAAAAAAGAAAAGCAAAAAATACATACTTTTAATTTTCTTTTCTCTAAATCACATGAACCATAAAACTTAAATATTAACCTGAAAATGAACCAAATATATGGTGCTTTTTCTGTAGCCATATATAAACTGTTACCTCTCAGCATACTACTTATTTATTTATTTTTTAAAGAAAATGTGTACTGAATGGGCATAAGGGATAAAGATTGTATTTCACAAAAAAATTAGCCGGGCGTGGTGTTGCGCGCCTGGAATCTTAGCTACTTGGGAGGCTGAGGCAGGGGAATTGCTTGAACCAGGGAGGTGGAGGTTGCAGTGAGTCGAGATCACACCACTGCACTCCAGCCTGGGTGACAGAGGGAGACTCTGTCTAAAAAAAAAAAAAAAAAAAAAAAAAAAGATTGTATTTCAGTTCTTAACTCTACCTCCTAACTCCACTCATGCCTTTTATTGTTTTGGTTTCCCTGGAAGGGATTGTTAGAATTGTTTATACTTTATATATTGTGCCTTTGTAGGGAATAATTTCTGTCTTCTCACTTTTAGGCTTATTTGCAACAAGTTCAAGATCTGGTCATTTTAGAAAGCATAATTTTGCAGACTTTAGGTAAGTTTATTTTCCTTTGAAACATTTTTTTAAATTATGCAATAAAATGATTTGATTCTAAAAATTTGCTATATAGGAAGAATATTTCTTGGGAAAGTTTTTGTAGTGTCCCTCTGTTTCCAGATGATAGAGGTTGTAGACCTGAGTTTAGCTTTGACCTGTTCCATAGAGTGAATGCAGGTAGTACAGCTGACCTTTGAAACAGCAGCCAGTGGGTTATTATTTTTTTCATTCTAGGGTTATTTGCTTTTTAAGTTTTGGTGATTTTTACCCCCAAAAATTATAAAAACTATCTAAAGAATGTTTTTCCTTCCGTGGATTGTTATGGCCTGTAACAGCATTTGTTTTTAAAATTGGTAACTAGTGTTTAGAACAGCAGAGTGAAAGTGGGGGAACTTAAGCTTTAGTGGTTGCATGGGCAACTCTGATGATATTGTGTTATTATCTGTTATTTTCATCACACAGGCTGCCTTTAGAAGTTTAGAAAATATGAAAATACAGATTTTTTTTTTCCTGGTTCTTTTGGGCTATCATTTTTCTCTTCTAGGTAGGGTAAGATTTCATGAGTTGTACGTCAAAGTTATTGGCGTAGACACAATTTTTTTTGTACATATATATATATGATGAGTTCTTCAAAGTTTATCTCTCAATTTATTCTAGTTAACTTTTTTCTTTTTCTTTTTTTTTTTTTTTTGAGACGGAGTCTTGCTTTGTCGCCCAGGCTGGAGTGCAGTGGCACAATCTTGGCTCATTGCAACCTCCGCCTCCTGGGTGCACGCCATTCTCCTGCCTCAGCCTCCAGAGTAGCTGGGACTACAGGCGCCCGCCACCACGCCCAGCTAAATTTTTGTATTTTTAGTAGAGATAGGGTTTCACCGTGTTAGCCAGGATGGTCTTGATCTCCTGACCTTGTGATCCGCTCGCCTCGGCCTCCCAAAGTGCTGGGATTACAGGCTTGATCCACCGCGCCCAGCCTCTAGTTAACTTTTTTCTTAAAATATCTTCAAATTATATTTCATGGGACAATGATGTTTTTCTGGTGGAATAAATTTCTATTAATATTTTAGTGTGGAAACCAGTAAGGTGTAATTTACAATCAGTTATCCTTTTACAATAATTTGTAAAATGTAAACTTCTTAATAGTTTTTTAATCCATTACTTTTTCTTTTAAGGCTTTGAACTAACAATTGATCACCCACATACTCATGTAGTAAAGTGCACTCAACTTGTTCGAGGTAAGGAATCCCAGCTTATGAAGACTATCTCAAGCTGTTTTCCCATTTAGAGGTTGTGGTTTGTGGTGGACAATACATAATAGTTCTGCTTTGGCTAAATTTAAAGGCCTACTTGGCTTAAATCAAAATGAGTTGTTCTGACTTGATGTTTTTCTGTTGGGTTCTTACAAGTAATATTTTTAGATGATCTCTAGTTAAAGAGAACTAACCTCTTGAGAATGTTTGTCAAAGTTGGGCAGTTTGTGAAGTTATTTAACAGAAATTTTATGAAAGTTGTGAGGAGTGGGTGATCTTATTTTAATTCTGGGGTTGATTAAAGGCCACCTAGAGGATCATACAGAATTTATTTGGACTTTCCATGATATACAATCCCTTGGCAGAACTTTTCTTTTTAATTCTAATTTAACAATATTAGGTATAATTGAATGAAACTCTCTTATTTAGTTTAGTATCAAGAATATCTGAACACTATTGTGCCTTTAAGTGCCTTTTATGATTTTTAGGCCAAACTGATAATTGGTCTTATTTTACATTTTACTAATATGTGTTTCCTGTGAAAATTCCCAAATTTTCCTGAGTTCTTTATATTTGAAAGTATTAAAATGTTATATTGCACAAGGATAAGACTAGAGATGGGTGTATGTTAATATTGAGAAGACTATGTCCTGAGGAAGATAAAAATTTGCTTTGTCACCCAGAACAGTTTGTTTTGGAAGAAGTTAAATTTTTTCATTGTAATATATTACATTATTTGATGATTTGGGGATTAATTAATTAAATCTTAATTAGGGCTACTTAATTAAAAACTTTTTTTTTTTTTTGAGACGGAGTTTTGCTCTTGTTGCCCAGGGTGGAGTGCAGTAGCACGATCTCAGCTCACCACAACCTCCGCCTCCCGGGTTCAAGCGATTCTCCTGCCTCAGTCTTCCGAGTAGCTGGGATTACAGGCATGCGCCACCACCCCAGCTAATTTTTTATTTTTAGTAGAGACGGGGTTTCTCCATGTTGGTCAGGCTGGTCTTGAACTCTGGACCTCAGGTGATCCGCCCACCTCGGCGTCCCAAAGTGCTGGGATTACAGGCGTGAGCCACCGTGCCCAGCCTTAATTAAAAACTTTCTTAACAGCAAAAGTCACTTTTCCCAAATATGTCAAAGTCTTCTAGATTCTGATCTTGCTTCTAGATCATCTTAGTTCATCCTGTAGTTTAGTGATTCTCAGTGAATCCTTACATCAGAATCTCTGGGTTACTTGTTAAAAAATGCTTGCACCCTTCTCCAAACATTTAATTAAATTTTAGGGAGCAGGTCCAAGAATTGCATTTAAACAAGTACCTCAGATATGTGGTGTGCAGAATAAAGCTTGAGTACCTAGATCTGGAAGCAGCATAGTTATTAATGTTAAAATTAAAAATCATTGATCTGTCTACTTTGGCAGAATGTAAACGTCAGGTTTACAGGGACCATGTGTGTCTCATTTGCCACTATATTCACAGTACCTTGCAAATATTAAATGCTTACTAAATATTTGTTGAGAATGAATGGAACTAATAACTTTTTTCCTCCCCCACCCCTGACTTTTTTTTTTTTTCTTTAGCAAGCAAGGACTTAGCACAGACTTCTTACTTCATGGCAACCAACAGGTTTATATTTTAATTTTTTTTTCTCTTCGATTTTTGGTATAGGACTTTACTTGAGTTTGATACAGTGTGCTATAGATAATTCTCTGGTGAATGTTGATTTTTCTGCACAGTTTTCATGTTGTACTTTAAATTTCCATGGTACTTTTTAATTTTCTAAGGTTATGTAATTATTTAGTACTGATTTTTTTGATAACCTACTCAGTTCTGCATGATAGTGACTGAAAATCTAATTTGGAGTATTCTGCAATAATTATATGTGTATATATATATATATATATATATTTTTTTTTTTTTTTTTAAATTATTATTATTATTTTTTGAGACAGAGTCTTGCTCTGTTGCCCAGGCTGGAGTGCAGTGGCACAATATCAGCTCACTGCAAGCTCCACCTTCCAGGTTTACACCATTCTCCTGCCTCAGCCTCCCGAGTAGCTAGGACTACAGGTACCCGCCACCACGCCCAGCTAATTTTTGTGTTTTTAGTAGAGATGGGGTTTTACCTTGTTAACCAGGATGGTCTCGATCTCCTGACCTCGTGATCTGCCCACCTCAGCCTCCCAAAGTGCTGGGATTACAGGCATATATATATATATATATATATATTTTTTTTTTTTTAAGACAGAGTCTCACTCTGTCTACCAGGCTGGACTGAAGTGGTGCGATCTTGGCTCACTGCAACCTCTGCCTCCCGGGTTCAAGTGATTCTCCGGCCTCAGCCTCTTCACTAAGCTGGGATTATAGACTGGCGCCACCATGCCCCGCTAATTTTTTTGTATTTTCAGTAGAGAT
The DNA here is from genome assembly GCF_000001405.40 of Homo sapiens. Classification (NCBI taxonomy): domain Eukaryota; kingdom Metazoa; phylum Chordata; class Mammalia; order Primates; family Hominidae; genus Homo; species Homo sapiens. Next base: position 48,697,348 of record NC_000012.12, on the reverse strand, counting down.
GGGGTTTCGCTATGTTGACTAGGCTGGTCTCAAACTCCTGGCCTCAAGTGATCCGCCTGCCTTGGCTTCCCAAAGTGCTGGGATTACAGGTGTAAACCACTGTGCCTGGCCAATAATTATATTTTAAAATATTCCTTTTTCTTCCCCCTCTATCAATCAATGGGCACTTATGGATGTTAAGAGTTTCAGTCTTTTTCCTTCTTCCCTTTTTAAAAAAAGTAAATGAGACTGGGCACAGTGGCTCATACCTGTAATCCCAGGCTGAGGCTGGTGGATCACTTGAGGCTAGGAGTTCGAGACCAACCTGGCCAACATGGTGAAACCACATCTTTACTAAAAAATACGAAAATTGGCAGGGCAAGGTGGCACATGCATGTAGTACCAGCTACTCGGGAGGCTGAGGCACGAGAATTGCTTGAACCCAGGAGGCAGAGGGTGCTGTGAGCCGAGATTGCCCCACTGCACTGCAGCCTGGGTGACAGAGAGAGAGACTCTGTCTAAAAAAAGTAAATGATTAGTACATAACTTGTATTACCAAATGACTTGCCCAACATTGTTAGTTAATGGAAACCAATGATATCCCTAGTAACTGTCAGGGCTAAGAAGTTCATTTTTATAGCCTGTTACGAAAAAGTTTTGAAATAAACCAACATATTTATACTTGAGAGAGTAGTTGTCTGTTTATTATTTTAAATAGACCAGAACTATGATTGGTGAGAGACAAATTATTTTTAAGATATTTCCTTAAGTTTTTGATTTACGGATTACACAGACCAAAAAGCTTACAATTTTCCTTAGGATCTGAGCTTAGTCTCAGGATAATAGGTAATAAATATTGACTTCTAGGCTTGAATACTGGCCCAGAAGTCAATGTTTTAAAGAACTTGAATTCCCAGCCTTTTTCCTTTTTTCCTTTTTTTTTTTTTTGGCTCTGGTCAATGTGTAGATTAAGTGATGTGTAATTCAAGAGTTTTTAAAATGTTGTTACCTGAACAGGTGGGTTAATAGGAAATTATATTGAGTGCTAGATCAGAGCATTGCATATTTCTTACCCTTCTTACTCTCCTGTCTATTTTTAAGCCTTTTTTTTTTTTTTTTTTTTTTTTTTTAAATAATGGAGAGTTTTAGCTTTGGGCTGAGAATTGAGAGCTCATGACACTCTCTGTTTTCTTCCCTCTGATGTCAGCCTGCATTTGACCACATTTAGCCTGCAGTACACACCTCCTGTGGTGGCCTGTGTCTGCATTCACCTGGCTTGCAAGTGGTCCAATTGGGAGATCCCAGTCTCAACTGACGGGAAGCACTGGTGGGAGTATGTTGACGCCACTGTGACCTTGGAACTTTTAGATGGTAAGTTTTAGAGTAAGGGACCTTGAAAAGCACTTGCTGTTGATCTGTCACATAGCTGGCCAAAGGTGACTTGATTCAGATGAAAATAGTTAGTTAGTAGTTCAGGTTATTCTTGTTTCATTACTTCTGTTTCTCTCAGTCTTTCTTGAATGTTCTGTTTTACTTGTAGAACTGACACATGAGTTTCTACAGATTTTGGAGAAAACTCCCAACAGGCTCAAACGCATTTGGAATTGGAGGGTAAGAATCATTACTGTCAGCTTGTGGAACAAAATCAATTTCTTTTGACTGCACCAGTGAATATACCAGTATTGAATATGTACCCTAGGTTTGGAATTGCCCTTTTTATAGTTACACAGTAATCATGACTTCTACTTCATACCTTGGATACTGTTGTAAAAGTCAGTGTCTCTATGGGATAGCAGGATTTGCTTTTCATTGTGTAACTCCTGTGATATGATCATTTGAGCAGTAACACTGGTTCAGTATTTTCTGTGTGGAAACTGGTAGGGAAAAAACATGGCTTCTCGGAGTTAGAGTATTGGCTTCTGGTAGAGGCAAGATAGAGAATTACAAGGTTAGAGCCGGTATCACAGTTTTGTGTTTGACATTACCTACTTTTAAAATGGATTTTAGAATTTTGTTTTTATATAGGCTGTAGTCTGAAGTTGTATTTCAAATACTTGTCAAAGCCTTATTCAGGAATAATGGAATCATTCCTTTTTTTTCTGTCAGATATAAAACTTGTTTTAAAATGTTTCCATTGTTTTCTCCTAAATCCAGACAGAAAAAGTTAATTTCATTCTCCTGAGTTGAGTGAGTGGCAGAGAGTGAGTTTGCCTCTTAGAAGCCTGAGATTAGAAGTAGGCTTGAGAGGCCGGGCATGGTGGCTCATGCCTGTAGTCCCAGCACTTTGGGAGGCCAAGGCAGGCGGATCAACTGAGGTCAGGAGTTCGAGACCAGCCTGGCCAACATGGTGAAACCTCGTCTCTACTAAAAATACAAAAATTAGCCAGGCATGGTGATGCACACCTGTAGTTCCAGCTACTTGGGAGGCTGAGACAGGAGAATCGCTTGAACTCGGGACGTTAGGTTGCAGTGAGCCGAGATTGTGCCACTGCACTCCAGCCTGGATGACAAAGTGAGACTCTGTCTCAAACAAACAAACAAACAAAAAACAACAGTAACAACAAAAAAGAAGTAGGCTTGAGAGCACATCTTTTACTTTAGCATAAAACCTCACCAAAATTTCTAGAACTCAGTTATGGACTAACTATAATCATAAGCGAAGGCATGGATGTTCATGTATGAATTTTAGATAAGCATAGATTCTTTGTTGTTATTATTGCTTTGTAACGTTTGGATAGATTGCTGTGACTCTTAATTGAAGGTTTTAAAATCTTCTCTTGATGGTAATATTTATTGGATTACATGTTAGGATAGCCTCCTGCCTGTGGCCTATCCAGAACTTCCAGTGTTGCTGCAAGTACAATCTACTCATCTCAGTGTTTTTTTATTTAGTAAATTACCTAAGTAAAGAGATGCTATTTGCTTCATTGCAGGCATGCGAGGCTGCCAAGAAAACAAAAGCAGATGACCGAGGAACAGATGAAAAGACTTCAGAGCAGACAATCCTCAATATGATTTCCCAGAGCTCTTCAGACACAACCATTGCAGGTTTAATGAGCATGTCAACTTCTACCACAAGTGCAGTGCCTTCCCTGCCAGTCTCCGAAGAGTCATCCAGCAACTTAACCAGTGTGGAGATGTTGCCGGGCAAGCGTTGGCTGTCCTCCCAACCTTCTTTCAAACTAGAACCTACTCAGGGTCATCGGACTAGTGAGAATTTAGCACTTACAGGAGTTGATCATTCCTTACCACAGGATGGTTCAAATGCATTTATTTCCCAGAAGCAGAATAGTAAGAGTGTGCCATCAGCTAAAGTGTCACTGAAAGAATACCGCGCGAAGCATGCAGAAGAATTGGCTGCCCAGAAGAGGCAACTGGAGAACATGGAAGCCAATGTGAAGTCACAATATGCATATGCTGCCCAGAATCTCCTTTCTCATCATGATAGCCATTCTTCAGTCATTCTAAAAATGCCCATAGAGGGTTCAGAAAACCCCGAGCGGCCTTTTCTGGAAAAGGCTGACAAAACAGCTCTCAAAATGAGAATCCCAGTGGCAGGTGGAGATAAAGCTGCGTCTTCAAAACCAGAGGAGATAAAAATGCGCATAAAAGTCCATGCTGCAGCTGATAAGCACAATTCTGTAGAGGACAGTGTTACAAAGAGCCGAGAGCACAAAGAAAAGCACAAGACTCACCCATCTAATCATCATCATCATCATAATCACCACTCACACAAGCACTCTCATTCCCAACTTCCAGTTGGTACTGGGAACAAACGTCCTGGTGATCCAAAACATAGTAGCCAGACAAGCAACTTAGCACATAAAACCTATAGCTTGTCTAGTTCTTTTTCCTCTTCCAGTTCTACTCGTAAAAGGGGACCCTCTGAAGAGACTGGAGGGGCTGTGTTTGATCATCCAGCCAAGATTGCCAAGAGTACTAAATCCTCTTCCCTAAATTTCTCCTTCCCTTCACTTCCTACAATGGGTCAGATGCCTGGGCATAGCTCAGACACAAGTGGCCTTTCCTTTTCACAGCCCAGCTGTAAAACTCGTGTCCCTCATTCGAAACTGGATAAAGGGCCCACTGGGGCCAATGGTCACAACACGACCCAGACAATAGACTATCAAGACACTGTGAATATGCTTCACTCCCTGCTCAGTGCCCAGGGTGTTCAGCCCACTCAGCCCACTGCATTTGAATTTGTTCGTCCTTATAGTGACTATCTGAATCCTCGGTCTGGTGGAATCTCCTCGAGATCTGGCAATACAGACAAACCCCGGCCACCACCTCTGCCATCAGAACCTCCTCCACCACTTCCACCCCTTCCTAAGTAAAAAAAGAAAAAGAAGAGGAGAAAAAAACTTCTTTAAAAAAACACATAATTTTTCTTTTTTTTTTTTGGACTAAGAAAATTACTTATGAAATATGTCATCCTTGGACTAGGGAATAAATTGATATTGAGACATAGTTAGGAGGGTGGTAGAAGGCCTTGGCTATATATCTGCTGTCTCATGCATTTAACTATTTTCTTACAGTTTTTACTGGTATTAGAGAGGTGTTGAAGCTGTGAAGGATTAAGGACACATTCTGAATTCTTGGCCTCTCCACCATCTAATTAGGTTGATTGGAGTTGATATCTTCCCTCTTCTTGCCAGAGCTGAAAAATGGAGGGTTTCTTGTATCAGACAATTGTGGATCCTTTCGGTGTTTAATATATCAGAAGAGAGGAAGTATTTAAACGTCAAATCTTTTAATAGACTTAATAATTTAAAGAAAGTAAGTTATCTGTTTAGTTTTTTTATATAATTGGGAAGGGGATAGGGATTTTGCTGTGTGTATATGATACATAGCAGTAACTCCTGGTGGGTGGGATTGGAGGGTGGGAATGTGTGAGGGTGGGTGGGAGGCTAGGTTTTTGGCTAGGAGTTCTGAAATAGGCTCAGGCCACTTTTTTCAGACTTTTAAGTGTGTATGTAAGTGTGGGTATGTGTGTTTTTAAGTGTGTGTGTTTAAAAATAATGTTTTATCTTCCCTCCCTGTTCCTTACCGTTTTCATTTTCCAACAGTCTACTAGAGAAAAACATGGTTGGCCTTGAGAACATAAAGGAAGAGGCATGTATTTGACATGGTATTTTTCCCTTTCTTTATGTTATAATTGAGTAGTAGCCCTCTAATTTGTAGTTTGGGCAAGTACAGCCAACACCCTGACTCTTAACCTTATTATGAGAACTTCCTTTTTACCCCTTTTTTTGTTTTTGTGCAAAACAGAGATGGGGTTGAGGAAGGAGGGTTGGCGAGCAAGGCCAGCTTCTGCCCTACAGAATTGGGTGTGTCTTTTTTTTCAAGTGAGGCTTTGGGAAAGTGTTCAAATGAGAGCAGTCTTAAGGTCTCTAAGAGATGGGGAATGTGCTATGTATATCCTGCCTGTGAAAGCCCAAACCATATGGGAGAAGCTAGAGGATACTAAAAACAATGAAATTGTGATTTGGAAGTTTAGAACATTGTTTTAAAAATTACATTATAAATGTAAGACATGCTTTTTATGTGTATATCCGAAGGGAAACAGCTACATCCTCAAGTTTTTGCAGCCTATATGACTTGAGATTGGAGCTTGTGAATTTAACAGTACTGGTGCCATGAGAATGAGCAAAGCCTAGCCAATGGATACTATTGTGTTTAGATTGTTCATCTTTGGTAGCTTTAGGTTCTTGATCGAGGTTCTTAAGATTTCTAAGTCCTTTATAAAAATAGGTCAAGAGTCCTGTTGTTATGGAGGCTTGATTATCCCAGATATTAGGAGTGAACATTTTTAATAAATCTTTCAGAAAATCTTGGCTAGAAAGAATTCTAAGTTAGTTGTCTAACCACTGAAAACTACCTAGCCAGAGATCATTTAATGAGATATTCTTTGATCTTCATTGCATTTTTTTTGCTCTGGAAAAGGTGGTTCAATTTGAGTTTGTTTTCATGATTTGATTGCAGCTTACTTCATGCCAAGGATTTTTTAGGGAGAGGTCGAATTATTTTTCATTTGGAAGTCATAGGGAGACAGGAGTTGTACTTATGCTGCTACTTGCCAGGAACAGGTTGGGAAGAAAATTGTGGCTGTTGGAATTGATGATGTACTGGCCTAATATAGAAAGGAATTTGTAGGCAGGAGTAAACGTTAACTGACGGTGGGTTAGTGCCCTGCATCTTGCATATTTGAACTGTCTAGAGTTCCTGCCATTGCTGGGTATAAAACGAGGAGCTCTCTGTTGACCTGTAAATCATTAATACTTCTTGACTTAGAGTGTCACTTCACTTTATAGATGACATTTTCCTCTTTCCCCTTGATATTTTCTATGTTGTGTTAGATAATTGGTAGATATATAGTTGTGGTTTAGTACATTTAGGGCTTCTATTTATTTAGATTTTGTTTGTTGGAGTCTGTTTCCAAAAGGGAATGTGCCATTTAGTCTGCATCTGTATCTTTGTGGACTTGATGATCACTGGTTTGATTTTGAAAAATGTCTTTTCCAGCTTTTAGTTACTCTCATCAAATGTCACATATTTTCTAATCACATGCACTCCTTTACCACAGAGGCACATAATCATTTGGCCTCATAGCAGTTATCCATGGCCGTACTGTAGTAAAGTTCCTTAGAACTTTGCCAGGAGTGAACTAGAAAAAAGTGCTTACTAGGGCCTAAGAGTTGCTTTGTGCCGTGTAGTCCGGCCTTTGCACTAGTAGATCATTGCTGACATAGGTCAGTTTAGAGACCTTTCTGTGTTAATGCCTCCTGGTACTGTCTTAAGATACGTACAGTGTCTGTTTTTAGATCTATGCATATGTCATGAAGCTCCTTGTGGGCTCTGCATGAAGCTGCTGCTTTGTTTTTGGGTTAACAGATGTGCCTGTCAACTAGCATGTGTATTGTCCAAATTCCATAAACTTAAGGTTTTTAAGGGCTGTGTGGTTTCTGAGCTCTATGTGTCTTTCCTATCCTTGTACCTTCAAAGGGTGAGAAATGAGATTTATACATCCAAAGTTAGTCTGATAAATATGGCTTTTTGTTTCTCCATGTAACCTAGACTGTCAAAAATAAGTGATGGTGATAAGTAGGCCTGGAGCCTCAGCTTCTGTAAATCTCATTCCTAAAATTTTGCTAGACTCGTGTTGGCAAAAACAAATACCTGTGGATTGTCCTTAAGGCTTTTAATCAGATACCTGTGTTGCTGTTAGCTGAACTGTAGTGAAGCATCGATCCAAATCGGTCTTCTGAAGTATCAGTTATGCTTTTGAGTTTAGAAAATACTTAGGTGTTAGTCTAGTCTTCCCATTCATGAATCAGTGTATGTCCATATCAGAGAGCCTCAACTTCTTTTTTCTTCCTTTTTAAAAATGATTTTAGTGTTTTGATTTAGTGTATACTACATAGTTCAGTATTATTGGCTTTACCAGTGTTGACAGAAAAATTTTAAATCTCCAGTTGCAAACAGCAATGGATTAGGATATGGAAATAAAATCATGGTGACATCACTGCTGAGTTATCTTAAACCTCTGCTACTTAATTCTCCATATTGAAATGCATACTCCTCCACATACATGGCTTCCAAGTAAAGGCAATTGTAGAGGGGCCCTGTCTATCCCAGTATGGTTGGATTTTAAACATATCTGTGTTTCCGTTATTTTGGGAACTGATTAATATTTACAATTTTTTTTGTTTATGAGTTATTTTGATACTAAGAAAAGAGAGAATCTAGAACATCTTGCAGTTGAAATACAAATTTTATTCTTTTGGTCTTGGGAGAATTTAAGCAGTCTATGCAACTCATCAAATGGTGAGAAATAGCCCTCCGAGGTTCCAGTAAGCTTTCAGTGACTTTGATACCTCCCCAAGTTTCTTGAGTTGCTGCTTGTTAACACCCAGCTTTTAACTGAGTGTTTGCTCCTGATGGTTTAGGAGATTTTCATGTTGTATCACACTGTCAAGTTTTATTTTGTCTTTTTATCCCTCCGTGGATGTGAGTTTGAAACAAGCACGGTACAGTAATCCTGCCTGATAGAGTAGTCTGGAATGAGAATTACTTTTTGGGTGAGAGAGTTCTCCATTTTAATGTTTCTAAAGTTTTTCATATGAACTTGGCATTGGAAAAGGGAGGTAAAGAAAAAGGACGTTTACTAAAAGCAGTGTCTACTCTTCCCCTTTGTGAGTGTTTATTCATGGCTAATGAAAAAAAGAGAAGGACTCTTGGGTTTTGTGTTGCCATGTTAAGCATGGAGAGGGATGCTTGACAGCATGCTAATTGAAGCCAGAGCAAGTATGTCCTTCATCAGGTAATCAGGAACTCTTCAGTTGAAGCTGAGGAACTAACTGATTAGTTGTTGATCATAATATAATTGGTTACAAAGTGGAAGTGCCAGCTGGCTTAAGTACCCAAAGAAAAGAATGCAGCAGCCTAACTTAGTGTTACCATATGTTACTGAATTTGAAACTGACCTTTTTTCCCACCCTACTTCACACACCTAAAACTCTTTTCTTGTCAGACCAAAGAGCGAAAAGAAAAAAAAAAGTAAAACACTTTACCAATCTGTCACTCAGGTACAATTTTGTGGTGAGATTTTTGTCTGTTCTCTTTGTATTGCTCTTAAGAGTCCTTTCTCAGCATATTATTCTGCCATTGCCTCTGTCTTCCTTGGGGCACCTCAGCTCTGGATGCTACCCCTGGGATATCTACTGCTGTTATGTGAATGATAGGAGGTAAGTGACCATTATAGTAAGGGCTCTTTGTAAAAAAATTCAAAAAATTTAAAAAGGATGTATACATTTTATAGTCTGGCTATCAGTTTGATATCTTGCTGTCAAGTATGTTTCTCAATCTGTATTTATCCATCCCATCAATAAATGTTAATGGTAAAACACTCATTTGATTGTTGTTTATGTGTACTGTCCTCAAATTAGTCCTTAGTCTTTTTTTTTTTTTTTTTGAGACGGAATCTAGCCCTGTCACCCAGGCTGGAGAGTACAGTGGCGTGATCTCGGCTCACTGCAACCTCTGCTTCCCGGGTTCAAGCGATTCTCCTGTCTCAGCCTCCTGAGTTGCTGGGATTACAGGCACCCACCACTATGCCCAGCTAATTTTTGTATTTTTAGTCGAGACGGGGTTTCACTGTGTTGGCCAGGCTGGTCTCGAACTCTTGACCTCAGGTGATCTACCCACCTCGGCCCCCCAAAGTGCTGGGATTACAGGCATGAGCCACCGCGTCCAGCCTAGTCCTTAGTCTTTAACTGTAATTTTATTGATATGTTTACAATTTTGTTTCAATTTTGGTATTAGTCTGTTTTCTTATTGTGCAAGATCCTGTGGGAATTGAGTCCGTTGGAAAGACCCAAGATTTGTCGATCAGTAAACCCAGTAGTATAAAGTATGTTGTAGTCAAAGGGAAGAAAAAAACCCTCACTCTGTATTGTTACATGAATACCTGGAAGAGTAACTTGTACAAAAAAAAAATTATAGCACTAACAGATGATGGCAGCATGTACTGCTTATCTAGCAAGCATTATCAACATGATTCATAATTGTATACGTGGTTCTTTGAAAAGCCTGACATGTTAGTACAGACATAGCATTGTATCTGGAGGAAAATACACTTCGAAGAAAAAAACATTCTTGGTAGTGCCTGGAAAAATTGATAGTGAATACTCATCCTGAGACGTAATAAAACCACATTTACAAGGTAACTCTTGTAAATTACACACTGAAAATAAAGAACTTTTATGCTAAAGTACTCCATACTTATTACACAAAGTTAGTAATAGATATAGTTTGAAAGCTTTAAAAGGAAAAAAATAAATAATGATACTTCTGAAAAGTCACTTGAGTCGTTTCTTCTGTTTTCTAAAATAAGGTAGCTAATTTTACAAACTGTATACCGCTCCTGAAAAGAATATGAAATCGGAAATCTTTGCAGAAGTTGCTGATAGAATAGGAAGATGCTGACAGTTTAGGAATTCTGGTGTGGTTTGAAGCACTCCCCTGCTTTTCATTCATTCCTTCTTTAGAAAATAATACCTACTTCCCAACACTTTCGGAGGCTGAGGTGGGAGGATTGCTTGAGGCCAGGAGTTCAAGACCAACCTGAGCAACAAAGTGAGACCCCATCTCTGCACACAGACATACAAATTAGCCAGGCACAGTAGTGTATAGTCCCAGCTACTAGGGAGGCTGAGGAGGGAGGATTGTTTGAGCCCAGCAATTGGAGGCTGCAGTGAGCCATGATTGACCACTGCACTCCTGCTGGGCTATAGATCTATACCCAGTCTCGGGAAAAAAAAGTTAAAAAAAAAAAAACTAAGTGCTGTGGACTGTACTAATGGGAATATGGCAGTAAACAAACATTCTGCCTTCAAAGAATTTACAAATAAGTAAAACATAGTATGTTAGGTGGTGATAAGCACTTAAAAAAAATTTTTTTTTTTGAGACGAAGTCTCACTGTCTCCCAGGCCAGAGTGCAGTGGTGAGATAACAGCTCACTGCATCCTTGACCTCCCTAGGCTCAAGTGATCCTCCCATCTCCTGAGTAACTGGGACTACAGGTGTGCACCACCACGCCTGGCTAATTTTTTTAGAGATGGGGTCACCCTATGTTGCCCAGTCTGGTCTTGAACTCCTGGGCTTAAGCGATCTGCCCGTCTGGGCCTCCTTCACTCTTGTTGGGATTATAGGTGTGAGCCACCACACCTGGCCATAATAAGCACTTTGGAGACTAAAACAGGGAATAGGGGATAGGGATGTGTGTGTGCATGTGTGTGTGTGAGCACGTGTGTGTGTTTAGGTAACTAGGGCTGTGGGAATTGGAAAAAAGGTGGCTAGGGAAGGCTTCATGACCAGAAGCTTCATGACCTTTAGGGAAGACCTGAAGGAGGTGACAGCAAGTCATGGGAATAACTAGGATAAGATCATTCCAGGAAACGTGAGACATCAAAGGTTCTGAGGTGAGAATATGCTGGTATGTTTGAGAAATAGCAAGGAAACCAGTGTAGCTGGTATAGGAATGAGTGGGGAGGGGGTATTGGAGAGAGGAGAGTAGCAGGATATGAGGTTAGAGAGGCAATAGAAAGCCAGATACAACAGGACCTTGTATAAAGACAGTGAATGGAACAGACGCTATTGGAAAGTTTTGAGAAGGGAAATGACATCCAACTTAGGTTTTAAAATGTTCATTTGGGCTGCTGTGTTGAAAATAGATCATAGGAGTCAAGGGCAAGGAGCTCTCACAATTTAGGTAAGAGATGAGGGTGGCTTGGACAGGTTGGAAGTACCCAAGGTAATGAGAAGTGATGTATCTTTTTTTTTTTTCTTTGAGATGGAGTTTTGCTCTTGTTGCCCAGGCTGGAATGGAATGGCGTGATCTCAGCTCACTGCAACCTCCGCCTCTCAGGTTCAAGCGATTCTCCTGCCTCAGCCTCCCAAGTAGCTGGGATTACAGGCATGTGCCACCACACCCGGCTAATTTTGTATTTTTAGTAGACACAGGGTTTCACCATGTTGGCCAGGCTGATCTTGAGCTCCTGACCTCAGGTGATCCACCCGCCTCAGCCTCCCAAAGTGCTGGGATTACAGGTGTGAACCACCTTGCTCAGCCGAGAAGTGATACAGCTTGAAGATGGAGCTAATAGGATTTGCTATGAGGTGGAAGAGAAGGAAGTGAAGGATAACTCCCAGTGTTTGTCCTGACCAACTGGAAGGTTGGGGTTGTCATATACTCAGGTAGAGATGACTACGGGAGTAGCGGGAGGTTGGCTTTAACATTAAATTTGAAATGCCAATTAGACATCCAAGTGGAGATGCCTACTGGACAGATGACTAGAGAGTCAAGTTCAAAGGAGGGATCCAGGCTGGATATATGCATTTGGGAGATAACAGCTTATGAATGGGATGAAACAGAGTGAGATAACTAAGGAAGTAGTAGTAGAAAATAGAAATGTTCAGTGTTTAGAATTGGGGAAAAGAGAAACGAGACAGAGAGTGGGTGACTGATGTAGATGGGAAACTAGGAAGAGTATGGAGATCTAGAAAGAGTATAGAGTTCTAAGGAGGAGGAGTGGCCAAGTGTGTTAGACATTGCAAAGTGGTCTAATAAGATGATGCCTGAAAACTTCATTAGAATTAGCAAGGTGAAGGTCTTTGATAACTTTTTTTTTTTTTTTTTGGAGACAGTCTTGCTCTGTCACCCAGGCTGGAGTACAGTGGCACAATCTTGGCTCACTGCACCCTCTGCCTCCTGGGTTCAAATGATTCTCCTGCTCAGCCTCCCAAGTAGCTGGGATTAAGGCACATGCCACCACACCTGGCTAGTTTTTGTACTTTTAGTAGAGATGGGGTTTTACCATGTTGGCCAAGCTGGTCTTGAACTCCTCGCCTCAGGTGATCCACCCGCCTCGGCCTCTCAAAGTGCTGTGGTTATAGGCGTGAGCCACTGCGCCCAGCCGTTTTCATCTTTTTTCTCACTTTTCTCTAGGATTAGCCCCCCAAACTCTAGTTTCCTAATCCCTATTTACAAATAGCTTCTGGTCTACTTTAACCTCTTCAATAGCTACAAAGTGTTCAGTGAATTAAAAATAACCATCTACCTCCAGCCTGGGCAACAGAGCAAGACTCCATCTCAAAAAAAAAAAAAAAGCCATCTACTTTGTTAAACAGAACAAAGAATTTGCTGACATCTTGAGCTCTTAATATCTGCTCCCTCCTTTCACTTAGAAGTGGTTCTAGGCCGGGCATGGTGGCTCACGCCTGTAATCCCAGCACTTTGGGAGCCTGAGGTGGGCAGATCACGAGGTCAGGAGTTGGAGACCAGCCTGGTCAATATGGTGAAACCCTGTCTCTATTAAGAATATAAAAAAATTAGCCGAGCATGGTGGCGCACACCTGTTGTCCCAGTTACTTGGGGGGTAGGCTGAGGAAGAAGAATCCCTTGAACCCAGGAGGCGGAGGTTGCAGTGAGCCGAGATCGCGCGCCACTGCACTCCAGCCAGCCGGGGCGACAGAGCAAGACTCCCGCTAAAAAAAAAAAAAAAAAAAAGAAGTGGTTCTAAATAGTAATGTTTTGTCTGTCTTGGACTTACAAGAAGGATTCTTTTTTCAACTAAGACCTTCAGTAAATTCATTGAAAGAAAGTCTTTTGTTTCTTCCCCATCTATTCCTGTGTCTCTTCATATTGTTCACTACAGTAGTTTTAATGTTGCTTTTTGATATTACTACATTTGGTTGCAGATTCGGATTCCCAAATTTTCTGTGACATGACTGCCTCTGGCTGTTTTTTAATTATAGGGTGTTTATAACAAAACATCTTTTTTCGTACTCCTGAGGGTTGGTCTGTTTGCTTATGTATATAAATCATTGTTATTAATATTATGTTTGTATTGCATCCATAATCCAAAGCTATCCTAGAATGTTCACTCCAAGAGAGCAGGGTTATCTTCCTTGTTCTCTCCTGGCACTTAGGTGCTCAATAAATATTCGTTGAATGAATGAATTTCAGGCCTTCTTCTAGGGCTGCTCTAGTCTCTGGAAACAGCACAACCCCCAAGGTTTTTTTTTTTTTTTAATAATTTATCGGTCCTATAGTGTATTTATTTATTTATTTATTTATTTATTTATTTATTTATTTGAGATGAGGTGTCTCCATATTGCCCAGGCTGGGATCGAACTCCTGAGCTCAGGTGATCTTCCCACCTCAGCTTTTCAAAGTGCTGGGATTACAGTGGTGAACCATGACGCCCAGCCTTAGTGTTTTTCTTGAGGGCTGTGGAATCTTTATGTTCACTTCCACTGGGACTCATGCTCACTTGCTCGTTAGGCATGGATAAAACATCTTTCTTAAACTGACAGTGAGGAGATAAGAGATGCTGGAAAGCAAAAAATGTCTAGAAGGGTTATGGGAAGAAAGCTAGGAATCATTTCTACAAGTGGTGGAGATGACAGAAAGATGCTTTTAAACTAAAAATCCTTAAAGGATGGTATGATTGGTATTGTGTCTGTCATTTTTATGATACCTGCATTATTTAGCATGGAATTTTAAAGACAGGGCACACAGTTATGAGAAGCAGCCCTAAACTAGAACAAATATTTCCTTATTCTCAGTCCAATGCTCTTTACTATATAAGAGGCAATAAGGGATAAAGAATGCGGGCTGGGTTCAAATTCGTCTTCCTTTCCCATTTAATAGCTATGGTCCCATTCTGTTCCTCAGTCCTCTTATCTGTAAAATGGACATAATACTAACCTGTACCTCTTAGGGTTGCTTTGAAAAATTCAATGACTTTATACATGTAATTCCCAGAATCAGTAAACACCCAAAAAATGTTTCTCAGTGTTCTCTATACCAAATGTTCAGTACATGTATTGAACTGTTCACAAAAGAAAGCTAAAGACTTTTTATGTGTAAACAGTGATCCTCCAGCCTCTGTCTGATTTATTTTTTATTTATATATTTTTTTGAGACGGAGTTTCGCTCTTGTTGCCCAGGCTGGAGTGCAATGGCGCGATATCGGCTCACCGCAATCTCCGCCTCCCAGGTTCAAGAGATTCTCCTGTCTCAGCCTCCCGAGTAGCTGGAATTACAGGCGTGCACCACCACGCCCGGCTAATTTTGTATTTTTAGTAGAGACGGCGTTTCTCCATGTTGCTCAGGCTGGACTCGAGCTCCCGACCTCAGGTGATCTGCCAGCCTCAGCCTCCCAAAGTGTTGGGATTACAGGCGTGAGCCACCGCGCCCGGCCTGTCTGTCTGATTTTATACTAGCTGTGTACAGTGGTGAGGGAACAGCAGCCTAGGACCACAGACTGAGGGTCCAAAAGTAGCCGGAAAACGAGCCACGCTGCAAGGTGGAAAAATATTAGCTGGCAACCCGCCCCGCAGCCCGCTCTCCGCCCCCTTCCCCGGCTCACTCTCCTCCGGGCGGAGTTGCTGACAGACAGTCTGTCTTAGCCACCCCAACCTCGCATTTTCTCAGCGCTCCGCCCTCCCAGACACGATAGGTAGTTGGTCTCGGCCAATGGCGACATCCTGTCATACGAGCGGTAGCCAATGAGTAGCCAGGAGTCCGGAAAGGGGCGAGGCCGATCTGAGAGCCGCTGGCGCCACTAGAGAAGGGCGAGCGGCGCGGCAGAGTGCGGCGCAGCGCAGCTCCTGAGGTAAGATGGCGGTGCTCTTTCCTCTAAGCTCTTGCGGTTGGGCTGCTATTTCGCTCTTTTTGTCAGCTCAGAGCTGCTACTCCGCCTCAAAGCAGTGTCAGAGTCAGTCTCCTTCCTGCAGGCTTCCAGGAGCCAGGATCTCCGGTGACTGGAGCCGTAGGACAAAATGGCGCTCGCATAGGCTTCCGAGGCCAGGCCCAGTCGTGCGCTCTGAGGCAGGCCGGGACAAAGGCGGCGTGCGGGGAGGCGGCGTGGCCGCCGCGTGGGGCTGGTGTTGTCGCTTCCCTTCGTGCTGCAGCTGTGCGAGTCCTGAAGATACATTCAGCGTGGTGTGGTTCGGGGTGGGGCCGGGCATGGAGGGACACGCTAAAGGGAGGCAAAGCCACAGATGCCTGTGGAGACTTGGGGAGGGCGGCGGGGACTTACGGAGCGTACCTTACGGGGACGACTTCTGCATGTCCTTTGGAAACTGTCCGCGCGATCTGTGTGGAGCAGGAATTTTCGGGAAGGGTAAGGGCTTTTTGGTCTTTCGTTTGACCCCGCAGGTTTTGGTTATGAACAGGATTCGGATTCACGTCTTGCCAACCAATCGGGGGAGGATCACTCCAGTGCCCAGGTCTCAGGAACCTCTGTCTTGTGCATTCACTCATCGTCCATGCTCTCACCCTCGTCTGGAGGGGCAGGAGTTTTGCATTAAGCATATCCTTGAAGACAAGAATGCACCCTTCAAGCAGTGTAGTTATATATCGACGAAGAATGGAAAAAGATGTCCCAATGCTGCCCCAAAGCCAGAGAAGAAAGATGGGTATATATGTATAGATATATATGTCGTTTTTCTTAAAGCGAGGGGGTATGTGATATGATGCGGGCTTCAGCATAGCTGCCGCGTTTGAGATTTTGTCCTTGTAAATTTGGGGTTATGGTTGTATCCTTGGAAAACTGAAAAAACGGTGAAGACTGGAAAGACCCTTGAGTTGGATTACTTAGTTCACCTCTTTGGTTCTTTTCCCTTATCTGTAAAATAAAGGCATATTCTAAATTAGTCTTTTTTTTTTTTTTTTTTTTTTTAAGAGAGATGGGGTCTTGCTATTTTGACCAGGCCGGTCTCAAACTCCTGGCCTCAAGGTATCCTCCCATCTCGGCCTCCCAGAGTGCTGGGATTACAGGCGTGAGCGACCGCGCCCGGCCCTAAAGTTAATTTTTTGGCGGGGGGGCGGCGCACAGATTCTTGCTTTATTCCCCAGGCTGGAGTGCAGTGGAGATCTCGGCTCACTGCAACCTCCTCCTTCCAGGTTCAAGCGATTCTCCTGCCTCCTAAGTAGTTGGGACTTAAGGCGTGCGCCACTATGCCCGGCTAATTTTTGTACTTTTTAGTAGAGACGGGGTTTCACCATGTTGGCCAGGCTTGTTTTGAACTGCTGACCTCAGGTGATCCATCCGCCTCGGCCTCCCAGAGTGTTGGGATTACAGGAGTGAGCCACCGCACCTGGCCCCTAAAATTCTTCTTAATGGAGGGGTGTGTGGCTCTATTTGGCTGTCCATGAATTTTGTTAAATAACATGCAAAGTTATATATGTGTGTATTCTTCTGTAAGAGGCTTCATAGTTTTCATCATGTATGCAAAGGTATCCATGCAAAAACATAACCTGACTAGATAATTTTTTACGTATCTTATAGTTTTAAAATTGTGTCCCTGGCTGGTCGCAGTGGCTCATGCCTGTAATCCCAGCACTTTGGGAGGCCACGGGAGGAGGATCACTTGAGGCCAGGAGTTGGAGACCAACCCAGGCAATACAGTGAGACCCCGTCTCTACAGAAGATTAAAAAACTCGCTGGGCATAGTGGCGTGGACATGTAGTCCCCACTACTTGGGAGGCTGAGGTGGGAGGATCACTTGAGCCTGGGAGTTCCAGACCAGACTTGGCAACATAGACTTCGTTTCTACAAAAAACTAAAAAAAATTTGCTGGGCACAGTGGTGCATGCCTATAGTTCTAGCTACTTTGAGGCTGAGGCAGGAGGATCGCTTGAACCAAGCAGTTTAAGGCTACAGTGAACTATGATTGCACCACTGCACTTTAGCCTGGGCAACAGAGCAAGACCCAATCCCTTGCCTCAGCCTCCCAAAGTGCTGGGATTACAAGGGTGAACCACTTCATCCGTCCTGTTATTTCCCTTTAATAAAGTCAAATGAGTTGACCTTGGGCCAGTTAAATTCCTCTGACTTGCATTTTTAGAAATGAATGTAATAGTCATTTTAATTCCCTAAAAATGATTTAAAGATTAGGGACTGTGAACATTATTGAACGCTTTCAAGAAGGAACTTATAAAATATTAATGTTTTGTCTCTTCAGGGTGTCCTTCTGTGCTGAACATGTCCGTAGGAATGCCCTGGCACTTCATGCTCAAATGAAGAAGACCAACCCAGGGCCTGTGGGTGAAACACTCCTGTGCCAGCTGAGCTCATATGCTAAGACAGAGCTGGGGTCTCAGACTCCAGAAAGTAGTCGCAGTGAAGCCAGCCGAATACTAGGTAAGGACCTTCTCTCCTGGAATGAAAAAGGAGGAAGAAAGTTAAGGGGGAACTATTTTGGGTTAGCACAATGCCTTGATCTATTTGGCAATATTGTTAATTCATCAGGAATTTGGTGAGAATGCTGGGATTGCTTTGTTGTTTACCAGTTCTTTTGAATTTGAAGTTGTGTTTGCCTAGGTTTACTTTCCTGAGTTGGTGACCATTTCTTTCATTGCTTTTTTAATGCTCAGCAGCTTTGTTAGGTAATTTCAGGAAACAGTAATTTTAAGTTGATTTTTCTGTTTGAGAGGGCATGGTTTACTCATTTATGTTGTAAGTAATCTTACTTGGGTTGTATTTTCTTAAAGCGTTTTTATTTGCCAGTACCTTTGTACTAAGTGTTTTTTTTTTTGTTTTGTTTTTAAAATTTCAAGGTTTGGGTTGATAAAAGTAATCTAGTTTTGTGTGGTGGAGTTACAGAGGTGGGAAGTCTTAATGGCTGCTCTCCCTTCCTTGCCTCAGATGAAGACAGCTGGAGTGATGGGGAGCAGGAACCCATTACTGTGGATCAGACATGGAGAGGTGACCCTGACAGTGAAGCTGATAGCATAGACAGTGATCAAGAAGATCCCCTAAAGTAAGTTGTAACTCCACATAAGGCATTTGAAATGTAGTTAGTATGTGGAATGTAGTGCTGCATGCTGTTAATAAATTAGTAACCTAGGAGGGTTGAAGACAGCTATTTGTCAGCAGTAAGAGGTTCTGTATATAAAAGTGGCATGGTTCATTGTCGTCTTGCTTCAAGGCAGGATGATTCTTTTTTAGAAGCCTTGTAATTTAAAAAAAGTTTGAACACCAAATTCTACGTATGAGAAAGTATAGGGGAGAAAACAGGAAATTTAGACATGGGAGTGTGGGAGGTGGATTGAGAAATGGTCAGACCAGTTTAGAGAAGAGAAAATGGTTGTGAATGGGTGCTTGGCCTAAACCTCAGGAATAATGTGATTGTAGTTGAATACTTCTGCAAAATGTCGTGTTTATGGGATTTATAAATTTTTTAAAGTTATATATTGTTTTAAATTGACAATTGTACAATGTATGGGGTACAGTGTGATGTTTGGATACTTGTAAACCTTGTGTCATGATCAAATCAGGGTAATTAGCATATTCATCAGCTCAAGCATTTAGTGTTTTTTTGTGTGTGGATTTTTTTTTTAAAAAGAAGAATAAAAAGGTATTCAAGAGTTTGGTTTCATGCCTAAGAAAGAGAAACCGATTTAGAAACCCAAAAGTGATTATATCTTAATCAGGTTTATATCTTAGTAAGCTTCTGCTCTTCACTTAACCCATCATCACCGTAGGAGTTGTAGAAGCATAAAAACATTACCACTCTGGAGTCTCATATTTCTGTGTCTCAAGGTCTGGGTGTAGTTTTTAAAAATGTTTGCCTGCTGACTTCTGTGTCTTAACACTTTGTACTGACAGTTTATGTAAAGGGACTGTAAATAGTGGAAGGGGTAATTTCTAGATTGACTATTGGGCTTTTGTTCTTGCAATAGCATTTTCTTCATTACTTTGGATTCTTTGGTTTATAAGAAGTCATTTAGGGTTACATTTTCTCCTGACCCTGCTTAGCTTCTGAGATCAGAGGAGGTTGGGCATGTTCCGGATAGTATGGCCGTATGTTAGGGTTACGTTTTCTGAGTAGAATAATTTCATCCATTTCTATTGAGTAATCTCACTGTGGTCAACTATTCAGGAAGTACTAGTTTAGAAAACCCATCTAAGTAGTTGGAAAGGGAATGACTGTTCTCTTGCAGGATTCTCTCACAAATAGTAACTTAAACCAACATATTCATTCCTTTTTTTTTTTTTTTTTTTTTTTTTTGAGATGGAGTCTTGCACTGTCACCCAGGCTGGAGTGCAGTGGCATGATCTCAGTTCACTGCAACCTCCGCCTCCCAGGTTCAAGCAATTCTCCTGCCTCAGCCTCCCTCCCAAGTAGCTGGGATTATAGGCACCCACCACCACACCCAGGTAATTTTTTGTATTTTTAGTAGAGATGGGGTTTCACCATGTTGGCCAGGCTGGTCTCGAATTCCTGACCTCGTGATTCACCTGCCTCGGCCTCCCAAAGTGCTGGGATTACAGGCATGAGCCATCAGGCCCAGCTTCATTCCTTTTTTTTCCATTGTGGTTCTAGATGGCCAAACTTGCTGCTTTGAAGAGATGTATGCTCTCTAGGGTTACAAAGGGAGTGTCGTTTGGTGTGGTAAACACTCAGCTTAAGGTCGAGAAACTTGATTTTGTTAGTAATCTAGAGTGGATCAGTCTCTAGGAGGCACATGGATGCTGATTTAACTTACAGGAGGCTGCTGTATAAACCAAAATACCAGGTCATTTTATGAGAAATACAAATGTGGAAAGTACTAGGCAGTTGATGTCACTCTCTCCTAGAGGAAACATGTTCAGAAGAGAAAATAAAGCCCCAAATATGGTCAGCTATTAGGCAACTAAGTATAAGGCTTTCGTTAATTTTCCTCAGTGAGATTATTTTTTAAAAAAATTTAGACCCACTAAATTTATGCATTTTTAGGCATGTAAATAGAGTTGTTCAGTGTCTCCTTATGATTACATATTACTATCTTCTTATATTTAATAATATAGTAATTTAGTAGTATGTCCACTGAGTAAAATTCTTTTCATTAAGAATTTTTATCTTAGGGCACCAGTGTCTTTGTCATCAATAGGATCACTTTTTGAATCATCTAATAGTTTAACCACATTTATCTTCAATTGCTTGTTACACAAAGGGCAATTTTATATTGTTTATGATGTTGCTAGAGACTTGATCCTAACTAGAATATTGTTGGCATAGATTTTTTAAACTTCCTGTTAGTATATATATGATTTCCCTCAAAGTAACCACTTACTTAATTGTTTTGTTAAAAGTAAAGCTTGTTTATGGCCAGGCGTAGTGACTTACGCATGTAATCCTCGCACTTTTTTTTTTTGACACGAAGTTTCACTCTTGTCACCCAGGCTGGAGTGCAATGGTGCGATCTCAGCTCACTGCAACCTCCGCCTCCCGGGTTCAAATGATTTTCCTGCCTCAGCCTCCCGAGTAGCTGGGATTACAGGTGCCCGCCACCACACCCAGCTGATTTTTGTGTTTTTAGTAGAGACGGGGTTTCTCCATGTTGGCAGGCTGGTCTTGAACTCCTGATCTGAGGTGATCTGCCCGTCAGCCTCCCAAAGTGCTGGGATTACAGGGACGAACCAGTGCGCCCAGTGATCCTAGCACTTTGGGAGGTCGAGGTGGGAGGATTGCTTGAGCCCAGGAGTTCGAGACCAGCCTGGGCAACATAGGGAGACACCGTCTCTACGAAAGATTTAAAAATTAGCCAGACGTGGTGGTGCACGTGGTCTGTAGTCTTAACTACTCGAGAGGCTCAAGTAGGAGGATGGCTTGAGCCTGGGAGGTTGAGGCTCTGTGATCGTGCCACTGCATTCCAGTCTGGGCAACAGAGGGAGACCCTATCTCATACACACAGAAAAAATAAATAAAAGCTTGTCTACAACATCTAATACTTAAGAAATTTTATCCTTAAGGTAATTGTTAAATTTTCATTTCCCTTTTTTAAATAATAATTGTATCATATGACCTCTATAAACATCTATAACTTGTTTGGCTGAAGGTTATTTCACATTATTGAATCTTCATCATTGTTTTCCAAATAAATTTGGAGAATGCCCTTTATAAGAGAGACTATTTAGTAGAATATAAGGTGAGACCCTCTTTTTTGAAGATGAATGCTAATAATAAAACCTTGACTTTAATTTGTGCATACCAGAGCAAGGGGAATTAGTACATAATTTTAATGTCCGGCTCTGAAAGTCTGGCGCATTCATCTTTAAGTAAATGAGCCATCTGTTACATGAACCAGCCGGCATTCATTTAGTAGGTTGCTTACTGCCCCCACCAAATGATTTCTAATAACTTCTAATAGTAATGGCTTCAGATAGGTACATTTCAGTTCCAGACCATTGGTTAAATTCTCTTCTGACAGGGTGCAGTGAAATTAATTTTTTAAAACAATTTTTATTTTTCTCATTTTCAGTATTCAAAAAGTGAATTTCATTTTAACAAACTCTATATTAGGTTAAGGCCTCAGTATTTTAGGTTACAGACAGGTTAATGTAGGCATAACCCATTTTTCTGAAGATGTAACTTAGTCACCTTGTGAAACCGTTATGTATTTATTTTTGAGACGGACTCTCACTCTGTTGCCAGGCTGGAGCGCAGTGGCACGATCTCAGCTCACTGCAACCTTTGCCTCCTGGGTTCAAGCAATTCTTCTGCCTCAGCCTCCCTAGTAGCTGGGACTACAGGCGCACGCCGCTGTGCCCGGCTAATTTCTTTCTTTTTTTTGTATTTTAGTAGAGATGGGGTTTCACCATGTTGCCCAGGCTGGTCTCAAACTCCAGAGCTCAGGCAGTATGCCCACCTCGGTCTCCCAAAGTGCTAGAATTACAGGCTTGAGCCACCGTGCCCAGCCAACTGTTACATATTTTTAAAGCCTTTTCACATTTTCTGATAGTCTGTTAGCTTTTGTCATTTCTGTAATTTGCTGGTTTTATTTTATTTTATTTATTTTTAAATTTATTTTTTATTAATTTTATTTTATTATATATTATTTTTATTTATTTATTTAATTTGTTTATTTTATTTAATTTTTTATTTTTGGAGACAGAGTCTCGTTCTGTCGCCCAGGCTGGAGCGCGGTGGTGCGATCTCGGCTCACTGTAATCTCTGCCTACCAGGTTCAAGTGATTCTCCTGCCTCAGCCTCCCGAGTAGCTGGGATTATAGGTGCTTGCCACCATACCTGGCTAATTTTTGTATTTTTAGTAGAGAGGCTGTTTTGCCATGTTGGCCAGGCTGGTCTCGAACTCCTGACCTCAAGTGATCCACCCACCTTGGCCTTGTGCACCACACCTGGCCCTTTGCTGGTTTTATTAACCATGTTTTGATTTTTCTTAATTTCTTTTCACTTTTACTTCAGAATATAGTTAAGTACCTCTTATACACAGGTAATATTGGCTTTTGTTTATATTTATGAAGAAATTTTGGCAGAAATTACTTGCTCTCAGTCCTAAAGTTAATTTTGTATATTC
The DNA here is from genome assembly GCF_000001405.40 of Homo sapiens. Classification (NCBI taxonomy): domain Eukaryota; kingdom Metazoa; phylum Chordata; class Mammalia; order Primates; family Hominidae; genus Homo; species Homo sapiens. Next base: position 48,674,495 of record NC_000012.12, on the reverse strand, counting down.
TGTGTATTTCAGTGCCTTAACAGCTAGTTTTTAAAAATAAAGCAGAGGCTGGCCACAGTGGCTCACGCCTGTAATCCTAGCACTTTGGGAGGCCGAGTCGGGTGGAATGCCTGAACTCAGGAGTTTGAGACCAGCCTGGGAAACATGGTGAAACCCCATCTCTACTAAAAATACAAAAAATAAAAAAATTAGCCAGGTGTGGTGGCACACGCCTGCAATCTCAACTACTGTGGAGGCTGAGGCACGAGAATTGCTTGAACCCGGGAGGCGGAGGTTGCAGTGAGCCAACATTGTGCCACTTCAGTGCAGCCTGGGAAACAGAGCAAGACTCTGTCTTAAAAACGAAAAAGTAATAAAGCATAATTTTTTGACTTAAAATTAGTATAATTTATGTGTTTTGCCTTTTCAATAAAATTTTTACTCAGTATGAAACTTAAGGTATATAGCTTGTTCTTTGTATTTATGTAATGATCAGACGGTGAGTGAAACAAAATTTTTAAAATTCAAAGTTATTCACTTATTTATTTATTTATTTATTTATTTTTGAGACATGGTCTTGCTCTGTCACCCAGGTTGGAGTGCAGTGGCGCCATCTCAGCTCACTGCAGCCTCCCACTCCCAGGCTGAAGTGATCCTTTCACCTCAGTCTCCTGAGTATCTGGGACTACAGGTATACACCACCGTGCCCAGCTAACTTTTGTATTTTTTGTATTGACAGGGTTTTATCATGTTACAGCCCAGGCTGGTCTTGAACTCCCAGGCTCAAGCAATCTGCCTGCCTCGGCCTCCCAAAGTGCTGGGATTACAGGCGTGAGCTATCACACCTGGCCTCATCTCTTAATTTTGATTGCATAAATCAGAGCCAGAGAACAGTCTACCATATATTAATCACTAGCAAAACTTTTAGAAGTTCTTTTTTTTTTTTTTTCTTTTTTTGAGATGGAGTCTTGCTCTGTCACCCAGGCTGGAATGCAGTGGCACGATCTCAGCTCACTGCAACCTCTGCCTCCCGGGTTCAAGCAATTCTCCTGCCCCAGCCTCCCGAGTAGCTGGGATTATAGGCGCCCACCACCATACCTGGTTGATTTTCGTATTTTCAGTAGAGACGGGGTTTCGCCATGTTGGCCAGGCTGGTCTTGAACACCTGACCTCAGGTGATTCGCCTGCCTTGGCCTCCCAAGGTGCTAGGATTACAGGTGTGAGCCACCGTGCCTGGCCAGATATTCTTTTAGTTTATAATTGGCAGCAAAGCTTAATCAAGTTGATATGGATCCGTGCCAGATCTTTGGCAATTAAGGGTTAACCTAGGGTACTGAATTTTGAGAATATTGTCAAGAAAATTAGCTGAGGACAGGGTATAGCCCATTTTGACTAGTTATTTGAGGGTCCATATGAGCTCCAATATAGGCCTATATTTTTTAAACAATTACAAATTTTGGCTGGGCACAGTGGCTCATGCCTGTAATCCCACCACTTTGGGAGGCCGAGGCTGGAAGATCGATCTGAGGTCAGGAGTTAAGACCAGCCTGACCAACATGGAGAAACCCCATCTCTACTGAAAATATAAAAATTAGCTGGGCGTGGTGGTAGGTGCCTGTAATGCCAGCTACTTGGGAGGCTGAGACAGGAGAATCACTTGAACCTGGGAAGCGGAGGTTGCAGTGAGCCAAGGTTGTGCCACTGCACTCCAGCCTGGGTGACAGAGCAAGACTGTCTCAAAAAAAAAAATTATTTGATGTTGGTATCTTTAGTGCTTTAATTAAAATATATTGCCAGGTGCAGTAGCTTATGCGTTTAATTCCAGCACTTTGTGAGGCTGAGGCGGGAGCATCGCTTAAACCCAGGGGTTCAAGCCTGGACAACATGGTGAAATCCCATCTCTACAAAAAATACAAAAATTAACCAAGTGGGGTGGTGCACACCTGTAGTCCCAGCTACTCGGCAGGCTGACGTGGGAGGATCGCTTGAGCCCAGGAAGCAAAGGTTATAGTGAGCTGTGATTGATTGCACCACTGCACTCCATCCTGGGTGACAAGAGTGAGACCTTATCTCAAAAAAAAAATATATATATATATATATATATATACGTATATATATATATACATGTATATATATATACGTATATATACATGTATATATGTATATGTGAAAGATACATGTTAATTGAACACTTTAAAGCTGTCTTGACTGGTAAGTGATGATTTCATATCAAAACATTAAGAATGTAGATTAATAAAAGTTTAAAGTGTTCCGCATGTTCACTTTCTTTTCAACATAATGCAAATAGCTGGGAAAAATAAGACATTTCTCCTTCCCCCATTTTGGGAAATCACAGATTAGTATTCTTTCTTGGAGATTTTCTCTTTTGTTTTATTTAATAACAACTTGAATGGTACAATGTTTTGCAAAAACATTAAGGTGATTATGTCACCACTTGTTAAATAACAAACTTAGTCTGACATCTCTACTCTTTCAAACTTGGGTTTTATTATTATTGTTTTCTTATGCTTTGCTGAATTCTGTTTTATTCCAGACATGCTGGTGTCTACACAGCAGAAGAAGTGGCCCTGATTATGCGTGAAAAGCTAATTCGTTTGCAGTCGTTGTATATTGATCAGTTTAAACGACTTCAGCATCTGCTCAAGGAGAAGAAGCGCCGATACTTACATAATCGCAAAGTGGAACATGAAGCTCTAGGCAAGTTTTATGCCAGTTCCAACAAGCTGTTGTGGGTTTAACATGTGAATTTGGTAGTACAGTCATGTGTCACTTAATGATGGGGATACATACTTTGTTAGGTGATTTTTGTCATTCAAACTTCATGGAGTGACTCACGCTAACGTAGGTGGTATAGCCTGCAACATACCTAGGCTGCAAACCTGTACAAGCATGTTACTGTACTGAATACTGTGGGCAGTTGTAACAGTGGTATTTGTGTACCTAAACACATCTAAACAGAGAAAAGGTACAGTTAAATTATGGCATAAAAGATTTTAAAAATGGGCACTTAGCATGAATGGAGCTTGTAGGACTGGAAGTTATTTTGGGCGAGTGAGTGAGTGGTGAGTCAATGGGAAGGCCTAGCACATTATTATTTACTACTTTAGACGTTATAAGTACTGTACACTTAAGCTGTACTAAATTTATAAAAAAAGTTTCTTCAATAATAAATTAACCCTTAGCTTACTGTAACTTTTTTACTTTCATTTTTTTTTTTTTTTAATTGAGACGGACATGGAGTCTCACTCTGTTGCCCAGGCTGGAGTGCAGTGGCATGATCTCAGCTCACTGCAACCTCTGCTTCCTAGGTTCAAGCAGTTCTCCCACCTCAGCCTCCCAAGTAGCTGGGATTACAGGCACATTCCACCATGCCCGGCTAATTTTTTTATTTTTAGTAGAGGGGGGGTTTTGCCATGTTGGCCAGGCTGCTCTCGGAACTCCTGACTTCAAGTGATCCCCCTACCTTGGCCTCCCAAAGTGCTGGGATTTCAGGCATGAGCCACTGCGCCTGGCCTATAAGCTTTTTTTTAAAGAGACAGAATCTTGCTGTGTCACTGAGGCCAGAGTGCAGTAGCGTAGTCCTCACTCACTGCAGCCTTCAACTCCTGGACTCAGGCTATCCTGCCTCAGCCTCCTGAGTAACTAGGACTACAGATGCACCACCACACTCAGCTAATTTTTAAATTTTTGTAGAGACAGGGTCTCGCTATGTTGCCCAGGTTAGTCTTGAACTCCTGGGCTCAAGTGATCCTCCGACCGTGGCTTCCCAAAGTGCTGGGATTGATTACAGGCATGAGCCACTGCACCTGGCCTTTATAAACTTAAAAAAATTTTTAAGAAAAACTTCTGGACTCTGTAATAACACTTAGCTTAAAACACAAACACTGTACAGCTGTACAAAAATTTTTTTTATATCCCTATAAGCTTTTCTAGTTTTAATTAAAAAAAAATCCTTTTAAACTTCTGTTAAAAACTAAGATGCAAACACGTACATTAGCCTAGGCCTACATGGGCCTAGTGTCACTGTCTTTCACCTCCACATCTTGTCCCAGTGGAAGGTCTTCGGGGACAATCTCATGCAGCGAACTGTCATCTCATGATAACAATGTCTTCTGCAATACTTTCTGAGAGAACTGCCTGAGGCTGTTTTACATTTAACTTTTTTTTTTTAATAAATAGAGTGGAGTACATTCTAAGGATAAATATAGTAAATATATAAACCAGTAACATAGTTGTTTATTATCGAGTATTAGGTACTGTGCATAATTGTAGGTGCTAGATTTTTTTTTTTTTTTTTGTGATATAGTCTCACTCTGTCGCCAGGCTGGAGTGCAGTGTGTGATCTTGGCTCACTGCAACCTCCACCTCCCGGGTTCAAGCGATTCTCCTGCCTCAGCCTCCTGAGTAACTGGGACTATAGGCGCATGCCACCACGCCCAGCTAATTTTTGTATTTTTAGTAGAGATGGGGTTTCACCATGTTGGCCAGGATGTTCTCAATCTCCTGATCTGGTGATCTGCCCGCCTTGGGCTCCCAAAAAGTGCTGGGATTACAGGTGTGAGCCACTGTGTCCAGCCTGTGCTAGACTTGTATATAACTGGCAGTGCAGTAGGTTTGGTCACCAGCATCACCACAAATGTGTGGGTTGAACTATGATGTCACTAGGCAATAAGAATTTTTCAGCTTTGGCCGGGTGCGGTGGCTCATGCCTGTAATCCCAGCACTTTGGGAGGCCAAGGCAGGCGGATCATGAGGTCAGGAGATCGAGACCACAATGAAACCCTGTCTCTACTAAAAATACAAAAAAAAAATTAGCCGGGCGTGGTGGCGGGCACCTGTAGTCCCAGCTACTCAGGAGGCTGAGGCAGGAGAATGGCGTGAACCTGGGGGGCGGAGCTTGCAGTGAGCCAAGATTGCGCCACTGCACTCCAGCCTGGACAACAGAGCGAGACTGTGCCTCAAAAAAAAAAAAAATTTTTTTTCCAGCTTTGTTATAATCTTATGGGACCACCATAGTATGTATGGTCAATGATTGATTAAAAAGTGGTTATATAGTGCATGACTATAATTAGATTTATTTCTGTCTTGGTACCTGGATTGGGGGTCATTTGCTTTTGAAACTGCCTATCTTATGCCCAAGGATTTTCCTGTTTACTTGTTGACTTGGAGACGTAACCTTGATGGATTGCTTGGCAAATAACATCTTGACTCTTGTAACTCTAGGCAGTAGTCTCCTGACTGGCCCAGAGGGACTTTTGGCCAAAGAACGAGAGAACTTAAAGCGATTAAAATGTCTGCGACGATACCGCCAGCGCTATGGAGTGGAAGCCTTACTGCATAGGCAGTTGAAGGAACGGAGAATGCTGGCCACAGATGGTGCTGCCCAACAGGTAATTTGTGTGTATACCTTTAAGGTATATACGTTCACTTTATTTATTGTTTTTATTTTTTCGAGACGGAGTCTCGCACTGTCACTCGGGCTGGAGTGCAGTGGTGCGATGTCGGCTCACTGAGATCTCTCAACCTCTGCCTCCCAGTTTCAAGCAATTCTCCTGCCTCAGCCTCCCGAGTAGCTGGGATTACAGGTGCCCACCACCATGCGCCCAGCTAATGTTTTTGTATTTTTTGGGGTTTCACTATGTTGGCCAGGCTGGTCTCCAATGCCTGACCTCGTGATCTACCCACCTCGGCCTCCCAAAGTGTTGGGATTGCAGACATGAGCCACCGTGCCTGTTCATGTTCACTTTATTTACAAAGTTAGAGTAATTGTCAAAACACTATGTCCAGTCTTTTTTTGAGACAGAGTTTCAATCTTGTTGCCCAGGCTGGAGTGCAATGGCGCCGTCTTGGCTCACCGCAGCATCCACCTCCTGGGTTCAAGTGATTCTCCTCCCTCAGCCTCCTGAGTAGCTAGGATTACAGGCATGTGCCACCATGTCTGGCTGATTTTGTATTTTTAGTAGAGACGGGGTTTCTCCATGTTGGTCAGGCTGGTCTTGAACTCCCTATGTCCAGTCTTGGATCTGAAATCTGACTTTTTGCACATGGGTTATAGTGAAAGCACTTAGCTTGAAGTCAGGAGACATGGATTCTAGTGTGAGTCCCCACTGACCAGCTCTGTGTCTGCACAGTTAGCTTAAATTTTCTGGGCCTCAGTATTCTCATCTGCATATTGAGTAGTTGGGAAAAGTTTCTAAGTCCTTGGTTCAGATATTCTTCAGTTCAGAAATAAGCACAGGTTAATCCTAAATTGCTTGGGAATCTTGTTTTAAAAGGTGGGAAGGTAGAATAGGAGCAATTGAATGTCAGGAAGTAAGGTTAATAGGAAGAAGAATTAAGTGATCATTCTTAAATTTGTTTTTCAGACCCTTGGTCTCTGTTTCAGTAAGAGTAATTTTGTTTCATTTGTTGAGATTCCACTTAAGGCTGCAATTTCAGAGTTCTGTTGGTAAAAGACAAAATTTGTGTTAAATAGGCTATATCACACTTTTAGAATATGGAGAGGTGTATTTGGGATTGAGGTTGACTCATTCTTTATGCACTAGGTTTTAAAGTTTTTTGTCTTTTGCATAATATTGGTGAATCTATTTTTGTTAAATGTTGAATTTCTAGCCTTTAGGATGTGCTTTTCTTATATAACTATTTTCATCGTAATTGTTTGTGTGTTCTTTTGTGGGTCTATTTTATCTGTCTTTTTCCATTTCAGGCCCATACCACTCGTTCCAGTCAGAGGTGCTTGGCCTTTGTGGATGATGTTCGTTGTTCCAATCAGTCTCTTCCAATGACCAGACACTGCCTTACCCGTATCTTTTTACTCTGCCTGTTAAGGCTGTGGTTTGCTAGTTTGAAGACTAGTGGGAATCTCTGTGCTAGTTTGCTTAATTGAAGGATTTTGTTTTCCTTTGGCCCTGAATCAAGGCCAGCAGTTTGCTGAAGCTGTTGGTTTCAAGCAGGAGCCTAAAGAATTGTCTTTCTATGGTCTGTTGGCCATTTCATAACTTTGGAAATGTAATGGTCAATTCATTAGAAAGAAACATGAGTCGTTTTTCATAGATGTGGGCTAATATTTATTTATAGCCTTAATACTTGGGTCCCAAAATATACATAAAATATTTGTAATTGTCTCAAGGTTTCTGATTTAACTTGCTTATTAGGATCCTAATGCTGTTAAATCTAATTATAAACTTAAAAAATTACTGTGGGTTTTCCACCCCAGTTGAAAGGATGATTTTGCACTGTGAACTTCTAGTATTATCCTTTTGTGTGGTTAGGGCCCTCACTTCTGTATTTTATTTTATTTTTTATTTTTTGGAGATGGAGTTTTGCTCTAGTCTCCCAGGCTGGAGTGCAATGGCGTGATCTCGGCTCACTGCAACCTCCACCTCACTGCACCCTCCGCCTCCCGAGTTCAAGCGATTCTCCGAGTAGCTGGGATTATAGGCACGTACCACAATACCTGGCTAATGTTTGTATTATTAGTAGAGATGGGGTTTCACCATGTTGGCCAGGCTGGTCTCGAGCTCCTGACCTCAGGTGATCCACCCGCCTTGGCTTCCCAGAATGCTGGGATTACAGGAGTAAGCCACTGTGCCCGGCTTTTATTTTTTTATTTGTGTTTTTTGAGACAGGGTCTCACACTGTTATCCAGGCTGGAGTGCAGTGGCTCAGTCATAGCTCACTGCAGCCTTAACTCCTGGGTCAAGCAATTCTCCTACCTCAGCCTTCTGAATAGCTGGGACTATGTATGTGTGCCACCATGCCTGGCTAATTATTTATTTTATTTTATTATTAATTATATTTTTTGAGGCAGAGTCTCGCTGTGTCGCCCAGGCTGGAGTGCAGTGGTGTGATCTCGGCTCACTGCAACTTCCACCTCCTGGGTTCAAGCAATTCTTGTGTGTCATCCTCCTGAGTAGCTGGGATTACAGGCACGTGCCACCACGCCTGGCTAATTTTTGTATTTTTAGTAGAGATGGGGTTTCACCATGTTGGCCAGGTTGGTCTCAAATTCCTGACCTCAAGTGATCTGCCTGCCTCGGCCTCCCAAAGTGTTGGGATTACAGGCATGAGCCACTGCACCTGGCCTATTTTTTTTTTTTTTATTTTTTGTAGAGTCAATTTTCAATATGTTGCCCAGGCTGGTCTCAAACTGCTGGGCTTAAGCAGTCTGCCAGTCCTTTCCTCCCCAAATGCTGGGCTTACAGTCATCAGCCACTGTACCTGGCCTTTATAAACTTAAAAAAGAAACTTGGCTCTTTAAAAAGTTTTCTTTTTTTAATTTTTTTGAGACAGAGTCTTACTCTGTTGCCCAAGTTGGAGTGCAGTGGCATGATGATGGCTTACTGCCGTGATCTGCTGGGCTTAAACGATCTTCCCACCTCAGCCACCAGAGTAGCTGGGACTACAGGCATGTGCTACCACGTCCAGCTAATTTTATTTAATTTTTGTAGAGAGGTTGTGTCACTATGTTTCCCAGGCTGGTCTCGAACTTCTGAGCTCATGTGATCCTCCCGCCTCAGCCTCCCAAAGTGCTAGGATTACAGTTGTGAGCCACCATGCCCAGTCTCTTGACTCTTTTGTGATAACACTTAGTCACTGTGCCTGGCCTCTAACTTGCATACTTTAAACATCATTCAAATTAGAAGTTTGCTATTTCCAAAAATGAGATGCTTTTTTTCTTCTTTTCAATTAATTTGCCTTTGAACCATCATAATGTCTCTTGATTCTGTTAAAGGACTACATTTGGCATTGGGCCTTCAAACTTTTTTGAGTTGTTGATTGAATTGTGAAAGTGCTTATTTATTATAGGCATTGAGAAAAATTTCGCAGTAAAAGCACTTGTTAATTAAATAGGATTGCTGGATTTCATTTGCTTGGCAAGAAATGCCAAATATTTGGAAATTAAAACTTATTTTCTTTATTTGTTTTTTTTGAGACAGAATCTGACTCTGTCACCCAGGCTGGAGTGCAGTACCGTGATCTCAGCTTGCTGCATCCTCCACTCCCCTGGGTACAAGCGATTCTCCTGCCTCAGCCTCCCAAGTAGCTGGGATTGCAGGTGCCTGCCACCGTGCCCAGCTAATTTTTGTATTTTTAGTAGAGATGGGGTTTCACCGTGTTAGCCAGGATGGTCTCGATCTCCTGACCTTGTGATCTGCCTGCCTTGGCCTCCCAAAGTGCTGGGATTACAGGCATGAGCCACAGCGCCCGGCCACTTATTTTCTTTAATAGGGAGAGGAGAAGGAGAACCTCTTCTTAGTCTTTTGACAGGAAGCTGATTTTTATTTTGCTTATTAAATATTTTACTAATTTATTAATTACAACAGATGTCTGATAAGAGATTATTGTTCTTAATATATAAAATGGTTGTGCAAAGTAATGAAAAACTCTAAAGATAAATGCTTACAGCCTGGACAATACAGTAAGACCTCATCTCTAAAGAAAAAGAAGAAAGAAAAATTATCTGGTCACGATGGCATGTGACTGTAGTCCTAGCTACCTGGGAGGATTTTTTGAGCCTAGGAGTTTGAAGCTGAAGTGAGGATCATGCCACTGCATTCTACTTTGGGTGACAGAGGAAAACCCTGTCTCTAAAAAAAAAAAAAAAAAAAAAAAAGCGGGCGCAGTGGCTCACACCTGTAATTCCAGCACTTTGGGAGGCCAAGATGGGTGGATCACGAGGTCAGGAGTTCAAGACCAGCCTGGCCAAGATGGTGAAACCTCATCTCTACTAAAAATACAAAAAAAACTAGCCAGGCATGGTGGCGGGTTCCTGTAATCCTTGCTACTTGGGAGGCTGAGGCAGAGAATTGCTTGAACCTGGGAGGTGGAGGTTGCAGTGGGAGGAGTTCACGCCACTGCACTCCAGCCTGGGCAACAGAGTGAGACTCCATCTCAAAAAAAAAAAAAAAAAAAAAAGGCCAGGTGCGGTGGCTCACGCCTGTAATCCCGGCACTTTGGGAGGCCGAGGCGGGCAGATCACGAGGTCAGGAGGTCGAGACCATCCTGGCTAACACGGCAAAACCCCATCTCTACTAAAAATACAAAAATTAGCCGGGTGCGGTGGTGGGCGCCTGTAGTCCCAGCTACTGAAGAGGCTGAGGTGGGAGAATGGCATGAACTTGGGAGGCGGAGCTTGCAGTGAGCTGAGGTTTTGCGCCACTGCACTCCAGCCTGGGCGACAGATGTGAGACTCTGTGTCAAAAAAAAAAAAAAATTGCTTAAAACATAATTGGGCAGAGGCTATGGGCAGATTTAAAAGAAGATAGAAAAGGCTAATAGGGCCGGGCAAAGTGGCTCTCACCTGTAATCTCAGCACTTTGGGAGGCTGAGGTGGGTGGATCACCTGAGGTCAGGGGTTCGAGACCAGCTTTGCCAATATGGTGAAACCCCATCTCTACTAAATATACAAAAATTAGCCAGGCGTGGTGATGGGCACCCGTAATCCCAGCTACTCGGGAGGCTGAGGCAGGAGAATCGCTTGAACCCGGAAGGCGGAGGCGGTGAGCCGATATCGTGCCATTGCACTCCAGCCTGGGCGACAGAGTGAGACTCTGTCTCAAAAAAAAAAAAAAAAAAAAAAGGCTAATAGTTAAAAGTGTGTATCTTCACTATAAATACAGTTGGCCTTTGAACAATTCATGGGGTTAGGGTGCTGACCCCCTACACAGTTGAAAATTTGTATATAATTTTTGATTCTCCCAAAATTTAACTGCTAATAGCCTTATGGCTTACTGTTGATCAGAAGCCTTATCAACAACATAGCTTCCTAACACATATTTTATATGTTTATATGTCTTATATATTGTGTTCTTAAAATAAACTAGGAAAAAGTGTTACTAAGAAAATCATAAGAGAAAATATATTTACTGTTTATTAAATGGAAGTGGATTATCATAGAGGTCCTTATTCTCATGGTCTTTTTGTTAAGTGGAGGGGGAAGTGTTATTGTCTGTGGGATGACAGAGGCAGAAGAAAATGCACGTGTAAGTAGACCCGTGCAGTTCAAGCTTGTGTTGTTAAAGGTCAACTGTAAATAGGAAATAAGGAAAATTAAAAATCTATAAAATTGATATTTGTACATATATTTGTTTTAAAATAAAATTTAAAATATACAATTTTTCAAAAATGAGTCAGTGAATTTCAAAAGTAGGTGAGAGTATGGTGAAATTGACCCTTCTAAATATTGCCAGTGGGAATATAAATAGATAAAAGCTTTTTGGAAAGCAATCTGACAGTAATTCATATTTCCTCATATGGTAATTTTTACCTCTGGGAATTTATTTTAAGGAGATAATCAAATGCAGACCAATATTTTTACATGAAATATTCTTCCAACTTGAGACAGCCTTAACATTTTTAGAGCTGGAGAATAGGTAGATAAATTAATGACACAACATAGTGTGGAATATTTTCAGGCATTAAATATATTTAACAGAATTTATGAATGACAGCAAAATGATAGTGACATTCCAGGATATGGAATTCTGTACGGTGTCTGAAATTGCATGAAACCAAATACTGGAAGGGAACAATACAGAAATGTGATAATTTGTGCATGGTGTGGTTGTGAATGCCCTTTTTTCACTGTTCTTTTATTTTTTGTTTTTTTAAGGCGAGCATGAATTACTTTTATAAGGGAAAAAACTCAGTTTACAGATACTAAGGACTATTTTAGATATTATAATACTGTAGTCAAATAGCTTATTAAAATATAAATATAAAGCAAAATTGAAAATGTATTTGAAAAGAGAAGGGAAGTATTTTTTTTCCTTTTATGCTCTTTCCTTTCCACTCCATAGTTGCCTAAGTCACTTACCCTTCCTTAAGTCCTTATCCCAGAGAAAGATGCGACTGCCATTGGTGACCTGTTAACTCTTTACTGTGGTCTAATGGAGACAGCACTCGACTGAAAGTGAAGGACCCAGACTCTAGTTGTAGGTTAACCATTCCCTTCTTTTTACCTCTTTTGCCCCATCTGAAAGGAAAGCGGGTGGAGGATGATGGGGGGAGTCCTTTTTTAGGATATTGTGGTATTAAATACATAAGAGACTTGTGAAAGTCCTTTGAATTCCAATAAAAAAAAGTTCTTGGCCAGGCGTGGTGGCTCACGCCTGTAATCCCAACACTTTGGGAGGCTGAGGCGGGCTGATCACCTGAGGTCAGGAGTTAGAGACCAGCCTGGCCAACATGGCGAAACCCTGTCTCTACTAGAAGTATAAAAATCAGCCGGGTGTGATGGCAGGTGCCTGTAATCCCAGCTACTTTGGAGTCTGCGGCAGGAGAATCTCTTGAACCCAGGAGGCAGAGGTTGCAGTGAGCCGAGATCACGCCACTGCATTCTAGCCTGGGTGACAGAGCGAGACTTCGTGTAAAAAAAATTTCTGGTTGAAACATTTAATGGATAATATTTTAAATATTAAGAGTGGGCTTCTTAAGCACATTAGATATTGCTTAGATTTTCTTAAGCGCATAGTGCAAATCTGATGATTCCCATTAGATTCATATGTTTATTCATTTGATCATTCAATAAATATTTGTTTGCCTTGTACTATCTTCTGTTTCTTTAGAGTAGTGGTTTTCAACTGGGGGCCATTTTGTTTTCCAGTTGGCAATGTGTGGAGAAATTTTTGGTTGTTACAACTCAGATGGAGGTGCTACTGACAGCTAGTGGATAGAGGCCAGGAATGCTGCTATACATCCTTCTTCCAACAAAGATGTACCTGGCCTACAGTGTTGGTAGTGCCACAGTTGTCACACCCTGCTTGAGAGTTTAGTTATTTCCAAGTATGCATTGAAAGAAATAGCTTTATTCAAGGAAGTTCATATGGTTTTAAAAATTATAATGTATGTTAGTTTTTTTATTTAAAAAAATTACCATAAAAGTTTTGAGTTGAAAATTATAACTCCATAATTCAGGTACTATCAGTTTAAGAAAAATTGTGTTTTCTGGTTAAAAATAAGTCAAATTTTAAAATAATGTTTATTAATCTAGGAAGATAACCAGGTAGTTAACAGATTTCAAGAAATGGTAGCACTTGCATAAAATGTGTTTTGTAAAGTAACTTGAATTTTATTGTATCTAATCATCTCAATTTTGGTTCATCCTACAGAGCTTCTTTGCTAACTTGGAAATATAGCCCTTTTCTTCTTCTACCTTTAACAAAAGTTGTTAATAGAGTCCTTGGAATGTTTCTAGAATACTTTTTTTTTTCAATGGGCCTTCATACACAAAATTTTCTTCTTCCTTTAGGATCATAAAAGGATTCCTCTGTACTAGCACACTCCCCTAAAAAAAAAAGGCATGTATATTTAATTTCTTGTTAGGATATGATACCTAGTGACTTTTACTAGAGCTCTGTTTCCCCCTATTCCAGTGGTGCTTTAAATGAATTTATCATGTAATCATCTTTGGAAACGAGGTCCAAGAAATTGTTGCAAACTTTGCCAGTCTGCTAAGGGAGCAGAGACATTGTATCGCTTGACTCTTTTGGAAGGGCTGTTTAGGGGCATTTTCAAGGCTATTTGCATTTGCCACTACATGTTTCTTCTGAATATGTGTGTGTTCCTAGGAGTGTTACTGCTACTTGCTTAAGGGAGAATGGGATGGTGTCTAGTTTAAATGACCAGGATCCTGAAAAGGAGGTTGGGGACAAGTTTTAAATTACTGGTAGAGCTAGAATTTGATGCTAGTAAATGACATTTATTTTGAGAAGTAACTTTAAAAATTGCTAACTGCATTTGGTATTCTGTATCAAATGTAGTTGTAATTTATCTTATATAGTCCACACCTTGAGTTTTATGTGGCAGACAATGCTATTTGTATTTTATGCTTTCGATAGATTGTGTTTTATTTCCCTTGACCATTTTTCTACAGATATTTGTCAGGATACGAATCAGGTTCTCTTCAAGTGCTGCCAGGGATCTGAAGAGGTACCCTGCAACAAACCTGTTCCTGTAAGCCTCTCTGAGGATCCCTGCTGCCCACTGCATTTCCAGTTGCCTCCTCAGATGTATAAGCCCGAGCAGGTACTGTCTGTGCCAGACGATCTGGAAGCCGGCCCCATGGATCTGTACTTGAGTGCTGCTGAGCTTCAGCCCACTGAGAGTTTACCTCTGGAGTTCAGTGATGTAAGTTAGAGAAGCTCTGCTTTGGTTCAGGCCCTTGAGACAAAGCCTTATTTATTAATGGTGAGAATAGGTTAGTCTTTGTGGTTAGGAGAATCGACAAAGTTTTTGAAGTGATATATACGTATAGTTGTATTTATATGTTAGCATATTCATTTAGAGAAATCTACCCTACCTTATATTTTTTTCCAGACTCTTCCCATACCTTTTTAGGGATACAATTTACATACTATAAATTGCACTCTTTGAAAGTGTATAATTGAGTGATTTTTAGTATATTCGCAAAGTTACGCAACTACCACCACTATCTAATTTCAGAAGGTTTTCACCATCTCCAAAAGAAACTCAGTACCTATTATGACACTCTTCATTTTCTTCTCCCCTCAGCCCCTGGCCACGATGAATCTACTTTTTGTCTCTGATTTTGCTTATTCTGGACATTTCATATCAATGTAATAGTATATGTATCCTTTTGTGTCTTGCTTGTTTCACTTAGCATAATGTTTTCAAGGTTTATCCATACTATAATATGTATCAATACTTCATTCCTTTTTGTGACTGAATTAATATTCCATTGTTTGGAAATACCACGCTTTAAAAATATATCAGTTGATGGATATTTGTGCTGTTTCTACTTTCTGGCTATTAAGGAATATACTGTTAAGAACTTTTGAGACAGAGTTTCTGTCGGTGGCATGAGCCACCACGCCCAGCTTAGTTATCATTTTTATAACTTTTTTTTTTTTAAATTGGGGTCTTGCTCTGTTGCTCAGGCTGGAGTGCAGTGGCATGATCATGGCTCCGTGCAGCCTCGAACTCCTGGGCTTAAGTGATCCTCCTGTCTCAGCCTCCCAAGTAGCTGGGACTATAGGTTTATGCCACCATGCCCAGCCAATTTTTTATTTTTTGTATAGATGAGATCTCCCTATGTTGCATGGGCTGGTCTTCAACTCCTAGGCTCAAGTGATCCTCTTACCTTGGCCTCAAGTGATCCTCTTACCTTGGCCTCCCAAAGTGCTGGGATTACAAGTGTGAACCACTGTGCCTGGCCACTATAACTTGGCTTTTTTTTTTTTAGACTGAGTCTTGTTCTGTTGTTCAAGCTGGAGTGCAGTGATGTGATCTCAGCTCACTGCAGCCTCTGCCTTCAGGGTTCAAGTGATTCTTGTGCTTCACCCTCCTGGGTAGCTGGGACTACAGGTGTGCGCCAGCAGGCCTTGCTGATTTTTGTATTTTTTGTAGAGACAGGGTTTCACCATGTTGGCCAGGCTGGTCTCTAACTCCTGGCCTCAAGTGACCCACCCACCTTGGCCTCCCAAAGTGCTGGGATTATAGGCATGATTCACCATTCCTGGCGTATAACTGTTAATGATAACTTTGGTGATTTTACTTGCGGGAAGACTAGGCATCAGATATTAATATGAGTAAAAACACAGCCGTTCATTCTGGATATTTGCTTGTTTTCTGTGCTTTGATGCAAGGATGGTTGGCAAGTAGTAACTTAACACCTTAATCTTACTACTTTTGAGTTCCTTCTCTCTCATTCTCTATTGCTGGTTTTGGAGATAGTAACAAAACGTGGATTCTCTTATTTTATCTTTATTTATTTTTTGAGACGGAGTCTTGGTCTGTCGCCCAGACTGGAGTGCAGTGGCACGATCTCGGCTCACTGCAACCTTCACCATCTGGGTTCAAGCAATTCTCCTGTTCCTGCCTCCCGAGTAGCTGGGATTACAGGTGTGTGCCACCATGTCTGGCTAATTTTTGTATTTTTTAGTAGAGATGGGGTTTCGCCATGTTGGCCAGGCTGGTCTCGATCTCCTAACCTCAGGTGATCCACTCCCCTCAGCTTCCCCAAAGTGCTGAGATTATAGACATGAGACATCGCGCCCAGCTGAAAACATGGATTCTCTTTATATCCTGATACTTCAATTTTTAAAACACTCCTGTTTTAATAGGCATTTTTGCTGATTTTCTTATTTTAGGATCCTTTTCCCAGTTTAAAATCTTATAAAAGACAACCCTTTGTATATATGAGAAAAGCCTTTTCTGAAAACATACACATTCCATTATTATCTTGAGATTTAGATGCCTTTTGATTCAGTGTTTAAATAATTCCAAGCTAGTCATTATTATTTTTGACAGAGTCTCGCTCTGTCACCTAGGCTGGAGTGCATTGGCGTGATCTCGGCTCACTGCACTGTCTGCCTCCTGGGTTCAAGCGATTCTCCGGTCTAAGCCTTCCGAGTAGTTGGGATTACAGGTGCGCCCCACTGTGCTTGGCTAATTTTTGTATTTTTAGTAGAGACAGGGTTTCACCATGTTGGCCAGGCTGGTCTCAAGCTCCTGGCCTCAAGTGTTTCGCCCACCTTGGCCTCCCAAAGTGCTAGGATTACAGGCGTGAGCCACCGTGCCCATTCCAAGCTAATTGTTTATGTAAGAATTGCACATGGGCCGGGTGCGGTGGCTGACGCTTGTAATCCCAGCACTTTGGGAGTCCGAGACGGGTAGATCACCTGAGGTCAGGAGTTCTAGACTAGCCTGGCCAACATGGTGAAACTCCGTCTCTACCAAAAATACAACAATTAGCTGGATGTGGTGGCACGCGCCTGTAATCCCAGCTACTGGGGAGGCTGAGGCAGGAGAATCGCTTGAACCCAGGAGGTGGAGGTTGCAGTGAGCCAAGATCTTGCCATTGCACTCCAGCCTGGGTAACAAGAGTGAAACTCTGTCTCACACACACGCACGCACACACACACACACAAATTGCACATAGTAAAAGAATGGGAGAAAACAGATTTATAGTCTTAATGGTGTGAGAACACTGGTTTCTGTGGGTAGTACAGAAGTTTCCAACTCACCTGAAAATGAATGGTAGGTTGAGTGTATCCTGTGCCCTATGTTTCTGCTTAAATTGAGCAGCTTTATTTTATTATTTTTTTTTGAGACAGAGTCTTGCTCTGTTGCCCAGACTGGAGTGCAGTGGTGCAGTCTCGGCTCACTGCAACCTCTGCCTCCTGGGTTCAAGCAATTCTCCTGCCTCAGTGTCCTGAGTAGCTGGGACTACAGGTATGTGCCAAGACGCCTGGCTAATTTTTGTATTTTTAGTAGAGATGGGGTTTCACCATGTTGGCCAGGCTGGTAATTTTTTGTGGAGACTGGGTTTCACCATGTTAGCCAGGATGGTCTCAATCTCTTGACCTCATGATCCGCCCACCTTGGCCTCCCAAAGTGTTAGGATTGCAGGCGTGAGCCACTGCACCCGGCCTGAGCAGCTTTAAGTAGATTTTAAAATTATATATATTCTTTAATGTGAAGATGTTGTGATTCTCATTTTTGGTGATTAGCACACCAACAAATGGGAAAGGATTGCAAATTCTTAGATTTATTTAAAAGCGTAGAACTAAGCTTCTCGTGAAGCTAGATGAATAGAAACACGGAGCATCTATAAACTGGATTAAACATAGGGGGGTACAAACCTCCTGGATATTTTTAATTCTTAGGAAGAAGGAGAATTTAGCACCAGACTCTTGAAAAGCAGTGGCATGAAAGTTAGTTTGATATATTGTTTGAGTTTGTATTGCCTTAGGCCCTGAATCAAGACCAATGGTTTGCTGTAGCTGTTGGTTTCAAACAGGAGCTAAGAGTGATGTCTTCCTTGTGGTCTGTTGGCTATTCAGTATTCCAGTGCGAATTGCCAATTCAGTTGGAAGAAACATAGTCTAGAATGTAATGTCATTTTTTTTTTTTTTTTTTTTACAGAGCAAAACTATGTTAGGCTTAAGAACCAGGGAGTTGGCCGGGCGTGGTGGCTCATGCCTGTAATCCCAGCACTTTGGGAGGCTGAGGTGGGCCAATCACTGGTCGGGAGATCAAGGCCATCCTGGCTAACATGGTGAAACCCTGTCTCTACTAAAAATACAAAAAATTAGCTGGGCGTGGTGGCACACGCCCATAGTCCCAGCTACTGGGGAGGCTGAGGCAGGAGAATCACTTGAACCCAGGAGGCGGAGGTTGCAGTGAGCCGAGATCACGTCACTGCACTCCAGCCTGGGCGACAGAGCGAGACTCTGTCTCAAAAAAAAAAAAAACAAAACAAAAAAAACCAGGTTGTTGCTCTGTCGGGATAGGGACTTAACCAAAATAATATTTCCTAGCCATTCAGAGGAACTGTGAGTTTTCTGTTGTCCTTCCTTTCTTCCTACCTTCTCCCTTTCCCTTGTTGGAGCTTGTTTGCTTGCTTTGTGGCTGTTAGGATATTAATCAGGCAATCTTGTATTACCCAGCAATATTTAATTTTAACGTAGCATTGTTCATATTTAAATTAATCACTGGTGAACTTACATGTTCATTACAGGTAGCCTCAGAGAATATGCTTTTTTAAAAAATATTTTTTTAATTGTAGTAAAACATACATAACAAAATTTTACTCTTTTAACCTATGTATGTATGTGTGTAAGTAGGTGGGTAGGTAGAGATGGAGTCTTGCTGTGTCACCCAGGCTGGTCTTGAATTCCTGGCCTCAAGTGATCCTCCCACTTCGGCTTCCCAAGGTGTTGTTATCATAGGCATGAGCCACTGCACCTGGCCGTTTTTAAGTGTACAAGTCAGTGGTGTTATGAACATTTACCATGTTGTACAGCTATCACCATTTTCTGTTCCAGAACTTTTTCATCAACCCAAACAGAAACTTTGTACTTTTTAAACAGTAACTCTCTCCTTTCCCTTTCCCCTGTTCCCTACTATTCTCCGTTTCTACTTTGTGTTTCTGTGAATTTTCCTAGAATTTTTTTTTTTTTTGAGACAGGGTCTGGCTCTGCCACCCAGGTTAGAGTGCAGAGGTGCAGTCTCGGCTCACTGCAGCCTCTGCGTCCCAAGCTTGAGGGATCCTCCCACCTCAACCTCCAGAGTAGCTGGGACTACAGGTGTGTGCCACCGCGCCTGGCTTATTTTTGCAGTTTTTGTAGAGACGGGGTTTCACCATGTTGCCCAGGCTGGTCTTGAACTCCTGGGCTCAAGTGATATGCCTACCTTGGCCTCCCAAAGTGCTGGGATTAGAGGTGTGGTGGCCAGAATTTTGTTTTTTAATCTACTGTATTGGTCTATGTTTTACACTTGGCAGCAAAAGCTCTCAGTGCTTTTGGATCTTGTTTCATTTGTTGGACGCTCTTGTAAAATTTTTTTTTTATTAAAGGTAGGCTAGGGTTGAGGGAGACAGCAGAGTATTGCTTTAAAGTTTGCTGAAAAACATGCCAACTTTATTACTGTTTCCCTTGGTATTGCTGATGGGCTTTTCTCTTTTTTCTAGGACTTGGATGTTGTGGGTGATGGTATGCAGTGTCCTCCTTCACCTTTGCTTTTTGATCCTTCACTAACCCTTGAAGATCATTTAGTCAAAGAAATTGCTGAAGACCCAGTGGATATTTTGGCAAGTGAAGAACAGTCCCACCTGTTTCCCTCATGTAGTGACCTGGCCAGGCAGAGGGTTCCCTGCTAGATAGCATGTGCTCCTGGAGGGGAGTGGGGTGTCATCACTAGTATAAAGATGCTCCACATGTCTCTCACTTATTGAATACCATATAAGCAAAGCACTTTTAAAAATGCCCTACTCTGCTCCTGTGTACCCTTGTTGCTGTAGTTCTCCAGATGGGCTCTTAGAACACCTAATGGCCCGTGATCCTCATATCCCAGAGTAGGACATACATTTATTTAAATAAAAGCTTGAGACAAGGAATCTAGGGAAATCATACCTTCTGAGGGAGAGTTCATCACTGAAATTGTTCTCATTGTAGAAGGACCAGTAAAGTAATGTGATTTGAGTTCTGTCCGTGAGCCTTGGGTAGAATTCCAGTGGCCCTGACTGAAGACCAGCAGTTGTACTGTGGCTGTTGGTTTCAAGCAGAGGCCTAAAGGACTGTCTTCCTGTGGTCTGTTGGCTGTTCTGGGACCTCAGTAGGGAATGGCTATTTCATTTGGAAGAAACAACCTACAGCTCACCATCCCATTGGAAGAGGCTCAGGAATAGGCTCTTCCAAGGGACTAGGATAGCTAATATGGGAAGAGCATCTGTCCAGAATTAATTTCTGTTGTATTGTTCTTATTGCTAGTTTAAGTGGCCACTGATAAGTCAGATTCATACTTCAGACCACAGTGAATGAATTACTAACTGAAGTGCCTTTATTTCTTTTAACAGGGCCAGATGCAGATGGCTGGAGATGGGTGCAGATCCCAGGGATCTCGAAATTCTGAGAAAGCCTCTGCACCATTGTCTCAGAGTGGATTGGCTACTGCAAATGGGAAGCCAGAACCCACTTCTATTAGTTGATAGTTTGGGGAACCATTTTACTTTGGTGGATTTAAATTTCTCGTTCTTCAAAGAAGTATTTCTGATCATCTCTCACAAAACACAGGCAACCCAGACTACCTTGTTTTTCTTCTGGATTGAGTATTATAGTCAAACGTAAAGCCAAATTTTGAGGACGTGGACCGTGGGTTTCTTCCCACTCAGGGCAAGGAAGAGAAAGAGAGATAATCCCTATCAAAGCTTCTGGGATTATTTGGGACTATACCTAAAAGGAAAGTGACATCTTTGTAATGGGATTTCCCAAGTCATGGATAGAAATCCACTTAAGTAGCTAGGTGGGAGCTGTCTTTGTGAGTGGTGTCTTTGAGATACTGATGGCCCTAATATCGGTTATCTCTATCTGAAGACCTGCAGTTTAGCTTTTCTTCACCTCTACTTAATTGGGCAGTCTTTAACCCCTTTCCCTGGTGAACTCTGGCTTTTTATCCTCTGAGAAAACAGCCCACAGGACTGGGTCCTCCTTATCCGTCTTGCTTTTAACCTATGTAAATTTCTGTGGTTGCTATCTTATGTAAAATATAGTAAAAATTTATTGTATATAGTTTCTATTAAATGTTAAAGAAAATGTTATGAAAATATCAAACAGTCACCTGAATTGAATGCATGTTTTGTTTGAGAATATAGTTTCTTTTTCGCGGTTTTGGGGACCTGTCTCTGATGGGAAAGGGAAGTTGGGACAGATGATACTTCCATCCCAAGAAGTAAATAAATCTTCAGTAGCTCATTTTGGTTTTGCTTTGAAGGAAGAAGTAAAT
This sequence comes from Homo sapiens, assembly GCF_000001405.40. Classification (NCBI taxonomy): domain Eukaryota; kingdom Metazoa; phylum Chordata; class Mammalia; order Primates; family Hominidae; genus Homo; species Homo sapiens. Next base: position 48,653,249 of record NC_000012.12, on the reverse strand, counting down.
GAAAAGGGGCAGGACTTATTAAAGCCCATCAGTTCCAAATATCTTTCTTCTTTTTACCCTCCACTCTGTGTCTCCTACACCCACTCCCATTTCTCACGATTAATGCCAATGCCATCTCTGCCAGACGTGGTGGCTTACGCCTGTAATCCCAGCACTTTGGGAGGCTGAGGTAGGCGGATCACTTGAGCTCAGGACTTCAAGACCAGTCTGGGCAATGTGGTGAGACCCTGTGTCTATATTTTTAAATTTTAAATAATTATTTTTAAAAAAATAATGCTAATACCATCTCAGAATTCTCTAGTGGTAGGAATATACTTAAAACATAGAGAAATTGGGCCTGATGCTGGATCACTAAGATAGACATAGATAGGTATTGTCAAGATCGTTTTGACACTGAATCTTAGAGCAGGATTAAAATAGAAGTTCAGTTAGGGTTGAGGTACCTATGCTAGAAATTGTCTATTTCTATACTGCATTATGACAAGGAGGGCAAAAGATTACTTTCTATAAGAACTGAAATGGGCACAGAATGGCTTACAGTTATACCATCATCTTAACTTTAAGCATTTACATTCAGAGAATGGTTGAAAGTAACTCATAAAAGGCCCATCAGATGAACCACTGGGGAGATTGCCTTTACTGGGTCTTCCAGTGATACTCTTTTTAAGTTTGTAGTTCCCACTGCTTTTTTGATTCTCTAGTCTAGTACTTTTTTTTTTTTTTTTTTTTGAGACGGAGTCTGGCTCTGTCACCTAGGCTGGAGTGCCGTGGCTCAATCTCGGCTCACTGCAACCTGCATCTCCTAGATTCAAATGATTCTCCTGCCTCAGCCTCCCGAGTAGCTGGGATTACAGGCATGTGCCACCATGCCTGGTTATATTTTGTATTTTTAGTAGAGATGGAGTTTTGCCATGTTGGCCAGGCTGGTCTCGAACTCCTGACCTCAGGTGATCTGCCTGCCTCAGCCTCCCAAAATGCTGGGATTATAGGTGTGAGCCACCATGCCTAGCCTAGTCTAGTGCATTTTATACTTTATCCACAAAGACAAACATTACTTTTTATTTATGTGTGTGTTTATATTTGAGATGTGATCTGACTATGTCACCCAGGCTGGAGAGCAGTGTCATGATTATAGTTCACTGCAGTCTCAAACTGGGCTCAAGCCATTCCCCTGCTTCAGCCTCTTAAATCTGGGACTTACGTACCATCATGCCTAGCTAAGACAAACGTTACTTCTTACACAGCTATGAGCTTAAACATGACTGCTTAGATATCCTCTTCCTGTTGTTTAAAAAAATGTAATTTACAGACCACTAGCATATATATCACCCAGCATGATTGCTAAAAAGTAAATTAATAGGCCCGTCAGCACTTTCTGGGGAATGAGGGCCAGGGAATCTACTCTTAGTGCCTCAGAAATTCTGATAGCCACGCATGCTTGCAGACTCAGCTGTGGTGAGTTTTGGGAAGGCTATGTTTGGCTACCATTCTCCAAGGTTCTGGCTCTCATTAGGTGCAGAGAAAACAGGAAGAGGGGGTAGGAGGGGCCTCAGGCTGCACCATGTTACTGAGAAAGTTTTGGCCCTGGTAATGAGTCTCTAAACAAAGGTCTGTTAGAAGAAATGGCCTAATACCCTTGTGCTCAGTCACTGGCAGCAACCTGAGGGAAGTGTGATACCTTGGTAGATCCAAAGGTTAGGATGCTGGAAGCTGTCAGTTAACTGCAGCTCATTCTCTTGAAATCAGGGCGGCATACCTCCATGGCTGCAGCCTTTTGTCAGATCCACTTCTCCCATGCATGTTTATGATTCCTGGGGGCCTTTTAAAGGAGAAACTTAGGGGTACAAATTACAGCCCTCATAGCTACAGTTTGTCTTGGGGGCTGCAACTGGTAATCACATCTCCCCACTCTACTATACATTCTAAATTCCCTCAGTTATTACGATGGTAGGTCTTGGTTTGCCTGGTGGTGTGAACCTACCTTAATTCCTGGCAAGTCTTGAGCCTTTGGTAATCATACCCTTCTCAGGCTAGGGTTGCTGCACGTGTTAATTCAGTTACAGTTGTGTGAGGGAGTACCAACTGTATAGGCAGAATAATCATCCCAAAGATGTCCACATCCTAATCCCTGGGATCTGTGAATATGCTATTGTAAAATGGCAAAAAGAACTTAAGATGTGGTCAAGGTTAAGGGTTTTGAGATGGAGAATAGCCTGGATTATCCAGGTGGACCCAATATAATCATGACTCCTTAAAAGCAGAGAACCTTTCCCAGCTGTGATCAGAAGCAATAGCGTGAGAAGGTTTCAATGACCTGTTGGTTCTGGATGTCTGCAAAGACTGGAGAGAGGTCTCTAGTTGTTAAGGATGACCCCTCTACCAAAACTGACAGCCAGCAAGGAACTGTCTTAGAAAACCTGCCTGCTTCACTCCTTTATGCTTCATGTGTGACTCCTGGTTTAGGCCCTCATCCTTTCTCTTGAGAAAGGCAGTCGTCTCCTAGTTGGTCTCTCAGTCTCACCCTTTTTCAATCCGTACTGCAGCCAGAATGATCTTGAAAACTTTATCCTGTCTCTCACTGCTTATGGCAACCCCTAGCCTTCAGTTACACCTCATTGTTGTCAGGAAAAAACAAAACAACCAGCTGCTTCAGCATGGCATTTAAGACTTCATAATCTGATCATATTTATCTATGGGCAGTCATCCTGAAATGTTCTTTCTCTTACAGGCTATTCTCCAGCCATTCTTAGATTTATTTGAAAAGGAAACTGAAATGTAGCCAAGTACATGGGGTTTGAATTCAGAAGGACCTGGATTGAATCCTGGTTTTGCCACTTACTCTGAGAACTTTGTGACTTTGAATCACTACCTCTCTGAACCTCAGTTTTCTCGACTGTGTAATAGGGGTAACACTCACCTAGAAGTATTGTGAGATAAAGTGAAAAACAAAGAATTAGAAACTCAGAAACATGTAAACCCTCAGAAAATGGTAACTTATTATTTTAAAAGTATAAGTTCTCTCTTTTCAGCTCAGGCATCACTTCATCCCAAGTTTTTCAATGATGAGTTAATGCTGACATTGAATGAATACAAGTAAAATAGCAAATCCAGCCATGTCTATAGGTTCATTCATTTGTAAGGGAAAAGTACGATTCTGTAGACAAGATAGTAACTCAGTCTTCATGTTTACAGTTAAATATTTAATCTGCTGACTTACTATTAGAAGTAGCAGTGCCTATACGGCTTGTATTATTTTGCCTTGCTCCCCTCCCAGCAAAGTTGTAAGATTCATCCTCTTTGTCTACATAAAGATGTTTTCATTTATTTTCATTACTATATATATAGAAATTTACTACTTTTTTTCTTTTTTTTTTTTCTTTCTTTTTTTTTTTTTTTTTTTTGAGACAGAGTCTTGCTGTGTTGCCAGGCTGGAGTGCAATGGTGCGATCTTGGCTCCCTGCAGCCTACGCCTCCTGGGTTCAAGTGATTCCCCTGTCTCAGCCTCCTGAGTAACTGGGACTTACTACACTATTATTCTACTATGTGTAGAATTTTACTATATGACTACATCACTATTTATTCACTGTAATGTTGAGAGACGATTGTTTCCAGTTTTGGATATTTCAAGAATTAGTCATTAATATTTTTGTATATTAAGGGCCGGGCACGGTGGCTTACACCTATAATCCCAGTGCTTTGAGAAGCTGAGGTGGGAAGATTGCTTGAGTCCAGGAGTTCCAGATCAGCTCAGGCAACATAGTGAGACCCTGTCTCTATAAAAATAAAAAATAAAAAAGCTGGGCATGGTGGCATGTGCCTGTAGTCCCAGCTACTTAGGAGGCTGAGATGAGAGGATCTCTTAAGCCCAGGAGTTTGAGGTTACAGTGATCTGTGATCTTAACTCCAGCTTGGGTGATATTACACTCCAGCTTGGGTGATACCAACACCCTGTCGCTTTAAAAAAAACAAAAAAACCGAACATGTATATAGCTGTTGCACATGTGCCTACATATCTTTGTGGGATGCCCAGCAGTGTAATTTGGGTCATAGGGTAGATGTATTTATAGCTTTACTAGATAATGTAAAGCTAGTTCTCCATAGGGGTTTAACCAATTTATTTTGTTTTTTGAGGTGGGGAATCTTGCTTATGTTGCCCAGGCTGGCCTGGAACTCCTGAGCGCAAGTGATCCTTCTGCCTCAATCTCCCAAGAAGTTGGGAATACAGGTGTGTGCCGTGATGCCCAGCTGGAATTTGTTTTTGGGTATAAGGGAGGTAGAGATCCAATTTTTTTTTTCCCATATGACTGTCTGTCACGTGGTTTTTCTCTGCTCCCATGCAGTGCCAATTTTGTCAAATGGTCTGATTTTGGGCTCTCTGTTGGTTTCCATTGGTCTGTTTTTGTATCTCTGTTAACATTACACTATTAGAATTACTTTTGTTTTATAATAAGTGATGATTTCTGTCTGGTATAGCAAATTATCCTACTTGGTTCTTTTAAAGGAGTGTTGTGCTGGTTTTTACACTGTTGTTTGCTGGGACTAGAACTCTGCAAATCACATTTCTCCTTTGTCAGCTGGCTGGCCTGTAGGGACTACTAAAGGCAGATTGTAGGGCTAGAAGAGACATTTTCCTTTTTCTTTTTTTTTTCTTCAAGATGGGTCTCACTTTGTTGCCCAGGCTGGAGTGCAGTGGTGCCATCTCGGCTCACTACAGTCTCTGCCTGCCAGGTTCAAGCTATTCTCCTGCCTCAGCCTCCTGAGTAGCTGGGATTACAGGTGCCTGCCATCACACCCAGCTAATTTTTGTATTTTTAGTAGAGAATGGGTTTCACCATGTTGGCTAGGCTGGTCTTGAATTCCTGGCCTCAAGTGATCCACCCACCTTGACCTCCCAAAGTGCTGGGATTACAGGCGTGAGCCACCGCACCTGGCCCGGGACACTTTCCTTCTCTTTGCTTTCTGTCTCTGTCAGCATTCTCTCAGTAACAACTCCTCATTCTGACAGCATCACTTGGTTCCAGTTTGCAGTTTTTTTTCTGCACTCCCAGAACCACCCTCATTGTGCCTCTTCAGATGTACAGTACCGGCCAGCCAGCATTCCTTCTCAAAGGTCAGAGTCCCAGATGTGTGGGGTCCCTCCTTCAAGCTCCTCTTCTGAGATCCTGAGGTACCTTTAGCAGCCAAGCAGCAACCGTTTCTCAAAATTTGAGTCTCAGGTCTGCAGGGCCCTTTCTTTCAAACTTTTCCTTTTGTTTCCCTTGCCATAGGGTGGTAGCTGCTTCCTTTAGTTACTAATCTGTGATACTGCAGTGTTCCTTTTGTAATTTTTCAGATCTCTAATACAGTAGGGCAATTGTTTATATTAAATAAAGATTTTATATAGCTGTGTTTCAACACATTAGAGATTAAAGAAGAAAAGTAATCTCAATAGATGCAGCGTTTTAAAAATAATATTTAATAACCATATGTGATTTTTTTTTAACTTAGTGAAGCTAGGAGTAGAAAAGATTTGTTAGCCTGATAGTATCTACAAAAAATACTCCAGCAAGTTTTTTGAAGTTTCTCTTTGAAATCAGGATTAAGAGAAGTTTGCCCACTATTAACATTTCTATTTAGTATTGTTCTGGAAGTCCAAGCCAGAATCTTCTGTCTCCCTCTGAGATTCTGATTAAATCTGTGCTAAATATCTTCTTACTCTATACCTCTTACATGGAAATTTTTCATCTTTTTGTTGCCTTCTTGGATAGTTTCTTCTGACATCAATTCATGGCCACCCATTTTCTTCCTGTATGTATTATTTTGAAGCACATCTCAGATGTATCATTTAATCTGTAAATATTTTGTTATGTATCTCTAAAAGATACACAAATATCATACTTTAAAAATTAGCAATAATTCTTTAATATCAAGTATTGAGTCAGTTTTCCAATTTCTAGTTGTCATATTTTTGTGTGTATGTATGTAAATATGTATGTAGGTTGATCATTTAAGTTATAATTCAAATGAAGTTCACACAATATGGTGACTTGATGATAATGCCTTATAAGTTTCTTTTAATCTATAGGTTGCTCTCTTTCTCCTAATTTTGTTTTGGAGAAAATAGGTGGTTGTTCCTGTATAGTTTTCATAGTCTGGATTTAGCAGATTGCACCTCCATACTGTAGTCTAACATGTTATTCTGTTGGTATTTCCTGCAAGTTGGCAGTTGGGTCCAGAGGTGTGATCTTCATAGGTGGTGGTGTCTTCTGTCAGTAGGCATGTAATGTCTGGTTGTCTCTTTTTGTGCTGGTAGCAGCCTTTTGATGCTCATTGCTGAGATCTGTTGATTCATTAGGTGTTGTAAAATGGCAATATTGTGAATTTATTTCTTTTTTATCTATTATTTGGAAAACTGAAGAAATTTCTCTTTATCCATTATTTGGATACCCAGTGGTATAGTTTGCATAGGAAAAGCAGGATAAATACTTAGTCTGTTCAGGCTGCTGTAACAAAATGCTATAAACTAGGTGGTTTACAAACAGCAGAAGTTTATTTCTCACAGTTCTGAAGACTGGGAAATCCAAGATCAAGGCATTAGCAGATTCAGTGTCTGGCAAGGGGGTCTACTTTCTTAAGGCAGCACCTTTTTTTTTTTTTTTTTTTTTTTTTTTTGTGACGGAGTCTTGCAGTGGCGCGATCTCCGCTCGCCACAACCTCCGCCTCCCGGGTTCAAGCGATTCTCTTGCCTCAGCCTCCCAAGTAGCTGGGATTACAGGTGCCCGCCACCACGCCTGGCTAATTTTTAGTAGAGAGGGGGTTTCACTATGTTGACCAGGCTGGTCTTGAACTCCTGACCTCATGATCCACCCGCCTCGGCCTTCCAAGTGCTGGGATTATAGGCATGAGCCACCGAGCCTAGCCAGCAGCATCTTCTTGCTCTGTCCTCACATGGTGGAAGAGGCTAGTTAGCTAGCTCTCTGGGGTCTCTATAAGGGCACTAATCCCATTCATGAAGGCAAAGCCCTCATGACTAATCACCTCCTCAAAGGCCCCACCTCTTAGTAATATCACCTTGTGGGTTAGGATTTCAACATAAGAATTTTGGATGCTCGCTTCGGCTGCACATATACTAAAATTGGAATGATAAAAAGAAGATTAGCAAACAAATTAATTTTAAAAAAGATTAAGGAATTTCTGGGGTCACAAACATTCAAACCATAACAATACTTAACCCTTTTTCTTTATTGACTATTTTTCAAAATAATGAATTGGGTCATTAGCAACCTTCAAAAGTAATCAGAGTTTTAAAAATTATAATGAAAGGCCAGATGCGGTGCCTCATGCCTGTAATCCCAGCACTTTGGGTGGCCGAGGCGGGTGGATCACCTGAGGTCAGGAGTTCGAGACCAGCCTGGACCAACATGGTGAAACCCCATCTCTACTAAAAATACAAAAATTAGCTGGGTGTGGTGACGGACGCCTGTAATCCCAGCTACTTGGGAGGCTGAGGTAGGAGAATCGCTTGAACCCGGGAGGCGGAGGTTGCAGTGAGCTGAGATTGCGCCATTGCACTCCAGCCTGGGTGACAAGAGCGAAACTCCATCTCAAAAAAAAAAAAAAAAAAACTTACTAGTACCTACATTGTCCTATTTTTGCCCAAGGAGATGTTCTTCAGTTCACGTCTGAGTCCTTTTGATGTGGCCTCAGTAGGCTTTGCAATTTAAATGTCAATATGTTTTAGGCTTGTTCATTTCCTACTTGAAAGCCAGAATCACCCATTTCTACAAGGAGTTCTGGTTTCCTTTTTTTTTTTCTTTTTTTTTTTGAGATGGAGTCTCGCTCTCTCCCCCAGGCTGGTGTGCAGTGGCGTGATCTTGACTCACTGCAAGCTCCACCTCCTGGGTTCACACCATTCTCCTGCCTCAGCCTCCCTAGTGGCTGGGATTACAGGCGCCCGCCACCCCACCCGGCAAATTTTTTGTATTTTTAGTACAGACTGGGTTTCACCATGTTAGCCAGGATGGTCTCAATCTCCTGACCTTGTGATCCACCCGCCTCAGCCTCCCAAAGTGTTGGGATTACAGGTGTGAGCCACTGCGCCCGGCCAAGAGCTCTGGTTTCTTTTTAATAAGAAATGATGGTTTACAATCTCAGTGCTAGGGATGTCCATTGCAGATATAATCGTCATTGTTTCTACACTTTTTCAGTGAACAGAGATAGATATAATGCCTCATAATTTCATAATGACATTTCACATTCAGAACTAGGGACTTTAACATAACCTCTTCTGTCTTATATCTGTACATCATTTTTTTCATGCTGACCATCTCCATTCTCAAGAACAGTAAGATGATAGAATTAAAATATAACCTCAGTGCTCATTTGTTTTAAAGAATAACTTCTATCCCTTGTATTTCTGGTCCGTTCTTTCCCTTACCTTGTAGGTAGCCATTTATATAAATTTTATGATTTATTCTCCTGTTTACAAAAATATAAGCCTGTAGATTTTCATTATCTCAAACACTGGACCTAGTAACAGTTTGTACTCCTTTGTTTTAGAATGCTCATCCCCTTACCTTTCACTTGTTGATAGGTCAACTCTATGATATTCTTTTGATTTGTTGATGACAGGCATGGAGGGAATTCCCACATGCTAACTTGTGGAGCAAAATGTCTTAGGATGCCCAGGTGACAAGAAACAGGTAGGGAAGTGACTTTGACTAGAGGCTCTGAATGAGGTATAAGGTTGCAGTATCAGGCTTCTTCCTTTATTACCCTTGAATGTCATGGTAATAGTAAAAGGGTGGAAATGATGTAATGGGAATGTCGTTTTCTGCAACCAGTGTGTGTGTGTTAAAAAATGGATCCTTTGGGGCCAGGTGTGGTGGCTCACACCTGTAATCCCAGCACTTCGGAAGGCCAAGGCAAGCAGATCACTTGAGTTCAAGAGTCTGAGACCAGCCTGGCTAACGTGGTGAAACCCTGTCTTTACTAATAATACAAAAATTAGCTGGACATGGTGGTGTGCACCTGTAATCCCAGCTACTTGGGAGGCTTAGGCATGAGAGTTGCTTGAACCTGGGAGGCAGAGGTTGCAGTGAGCCAAGATCATGCCACTGCACTCCAGCCTGGGTGACAGAGCGAGACTCCGTCTCAAAGAAAGAAAAGGGTGGTGGGGGGACACTTTGGACCATGTCCTATTTTTCATGGTGTCCAGCAGCTATTATACAGTAATATACTATCCTGAGATTTTGTGAGCCAGAATCGTCTGACTCTTAGCTGCGTTACCCTAGGAGACCAAAAGGTTATGCTAGGGCTATCAAAAATACACAAACTGGCTGGGTATGGAGGCTCACACCTATAATCACAGCACTGTGGGAGGCCAGGGTGGGAGTATCACTTGAGGCCAGGAGTTCAAGACCAGCTTGGGCATCATAGAGAGACAGACCCCCATCTCTAAAAAAAAAAAAAAAAAAAAAAGAAAAAAATTAGCCTGGTACAACAGTGCTGTGCACCTGTAGTGCTAGCTACTCATGAGGCTGAGGCGGGAGGATTACCTGAGCCCAGAAATTTTGAGGTTGCAGTGAGCCACGATCATGCCACTATACTCCAGCCTGGGCCACAGAGCGAGGCCCTACCTCTTAAAAAAAAGAAAACACACACAAACCAAAAGAAAATGTTAATATCAATAAATGTTTCAGTCAAATCTTGGCCTAGGGCTGTTTTATATTTTTAAAGTAACTTTGCATGTGTTTTATACAAGTCTTAGTGTGGAGTAACTCATTTTGCACCCACATGCTACCTAAAGCATATAGTCATGCACCACATAACATTTTGGTCACGGATGGACTACATATGTGATGGTGGTGCCATAAGGTTATAATATGGTATTTTTAGTGTACCTTTTCTATGTTTTGCTATGTTTACATACACAAATACTTACCATTGTGTTACAGTTGCCTATAGTATTCAGTGCAGTCACATGCTGTACGGATTTGTAACTTAGGAGCAATATGCTATACCATAGAGTGTAGGTGGGTGGTAGGCTATACCATCTCGGTTTGTGTAGGTGTACTCTATGATTGCACAATGATGAAATTGCCTAATGACATATGTCTTAAGAAGGTATCCCTGTTAAGCATATATCCTATTCATGACTTTTCTTTCTTTAGTCCCTCACCTGCTTCTCACTTGCCTTGTATTTGAGCATTTATTGACATATAGATGAACCTGATATGAATGAATATATTATTCATTATATTAAGCTAGTAGTGTTCTAAGTATGCTAGGTATTATTCCCTATGGTGTGCCAGAACTGTGATGGCATTGGTCTTATCCTTGATAAATAATGAATTCCTGGTAGCTATGTATATGGCCAATGCTCACAACTTTTTTTTTTTTTTTGGAATCTCCTATGTCTACTTCTTTCTACACAGACACAGTAACAATCTGATCTCTCTTTCTTTTCCCCACATTTCCCCCTTTTCTTTTCGACAAAACTGCCATCGTCATCATGGCCCGTTCTCGATGGTTGCTGTCTCTTCAGAGCTGTTGGGTACACCTGCAGAAAGGCTGTCACTTCACACTTGGAAGATTGCACAGCGGCCAGGCAGAGGTGCTCCTCACCTCCCAGACGGGGCGGCTGGGCAGAGGCGCTCCTCACTTCCCAGATGGGGTGGCGGCCGGGCAGAGGTGCTCCTCACCTCTCAGACGGGTTGGCGGCCGGGTAGAGGAGCTCCCCACCTCCCAGACGATGGGCGGCCGGGCAGAGGCGCTCCCCACCTCCCAGACAATGGGCGGCCGGGCAGAGGTGCTCCTCACCTCCCAGACGGGGCGGCCGGGCAGAGGCGCTCCTCACTTCCCAGACGGGGTGGTGGCCGGGCAGAGGTGCTCCTCACATCCCAGACGGGGTGGTGGCTGGGCAGAGGCGCTCTTCACATCCCAGACGGGGCGGCCAGGCAGAGGCACTCCTCACATCCCAGACGGGGCGGCCGGGCAGAGGCGCTCCTCACCTCCCAGACGGGGCATCCGGGCAGAGGCGCTCCTCACTTCCCAGACGGGGCGGCCAGGCAGAGACGCTCCTCACATCCCAGACGGGTTGGTGGCCGGGCAGAGGCACTTCTCACTTCCCAGACGGGGTGGCGGCCGGGCAGAGGCACTCCTCACTTCCTAGACAGGGTGGTGGCCGGGCAGAGACACTCCTCACCTCCCAGACGGGGTGGCGGCCGGGCAGAGGCGCTCCTCACCTCCCAGACAGGGCGACCGGGCAGAGGCGCTCCTCACTTCCCAGACGGGGTGGCCGGGCAGCAGCGCTCCTCACATCCCAGATGGGGCGGCCAGGCAGAGATGCTCCTCACTTCCTAGATGGGGTGGCGGCCGGGAAGAGGCGCTCCTCACTTCCCAGACGGGGCGGCCGGGCAGAGGGGCTTCTCACATCCCAGACGATGGGCGGCCAGGCAGAGATGTTCCTCACTTCCTAGATGGGGTGGCAGCCGGGCAGAGGCTGTAATCTTAGCACTTTGGGAGGACAAGGCAGGCGGCTGGGAGGTGGAGGTTGTAGTGAGCCGAGATCACGCCACTGCACTCCAGCCTGGGCAACATTGAGCATTGAGTGAGCGAGACTCCATCTGCAATCCCAGCACCTCGGGAGGCCGAGGCGGGCAGATCACTCGAAGTCAGGAGCTGGAGACCAGCCCGGCCAACAAGGCGAAACCCCGTCTCCACCAAAAATACAAAAACCAGTCAGGCGTGGCGGCACGTGCCTGCAATCCCAGGCACTCGGCAGGCCGAGGCAGGAGAATCACGGGAGCCCGAGGCAGGGAGGTTGCAGTGAGCCGAGATCACGGCAGTACAGTCCAGCCTCGGCAACAGAGGGAGACCGAAGAAAAAGAAAGAAAGAGAGAGAGAGAGAAAGAGAGAGAGAGAAAGAGAAAGAAGGAAAGAAAGAAGGAAAGAAAGAAGGAAAGAAGGAAAGAAAGAAAGAAGGAAAGAAAGAAGGAAAGAAGGAAGGAAGGAAGGCAGGCAGGTCACAAATATTTGTTGAGTTAAATTTTTAGCATTACTAGCTTGTTGTCACTGTCTTCAGCTGCAGAAAAAATGCTGGACACAAAGCTGAAGCATGGTGCAACAGTCAGTTTTACTGTAGTCTGGGGAAAAGTCTGCCTTCAGACCAGGATCTGTCTGTCCCCTCTGGCCCAAGTCTGCATAGGCCACCATGGCTGCAGTGACAAGAGGGGACTAGGGAGACAGTACCCTCTTGAGGGGACCTCTAAGGTTGGGGAAATCTCCCTACACTCGGAGACAGTGGGGGGAAGATGAGAAGCGGGGGAAGTGAGGTGAGAGTGGAAAGGGGAGATGAGAGGGAAAGAAAGCACAGAGGTGGAAAGGTGGAGGAGAAACAACCTGTGACGGATGAGGCACTGTAAAGGGGCAGGGGTTACTCCTCAGCCAGCTCAGTTGGGCCCCAGTAACCTGGTGAAGAAGGAAAAGTGACAAAAAGAAGGCTGGAGAATAATCACATACCTTTCCAAGAACCTATTTTCTATCTTTCCCTGCTCCCAGTCCCTAGTCATTTATCAGTGACACATCACCCATTGTTAGGAGTGTCTGTAGCCTCTAGATCTGCTTGAAAAAGCATCATGAAGTACAGAAACTCAGGTTCCCTCTAGATGACACAGCTTCTGAAGCAGACTTCTGCTCTGGGTTCTCCTGGCTAACATGTCTGGCTCTCATTCTCCAGAAGAATTCTGTTCAGCAGAATCTCAGTGGTGGGGTTTTGAGCTGCTGGAAGCAGCATCCCAAGGTCCCTGACACCAATCACATTTTACCAATGCATTTCTCTAACCATTTCTTTCCAAGTCTACAACCATCCTAATCTATGACATTGAATCGTCTCATCTGAAAGGCTACAGTAGCACTCCATTATATCCTTATAGCCATACCTACCCCTCTTACCTATTTTTCACACTGCTGCAAGAGTGATCTTTGGGAAATGCAAATCTTCTATTACTCCTTTGCTTAAAAACCCTTCAGTAACTCCCCCTTGAACTTAGGGTGAAGATCAAACTCCTTGCTATGGGCTATGATGGCCACACAGTCTGTCTCCAGCCTACCTCTCCAGCCTTATCTCTCATGACTTCTTTCTGTTCCACAAATGTGGAAAGCTTTGCTTTAGAGCTTTGCACATACCTTTCCTCTCTGCCTGTTTCCTCCAAATTATCTTTGACACTTATTCCTGGTTAACTTCTACCTATCCTACAGGTTTCATCTTAGAATTAATTTTCTCAGGGAGTTGTCCTTTGACCCCTGACGTGGATGTGCTCTCTGTCCTTTGTCTTCATAGTACCCTCACATTTGTAATATATGAGTATTTGTAAAATTATTTGTTTAATGTTTGTTTCCCCTTTTAGACTCTAGAACTGTAATAAGGGACTTACTGTTTTACTCCCTGCTGTATCCCTTCTCCTGTGTAGTGCCTGGTGTATATTTGCATTGAATAATTAGTAGAAAAATCTAATAAAAGTGGTACCATGATCAGACTGGGTGAGCCACTTAGCAGCAGGAACCTGTATGGGAGAGAGTGTTCTCACTCCTGGAGGGGCTCGGGTAAAGTTGGGATGGGCTTACCATGAAATGTAAAGTAGTGGAGGAAGTGGAAGGACCTACTGCTATGAGAATGCCTGCCTTCCTGTGTCTGACCCTTTGTCACAGCTATTTAGGACTCCTTTCTGGTTGTCTGACTCCTTATTTTGCCCTCATCCAAAAACTGTAGGGTATTTTTCTTCCTGTTGAATTGTTGTTTCTAGAATTCACTGGACATATAAACCTCATATCCTTTGGGATTGGTTATAGGCCATAGATTGCCAGAACTGAAAGAGTCACTACTGCTATTACTGGTTTGTGTAATTATCAGCTTACAGTTAGTGCTTGCATGTGCCAGGCATTGTTATATAATTATCTCCATTTTACAGATGAGGCAGCCAGGTCATAAGAGACTAATGAATTTTCCCAAGTAATTTTATATATAATCTGGTCCAACCCTCTTAAGTAAAAGTGAGGAAATCAAGGCCTAGAAATATTAACTACTTACCAGTAACACCAAGTGTGTTAGTTTCCCAAGGCTGCCATAACAAAACAGCAAACTGGGTGGCTTAAAACAATAGAAATTTGTCTCAGTTCTGGAGACTAGATGGCTGAAAGTATTGGCACGGCCATGTTCTCTGAAACTTGTAGGAATGAAAGAATTCTTCCTTGCCTCTTCCTAGCTTTTGCTGGTTTGTGGGCTGTTTTTGATATTCCTTGGCTTGCAGCTTCATAACTCCAATCTCTGTCTTCATTGTCACAAGGAGTTCTCTCTGTTTTTCTATCTTTACATGGCCATCTTATAAGGACACTAGTTATATTGGATTAGGGGCCCACCCTACTTCAGTATGACTTCATCTTAACTAATTATTAAAAATGGCAAAAACCATAATTACTTTTGCACCAAACTAATACATCTGTAATGACACTATTTCCAGGTCATATTCTTGAGATACTGGGGGTTAGGACTTCAACATGTCATTCTTTGGGGGACACGATTCAACTCATAGCACTAAGTAATTAATGGAAGAGCTGGCATAAGAATGCAAATAGATTCATCAATGAGATAATTTTTACGTTGTGCCCCATATGAGTTCATATTCTTGTAATGTGTTTATTCCACATTCATTGGATATAACTCAAAGTTTTAGTCAAACCTCTTTCTCTTTAGCCATAGAGCAATTTTGAGATTTATATTTTATTGTCTTATTTGTGGTTGACTGTTACCAATTTTATTTTTTAACAGCTTTATTGAGTCATAATTGTCAAACAAAAAATTGCACCTATTTAAAGTGTACAACTTGATACCTTTTGGCACATATATACACTTACGAAACCATCCCCACAATAAAGATAGTAAGCATATCCATCACGCCAAAACTTTCCTTGAGTTCCTCTCTCTCCCATTCCTATTCCCTATTCCAAAGCAATCACTACTCTGCTTTTTGTCACATAGATTAGTTTACATTTTTTGAGTTTTATATAAATGGAATTATATAATATGCATTTTTTTGGGTCTAGGGTCTCAGTCTAGTGTACTGCTATATAACAAAATACCTTTAGGGTAATTTATATATTTATTTATTTGAGACAGCGTCTCACTCTGTCGCCCAGGCTGGAGTGCAATGGCGTGATCTCGGCTCACTGCCACCTCTGCCTGCCGGGTTCAAGCAATTCTTCTGCCTCAGCCTCCTGAGTAGCTGGGACTACAGGCGTGCGCCACCATGCCCAGCTAATTTTTTGTATTTTTAGTAGAGACAGGGTTTCACCATGCTGGCCAGGCTGGTCTTGAACTCCTGATCTTCTGATCCGCCCGCCTCAGACTCCCAAAGTGCTAGGATTACAGGCGTGAGCCACTGTGCTTGGCCAGATAGGGTAATTTAGAAATAAAATAAATTATTTATCACAGTTCTGGAGACTGGGAAGTCCAAGATCAAGATGATGGCAGGTTCAGTGTCTGGTGAGGGCTGCTCTCTGCTTCCAAGTTGGTGCCTTTTTGTTGCATCGGCACACAGCAGAAGGTGGAAGGGCAAGAGGGGACTAATGCTGTGTCCTCACATGGAAGAGAAGGAAGGCCCAGGCAGCTCTCTGAAGCCTCTTTTATAAAGGCACTAAGTAGTTTATGAGGGTGGAGCCCTCAAGACTTAATCACTTCCCCAAAGGCCCTATCTCTTAGTAATATCACATTAGATATTAGGTTCCAACATGTGAATTTTGGAGGGACACATATATGGTCAGCCTTTTTAAAATTTTAACAATTCTAATGGGTGTGGTTATATTCCATTGTAGTTTTAATTAGCTCTTCCCTAATGATTAATGAGTTGAGCAGCTTTTCATCAGCTGCTTATTTGCCATCCATGTGTCTCTGGTGAAGTTTCTATTCAAAGTTCCCCTACTCTTGGCCGTAGTCATCAGCAAAGGAATCAAGGATTTTCTTTTTTTCCCCTTTAACCGTGAGGTCAGTGTTGCTGGAACAAAAATGAGAGCAACAAGCCTAATCTTTCCTAATCTCCTTCCTTCTTTTCCTTTCCTTTTCTTTTTTTTTTTTTTTTGAGACGGAGTCTTGCTCTGTCACCCAGGCTGGGGTGCAGTGGCGCGATCTCGGCTCACTGCAAGCTCCGCCTCCCGGGTTCACGCCATTCTCCTGCCTCAGCCTCCTGAGTAGCTGGGACTACAGGCGCCCACCATCACACCCGGCTAATTTTTTGTATTTTTAGTAGAGATGGGGTTTCACCATGTTAGCCAGGATGGTCTCAATCTCCTGACCTCATAATCTACCTGCCTCGGCTTCCCAAAGTGCTGGGATTACAGGCGTGAGCCACCGTGCCCAGCATCTCCTTCCTAATAAAGAAAGCTTATTGGCTTTCAATAAAATAATACAGTGGAAGATCAAAGCATTACTTCTGTATGGAATGGCAGTTTTTCCTGTCCAGAGAACTGCCGCTTCTACTAGTGGCCACTGTGCCCTGGGGTGGTCTCTACTGTGGGGCAAAATGATTGCTTGCTTTTCTTTTAGTGTAGCCCCCTTCCCTCTGCACTTGCTCTTTGGATGCAGCATTAAAAAAAGGTAGGTCAAGTTTTTAGGACATGTGTTTGAATTCAGCGCTCTGAGGCAAACTGCTTCAAAGTCCAATTTACATCCAGATTTGGGGATGATCAAAAAAGTCCACTGTTACCTCTGCTACTGCTTTTTGTTTTGTTTTTTTAAATGGGCAGAAAAGTTCATGTCTTGCTGGCTACAATCATAGACGTGTGTATGTTTCTTGCTCTTCTAATACCACAGACAGCTTTGAGATGAGCAAAAGATAACAAAAGCAGCCATAGGTAGCCAGCCGAATCATTGCCATTTATTGAAAATACCATGCTTTCCTTACATCAGTACAGTGCCAACTTTGTCCTGTCAGGTGATCATATTTGTGAAAGTCACCATTCTGTTCCACTCATCTGTTCACCTGTCTTTTCACCAATACTATGCTATCTTAATTACCATAGCATTGTAATAGATCTTGATATCTGGACATGTGAGATGTCTGGTTTTTTCTTCATAAAAGCTGCCTCAGCTACTCTTCAGTTGATTTTTTTTTTTTTTTTTTTTTTTTTTGAGATAGAGTCTTGCTCTGTCTCCCAGGCAGGAGTGCAGTGGCGTGATCTCGGTTCACTGTAACCTCCTCCTCCCAGGTTCAAGCCATTCTCCTGCCTCAGCCTCCTGAGTAGCTGGGATTACAGGCGTGCACCACCACGCCCGGCTAATTTTTGTATTTTTAGTAGAGTCGGGGTTTCACTATGTTGGTCAGGCTGGTCTCAAACTCCTGACCTCATGATTTGCCTGCCTCGGCCTCCCAAAGTGCTGAGATTACAGGCATGAGCCATCGTGCCTGGCCCTTTTTTTTTTTGACAGGGTCTCACTCCATCACCCAGGCTGGAGTGCAGTGGAGCGATCTCAACTCACTGCAGTCTCTGCCTCCTGGGTTTAAGTGCTTCAGCCTCCCGAGTAGCTGGGATTACAGGCATGCACCACCACGCTTGGCTAATTTTTGTATTTTTAGTAGACATGGGGTTTCACCATGTTGTCCAGGCTGGTCTCAAACTCCTGGCCTCAAGTAATCCGCCTGCCTCAGCCTCCCAAACTGCTGGAATTATAGGCGTGAGCCACCGTGCTGGCCCTAGTTGATTTTTAAAAGACTAAAAAGAACAATGTTGTGCTTCTAGGATTGAATGAAAACACTCCACATCCAAAGCTCTGTTAAAAGAAGTGTCCCAAACAAAAGAATTAACTTTTCTTTCTTTCTTTTTTTTTTTTTTTTTTGAGATGAAGTTTCACTCATCACCCAGGCTAGAGTGCAACGGTGTGATCTCAGCTCACTGCAACCTCCGCCTCCTGGGTCCAAGCAATTCTCCTGCTTCAGCCTCCCGAGTAGCTGGGATTGTACGCGTCCACCACTACGTCTGGCTAATTTTTTGTATTTTTAGTAGAGACGGGGTTTCACCGTGTTGGCCAGGCTGGTCTCAAACTCCTGATCTTGGGTGATCCACCCGCCTCGGCCGCCCAAAGTGCTGGGATTACAGGCATGAGCCACTGTGCCTGGCCTTATTTCTTAAGTGCAAAGTAAACATCTACAAAAAAATATGTATGCACTCTCAACTTTGATGATTTTATGTAGGGAGCAGAAAGGAGTTGCATTAGATTTTGATTAAGGATCTGTTTATATTAGTTACTGGTTGGATTATTCTGGGTGGGAATTTTAGATTCCCTCCCTGGGTTTGTAATGGGACAAAGGATAGGACCGTATCTAAATCCCCTTTCTAGGCAACTAACCATAAAGTAAGGGATCAGTAAACATATTTTAACCAAATGTAATGCAGATCACCAAAGGAGGTACAGAATCTGCATGCACACAACGAAGAATCTTGCTAATTAAGGGGGGTTAGGGTTCGTGGTGGGAGAGTAAAGAGGACTCTTTGGAGAAGTAGAGGAGTGAGGAAGAGTATTTGTCAGTGTCTTTGCTGTGTTATAAGCCACCCAAAAACTCAGTGGCTTACAACAGCATTTATTTTTCTTGCTCCTGGGTCTGGTGGATTGCTGATGGGTTGGGTTGGGGAGGAGACTCTACTTTAGGAGCCAGGATTTGGGTTGGGATCAGGTCTGTTCTAAATGTTTCATTCTGGGATGTAGGTAGATAGAGAGTGCAGCTCTCTTCTGGCAATCACAGAGCACAAGAAGCCAAATGACACCAGGCAAGCACATTTTTCATTTCAACTTAGTCATATCTGCTAACATTTCATTGGCTAAAGCAGGTTGCATGGCCAAGTTCAACCTTGATGTAGTGGGGAAATAATACTCTGTCCTATGTGTGGTCTGGAAGATCACACTGACGTAGGAGGTAAGGAATTGGGAATAATAATTCATTCTACCCAAGGAGGGGACAGAATTCTTTTTTTTTTTTTTTTTTTTAAGATGGAGTCTCACTCTATTGCCCAAGCTGGAGTGCAGTGGTGTGATCTTGGCTCACTGCAGCCTCTGCCTCCTGGGTTCAAGCAATTCTCCTGCCTCAGCCTCCTGAGTAGCTGGGATTATAGGCCCACAGCACCACGCCTGGCTAATTTTTGTGTTTTTAGTAGAGACGGGGTTTTGCCATGTTGGCCAGGCTGGTCTTGAACTCCTGATCTCTGGTGACCCACCCACCTTGGCCTCCTAAAGTGCTGGGATTACAGGCGTGAACCACCATGCCCAGTCCGGACAGGATTCCTGGATAGTTGTGAGCCACCTTGCTGCTTCCTGGAATGTGGAGATATAGAGAACTTCCTCTAGGAGATTTGGGAGATAATTAGCCCTAGTATAGAGCTGTGTAACACTAATGCTATAGTACAAGCTGGCCTCTCTTTATTTCCTCTTCACTTTATTTTCCTGTTCTTCCACTCCTTCCTTCTCCTACTGGGAACCCTCAGCTGGGACTTAACCATGGTGTGTTGCCAACAAGACAAGGAAAGTATTTGAGCCAGCAGTTGTAGCAGCAGCAGCGACAGCAACAGCAGCGACAGCAACAGCAGCAGAAATGATGAAATCCATCAGAGAAGGAGGCAGCTGCAGGAGCAGCAAGGCAGTGATAGTGCCAATTGGGGAATGATTTCTGTAACACGGAGGGTATGGCAAGGGTCAAATAAGATCTAGTGTCTGAAAGTGCTTTATAAACTGTTAAAAGACAATGAATCAGGAGATAAAATGAGAAACGCTTTTCATTTTAGTTTCAGCTGAGTCCTAAAGACAATAGACAGATGCCACATTCCAAAGTAAAACGTAAAGTGGCCAGGCATGGTGGCTCACATCTGTAATCTCAGCACTTTGGGAGGCCTAGGTGGGTGGATTGCTTGAGGTCAGGAGTTTGAGACCAGCTCGGCCAACGTGGTGAAACCCCATTTCTATTAAAAATACAAAAATTAGCCAGGTGTGGTGGTGTGCGCCTGTAATCCCAGCTACTCGGGAGGCTGAGACAGGAGAATTGCTTGAGCCTGGGAGGTAGAGGTTGCAGTGAGCTGAGATCGCGCCACTGCACTCCAGCCTGGGTGACAGAGAGCAAGACTCCATCTAAAAATAAATAAATAAAATAAAAAATAAATAAAATATATTTTAATAAAGAGAATGGTGGAGATGCAAAATGGAAAGAACCTGGGTTTCTGAATGTCTTTGTGGAATAAAGGAGCCTGTCTACCCATCTTAGACTATTGTGAGAGACAAATAAATGTCTAGCACCATATTTTTGGGACTTTCTTACAGCAGTTTAGTTATTTCCCTAAGCTCATCACCCTGATATTCTGCCAATCTTTCCCTGTCTGTAAATCAAACCTCTCCCACAATTTCCTTCTGTTTCCTCTTGAGTCTCCTTCTGGTGATGGAGAATAAGATTAACCCTCTCCAATAAATGAATTTTATAAGAGCTGGCATTTTGAGAGCTAGCATCTAGAATGCCATATTCAGCTGTCAATTTTAGCCCAATCTGGATGACCCTCAGGAATTTCTGAGACAATAATTTTCCTTAATCATCTTTCCAGAGGAGATATAGGAAACTTCAGTGGTGGGCTTGGAGAGAATGGGATATCCAGCTGTTTATATCATGTAGGAAAGGCTCCATCTTGACCCAGTCCTTAAGCATTCTGCTTGAGACAGGTGAACTTGAGTAACTTTTATTTTGGAGGCAGAGATGGGGGAAGATTCAGAACTTCAAAGAACCTTGAGAAATTACCCCATCTTCTGGGCTACCTTCTCCAAGAGCCATGTTTAAACAGTCTCACAGCTTACAGCTGGTCAGGTATTTAGACAAATCTTTGGCTTTGCAGTGTTTTACCCAGGCTGCCTTAAGGATAGAGAAATAAAGTATAGATCAGAGGCAGGGGCAGAAGTCTGAAAGGGGCTCAGCTGAGGGAAAGTTGGGCTTGCGGGCTGGAGCCAATTTATGCTGTTGGAGAGTCCCAGGTGAAGAGGATGCATGTGGGTGCTGCCATGATGCCTGGGATGAATGCATCACATGATTACTCTGCCTCATTTTCTCATCAGGGGAACATTCTCAACCCTCTCCCAAAGCCCATGGCAAATCCTGCAGCACAGATGCCACTAACATCAGTAGCCCAGATATTATCTGCCCCTCTCCCACCAAACCCCACTGGCAGAACAGTTGCTCTCTGCCCTTCACATTCCTCTTACCAGGCAGATATCACTTTAGGATCTTACACAGTCCTCTTGGCAGTTTGTCATCACCAATGTTATCATCAATAAACTCTGAAAGGACAAGTGGATGAGTGGGGAGGGAAATCTCTCTTTTTCTATTTTGAATTATTGATCATTTTTAGAGGGGAATTCCCAGAGGAAAGTGAATCCTGAGATTCAGAAATCCTTTCTCTCTGGAGCTCCTCTCTGGGTTTGCCTTCCATTTTGCCTGGGTTTTCTTGTTTTTGCTTAGACTCCTTCTCTGAGCACTGGTCCTTCCAGAAGGCATCTAGGACATGATGGACTAGGGAGAGCTTTTGTTTTCGGGAAGCTGCTCAGAATGTCTGGAGTGCTGGTATGTGGGATGATGTGTGTACTAGGAGCAGATAACATGTCTTGAAGGGTGGGAACCCATGAATGGGGAAGATGAAAAGGAGATTGTGAATCAGGGGGCTTAGCCAGGGGCCAGTCTTTCTTCCTTCTTTTTGTCAGGATGATCTCTGTGGGATCTTGTTTCAGTGTGAGGACTGTTTATTCCCCATATTCAGCTTCCCCAGCACAGGCTGACAGTCAGGTGATAGGGAGCAGTGCATTCAGTTTTGCACCTATTTTACCTGCTCCCACTTCATCCAGCCCTCAGAGGGATAGAGTCCTTACTGCTGCACATTAGGTTGCAGGCATTTTCTGAGGAATGCTTGTGGTCTTTGTATCAGAAGTTGTTCAGCTGGAAAATCCCGTTGTCACTACTGCCATCAGCAGTTTTTTCCATTAAAGGCCTGGGTGTTCAAATTACTCTCACACTGAACCAAGCAGATCCCTGTGTCAGAGAGAGCAAAAGGTATGGATAGAAAAGGGAGAGTGCTCCATGATGAGAGGTCATCCAATAGGCCATGGGAAAGATGAGACATAACTTATGCTGTACTAGTGCTATCTGAAATGAAAATCCATTTTTAAGACTGAGTTGAGGCCGGGTGCAGTGGCTCACCCCTGTAATCCCAGCACTTGGGGAGGCCAAGGCGGGCAGATCACCTGAGGTCAGGAGTTCGAGATCAGCCTGGCCATCATGGTGAAACCCCGTTTCTACTAAAAATACAAAAAAAAATTAGCCGGGTGTGATGGCAGGCGCCTGTAATCCCAGCCACTCGGGAGGGTGAGGCAGGGGAATGACTTGAACTCGAGAGGCAGAGGTTGCAGTGAGCCGGATGGTGCCATTGCACTCCAGCCTGGGCAATAAGAGTGAAACTCCATCTCAAAAAAAAAAAAAAAGAAAAGAAAAAAAAAAAGACTGAGTTGAAAAAACTATGAGATCCTCAATGTCAGAGATCATTTATAATTCATATGCACTCCCAGTCCTAAGCAATAATTAGCCCATGGAAAATATACAACAATTTATTAAATGCTTTTATTAATAAATTTAGAATTTTATTCCAAATAAAATAATAATTATAATTATAATAAATTTATTAATTTGGAATTTTATTCCAAATAAATCCAAAATTATTTGGTGTCATTTTATGGAATTAAAATTGGAATGACCAGTAATCAATCAATCACAGTCTGTTTCCCAATCAACCTTTCCAGCCTCATCTCCCAGCCAAATACTCACTTGTATATATTCACTTTTGTTCTATATCCCAAGGTACATGCAAGAGAAAAGGTGGAAAGGTAGCGGAGGAGAATCCTTGGAAGGCAGCACAGAAAAACCATCCTTGGAAGGTTTCTCTACATGAGAAAGAGTAGGTTTGGCATGGAGAAAAATGAAGAAAGATATTCAAGGGAAGTTGAAATAGTTTCATTTCTTGTAACCAATAAGATGGATGGCTGAGATTCTCAATCCCTCTTGTTACCCTCATCATCACTTCCCCTTCATTCTTACAATCCCAATCTAACTCTCTTGTGGCACTAGTAGAATAACCCTGATAAAAACTTAGCTGATGTTCACTTGATTTAGAACTTTTCTGATCAAGTAAGAATTTAGTAGGCTTCTTATCTATTGCATTTCTAGAAACAGTATGCCATAGGTCTGTGTGAGTCCGGCTATTCTGATTGCTGATTTGACTCTGCTGTCCATTGTGGCAACCATGTACACCTTGCCTTTGGAGGTTGAGTGCTGCCACTTGGCCTCTGCCATCTCAGGATGCAGTCACTCCCATTGAATGTAGGTTTCCCAATTCAGTGACTGCAGTCCTCACCGTAAGGTCTGGGCTACAGTGAAGAGAGATTACAGAGCTCTTCAAGGATGCCGGGGCTTCCCTATTTCTTAGTCATAGTGAAAAGTATGTCTTCTGGGCCCTCTCACATGGGTAAGTAGGTCTTAAGTAACAAATCCACTCTAATATTTCAATATCCTTTAGCCGTTGAATCCTTTCTCTACATTAAATCAAGGCAGATCCAGCATTTCTAATTCACTTACTGTATCCCACCTTTTGGTTCATGTTTCAGTCAACCAACTAAACAAACTGTTAGAATCCTTCCTAGTTCCCCAAGCTGCAACATTAAATGCAGAATTTCTGCTTTAGTGAGCCTTGAAGGGAGAGTGAAGGGAAGGAAACCCAGATATTGCAGCTCCCCGAAGCCCACTAGGATCAGCCAGGTGGTCTGGTTCCCACTGTCACAAATGTATATCAATACATTCGGCTTTATTCAACTTTACGTTCCTTCCATCATCATCCCACAATTTCAAGATCTATTTCCATGCATGTTCACTGGATTTCTGTCTGTATAAATTAGAAAACCCAAGTAATTCTTTTGGATTGTAGTGCATGTCCTCATGGGTCACACTTTGTGCTCACCTTTAGAGGCCTGCAGGGACTTGGGTCTAGCTATAGTTTTAGAACCAAAGAGGAGTGATGGGTATGGGTTCTGAGGAGAATCAGCATTGTCTTGCATGGGAACTGCCCCAGGGGAGGCAATTACAGTTTCTTCAGGCAATGTGGGATTAATTCCCTCAGACAGGGACAGAGGCTGCTGTCGCTGGGGTTGGGGAAGCTGCTACCACTGGGGATAGGGAGGCCAATTCCAATTGGAAAATACAGTTACCTCATTTTGGTAGACATCCATTTTCAATCCCACAGTCTCCATCTTTTTATTGCAGTGGTCTCTAGTCCATCAGACTTTGAGGAAGGGGCTAAGCTGAAATCAATCCAGGAAGAAGTCAAAAGCTGTCCTGTCCTCCTTAGTGAGTGTGTCCTGGGATGAGCTGTCCCCTGAGCCTATGCAGAGCCCCCTTCACCTCTTGGTTCTTGAGGCTGTGGATGATGGAGTTGACCATGGGAGTGAACACTGTGTAGAGGACAGAGAAGACCTTTAGAAGCAAGGGGACATGTGTTCTATTGGGGCCACATAGACCACAATGAGGGTGCCATAAAATACCCCAACTACGGTGAGGTGGGAGGAACAGGTGAAGAAGGCTTTCTGCCTCTCATGGCCTGAGGGTATTTGCAGTACAGCCCTCAATGAAGGCAGAGGATGCCACAATCAGTAGGAAGGCGGCCAGTGTCAGGAAGCCTGAGATGCTGACTTCAGCTCCCTACATGACTCCCACATCCCCGCAGAACTGCCTGACTACTGGAGCAAACTCACAGAAATAGTGGTCAATCTCCCTGCTGCCAGGACAGAGGTGCTGCCAGGGCCATAGTGAAGGCAGAGGAGAAGAAGCCACTGAACCAAGCACCAGCGGCCAGGCAGTGACAAAACCAGGTGCTCATCAGGGCAGGATAGTGAAGGGGGCAGCAGATGGCCAAGTAACAGTCATAGGACACGGCAGATAGCAGGAGGCACTCAGCTGCAGCCAGCGAGGAAAACACGTAGAACTGAGCCAGACAGCTGACTAGAGAGATGACTTCCTTCCCCTCCAAGAAACTCTGCAACAGCCATAGTATGACGTTGGAGGTATAGCCAATCTCCAGCAGGGAGAAGTGGCAGAGGAAGAAGTACATTGGTGGGTGCAGTGTCCGACTAGAGGCCACAGCCAGCATGATGAGGGCATTGCCCCCAACTGTCACCACATAGATGGCCAGGAAGAGAGTGAAGGGAAGGAAGCCCAGGTATTGCAGCTCCCCGAAGCCCACTAGGATCAGCCAGGTGGTCTGGTTCCCACTGTCACCACTGGACTGCTTCTTCTTCCAGGTCTGGGCCCAAGAGAAGAGAGGAAGGTAGTTAATATTAACAAAGATACTATTATGGCCACACTCCATGCTTGGCTTATCCATTTACTCATCACAGCACGCATCAGAGACAGGCCTTATTGTCTCCCAGATGTGGAAGAGAAACTAAGACCCGTTTGTTCAAGTCAATTATTCCAGGTCATTATGATGGAGTCATGATGTGAACCCAGGTTTGCCTGACTCTAAGGCTCCCGAATGGTCTACTGTTCTACAGTGCTTTCCCAACCTGCTCCACCCACATTTTTTTTTTTTTTTTGAGATAGGGTCTCACCCAGGCAGGAGTGTAGTGGTGCGATCACAGCTCACTACAGCCTCGACTTCCTGGGCTCAAGCCATCCTCCCACCTCAGCCTCCCAAGTAGCTGGGACTACAAGCACATGCCACCATGCCTGGCTACTTAAAAAAAAATTTAACAGAAATGAAGTCTCCCTATATCGTCCAGGCTGGTCTCAAATTTCTGCGCTCAAGCGATCCTCCCAAAGTTCTGGGATTATAGGCGTGAGCCACTGCATCTGGCCCCAAACGTTTTTTAAGTGATAGAAATGTCAAAATTAGAGAGCAGCATAATGTTCTTCCAATCCGCAGGGAGCTATTTACCTGGAGGTCCCGGCTGGGCACCAACAGGAGGACCACAGCTGGTGAACTGTGGAAGGGTAGGAGGCGTGCGCATCGCCTCTAGGAGAGTTGGTCCTACTCTGAAGTCATGCACGTTCCTGAGGCTGCCACTCATCTCAGACTATTTTTTCTTTCCAAGAAAATGAGACTTGGAAATCCAGATGAGCAATCTATATCATCTATTCAGCAAGATATGCAACACAGAAAGATCTGAATTAACCCAGATCCCACCCCCCTGGGAAACCACTCTTTCTCTTTGGACAGGTGGCCTGGTGACCCTTGGTAAAGCCATTTCCACACTTTGCCCAGTCTCCGATCAGTTTGTTGGAAACTGGAAACACTCTATTTATCTTGGTTCTCCTGCCTTGTATTTTCCATACAGGTCAAATGCTCAGTTTATCTTAACTAACTGTGGGTTCTTTAGAAACTTCTCTTCTGGCGTAGGTTTCCTTCTCTCAGTTATTGCAGCACTACCTTTCCACCAAACACATAGGAAGACTTTGTGGAATGAATAAATAAATTAATATATGAATTCATTACAATAATTTTCCAAAAGCAAATTGCCATGAAAAAATTGCACCATCTGACAGTTAACGCTAGAGTCAAAGAGACATTTAAATGACTACTAAAATAGAGGAGGAATCATTGGGTCATCCCCTACAGTTGAGGGAATATTGGAAGCTTGGGATGGAATCATAAATAAGAATGGATATGGAAGTCAAAAATATGTGTGTGCGTAGGAGGAAGAAACCAGAAAGCCCAATGTGATAGTTTTCTCACTTTTGAAGTTAAGAAAGGCGACATCTCACATTAGCCGATGGCAGTGAGAACACAGGGTTTTTCTGTTCCTGGCCTGATCCTACGTTTTCCTTTGGCTTTGGGCTTACATCATGCAGACCCACATTCAGTCATATGGGGATACAGACATGGAACAAACTGAATGCTTTCATATGTATTTGAACATATTCTGTCTTCTATATACTAATGATTTCTTAAAGAGCCAAGGAGTGACTTGAATTGAGAGTGAAATAGGACTCTGGGTTTAGCAGAAAGAGGGAGCAAAGGAAGAAACTAGTTAAACTAACCAAATCAACCAACCAGTCAACTGACCCGAAACTTCTGAAGTCTACACTCTGAGCCAATGCTTATGATTATAAAGTTAGAAGCACTGCCCTTGCCAACCAATGAATTTGACCTTGGTTCCTGGTAAAATTCCTAAATAGATGCTATGTAGAATAGTTGGAAGTCCCATAAGGGATCACCAGGATCTTTGTAATGCTGAACCTAATGTAAAACCTCATAATAATATCTTTTATTGACAGTACTAATAATTTAACAATCAGGAGAAAGGAGCAGAGAAAGGGCATGTTAATCTCAGTAAAGCTTCATAAAAAGATGATGACTGTGTGCTTAGAGATAACGCTTTTTTAGCCTGGTGCAGTGGCTCACGCCTGTAATCCCACCACTTTGGGAGGCCGAGGCAGGCGGATCACGAGGTCAGGAGTTCAAGACCAGTCTGACCAACATAGTGAAACCCTGTCTCTACTAAAAATACACAAAAAATTAACCAGGTGTGGTGGTGTGCGCCTGTAATCCCAGCTACTCAGGAGGCTGAGGCAGGAGAATGGCGTGAACCTGGGAGGCGGAGGTTGCAGTGAGCCAAGATCGTGCCAATGCACTCCAGCCTGGGCGACAGAACGAGACTCTGTCTCAAAAAAGAAAAAAAGAAAAAAGATAACGCTTTTAGTTTGGCTACCATACACCAAAATTATTCATTAATGACTAAAAATCTGGAGAAATCTGTCTAGTGAAAAGGAGAATGTGTTGTAGATCTTATCTTCGTCACCTATTTTAGCAATGACTTCAATAGGCATAGTAAGCATGCATGGCTCATCAAACTTCAGATGATATGAAACAAAGAGGGAAAATCAATATTGTAAGCAACAATTATAATTCAAAATAATCTTGCCTTTTGGAATGCCAAACTAAAAACAAGACGGAATTTAACAGAGGCACATATAAAATCTGCATGTAGATTTTAACAACCGGTTACACAAGCATAGGAAGGGTAAGACCCAACTTAGTAGCCAATTATGTGAAAATAATTTGGGCTTTTTGTTGACTATCATGAATTTTTTCTTTTTTTTTTTTTTTGAGATGGATTCTGGCTCTGTCGCCCAGGCTAGAGTGCAGGGTTATGATTTCAGCTCACTGCAACCTCCACCTCCCAGGCTCAACTGATTCTCCTGCCTCAGCCTCCCAAGCAGCTGGAACTGCAGGTGCCCAACACCGAGCCCGGCTACTTTTTTGTATTTTCAGTAGAGACGGGGTTTCACCGTGTTAGCCAGGATGGTCTCCATCTCCTGACCTCGTGATCTGCCCGCCTCGGCCTTCCAGAGTGCTGGGATTACAGGCGTGAGCCACCGCACCCGGCCTGAGTATCATGAATTAGGGCTTGAAAACTGTGAAATACAAGGAATAGATGAAGAATGTAGAGAATCTGGAAAAGACAAAATGAATAGAAGAATATGATAACTGTTTTCAAATATTTGAGAGACTCTTATAAAGAAGAGGAATTACATTTAATTCACAGAACAAGGACCAAGGGTGTGGTGGTGCTGGAAAACCCATGATTACTCATCTGTGCTGGCTTCCTAGAGGTGATTCTTAAGGGGTTAACCATTGTTATTTACTGCATTTTTTGGGGGGTTTGAAAATAAGATGAGGCTCGGGGGACAGGGTCAGTGTGGTGAAGTGGAATTTCTTCCTAGAGCCTCCAGAAGTTTGTTGGCAAATATGGGCCTCATCCACAGGAACCTCCCAGAGCAAACAAACAAACAAAAATGATAAACTCTCTTCTGCATGTTTAGGTTGGGTCAGTGGTGGTCCTCTCTGTAGGCAGAGAGCAGGGTTGACCCATATGAACGCCAGATACTCAAGCTCAGTGAAGATGGGGGCGGACCTGCTTTGGGCTTGGAGTCAACTTCTCTCCTGGACGTCTTTACCCCTAGACTAAATTCTTCTGCCACCTGACAGCTCTGTGGACTTTCTGCTTCTCTCCTGTGGAGTCTCCACATGTTATTGACTCCCTACACCCTAGGGTGCTCACAGAAGACAGTTGTCCCTATTCCGTATGTGCTGCTATGGATGCAACTGCCTTTTCTAGAGGAGGAGAGCGCCCCTCCCTTGTGCAGGTTGGAGAAGAGCCTCCTTGGAGAGGAGATGTAGTTTGGAGCCAACTGGAGCAGCTGCATCTATCTTTTGGTTCCAGGGAAATGTTCAGGTCTACAAGGGACCACATCCATGTGTTTCATTCAAACCTAATTACCTCCCCCTTATGAGTGGGGAAAGACTGGCAAGACATAAGAATAACCATAATAGCCAAATGCTGTGGCTCATGCCTATAACCCCAGCACTTTGGGAGGCTGAAGAGGGAGGATCACTTGAGCCAAAAAGTTCAAGACCAGCCTGGGAAACATAGTAAGACCCCATCTCTACAAAAAAAAAAAAAAAAAAAAAAAATCAGCCAGTCATGGTGGCATATGCCTGTAGTCCCAGCTACTCTGGAGCCTGTGGTGGGAGCTTCGCTTGAGCCCAGGAGGTTGAGGATGCAGTGAGCCATAATTGCACCACTGCACTCCAGCCTGGGTGACCAAAAAGAAAATAGCCACAATGAAAGCCAGCGTTTATGGAATACTTTATAATTCATAAAGCAAATATTAACTGATTAGCTAATTTAATAAATATTCAATTCTCAGAATGAGCCCCAAGGTGAAATGTATGTTATAACTTGTTCTTGCAGCATTGGGATGAGCTATCAAGAGTGTTGAGAGGTGAAGCCAGCTGGATTTCTGGGTCGAGTCGGGACTTGGAGAACTTTTCTAACAAGAGGATTGTAAAATGCACCAATCAGCGCTCTGTAGCTAGGATTGTAAAACGCACCAATCAGCACTCTGTGGCTAGCTAGAGGTTTGTAAAATGTGCCAGTCAGCACTCTGTAAAAACGCACCAATCAGCGCTCTGTGTCTAGCTAAAGGATTGTAAATGCACCAATCAGCACTCTGTGTCTAGCTAAAGGATTGTAAATGCACCAATCAGCACTCTGTGAAATGGACCAATCAGCACTCTGTAAAATGGACCAGTCAGCAGGACATGGGAGAGGCCAAATAAGGGAATAAAAGCTGGCCACCCCAGCCAGCACCGGCAACCCACTCAGGTCCCTTTCCACGCTGTGGAAGCTTTGTTCTTTCACTCTTCACAATAAATCTTGCTGCTGCTCACTCTTTGTGTCTGCACCACCTTTAAGAGCTGTAACACTCGCTGCAAAGGTCCGCGGGTTCATTCTTGAAGTCAGCGAGACCACAGACCCACCAGAAGGAAGAAACTCCAGACACATCTGAAGGAACAAACTCTGGACACACCATCTTTAAGAGCTGTAACACTCACTGTGAAGGTCTGCGGCTTCATTCTTGAAGTCAGCAAGACCAAAAGCCTGCTGGAAGGAACCAACTCTGGACACAGTGTGACCTCTAAGGGCTAAATCAACAGTCTTTCTACCCTGGCCTGGGTTAGGACCCTGGGGTCCCGCTTTGATCTCTTAGCAGGGAGGAGGCAAGAAGAAACTGATATATAACTCTGTAGGTATTCTGTCCTGTTTAGTTGGATAGTTTAACATCACAGATTAACATAAAACCAGGTCAGATCCCTTCAAGATAATGGAGACAGACTAAAATGCAGCTGAATGACAAATGTAAATAGGAAATCCCACTGCAGTACTATAGCACCGAGTTTCTTCCATAGCAAGCAGAGAGCAGATCTGGGCCAGGAGGAGGACAGCACAGGCTCTGGGCTGGGGCTGAGATTTTCTAGGAACAGACTGGCATGGCTCTTCCTGGAAAAAACTGGACAAGTGTGTGACATTGGCAGAAGAGAGGCAGAGTAGAGAGTCTTAGGTGTAGAAAAGGTGACTCAGTCTCAAACAAAGTCTCCATAAAGCTTATAATACCTCAATATGAGCAGTAAAACTTCCTGGTCAGTCCTTCAGGATAAACTAGTTTCAAAATGTACTTGTAGATAACTACATGAACTAGTATTCTCAATAAGGCTGTTAGCTAAATCCAGTAAGATGTTGGACGATATGTAATAAAAATAAAGTTTGGCTTTGGAATAACTGATCATCCTAAGCCATCCTTCATGAAGATAATTGGAAAACCAAGCCAACTGTCTTTCAAGACTAATCTTAGATCATGAAAAAAAAAATGTCAACAATACATACACATTATAATAACTCTGCTATTAAAAATTTATTTCTAGTTTTTAATGCACTTTTTATATAGCTATAATTATTATCATATGTACAATTTGAATCCTGATGCTTCACCTAACATTTTATTATAAGCATGTTATATATCCCACATTTAAAATAATAATATAATATTCATTATGTAGCTGTAGCACAATTTGCCTAACCATTTTTTTCAGGGAATCTTTGGGTTGGGAGGGACTGTAAGCTATATATAGGCCAACATTTCACTAAGAGGGGAGGTTATTTATTCTCTTTGTATGTATTTCAACTGAAAAGAAGACAGTGTCTTTTTAGGGTATCTCAGTGTTTCAACAAATTAAAAATTTTAAAACATTTATTTAACATTAGTATTTTTGAGCAATGCATCATTATTGCATACATTTATGGGATACACTATGATATATGTATAAATGTGGCAGGATTAAATCAAGCTAATTAACATATCCATCACCTCACTTACCTATCATTTTTTTTTATGGTGAAGCATTTGAAATTTATGCCCTATTTTGAAATAAATAACACATTATTATTGACCATATTCACGCCACTGTTGCAATAGATCCTAAGACCTATTCTTCCTACCTGAAACTTTGTACCCTTTGATCAACAACTCCCCATTCCCTCCATCTCCACCCCTTTCCCCAAACTCTGGTAACCATCCTTTTAGTTTCTACGTCTGTGAGATCAACTTTATTAGATTTTACATATAAGTGAGATCATGAAGTATTTGTCTTTTTGTGCCTGGCTTATTTCACTTAGCATAATGTCCTACAGATTTATCAACACTGTTGCAAATGATAGGATGTCCCCCCTTTTAAGGCTGAATAGTATTCCATTGTGTATATATGTTACATTTTCTTTATCCATTCACCTGTTGATGGACACTTAGGTTGTTTTCATATCTTGACTGTTGGGAATAATGTTGCCATGAACAGGAGGGCACAGCTATTCCTTTGACATATTTGTTTCAGTTCCTTTGGATATATATCCAGAAGTGGGATTAATGAGTTGTATGGTAATTCTATTTTAGTTTTTTGAGGAACCTCCATATCATTTTTCATAATGGCTTTACTAATTTGCATTCCCACCATCAATATATATGAGTTCCCTTTTCTCCACATCCTCTCCAACACTTGTTATCTTTCATCTTTTTGATAAAAGTCATTCTAACAGGTATGAAGTGATATCTCATTGTGGTTTTAATTTGCGTTTCCCTAATAATTAGTAACGCTGAGCAGTTTTTCATGTATTTATTGGTCATTTATATGACTTTTGAGAAATGTCTGTTCAGGTCCTTAGCCCATTTTTTAATTGGGTTAACTTATAAATAAACGTTTTGGAGCTCCACACATGTTAGGCATTATTGGATGATCAAGACATAGGATCTGCCTGCAGATTAACTATGGTACAGTATGGAATATGTGACAACTGCTACAAAAGAGCTGCATAGTTTATTGAGAAGGGATTAAGGGAAGTTAATGGAGAAAGTGGAATATGCACTAGAATGTAAAACAGTAGAGGTTTTAGAAAGTTAAAAATGAGGGGGCTGGGCATGGTGGCTCAAGCCTGTAATCCCAGCACTTTAGGAGGCCAAGGCGGGTGGATCAGAAGGTCAGGAGATCAAGATCATCCTGGCCAACATGGTGAAACCCTGCCTCTACTAAAAATAGAAAAATTAGCTGGGCTTGTTGGTGGGCGCCTGTAATCCCAGCTACTCAGGAGGCTGAAGCAGAAGAATCGCTTGAACCCGGGAGGCAGAGGTTGTAGTGAGCCAAGATTGTGCCACTGCATTCCAGCTTGGGCGACAGAGTGAGACACCATCTCAAAAAAAAAAAAGAAAGTTAAAAATGAGGGTAAGGTTTTCAGCTTCCACCCATGACGGAGTGACTGGTACCAGTCTAGTCCTCCTGATGTAAACAACTACAAAATGGACAACACATAAAATATCTGTTTCCAGCTACTGGAAAACATATAGCACAGAACCTTAATTCCTTAGAGAAGGGAAGTCCTACCATCACATTAGTTTTTCTGTCTTGACTCACTTTCCAGACCTGGAATCCAGGAGGGCCTAAGCTGAGGAGACAGAGATCAGAGTTTGGAGAGGCAGAGATTGTTTAAATTTGTAGGGCAGAAGAGGAGGGAGGTATAGTGAGAAAGAATTTCAGAAACCTATGTAGGAATCTCATGAGACTTTGGCTGAATATTACTAGGAGCTGTAAGTTAAGTAACCACTAGAACTCATACAGAATGGGAGATGTTAGAGCTCCAACCATTCAGGCTGGAGAGATCTCATTGAAAACTGGGGGTATGCAGCAGATATCTCAGAAAGGTCACACCTTAGGTATAGGTATAAATCAGTCGAAGAATAAAAGCTAATCTAGACCTATTCGAACAAAACTTAAAAACAAAGCTTGAAAAGATTAAACTGAACCTTAAGTATCTTAACTGTCTACTAGAACAAGGCCAAGTGGATCACAAGGTCAGGAGTTTGAGACCAGCCTGACCAATATGGTGAAACACCCTCTCTAGTAAAAATACAAAAATTAGCCGGGCGTGGTGGTGGGCGCCTGTAATCCCAGCTAGTCAGGAGGCTGAGGCAGGAGAATCGCTTGAACCTGGGAGGCGGAAGTTGCAGTGAGCCGAGATCGCGCCACTGCACTCCAGCCTGAGCGACAGAGGATCCATCTCAAAAAAAAAAAAAAAACAAAAAACAACAAAAAAAAAAACCCAAAATCCAGACACGCAACAACAGGATATCCATAATGTCCAGCCTCTAATAGAACGATTAGTAGAAATACAAAGAAGCAGATAAATGTGACCACTAACCAGAGAAAAATGATAAAAGACATGAGCAAGATGGCAGAATAAGAAATTCCAGACCCTCTTTCTTCCATGAGAACATGAACTTAACAATATATAAACCTGTTTGAAGAATCCAGAAATCAGTTAATAGGTTCTTGCCCCTCAGTCGAGTGCGAAGGCAACCCTATCAAAACTTAGCAGGAAAATTTATGACATTCACTCACCCTTCCCTCTGGCACGGCATGACATAATCTGAAGGATACCTCCAACTCTCCACTTCTTCCTGGGAAGGGAAAGGAGTGAAATGTGCACCCAACATTCTGACTTATGAAGATGCTGTTGAGGGAGCTGCCCAAATTTAAGCACTGACAGGAACAGTGCTCAGGTTGGGGCTGGTTAAGGACAAAGGTGATCAACGTGGTTTGTTCCAGCACCAGAATCTGCAGTACCACAGACAAACACTAGGTGGAACTCCAGTACCGCAGCTTTCTACAGCACCCGAGAAGCGGCAGCATTGCAGACAGACACAAGAGCTCCTGAGTAGAAGAAACTGGCAAACATCTTCATTTAGGTTGACTATGGTGAAGCAAATTTTCATATCCATCATCTCATGCAGTTACTCATGGTTTTTGTTTTTGTGGCAAGAGCAGCTAAAATATACTCATTTAGCTTGAATCCCGTATAGAGTACAATTTTATTACCTGTGATCCTCATGTTTTATGTACATTTGATCTCTAGATTCGTTCATCCTATATATCTGCCACTTTGCATTCTCTGACATACATCTCCTCATTTCCTCCTCACACCTGCTCCCGGTAACCAGCGTTTTGTTCTGTAATAAATGAACTTTAAATATAAATATAAACATGAGAATATGTCATGAAAATGATTATCATAAGAAAGTTGTACTTGTCAAGGTGATTAAAGTAAAACAACAACAACAACAACAAAGAAAGCTGTAGTGGTTGTATTAATGTAAGACAAAATAGAGTTCCAAACAAGAAATTTTCTAGGAATAAATAAGAATTTATATAATGATAACGAGTTAAATTCATCAAGAAGGTAGAACAATCTGAAATGTGTGTGGACTCAATAACAGAGCTTCAAAATGAAGTGAATGAGGGAAAAACTGATAGAGCTGAAATGACTACAGTTGGATATTTCAACGTTCTTCTCTCAAGCATTTATTCAACGAGTAGTCAGAAAATCAGTATGTATGTAGAAAACTTACAAAACACTATCAACCAACTTGATATGATTGACATTTATAGTACACTTCATGTATAACAGCAAGAAAGACTTTCTCACCAAAATAGACCATATGCTGGGCTATAAAACAAAACTCAATAAATTTCAAAGAATTAAGATAAAGCTGAATATTTTCTATTACCACAAGGGGAGTAAATTAGAAATAAACAACAATAAAATATCTAGAATTTAAGCAACATACTTTTATTTTATGATGATTTTTTTTTTTTGAGATGGAGGCTCGCTCTGCCACCAGGCTGGAGTGCAGTGATGCGATCTCGGCTCACTGCAACCTCTGCCTCCTGGGTTCAAGTGATTCTCTTGCCTCAGCCTCCCGAGTAGCTGGGACTACAGAGACACACCACCACACCCGGCTAATTTTTTGTATTTTAGTACAGACGGGGTTTCACCATGTTGGCCAGGCTGGTCTCAAATTCCTGACCTCATGAACCCGCCTCGGCCTCCCAAAGTGCTGGGATTATAGATGTGAGCTGGGATTATAGATGTGCGCCCAGCCTATTATTATGATTTTTTGAGAGACATAGTCTCACTCCGTTGCGCAGGCTGCAGTGCAGTGGTGTGATCATAGCTTACTGTAACCTCAAACTCCTGGACTCAAATAATCTTCCTGTTGCAGCCTCCTGAGTGGCTGGGACTAGAGGCATGTGCCACTATATCTGCTTAATTAAGTTTTTTTTTTTTTTGTAGAGACAAGGTCTTGCTATATTGCCCAGGCTGGTCTCAAACCCCTGGCCCCAAAAAATTCTCCTGCCTTGGCCTCCCAAAGTGCTGGGATTACAGGCATGAGCCATTGTGCCTCGCATGCAATGTGTGTTTAAATAACCCATGAGTAAAGGAAGAAATCACAAGGGAAATTAGAAAATATTTTGAACTAAATTATAATAATTACATATGAAAAATTGTGAAATGCTGCTAAATCAGTGCTTAGAAGAAACTTTATGTCTTTAAATGCTTATGTTAGAAAGATAAATATTTAAAACCAATAATTTAAGCTTCCACTTTAACAAGGTAGATCAGGAAAAGCAAGATGGACTCAGAGTAAATAGAACAGAGAAAATAACAAAGAATGGAAATCAATGAATATAAAGGAGAAAAACCAATAAAACAAAAATTAGTTTTTAAAAATTTGAAACAGGGTATTGTTCTGTCATTCAGGCTGGAGTGCAGTGATATGATCATGGCTCACTGCAGCCTCAACCTCTTGGGCTCAGGTGATCCTCCCATCTCAGCCTCCCAGGTAGCTGGAACTACAGGTATACACCACCATGCCTGGCTAATGTTTTAGATTTTTTGTAGAGTCAGGGTTTCACCATGTTGCCCAGGCTGGTCTTGGACTCCTAGGCTCAAGTGGTCTGGCCTTCCAAATTGCTGGGATTACAGGCAAAAAATTAGCTCTTTGAAAAAAATCAATAAAATTGATAAATTATCAGCTAAATTGACTTAAACCCAGACAAACACAAATTATCAATATCAATAAACAAAAGAAGAGGTATCACTACAAACCCTACAGATATTAAAAGAATTAAAAGGCAGTATTATGAACAACCTTATGCCAATACATTTGACAATTTAAATAAAATTTTTAAATTACTTGAAAGATGCTAATGACCAGAATGACATAAGAATTAATACAAATCTGAATAATCTTATATCTATAAAAGAAATTAAACTCATAATTGCTGTAGTTTGGTAGACTCAGCCATTCCAGTCTGCTGGTTTTGGAGAATATAAAGTCTGGATGAGGAAAAGTCCCTCACAAAGCAACACAGCCACCTTGCCAGACTGTGGTCAGACTGCTTCTTTAAGCGGGACCCCAGTTCATTCTTCCTCACTGGGTGCAACCTCTCTGTGGGAGCTTCAGCCACTCCAGCTAGGGTTCTACAGAAAAAGCTCTGATCTCTCCCTGGGATAGAGCCCCTGGGGGAGGTGCAGCTGCTGTCTTTGTGGTTTGGTTGACTCAGTCTTTTCCAGCCTATCGGCTTTGGAGAATACAAACAGTCTGGACAAGGAAGGGCTCCCCCCAGTGCAGCACACCTGCTCTATCAAAAAGCAGTCAGATTGCTTATTTATTTATTTATTTTTGAGACGGAGTCTCACTCTGTCCCCCAGGCTGGAGTGCAGTGGCATGATCTCGGCTCATTGCATGCTCCACCTCCCAGGTTCATGCCATTCTCCTGCCTCAGCCTCCCGAGTAGCTGGGACTACAGGCACCTGCCACCACACCTGGCTAATTTTTTTTTTTTGTTTTTTTTTAGTGGAGATGGGGTTTCACCATGTTAGCCAGGATGGTCTCGATCTCCTGACCTCGTGATCCACCTGCCTCGGCCTCCCAGGGTGTTGGATTACAGGCATGAGCCCACTGTGCCCGGCACAGATTGCTTATTTAAGTGGGTCCCTGATCCCATTCCTCCTGACTGGGTGAGACCTCCCAACAGGGGTCTCCAGACACCTCCTACCAGTGTGTTTGGGCCAGCAACAGGTCAGTACCCACCTGGGACAAAGTTTCCAGAGGAAGGAGCTGGCAGCCATCTTTGCTGTTTTGCAGCCTTCACTGGTGATACCTCCAAGTACTGGAAAAAACAAGGCAACTAGGGTCTGAAGTGGACCCCCAGCAAACCACAGAAGCCCTACAGTAGTGTAGCTTGACTGTTAAGAGAAAAACAAACAAGCAAACAAACAAACAGAAAACAACAGCAACAACATCAACAAAAAAGACCCCACAAGAAGTCTGTTCAAAGGTTAGCAACCTCAAAGATTCAAGGTTGATAAGCCCACAAAGATGAGGAAGAATCAATGCAAAGAAGCTGAAAACTCAAAAAGCCAGAGGGCCTTTTTTCCTCCAAATGACCACAACACTTTTCCAGCAAGGACACAAAACTGGGCTCAGGCTGAGATGGCTGAATTGACAGAAGTAGGCTTCAGATGATGGGTAATAATGAACCTCACTGAACTAAAAGAGCATGTTCTAACCCAATGCAAAGAAGCTAAGAATCATGATAAAACAATATAGGAGGCTGGGTGCAGTGGTTCATGCCTATAATCCCAGGACTTTGGAGGCTGAGGCAGGCAGATCATGAGGTCAGGAGTTTGAGACCAGACTGGCCAACATGATGAAAACTGTCTGTACCAAAAATACAAAAAAATTAGCTGGGCACAGTGGTGCTTGCCTGTAATCCCAGCTAATTGGGAGGCTGAGGCAGGAGAACCAGTGAACTCAGGAGGCAGTGGTTGCAGTGTGCTGAGATCAGGCCACTGCACTCCAGCCTGGGTGACAGAGCAAATCTCCACCTCTACAAAATACAAAATGAAACAATACAGGAGCTAATAGCCAGAATAGCCAGTTTAGAGCGGAACAAAACAGACCTGATGGAGCTGAAAACACAACATGAGAACATCACAATGTGTCACAAGTATCAGTAGCAGAATAGACCAAGTGGAGGAAAGAATCTCAGAGCTTCAAGACTATCTTGCTGAAATAAGACAGGCAGACAAGAATAGTAATAATCTCGGAGCTTGAAGACAATCTTTCTGAATAAGACAGGCAAAAAAGAATGAAAAGGAATGAACAAAACCTCAGAGAAATATGAGACTGTTTAAAAAGACCTAACCTATGACTGATTGGGGTACCTGAAAGAGATGGGGCAAATGGAGCCAAGTTGGAAAACATACTACAGAATATCATCCAGGAGAACTTCTGCAACCTAGCAAGACAGACCAACATTCAAATTCAGGAAATGCAGAAAACTCCAGTAAGATACTCCACGAGAAGATCAACCCCAAGACACATAATCCTCAGAGTCTCCAAGGTCTACATGAAAGAAAAAAATGTTAAGGGCAGCCAGAAAGAAAGGCTAGGTCACTTACAAAGGAAAACCCATCAGACTAACAGCAAACCTCTCAGTGGAAACCATACAAGCCAGAAGAGATTGAGGGCCAATATTCAACATTCTTAAAGAAAAGAATTTCCAACCTGGAATTTTATATCTAGCCAAGCTAAGCTTCATATGCAAAGGAGAACTAAGACCCTTTTCAGAGAAGCAAATGCTTAGGGAATTTATCACCACCAGGCCTGCCTTGCAAGAGCTCCTGAAGGAAGCACTAAATATGGAAAAGAAAACCACTACCAGCCACTATAAAAATACAGTGAAGTACACAGACCAGTGACAATATGAAGCAACCACATAAACAAGGTCTGCAAAATAACCAGCTAGCATCATGATGACAGGATCAAATTCACACATAACAACACTAACCTTAAATGTTAATGGGCTAAATGCCCCAATTAAAAGACACAGAATGGCAAACTGGATAAAGAGATAAGACCCGTTGGTATGCTGTCTTCAAGAGACACATCTCATTTGCAAAGACACACAGACTCAAAATAAAGGGATGGAGGAAAGTTTACCAAGCAAGTGGAAAGCAGAAAAAATCAGGGGTTGCAATCCTAGTTTCTAACAAAACTAATTTTAAACCAGCAAAAATAAAAAAAGACAAAGAAGGGCATTACACAGTGGTAAAGGGTTCAATTCAAAAAGAAGAGCTAATTATCCTAAACATATGTGCACCCAATATAGGAGCACCCAGATTAATAAAGCAGGTTCTTAGAGACCTATAAAGAGACTGAGACTCCCACGCAATAATAGTGGGAGATGTTAACACCCCACTGACAATATTAAACAGATCATTGA
The DNA here is from genome assembly GCF_000001405.40 of Homo sapiens. NCBI lineage: Eukaryota > Metazoa > Chordata > Mammalia > Primates > Hominidae > Homo > Homo sapiens. The sequence goes on along the minus strand of NC_000012.12, from coordinate 48,613,145 downwards.
GAAAGAAAATTAACAAATATATTCAGGACATGAACTCAGCTCTGGATCAAGTGGACCTGACAGATATCTACAGCACACTCAACCACAAAACAACAGAGTATACATTCTTCTTTCTCATTGCTACACAGCACTTGCTCTGAAATTGATCACATAATTGGAAGTAAAACACTTCTCAGCAAATGCAAAAGAACTGAAATAATAACAACCTCTCAGACCACAGTGTAATCAAGTTAGAACTCAAGATTAAGAAATTCACTCAAAATTACACAACTACATGGAAATTGAACAACCTGCTCCTGAATGACTCTTGGGTAAATAATGAAATTAAGGTAGAAATCAAGAAGTTCTTTGAAACTAATCAGAACAAAGAGACAATGTACCACAATCTCTGGGACATAGCTAAAGCAATGTTAAGCGGGAAATTTATAGCACTAAATGCCCACATCAAAAAGCTAGAAAAACATCAAATTAACAACCTAACATGTCAACTAAAAGTACTAGAGAACCAAGAGCAAACAAACCCCAAAGCTAGTGGAAGACAAGAAATAACTAAGATAAGAGCTGAACTGAAGGATGAGAGCTGAACTGACACAAAAAATCCATTAAAACATCAATGAATCCAGGAGCTGGTTTTTTGAAAAAAATTATTAAAATAGATAGACTAATAAGGAAGAAAAGAGAGATGATTCAAATAAACACAATCAGAAGTGATAAGGGAGATATCAGCACTGACCCCACAGAAATGCAAACAACCATCAGAGAATACTATAATCACTACTATGCATATAAACTAGAAAATCTATGCCATTTGGAGTGGCTCATGCCTGTAATCCCAGCATTTTGGGTGGCTGAGGCTGGTGGATCACCTGAGGTCAGGAGTTTGAGACCAGCCTGGCCAACATGGGGAAACCCTGTCTCTACAAAAAATACAAAAATTAGCCAGGAGTAGTGTGCATGCCTGTAGTCCCAGCTACCAGGGTGGCTGAGGGAAGAGAATCGCTTGAAACTTGGAGGTGGAGGTTCCAATGAGCCAAGATGACACCACTGCACTCCAGCCTGGGAGACAAGAGTGAAACTCCATCTCAAAAAAAAAAAAAAAGAAAAAAAATCCACCTCTGCATCTGACGTTTTCAGTGCCTCCACTGGCCAACATGGTGAAACCCCATCTCTACTGAAAATACAAAAATTAGCCAGGTGTGGTGGCACATGCCTATAGTCCCAGCTACTAAGGAGGGTGAGGCAGGAGGATCTCTTGAACCCAGAAGGTGGAAGCTGCAGTGAGCCATGATCACACCACTGCACACCAGCATGGGTGACAGGGCAAGACCCTGTCTCAAAAAACAAACAAACAAGCAAACAAACAAAATTTAAAAATCTAGAAGAAATGGATACATTTCTGGACATGTACACCCTCCTGAGACTGAACCAGGAAGAAATTGAATCTGTGAATAGACCAATAATGAGTTTTAAAATTGAGGCAGTAATAAATAAGCCTACCAACCAAAAAAAAAAAAAAAAAAAAAAGAAAAAAAAAGCCCAGGACCAGACAAATTCACAGCTGAATTCTACCAGAGGTTTGAAGAGGAGCTGGTATCATTTCTACTGAAACTACTGCAAAAAATTGAAAAGGAGGGACTCCTCCCTTACTTATTTTATGAGGCCAGCATCATCCTGATACCAAAACATGGCAGAGATGCAACAAAAAAACAAAACCCCAGGGCAATATCCTTGATGAATATTGATGTAAATGTCTTCAGTAAAATACTGACAAACTGAATCCAGCAGCATATCAAAAACCTTATCCACCATGATCAAGTTGGCTTCATCCCTGGGATGCAAGTTTGGTTTAACATACACAAATCAATAAACATGATTCATCACATAAATGGAACTAAAGACAAAAACGACATGACTATCTCAATAGATGCAGAAAAGGCCTTTAATAAAATTCAACATCCCTTCACGTTTAAAACAGTGAACAAGCTATCGAAGGTGCATACCTGAAAATAATAAGAGCCATCTATGACAAACCCACATGCTAACACCATACGGAATAGGCAAAAGCTAGAAGCATTCCCCTTGAAAACTGACACAAGGATACTCTCTCTCACCACTTCTATTTAACATAGTATTGAAAGTTCTGGCCAGGGCAATCAGGCAACAGAAAGACATAAAGAGTTTTCAAAATAGGAAGAGAGGAAGTCAAATTATGTTTGTTTGCAGATGACATGATCTTATATATAGAAAACCCCATTGTCTTGGCGCAAAAGCTTCTTAAGCTGATAAGCAACTTCAGCAAAGTCTCAGGATACAAAATCAATGTGCAAAAATTGCTAGCATTCCTATACACCAAAAACAGGCAAGCAGAGAGCCATATTATGAATGAACTCCCATTCACAATCGTTACAAAAAGAGTAAAATACCTAGGAATACAGCTAACAAGGGAGGTGAAGGATCTCTTAAAGGAAACTACAAACCACTACTCAAAGAAATAATAGAGGACACAAACAAATGGAGAAACATTCTGTGCTTATGGATAGGAAGCATAAATATTGTGAAAATGTCCATACTTTCCAAAGTAATTTATAGATTCAATGCTGTTCCAATTAAGCTACCATTGAGATTCTTCATAGAATTAGAAGAAACTATATTAAAATTCATATGGAACCCAAAAAGAGACTAAATAGCCAAGACAATTCTAAGCAAAAAGAATAAAGCTGGAGGCATCACACTACCCAACTTTAAACTATACTACAAGCCTATAGTAAATAAAACAGCATGGTACTGGTACAAGAATAGACTCATAGACCAATGAAACAGAATAGAGAGCTCAGAAATACAACTGCACACCTAAAACCATCTGATCTTTGACAAACCTGACAAAAACAAGCAATGGGGAAAGGATTCCCTATTTAATAAATGGTGCTAGGAGAGCTGGCTAGCCATATGACAAAAATTGAAACTGGGTCCGTTCCTTACAATATATGCAAAAATTAACTCAAGATGGATTAAAGACTTAAAAGTAAAACCCAAAACTACAAAATCCCTAGAAGAAAAATCTAGGCCATACCATTCTGGGCATAGGCATGGTCAAAGATTTCATGACGAAGAAGCCAAAAGCAATTGCAACAAAAGCAAACATTGACAAATGGAATCTAATTAAACTAAAGATCTTCTGCACAGCAAAAGAAACTATCATTAAACAGACAACTTACAGAATGGGAGAAAATTTTTGCAATCTCTCCATCTGACAAAGAACTAATATTGAGAGTCTACAGGGAACTTAAATTTACAAACAACAACAACAACAACAAAACAAAAGCCAACCCAATTAAAAAGTGGGCAAAGGACATGAACAGACACTTCTCAAAAGAAGACACACATGTGGCCAAGAAACATTAAAAAAAAGCTCAACATCACTGATCACTAGAGAAATGCAAATCAAAACCACAATGAGATGTCATCAAACACCAGTCAGAAAAGCTATTATTAAAAAGTAAAAAACAAAAACAAAAAAACAAAAAAACCCAAAACAGCAGATGCTGGCAAGGTTGCAGAGAAAAAGGAACACTTTTACACTGTTGATGGGAGTGTAAATTAGCTCAACCATTGTGGAAGACACTGTGGCAATTTTTCAAAGACCTAGAGACAGAAATACCATTCAAACTAGCAATCCCATTACTGGGTATATACCCAAAGAAATATAAATCATTCTATTATACAGACACATGCACAAGTATGTTCATAGCAGCACTATTCACAGTAGCAAAGTAATGGAATCAACCTAAATCCCATTAATAGACTGGATAAAGAAAATGTGGTACATATACACCGTGGACTACTATGAGGTCATAAAAAAGAACAAAATCGTGTCCTTTGCAGGGACGTGGATGGAAAGCCATTATCCTCAGCAGACTAATGCAGGAGTAGAAAACCAAACACCACCTGTTCTCACTTATAAGTGGGAGCTGAATGATGAGAACACATGGACACATGGTGGGGAACAACACACACTGGGGCCTGTCAGGGGGTGAGGTGGGGGGTGGGAGAGCATCAGGAGTAATAGCTAATGGATGCTGGGCTTAAGACCTGGTTGATGGAATGATCCGTGCAGCAAATCAACATGGCACACGTTTACCTATGTAACAAACCTGCACATCCTGTACATGTACCCCTGAAGGTAAAACGAAAGTTGAAGAAAAAACACTTACATATTAAAAGAAAATAAATTAAATTCACAATTAAAAAGATTCCCACTGTGAAAACTGCAGACACAGATAGCTTCACTGGTAAATTTTTATCAAATTTTAAGGAAGAAATAATACTAATCCTATAGAAACTCTCAGAAACTAGAGTAGGAGAGAACATTCTTTAACCTGTTTTTTGAGACCAGAATAGTCTTAATACCAAACCTTACAAAGACATGAAAACAGTAAAATTACAGATTATACTTCACAAACACAGATAAAAAATTCTTAACAAAATTTTAACAAATTAATTCCAGTAATGTAAAAATATGATCATATATCATGATCAAGTGTGGTTTATTTCAGGAATGCAAAATAGTTTTAACATTTAAAAAATAAGTCAATGTTATTTAGCACATGAAAGAACAGAGGATAAAACTCATAAATGCAGGCAAAACATTTGAAAATTTGAAAACCCACTTAAAATAAAAACTCTGACTACATTAGTCTTTATTTGCAGATGACATGATCGTGTATATAGAAAATACTAAGGAAGCTACAAATACATACCAGAACTAGAAGAGTTTTGAATGTTGCAGAATATAAGGTAAATATACAGAAATTAACTTTATGTCTATTAACTGGCAAAAACAACTGTACAATAAAATTTAAAGTTATTTAAAATAGCGTAATATCACATGGATAAATATAACAAAATGTGGGTAAGAGTTATACACTGGAAATGACAAAACATTGACATTAAAGAAGGCCTACCTTATCTAAAGTGAATTGATGCAGGAACAGAAAATCAAATACCACATGTTCTCACTTATAAGTGAGAGCTAAACATTGGGTACTCATGGACATAAAGACAACAATGGAAACTGAGGACTACTAGAGGGGGAAGGAAGGAAAGGGGGCAGGAGTTGAAAAACTAACTATTGGGTACTATGCTCAGTACCTGGGTGATGGGATTATTTATACCCCAAACCTTAATATCATGCAATACACCCAAGTAACAAATCTGCACATATACCCCCTTAATATAAAATAAAGTTGAAGAAAAGAAGGCCTAAATAAATGGAGAAACATACCATGTTAATGGATTGGAAGACTCAATATTGTTAAGTCAATTCTCCACAAATAGATCTATATATTTAATATAACCTCAAATAAAAAATTCATTGGGCTTTTTTTGGGTAAAAATTAGCAAGAGAATCCTAAAACTTACATGGAAATCAAAGTGTCTTGCATAACTAGAAATATTTTGAAAAAGAAAACAAAGTTGGATAACTACAGTATTCGATTTCTAGACTTATTCTCAGGCTATATGACATGGGTTGGATCTATGTCCCCACCAAATCTCGTGTCAAATTGAAATCCTCAGTGTTGAAGGTGGGAGGTGATTGGATCATGGTGGTGGTTTCTCATGGTTTAATGCCATCCCCCTTGGTGCTGTCATAGTGAGTGAGTTCTCATGAGATCTTGTCATTTAAACCTCCTCCCTCTCTCTCTTCCTTCTGCTCCAGCAATGTGAAGTGTTCACTCCCCCTTTGCCTTCTGCCATACTTGTAGGTTTCCTGAGACCTCCCCAGAAGTTGAGCAGATGCCAGCATCATGCTTCCTGGACAGTCTGTGGAACTGTGAGCCTATTAAACCTCTTTTCTTTATAAATTACCCATTCTTAGGTATTTCTTTATAGCAATGTGAGAATGAACCAATACAGAAAATTGGTACTGAGAAGTGGGGCATTGCCATGAAGATACCTGAAAATGTGGAAGTGACTTTGGAACTGGTTAATGAGCAGAGGTTGGAAGAGTGTGGAGGGCTCAGAAGAAGACAGAAAGATGATTGAAATTTGAAACTCCCTAGAGACTGGTTAAATGATTGTGACCCAATGCTGATAGTGATATGGACAATAAAGTTCAGGTTGATGAGGTCTCAGGTGGAGATGAGGAACTTACTGGGAACTGGAGCAAAGGTCACTTTTGTTATGTGTTAACAAATAACCTGGCAGCATTTTGCCCCTGCTCTAAGGATCTGTGAAACTTTGAATCTGAGATTGATGATCTATGGTATCTGGCAGAAGAAAATTCTAAGCAGCAAACCACTCAAGATTTGGTCTGGCTGCTTCTAAAAGCCTATGCTCATGTGTGTGAGCAAGGAAATGACGTGAAACTGGAACTTATATTTAAAAGGGAAGCAGAGTGTTAAAGCCTGGAAAATTTGCAGCCTGGCCATGTGGTAGAAAAGAAAAGCCTACTTTCTGGGGAGGAATTTGCATAACTGAAAGGAAGGCAAATGTTGAAAGCCAAGGAAATGGGGAAAAGTCCTTCACGGCATTTCAGAGACCTTCGCAGTGGCCCCTCCCTTGAGAGGTTTGGAGGCCTAAGAGAGAAGAATGGTTTCATGGGCCAGGTCCAGGGTCCCACTGCCCTGTGCAACCTTGGGATACTGCACCCTCCATCCCAGCCACTCCAGCTCCAGTTATGGCTCAAAGGCACCCAGGTACAGCTCAGGTTGCTGCTTCAGGGGGTGCAAGCTGTAAGCCTTGGCAACTCCCATATGATGTTAAGCCTGCAGGTGCATAGAGTGCAAGTTGAGGCTTGGGAGCCTCGGCCTAGATTGCAGAGGATGTATGGAAAAGCCTGGATATCCAGGCAGAAGCCTGCTGCAGGGGCAGAGCCTTCATAGAGAACTTTACTAGGGCAGTGCAGAGGGGAAATTTTCAGGTTGAAGTCCCCACACAGAGTCTCCACTGGGACACTGCCTATTGGAGCTGTGAGAAGAGGGCTACCATACTCCAGACCCCAGAATGGTAGATCCACTGGCAGCTTGCACTCTCAGCCTGGAAGAGCCATAGATACTCAATGCCAGCCCATGAGAGGAGATGTAGGGGATAACCTCTGCAAAGCCACAGGGCAGAGCTGCTCAAGGCCTTGGGAGCCCACCCTTTGTATCAGCGTGCCCTGGATGTGAGACATGGAGTCAAAAGATATTATTTTGGAGCTTTAATATTTAATGACTGCCCTGCTGGGTTTCAGACTTGCATGGGGCCTGTAGCCCCTTTCTTTTGGTTGATTTCTCCCTTTTGAAATGGGAGTACTTACCCAATGCCTGTATCCCCATTGTATCTTGGAAGTAACTAAATTATTTTTTATTTTATGGGCTTATAGGTGGAAAAGACTTACCTTGTCTCAGATGAGACTTTGGACTTCGGACTTTGGACTTCTGAGTTAATGTTGGAATGATTTAAGACTTTAGGGGACTGTTGAGAAGGGATGATTGTATTTTACAACATGAGAAGGACATGACATTTGGAGGGGCCAGAGGCAGAACTATATGGTATGGATCTGTGTCCCCACCAAATCTCATGTTGAATTGTAATCCTCAGTGTTGAAAGTGGGGCCTAGTGGGAGGTGATTGGATCACGCAGGCAGTTTCTCATGGTTTAACACTCTCCCCCTTGGTGCTGTCATAGTGAGAGAATTTTTATGAGATCTGGTCATTTAAAAGTGTGTAGTACTTCCCTCCTCTCTCTCTTCCTTCTGCTCTGGCCATGTGAAGTACTTGCTCCCCCTTTGCCTTCTGCCATGTTTGTAGGTTACCTGAGGCTTCCCCAGAAGTTGAGCAGTTGCCAGCATCATGCTTCCTGTGGAACTGTGAAGTCTGTGGAACTGTGGAACTGTGAAGTTTGTGGAGCTGTGAGCCAATTAAACTTCTTTTCTTTATAAATTACCCAGTCTTAGGTATTTATTTATAGCAGTGCAAGAACAGACTAACAAACTATATTAATCAAAATATTGGCCAGGAATGATGGCTCATGCCTGTAATCCCAGCACTTTGGGAAGCTGAGTTGGGCAGATCACGTAAGCTCAGGAGTTCAAGACCAGCCTGGGCAACATGGTGAAACCCTGTCTTTACAAAAAATAAAAAAATTGGCTGGGCATGGTGGTGTGCACCCGTAGTCCCAGCTACTTGGGAGGCTAAGGTGGAAGGATTGCTCAATCCTGGGATTTTTTTTGTATTTTTAGTAGAGACGAGGTTTCACCATGTTGGCCAGGCTGGTTGTTAACCCCTGACCTCAGGTGATCCACCCGCCTCGGCCTCCCAAAGTGCTGGGATTACAGGTGTGAGCCACCACGCCCGACCAATTTTGTATTTTTAGTAGTGACGTGGTTTCACCATGTTGGTCAGGCTGGTCTTGAACTCCTGATCTCAGGTGATCTGCCCGTCTTGGCCTCCCAACGTGCTGGGATTACAGGCATGAGCCACTGTGCCTGGCCAAATTGTTCTATTTTAAAGACACATGCACATGTATGTCCATTGCAGCACTATTTGCAATAGCAAAGACATGGAATCAACCTAAATGCCCATCAATGACAGACTGGATAAAGAAAATGTGGTACATATTCATCATGGAATACTATGCAACCATAAAAAAGAATGAGATCATGTCTTTTGCAGGGACATGGATGGAGCTGGAGGCCATTAACCTTAGCAAACTATTACTCAAGTTTCTCTAGTGAGACAGAACTAATGGAATATCTATATCTATATTTATATCTATATCTATATCGATAAAGGGGAGCTTATTAAGTATTAACTCACACAATCACAAGGTCCCATAATAGGCCATCTGCAGGCTGAAGAGCAAGGAGAGCCAGTCTGAGTTCCAAAATGGAAGAACTTGGAGTCTGATGTTTAAGGGCAGGAAGCCTCCAGCACAGGAAAAAGATGTAGGCTGTAAGGCTGGGCCAGTCTCTCTTTTCACATTTTTTCTGCCTGCTTATATTCTAGCAGCACTGGCAGCTGATTACATTGTGCCCACCCAGATTGAGGGTGGGTCTGCCTTTCCCAGCCCACTGACTCACACGTTAATCTCCTTTGGCAACACCCTCACAGATACAGACCTAGGACCAATACTTTGTATCCTTCAATCCAATCAAGTTGACACTCAGTATTAACCATCACACAAACTAATACATGAACAGAAAACCAAATATGCATGTTCTCACTTATAAGTGGAAGCTAAATAATGAGAACACATGGACACATAGAGGGGAACAACACACACTGAAATAATCTGTATAACAAACCCCCCCAGACAAAAGATCACCTATGTAACAAACCTGTGCATGTACCCCTCAACTTAAAAGTTAAAAAACAAAACAACAAAACAAAACAAGCAAACAAATTAAAAAAAGATCAGAGGCTACCCTGTGCAGGAGAGAATGCAGTGACTGCTAAGAAATATGAAAGAATTTTTTGGAGAGATGGAAATGTTCCACATCATGATTATGGTGTTATATGGGTGTACATATTTATCAAAACTTGTCAAATTGGACACTTAAGGTAGGTACAATATAATTATATGCAAATTTTCTCTCAATAACAGTGTTAAAATATATGTGGTAAAGTCATCCTGGATTGAGGAAAGCTTGAACTGTCAGAGCCCCCAAGATTGTTAACTAAGAAGTAGCAAGAACTTCTTCAAGAGTAGGAACCCACGTTATTGTCTCCAGAGGTGCTCACAAAGAGCAAATGCACAGAGACTCTTGACTTTTGTAATGTTCTACCCTGTTTCCAACCTTGTCTGAATTCTAACGTGTTATTACTTGCCATTCATCCCTACCTCTCTTTTGGGTTTTGATCTCTCTTTCTTACCTATTTCTGACCCAACCTGTGGGTCCTGGTACTGATTTTCCAATGCTTGCCCCATACTTTGGTGGCCTCTCTTGCTTTCCAGCTAGTGGCCTGATAATCTCTTTTCCATAAATTCTGACATATATCCATCACAGTTTGAGTCTTCTTAATACAAGTGTTCACCTGTACCCCCATCTACCTCCAAAGATCAGGCTTTTCTTCTTGACTAGAGTAAGAAAGAGAGAGTTTTATCTTACCTTCCTCTACAGTTGTGTTTTCAGAAGTTTTTCCTTTGTTCCAGGTGCTGTCTCCACCGTCTCCGTCTCTAACTTGGGTCCTGATTCACCCCTCTGATGGCTCTAGCCTGGAATTTCCAGGCTACTTCCCTCATTTGGACTGTGCTCCCTTTCTACAGGCATTATGGGAAGGTTGACTTGGGTAAGAACTTTCATGTTAATACCTTTTTATTATTCACAACACTGTCCATGTAAGACTGGATGAGTATTTCCAATATTCCTTCTAAAGGGCTGGTGTAATCAAAGAAAGTTATAGGAGAAAAACATGTAAAACTGACACTCTATGTGGTCTTTATAAGAATTTAAGAAGGCCTTTAACATGGAGGTTAAAATCCTTGTTAGAAACAAGTGCTTGGTGCTGCAAAGAAAACCAACATGTAGGCAGAAAATTCCTCAGCAAGGCAAATTTACTTCTGCAGAAGGGTGCAGCTTGTGCCAGTCACAATTGCAAGAGCACACCGAGTGTGGTGGGGCAGGGGTTTTTATCCCTAATGCAATCAGTCCCTACTGCTGTGTTCTTTCCCCATTGGCTGGAGTTGAACAGCACAATCTAAGCTAACCTGATTGGTTAATGATTGAAATTGAATACAGCTAACTAGGTGGGAAGAGGGAGGCTATCTATTATGGTGTGAGGCATGTCTGGGCATGTCAGGGTGTGGCAAGGATGGGAAGAGTTGTTTACAGCATGGGTAACTAGAAACATGGGTAACTAGAAACCCATGTTACAGCATGTGTCTTAAAAACAAAGGACAAGGAACTAAAGCCTTTTGAAGAGGAATTTATCATTTTTGACAGTTTCCCCCTCTGATTTTATAGCTTTTCCTCTTCAAAACATCTCAGCATACCCCGGCTCTGTTGTTCTTCTTGGGTATCTAGAAGGAAGAGTTTATCAGAATAGGGTGGGGGAGAACTAAAGGAGGTTTTGGTGAGAGCTGTTTCTATAAGTCTTCACACTAAACCGCAAATACAGGGTATGATACAGCATCCTACAAGAATGAGCACGCCTATAACAATTACAAGGGAGGTGAATATTGAGGTCATAATTCCTTTCCATTTCCCAAACCATTTTTCCATGAGGCTTGTAAAGGGGTCATTTATTCCAGAATTTTTGGCTAACTCATTTGATAGGGAGGTAAGGCCTTGTAGGGCTTTTTTTTTATTGTTCCTCTGGGGGCTGTGTTATTAGGAATAAAAGTGCAGTGTTGAACTCTGATCATAACACAGACTCCGCCTTTCTCTGCTAACATCATATCAAGGGTTACCCTATTTTCCCAAGCCACCTGGCTGGTGGAGCCTGATTGTTCAGCTATTCCTTTAATGGTATCTCTTGTATAATTGACAAATCGCTGCTGATTATAGTAGATGTAATTTATCTAATTTACATTTTCATTTATAGTTGACCACCAGAACCATGCTGACTCAAACCTTGCAGCTATTTGGTTTCGGGCTTTAAATTCATCTGGCACTTCTTGCAGAACTCCAATAGCATCTATATATACATGTGAGTCAAAAGACCTGTGAGGGGCACTTCTTTTTTTCCGATTATCTCTCTTATTGTGTTGACGAGATGCTAGGGTGAAAGGGATGGCCAACTGGACTAGAGCGAAAGTGCCACTCCAGTTACTGGGCAGAGTACCCAGTAGTGGTCCACCGCAGTACCACCATACGTCTGTTCGGGGATGAACCAGGGCAGACTGATGGGTAAGCTCTTGGAAGGGCTTAGTTTCACTGCACCCAGTTAGGTTTCTGAGGGACATTAAATTTTCCCCTTGTCTTGCGAGACACAAGGTGAAATTAACATCAGAAGTGGGAGGCCAGATGGTTCTCAGAGGATGACTTGCAGGGCCTTTGGCTTCTGAGAATAGCAGTGAGAGAGTCTTGCATGACTCATCGCCCCAGGCAGTGGGGTTTTGAAAGAGAGCTACAATGCAGCTCATGCCCAGTCCGTGAGAAGACCACCCAAGTGGAAAGGGGACAATTTGGGTCTCTGGCCTGCCTGTCATACAAGCGTAACAGTTGCTTTTGTTTAGCATGTGAACAGAATATTTAATCCATTCCAGCCACGCATTTGCATCTTGATACCCTGTTTCAATTGCTATAGTTTGTTCTAAATCTTTAACCCCTACAACAACTACTTTGGTTTTATCACTGAGTATATAACAAAAAAAGGTTTGGTTAGAGGAGAATTTAGGAGAGGGAGAAGGGGGTGCAGGAGGTGGGGAAGCAATGAAGCATATTTCAAAGGATCCTATGGAGTCGTTCCCTGAGACTTCTGCTCCTATACAATAGAAACGGCTTAATGAAGGGAAAGAACTCTGGGGAGCAGAGATGGTAATCTGTACTGGATTACATTGGTTCAGCTGACAATTGGGAGGAGTAACTCCTTTAGCAAAATGAATATATGGTTTTAGGAAACTGCAAGTACTAGTTGAGGTGGTCCCTACTTGCTCTTTAGTATTCCATAGAACATTGGACCAACTTCGGCAGAGAAGCTCTGCTCTAGGAGGACAAGATTCCCAGTTCACACTGGAATCTTCATCACAATTTTCCCAAACTAGCTTATCCCAGTTAATAAATGCCCAATCCGAGGGGAGCCAGGAAGGACAGAGATACTTTTCTGAGGTGGAGAGTTGCCTTTGACTTGACAAATCTCCACAGGGTATAACAAGGCAAGTGTGAAAGGTAATAGGGGTGAGCTTGACTTGGTTACATTAATAATAAGGGACTAGTGATAGAGATGGGGAGGAAAGAAATACAGAATAAGAGGGTTAAACCTGCTTTAGCCTTCCTACTGATAATAGTGTAAGGGTTGGAAATAACAGGATGTGTAATTTGGACTATCTGATTAATAGCTTGAAGGTCTCATGGTAACCAGTATGACCCTTCTGGCTTCTTTACTGGCAGTATTGGAGTGTTATAGGAGGACATACAAGGTTCGAGAAGCCCATCACGGAGAAGACCTTCAATGACAGGTTTTAAATTTATCCTGGCTTCTAAGGGAATAGGTATTGCTTTCTGTTTACTACTTCCCCAGGGGTTTTTAATTTAACATGAATCAGAGAGATTTGTAACTTTCCTTGATTCCTGTCTTTTGACCATACTTCTGGGTGAATGTGTTCCTCATCTGTGGTGGTGAGTAAGTTTAGGGAGGGGATAAATTTTCCATGATTAACTTGCAGACGTAAGCCCAACTCTAGCATTAAATCTCTTCCTAATAGGCTTGTCCCTGCTTCTGGAATTAACAGAAATTTAATATTAGCTGATCGGTTTTTATATTTAAGTTTTGTCTCCTCTAAATTTTTTGCTTTAAATCCTTCCCCTCTTACCCCTGAGATAAAAAGTTCTTGTGAACAAGTTATACTGGATGGAATATAACAAACTGAGGAGCGAGCTGCTCCTGAATTGATTGAAAAGGTAACAAGTTCAGGTTTAGGTCTCACCTCTAAATTTATCAAGGGCTCTTTGTGGGACTCGAGATAAAAAAGATAGAGCCCCTGATTTCCCTAGTCTTCATTGAAAGCCATAAGTGGGATGACTTTCTCTTCTTTTTCCCATTGGGGACATTGTCTTTTAAAGTGACCAATCATGCCTGGCCTCCAGTTTTCTATTTTTTGTAATTTCTTTGTAATGTCTGGCCAGTTGTTGGTGACAGAGTAGAGCCTTAATATTCCCTGTCCGAGGGGGTCTTCTGATTCTAGGCCAGCGTATTTTCTCATTTGCTCCTCGAGCCTTTCTAAGAATTCTATCAGTCCTTCATCTTTTCCCTATTGTATATTAAAGGCCTTGGTAAGATTTTGGGCATGGGGTACTGATTCTCGAATCCCTTTTATTATTATCTCTCTAAGATCTTTTGTATTTCCTCAATGGGCTATATTGTTGTTATCCCATTGAAAATCTTGGGCTGGGAATTTTTGTTCAGCTGCTGGGATGTTTGGACTGGGAGGGTGTTCATGGTCCCAAATGGTCATAGAGGCCCCGTGTATCATGCTGCTTTCTTCTCCTGAGAATAAGATACCTAAGATGGACATTAACTCAGCCCAAGTATATAACTGGGGTCCTAAAAACTGATCAGCTTGATTGGCCACTCCATGGGGGTCATCCAAGAGCAGCTTAAGATCTTTTTTCAGGTTTCAGATCTCTGAACTAGTTAATGGAGCATTTACAAAACCAATGCCTCCTCTTCTGAGGGGTACTTCCCTCAAGGGAAAGAGAGTTGGAGCAGACTCCTTGGAGGTACTGGGGAAAGGGAAATTTTGGATATCCTTTTTGCACTGCTCTATCTCACATTGAAGTCCTCTGAAGGGATGGCACTCAGGATTATAAAGGGGAGGAATAACATGAGTAGAGAAAGGGTCTGGGGTAGCAGCTGCTTGAGGGAGAGGAAAGTTAGGGAGATTTGGTGGGGGAAGATGGTCTAGTGTGTCCCAAGGTGTAGATTGCTTGCAGGTAAGAGTTTCAGCTTCCTTAGGGGAAGCATTCTCTGGCTTGTGTCTATCTTCGGGTAGAGAAGGACAGGTCCCTGTCACCAGCACAAGGCATAGTCTATCTCTTCTTGGGAGACTGAACTTTTGTTATTGACATATTCTATTAAAAGTTGACAGAACCAGTCTTCATCAGATCCAAATTTTGGCCAGAAAACTGGGTGTTTAAGGATAGCTTTCCTGGTCCAAATGAAACAGCAGTATTTTATCATTTGCTGTATTTTTCTTGTGTTTGATCCTTTAATTATCCTTCCAATATTCTAACATTAAGCCTAGGGGACTATCAGAGGGTACATTATTTTTACAATCTTTCTTATCTTTTGTCTTACTTGGTGTATTTCCCATCCTGGAGGAGGTGTCTTTCTGAATCTGTGGGGCTCAACCTCACTTACTAGAGATTTCTTGCACCCAAGTGAGTTTGCAGGGCTCAACCTCTCTTGCTAGAGATTTCTTGCACCCTTTTCCTTAGAGGCTCAACTCCCATTACTGGAGATTTCTTGCACTCTTTCTCTAGAGACTCAACCCCCCCACTGGAGATTTCTCACACTCTTCAGCTTTTGCTTTGTCCTTCTCTGGCCACTTCCCTCACGGGAATTTTCAGGTCCCTCTTAGCACTGATGGGTCAGTACAAACCCCACAACAGGCAAACCGCCATAAGTCATATGAGGAGAGCATGGAACCACAGATCCAGACTCTGGACTCGCTTCGCACTCAGTTGTGCCTCTCATTCACACACTTTCAACCTCAAGGATATCCTGACCACCAAGGAAATACTTCACCGCCCCCACAGCTTTTTTCACATTGGTCTGTGCACAGTTACCTGGTCACCGTGGTATCTGTAGGCCTTTTCCTTCTGTGTTCCTGAGAGTCCAGGTTTATTCATCACACCAGGTGGGTCTCAATCCCTAGCCCCAGCGGCCACTGCAACAAGGCAGCGGGGTGTGTCTCCTTATGAGAGGGACCAGAGACCCTTCCCCAGAGGAGAATGGGAATCCCACATGGGCCCCCA
The DNA here is from genome assembly GCF_000001405.40 of Homo sapiens. Classification (NCBI taxonomy): domain Eukaryota; kingdom Metazoa; phylum Chordata; class Mammalia; order Primates; family Hominidae; genus Homo; species Homo sapiens. The sequence goes on along the minus strand of NC_000012.12, from coordinate 48,597,526 downwards.
AATTCTCAGGCCACTTAATGGAGTATAGCCACACCTCCAGAAAGCCCTTTTTGATTGCAACTCTCCATGCCTAGAGATAATCATTACTTCTTTACATTTCTTTACAAGGTACCACTTAACTATGCATCCATAAAAATATAATTTGTTTTTCTTGCTTTTAATCTTAACTGGAATCTTTCTGTATGCTTTCTTTTTTGGCTTGGGTTATTTTATTCAATATTATGTTTTTAAGATACATCAGTGACCTGTGTAGCTGCCTGTTGTTCATTTTGGTGCTATATTCTATTGTAGGACTTGTACCAAAATTTATCTATTATAGTCTTAATGGACATTTGTTAATATTAATGGGTTAATAGGTTATTAGGTTTGGGGATTATCAGCAATGCATCTATGAACAGTTTTTTTTTTACAATTATCCTGGGGCATATGCATGAGTTTCTCTAGTGTGCATATGTGGGAGTGGAATTGCTGAGTCCTAGGACTTGCATATCTTCATATTTGCCAAATGTTTTCTAAAGTGGTTGCACCAGTTTCACTCCTATCAGCAGTTTATGAAAGTCCTCATTATGTTAGTTTTGTCAGACTTTAAAATTTTTGGCTGATCTTATGGATGCATAGTGGTAACACATTGAGGTTTTAATTTACATTTCCCTGATTACTAATGAGGTTGAATTCCCTCTCATATTTTTATTGCCACTTGAACTTCTTCTTTGTGAAGTTCTGGTTCAAGCTTTTGACCATTTTTATGGAACTTTGAGTAAGGATTCACATGAGTTCTTTATATATTCTAGATACCAAGTATACAAATTCTTAGTCATTATATGTGTTACAAATGTCTCTCTTCACTTTGTGGCTTGCTCTTCTTTAGTACCTTTTATAGAACAAAATTAATATTTTAATGTGATTAATTTATTTTTATTTTTCTTTATGGCTAGTGTTTTCTTTTGGTGGTGTTTTAAAGAAATTTTTGCTTATTCTGAAATAATAAAGATATCTTTCTATATTTTAACCTTTTTTTTTTGAGATGGAGTCTCGTTCTGTCACCTAGGCTCGAGTGCAGTGGTGTGATCTCGGCTCACTGCAACCTTCACCTCCCAGGTTCACGCGATTCTCTTGCCTCAGCCTCCCTAGTAGCTGGGATTATAGGCGCATACTGCCACACTGGCTAATTTTTTGTGTTTTTAGTAGAGACAGGGTTTTACTATGTTGGCAAGACTGGTCTCGAACTCCTGACCTCGTGATCTGCTTGCCACGGCCTCCCGAAGTGCTGGGATTACAGGCATGAGCCGCCACAACCAGTCAATTTTTTTTTTTTTTTTGAGATGGAGTCTTACTCTGTTGCCTGGGCTGGAGTGCAGTGGCATGATCTCGGCTCACTGCAACCTCCGCCTTCCAGGTTCAAGTGATTCTCCTGCCTCATCCTCCCAAGTAGCTGGGGCTACAGGCACCCACCACCATGCCTGGCTAATTTTTGTATTTTTAGTACAGACAGGTTTTCAACATATTGGCCAGGCTGGTCTCGATCTCCTGACCTCGTGATCTGCCCTCCTCAGCCTTCCAAAGCACCCCAATTTTTAAAAATCTTTGTTTTTTTTTTTTTGAGACAGGGTCTTGCTCTGTTGCTCAGGCTGGCGTGCAGTGGTATAATCTCTGCTCACTGTAGCCTTGACCTCCCAGGCTCAAGGGATCCTCCCATGACAGCCTCTCAACTACCTGGGACTACATGGGTGTGCCACTATACCTGGCTAATTTTTTAATTTTTTGTAGTCATGGGGTTTTGCCATGTTGTCCGGGCTGGTCTCGAACTCCTGAGCTAAAGTGATCTGCCTGCTTCATTCTCCCAAGATGCTGAGACTACAGGTGTGAGCTATTGTGCCCAGCCTCATCTAAACAGTATATTTTGCTTTCTGTTTAGTTCTATAATCTATTTGGAATGGATTTGTGTGGATGTTGTGAGGTAAGGATTACATCTTTTTGTTTCCCATATGATTTTTGTATTTTCCAGAATGATTAATTGAAAAGTCTACTCTTTCCCCACTGTTCTTCGTTGTCATTTTTAATCATAACTCAAGGGTCTAAATACATGTAGGTCTGTTTCTTTTTTATCCTATGTTATTCCATTGGTCTGTTATTAGTCCATACTTGCATCATTAACATGTTTTAATTACTATTTCTTTATATTAAGTCTTGATATTTGATAGAGCAAGAATTCTTACTTTGTTCTTCAATGATGTTCTTGGCTAATGCATTTGTTTAATTTTATAAATATATTGTCATATTTCATTAAAAAACTGTTGGGAATTTTGCAGGGCATGGTGGCTCACATCTGTAATCCCAGCACTTTGGGAGGCCAAGGCGGATGGATCACAAGGTTGGGAGTTCGAGACCAACCTGACCAACATGGTGAAACCCCATCTCTACTAAAAATACAAAAATTAGCCAGGCATGGTGGCATGTGTCTGTAATCCCAGCTACTAAGGAGGCTGAGGCAGGACAATTGCTTGAACCTGGGAAGCGGAGGTTGCACTGAGCTGAGATCGCACCACTGCACTCCAGCCTGGGCAACAGAGCAAGACCCTCTTTATTTTTTAAAATTCGAGACAGAGTCTCGCTTTTTTGCCTGGATTGGAGTGCAGTGGTGTGATCTCAGCTTGCTGCAGCCTCCACCTCTTGGGTTCAAACAATTCTCCAGCCTCAGCCTCTCAAGTAGCTGGGACTACAGGCATGCACTACTATACCTGGCTAATTTTTTGTATTTTTAGCAGAGACAGGGTTTCATCACGCTGGCCAGGCTGGTCTTGAACTCCCGACCTCAAGTGATCTACCTGCTTTGGCCTCCCAAAGTGCTGGGATTACAGGCATGAGCCACTGCACGCAGCCTCTAACTTACCTCAATTCTGACATGCTCTACCCAGAGGTGGCATCATGATCCCACTGGTTGAGGGTACAGTCCCATGAGACTCCCCATCTCCTTCAGATGCTAATCATATGTAATAGGTTGTCATCTATACTTTTGACTGTTACTAAGTGAACAGGCTCGTTTTCTGACATGCATAGAAGCCGATGCTATAACACCAGCTTTTGAGAAAAGAAAGGCTTTATTGAAGGCCAACCAGCAAGGAGATAGGAAGTGCAGCTCAAATTTGTGTCCTTGATTTGGGGACTGGGGAAAGTCCTAAGTGGTTGGAGGGCAAAGGAAAAGTATGAGGAATGTTGGCTTGGCAGGGTCTGATTGCAGGGCTTCAAATTTGACCATTTATGATAAGGTATGTTTAGGTGGATTTTAGGTCTGGATATTCCTGGCCAACAGACCCCTCACTTCTGAAAGGGTTCCAGTATTCAAGTTCTGGTAATGCTCTGGTGTTCTTGGTTCCATGGGGAGGAAACATTGGTTCTGAGTGTTGTTAGATGTCAAAGCTTTTCTATTCCATATGCCCAGACTACACGATTCACGGTTTTGGCTGTTATACATACAAGGCAACTTGACATTTTGTTATCAATAAAGTAGGGCCATTTGGATGGTCCTGTGGTTACATGACTGGCCATAAATTGGGGGCTCCCACAACCCCCTCCTAGTTTTTTATTAATTTGCTAGAGCAGCTCAGAACTCAGGGAAACATTTTACTTTCATTTGGCCATTTATTACAAGGGATATTTTAAAGGATACAAATGAGTAACCAGATGAGGAGATACGTAGGTTGAGTCATGGAAGAGTCGCAAGTGCAGGAGCTTCTGTCCAGTGGAGTTGGGGGGTGCCACTCACTCAGCAAGTGGATGTGTTCTTGTTGTTGATGAAAAGAGTCAAACTCTGTAAAATATTTTAAGAGATTTATTCTGAGCCGAATATGAGTGACCATGGCCTGTGACACAGCCCTCAGGGGGTCCTGAGAACATGTACCCAAGGTTGTCGGGGTACAGCTTGGTTTTATATATTTTAGGGAGGCATGAGACATCAATCAAATACATTTAAGAAATTATTGTTTTAGTTCAGAAAAGTGGGACAACTCAAAGAGGGCAGGGTGGAGGGGGCTTCCAGGCTATAGGTAAATTTAAACATTTTCTGATTGACAATTGGTTGAGTTTATCTGAAGACCTGGGATCAAAGGAAATGTTCAGGTTAAGATAAATAATTGTGGAGACCAAGTTTTATTTTACAGAGGAAGCTCTCAGCGGACTTCAGAGAGAGCAGGTTGTAAAATGTTGGGACTTAAAAGGGTGCCTGGCTCTTAGTTGATTATCTCCTGGATCTGGAAAGGAAGGAAGAAAAACAAAGGGGAAAGGGGATTCTCTATAGAATGTGGATTTTTCCCACAAGAAACTTTGCAGGGCAATTTCAAGGTATGGCAAGGAAATATATTTTGGGGTTAAATATTTTTTCCTTGTCTCATAATGTTATGCCAGAGTCAGACTGAAAAGTAAGTCACAATATATAGGGTCAAATAAAACCCATCTGATGAGAATTTATAGTTTGTAGGACATGATTCCCTAGACTCCTTAGGTAGAAATGTGGGCAAGATTAAAAAATCAGAACTTAGTCCTCATCGTTCACCAACCTGGAATCTCTGAATATTTCCTTTTGGGTTTTATGGAGGCTTCATTACCTTTGTTACATAGGCATAACTGTATATTATGATGTAATCATTCGTGACTACTAATGAAGCCTCTGTACAAACATTGGTGATCAACTCATTCTTCAGTTCCTCTCCCCTCCCTGGAGGTTGGGGGGTGGGGTTGAAAGTCCCAACTCTCTAATCATGCCTTGTTAGCATACAAAAGATACACTTATAACTCCAGAGATTCCAAGGATTTTAGGAGCTGTGAGCCAGCAACTGGAGACTGAGACCAAAAAATAAAAAAAGAGACTGAGACCAAATATATATATATTTCTTATTTTACCACAATATCACACTATGTTAAATAAAGATTGCATTTCTGGAGCAAATCCAACAGTGTCATTACATGTTACTCTTTTCATTTATTGATGGATTTGGTTTGTTAGTTTTTAATTTAGGACTTTTGTAATAATGTTCACTAATGAGATTGACCTGTGGTTTCCATTTTTTCTTATAGCCTTTGAAATGTCCTGAGATCATGGTATCATTGCTAGGCTAATCTCATAAAAAGGGTTTGAAAATCAACCTTTTTCTTTTTTTGTTGGATATTTTATATAATACTAAAACTATTCATTTCTTAATTATTTGATATAATAGAATTTACTGGAATTTATTTTGAAGAAGGATTTTAATTACTAGCTGAATTTATTTAATGTTTATAAGACTATTCTGGTTTCTTTTCTTTTTTTTTTTTGAGACATAGTCTTGCTCTGTCGCCCAGTCTGGAGTGCAACGGCATGATCTTGGCTTACTTCAAACTCCGTCTCCCAGGTTCAAGTGATTCTCCTGCCCCAGTCTCCTGAGTAGCTGGGATTAGAGGTGAAAGCCACAATGCCTGGCTAATTTTTGTATTTTTAGTGGAGACAGGGTTTCGCTATGTCGGCCAGGCTGGTCTCGAACCCCTGACCTCAGATGATCTGCCTGCCTCGGCCTCCCTAAGTGCTGGGATTACAGGTACATGCCACCATGCCTGGCCCTGGTTTCTTTTTAACCTTTAAGTTCAGGGCTACGTGTGCAGGTTTGTTGTATAGGTAAACTTGTGTCATGGAGGTTTGTTGTACAGCTTATTTCACCACCCAGATATTAAGTGTAGTAATCATTAGTTATTTTTTCTGATCCTCTACCTCCTCCCACCCTCCACCCTCCACCCTTCACCCTCCAATAGGCCCCAGTGTGTGTTGTTCTTCTCTATGTGGCCATGTGTTTTCATTATTTAGCATCTACTTATGAATGAGAACATATGATATTTTGTTTTCTGTTCCTGCATTAGTTTGCTAAGGATAATGGCCTCCAGCTCCATCCATGACCCTGCAAAGGACATGATTTCATTTGTTTTTATGGCTGCATGGTACTCCATGGTGAATATGTACCACATTTTCTTTATCCAGTCTATCATTGTGGGAATTTAGGTTGATTCCATGTCTTTGCTGCTGTGAATAGTGCTACAGTGAACATACACGTGCATGTGTCTCTATGACAGAACAATTTATATTCCTTTGGGTAATATACCCAGTAATGGGATTGCTGGGTTGAATGGTATTTCTGTCTGTAGGTCTTTGAGGAATCGCCACACTGTCTTCCATAATGGTTGAAATAATTTACACTCCCAACAGTGTTTAAGCATTCCTTTTTCTCTGCAAACTCACCAGCATCTGTTATTTTTTTTGGCTTTTTATTAATAGGCATTCTGACTGGTGTGAGATGGTATCTCATTTTGGTTTTGATTTGCATTTATTTGATGATTAGTGATGATGAGCATTTTGTCATGTTTGTTGCCTGCTTGTATGTCTTCTTTCGAGAAGTGTCTGTTCATGTCCTTTGCCCACTTTTTAATGGGGTTATTTGTTTTTTTCTTGTAAATTTATTTAAGTTTCTTATAGCTGCAGGATATTAGACCTTTGTCAGGTGCATAGTTTGCAAAAATTCTCTGCTATTCTGTAGGCTGTCTGTTTAATCTGTTGATAGTTTCTTTTGCTGTGAAGAAGCTCTTTAGTTTAATTAGGTTCCACTTGTCAATTTTTGGTTTTGTGGCAATTGTTTTTGGGAACTCAGCCAAAAATTGTTTTCCAAGGCCAGTGCCACAAATGGTATCTCTTAGGTTTTCTTTTAGGATTTTTACAGTCTAAGGTCTTACATTAAAATTTTTAATCCATTTGAGTTAATTTTTATATATTGTGAAAAGTAAGGGTCTGGTTTCATTCTTCTGCATACTGCTAGCCAGTTATCTCACCACCATTTATTGAAGAGTGACTCCTTTCTCCTTGGCTTGTTTTTGTTAACCTTGTTGAAGAAAAGATGGTTGTAGGTGTGCAGTTGTATTTTTGAGTTCTCTTTTCTGTTCCATTTGTTTATGTATCTGTTTTGTATTAGTACAGTGCTGTTTTGGTTGCTGTAGCCTTATTGTATAGGCTGAAGTTGAGTACAGTGATGTCTCCAGCTTTACTCTTTTTGCTTAGCATTGCTTTGACTATTTGGGCTCTTTCTTGGTTTCCATATGAATTTTAGAATAGTTTCTTCTAATTCTGTGAAGACTGTTAGTAGTTTGTTGGTTTTTTTTTCTTTTTTTTTGAGACAGAGTATCACTCTGTGGCCCAGGCTGGAGTGCAGCGGTGTGATCTTGGCTCACTGCAATCTCTGCCTCCTGGGTTCAAGTGATTCTCCTGTCTCAGCCTCCCAAGTAGCTGGGACTACAGGCACATGCCACCACGCCCAGCTAATTTTTGTATTTTTAGTAGAGATGGGGTTTCACCATATTGGTCAGGCTGGTCTCGAATTCCTGACCTCAGGTGATCCACCTCTCTCGGCTTCCCAAAGTGCTGGGATTACAGGTGTGAGCCACCGCACCTGGACTGAATGTTAGTAGTTTGATAGAAATAGCCTTCAATCTGTAAATTGCTTTGGGCAGTATGGTCATTTTCACGATATTGATTCTTCCAATCCGTGAGCACGGAATGTTTTTTTGTGCTGTCTCTGATATCTTCTAGCAGTGTTTTGTAGTCTTCTTGCAGAAGTCTTTCACCTCCTTGGTTAGCCATATTCCAAGGTATTTAACTTTCTTTGTGGCTATTGTAAATGGGATTGTGTTCTTGATTTAACTCTCAGCCTGGGCATTATTGGTGTACAGAAATGCTACTGATTTTTGTACATTGGTTTTGTATCCTGAAACCTCGCTAAAATTGTCTGTCATTTCCAGGAACCTTTTGGTAGAGTCTCTAGGATTTTCTAAAGATAGACTCAATCGTCAGCAAAGAGAGATAGTTTGACTTCTTTTCCAATTGGGATGTCTTTTATTTCTTTCTCTTGCCTGTTGCTCTGGCTAGGACTTCCAGTACTATGTTGAATAGGAGTAGTGAGAGTAGGCATCCTCATTCTGTTCCAGTTCTCAGGGGAATGGTTCCAGCTTCTACCTGTTCAGCATGATGTTGGCTGTGGGTTTGTCATAGATGGCTCTTACTATTTTGGGGTATGTTCCTTTGATGCCTAGTCTGCTGAGGGTTTTTTTTTTTCTATCATGAAGTGATGTTGGATTTTATTGAAAGATTTTTCTGTGTCTATTGAGTTGATCATATAGTTTTGCTTTTAATTATGTTTATGTGATTAATAACATTTATTTATTTATGTATGTTGGATCAACCTTGCATCTCAGGAATAAAGCCTGCTTGGTTGTGGCTTTAACTAAACCACATTGGTTTAGTTAAAACTCACCATTGTGGTGAATTAACTCTTTGATGTGCAGCTGGATTCAGTTTGCTAGTATTTTGTTAATGATTTTCGAATCTATTTTCATCAGAGACATTGGCCTGATGTTTTCTTTTTTTGTTGTATCACTGCCAGATTTTGGTATTATGCTGTTGGTGGCTTCAAAGAATGAGTTAGGGAGAAGTCTCTCTTCCTTGATTTTTTGGAATAGTTTCAGTAGTATTGGTACCAGTTCTTCTTTATATATCTGGTAGAATTCGTCTGTGAATCCATCTGGTCCAGGGAATTTTTTGGTTGGTAGGTTTTTTTTTTTTATTACTGATTCAATTTCAGAGCTTGATATTGGTCTGTTCAGGGTTTCAGTCTCTTCCTGACTTAATCCTGGGAGGCTGTGTGTTTCCAGGAATTTATCCATTCTTTTAGATTTTCTAATTTATGTGCATAGAGTTGTTCATAGTATTATCTGAGGATCTTTTGTGTTTCTGTGGCATCAGTTGTAAAATGTCATCTTTGTCATTTCTGATTATACTTATTTGGATCTTCTCTTTTATTTTTCTTTGTTAATCTAGCTAGTTGAAACAAATTTTCTTAGCATTTACTTGTCTGAGAAGGATTTTATTTTTCTTTCATGTATGAAGCTCAGTTTGGCGAGATATGAAATTCTTGGTTGGAATTTCTTTTCTTTAACAATGCTGAAAATAGGCCCCCATTCTCTTCTGGCATGTAGGGTTTCTACTGGGAAGTCTGCTGCTAGCCTGATGGGATTCCCTCTGTATGTGACTTGACTCTTCTCTCTAGCTGCCTTTAAAATTTTTTCTTTTGTGTTGACCTTGGCGAATCTGATGACTATGTACCTTGGGGATTGCCATTTTTTATAGTATCTATCTGGGGTTCTCTGTGTTTCTTGGACTTGCACATCAACTTCTCTATCAAGATTAGGGAAATTTTCATGGACTGTATCCTCAAATATACTTTCCAAGTTGCTTATTCTCTTTCCTCTCTCAGGAATGCCAATGAGTGAGAGATTTGGTCTCTTTACATAATCCCATATTTCTCAGAGGTTTTGTTCACTTTTCTTAATTCTTTTTTCTTATTTTTGTCTTACTTAGTTGATTCAAGGAATTGGTCTTTGAGCTCTGAAATTCTTTCTCCAGCTTGGTCTATTCTGCTGTTACTACTTTTCATTATATTATGAAATTATTGTAGTGAATTTTTCAGCTCTAGAAGTTCAGTTTGATCCTTTCTTAAAATAGCTATTTCATTTTTACCTCTTGGATTGCTTTACTGGATTCCTTGGATTGGGTTTCAACTTTCTCCTGAATCTTGATGAGCTTCCTTGCCATCCAGATTCTGAATTCTATGTTTCTGTGTTTGTCATTTCAGTTATTTCAGACTGCTTAAGAACCATTGCTGGGGAGTTATTGGACTCATTTGGAGGTAAGGGGATACTCTGGCTTTTTGAATTGCTAGAGTTCTTGCTCTGATTTTTTTTTCATATGGGAGGGTTGATGTTCCTTTAATTGTGGCATAAATTGAGTATATTTAGTTGGTTTCATTTCTGGATGCTTCCAGAAGGCCAGGGCACTGTACAGGATCTTTATGTGCGGGTGAATTCTTGGGCTTGGTTTCACAGGTAGATATTGGAAGGATAATTTTTCTTGTCGTAGTTTGGGCTGCAATCCGGTGGATGACGCCTAAGAGTAATGGCCAGTAGCTAGGCTAATACCCAGGCACATGAGTTTTTTTTTTTTTTTTTTTTTTTTTTGAGACGGAGTCTCTCTCGCTCTGTCACCCAGGCTGGAGTGCAGTGGCGCGATCTAGGCTCACTGCAAGCTCTGCCTCCCAGGTTCACGCCATTCTCCTGCCTCAGCCTTCCGAGTAGCTGGGACTACAGGCGCCCGCCACCACGCCCGGCTAATTTTTTTGATTTTTTTAGTAGAGACGGGGTTTCACCGTGTTAGCCAGGATGGTCTCGATCTCCTGACCTCGTGATCCCCCTGCCTCGGCCTCCCAAAGTGCTGGGATTACAGGCGTGAGCCACCGCGCCCAGCCAGCACATGAGTTTTGTACCTCCTCACGTTTGCAGGCCTGCTCTGTGTGGTTGGCAGGAAGTGACGGCCCCCTCACCAGGTCCGCTCCTGGGCCGTGGGGGAGTTCCCTCTGATTACCAGTACAGCACTCATGTTTATTTTGTTAGGTGTTTTGGGTCACGGGGGCCCCCTTGGCCAGAGCCTGTGATAGGGAGATATGTTACACCCCTTCTGGACCGGCCTTGTGGAGGGAGGTACATCCTGCTCCCACCCAGCCCTGGAACCTATGCGTCTTGCCCGTCTCAGTGCACTGAGAGTGGGGGCTCCTACCTCACTCCATTTTGGGCCACAGATCTTGGCTTTGTATTCTCGAGCTGCTCTGGAAGCACCTGACGTCCCACGACTTAGGGTTGGATTCTGGCTGCGCTGAAAGGTCCGATGTGCTCCTGGTTTGCCAGCAATGTACTCAGGTGGAACAATGCATTGAGGCTGGGCTGTGGCGGCTGCACTGTGTACCCACCCCTCTGGGGCAGCTGGGCATGGGCCCTGGGAGGGGCTGGAGGGCAGGAGGGCTTGTGGAACAGACTTGCCCCACTCCTATGGGGAAGCTGACCCTATCCTTTCTAGGCTAGAAGTCAGTGGGAGCCAGTGTCTCCTGGAGGGGGATGGGGAGCCCTAGGAGATGGGTGTCTATGGCTGCTCTTTGCTGGAGCCGCCCAGCACACAAAAATTCCCAGGCTCCACACTATCTGAAGGCCTATCTCTTCCTGTTCCCTAGGGAGATCACACGTCCATGGGTGATGCAAGGTCCCCTGTAGCTAGGATCCCAGATGTCCACGGCAAGAGTGAGCTGTTCCTCACTCACCTCTTTCCCAGGAGCCCTTCCGGGTGGAACTAGCCCTAGCATTCCGGTCCCCTGTGCAGGGTTCCCAGCTTCCTTCCTCTTCAGTCTTGGCATCAATGCTGCCTCTCCATCCACTCTTGGCTTTTTCTCTCCAGAGATCTGTCCAAATTACGGTGGTTTACTTGATAATTAGGTCTCTCTTGGTGGGAGCAGCACTTCTTGGCTGCATCTAGTTGGCCATCTTGTCCTCCCTCCTGTAGGAAAAAAATCTATACCTGTTTTCTATTCTCATTATTTTCTGCTTTTTTATTAGTTCCTTCGTCTTCATACTTGAGTTCATTTTCTTCTTTTTAAAAATTTATTGAGATGGGTACTTAGCTCATTAACTTTCAGAGTTTCTTTTTTAGGATCCTCTGCATTTAGGACTATATATTTTCTTATATATCCTGTTTTAACTGCTGTGTTATTCTGAATATTTCATTACCCCTTAAAAAAAAAAAAGAGGAATCAACAGGTCAGAGGCAAATAAGCATTTACTCTAAAATGAGGGTTGTAGCCCAGGTAGCAGTTAGAGGCTGTGTCACCTGAGAGGGGTGAGGAGGTTCACATTTATAGGAATTCATTTAGATTACATAAATTGTCAAATTATTTTATTGGTGGATTAAGCAAAGAAGTCTTTAACCATTATTAGAAGGGTGCATTTGCATCAGTTAGGAAAAACCTATATGCATGCTACAGCCTGATGATCTCTTTTTGCCTAGAAAAGTCAATGCACTGAGAACAACAGGTGTTGCATCAAAGAGGTTAATAATCCCAGAGCCAGCCAAGTGAGAAGGACAAGAGATAATTCTCAAATCTGCCTCCCTGAGAATTTAGAGGGGAGGGATTTTCAGGGATAGTTTGGTAGGCAGGGGGTTAGGGAATGGAGAAGGCTTGTTGGTTGAGTCAGGGGTGAAATCACAGGGGGTTGAAGCTGTCTCCTTGCACTGAGTTAGTTCCTGGGTGGAGGTCACAGGACTAGTTGAGTCAGTTTCTTGGTATAGGTTACCAGTTTGGGTGGTTCCAGCTGGTCCATTAGAATGCAAGGTCTGAAAAATACCTCAAACACCAGTTTTAATGATGTTACCTATTGGAGCAATTGGGGAGGTTACATCTTGTGACCTCCAGCTACATGACTCCTGAACCATAATTCTAACCTTGCAGCCAGTTTGTTAGTTTTATACAGGTGGTTTCGGTCCCCAAGCAAGGAGTGGGTTAGTTTTGGGAAGGGGTTGTTATCATCTTTGCTTTAAAGTTAAACCATAGGCCAGGTGTGATGCTCACACCTGTAATCCCAGCACTTTGGGATTATATCTGCTGCTTGGATTCTCTTGCTTTGTATAGGTTCTGGGAGCAGCTCCTCTAGAATTTTGGTGATTTTTTTTTTTTTTAAGCGGAGTCTTGCTTTGTCACCCAATCTGGAGTGCAGTGGTGTGATCTTGGCTCAGTGAAACCTCCGCCTCCGGGTTCAAGTGATTCTCCTGCCTCAGTCTCCTGAGTAGCTGGGATTACAGGTACACACCACCACACCCGACTAATTTTTGTATTTTTAGTAGAGATGAGGTTTCACCATGTTGGCCAGGCTGGTCTTGAACTCCTGACCTCAAGTGATCTGCCCGCCTCAGCCTCCCAAGTGCTGGGATTACAGGCATGAGCCACTATGCTTGGCCCTGGTGATGTTTTTTTTTTTTTTTTTCCATGGGGAAACTTAAAAGAAGTTTAGTGGTGTGAAAGTTGTCAGAAAGAGTTCTGATGTTTGTATGCCTAATAACAAAACCATCCACTATCACTGAGGCAGGAAGATCTCTTGAGCCCAGGAGTTTGAGCCCAGCTTGGGTAACACAGTGAGCCCTCGTCTCTACAAAAAATAAAAAAAATTAGTTGGGTATGATGGCACGCATTTGTGGTCCCAGCTACTCAGGAGGCTGAGGTGGGAGGACTACTTGAGCCCGGGAGGTCAAGGCTGCAGTGAGCAGTGATTGTGCCACAGTACTCAAGCCTGGGTGACAGAGCAAGCCTCTCTCTCTCTCTCTGTGCGTGTGTCTCTAAAGTTAGACTATAATTTTCAGCTTTTCTTTTTAAATATCCTCTGCATTTAGGGATATATATTTAGCTCCCATAGTTAGCTTGGCCTACACCGGGAATGAATAAAGACACCTTGTAAGGTTAGAAGCAGGATGGAGTCAGCTATGTAAGATTTCTCTCACTGTCATAATTTTTGCAAAGGTGATTTCATATAGAGTGTTCCTAAAGATAAGGACCAGTTTCCTTGTCTTGTATATTGTTAAGAGTATGGTTGTTTGTGAAGGAAACGTGTTTCATAGTTCCTTTGTGGGTCTCAACATTCATCAAACAGTTCAACATGGAGTCGGTAGCCTAAGATGGAGTCACTGATGTTAAGTCTGAAACATTGCTAAGTTCACAATTTCTAATGTCCTGGTTGTATTATAAAAATGTATATTCTGCAGTTATTTGATATAATGTTGTATATACATCTATTAGGTCAAATTTATTAATTGTATTGTTAAAATCTTATACTGACTGGTTTGATCTTGTCTTATCAATTATTGAGAGATTAATCCCTTGCTTTGAGTTCAATTTTCTCTTCTTTTTTTCTAGTTTCCTAAGGTAGAAGCTTAGATTTCTAATTTGATACTTTTCTTCTTTAATATAGGCATTTAATGTTATAAATTTCCTTTTAAGCACTACCTTAGCTGCAGCCCACAAATTTTGATATGTTATATTTTCATTTTCATTCCACTTAAAATATTTCTTAATTTCCCTTGAGGTTTCCTCCTTGACAATTAGTTATTTAGAAGTATGTCCTTTAACTTCCCAATATTTGGGGGGGATTTTCCAGATACCTTTCTGTTATTGTTTTTTAGTTCTTTTGTGATATTTTAGTCCTATTTTTTGTTTGTTATTTTCTTATTCTATTTTGTTTCTATATGGGTTTGGAATCTTTGTTTTTCTATTATTTTACTAGTTTACCTGAAAATTTTGATAATGCACTTTTAATAAACTCTGAAGTGAATTACTATCTTTACTATTTCCCTATAGAATGCAAGGCCTTAGGAAACTTTCACTCTAAATATTGCCCAACTTACATGCTTCTATTTTCCATCATTTTAATTTTGAATATCTAACTCCACAAAGCAGTGATTATCTTTTGTCACAGGTCAGGCTCCCCTGAGAAACATTCTGCGATGGAGACTGGTGTACAAGTTGATTGGACAGTGGTTTTGGAATCAACATCTGTGTGTGTTTGTGGGGTGGGGTGGTGGGAGGCTGAAGGAAGTAGGACTGGTGACAGGGACAAGCTGTGCTCTGGTGCAGTCACAACAAAGTGCTCAGCCAATCTTGTGGGGAGTTGTGGAGCTGAAATGGCCCTGCAGACTTGTCTCTCACTGAGGCAAAGGGGCTCTCCTTTTGAGAATAATTTTCAGATTGGGATTCACCTGAGTGCTATCAGCAGATAGCTCTCCTAGCAGCTGGGGGAACCACTGCTTTAATCCTGAAAGGGGTGGAGGGAATCTGGTTGGTGCACTGTAGCATCCACTGGAATCCATTTGTGTGCTGCTTGGACCCACTTGCTTTGCATATGCTCTGGGAGTAGCTCTTTCAGGATTTTGGTGATGTCTTTTCATGGGGAAAATTGAAAGAAGTTTAGTGGTGTGAAAGTTGTCAGAAAGGTTCTCATGTTTGTATGCCTGATAACAGAACTATCCCAAGAGATGGCAACAATCACAACCTTGCAAAGTCCATTGCAACCTACACAAAAAATACTTCTGCAAAGGCATTTGCCCAGCAACTGTCTGTTCAGCCTTGAACTGGCGTCACCCTTGTTATTGACCCTGATAGCCAAGGATAATCATCTCATTTCTGTTTTTGTTTGAGGTGAGGTCTCGCTCTGTCACCCAGGCTGGAGTGCAGTGGCGTGATCTTGGTTCACTGCAACCTCCGCCTCCTGGGCTCAAGAGATTCTCCCACCTCAGCCTCCTCAGTAGCGGGGACCACAGGCACGCACCACCACGCCTGGCTAATGTTTTGTATTTTGGTAGAGATAGGATTTCGCCATGTTGCCCAGGCTGGTCTCAAACTCCTGAGCTCAAGCAATCCGCCTGAACCTTGGCCTCTCAAAGTGCTGGGATTACAGGCATGAGCCACCATGCCCTGCCAATAATTTCAAAACAATTGTGTATAATCCTCCTCATTTTTCCTTTAAAAACTTTTGTCTTCCTTTACCTCCCTGAATATATACATAGTTTATTATGGCATATGTATTCCCATTGCAAAGGCTTATTGCCAAATAAATACCTTTTTCTTTTAGAAGGTCTCTCTCTGTTATTTCATTTAACAGTGGAATTAATTACAGCTCCCACTGCTGCAACTGGTCTCTAGGCTGCACCTGTCCCTTACTACTCATTCTAGATTCCTCTTATTCTAGAGTGGTATTGCTGCTAGTCTAGTGGCTTACCTTGTGGTCTGACTCAGATCTTCATCCTTAAAGTTCTGAAAGCCTGGTTACCTTTCCCTTCTCAGGTTGTAATTGCTGAGTTTATAATTTACAATAAAAGTTGGGCCGGGCGCGGTGACTCACACCTGTAATCCCAGCACTTTGGGAGGCCGAGGCAGGCAGATCACGAGGTCAGGAGATCAAGACCATCCTGGCTAACACAATGAAACCCCGTCTCTACTAAAAATACAAAAAAATTAGCTGGGCATGGTGGCAGGTGCTTGTAGTCCCAGCTACTCGGGAGGCTGAGGCAGGAGAATGGCGTGAACCCGGGAGGTGGAGCTTGCAGTTAGCGGAGATCGTGCCACCGCACCCCAGCCTGGGCGACAGAGCGATACTCCGTCTCAAAAAAAAAAAAATAGTTGGGCAAGGAGGCCGGGCATGGTGGCTCACGCCTGTAATCTTAGCACTTTGGGAGGCCAAGGTAGGTGGATTACCTGAGGTCAGACATTTGAGACCAGCCTGGCCAAAACATGATGAAACCTCGTCTCTACTAAAAATACAAAAATTAGCTGGGCTTGGTGGTGTTCACCTGTAATCTCAGCTACTTGGGTGGCTGAGGCACAAGAATCACTTGAACCCAGGAGGTGTAGGTTGCAGTGAGCTGAGATCATGCCACTGCACTACAGCCTGGGTGACAGAGTGAGATTCTGTCTCAAAAAAAAAAAAAAAAAATTGGGCAAGGAAGTGCCAAGAGACACCACAATGGATCACCTGGATGCCAAACATATTCTTCATCGCTAATTTTGATGATTAGGGTTAGTCATCCCTTCCGGGATAGTGAGTCTTTCATGCTTGTTAGTCTCTTAGCATGAGAAACGTGAAGCTGCAGCTGTAGCTTAAAGTTTAATGGGACACCCACTACGTTTCCTAGAACTGAGAACTAATATCTCTTAGCTATAGAGCTCAACGTGACAGGGACAGGAAGTACAGATTCCCAAAATAGGTCACTAGGAGTGACGGTGAACAGGGCAGTTTTATGTCTACTCCTGGGTTCCCAGGTTCATGTATTCTATGTATCAGAGACAGCACCATACCATGGTCATGTTACTGTCAGGGAGAATGGCAGCCCATTTCCACAGGGTTTCCAAATCTCATTTTAGAGCTTGCTGCCTTGAACTACTTCTGACACCAACTGTTTTAGGTCAGGTTTCCTGGGTAACAGACTCTGAGATGGAGATTTGCGTGCAGGAAGTTTACTGGGAAATGCGCGTGGTCTCAACACCTGTGAGGTGAAAGATTGAAGAAAGCAGGATTGGCCAGAAGAAGGTGAATTGTGATATAGTCATAACAAAGCTTCAGCTGATTTCATAAGAGCCTCTGGAACTGGGATGGCTGTGAAAAATTGTCCTCCATTGAGGCAAAGGGGCCAAGCTTCTCTATCCACATCAACCAGCCACTGGATGTGAACTGCTTCTGGGAAGTAAATGTGTCCCTTGGGCAAGGTGGCTCTTTTCAGTGGAGGGGAGTTGGTTCTCCTCACTTGCATTCATAATAGTTCATTTTGTGTTTGGTAATTTTCTTTTTAGGGACAGAGTTTCACTCTGTTGCCCAGGCTGGAGTGCAGTAGCATGATCATGGCTCACTGTAACCTGGGCTCAAATGATCCTCTCATATCAACCTCCTGAGTAGCTGGGGCTACAAGCACTTGCCACCACGCCTGGCTAACTTTTAGATTTTGGGGAAATAAGGATGGGGTCTCACTATGTTGTCCAGGTTGGTCTTTAACTGCTGGCCTCAAGCAATCCTCCTGCCTTGGCCTCCCAAAGCACTGGGATTACAGGCGTGAGTCAATGCATCTGGTTGATGTGTTTGGTATTGTTTTCTGAGCTCCTAGTTAGTTAACTTAATCTGTGGAAATTTCAAGGACCTCCGAGGAGGATTGCTTATGCTTCTTCCACATCTCAATTTAGTTTATTTTCTCAGCTTGGAATTTCCTTGACTAGATGTGGTTATGTTAGCATGAACTTCAGGCCTGAGTGAGAACAGGCCAATGATTTTACACTCTTATGGGAGAATATTACTATTATTGTTGTTGTTAATTATTTTATGCCCTGAGCTATGGCAGAGGCAGATAGCTTTTGTGGTGGCTTCCGTTTGCTAGAAGGCAAATAATTAAAAGAAAGAGCCTACCTATCACTTTCGGGGATGATAGGATTATAAACCTAGAAACCCCAAAATGCCAGTGAAAAAATACTAGAATTTATAATATTTTGGCAAGATGGCTGTGTAGAAGATACATTTGCAAAAAGTATCTGTCCTCTGTACTATTTATAAGCACTTAGAAGTGGAAAGAGAAAAATATCTCATTCACATTAACAATGAAAAGTGCCAAATATTTAGAAAAAAATTTAATAAAAAAGGCACTGAATCATATGAAGAACACTATAAAATCTTACTGAAGTGTATAAAATAAGATCTGAACAAAGGAAAACTACATATATCCTGAGATTTAAAATGTAATATTATAAAAAGTTAGTTTTCCAAAAATTATTATGTATATTGACTGCATGATTATGTATATTGTAATCTCAATTCAAATCTCAACAGACTTTTGGTGAAAATTGATTAAAATATATTAAAAATTTCATGAAAGAATAAATTGGAATAGGTTTATGAGACAGAACATGCAAATGTGGCAAAACATTAACAGTGAGTGGGTAGATAGGAAAGATACATGTGAGCTTATGATAATATTTTACAACTTTTCTGTAAGTTTAAATGACTTTTTTTTCCTTTTTTTATTTGAGACAGAGTCTCTCTTTGTTGCCCAGTGCAATGGCACGATCTCGCCTCACTGCAACCTCTGCCTCCTGTTTCAAGCCATTCTCCTGCCCGAGTAGCTGGCATTACAGGTGTGTGCCACCACGCCTGGCTGATTTTTGTATTTTTAGTAGAGACGGGGTTTCGCCATGTTAGTCAGGCTGGTCTCAAACTCCTGACCTCATGTGATCCATCTACCTCGGCCTCCCAAAGTGCTGGGATTACAGGCATGAGCCACTCCTCCCAGCCTTAAATTACTTGTGAAAATAAACAGTTTAATTAATCTTTTTTTAAAAAGAGGATAACAAGGAAGACTTGTGATATCAGACAACAGAACATAGCGAAAAGCTGCCGCAATGAAATCAATAAGGTATTTGTGTCAGAATAGGCAAATATGATAAGTTGAAGAGAAGACAAAACCCAGACAGAATTGCAGATGGATTAAAAATTTAAAATGAATAGCAAAAAAATATGTTTATATAAATACAACAATTGATAAAAATATGGACTAACATATGGTAGATTTTTTTCTGTTTATTTTATTTTATTGTTATTATACTTTAAGTTTTAGGGTACATGTGCACAATGTGCAGGTTAGTTACATATGTATACATGTGCCATGCTGGTGTGCTGCACCCATTAACTTGTCATTTAGCATTAGGTATATCTCCTAAAGCTATCCCTCCCCACTCCCCCGACCCCACAACAGTCCCCAGAGTGTGATGTTCCCCTTCCTGTGTCCATGTGTTCTCATTGTTCAGTTCCCGCCTATGAGTGAGAATATGCAGTGCTTGGTTTTTTGTTCTTGCAATAGTTTACTGAGAATGATGATTTCCAATTTCATCCATGTCCCTACAAAGGACATGAACTCATCATTTTTTATGGCTGCATAGTATTCCATGGTGTATATGTGCCACATTTTCTTAATCCAGTCTATCATTATTGGACATTTGGGTTGGTTCCAAGTCTTTGCTATTGTGAATAGTGCCGCAATAAACATACGTGTGCATGTGTCTTTATAGCAGCATGATTTATATTCCTTTGGGTATATACCCAGTAATGGGATGGCTGGGTCAAATGGTATTTCTAGTTCTAGATCCCTGAGGAATCGCCACACTGACTTCCACAAGGGTTGAACTAGTTTACAGTCCCACCAACAGTGTAAAAGTGTTCCTGTTTCTCCACATCCTCTCCAGCACCTGTTGTTTCCTGACTTTTTAATGATTGCCATTCTAACTGGTGTGAGATGGTATCTCATTGTGGTTTTGATTTGCATTTCTCTGATGGCCAGTGATGGTGAGCATTTTTTCATGTGTTTTTTGGCTGCATAAATGTCTTCTTTTGAGAAGTGTCTGTTCATGTCCTTCGCCCACTTTTTGATGGGGTTGTTTGTTTTTTCTTGTAAATTTGTTTGAGTTCATTGTAGATTCTGGATATTAGCCCTTTGTCAGATGAGTAGGTTGCAAAAATGTTCTCCCATTTTGTAGGTTGCCTGTTCACTCTGATGGTAGTTTCTTTTGCTGTGCAGAAGCTCTTTAGTTGAATTAGATCCCATTTGTCAATTTTGGCTTTTGTTGCCACTGCTTTTGGTGTTTTAGACATGAAGTCCTTGCCCATGCCTATGTCCTGAATGGTAATGCCTAGGTTTTCTTCTAGGGTTTTTATGGTTTCAGGTCTAATGTTTAAGTCTTTAATCCATCTTGAATTAATTTTTGTATAAGGTGTAAGGAAGGGATCCAGTTTCAGCCTTCTACATATGGGTAGCCAGTTTTCCCAGCACCATTTATTAAATAGGGAATCTTTTCCCCATTGCTTGTTTTTCTCAGGTTTGTCAAAGATCAGATAGTTGTAGATATGTGGCATTATTTCTGAGGGCTCTGTTCTGTTCCATTGATCTATATCTCTGTTTTGGTACCAGTACCATGCTGTTTTGGTGACTGTAGCCTTGTAGTATAGTTTGAAGTCAGGTAGCATGATGCCTCCAGCTTTGTTCTTTTGGCTTAGGATTGACTTGGCGATGCGGGCTCTTTTTTTGGTTCCATATGAACTTTAAAGTAGTTTTTTCCAATTCTGTGAAGAAAGTCATTGGTAGCTTGATGGGGATGGCATTGAATCTATAAATTACCTTGGGCAGTATGGCCATTTTCACGATATTGATTCTTCCTACCCATGAGCATGGAATGTTCTTCCATTTGTTTGTATCCTCTTTTATTTCATTGAGCAGTGGTTTGTAGTTCTCCTTGAAGAGGTCCTTCACGTCCCTTATAAGTTGGATTCCTAGGTATTTTATTCTTTTTGAAGCAATTGTGAATGGGAGTTCACTCATGATTTGGCTCTCTGTTTGTCTGTTATTGGTGTATAAGAATGCTTGTGATTTTTGTACATTGATTTTGTATCCTGAGACTTTGCTGAAGTTGCTTATCAGCTTAAGGAGATTTTGGGCTGAGACGATGGGGTTTTCTAGATATACATTCATGTCGTCTGCAAAGAGGGACAATTTGACTTCCTCTTTTCCTAATTGAATACCCTTTATTTCCTTCTCCTGCCTAATTGCCCTGGCTAGAACTTCCAACACTATGTTGAATAGGAGTGCTGAGAGAGGGCATCCCTGTCTTGTGCCAGTTTTCAAAGGGAATGCTTCCAGTTTTTGCCCATTCAGTATGATATTGGCTGTGGGTTTGTCATAGATAGCTCTTATTATTTTGAGATACGTCTCATCAATACCTAATTTATTGAGAGTTTTTAGCATGAAGGGTTGTTGAATTTTCTCAAAGGCCTTTTCTGCATCTATTGAAATAATCATGTGGTTTTTGTCTTTGGTTCTGTTTATATGCTGGATTACATTTATTGATTTGTGTATATTGAACCAGCCTTGCATCCCAGGGATGAAGCCCACTTGATCATGGTGGATAAGCTTTTTGATGTGCTGCTGGATTCGGTTTGCCAGTATTTTACTGAGGATTTTTGCATCAATGTTCATCAAGGATATTGGTCTAAAATTGTCTTTTTTGGTTGTGTCTCTGCCAGGCTTTGGTATCAGGATGATGCTGGCCTCATAAAATGAGTTAGGGAGGATTCCCTCTTTTTCTATTGATTGGAGTAGTTTCAGAAGGAATGGTACCAGTTCCTCCTTGTACCTCTGGTAGAATTTGGCTGTGAATCCATCTGGTCCTGGACTCTTTTTGGTTGGTAAGCTATTGATTATTGCCACAATTTCACAGACTGGCAAATTGGATAAAGAGTCAAGACCCGTCAGTGTGCTGTATTCAGGAAACCCATCTCATGTGCAGAGACACACATAGGCTCAAAATAAAAGGATGGAGGAAGATCTACCAAGCAAATGGAAAACAAAAAAAGGCAGGGGTTGCAATCCTAGTCTCTGATAAAACAGACTTTAAACCAACAAAGATCAAAAGAGACAAAGAAGGCCATTACATAATGGTAAAGGGATCAATTCAACAAGAGGAGCTAACTATCCTAAGTATATATGCACCCAATACAGGAGCACCCAAGTTCATAAAGCAAGTCCTGAGTGACCTACAAAGAGACTTAGACTCCCACACAATAATAATGGGAGACTTTAACACCCCACTGTCAACATTAGACAGATCAACGAGACAGAAAGTTAACAAGGATACCCAGGAATTGAACTCAGCTCTGCACCAAGCAGACCTAATAGACATCTACAGAACTCTCCACCCCAAATCAACACAATATACATTTTTTTTCAGCACCACACCACACCTATTCCAAAATTGACCACATAGTTGGAAGTAAAGCTCTCCTCAGCAAATGTAAAAGATCAGAAATTATAACAAACTGTCTCTCAGACCACGGTGCAATCAAACTACAACTCAGGATAAAGAAACTCACTCAAAACCGCTCAACTACATGGAAACTGAACAACCTGCTCCTGAATGACTACTGGGTACATAACGCAATGAAGGCAGACATAAAGATGTTCTTTGAAACCAACGAGAACAAAGACGCAACATACCAGAATCTCTGGGACACATTCAAAGCAGTGTGTAGAGGGAAATTTATAGCACTAAATGCCCACAAGAGAAAGCAGGAAAGATCCAAAATTGACACCCTAACATCACAATTAAAAGAACTAGAAAAGCAAGAGCAAACACATTCAAAAGCTAGCAGAAAGCAAGAAATAACTAAAATCAGAGCAGAACTGAAGGAAATAGAGACATAAAAAACCCTTCAAAAATTAATGAATCCAGGAGCTGGTTTTTTTGAAAGGATCAACAAAATTGATAGACCGCTAGCAAGGCTAATAAAGAAGAAAAGAGAGAAGAATCAAATAGATGCAATAAAAAATGATAAAGGGGATATCACCACCGATCCCATAGAGATGCAAACTACCATCAGAGAATACTATAAACATCTCTACGCAAATAAACTAGAAAATCTAGAAGAAATGGATAAATTCCTTGACATATACACCCTCCTAAGACTAAACCAGGAAGAAGTTGACTCTCTGAATAGACCAATAACAGGCTCTTTTTTGTTTTTTAAATTTTGGTGGGTACATCATAGCTGTGTATATTTATGGGGTACATAAAATGTTTTGATACAGGCATGCAATGTGAAATAAATACTTTATGGGGAATGCGGTGGTAGATTGTTAATATGAGTTGCCAGGATGATGTTTGGCAAGGAAGAAATGAGGAGGAAGAAAGGGAAGCCATTCCTAAAAGGAAAGGAAAAACTACCATGTTCACAAAAAATAGGATGTAAGATTCTATCAAAGGTGTTGATGTAAAATTATGTAAATATGTTTATTTAAAAATAAACATTTTATAAATTAAAAATGAAAAATCAATTAAAATTTGCATAGAAATTTTTTTAGCTTCTTGGTAATTACATGTGTATCGGTTTGTTTTAGCTAATATTCAGTTAAAAAGGTAAAATTTATTTTAGTATCTTTTAAAATCATTTTTGTGTTATAATTTATATTTCCATGCTTGCATTTTTTGGTTGATACTATCCCCAATTCACACAAATGAATCAATGGTTCATTTAAGTATAAAAGCAGTGATATAAATAGTAATGCAAATATAGCAATCCAAAATAAGCCCATATAAATTGCAAGCAGGCCTTTGGTGTGGGATATAGAATGTGAATCTATAATGCTGAGTAACTTTGTAAGGACTTTTGGACAAGCAGCTGAAAAAGAAAAATGCCAATAAAAAATCACTCCCTTTCTAAATCTTAATTACTTTAATTAACTCTTTAATTTGGTTAAACATTTTCATGAAATTTGGGTTTCAAGATCTAGCATCATTGTCTACCTAGTGATAATTTTCCTGAATTATGAGAGAAAGTAGAACAAGATGAGGATATAAGTGTATTTTAAAATAGAGACAGGGTCTTGCTCTATTGCCCAGGCTAGAGTGAGTGGCACAATCAAAGCCCACTGCATTCTTGAACTCCTGGGCTCAAGCAATCCTCGTACCTCAGTAGCTAGGACTATAGGCACGTGCCACTATGCCTGGCTAATTTTTATTTTTTTTTGTAGTGACAGAGTCTTGCTATGTTGCCCAGGCTGGTCTCCAACTCCTGGCCTCAAGTGATCCTCCTGCCTCAGCCTCCCAAAATGTTGGGAGTATAGGCATGAGCCACTGCAGGCACAAGGTAAGGATATTAACTGCAAGATGTAATGGCCATTATGACTGTGGCTCTCAGGGTGTTCCCTCTAAATGGCAGGCCTAGGCTCTGTCTAGAAACTCCAGCTCACCTACAGACTACAGTTTCAGATGGAAAACGTGCCTTGAAACACATGCTTTCAATTTCTTTATTTTCAGAAATAAAGATATTTTAATTTTATTTTTATTATTATTATTATTTTTTGAGATGGAGTCTTGCTCTGTTTCCCAGGCTGGAGTGCAGTGGCACAATCTTGGCTCACTGCAGCCTTCACCTCCTGGGTTCAAGCGATCCTCCTGCCTCAGCTGCCCGAGTAGCTGGGATTATAGACTCCTGCCAGCATGCTCAGCTAATTTTTGTATTTTTAGTAGAGACGGAATTTTGCCATGTTGGTCAGGCTGGTCTCGAACTCCTGACCTCAAATAATCTGCCTACCTTGGCTTCTCAAAGTGCTGGGATTACAGGCATGACCCACCATGCCCGGCCTGAACTTTTTATTTTATAAATAAAGAAATTTACTTTTAGAAATAAAATTTTTATTTTGTTCATCTTCAAAAAGGTGATTTCTGGTTTTAGAAACCTGGATATTTCCCCACAGCATCTGAGAGAATGAACATAATTTTCTAGTCTATTTCTAACAAAATCTAGGTAAGTGTATTGTAAATGCCTCTTCACCATCTTGATTCAGCTCTCGACCTCCATGCAGAGCACCCTGAGTAAACCTCTCTGGAAAGGGAGATTTTGGAGGAGGTTTCTTCCTGGACAGGAATTGTTGAGCAGGAGCTTTCTTCCACGAGCTGTGCTTAATGTCTTTCCACATACTTCCTCTTTCAGTGCTGCGATCATTGTGTATTGTTCTCCTTTGGACAATCTCCAAGAGGCTGCATCTTTCTCTGGATGTTTGCAGTTGTTCCCATTAGACACTTTCTATCTTCTTTTTCAGATGACCCCCACGTATCCTATTTTAAGAACATTTATAGGGAAATAATGGTTCCTTTTGCCGGAGACATGTTTATTTTCTTTTCTGCACTTAGTTGTGATTCCTGACCTGTATGCTTATTTTTATTGCTTATAGGGAAGGGCCAAGGTATAATCAAATGATAGGCAAGCAGGCAGCTGCCTTAGGTCTTGACTTGGCTGAAAGTGTAGAAAACCCCTGTGATTCTTGAGACCCTGGCCCACCCTTTTACTCTATCACAGGTACTTAGTCAATAGCCTAGGGCAGGAGGCATTTTACACAAGACTCCACTATTGGAAGGACTAGTCCTCAGGACTAGCTTTTCTTATCTTTCCCTCTCACACATGGTTCAAGGTCACTCTCAGCCATATTCTCAACAAAGCTTAGAGTGATAGAATTCCCATTCCTGTCGTGTACCCTTGCAGTGCCTCTGGGTGGAATGCGGAGAAATGGAGTGGCTCCACTTCTGTTGTGTTTCTGAACATGTATCTCTTGCTATCAGAACTTTCTGCTCATCCCTTCTGGCACACCAAGATCCTCCACATTCCCTTCACTCATGCCACTTCATATACTGGTTATCCATGGTACAGAAGACAGGATTTAACTGAGAGGACTTTTCCCTGACTCTGAATACATGTAGGAGATAACGATATGGAAGACCTTCAGTATGTAAGTCTTAAATAGATTGGTTGGGATAAATGTTCCCTGAAACATAAGAAACAGCGCAGCGGCTCCTGTCTGTAATCCTAGCACTTTGGGAGGCCGAGGCCCAGGCAGGCAAATTGCCTGAGCTCAGAAGTTTGAGACCAGCCTGGCCAACATGCAGAAACTCCGTCTCTACTAAAAATACATAAATTAACCGGGCATGGTAACACGTGCCTGTAGTCCCAGCTACTCGGGAGGCTGAGGCAGGAGAATCACTTGAGCCTGGGAGGCAGAGGTTGCAGTGAGCCAAGATCGCGCCACTGCATTCCAGCCTGGGCAACAGAGTGAGACTTGGTCAAAAAAAAAAAAAAAAAAGGAAGAAGAAGAAGAAATCAGGTTTAGAGATGAGGACAAAGAAGACGAATGGTGGCATGAAGGAGCTAAGAGCTACTTGTCACCATGACATGAAGCTTCATGCCAGCAAATTAAAGGAGCTATTCAGAACTAGTATCCTCAACTCTACTTGCTCAGGGGCACTGACCTTATAGAGATTCCAGACATAAGCTTGTTCAGCCTTAAAGTCCAATCTTTCCACTGGCTTGGGTCCTTCCCACTTTCTGTGGCCAACTCTGAGGTTGTCTACAAGTTATTGGTCTTAGATTTATGTAATGTCTCAATGCCAGTGTAGTATTTGGTTATTTACGGTAGGAGTGGTTAGGGGTGGGGAATCTGATAATAGCTCGTAGGATAGCTAGATTCTTTTTTTTTTTTTTTTTTTTTAAAGATAGGGTCTCACTTTGTCTCCCAGGATGGATGGAGTGCAGTGGAGTGAACATGGCTCACTGCAGCCTCGACCTCCTGTGCTCAAGTGTTCCTCCTGCCTCAGCCCCTCAAGTAGCTGGGACTACAGGCACATGTCACCATGCCCAGCTAATTTTTTTTGTAGAGATGGGATTTTACCATGTTGCCCAGGCTGGTCTCGAGCTCCTGGGCTCAAGTGATCCACCAGACTCGGCCTCCCAAAATGCCGGGATTACAGGTGTGAGCCACTGTGCCTGGCCTAGATGCTTTCATACAGGCTTTTCAATTATGCATTTTCCTTAAGTAGGAAGTCTTAAGATCCAAGTTATATCGGATTGTTGTAGTCTACGTTCCCATATTCTATTCCTATTTCTGAGCCTTCAGTCATGAGCTACCATATTAAAGAACTAATTCTGGGCCTTGTTACATGGCTGGATTGGTTGGACAAGTGCCAGCTCTGATCCTGGGACTGTGGCATGTGATGACATACACCCCCTCTCCACATTCTGCATGTCTCTAGGGGGGAAGGGGGAAGCTCGGTATAGAACTTTATTGTATTTTCTGATTGCCTCACTTCTTATATTGCCCCCATGCCCTTCTTTGTTCCTCAAGTAACCAGAGACAGTGCTTCCCAGAACCAACCCTACAAGAAACAAAGGGCTAAACAAAGCCAAATGGGAAGCAGGATCATGGTTTGAACTCTTTCTGGCCAGAGAACAATACCTGCTATGGACTAGATACTGGGAGAGGGAAAGGAAAAGTAGGGTGAATTATGGAAGGAAGCTGGCAGGCTCAGCGTTTCTGTCTTGGCATGACCAGTCTCTCTTCATTCTCTTCCTAGATGTAGGGCTTGGTACCAGAGCCCCTGAGGCTTTCTGCATGAATATAAATAAATGAAACTGAGTGATGCTTCCATTTCAGGTTCTTGGGGGTAGCCAAAATGAGGTTCTTTGTCCCTCTGTTCCTGGTGGGCATCCTGTTCCCTGCCATCCTGGCCAAGCAATTCACAAAATGTGAGCTGTCCCAGCTGCTGAAAGACATAGATGGTTATGGAGGCATCGCTTTGCCTGAATGTGAGTTCCCTGCCTCTGTGTTTCATCCATTCCTCATACGCTTCTCTCCTCCATCCCCTCTTTCTTCCACTTCGCCCCTCCACTTTTACTTAATTATCTAATCATCCTCTTTTCTGCTCATTTGCATACTCTTTTATTTCATGTATGTATATATGTATGTATTTATTTATTTTTGAGGTGGAGTTTCGCTCTTGTTGCCCAGACTGGAGTGCAATGGTGTAATCTCGGCTCACTGCAACCTCCGCCTCCTCGGTTCAAGTGATTCTCCTGCCTCAGCCTCCCAAGTAGCTGGAATTACAGGCACCCACCACCATGCCTGGCTAATTTTGTATTTTTTGTAGAGACAGGGTTTCACCATGTTGGCCAGGCTGGTCTCAAACTTCTGACCTCAGGTGATCCGCCCTCCTCAGCCTCCCAAAGTGTTGGGATTACAAGCGTGAGCCATCATGCCTGGCCCCATTTATTTTCCTATCCTTTCTTTCTCTTATTGTCTGATTTTTTTTTGGAATTCTCCATCTCATCAAGAAACTCTGAGCTTTGCCATCTTTGGAGATTGGCTGGAAAGCATTTTTGTCTGAGAATTACAGTTCCTCCTTTATGCAGATCCTGTACATCTCTGTGGTATCTCTTTCTCATCTTTCCCTCAGTGATCTGTACCATGTTTCACACCAGTGGTTATGACACACAAGCCATAGTTGAAAACAATGAAAGCACGGAATATGGACTCTTCCAGATCAGTAATAAGCTTTGGTGCAAGAGCAGCCAGGTCCCTCAGTCAAGGAACATCTGTGACATCTCCTGTGACAGTGAGTAGCCCCTATAACCCTCTTTCTCTGTTTTTCTGAGGCCTGCCCTTGGGATAATCTCCTTTTTAGTGCCAAGCAGACCTCAGGCTTCATTGCCTTGGCTGGGCTCTATAAAAATTGTGGGACTTGAATTGGCAGTACTGAGTAAGAAGCTGTTTGGATTTTTCATGGTCATCAAATCCCCAGACAGTTCCTTGAGGTTCAGTGGTAGACAATCGGAGCTGTCTGAGAGTCTTGGAATCTGATTGTCTGCATTTTCAGGGTAAGTCAGTTGATGAAGCTGATGATTCCTCCAGAGATATCCCAGGGAAATGAAGGAAGTCCCTACCCAGGGTTAGACATTACCACATTGGTCCTTTCATATAGAAAGACAACAGGCACAAGCCTTGAGTTTAGAGAACCCACTGGATCCAGGGGTTAGGGGAACTCAGTGCCTTTCTGGGTAATACTTGTCAGCTGTCTCAATCCTTTCCCTGTAACTCCTGCCAGAGTTCCTGGATGATGACATTACTGATGACATAATGTGTGCCAAGAAGATCCTGGATATTAAAGGAATTGACTACTGGTGAATCCTTATTCTATTTTCTATTTCCCCATCCTCCTTCTCCTTACCCCATTAGCCCAGCACCCCTTTCCTCTTACCCTATCTCTTGGTCATTTAATCTAGAATACAGTGTCTGAAACAAAGCTTACCTAGAGACTCAGGTTTCTGTTATTAAGCCTCTCTCGCTCCGCTCCTTGGTAGCAATTTTCCTAATAAGGGGTTGCCTAATGGAGGGCTCAGACCCAGGCCTCCTTTCACTTAGACTTGGACATCTAATTCCACTTGTTTAGTTCTATGCCCTAAAGCAAGCTGTTGGTAACATTGCATCTCTTTTTTAACCCTACAATTTTCTTGGATATTTTTTATGGACTGTATTCCACTTGATGGCTTGTGTCGCTTGACATCAGGCCAGGAATGTCTTTCTGTAATTCTCGTCCACGCTCTTCCACTTCAGCCCTCCTGGGAATGAATGTAAAGATTCAGTCAGCTAACTCACCTTGTCCCCCTTCTCCATTATCAGGTTGGCCCATAAAGCCCTCTGCACTGAGAAGCTGGAACAGTGGCTTTGTGAGAAGTTGTGAGTGTCTGCTGTCCTTGGCACCCCTGCCCACTCCACACTCCTGGAATACCTCTTCCCTAATGCCACCTCAGTTTGTTTCTTTCTGTTCCCCCAAAGCTTATCTGTCTCTGAGCCTTGGGCCCTGTAGTGACATCACCGAATTCTTGAAGACTATTTTCCAGGGATGCCTGAGTGGTGCACTGAGCTCTAGACCCTTACTCAGTGCCTTCGATGGCACTTTCACTACAGCACAGATTTCACCTCTGTCTTGAATAAAGGTCCCACTTTGAAGTCACTGGCTGTAATTTTTTTCCCCCTGGAGGGAAGGGGAAGAAATAGGATGAGTAGGTGGACACTGAAGCCATAGGTCATAGCCACCTTCCATCTCTACTGAAGAAGAAGTAGGCTGAATTTACAATAGAAAGGTGAAGGTTACTGTCTGTACCAACTCAATGCAACAAACTTTTATTGATCACCTAATCTATTCAAGGAACTGTAGACGGATCCAAAGTTGGCTAAACACTGGCCGGGTGCAGTGCTTCCACCTGTAATTCCAGCACTTTGGAAGGCTGAGGTGGGCAGATTGCTTGAGGTCAGGAGTTTGAGACCAGCTTGGCTAACAGCAAAACCCTGTCTCTACCAAAAGTACAAAAATTATCTGGGTGTGGTGGCAGGCGCCTGTAATCCCAGCTACTCGGGAGGCTGAGGCAGAAGAATTGTTTGAACCTGGGAGGCAGAGGTTGTAGTGAGCTGAGATCGCGTCATTGCGCTCTAGCCTGGGTGCTCCATCTCAAAAAACAAAAACAAAAACAAAAAACAAAAACACAAAGTTGGCTGAATAGCCTTTTCCCTCAAGGACTAATGGGAAAGACAAGATAAACATTAATAAATAGTTACAATATAAGGAAGAGAGTTATAAGCATCATGAGAGAGGTTAGAAATGTGCGCTGGGCATTCACAAAAGGAAAGATAACTTATCTTTGGAGGGGATGTTGGGAAAAAGGAATCAAGAAAGGGTTCCTGAAAGGGAGAGCATTTAGGCTGGTTTTAAAGTCTGTGTGGGATTTTGACAAGTGGAGATGTGGGGTGGGAAAAGGAAGAGCATGGACGGGAACCCAAGAATCTGAAATGGGTGACTTGTTGAAGGATTTCTTTATCCTTCATGAGGAGCTGTGAAGGGAACCCTTCCTGTCTCTGGAAACCAGAGAGAGAACAGGGACCTTGACAGTCAGCACAGTGGTGCTGAAGAATCTGAGAAAATGGGACCTTTTGGTTTGGACCCTCCACTCCATTATTTCTTCTTGTGCTGTGCTTGGTTTTTAAGGAGAATATTTGCAGAACTTCATTCATTTAAATAATTATGGGATATGTGAAAGAAGAAGAATCAGGAAATTTGGGTCCTAAAATCTGTTTCTGCTACTTATTGAGGGTCTGAACCTGGGCAGGTCATCTCCATTCTCTGTGCCTCAGTTTCCTCATCTTAGAATAAGGATTTTGGTCTAGATAGTTTTCTGAGATCACTTCCTGCTTTAACAATCCAGCATTCCAAACTACAGTTTAATTTGTCACACTCTGAATGAGCTGAGAATGACATTCGCATTGTTGCTCAGCTCCACAGCCCTGGCCTTCATCCCACAGAGAAGACAGGAAAGTTCACCTGTGTGGGCAAGTACACCGTATATGAGTTCATGATCTTCAGGAGCTGTTGCTGAAGGAATTGACAGTAAGAGATTTATCTGTAGAGAGAACCTCAGCCTGAGGTCAGAAGATCAAGAACAGATAGAAGCCAGGGAACTGGCAGGAAAGACATCTTTTTCTTTTTTTCAATTATTCATTTGTTACAGTGGGTTATGATACAAATGTTTATAGATGCCTACTCTGTACTAGTACTACAGAGCAGTTTTTCTGTGTTTATATTCAGTTCAATTGTAGTGTGTTGAGTTGTAAAATAATCCATGTATTAAATCAAATAAACAAACAAAATGCCATGTTCTTTGGTACAAGCAACACTACCAAAGGCATTTGGGGTCTGCATTTGGAATTCTCAGGCAAACTCTCTCTTGTTCCTAGTCTGTACTTATTTTCCCCACACTAGCTTATGTATATATATTTTTTGAGATGGAGTTTTGCCCTTGTTGCCCAGGCTGGAGTGCAGTGGCACGATCTTGGCTCACTGAGACCTCCACGTCTTGGGTTAAAGCGTTTCTCCTGCCTCAGCCTCCTGACTAGCTGGGATTACAGGCGCCTGCCACCATGCCCGGCTAATTTTTGTATTTTTAGTAGAGATGGGCTTTCACCATGTTGCTCAGGCTGGTCTTGAACTCCCACCTCGGCCTTCCAATGTGCTGGGATTACAGGTGTGAGCCACAGTGACTGGCCTGTACATTTTTTAAATTTCAATGTCTAATATGGTGTCCACTGAATTAAGAATTCTTTTGAGAAAATGAATCAATAAATCTATACACTGCCTCCTTTATCCAGTGAGGTATGGCTGGATCAGCTTCATGACATACATGCCAGTAGTCTTCTTCGCCTTCTCCTCCTCCTCCTTTTTTACAAATAAAAATTGTATATGTTGAAGGTGTACAACTTGATGTTTTGTTATATGTATACACTTAAATGATCACCACAGTCAAGCTCATTAACATATCATCGCCTCACATGATTACTTTTCTTTTTCTTTGGACATAGAAGCAGGCTTGATAGATGCAGTTCTCTTGGCATTTGGGTAGAAGCAGGACAGGAAACTGCTGTTCTCTTCCTGAGAACTTTCTTGAGAGCTGAATAGGAGGCAGCATGGCAGCTGAGCATCGGTTCTGCTTTCTCTACCTCTGTCTCTTTCCCTTAGGCCTAAAATGAAGCTCTAAGCCAAGCAAAGGTCTGAAGTCATCCAGACTAATTGGGAAGCGGGTAGGCTCCAGGGAGTGGCTCTCAGAGAGCAGACCATTTACTGAGCTCTGTGTGAGAAAGACTCAAAATGGTTCACAGCAATACAGAGTTTTGTTCTCTCCTCTTATCCTGCTTTCTCCTCCCTGCTACTTTTCCCTGACACCTATCTTGTTGTGAAGACAGGAATTGCATTAGATAAAATCAAATGTTTTTTATTTTTTTTTGAGATGGAATCTTGCTCTGTTGCCCAGGCTGGAGTGCTGTGGCACGATCTTGGTTCACTGCAACCTCCGCTTCCTGGGTTCAAGCGATTCTCCTGCCTCAGCCTTCTGAATAGCTGGGATTACAGGCATGCGCTGCCACGCCCAGCTAATTTTTGTATTTTTAGTAGAGACGGGGTTTCACCATGTTGGCCAGGTGGGTCTTGAACTCCTGCCCTCAGGTGATCCGCCCTCCTCAGCCTTCCAAAGTGCTGAGATTACAGGCGTGAGACACCGTGTCTGGCCTCTTTTTTTTTTTTTTTTGATGGAGTCTCTCTCTCTGTTGCCCAGGCTAGAGTGCAGTGGCGTAATCTCAGCTCACTGCAACCTCTGCCTCTCAAGTTCAAACAGTTTTCCTGCCTCAGCCTCCCAAGTAGCTGGGGTTACAGGTGCCCACCACCATGCCCAGCTAATTTTTGTATTTTTAGTAGACCTGGGGTTTCACCGTGTTGGCCGGGTTGGTCTTGAACTCCTGACCTCAGGTGATCCGCCCACCTCAGCCTCCCAAAGTGCTGGGATTACAGGCGTGAGCCACCATGCCCGGCCCCAAATATTTCTTTTCATGTTTCTTCTCCCACTTCTCCTTCTCTCTCATCCATTCATTTTTTTCATTTATTGAACACTAATTAAGAGCCTATTAGGTGACAGGAGGTACTAGATATTGGGTATACAGAAGCTATTAGAGGTTTTTCTCTTAAGACCCTTATACTTTAGAGGGGGATACTCCCCTCCTCCCATTTCCTGGGATCATGCAAGAGAAAAGACTTCAGGTGATCCACATTCATTCCTTCCTTCACTGCTTGATTTGTCACCAAGTGGTTATTGAGGATATGCTGTTTGCTAGGTACTACTTTACTTATTTATTTGTTTATTTAGAGATGGGGTCTCACAATGTTGCCCAGTCTACAGGACAGTGGCTATTCACAGGTGTGAGCACAGCACACTACAGCCTCAAACTCCTGAGTTCAAGAGATCCTCCTGCCTCAGTCTCTCGAGTAGCTGGGACTACAGGGATGTGCCACCACACATGGCTTAGGCTCTACTTTAGCTGCTACTTGTTAAGGATGAAGATAGGAGGAGACACTCTTATTTTATTTGATTTCTTTTTTTTTTTTTTTTTGACAGAGTTTTGCTCTGTTGCCAGGCTGGAGTGCTCACTGCAACCTCCACCTCCCAGGTTCAAGCAATTCTCCTGCTTCAGCCTCCCGAGTAGCTGGGACCACAGGCATGAACCACCACACCAGGCTAATTTCTGTATTTTTAGTAGAGACAGGGTTTCACCATATTGGCCAGGATGGTCTTGATCTCCTGACCTTGTGATCTGCCCGCCTCGGCCTCCCAAAGTGCTAGGATTACAGGTGTGAGCCACCATGCCCGGCCTATTTGACTTCTTTCTAAGTTGTTATGGGATGTAGATCTTTCCAGGGACTTTTTGGCATGAGAACAAAAGAGGAGTTGGGTCACAGTGCCAAGATGGGACTATCCCAGAATGCAGAAGGACATTTGCTAGTGGTCTGATAGGTCGATTTACCTTTTGTGCATAGACATAAGTAAAAGGGAGAGGGAGAGGCAGGAAGAAGAGGGGTCAAAAAGGCAAGAAATGAGAGGAAAAAGTATTAGCTGTAGAAATGGCCAGGATGCCCTGGATGCCCTGAGGATTTTCTTGTATAATGACTGGACCCCCTCTGATGGGTGCTACCTGCTCTGTGAGAGTTTCCTCATTGCCTTTGGCTGGGAACAGGGCATTGGAGGAAGATAAACTAAGGTCTCTGTTTTGGAAGGAGATGAATGTTGAGGTAGCTGAGTGGTGATAGCTCTTCCTCCCTCCTTTTTTCCCCATAACTTTTCCTCCTGCTGAGGCAGGGACGCTGGGCTACAAGGGAAGCCTGGACTTCCTGGCCAGCATCCTCCTCAGAGCCACCTTTACCTCCTGGCTCTTCAGACTGTAGATGAGGGGGTTCAGCAGGGGGGTTATCACACTGTACTGCACGGAGAGCACTTGTTCTAGGGCTGAGCCAGATGCTGGAATCATATACCTTGAAGGGAATTGTACAGAAAAGCAACTTATGACAATGGTGACAATTCTCACTGTTGGCAGCAATAATTCATCCCCTCCCTGCAAAGACTCTGCAAAGGAGGTCTTCAGAGCTGACTTTCTCTGGTGGCAGCATCTAGAAATGGCTGATCTGTGAAAAGTCAGTCATTTCTGCCTTCAAACACTTCCAAACATAAGTGAGCTCACACAGAAAGTTATAGGAGCTGCCCCGAGGAACAAGCAGTTCTGCAGCATATCAAATGTTGCAGGTTAGAACAGAATTAATATTGGGGACAGATAAAAAGTAAAACAAAAAAATAGAATGAATAATAATATCATACATTTCCATAGCATTTCATACTCTTCAAAGCATTCTTCCTTAATAGCTGTGATGATCATATGAGGAATTTTTCTCTTTATACACAACAGTACAGAAACGCAATGTTCTCACCTTGTGATGACTGTTCATGTAAACTGTACACTTAGTTTAAAATATCGTCATTATTCCCAACCTTCATGGCCCTGGGAATTACCCTCAGAATCCTTGCCTGTTATTTGTATAAAGTTGAGTGGAACAAACATTTGCCCTTTTAGTTGCATTTTTCTTTGGTTTGGAAAAGAAGCCAAAACTGGTAAAATGGGAGATAAAAATGTGTTAAGCACATAATATGATTCCAAAATAATAAGATTAAAATCTTGGGTACATTTTGCTAAGTACCACTCGGAGTATCTTCCAAAGAAGCACTAGTATTATTATTTATTTGCAGTGGCACCATCATTATTGGAATAGACTATCCCAAGGATGTTCCTTGTGGGTTCCAATGTGTTTGGTTATAAAAAAAATAGTCATTTTACTGTTATTTTTTGTCATCTAACTTATTCTTTCTAACATTTCTATGAAGTAAGTAGTCACATCCCTCATGGCAGATGAGGAAACTGAGACAAAGGGAGATGAAGAGATTGGTGCACAGCTCAGGTAAGCTCTCCTGGGCTATTTATTTATTTATTTATTTTACTTATTTTTTTTTCTCTCCTAGCCACTGGACTACAGGTACTGGGCTATTCTTACCATCCATTTCCATCCTGGACTTCTCTCTGAATCACAGGCAGGTGAGAAAAATATTGAACAATTTGTGCAAATCTACCTTCAATTTACTAGTAGAAAGCACAGGCATCGATTGTTTTGTCTCCTGGTGAGGGAGGACTAGGCAGACAGAGCTGTCGATGTCTGAGAAGCATGGTAAGGAAGGGCACGGATCTCGGTCCAACTTATGGCTCCATTACTAGCTTGTTCTGGGACTGCTGAGAAATTACCTGATTACTCCCCAAACTCAGGTTCTTTACCTAAAAGTGGGTTGATAATATTTCTCTTGTAGTGTGATGGATACTCAAATTGGCTTGGCGATGTAAAGCAGCTTGTGTATAGTAAATGGCTAGTAAATTGCTACAACATATGTAAGCTTTGGCGACATCTCCCAGTAGGAAATAAAGATGGCATATGTTTCAAAGAAAGGTTTTATTTTTTGTCTAACACTGATTAAAAATCTAACAAAGCTTCTCTGATTTCTTTTTGCGAACTCCCAAATCTTAGGTTAATGAAGTAGAAAAATCTTTATCTTGGTCTAAATTCATTTTCCAGAATGGACAATTGAAGCCTCAGAAAGAAAATAGATTCTGTTTTTTTTTTTTTTTTTGACCTAGTCTCACTCTGTCACCCAGGCTGGAGTGCAGTAGTGCAATTTCCGCTCACTGCAACCTCTGCCTCCGAGGCTGAAGCAATTCTCCTGCCTCAGCCTCCCGAGTAGCTAGGACTACAGGTGCACGTGACCACACCTGGCTGATTTTTATATTTTCAGTAGAGATGGGGTTTCGCCATGTTGACCAGGCTGGTCTCCAACTCCTGGGCTCAAGTGATCCACCCACCTCAGCCTCCCAAAGTGCTGGGGTTACAGGCATGAGCCACTGTACCCAGCTGAAAATAGATTCTTTACAATTCATACAGCTAGTCCATGGTAGAGCCAGCACTAGAGCCTAGGCCTTTTGAATGTCCTGCTATTTTGTAATGCTCTCTTCTGCCAACGGAGACCACTTAGGGTAAGGAATATCCCGCATTTATATTCAGGGGTATAGTATGACATACCTGAGAACTCCTGAAGTATAAAAGATGGTGACCACAAGGAAATGGGAAGAGCAGGTGGAAAAGATCTTGCTCCGACCTGTAGCAGAGTTGATCCTCAGGGCTGTCATGATGATACAGCTGTAGGAACCCAGCAAAAGGACAAGGGTGCCAAGGCCCAGGACTGACATGGTAGTGAGAATGGAGACGATGCTAGCGCAGGGGTCAGAACAGGTCAATAAGAGCACCGGAGGAAGCTCGCAGGCAAAACTGTGGATGACATTAGGGCCGCAGAAGTGCTGCTGAGCCAGGAGGAGGGTGTTAATTAGGCCAGTCCCCATTCCTATGGCCCAGGATGCCCCCACCAGGCCAGCACACACCCTCCTGTTTATAATCACCACATACAACAGTGGATGACACATGGCCTGAAACCGGTCATAGGCCATGACCGAGAGGAGGCAAGCCTCAGTAGCTCCAGAAAATATGACCAGGGAGATCTGAGTGAAACACTCAAGGAAGGATATTGTCTCCCCCTTAGAAAGAAGGTTCTCTAGCAGTTTAGGCACAATAATTGAGGAATAGAAAGCATCCAGGAAGGAGAGTTGTCTCAGGAAGAAGTACATAGGGGTGCAGAGGTGGGAATCAGTACTGATCACCAGCACCATCAGCAGGTTCCCCAGTAGAGTCAAGAGGTAAATCACCAGGAACAGAACAAAGAGCAGTGCCTGAACCTGAGGGTTGTTGGACAGTCCTAGGAGAATAAACACAGTGACTGTGGTCATGTTGCTGACTTCCATGGAGCATTCAGGTTTCCCTTTTGACTGACAAGAACTAAAAAGAATGCTCCAGTGGGTTATCAGTGGCAGGGCATGCCTGGGGATGAGGCATTGGCAGTAAAGCTTCAAGGCAGACCCAGGACAGATTCTGTAGCAGAGGAAGCCTTGCCATGTCAGGCTGCGTCAGTCCTTTCCAGCTCAGGGCAGTAACCTATTGGCTGTGGTGGAGAAGGTGGGGAGGAAAAGTTCAGAGAATCAGACCTAGAAAGGAAGGAGAAGAAAGCAGCAATTATTCAGTCTGGAGAAGGAAGGGAAGGGAGTTGGGACTCCTGAGTGCTGAGAAGTGCTATTCTCTACTTCCAAAAGGAACCGAGCTCAAACCACAGGAAGGCTAACTGGCATAGTGAATAAGCAATAAACATTTTGGCTGACCATCTGGGTGGCAGACCATGATGAGTGTCTGAGTGACTGATAGAAGTATTATGAGACCTGGTCATGGTGCAAGTTGTCTCTCAGCCACTGTAAGCTCATAAGCCACTTAAGTTTCTAAAAAAAAAAAAAGTCTGAGAAAAATAGATGGTTTCTAAAGTTCATTCCAGATTAGATTTTTTTTTTTTTTTTTTTTTGAGACAGAGTCTTACTCTTTTGCCCAGGCTGGAGTGCAGTGGCACGATCTCGACTCACTGAAGCCTCCACCTCCTAGGTTGAAGCTATTCTCGTGCCTCAGTCCAGCTTAGATTTTTTTAAATTTAATTTTTAATTTAATTTTTTTCTAGGGATGGGGTCTCATTATATTGCCCAGGCTAGTTTCAAACTCTTGGCCTTAAGTGATCATCCCTCCTTAGCCTCCCAAAGTACTGGGATTACAGGTGAGTCAATATACCTACTACCAGCTTAGAAATTAAAAAGATGGGGAAACAGTCTTCCTGTGGTGTTTCTGGTACTAAATAGAAGCCCCTTCTCCCATTCTGTGTCAATCCAAGTAGAAATGACACATGAATGTATTGGTTTCACAGAAGCCAGGCAGGGGGAAACCCTTGAATAGAAATGAGGACTGTGAACATCGGTCATTCCAAGGCCTTCCCATTTCAGCATTTCTGTGAATCTATGATGCCCACTGTTTTCACTGCAATTTCAGGTCTTAACATGGGCATCCACAAAGACTATGCTATTCTTTGGAATATTTGGAAAAAGATTTGGAAAAAGCCAAATCAAACTTGGATATTTTTATGCATCAGAAGGAAGTTAAAGACCAAAAATAGGGGTGAGAAATAAAAGAACACCTGGTAAAATGGACAGTTAGAGGATTTAGTCTAGATCAGAGGAAGGTAAAGTGGCTAGTCCCCCTCCCCTTGATGGTTAACTCAAGAAGGTTATCAATGAGAATCTGATCTCGATTCATGACTTGTACCCTCGTGGGTTCCCAGAGTGGGTAGTTTTAGGAGAAGATTGATTTGAATGAGAAGGAAATTTGCCTTCACTTGGGCTCCCTAGGCCAACGAGATGCCCTGAATGGAGGATCCCTGTATGGCATCCTTTCCAAGAGTGGAGCAAAAGCCACAGATAGGAGAGGGCTCTGTGGGCTTCTATCGGCTTTGTCCTTCCTTTAGAGAATGCAGGGGTGAAACTTCTGAGCGAGGAAATATCCCCATAGCCTTTCTGTCCAAGGGGAAGCCTTGAATCTACCTCCCAAATAATAATGGCCAGAGGGACTTGATCTCAGCTCTAGGCCTTGGAGAGTGAGGGAGGTCCCTGGAGAGGTCCTTAAGCAGGAGGCCTGTTCTGATTCTGAACGGGTTCTCCAGGGCCAACTACTTCTCCCTTGTATCATTCTCATTTCAGTGGGT
Organism: Homo sapiens; assembly: GCF_000001405.40. NCBI lineage: Eukaryota > Metazoa > Chordata > Mammalia > Primates > Hominidae > Homo > Homo sapiens. Next base: position 48,558,055 of record NC_000012.12, on the reverse strand, counting down.
TGCATCATCAAGAGGGCCCTAGGGTGGCCAATAATTTCATTTTTTCAAGTCTACTATTATGTTTTAAAGTATCTTTGAAAAAAAATTTTTTTACGGTATTTTCAAATTACATACTATTCCTATTGAGCATGTATGGCAGCTTAACTACCCGAATACAAAGTTTAAGAAGCCAAAACTAATCTAGCTTTGTTTTAAAAAATTGTGCTATTGTTGTAATGGTTAACAAAGCGAGGAGAAGCACCACTCAAATCATAATGTTACAATCTCTTTGTTCAGTTGGATTATGGGTTGGTCAAACATTAGACTTCACACAGGCATGGCTATGATGCAGTGATTCCTCAGAAGAAGACGAAATTCTCAAATCACCTCAGATGTAATATTAGGAGCAGAATTTAACATTTTCAACATAATACACCATAAAAGTCAGGACTAGTTCTTATCTGATCCCCACCTTGTAACTTCAGTAACCAAAGACATACTGGTCTATAATGAATTATTTCTAATTAACTAACCAGCCTTTCTCACAAAGAGGAGATTCTTTTTGATGGGGAGAAATGCAAATTTAAGTCTGAACTGAGAAATCAACTTAACAGTTAGAACTTAATTGTATTTCTGCATTTAAAAAAAGTTTAGGCTTTAGCAAGTATTACTTAACCCTAAGGAACCATTTTAGCTTCCAAAAAGCCAATCCAAATCCCCCAGCAAAAGAGAACCCCATCTGCTCAAATATGTGAGTACTTCACCCCAGGAGCAAACTCCTCTGCATTTGGATTGATTGCTGTGGATCACAGGGTCTTTTAGAGAGGAGTCATCATTGATAATAAGGTCATTCAACTGGTCTTGGACTTGGTCCACAGTTCGTGGGAAGTCTTGAACCGGAATAAACTACTCATGTTCTTCCCCTTCAGCATTTCTTGGAAACAGTGTGGTAGGAATTATTAAGAAATTATTTTAGGCAGATAGAGAGGAAAAGGGGTCCTTGGAAAGTTTTCATCTCTTTTAAAGCAGCTCCAGAAATGTTTCCTGTCTTAGAGCCAGGCTGGCAACTTTTGATATGCAAATGTCAGGTGTGCAACCTTTGATATGCAAATGCAAGCCATTAGAAATTGGGTCCACCCAACATGGCGATTCCCACCATTGTCCTCTTTCCCTTGCCTCCTTACGTGCCTGGCAACAAGGCCACCCCCACATATCCCCATGTTTGTAGAACATCATGGTGCCCTGCCTTTGTATATTAAAAGGCTAGAGTGGGAGGGCCAGTTTTTTTCGCGGGCTATGTGAATGACGTGCCTGGTCAAACCAATCCCCTAAGCCCTATGCAAATCAGACACCACCTCCTCCAGCCTCTTCATACACCTGGCTGGTTTCCACCACACTTGGGGTCTCTTCTGTCGGCTTTAGAGACCCCCACCCTCTGTCTCTGTACGGGGAGCTTCTTCTTTCTTTCTTCTCCATTCTTTCTTGCCTATTAAACTCTCTGCTCCTTAAAACCACTCCATGTGTGTCCCTGACGTTTTATCTAATTTAGCATGGGGACCAAGAATCCTGGTGTTCCTCTGCTTATCAGAGCCATATCATTTTGGTGCATTGGCTGGGAATCTGAGGTAAAGCCTTTGTTGGAGTGGTGAATATGAAAGCAAGCTTAAAACCTGTTCTATCATTCAGAGGTGCTCTTAGCCTCTATATTAGAATAAATCAAATAAATCAATAGGCATCTGTCAGCCTAGTACATATGCTTAGCGTTGGCTGCCGTACTGAAGACACAGATATGAAGCTTTCTGGGAAGAACATGGAGAATCCCCCATTACCCACTGGTATTGGTAATGTTGGCCATGTTTGAACTAGCTTCTTTTTACAGGGAGACTTTGCTATCATGCGAGGCTGGGAAAAGTTCTGAGGCAACTGAGAATTCCAGACCAGGGCCTGGTGTGATTCAAATGCCTCTGGACCGAATGCAGCCTCTGACAGTCCATTCCAGTGTTGGTAGAGAATCCTCAACTGTCCTGTTGCAAAACTCTTCTTCCTTCTCTATCTGTGGCCTCTTACTCTTTCTCTGCGTGAAATGTGCAAGGATTTTTACAGTCTAGGAACAGCATTTTCCCCTTTTCCCCTGAGGAGAGGTTACTTGCTACAACTTCTCTGGTGAGCACGTGATATTTCTAAGCTACCTAGTGGAAATAAAAATCCTCTTCATGAGACACATTGCTGGTTCTCTGTGGTACATTGCAGCTTTGGAACTTTTCTATTTTGCGCTTTTCTACTGCTACTTCTGTAAGTGGGAAAGCTCTGCTTTTAACAGTTAGGAGTAAGATGTTTTCCATAGACAAATTTTAGTCTTGATATTGTCCCACTGGCAGGAAAATGGCCATTCGGTTTCTACGTTCCTTTAAGGCACCTATTGTGTCTCCTATTAAGACTACTTAATTAGTAAGGGGATTTTAAGTCCGGAAGTTAACCAGAACCATTCTTCTACGGGTAAGTGCTTTAGTATGAGCCATAATAGCATATAAAGTTCAATCTAGCATGCCCCCCACCTTAAAGGGGGCTTGCCCAATTAAGTGGTTTTTCTTGAAATCCATTTTGTTTTTTTTTTTTTTGGAAGACACACAGGCCACAGAAGTCTAGGAGGTCAAAGGGAAATAAAAGGCAGAGGACTAAGACTTCTTGGGGACAGCATGACTAAGGCCCAAAAGTATAGTTCCTCTGGTGTCGTGGTGCAGAGGGTCATGCCTGCAGTCATGGGCGGCACATTTAAATGGGTGCCAGGGATTCAGGAGCCAAGGAGAGAAAATTATTGGGGGACGCCTCCTACTGCTTTCTTCTCCATCCTGGATCACATACCAAAAGGAAGGAGACGCTTTTCTTCTCACTTCTCTTTCTAGATGGGCAACAGATCATCTTCAACATGCACTCCCCTGGAGTGTATTTTGGAGCACTGGGACTTCTTTGACCTTTAAACTTTGAAGAAAAAGTGGCTTATTTTCTTCTGCACAAGGGCATGGCATTTTTATTAGACCTTTGCAAGTGTTGCAAAATCAACCCAGCTCTTTTAGCAACCATATTGGGCAGGCCCAGGGAAAATAGTTCCCCAAAATTAAAAAAGTAACTTTCAGGGAAATAATCTGAGTGTCCCCCTTATTTTGGGCCCCTTCACATTCCCTTCTCATTGCAGGACCTTAGTCAAGTGAAGGAGTCTTAGACCAATTTTCTGATAACACTGATAGGTGTATAGAAGCTTTCCAAAGTTTAACTCAGGTATTTGACTTCTCATGGAGGAATGTTATGCTGCTCCTAAGCCAAACCCTACTGCAGCTAAAACAGGCAGCTCTGCAAACAGGAGAAAATTTTGGGGATGAGCAATATGTCTTCTATAGTAGGCCAAAAGGGAAAGAGAAAATAGAGAAGGCAAAGAAATAGGGGAAACACCATTCCCAATAGGAAAAGAGGCAATACCTCTTGACAACCCTAACTGGAACTCCTTTCCATGGTGTTTTTCCTTCTTTCATGGTTTAAAAAGGCTTCTATCTCTTTTATAATGTTCTCCCAACCTGGAAAAGTTAATTTTCCAAAACTTAAAAATGTTTGGCTTAGAGTTGAGCTGGGGGAAGGGAACCCAGAAGACTAATATGCTGGCAAAAGGGTAAAAATTTCTTACCAGTCAGGCTTTTGTCTTCTCTCTCACTGTGCAAAATGGCAAAAGGGATAATAAGAATCATTGTTGGAGAGGTTCCAAGATGGCCAAATAGGAACAGCTCCAGTCTAGAGCTACCAGCATGAGTGATGCAGAAGATGGGTGATTTCTGCATTTCCAACTGAGGTACCAGGTTCATCTCACTGGGGCTTGTTGGACAGTAGGTGCAGCCCACAGAGCATGAGCCAAAGCAGGGTGGGGCATTGCCTAACCCGGGAAGTGCAAGGGGTTGGGGAATTCCCTTTCCTAGCCTAGGGAAGCCATGACAGATGGTACCCGGAAAATAGGGACACTCCCACCCTAATACTGTGCTTTTCCAACGGTCTTAGCAAACGGCACACCAGGAGATTATATCTTGTGCCTGGCTCAGAGGGTCCCATGCCCACGGAGCCTCGCTCACTGCTAGCACAGCAGTCTGAGATCAAACTGCAAGGCGGCAGCGAGGCTGAGGGAGGGGCATCGCTGCTGAGGCTTGAGTAGGTAAACAAAGCGGCCGGGAAGCTCAAACTGGGAGGAGCCCACTACAGCTCAAGGAGGCCTGCCTGCCTCTGTAGACTCCACCTCTGGGGGCAGGGTGTAGCTGAATCAAAGGCAGCAGAAACTTCTGCAGACTTAAGTGTCCCTGACTGACAGCTTTGAAGAGAGTAGTGGTTCTTCCAGCATGGAGTTTGAGATCTGAGAATGGACAGACTGCCTCCTCAAGTGGGGCCCTGACCCCTGAGTAGCCTAACTGGGAGGCACTTCCAAGTAGGGGCCAACTGACACTCATATGGCCGGGTGCCCCTCTGAGACAAGGCTTCCAGAGGAAGGATCAGGCAGCAACATTTGCCATTCTGCAATATTTGCTGTTCTGCAGCCTCCACTGGTGATACCCAGGCAAACAGGGTCTGGAGAGGACCTCCAGAAAACTCCAACAGACCTGCAGCTGAGGGTCCTGAGTATTAGAAGGAAAACTAACAAACAGAAAGGACATCCACACCAAAACCCCATCGGTACGTCACCAACATCAAAGACCAAAGGTAGATAAAACCACAAAGATGGGGAGAAACCAGAGCAGAAAAGCTGAAAATTCTAAAAATCAGAGAGCCTCTTCTTCTCCAAAGGAGTGCAGCTCCTCACTAGCAATGGAACAAAGCTGGATGGAGAATGACTTTAATGAGTTGAGAGAAAAAGGCTTCAGATGATTGGTAATAACAAACTTCTCTGAGCTAAAGGAGGATGTTCGAACCCATCACAACGAAGCTAAAAACCTTGAAAAAAGATTAGACGAATGGCTAACTAGAATAAACAGTGTAGAGAAGACCTTAAATGACCTGATGGAGTTGAAAACCATGGCACAAGAACTACGTGACGCATGCACAAGCTTCAGTAGCCAATTTGATCAACTGGAAGAAAAGGTATCAGTGATTGAAGAACAAATGAATGAAATGAAGCAAGAAGAGGAGTTTAGAGAAAAAAGAGTAAAAAGAAATGAAAAAACCTCCAAGAAATATGGGACTATGTGAAAAGACCAAATCTATGTCTGATTGGTGTACCTGAAAGTGATGGGGAGAATGGAACCAAGTTGGAAAACACCCTGCAGGATATTATCCAGGAGAACTTCCCCAACCTAGCAAGGCAGGCTAACATTCAAATTCAGGAAATACAGATAACGCCACAAAGATACTCCTCGACAACAGCAATTCCAAGACACATAATTTCAGATGCACCAAAGTTGAAATGAGGGAAAAAATGTTAAGGGCAGCCAGAGAGAAAGTTTGGGTTAACCACAAAGGGAAGCCTATCAGACTAACAGCAGATCTCTTGGCAGAAGCTCTACAAGCCAGAAGAGAGTGGGGGCCAATATTCAACATTCTTTTTTTTTTTTTTTTTTTTTTAGTATTTATTGATCATTCTTGGGTGTTTCTCAGAGAGGGGGATTTGGCAGGGTCATAGGACAATAGTGGAGGGAAGGTCAGCAGATAAACAAGTGAACAAGGGTCTCTGGTTTTCCTAGGCAGAGGACCCTGTGGCCTTCCGCAGTGTTTGTGTCCCTGGGTACTTGAGATTAGGGAGTGGTGATGACTCTTAACGAGCATGCTGCCTTCAAGCATCTGTTTAACAAAGCACATCTTGCACCGCCCTTAATGCATTTAACCCTGAGTGGACACAGCACATGTTTCAGAGAGCACGGGGTTGGGGGGTAAGGTTATAGATTAACAGCATCCCAAGGCAGAAGAATTTTTCTTAGTACAGAACAAAATGGAGTCTCCTACGTCTACTTCCCTCTACAGAGACACAGCAACAATCTGATTTCTCTATCTTTTCCCCACATTTCCCCCTTTTCTATTCGACAAAACCACCATCGTCATCATGGCCCGTTCTCAATGAACTGTTGGGTACACCTCCCAGACGGGGTGGCTGCCAGGCAGAGGGGCTCTTCACTTCTCAGAAGGGGCGGCTGGGCAGAGACGCTCCTCACCTCCCAGATGGGGTCATGGCCAGGCAGAGGCACTCCTCACATCCCAGATGGAGCGGTGGGGCAGAGGCGCTCCCCACATCTCAGACGAAGGGCAGCCAGGCAGAGACGCTCCTCACTTCCTAGACAGGATGGCAGCTGGGAAGAGGCGCTCCTCACTTCCCAGACTGGGCAGCCAGGGAGTGGGTCTCTCACATCCCAGATGATGGGTGGCCAGGCAGAGACGCTCCTCACTTCCCAGACAGGGTGGTGGCCGGGCAGAGGCTGCAATCTCGGCACTTTGGGAGGCCAAGGCAGGCGGCTGGGAGGTGGAGGTTGTAGCGAGCTGAGATCACTCCACTGCACTCCAGCCTGGGCAACACTGAGCACTGAGTGAGTGAGACTCCGTCTGCAATCCCAGCACCTTGGGAGGCCGAGGCTGGCAGATCACTCGTGGTTAGGAGCTGGAGACCAGCCCAGCCAACACAGTGAAACCCCGTCTCCACCAAAAAAATATGAAAACCAGTCAGGCGTGGCGGTGCATGCCTGCAATTGCAGGCATTGGGTAGGTTGAGGCAGGAGAATCAGGCAGGGAGGTTGCAGTGAGCTGAGATGGTGGCAGTACAGTCCAGCTTCAGCTCGGCATCAGAGGTAGACCATAGAGAGAGAGGGAGAGGGAGAGGGAGACCATGGGGAGAGGGAGAGGGAGAGGGAGCTCAACATTCTTAAAGAAAAGAATTTTCAACCCAGAATTTCATATCCAGCCGAACTAAGCTTCATAAGTGAAGGAAAAATAAAATCACTTACAGACAAGCAAATGCTGAGAGATTTTGTCACCACCAGGCCTGCCTTACAAGAGCTCCTGGAGGAAGCACTAAACATGGAAAGGAACAACCGGTACCTTTCCACTGCAAAACATGCCACTGCAAAAACATGCCAAATTGTAAAGACCATCGATGCTAGGAAGAAATTGCAGCAACTAATGAGAAAAATAACCAGCTAACATCATAATGACAGGATCAAATTAACACATAACAATATTAACCTTAAATGTAAATGGGCTAAATGCTCCAATTAAGAGACACAGACTGGCAAATTGGATAAAGAGTCAAGACCCATCAGTGTGCTGTATTCAGGAGACCCATCTCACATGCAAAGACACATATAGGCTCAAAATAAAGGGATACAGGAAGATCTACCAAGCAAATGGAAAACAAAAAAAAAGCAGAGGTTGCAATCCTAGTCTCTGATAAAACAGACTTTAAACCAACAAAGATCAAAAGAGACAAAGAAGGCCATTACATAATGGTAAAGGGATCAATTCAACAAGAAGAGCTAACTATCCTAAATATATATGCACCCAATACAGGCGCACCCAAGTTCATAAAGCAAGTCCTTAGAGACCTACAAAGAGACTTAGACTCCCACACAATAATAATGGGAGATTTTAACACCCCACTGTCAACATTAGACAGATCAACGAGACAGAAAGTTAACAAGGGTATCCAGGAATAGAACTCAGCTGTGCACCAAGCAGACCTAATAGACATCTACAGAACTCTCCACTCCACATCAACAGAATATACATTCTTCTCAGCACCACATCACACTTATTCCAAAATTGACCACATAGTTGGAAGTAAAGCACTCCTCAGCAAATGTAAAAGAACAGAAATTATAACAAACTGTCTCTCAGACCACAGTGCAATCAACTAGAACTCAGGATTAAGAAACTCACTCAAAACCACTCAACTACATGGAAACTGAACAACCTGCTCCTGAATGACTACTGGGTACATAATGAAATGAAGGCAGAAATAAAGATGTTCTTTGAAACCAATGAGAACAAAGACACAATATACTAGAATCTCTGGGACACATTAAAGCAGTAGGTAGAGGGAAATTTATAGCACTAAATGCCCACAAGAGAAAGCAGGAAAGATCTAAAATTGACACCCTAACATCACAATTAAAAGAACTGAGAAGTAAGAGCAAATAAATTCAAAAGCTAGCAGAAGGCAAGAAATAACTAAGAATAGAGCAGAACGGAAGGAGATAAAGACACAAAAAACCCTTCAAAAAATCAATGAATCCAGGAGCTGGTTTTTTGAAAACATCAACAAAATTGATAGACAGCTAGCAAGACTAATAAAGAAGAAAAGAGAGAAGAATCAAATAGACACAATTAAAAATGGTAAAGGGGGATCACCACCGATCCCACAGAAATACAAAGTACCATCAGAGAATACTATAAACACCTCTATGCAAATAAACTAGAAAATCTAGAAGAAATGAATAAATTCCTGGACACACACACCCTCCCAAGACTAAACCAGTAAGAAGTTGAATCCCAGAATGGACCAATATCAGGCTCTGAAATTGAGGCAATAATTAAGAGCCTACCAACCAAAAAAAGTCCAGGACCAGACGGATTCACAGCCAAATTCTACCAGAGGCACAAAGAGAAGCTGGTACCATTCCTTCTGAAACTACTCCAATCAATAGAAAAGAAGGGAATCCTCCCTAACTCATTTTATGAGGCCAGCATCATCCTGATACCAAAGCCTGGCAGAGGCACAACAAATAAAGAGAATTTTAGGCTAACATCCCTGATGAACATCCATGCAAAAATCCTCAATAAAATACTGGCAAACTGAATCCAGCAGCACATCAAAAAGCTTATCCACCACGATCAAGTTGGCTTCATCCCTGGGATGCAAGGCTGGCTCAACATACACAAATCAATAAACATAATCCATCATATAAACAAAACCAAAGACAAAAACCACATGATTATCTCAATAGATGCAGAAAAGGCCTCGACAAAATTCAACAACCCTTCATGCTAAAAACTCTCAAAAATAGGTATCGATGGGATGTATCTCAAAATAACAAGAGCTATTTATGACAAACCCTCAGCCAATATCATACTGAATGGGCAAAAACTGGAAGCATTCCCTTTGAAAACTGGCATAAGACAGGGATGCCCTCTCTCAGCACTCCTATTCAACATAGTGTTGGAAGTTCTGGCGAGGGCAATCAGGCAGGAGAAATAAATAAAGAGTATTTGATTAGGAAAAGAGGAAGTCAAATTGTCCCTGTTTGCAGATGACATGATTGTATATTTAGAAAACCCCATCGTCTCAGCCCAAAATCTCCTTAAGCTGATAAGCACTTCAGCAAGGTCTCAGGATACAAAATCAATGTACAAAAATCACAAGCATTCTTATACACCAATAACAGACCAACAGAGAGCCAAATCATGAGTGAACTCCCATTCACAATTGCTTCAAAGAGAATAAAATACCTAGGAATCCAACTTACAAGGGATGTGAAGGACCTCTTCAAGGAGAACTACAAACCACTGCTCAACGAAATAAAAGAGGACACAAACAAATGGAAGAACATTCCATGCTCATGGATAGGAAGAATCAATATCGTGAAAATGGCCATACTGCCCAAGGTAATTTATAGATTCAATGCCATCCCCATCAAGCTACCAATGACTTTCTTCACAGAATTGGAAAAAACTACTTTAAAGTTCATATGGAACCAAAAAAGAGCCTGCATTGCCAAGACAATCCTAAGCAAAAAGAACAAAGCTGGAGGCATCACACTACCTGACTTCAAACTATACTATAAAGCTACAGTAACCAAAACAGCATGGTACTGGTACCAAAACAGAGATATAGACCAATGGAACAGAACAGAGCCCGCACAAATAATACCACACATCTACAACCATCTGATATTTGACAAACCTGAGAAAAACAAGCAATGGGGAAAGGACTCCCTGTTTAATAAATGGTGCTGGGAAAACTGGCTAGCCATATGTAGAAAGCTGAAACTAGATCCCTTCCTTACACCTTATACAAAAAATAATTCACGATGGATTAAAGACTTAAATGTTAGACCTAAAATCATAAAAACCCTAGAAGAAAACCTAGGCAATACCATTCAGGCCATAGGCACGGGCAAGGACTTCATGACTAAAACACCAAAAGCAATGGCAACAAAAGCCAAAATTGACAAATGGGATCTAATTCAACTAAAGAGCTTCTGCACAGCAGAAGAGACTACCATCAGAGTGAACAGGCAACCTACAGAATGGGAGAAAATTTTCGCAACCTACTCATCTGACAAAGGGCTAATATCCAGAATCTACAATGAACTCAAACAAATTTACAAGAAAAAAACAAACAATCCCATCAAAAAGTGGGTGAAGGACACGAACAGACACTTCTCAAAAGAAGAGATTTATGCAGCCAAAAAACACGTGAAAAAATGCTCACCATCACTGGCCATCAGAGAAATGCAAATCAAAACCACAATGAGAGACCATCTCACACCAGTTAGAATGGCAATCATTAAAAAGTCAGGAAACAACAGGTGCTGGAGAGGATGTGGAGAAACAGGAACACTTTTACACTGTTGGTGGGACTGTAAACTAGTTCAACCCTTGTGGAAGTCAGTGTGGCGATTCCTCAGGGATCTAGAACTAGAAATACCATTTGACCCAGCCATCCCATTACTGGGTATATACCCAAAGGACTATAAATCATGCTGCTATAAAGACACATGCACACGTATGTTTATTGCGGCACTATTCACAATAGCAAAGACTTGGAACCAACTCAAATGTCCATCAATGATAGACTGGATTAAGAAAATGTGGCACATATACACTATGGAATACTATGCAGCCATAAAAACTGATGAGTTCATGTCATTTGTAGGGACATGGATGAAACTGGAAATAATAATTCTGAGCAAACTATTGCAAGGACAGAAACTCAAACACCTCATGTTCTCACTCATAGGTGGGAATTGAACAATGAGAACACATGGACACAGGGTGGGGAACATCACACACCGGGACCTGTCTTGGGGTGGGGGGAGGAGGGAGGGATAGCATTAGGAGATATACCTAATGTAAATGACGAGTTAATGGGTGTAGCACACGAACATGGCACATGTATACATATGTAACAAACCTGCACATTGTGCACATGTACCCTGAAACTTAAAGTACAATAAAAAAAGAAAAAAAAAATAAATCCAGTATACAACGGCAAGAAAAAAAAAAAAGAATCATTGTTTATATTCTTTGTAAATTTATAATTAATGACAAAGAATTTGTGAGGTTGGTTGTAAGCTGTAGACTATCTGGTGTGCTTTGCATGTCTTTCTCGTTGGTTCTGTCAAAGAAAGAGTATCTTAGTTTAGGAAGCAGTCCCAGGACCCCATAAGCCTGCTGTTCAAGCCAGCCCAGCAAAACGATCAGTAACAAACTGGGTACAGGACTCCGTCTTGTTTCATGTCCTTGGGAGCATAACCTGTAACCACGTGGCAATACTTTTGAGGCAGAAATCAGAGAAATAAGAAAATAAAATTAAAAAGAAAAAGAAATAAGCTTTCCTATATTTCCTATATTACCCTTCCCAGCCTCTGGTAGCCATCCTTCTACTCTATGTTCATGAGTTCAATTGTTTTGATTTTTAGATCCTACAAATAAATGACAACATGCAATGTTTGTTTTTCTGTGCCTGGGTTATTTCACGTTACATAATGATCTCCAGTTCCATCCATGCTGTTACAAATGACTGGATCTCAGTCTTTTTAATGGCTGAATAGACTCCATTGTGTATGTGTGGTACAATAGTCTTGATTACCATAACTGTATAGTAATTCTTAGAATTGGATAATGTGAATCTTCCAATTTTGTTGTTTTTTCTCAGAATTGTTTGGGCTTATTCTAGTACCTTTGCCTTTACATATTCACCAGTTTCCTCAGGGTAAGGTTTTGAATCTGTTTTCCTGGCTACAGTGGGATTGCGCCAGTACCCTCAGAGTAGGGGCTTTGATGAATTACCTGCTTCTGGTTTAGCCTTTTGTTCTATACGGGAGACAAGAGAACCGGGTCTGGGAGGATTTAACAGTGGCTTCTGTTCTCCTACCCCAGCTAGAACTATGGGGAGAGATTTTCTTGAGAGCCTCATGGAGCTCCTGGAGGAAAAGGCTGGAAAAAGTTGGGAACCCCTCTATGATTGTGACCCTCAGGAACTTCAAAGTCTCATACTACCATACACTCAGTCACCAGCAATTTGTCAAAATTTCCAGTTTAATCTTCCTACTTCTTTACATAACACCCAGCAGCTTCTGTCCTAGGTAAGCAAATGCTCAGGTTCAGTGTCTCCTTGCAGGAACCTGCCTCTCCAGATTGATTTCTGTATGGCCATCTGCCCTGTGACCTCAGTTCTCTTATGGTCCAAGAAAAGTTACTGATTTTCAGTTTGTTCAGCTTTTTTTTTTTTTTTTTTTTTAAATAAGAGTGGGAGTGACATCTTTCCAGCCCTCTCCTTTTTTTTTTTTTTTTTTTTTTTTTTGAGACAGAGTCTTGCTCTGTCACCTAGGTTGGAGTTCAGTGGCACGATCTCAGCTCACTGCAACTTCCATCTCCCAGGCTCAAGGGATTCTCCTGCCTCAGCCTCCTGAGTAGCTTGGGTCGCAGGTTCATGCCACCACACCTGGCTAATTTTTGTATTTTTAGTAGGGATGGGGTTTTACCATGTTGGCCAGGCTGGTCTCCAACTCCTGACCTCAGGTGATCCGCCTGCCTCTGCCTCCCAATTTGCTGGGATTACAGGCGTGAGCCACCATGCCTGGCCTAGCCCTCTGCGTTTTTGAGTGGAAACTGGAAGTCTGAGTTTTAAGATAATAAAATCAGAGCTCCTGGTTCCAGGATGCCTTTTATTGTGCTGTATTTGAATCTGTAATTCCTCTTCATATATATTTTTTTCAGGCCAGGCGCAGTAATCCCAGCACTTTGGGAGACCTAGGCAGGTGGATTGCCTGAAGTCAGGAGTTTGAGACCAGCCTGGCCAACATAGGTAAACCTCATCTCTACTAAAAATACAAAAAATTAGCTGGGCATGGTGGTGGGTGCCTGTAATCCCAGCTACTCAGGAGGCTGAGGCAGGAGAATCACTTGAACCCAGGAGATGGAGGTTGCAGTGAGCCAAGATCATGCCATTGCACTCCAGCCTGGGCAACAAGAGTGAAACTTCATCTCAAAAACATTATATATATATATGTATTTTTTTCCATGGTAGTTGTTTTGGTCCATGTGTATCTCCTTCAACATTTTTTAATGGGGTTGTTCTGATTATTCCTCTTGATGGTTGTCTTTCATTGCCTGTTTGTACTATTGTTTCGTTTGCTCATTGTGGCAAAAGACTGGCTATTTCAGTTCTTTAAGTGGTAACAGTCTCATGAGAGAAGGGAATCTCCGCCTGTAGTGTAGCACCAGATAAGTTGCCAGTCCCACTTCCAGGCACCCACCTCTGCACTCCAGTTTTATGCTTTCCCATCCTCAAGACAGGGAAAACTTCCTCTGTTTTAGTTCTTCCTTAGATGCTTGGGAGTCAGATAGAGAGGTGCATTTACATGGGGCAATACCAACCTTTCAGCTGTATATCCATCACCCGAGTGCTAATGTTCCTGGAACATCCATGTTCAGCCCCCGGATAGAAAGGGTCACACACGCTGCAGCAGCTGCTGCTGCTGCTGCAGACGGGACTTCCATGGGACCTGGGGCTTTACCACTCCCACCTTCCGATTGCTGTAGCTGCAGCTTAGCTCAGGAAAGCCTTGGACTTGGGATTAGAGAGTATGGTGGGACATGTTCATGTTAGATATAGATAATATTAGATATATTAATGGTCAGTCATGCTGCATCTTCAGTTGATTTTGCATATCATTAGCTTATTCCATTAAATACTAATTATATTATTTAATAGAAAAATCTATTATTTTCACTTCGAAGTTTTATGAGACTTTATTCAAGTCCTTGAGTACTTATGATTTATTCTCCCTCCAGAAAAAATTTCCTCAAACCCAGATATCTTCTAATGTCCGCCTTTCTCAAAATCCCCAGCAAGCTCTTTGGTTATGGGCTTAGGGCAAAATAACCCTAGCTCATTTAGACTTCATTGCAGTCTGAATGACCAACCTACAATTTCTCCCCTTGGCTCATGAGAAACCCTCCCTGCTAACCTTCTGGGCCTCCTTGCTGACCCCACACTTGCTATTCAGCTCCCAATAAACTGCAGACTTCCTGAGGGTAAGAGGTTTTTTTGTACTAATGATGACAGTTAGACAGGACTCCATTGATAAAGAAGACTCCAGGGACCCAAAATGACGTTGCTTACAAATCTATGATTTGCAGGAAAAATGATACAAATGTAGCAACAGCATTAAAGTAAGGATATGCACCACAGCCAAAAGCTGCCTCCCATCAAGGAGTCCTGGAGACAGCCCTGGAGGGAGCTCCAATATTCTTCCCCCTACAGGGTCATACTAGCATGTGCTCACTCTCTTGATTAGAAACCACCAATGTGTATGTGAAACACATCAGAACCAGGAGCTCAGACAATCTGGGTATGTATGACACGTCCTTCCCTTGATCCAGTCTAGTGAACTAGCAGCTGCCCCATGAACTGTCCCTGCAAAGGTAGCGGACAACTGAAGATCCAGTGTAAGCCCAAATATTCCCTTAGGAGCTGGCAAACATTCTTCCCTACTCAGCAGTGTTCAAGGACAGGAACACTGCACCTTGATCTAAAACCCTCAGGAGCCATTTCAACAAGGGCTCAAAGGGAAGCTGCTTTTAACACTACAAAATGTCTCAATGATTTCACTTAACAACCCCTTACTTTCATGTTTCCTTTTGCCGTCCTTCCATTATCAGTCAGCTTGCCCCATTTGAAATGTCTTTTTTTTTTTTTTTTTTTTTTTTGAGACAGAGTCTTGCTCTCTCACCAGGCTGGAGTGCAGTGGCATGATCTTGGCTCACTGCAACCTCCACCTCCAGGTTCAGGTGAGTCTCCTGCCTCAGCCTCCTGAGTAGCTGGGACTACAGGCACGAGCCACCACGCCCAGCTAATTTTTTTTTTTTTTGTATTTTAGTAGAGATGGGGTTTCACCATATTGGCCAGGTTGGTCTCGATCTCATGACCTCGTGATCTGCTCCCCTTGGCCTCCCAAAGTGCTAGTATTACAGGTGTGAGCCACCATGCCCGGCCGATAACAAATCTTTATTAGCAAAGAACACAGAATAAACAACTTTACAACCAAAAAGTAATTTTTGCCATAAAAAGGTGGCATATATATATATATATAATGGCTGAGGAATAACCAAAACTTGCCATGTAAGGCCAGTAAGAAAATTCCAACAATTAACAAGAATGCAATTTTCAATGGCCCATTAATTACAGAAAAATTAAACAACTACATCAAAATTAAAATTGCCTACATATTAGAAATACATTTCAACTTAACTAAATATCTTCTTAGTAGTAATTAGTCTCATAGTTACAACCCGGTGTCAGGTTATGGTTGCCCAGCTTCCTTTGGTTGGAGCGCCGTCTCCTGGCCAGAGAATGTGAAGCTCAGCCAAAGGAGATCTTTGGGCTTCCTTTTACCTTTGCTAATGCAGCAACCGTGGAACTGAATTTTAGTGGACCTGCCACTGGATTGAAATTTCCTGCCAATCCATTTTACTAGCTCCTGAGGTTTCAGTTTTATAATTTTCAGATCTCACTGGGAAGGTTTATTATCAGCAAGTGATTTCAAAGCATGTGCTACTTCAAACTAAGGGCAAGTAGGCAACCAACCACATGGCGTCAATGATTCATTTTCATCCTCTTTATCGGAACCACCCCTTTTCTATCTAAATAATGCCTTAGTTATAGTTTTAGCTAAAAATGAGTTGGGGAGACAAATTTCTAATCCCACATATGATGCTGGCTGGCTGAACTAATGGCAGCAGTTAGGCAGAGAGTAATGGCTAAGTCCAAAACACCTAATTTTTCTTCAATTGCAAAGTCCAAAAACACTTCTGGTCCCTCACAGGACCCCAAATAATGATGCTTACCAACCTATGGTTACTTTGGGAAAAGGATACAACACAGAAGTAACTTGAAGTAAGGAGAAATGTCACAGCCAAAGGATGTCTCACACAAGGTGTCCAGTGAGACCTGGCATGGGTTCCAGCTGTCCTCTCTCTATAAGGTAATGCCAGGACCTGCTTCACCCTCAGATCAGGAATCAGCGATGGGTAATGAGCTCAGCTAACTGTAAGAGCAAGGCCTTCTCCATCTTCTCCCCACAATATCTGGTGAATTCTATTATACAAGACAGGCTTAGTCAGCTGCCTTAGCACCTCGATGGTTTCTGTGTGTGACCAGGACTGCATTGTAACACATGCAGTCCTGCATTATCTTTGCAGGACTGCATTGTAACACTTTTAAAATTCATAATCTATAGCTTGATTATTGTGGAAGTCAAGCAACAAAATGATAAAATTCGAACTCTGTCTGAAAATCTGTAAAGACACTAGGTAGTTCATCATTTTTGTCTCCTGTCCAAAGACACAGATGTCTCAGGGAGTAAAGGTAATGTCAACACAAACTTGCATTTTCTTCTTTTTTTTTTGTTTTTGAGATGGAGTTTTGCTCTTGTCGCCCAGGCTGGAGTGCAATGGTGTGATCTCAGCTTACTGCAACCTTCACTTCCCAGGTTCAAGTGATTCTTATGGCTCAACCTCCAAGTGGCTGGGATTACAGGTGCCTGCCATCATGCCTGGCTAGTTTTTTGTACTTTTAGTAAAGACAGTGTTTCACCATTTTGTCCAGCCTGGTCTCAAACTCCTGACCTAAGGTGATCCACCCTCCTCAGCCTCCCAAAGTGCTGGGATTACAGGTGTGAGCCACCGTGCCTGGTCTAACTTGCATTTTCTTGATCAGTGGTGTATTGTAATTTTTTAGCCCACAGACTCAGGTATGCAAAATATGATTTTATTTTAAACACATTTTGGAGATACACATTTTGGATGAGTATCTCTCATCCAAAATGCTTGGGAGGGAATGTTTTGGGTTTCACAGTTTTTCAGATTTTGGAATATTTTCATCACACTTGCCAGCTGAGCATCCCTAATCTTAAATTCCAAAATTCAGATGCTCCAGTGAGCATTTCCTTTGAGCTTCATGTTGGTGCTCAAAAAGTTTTGAATTTTGGAGAATTTTGGATTAGGAATCCTCAAACTGTATTAATTTATCTTTCAAGCTTCTGTTTATGTCTGAAGCAAAAATTTAATTCAGTCATGTTAAGTATGAACTCAGTGGAAAATTCTGTGATTTCTCAGTCATTTAAGGTTTCATAACTATACATTAAGATTTTCCCCTTCTTGTCTCTTACTGGGGGTTGATGTTATGCTGACCCTAGAGTAACTGTGGTGTTGGTGACCACAGGCATCTACTCACTGGTGGCCTGCCTTGGTTCTATGCTGATTTCCTGCTCCACATGTGACTCATCCCCTCTGGCCCTCAGGTGTGGCCCTCTCTCTCCTGGTAATCTAGCATGGCGTAGATGATCCTTATCCAGTTGCTGGCAAGGCTGTCCAAGGCATATTTGCTAAGTCAATTTCCTTTTGTTCTGGTCATAAGACCCTTTGTGGGTGTAGTATACTATTAGAGACATACTGTGGCTACAAGATTAACAATAACCATAAGGCCCACTCAAATATCACACATGGCCCACACTATATGTCACTTAGCAGTATGATGCAAGGTGGCCTGGGGATTTCCAACTCTGGCCAGAGTATTACTAGGACAAGTTGCATCATCATATATAGTGTAGGTCCTGTGAGATGTTTGAGTGGGCCTTATGGTTATCATTAATCTTACAGCTGCAATATGTGTCTTATAGTATACTACAGTGGGCTGCTAACTCTCTCGTAAGCTGACATTCTTTTTTTTTTTTTTTTTTTGAGATGGAATCTCCCTCTGTCACCTAGGCTGGAGTGCAGTGGCGCAATCTTGGCTCACTGCAACCTCCGCCTCCCGGGTTCAAGCGATTCTTCTGCCTCAGCGTCCCGAGTAGCTGGGACTACAGGTGTGCGTTACCATGCCCGGCTAATTTTTGTATTCTTAGTAGAGACGGGGTTTCGCCATACACGCCAGGCTGATCTTGAACTCCTGACCTCATGATCTGCCCTCCTCAGCCTCCCAAAGTGCTGGGATTACAGGTAGGAGCCACCGCACCCGGCCTGTAAGCTGACATTCTTGCCCTACTAGTAGTCACTGCCTTCCCCTGTCATTCTAAGGCTAAGGGGAACTCAGGAAAGGATCTCTTACCTCTTATACCTGTACAATTCATTCTTCCATTTCTTGTTCATAGTGGTTGCACCATATTTTGCAGGGAAGTTCTCAAGGGACTTGCCATTTTTCTGGGTCCCAACTAACCTTATGATGATAAGAAAGAGAGAGGACATGTTTTGGGGAATGAAAACATGATGCTTACCATTTAGCTCATTTAGCTATGCTCATTTTTCTGCCCAAGTCCACTTCTCATTTCTCTTTTCATGTACTCTTTAGGGACCAACCTGAGTGGGAACAGAGGTGAAGCCAAGGCTTAAGAGTGGTGGCAGCAAGAGAACTCCCACGATTGCTAGTCATGCTAATTTAGCCTTTCCACCATTTTCCTTTCCTTTGGAGTTTGATGGATACTTTCTGTGTAAAGGGAAAGGATACTTAACCTAAACTATTGATTGTTCCACCACTTGAGTTCTAGGGCTATTGTAATAAGTCAGAGTTAAGTAGAGAAGCCTGACCCTTCTGAAATGTCTACTGAATTCTATTCCCAAACCACTTGTATCACATATAGTATGGTATCACTGGATCAGAAGGGAGTCAGTGATTGCCTGCCTTATTTCCTCTCCCTTCTGACACTTATCCCCACCCCAAACACTTGTAATTCTTTTCAAATGAGATTCAGTGTTTTTGTGGGGTCATTCCTATGGGTCTGAGATGTAAACACAGATACCTAGGCACAGTGACTGCGTTGAGGGGTCATCTGAAGGCATGCAGCCTCCTTGTATATCCTCATTCTTAAATAGGAAAAATAAATGTCTTTTCAATATTTCATTAAATACACCAATACATCCTTCCCCCCAGCTTTTATGAGGTATAATTGATGAACAAAAATTGTATATATTTAAGATATGCAAACTGATATTTTGATATATGTATACATTGTGAAATAATCACCGTAATGGAGCTAATTAACATATCCATCATCTCCATACTGCTTTTCATAGAGGTTGTACTAATTTACATTCCCACCAACAGTGTATAAGCATTCCCTTTTCTCTGCATCCTCACCAACATCAGTTATTTTTTGTCCTTTGAATTCTAGCCATTCTGACTGGTGTAAGATGATATCTTATTGCAATTTTAATTTGTATTTCTCTGATGATGAGTGACGTTGAGCATTTTTTCCTATACTTGTTGGCCATTCATATGTCTTCTTTTGCAAAATATCTATTTACATCCTTCTTTCACTTTTTTTTTTTTTTTGAGATAGAGTCTTGCTCTGTCACCCAGACTGGAGTGCAGTAGTGCAATCATAGCTCACTGCACCCTCAACCTCCTGGGCTCAAGTGATCCTCCCACCTCAGCCTCCCCAGTAGCTGGAACCACAGACTCACACCACCATGCCCAGCTAACTTTTTAATTTTAATAGAGACGGGGTCTTGCTACATTGCCCAGGCTGGTCTTGAACTCCCGGCTCAAGTGATCCTCCTGCCTCGATGTCCAGATGTGTTGGGATTGCAGGCATGAGCCACTGCACCTGGCCATTTGCCCACTTTTAAATAGGATTATTTGTTTTTGTTGTTGTTGTTTGCATTCCTTGTACATTCTGAATATTAATACCCTGTTGAATGCATAGTTTGCAAATACTTTCTTGCATTCTGCAGGTTGTCTGTTCATGTGTTGGTTATTTCTTTTGCTTTGCAGAAGCTTTTTAGTTTAATTAAATCTCATTTATTTATTTTTGTTTTTGTTGCTTGTGCTTTTGAGGTCTTAGTCATGAATTCTTTGCCTAGACCAATGCCCAGAAGAGTTTTTCCTAGGTTTTCTTTTTTTTTTTTTTTTTGAGACAGGGTCTTGCTCTGTCACCCAGGGTGAGTGCAGTGGCACCACTGCAGCTCACTACAGCCTTGACCACCCGGGCTCAAGCGATCCTCCTGCCTCAGCCCCCTGAATAGCTGGGATTACAGACATACACCACCATGCTTGGCTAATTTTTATACTTTTTGTAGAGACAACATTTTGCCATGTTGCCCAGGCTGGTCTCGAACTCCTGAGCTCAAGTGATATGCCTGCCTCGGCCTCCCAAAGTGCTGGGATTACAAGAATGAGCCACTGTGCCTGGCCTAGTTTCGGTCTTTTAATTTAAGTCTTTAATCTATTTTGAGTTGATTTTTGTATATGGTGAGAGATATAGGTCCAGTTTCATTCTTCTGCATATGGTTATCTAATTTTTTCAGCACTTTTTATTCAAAATGGTGTCCTTTCCATAATGTAAGTTCTAGCTGGCTTTGTCAAAATCAGTTGGCTATAAATTTGTGGCTTTATTTCTGGGTTCTCTATTCTGTTCCATTGGTCTATGTGTCTATTTTTATACCAATACCATGCTGTTTGGTTACTATAGTGTTGTAATATATTTTGACATCAGGTAATGTGATGTGGGCTGCTTTGTTCTTTATCCTCCAGATTCTTTGGCTGTTTGGGCTCTATTTGGTTCCATATGAATTTCACAATTGCTTTTTCTAATTCTGTGAAGAATGATGTTGGCATTTCGATAGGGATTGCATTGAATCTGTAGATTGCTTTGGGCAGTATGGTCATTTTGATGATATTAATTCTTCTGATTTGTGATCATGGGATGTTTTTCCATTTGTTTGTGTTGTCTACAATTTCTTTCATCAGTGCTTTGTTGTTTCTCTTGTAGAGATCTTTCACTTCCTCGGTTTAATTTGTCACTATAGGTATTTTGTTTTACTTTTGTAGCTATTGTAAATGGGATTGCTTTCTTGATTTCTTTCCTAGTTAAATTACTATCATTCTATAGAAATTCTATTAATTTTTGTACATTTATTTTGTATCCTGAAACTTTATTTAATTCATTTATCAAATCTAAGAGTTTTTTAGTGGAGTCTTTAGATTTTTCTAGGTATAAGATCATATCATCAACTAAGAAACAATTTGACAATTTGACTTCCTCTTTTCCAATGTGGATGCCTTTTACTTCTTTCTCTTGCCTGATTTCTATGGCCAGGAGTCTTACAGTGCTATGTTGAATAGGAGTGGTGAAAATGGGCATCCTCGTCTTTTTCCAGTTCTTAGAGGAAAGTCTGTCAGTTTTTCCCCATTCAGTTTGATGTTGGCTGTGTGTTTGTCATATATGGCCTTGATTATTTTGAGGTATGTTTCTTCTAAGTCTAGTTTATTGAGAGTTTTTATCATGAAGTGATATTTAATTTTATAGAATTCTTTTCTCCATCTATTGAGATGATCATATGGCTTTTGCCCTTCATTCTGTTGATATAATATTATCACATTTATTGATTTTCATATTTTGAACCATCCTTGCATCTCTAGTATAAATCCCACTTGATTGTGGTGCATTATCTTTTTTTTTTTTTTACTTTTATTTTAGGTTCAGGGGTACATGTGCAGGTTTGTTATATGGATAAATTGCATGTCATGGGGCTTTGGTGTATGATTATTTTGTCACCAAATAGGTAGTTTTTCAGTATTATCCCTCCTCCCTCCCTCCCTCTGCTCTCAAGTAGGCCCTGGTGTCTGTTGTTCCCTTCTTTGAGTCCATGTGTTCTCATCATTTAGCTCCCACTTATAAGTAAGAACATGCAGTATTTGGTTTTCTGTTCCTGCATTAGTTTGCTTAGGATAATGTCCTCCAGCTCTATCCATGTTGCTACAAAAGACATGATCTCATTCCTTTTTATGGCTGCGTAGTATTCCAGGGTGTATATGTACCACATTTTAAAAATGCAGTCTACTGTTGATGGGCACCCAGGTTGATTCCATGTCTTTGCTATTGTGAATAGTGCTGTGAGAAACATATGCATGTATGTGTCTTTATGGTAGAATAATTTATATTCCTTCGGGTATATATCCAATAATGGGATCGCTGGGTTGAATGACAATTCTGCTTTAAGTTCTTTGAGAAATTGTCACGCCTCTTTCCACAATGGCTGAAGTAATTTACATTGCCATCAGCAGTGCATAAGACTTCCCTTTTCTCTGTAACCTGACAAGCATCTTTTATTTTTTGACTTTTTATTAATAGCCATTATAACTGGTGTGAGATGGTATCTCATTGTAGTTTTGATTTGCATTTCTCTAATGATTAGTGATGTTGAGCATTTTTTCATATGCTTGTTGGCCGTGTGTCATTTTCTTTTAAAAGTGTCTATTCATGTGCTTTGCCTTCTTTTTAATGGGGTTGTTTTTTGCTTGTTAATTTGTTTAACCCTTTTCCTGTTTGCCCTGAGAATACTCACCAGTTGTGCTTGTGGCTGCAGTGTTTACCCCAAGATAACTTTGCCATAAAATATCTTGCTTTTATTATTATTTTTGCATTGCTTTAGTATATCAACTTTGGAAACAAAAGACATTGTTCTTTTAAAGCATTCTGTTTTTAGTAGTGGTATTTCCATTCATGAAACATAGTAGTTCTCAATTGCTGCAAATGTCAAATCCTAGAAAACATAGCATTCCTGTGTGTGATGTTAATATTGTTCTCTAACAGTTGTTGACCAAAGATTCATTTGATGAAACAGATTTTTCCAAAATAGGCGATTCTGATAATTCAGACAATTCTGATGTTAGTTCTGTTTATAAATAACTCCAAGAACAGTTTTTATATTTTATTTTCACATTAAAAGTCAGTCAGATTTGCTTCAGTCTCAAAAAGCATGTTTATGTAAAATTAAATGAGCGTCAGCAGCGAGTTGCACGTTTTGTTTCTAAGTGGGAAAAGGGTTAAGTTCCTTATAGAGTCTGGATATTAGACCTTTGTTGGCTGCATAGTTTGCAAAAATATTCGCCCATTCTTAGGTTGTCTCTGTACTCTGCTGATAGTTTCTTTTGCTGTGCAGAAGTTCTTTCACTTAGTTAGGCCCCATTTGTCAATTTTTGGTTTTGTTGCAATTGCTTTTGGCATCTTTGTCATGTAATCTTTGCCAAGGCCTACATCCAGAATGGTATATCCTAGGTTATCTTCCAGAGTGTTTATAATTTTGGATTCTACATTTAATTCTTTAATCCATCTTGAATTGATTTTTGTATGTGGTGTAAGCAAGTGGTTCAGTTTCAATCTTCCACATATAGCTAGCCAGTTATCCCAGCACCATTTATTGAGTAGGGAGTTCTTTCCTCATTGCTTCTTTTTGTCAACTTTGTTGAAGATTAGATGGTTGTGGGTGTGTGGCATTATTTCTGGGCTCTCTATTATGGTCCATTGATCTATGTGTCTGTTTTTGTATCTGTACCATGCTGTTTTGGTTACTGCAGCTCTGTAGTATAGTTTGCAGTTGGGTAATGTGATGCTTCCAGCTTTATTCTTTTGCTTAGGATTGCCTTGCCTATTCAAACTCTTTTTTGGCTTCATATGAATTTTTAAATAGTTTTTTCAATTTCTGTGAAGAATGTCCTTGGTAGTTTGATAGGAATAGCACTGAATCTGTAAATTGTTTTGGGCAGTATGGCTATTTTAACAACATTGATCCTTCCTATCCATGAGCATTGAATGTTTTTCCATTTGTTTGTGTCATCTCTGATTTCTCTAAGCAGTGTTTTATAATTCTTGTAAATATCTTTCTTCTCCCTGGTTAGCTGTACTCCTAGGAATTTTTTTTTGTGTGGCTATTGTGAATGAGATTGCATTCTTGATTAGGCTCTCAGCTTGGATATTGTTGATGTACAGGAATGCTACTGGTTTTTGTACATTGATTTTGTGTCCTGAAATTTGCTAAAGTTATTTATCATATCAAGGAGATTTTGGGCAGAGACTATGGGGTTTTCTAGGTGTAGAATCATATCATCTGCAAACAGGGAAAGTTTGATTTTTCTCTTCATATTTGGATGCCTTTTGTTGTTGCCTGATTGCTCTGGCTCAGACTTCCAGAACTATGTTGAATAGAAGTGATGAGAGAAGACATCCTTGTCTTGTTCTGGTTTTGCTTCCAGCTTTTGCCTATTTAGTATGATGTTCATTATGGGTTTTCATAAATGACTGTTATTATTCTGAAGTATATTCCTTCAAAGCCTAGTTTGCTGAGGGTTTTTAACATGAAAGGATGTTGAATATTATTAAAAGCCTTTTCTGAATCCATTGAGATGGATTGAGAAATCCATGGATGAGATGGATCATCCACTGAGATGATCATGTGGTTTTTGTTTCTAGTTTTGTTTATGTGATGAATCACATTTATTGATTTGTATATGTTGAACCAACTTTGCATCACAGTGATAAAACTTATCTGATCATGGTGGATTAGCTTTTTGATGTGCTGCTGGATTTGGTTTGACAGTATTTTGTTGAGGGTTTTTGCATCTATGTTCATGAAGGATAGTGGCCTGAAGTTTTGTTGTTGTTGTGTCTTTGCTAGGTTTTGGCATAAGAATAATGTTGGCCTCATAGAATGAATTAGAGAGGAGTCCCTGTTCCTCTTTTTTTTTTTTTTTTTTGCATTAGCTTCAGTAGGAATCATACCAGCTCTTCTTTATACATCTGGTAGAATTCAGCTTTCAATCTGCCTCATCCTGGGATTTTTCTGGTTCATAGGCTTTTTATTACTCATTCAATTTTGCAATTTATTATTCATCTGTTCAGGGATTTAATTTCTTCCTGGTTCAGTCTTGGGAGGGTATATGCATCCAGGAACATATCTGTTTTTCCTAGGTTTTTTGCTTGTGTGCATAGAAGTGTTCATAGCAGTCTTTTTTATATATATATATTTTTGTGGGGTTGGTGGTAACGTGCCCTTTGGCATCTCTGATTGTGTTTACTTGGATCTTGTCTTTTTTTCTTTATTATTCTATCTAGTAGTCTATCTATTTTATTTATTCTTTCAAAAAACAATCTCCTGGATTTATTGATCTTTTGTATGCTTTTTTCATCTCAATTTCCTTCAGTTCAGCTCTGATCTTGCCTTCCTCTAGCTTTGTGGTTTGTTTGCTCTTGTTCCTCTAGTTCCTCTAGGTGTGATGTTAGGTTTTAATTTGAGATCTTTCTACTTTTTGATGTGGGTGTTTAGCACCATAAACTTCACTCTTAACATTGTTTAACTGTGCCCCAGAGATTCTGGTATGTTGTATCTTTGTTCTCATTAGTTTCAAAAAATTTCTTGATTTCTGCCTTAATATTATTGTTTACCTAAAGGTCATTCAGGAGCAGTTTGTTTAATTTCCACATAATTGTATGGTTTTGAGCAATCTTCTTAGTACTGATTTCTTTTTTTATAGAAAGATTGTGGTTGGTATGATTTTGGTTCTTTCTCATTTGCTGAGGATTGTTTTATGTCCGATTTTATGGTCAATTTTAGAGTATGTGTCATGTGGCGATGAGAAGAATGTATATTCTGTTGCTTTTGTGTGGAGAGTTTTGCAGATGTGTATTAGGTCCAATTGATCAAGTGTCAAGTTCTGGTCCTGAATATCTTTTTATTAGTTTTCTGCCTTGATGATCTGTCTAATACTATCAATGGACGGTTGAAGTCTCCCACTATTATTGTGCAGTTATCTAAGTCTCTTTGCAGGTCTCTAAGAATTTGCTTTATGCAAATTTAAAGCAAAAGGATATTTGCTTTATGAATCTGGGTGCATAGGTATTCAGCATAGTTAGGTCTTCTTGATAATTAGCATAGTTAGGTCTGGTGATAATTTCCTGTGAGTGAAAAGAAGCAAGTCACAATAATACTTATAATATAATTTTATTTATCTAAACTTCAGAACCAGATAAAACTAAATTATTTAAAGAAAATTGTAAGAGAGAAAAAGTAATATCCTTTTCTCATCTATCACAAGGTTCTTGGCTGATACCCCTATATCAAAAGACTGAATAACAAGAGCATACAAATTTATTTAATATAACTTTTATGTGACATTGGAGTCTTCAGAAATGAAGACCCCAAAACCCAGGGAAAACTGTGTATTCTTATGGACAGTCACACAGAAGAATGATTGGAGGACAAAGGGGTGTGATCTAATGGTAGTTAACGGCTTCAGATTCTTCTTGGCAAGACTCCTCTGGAGTGAGGGTCTTATGACCTACTTTCAGGGGACATAGGTCAGAGAATTTTTCTAATTACCTTCTTCAAAGAAGAAAGGTGGGAGAAGTTCAGAGAGTGATCTTCCTGATTCTGGGGTTTTCTGTTTCCTTCTGCTTAAAATACTCAGTATGCTAAAGTGCCACATTTTGGGGTATCATGTTCTGATCCCCGACAAAGCAAGGGGAATGATGAACAAATCCAGGGTAGTGATTAGTTTTGGGTAGTAGAGGAGGGGTGGTAAAATGAATAACTTTTTTTTTTTTTTTTTTGAGACGGAGTCTCGCTCTGTCGCCCAGGTTGGAGTGCAGTGGAGCGATCTTGGCTCACTGCAAGCTCTGCCTCCTGGGTTCACGCCATTTTCCTGCCTCAGCCTCCCAAGTAGCTGGGACTACAGGCGCCCGCCACAACACCCGGCTAATTTTTTGTATATTTGGTACAGACGGGGTTTCACCATGTTAGCCAGGATGGTCTCGATCTCCTGACCTCGTGATCTGCCTGCCTTGGCCTCCCAAAGTGCTGGGATTACAGGTGTGAGCCACCATGCCTGGAATAAAATGAATAATTCTTAAAGCTGGGTAGTGGGTACATGTACATTCATTTGTAATCATTCTTTAACTGGAATGTACATGTTTAGTACATACTTTTTAAGTGTGATATGTTTTATGAGGATAAAAGACAGAAGAAATTTTATAGTTTGCAAAGGCTTTAATAGTAAAACAGCAAATAGTGCAATGAAGCTAGAATAATATTGAAAAACCTCAGCATGAACTATTACTTTGCGTGGTTTTGTCTCTAGTATATTTGCACCCTTTTTGTCATCTGTCTTGTAGGAGGAAACTTCAGGCCTCTTAAGGTGACGGTGTATCTGGGAAATTAATGCTCAGAAATTCCCTATAAATTCAATCTCTCATTAATAAGCACTCAGGTATATGCTAGGATTGTCAACAGTTATTTATACTTCTTGGGAGGGTCAATATATAGCCAAGGTCTCCTCATATTTCTGGAGGCCACAACATAAAAACCCTTGAGAGAATTACAAGAAGAGTTTCCTTAAGGACTAGATGGGGTCTTTTTACTGAAGGGCGGTATAGTAAGCAGTGGGGTTATGTGAGCATTGAAGTTCAAGGGCATTGCCCCTGCAATGGGGAGACCATTGCTGAGCCTCTAGAATTGTAGACATGTCTTCATGCAGTTATGATCTAATGTCTTTTACTTATGCTAAAAGGAATTTGGGTCTGTTGGTATCTTTCTCTCAATCACTATCCTCCTGTGACATCTGTGCGCTGACTATAACCAACTTCAAGTCCAGGGTTCAGGTATTTCTACTCTCCTTCACCATAGGAAGCTTGACTTGGGGTTTTAACTGATGCCTCATCTTAGGCCAAAGAAAGCAAATCAGGCCTTGAATTGTTGTGTTTGGAATATATAGTGTGTTTAGGGTATTCTGGCGTATCAGTTGAGAGGAGACACCATTTGTGAAATATCAATGGCCAGATGAGGGTATTTTTTATTTTGTACATTATTAAGAAATGAATATTTGGAGGTGTCTATTTTTTTCTGTGGCAATATCAATAATGACAGATATAAACATGGATAGGTAGATAGATAAATTTACAATGACATAGTTATACAGACAGAAATAAATATAGTTATAAAAACGTAAATCAGATTGTACTTTACATGTTGAGTTGTGATATACTTTTTTAAAACTTAACAGTGTATATCATGAATGTTTCCGTGTAATGAAATATTTCTCTGGATGTAGTAGAATATATGTAACAAAAACCATATTGTTAGACATCTAGATTGCTACAATTTTTTTTTTTTTTTGCATTGGAGTTTCCCTCTTGTTGCCGAGTGCAATGACATGACCTCGGCTCACCGCAACCTCCGCCTCCCAGGTTCAAGCGATTCTCCTGCCTCAGTCTCCCGAATAGCTAGGACTACAGGCATGCATCAGCGTGACTGGTTAATTTTGTATTTTTAGTAGAGAAGGGGTTTCTCCGTGTTGGTCAGGCTGGTCTTGAACCCGACCTCAGGTGATCTGCCTACTTCGGTCTCCCAAAGTGCTGGGATTACAGGTGTGAGCCACCGTGCCCGGCGATTGCTACAAAAATTTTAACCTCTATAAATAGTATTGAAATAAACATCTTTGTAAAAATACATTTGTGCATATTCATGATGATTTACTCAGGATAAATTCCTAGTGAAATTTCTTTCTTTTAGTATCAAATGATTTTATTATAAATCTGAAGCCATTTATTGACCATTCACTTTTTCAAATAACACAAACATGAGAATAAACTAAACACACCCAAGACTCACCAGCCCTTGCAGGACAGGAAGAGGCCCTGGACAGACAGCTTGCAAATGTTTTTCCTTATACCTAATGTCCAAGCTTCCTCACACATTCTAGGGTTCCATGTTTTGTCACCTCTTACAAGGGAAAGGGAACGTAAAAGATTCATGTACAGGAAGGTCATAACAACCTTCAACCATCAAGATATCTGATGCTAACGGTTTGTACATTTTAGTTTGCAACTCTGAGAAGTAACGTCAAATAAGCACTGTCAAATCCCCACTTCCAGCTACCTCTTAAATTGCCGTTATTCTTTGAAATTATCTTTGGGACTGGTTATGTTCTTTAATTGTAGCTTTTGTGTATTACAGAGCACAAACCCAAAATCCATGTGCAGTCTCCATGTTCAAGTATAAAAGTTTGTCTCAGGACAACCTCAGGTTGCTGCAGTGTCTCTCTATCTCCCTGTAGTGTCTACTGGGCGTTGTACCTTTGGACAGGCTGGTCAAATGGCGGCACAACGAAGGGGACAACACAGTCAACTTCCCCAACGTCAAACTCTCTCCCCGTTCAAACTGGACACTGCCCACAGTCAAGGCTGAAATACCGAAATCAGTGAGACCTCGGCCTATCTTCATTCTGAAGTTGCACTCTTATGTAACCATGTAACCGAAGCTACTTCTTCACCATTAACTCAAATGGAGCTTTCAAAACGGGTGGGACATATTCTTGGGAAGCGCCCTGAGATGGAAGGCTGGAGGGTACTGGTCTTTGGGCTCTGGAGGGGGCACTGGCACCATTGCTGTCTTCTGGGCGCCCAGGATCTCGTGAATTGCTCATTCCACTGGTGGCCTGGGGATGTGGTTTAGTTCTGGATCCACCATCTGATAAAGAACCCCGTCAACTCCAGCTTTCAACGTCCCTGACTGAAAAACACTCTGCCTCAGGCCACTTCGCAATCAGTTTTTGCGCATTGTAGGATTCCATTCCTGCTTGTCCAGGTGTGTGGACACCGAATGCTGGGCCTTCTGCCTTAATTTTGATAAGCTGGCTTGGTGTCTACGGGGGCCAGGCAGCACCTGCGGAAGCTGCTAAACGGCCCTGAGCCGCTCCAGGATGAGCGGCGGGTCCCCGGGATGCAGTGGCGGGATCACGGTGCCCGCGTGGCCCCGGTCTCGCCCATCGAGGGAGACCAAATACGGCTTCTTCTCCGGGACAGAAGGCTTGGTGCGCAGAGGTGACGGCGAGGGTAGCAGATGAGGAGGCCAACATCTCACTGGGCTTGTGTTTTCATCTGGGTTTCTCTATCCCGGGGCTCCTGCGTATCAGGGCAGGGCCGTGGGCGCCGCGCGCAGCGCGGAGCATGCGCAGGCCCCTTGGGGTTGAGGCGTGACCGGAATGCTCAGCTCCGGGTGTCCGGGCTCCCTGCGGCCTTCGGTGAAGGCTGGTCTCTTCCATCTGGCCTGGCCTTTGTGCAGCTGAGGCAAATGACTGCTGTCCCGGAGGCTTCTTTCCCCCTTGTAACAGATACGTTTTTTTCATGAAAAGCTTTTAAAACTGACAATTAGAACGAAGAGAGTTTGTGAAAGAAGCTTGAGAAAAGTGCAAGTTAATATTCAATAAATTCAATAATTTGTAGATAGTTTTTGCACCTTTTCAGTTAACTACAGTAAGTTAGGCAATTGTAAAATATAGCTTAAACAAATCAGAAGCATTTGTTTTATAGGAAAAAATGTTTATTACGTGAGAGTTTTTCAGTGCCCTTAGAACCGGCAAACCACCTGACACTAAACAATGAAAGATGAGACAAAGATAGTTTCAGGATTCACTTGAGATGAGGTCAAAACAAGATTATTTGTCTAGGGTACATAGCCTGCACTCTACAAGGAAAAGACACACTGATAAGATCAGCTAATTGGAAAAAATATAAATCCCGTATACAGTGAATGAAGACCATGTGAGGAATGAAGTTTCTAGAGCCACAGAGCCTCCTTGCAATCTTTTGCACCGGAGAGCTGGCCACCAAGCTGCACACACAGTGAAGTTCTTGGGAATTTTATCTGAGTCCAAGTTCTGCCTCAGTATGTTGATTCCCTCTCTGAAGTTCTCTTAGGTGTTTATGTCTTCTATGGCCACACGGTTGGAAATCTTTCTCTTTCTTCCCATCAAGTCTTATCTAGTGACTTTTCTCTCCCACGCATCCATGACACTGTGTTCTTATTAAATGCCATGACTTTTAGTGTGTTCACCAAAGTAAATTAAAAATAATGATAGATTTGCGACGCTAATGATTTTACTAAATGCAAAGCCCAAGATGAATGTTTTAGAATGAGAAAAATGAATCAATATGTTCATAACAAAACTTTATTGAGGTAATAATTTAATAATTTGCTTTGTCACTAAGAGGGATTAAAGTTAACCTTCCTACTTGTAATAACTTTGTACCATTCTCTCATGCACTTCTAATTTACAGCTTGCAGTATCAGACACTGAGGGTAGCCAGGAATACTTACTACTATAAACTTATCCAGTGTCATGTTGTATGCAGCTTGACCTAAATTTTCCAAAATCTTTTTTTTTTGAGACAGGGTCTTGCTCTGTTGCCCAGGCTGGAGTGCAGTGGTGCAATCTCAGCTCACTGCAGCCTTGACCTCCCACGCTCAAGTGATCCTCCTCCCTCAGCCTTCCAAGTAACTGGAATTACAGGTGCACACCACCATGCCCGGCCTATTTTTTTTTTTTTTTGGAGACAGGGTTTCACCATGTTGGCCAAGCTAATCTCGAACTCCTGAGCTCAAGCAATCCTCCTGCTGCAGGCATGAGCCACAGTGCTCGGCCAACAATGTTTGTTTTTTAACTCAACGTCTGGTATATTGCAAATATTTTTCCAAAGTTCTTTTCAGAGCTACCTTCACTTCCTTATTTTTCAGGCTATAGATGAGGGAATTCAGCATGGGAGTGACTACAGTATACTGCACAGAGAAGATCAACTCTATGGGGGAACCTGAGTTTGGCATGAGATGGCGGAGCAAACCTGAGCCATAGTAAAGTGTCACTGCAGTGAGGTGGGCAGAGCAGGTGGAGAAGGCCTTGCTTCTGCCCGAGGTAGAGCTGATGCTTAGGATGGTAGAGATTATACGGGTGTAGGATAAGAAGACCAAAAGGAAGTTTCCCAGCCCATGTAGGAGAGTGGAGCAGAGCAAGGCGATGAGGCTTCTGGAGATATCAGAGCAGGACAGAGGGAGGAGGGATGGCATCTCATAGCTGTAGTGGTGAATGATTTTGGCTTCACAAAAGACCATGTTTACAGCTAGGAGGACATTGATGAGTGCGTCCAGAAAGCCCAGTCCCCATGAGCCCCACACAAGGTGCATATACAGCTGTTTACCCATGATCTGTCCATAAAGTAGTGGGCGGCAGATGGCAGCATGGCGGTCATAGGCCATCCCTGAGAGAAGGCAGGCTTCAGTCCCTGCAGTGACAAACACAAAGAAGACCTGAGCCAGGCAGCCCTCTACTGAAATGGTTTTCCTCTGTGACAGGAGGTTCTCCAGCATCTTGGGCACAATGACTGAAGAGAAGCAGAGATCAACAAAAGAGAGGTGACTCAGGAAGAAATACATGGGCTTATGGAGACAAGAATCAGCCCTGATCATGAGCAGCAGCATCAGGTTTTCCATTATGGTCAGGAGGTAAATCCCCAGGAACAGCACAAAGAGCAGAGCCCGGATGTTGGGGTCGGCAGACAGCCCAAGGAGGAGGAACTCGGTGATGGTGCTGTGATTCCCCAAGGCCATTTACAAAGGCTACTCCCTAGAAATAACTCGTAAAATCATAGCAGCCAAGTCAAGATTACTCCAGACAGTTTTCTCATGGTACTGATTCTCTTTTCATATCGGTCACATGGAACATAAAGGTGATTGAGGTGTAGTCTTTGCTCTTTAAATGGTCCACTGAAGAACATGGATGTGAAAACAAGAAATTGTAACAGTGTAATTAATATGAAGAGAGCTCAAATTTTGATTTATATAGGGGTCAGTAATGATAATACATTGAAGAAATTTGAACACATTTTTAAAGAAAGCATATGATTGGCCGGGCGCGGTGGCTCATGCCTGTAATCCCAGCACTTTGGGAGGCCGAGGCGGGTGGGTCACCTGAGGTCCGGAGTTCGAGACCAGCCTGACCAACATGGAGAAACCCTGTCTCTACTAAAAATACAAAATTAGCTGAGCGTGGTGGCTCACGCCTGTAATCCCAGCTACTTGGGAGGCTGAGGCAGGAGAATCACTTGAACCTGGGAGGTGGAGGTTGTGGTGAGCTGAGATTGTGCCATTGTACTCCAGTCTGGGCAACAAGAGCGAAACTCTGTCTCAAAAAAAAAAAAAAAAAAAAAAAGAGAAAGCAAGCATATGATTGACCTAGGAAAATAAATATCAAAGAGACAATTAATTGGCATGAAGAATGTGTTCGAACACTCAAGACTGAGGAAAAATCAAGTCATGTTCAGTAAAACATGGGTAGTTCTGAAAAGCTGATGCTTAGAGTATAATTGAGCCACACAGATCAATGGCTAAGTGGACTCCTGTGTCAGACTACGTTCACATTCCAGCTGTACTATTAATTAGCTATATGACTTGTACAATATACACAAAGCTCTGTATCTCAATTTCTTAGCATATAAAATGCATATAATAGTACTATGTAAGGTTTTGAGGATTAAGTATGAGATTATATATAAGGCGCTTCAAACTACCTACTCCTAACTGTTCATTGACATTTGTTATTATTAAAATTATTTATTAAGTTTGTAAGTCTAGATAAAACTCAGATAAATTCTCCTATAGGGTGAAGCACTATCAAAAATCAAAGTTGTTTCTGCTAATGCTGCTGTTGTTATTCTTACTTTGTGCCTTTAGTAAGAAAATCACATTGAAATCATTACTGGTAGAAGCCCACTCCTGCTCATTACCTCAATTAGAAGAAAAACAGGAGGTGAGGAATTATTTTGGTGTGGAGGCTTTTTTTTTTTTTTTAAGAGATAAGCCACTTTGCAGTTACTGTGGATGCTGTCATTCAGAAAGGAGGGCATGTAATTCCTCCTAATAGGTATTGCTAGCAGACTCCAGACATGACAAGTGGGAGAGAAGTTGGTTGGGACTCATGTAGACACCTAGGGGAATCTTCGATATAATTACTAGGGAAGATGTGTATCCCAGGAATGCCTGGAATCTCTGGACAAGTAAGCAAGAGGAAGACTTGAAAGGATTTCATGATACAGGAATACATGAGTGGGTATATAGGGTGTAGCAACAGCCAGGATTCTGTGCAGTACTGCAGATTCTGGACCACTGTCTCAGACAATAGGAAAAAAGTTGGGAATTCATCTTGTAGGACTGCAAAGTTGGACTCTGAGCATCTAGTTTCTGCTGGAAATGCCTGCTGCTGGTAATCCCTACCTTACAGGGGGATGTCCTGTCCCACTATTCTCTGATCATTTCTCCCTTATGGCCAGATTTCTCCCTTATGGCCAGAATGTGTTCTCCCTCATGGCCCTCAAGTATGTATTTCATGAGTCTTCAGGTCTGGGTTACAACAGTGCTCTATTTCCTTGAACAGTGAATGTTTACTCATAACTCCCAGCTTTGGCCTTACATCCTAAGTCTGACCTTGGGTCACCCATAGGACTCATTATGATGTCCCCATCAGTTTCCTGGTCCTGGCTATTCCTGATGAGTTCAAAGCCCAGCCAAGGGGGACATCTGAATCTTTACTAATTAAATCTTAATCTAGAAACTCAGCCTCAAAATCCTTCCCATGCCCCAAATACAGATTGCCTGTACATCCTGTCCAGTACGGCAATCTTCTCTCCAACTTGGCTGCAGGATTTTTATTTAGCTGCCTCTGCTAAAAATAACAATGAACTGGAGAAGGTTACTTTTAAAATATTGTTTCATGGTTGAGTTTATAAAGTCCTATTGATGATAAAATGCTTTAGTGAATTCTACACTAATAAGTTAAATAGCCATAGGGCAGGTCCTTTTTTCAAAGGTTCTAAAATATCCTTTAGTTTTCCTGTTTCTGAAACCAATGTCTCATTTATATGCAGTATAGTTTGGTTTAACCAATCTGCAGTGCAGCTATGTTAAGGTTGCCGGTTCAGGTGATTGCCTTTGTTGGACAGGAGAACAGCTTTTATGTTCTGTAGTCACAATACGAAGTCAGATTTAATAAGAAAGAACTTTAATAACATTGATTGTTATAAGGACCAATGGGGATCTCCTAGGTGTGGCCTTTGGAACATCTAGATTGATGCAATGGCCTATAATCATTAAATCTAAATCCTTAGAATCTAGTGGGAGTTGAAAATGGTGTTTTGTTCCCCAAGCAGGAAAGAAATAGTTTTCAACTGACATTCTAAAGCCTAGTCTCTCTGGGACTTCTCAGGTGAAATCACCTCCAGGCAAATTTGTTGTGAAAAATGATTTTTTGATCAAATAGTTAAAAAGAAAAAAGTTCACAAGCTCACAAACATTCATTTGCATAAAGTCTGTTCAAATATATTTTCTTTGATCGATCCATTTTGATGGCTACACAGGAACCTGTTACAGTTTGATTGGTCAGAATAGGGATATTTAGGGAAGCATTGGTTTAATAGTTTATTAGAGTCATAAGTAGTAACAGACTGTAGTATAAATGAAAATTTGTATTTATTTATTTACAATGAGGTATAATGTTTTTATTCAAACTAGACTCTCTGGCAAAAGATTATTTCCTACTGTCCCTTGCCAATTTATTTTTGAGAGAGGCTCTCACTCCCATTTCCCAGGTTGGAGTACAGTGGTGCAAACACGGCTCACTGCAGCCTTGACTTCCTGGGCTCAGGTGATTCTCCCACCTCAGCCTCCTGAGTAGCTGGGCGACTGTAGGCATGCGCCATCACACCCAACTAATTTTTTGTGTTTTTAGTAAAGACAGGGTTTTGCCACATTACTCAGGCTGGTCTCAAACTCCTGGACTCAACTTGGCCTCCCAAAGTGCTGGCATCACAAGCATGAGCCACTGCACTCGGCTCAACTTATTAACTAAGCAAAACAAATACAACTTAAGGATATTTAGAATAATCAATCAATTTTTTAAAACATTTGCTTTCCTTGTTGGTAAGGAATTTAAAGTTTTTAATTTTTATTCATCTATTGATTAGAACATTTATTCATAGATGTATCTAAGAATTTATATATGTATGTATGTGTATATTTAAGAGTTCCTTGAAATTTGATAAGATTTATATATGTAAATATATAAAGTGCATACTTATATATAAAATGTATATCCCCATATATAAAAATGTATGCATACCTCTTTGATCATGTGTATATGTGTGTATGTTGCAGTTGAATAATGTATATTGAAAGTGTTATAGTGGTTTTTGCTTTAATAAACCATCATGAGCAATTGTTATTATCTACTCTTTTGTGGGTTATTTTTTAAAACAGGAGATTAATTAATTGGACTGAATAAAATAAAAATTATTTCTGTTCATTGACAGACAACATTAAGACAGTGAAAAAGCAAACCAAAGATTGAGTGAAGATAAATATAGTATATATGTGTGTTATGGGGGTATACATAGAATATGAAAAGAAGTACTACAAATAAGTAATAAAATTTCAAATACAAATTTAAATAGGAAAAACAGTTAAAAGGTCCTTTTACAAAAGAGGATTTCTAAATAGCCAATAAGCAAATTAATAAATGATGAACATTATTAGGAGGTGTAATTTAAACCTTAATGAGAGACTGCTTCACAAATGTCAGAGTCTGAGGTTGCTCATTTTAAATTATTATTAAACTGCACATACATATTTTATACTCTTTGTAACAAAAGTATCTTAGAAAAATAAAAGAAAAGCTCTCCCTCTCCCTCTCCCTCTCCCCACGTCTCCCTCTCCCTCTCTTTCCACGGTCTCCCTCTCCCTCTCTTTCCACGGTCTCCCTCTCCCTCTCTTTCCACGGTCTCCCTCTCCCTCTCTTTCCATGGTCTCCCTCTCCCTCTCTTTCCACCGTCTCCCTCTCCCTCTCTTTCCACGGTCTCCCTCTGATGCCGAGCCGAGCCGAAGCTGGACTGTACTGCCGCCATCTCTGCTCACTGCAACCTCCCTGCCTGATTCTCCTGCCTCAACCTGCCCAGTGCCTGCGATTGCAGGCACGCGCCGCCACGCCTGATTGGTTTTCGTATTTTTTTGATGGAGATGGGGTTTCGCTGTGTTGGCCGGGCTGGTCTCCAGCTCCTAACCGGGAGTGATCTGCCAGCCTCGGCCTCCTGAGGTGCCGGGATTGCAGATGGAGTCTCGTTCACTCAGTGCTCAATGTTGCCCAGGCTGGAGTGCAGTGGCGTGATCTCGGCTTGCTACAATCTCCACCTCCCAGCCTCCTGCCTTGGCTTCCCAAAGTGCGGAGATTGCAGCCTCTGCCCGGCCGCCACCCAGTCTGGGAAGTGAGGAGTGTCTCTGCCTGGCCGCCCATCATCTGGGATGTGAGGAGCCCCTCTGCCCGGCTGCCCAGTCTGGGAAGTGAGGAGTGCCTCTTCCCGGCTGCCATCCTGTCTAGGAAGTGAGGAGCGTCTCTGCCTGGCCGCCCATCGTTTGAGATGTGGTGAGCGCCTCTGCCCCGCCGCCCCGTCTGGGATGTGAGAAGCGCCTCTGCCCGGCCACGACCCTGTCTGGGAGGTGAGGAGCGTCTCTGCCCGGCCGCCCAGTCTGAGAAGTGAGGAGCCCCTCCGCCCGGCAGCTGCCCCGTCTGAGAAGTGAGGAGCCCCTCCACCCAGCAGCCGCCCCATCCGAGAGGTGGGGGGGCAGCCCCCACCTGGCCAGCCACCCTGTCCGGGAGGGAGGTGGGGGTCAGACTCCACCCAGCCAGCCGCCCCGTCTGGGAGGGAGGCGGGGGGTCAGCCCCTGGCCGGCCAGCTGCCCCGTCAGGGAGGGAGGTGGGGGGTGCCTCTGCCCAGCCACTGCCCCGTCCGGGAGGTGGGGGGCACCTCTGCCCGGCCGCCCCTTCTGGGAAGTGAGGAGCCCCTCTGCCTGGCCGCCTCCCCGTCTGGGGAGTGTACCCAACAGCTCATTAAAAACGGGCCATGATGACGATGGCAGTTTTGTCAAATAGAAAAGGGGGAAATGTGGGGAAAAGATAGGGAAATCAGATTGTTGCTGTGTCTGTGTAGAAAGAAGTAGACATAGGAGACTCCATTTTGTTCTGTACTAAGAAAAATTCTTCTGCCTTGGGATGCTGTTGATCTATGACCTTGCCCCCAACCCGGTGCTCTCTGAAACATGTGCTGTGTCCACTCAGGGTTAAATGGATTAAGGGCGGTGCAAGATGTGCTTTGTTAAACAGATGCTTGAAGGCAGCATGCTCGTTAAGAGTCATCACCACTCCCTAATCTCAAGTACCCAGGGACACAAACACTGCGGAAGGCCCCAGGGTCCTCTGCCTAGGAAAATCAGAGACCTTTGTTCACTTGTTTATCTGCTGACCTTCCCTCCACTATTGTCCTATGACCCTGCCAAATCCCCCTCTGTGAGAAACACCCAAGAATGATCAATTAAAAAAAAAAAAAGTGGGCAAAGGATATGAACAGACACTTCTCAAAAGAAGACATTTATGTAGCCAACAGACACATGAAAAAATGCTCATCATCACTGGTCATCAGAAAAATGCAAATCAAAACCACAATGAGATACCATCTCATACCAGTTAGAATGGCGGTCATTAAAAAGTCAGGAAACAACAGATGCTGGAGGGGATGTGGAGAAATAGGAACACTTTTACATTGTTGGTGGGAGTGTAAACTAGTTCAACCATTGTGGAAGACAGTGTGGCGATTCCTCAGGGATCTAGAACTAGAAATACCATTTGACCCAGTGATCACATTACCGGGTATCTACTGAAAGGATTATAAATCATGCTACTATAAAGACACATGCACACATATGCTTATTGCGGCACTATTCATAATAGCAAAAACTTGGAACCAACCCAAATGTCCATCAATTATAGACTGGATTAAGAAAATGTGGCACATATACACTATGGAATACTATGCAGGCATAAAAAAGGATGAGTTCACATCCTTTGCAGGGACATGGATGAAGCTGGAAACCATCATTCTGAGCAAACTATCACAAGGACAGAAAACCAAACACCACATGTTCTCACTCATAGGTGGGAATTGAACAATGAGAACACTTGGACACAGGGCAGGGAACATCACATATAGGGGCCTGTCATGGGGTGGGGGGCAGGGGGAGGGATAGCATTAGGAGAAATACCTAATGTAAATGAACCTAATGAGTTAATGGGTACAGCAAACCAACATGGCACATGTATACGTATGTAATAAACCTGCACGTTGTGCACAACTACCCTAGAACTTAAAGTATAATAATAAAATTAAATAAATAAAATAAAATAAAATAAAAAAAGAAAAAAAAATACATTGTTGTTCCTGCAATAATAAAAATACATAGAAAAGTAGGTTAAATTAAAAATAGATCAACTGTTAGCTTTGAAGATCTCTCTCAATCATTTATGTTGCCTCTTTGGTCATCTCTCTTGCAGAATTTCCTACAAAAATTTTTTGAAATGGTGTGATGGCAGTTTGGTACTGGGATTATTAACAGCGATTAATCCTTAATGGGTCAGCTTATAAGTAACCAGATTCTCTAGCCTTCTGAAGACCAGATGGAATCCTCAACGTGGTCAGAAAATATGGTTAACTGAGTGAGAACATTGAAGTTGCAGGGAATAGCCCTGTGATGTGAGGAGCTCTGCTGAACCTTGGAGGCATAGGGCTGCCTTTGTGCAGTTATGCTGCCTTACCCTTTTCTTTTTCCATTATAGGGACTTTACCTGTGCCTTCTGGTATCTTTCTCTCAATCATGGTCATCCATGTGATACCAGTACACTGACTATAACCAGCACCCAAGTAGAATGATTACAACAGGCCACCCCTGTGCCCAGACTTTGATTTTAAGGAAGCCCTGCCCCTGGAGTTGTAGCCTGTGCCTCACCTTAAGTCCAGGAATGCAAGACAGAAACATTCTATTATTCATGGAAGGCACCTTCTGTTGTTTACAGTTATAATGCTCACTGAATGTTTTGTTTGGCGGTTTGATTTTTAGTAGCAGTTGAGAAGAGGGATTACATGGGGAACATCAATGACAAGAAGAGTAAGAAAAGTTGTGATTATGGTCAATTGGAATGAGGTGAGCTTGTAAAAAAAGGCCTGAGAAAGGTTTGAGTTAGCATTAAATACATCCTGGGGGCTAGGCACAGTGGCTCATGCCTGTAATCTCAGCACTTTGGGAGGCTGAGGCAGGAGGATCTCTTGAAGCCAGGAGTTCAAGACCAGCCTGGGCAACATAGCAACACCCTGTCTCTACAAAAAATAAGAAAAAATAGCTGAGTGTGGTGGCATATGCCGGTGGTCCTAGCTACTCTGGAGGCTGAGGTGGGAGGATCACTTGAGCCCAGGAATTTGAGGCTGCAGTGAGCCACAGTTGTACCACTGCACTCCAGCCTGGGCAACATAGCAAGACCCTGACTCTAAAATAAATAAATTTCCTTTTCGCTGATAGAAAATTTCTCTTATGATACGTTCATGCAGTCATAACACAAATTCTGCATAGAAACATACTGTTCCTTGTAATACCTTGGTATATAGTTCTCCTTTGTGTAATTTGATAATTTCAGGGATTATTAACCACTGAAATTATCCACCAGGCATTTTCTCCTGGACATCATATTCTAAAAAGTGCTTATCAACAAGTAGACATTGATATATTAAGCATGATTTTTTGAATAATTTATTCCTTTTAAGCTGTTTTTTTTCATATTTGGCTATATTTTATATTATAGGGCCTTATCAGTTTTAGTATCTACCATACATTTGTTTCTGTGTAATGAGGTATTACTCTGTTGCCAGTGGACTTAGTATGTGTATATCAAAATTTTGTACAATTGACCATTGAACAACAAAGGGGTTAGGGGTGCCAGCCCCCCACATGGTTGAAAATCTATGAAAAACTTTTTTTTTTTTTTTGAGACAGGGTCTTGCTCTTGTCCCCCAGGCTGGAGTGCAATGGTGCCACCTCGGCTCACTGCAACCTCTGCCTGCCGGGTTCAAGCGATTCTCTTGCCTCAGCCTCCTGAGTAGCTGGGATTACAGGTGCCCACCACCACGCCCAGCTAATTTTGTATTTTTAGTGGAGACAGGGTTTCACTATATTGGCCAGGCTGACCTGACCTCAGGTTGAACTCCTGACCTCAGGTTATCCGTCCGCCTTGGCCTCCCAAAGTGCTGGGATTACAGGCATGAGCCACCGCACCCAGCCACCGTGAATAACTTTTGGCCCTGCCAAAACTTAACTACGAGTAGCCTACAGTTGACCAGAAGCATTATCAATAACTAAACAGTTGATTAACATATATTTTGTATGTTATATGTATTATATACTGTATTCTTACAGTGAAGTAAGCTAGAGAAAAGAAAATGTATTAAGAAAATCATAAGGAGATAAAATATATTTACTATTCACTAAGTGGAAGTGGACCATTCTAAAGGTCTTCATCCTCATAGTCTTCAGGCTGAGTAGGCTGAGGAGGAATAGGAAGAGGAGGGGTTGGTTTTGCTTTCTCAGGAGTGGCAGGAGTAGATCCATGCAGTTCAAACCTGCGTTGTTCTAGGGTCAACTGCAGGTCCATTTTATTTATTTTTCTCTATTTAAAATGTAATAAT
This sequence comes from Homo sapiens, assembly GCF_000001405.40. Classification (NCBI taxonomy): domain Eukaryota; kingdom Metazoa; phylum Chordata; class Mammalia; order Primates; family Hominidae; genus Homo; species Homo sapiens. The sequence goes on along the minus strand of NC_000012.12, from coordinate 48,516,632 downwards.
CACTGAGATTCTATAACACTAGCAAGGTTCTTCATTTTCCAATTTAAATAATATGTTTAAATTATCAAATGTCCACAAATAGAAGAATGATATTTTATTCTACCAGAGTTTCAGACATTTCTATAATTCAGGCATGGAGAGGAACATATGGGGAACAATTTTGTGACCGAGTTGAATGTTGCACTTTTCCACAGAATGAGAACATCGTAGACTCCCTGTCTTCTTAGATTTCCTGTACACATTGGGATGCAGGTGTGGTGTGGTGGCTAATGATAACATATCTGTTCTAACATCTATTAATAAGTCCAGGGAAAACATGTCTGGCCAAAATTGTTGGCAACATCTTTTAAAATATAGAACTTTTTGCATCTATTTCTCTGTGAGCCCTATTATAAAATCGAGCACAAAAGATAAGTCCAAATCAATGTCTTTTATAATATTCTGCTTTTTGACTGTAACAGTCATCCACTCTGCACAATTGTATCTAGCTTTGTCTGCTTAATTTTATAATAATTTTTCCATAATAATTTACATACATAGTGAAAGACAGTTTTGGTTATTTTAATGTTCTATTAAGCATTTTCTCCAAAGTTTGCTGAGCAATTTCCTAAGCATGTCATTAGGCATTTTTCATTGTTACATTTTTATAATTTATTTCCTTACATTGTTTAGAACAGTAAAGTTGGACTTTCATGCTTATAAACAACATTATATTAAACTCCTTTGTACTGGTCATTTCTTTGGTATTTAAAATCACTCCTGAAATGGAACTGGTGGGTTAATGGGTAAAAATATTGGTAAGACTCCTGTCATACACTGACAGATTGCCTTCCAAAAGGGTTGGCCAGTTTACTCTGATACCAGAACTGAGGTAAACAACTGTTTCTCCCCTGCATTAAATACCACTGGCTTAAAAAATATGGTACTAGTTTGAAAAGTACGAAATGATATTAATTATTGTGAATTAATATTTCTTTTGTTATTACTGATAATACATTTACTATGTTTATTTACTAATTATATTTATTCTTTTGGAGATATTTTCTTCCTTTCTTTTACCATCCCTAATATATTGTAGTCAATGATTATCTTATCCATTTGATTGACAACATAGATATATTAAAACTAGTCTGTGTTGGTTGTTGCCAGTTTATCCACTCTCTTAGAATGAATTTTTGTTTTAGAAAACTCAGAAATAAATCTATACATCTACAGTGAACTCATGTTTCATGAAGGTGCCAAGAACATACATTAGGGAAACATACATTTTCTTCAATAAATGGTGCTGGGAAAACTGGATATCTTTATGCAGAAGAATGAAACTAGATCTCCATCTCTCACCATATACAAAAAATAAAAAGTAGATCAAAGACTTAAATCTACGACCTCAAACTATGAAACTACTAAAAGACAACATTGAGGAAATTCTCCAGGACATTTGAGTGGGCAAAGATTTCCTGAGTGATACACAACCAGCACAGGCAACCAGAGCAAAAAAGGACAAATGGGATCACATCAATTTAAAAAACTCCTGGACAGCAAAGGAAAAATAAAAAAGAGAAGAGATAACCCACAGAATGGGAGAAAATATTTGCAAGCTACCCATCTGACAGGGAATTAATAACAAGAATGTATAAGGAGCTCAAACAATTCCATAGGAAAAAATCCAATACTCTGACTAAAAAATGGGCAAAAGGGCTGAATAGACATTTCTCAAAAGAAGACATAAATGGCAAACAGGTATAAGGTGCTCAACATTATTGATCATCAGAGAAATGCAAAAACTACAATGTGATATTATCTTACTCCAATTAAAATGGCTTTTATCCAAAAGACGGGTAATAACAAATGCTGGTGAGGATGTGGAGAAAAGGGAACCTTTGTACATTGTTGATGGGAATGTAAGTTAGCACAACCACTATGGAGAATAGTTTGGAAGTTTCTCAAAAAACTAAAAATAGAGCTACCATATGATCCAGCAATCCCACTGCTGGGTATATACTGAAAAGAAAGAAAATTAGTATATCAAAGACATACCTGCACTCCCATGATTATTGCAGCACTATTCACAACAGCCAAGATTTGGAAGCAACCTAAGTGTCCATCAACAGATGAATGGATAAAGAAAATGTGATACATATACACAATGGAGTATTATTCAGCCACAAAAAAGAATAAGATCCCGTCATTTGCAACAACATGGATAGAATTGAAGGTCATTATATTAAGTGAAATAAATGAGGCATAGAAAGACAAACTTCTCATGTTTGCACTTATTTGTCAGAACTAGAAATTAAAACAATTGAACTCATGGAGATAGAGAGTAGAAGGATGGTTATTAGAGGCTGTAAAAGGTAGTTGGGGGGTGGGGTGGAATTGGGGATGGTTAATGGGTACAAAAAATAGTAAGAAATAACATCTAGTATTTGCTAGCACAACAGGTGGCTATGGTAAAAAAATAAAATTCTTTTTGAGACGGGGTGGTTGTTCTGTCATGACCATGGCTCACTGCAGCCTCAATCTCCCAGGCCCAATGGATCCTCCTGCCTCAGCCTCCTGAGTAGCTGGGACTACAAGTGCATACTACCACACCCAGCTAATTTTTTTTTTTTTGTGGACATAAAGTTTTACGATGTTGCCCAGGCTGGTCTTGAACTCCTGGGCTCAAGCGATCCACTCACTTTGGCTTCCCAAAGTGCTGGGATTATAGGTGTGAACCACTGCACCTGGCCTGTAAAAAATTATTTAATTGTACATTTAAAAATAACTAAGAGTATAATTGGATTGTTTGTAACATAAAGAATAAATGCTTAAGGTGACAGATACCCCATTTACCCTGATGTGATTATTACACACTGCAAGCATGTATCAAAATATCTCATGTAATACATAAATATGTACACCTACTATGTACTAATAAAAATGACAAATTACAAATTACAAAAAGGAAAAGTGAAAAAAACCCAAGATTTGGGTGCTAGATGTGATTGTTACTGGGATGTCATTGCTCCAGGCCCTCTCAATTGAGAGCAGGAAATACATGTGTGCATATGTACTTGTGTATATACGCATATCTATAAATATTCCTTTATGTAATCATCTCTAGTTGTGTTAAGTTAAACATGAGTTCATTCTGACATTTCCAACTCTAATCTATTATTACATAGATACTTCCAGCCTTCTCCCATTTCAACAGTGAGAGAAATCTATCTTTCACCATCTGCCATCTATTTACTTAATTGTTCACATATACATGAATGGCAGTATCAGAATTGTTAACCTATTCCCCCTCTGGAAAACAAGTTTATTAACTAGAATACAGTTCCCATGTACAGGTGCTTTTGCCTTTAGTCTTACAGACTCTACTTATTTCCAAAGGTATTTACGTCTATACCTTTTCCCCCTAACCACTTCAGTGACGTGAATTCAGCATTCAAACCTGGGATTCCCCCAGTCTCCTAAAAGATATATTTTAAATTTGCATACATGTAGGTTCATTCTTTTTTGCTACATAGTTTAATGGGCCTTGGCAGGTGCATAGTGTCATGTAACCACAATGATAGTATCATACAGAACAGTTTCACTGCCCTAAAAAATCCCAGTGATTCACCTATTCAATTTTCTTCCACTTCCCCATGAACTCTTAGCAACCAGTAATATTTTTACTTTCTGTATAGTTTTGCCTTTTCCAAAAGGTCATATAATCATACAGGTTGTAGCCTTTTCACACTGGTTTCTTTCACTTACCAATATGCATTTAAGATTCATCCATGTCTCTTTTCATGGCCCGATAGCTCATTTCTTTTTATTGCTGAATGGCATTCCATTGTATGGATGTACCACAGTTTGTCATCCATTAACTTATTGAAGAACATCTTGCTTACTTCCAGTTTTGAACAATTATAAATACAGTTAGTTATAATTATTTATGGTAGTTATGTTCTATAAAGGTGTTGTGAACATTAAATTAGTGAATATAGAACCATCGCTCCTTGCGGAAATACAAGGTTAGGTTCCTGCAAATCTCTGGTCACAGTTTCATCAAATGATTAATAGATAACCTTGTTTTATGTGTGCTTCTGTTTAAAGACACTTTATTTAATACATATTTCTTACAAAGAATTATTTGCACAGTCTTTGCATGATTTAAAAACAGGGCTTTGAAGGTCATTTGCATTATATAGGTTCATTTGCCAATGTCCTTGTGAAAGAAACCAGTCTCATCAGTGTTGAACACTTACTGTTATACGCAACTCTTTTCACATATAACGCTTAGCATGTATTCTAAAAATTTATCCGTAGCTTCCTTACCCTCTGAACCTGTATCACCTGCACATGTAATACTTTTTTCTCTCTCTTTTTTTTGAGACAGAAGACAGAGTCTTGCTCAGTAGCCAAAGCTGGAGTGCAGTGATGCGATCTTGGCTCACTGCAACCTCTGCCTCCAAGTTCAAGCAATTCTAGTGCTTCAGCCTCCTGAGTAGCTGGTATTACAGGCATGTGCCACCAAGCCCAGCTAATTTTTTTTGTATTTTTAGTAGAGACGGGGTTTCACCATGTTGGCCAGGCTGGTCTCGAACTCCTGACTACAGGTGATCTGCTCACCTCGGCCTCTCAAGTGCTGGGATTACAGGCATGAGCCACTGCACCTGGCTTAACACTTTTCATACTGTATTGCCTTTCAAAACATGTGACTTAGCCAGCACTAACCAAAAAGATTTAGCATTTTCCTCACCCTGAATAATGTGACTATAAATTTATTTGGCTTTCAGCCTCACAGCAATGTGGTCCACTATCTATTTTTTAAAATAAATTTTATATTTTAGAAAAGTTTTAGGCTTATAGCTGTTGGGGTGATCAGATCGAACACCAGGCCATGGGGGCGATGGAGTCTGGTGGAGTCAAAGGAATGAGAAAAGGCAGGTTAAGGCATAAAGTGGGACCAGGGAGGTTAGTATGTGCTCTTATATGAGTAATATAGAAAGGGGAATGTCCTTGTTGTACTGCTTGCTGCAAAGAATGAAATAAAAGATTAAGTTGGTCATCAGTTACCTTCCAAATTAAGGCACATTCAATATTTTGCGTGACTTGCACCACATAAGCTGAATCAGAAACAATGTTTACCGGCTGTTTAAAAGTTTTCAACACTGTTACCACAGCCATAAGTTCAGCCCTTTGAGCAGGAGCAAAGTCAGTTTGAAAACTTGTTGTTGAGGTCCTACAAATGAGGCTTTTCCATTACTAGACCCATCAGTAAAAACAGTAATGGCCCCTTCAATAAGGGCTTTTTGAGTAATGGAAGGCAATATCCATGATGTCAATTTTAGACACTGGAAGATTTTAGACTTAGGATAATGATTATCAAGAATGCCAATAAAACTGGCCAAATTAACTTGCTATTCCTGGGAATTAATATAAGCTTGTTGAATTTGTTGTTTAGTTAATGGAACTATAATTAGATTTGGGTCATATCCCATTAATTTTGTTGTGTGCAGCCTTGCTTGATTATTAGCACAGCAATTTGATCTAGATATAGTGAGTGTTTTAGTTGTATTGCGAGGTAGAAAAAGCCACTCAACTAGATCATTTTGTTGAACAATAACTCCTGTAGGGGAATGCTTAGTAGGAAAAACTAAAAACTGTAATGGCTGCACTGGATCAATTCATTCCACTTGAGCTTGTTGAATTTTTTCTTCATTTAACTGAAGTTCCTCCAATTCTTCTTTGGATGGGGAACGTTTACTGTTAAGGTTAGAATCACCTCTTAAAGTAGAAAAGAGGTGAGACATAGCATAGGTAGGAATACCTAAAGTGGGGTGAACCCAATTAATGTCTCCCAGTAATTTTTGAAAATCATTCAGTGTTTTTAAATTATCTCTTTGAATTTGAACCTTTTGAGGCTTAATAGTACTTTGTTCTACTTTCATCCCTAAATATTGAAAGGGAGTAGAAGTTTGAATTTTATCAGGGGCTATAATTAACCCTGCTGCAGTTATAGTCTTTTCTAACTGTTTGTAGCATAACATTAATTCTTCCCTAGTTTCAGCTGCACATAGAATATCATCCATGTAATGAATACTATAACATTTTTAAAACTGTTCTCTAACTGGCTTAATAACTTTCCCAACATAGGTTTGACAAATAGTTGGGCTATTTAACATGCCCTGTGGTAGTACCTTCCAATGGTATCTGTCTGCTGGTTCTTTGTTATTTATGGCAGGAACAGTAAAAGCAAATTTTTCATAATCTTGGGTAGCTAAAGGAATGGCAAAAAAGCAATACTTTAGATCTATTACTATAAGAGGCTAGTATTTTTGGAATCATGGCTGGGGGCGGGCAGCCTTGGTTGCAGTGCACCCATGGGTTGAATTACAGCATTAACAGCTTGTAAATCTGTTAACATTCTCCATTTCCCTGATTTTTTCTTACTGACAAACACAGGAGAATTCCAAGGAGAGAAAGTAGGCTCTATGTGTCCCTTTTGCAATTGTTCCTGCACCAATTCTTTTAAAGCCTCCAGTTTTTCCTGTTTCAGTGGCCATTGCTCCACCCAAATCAGTTTGGCAGTTAGCCAAACAAGAGGATTGGGAGCAGGAGGCTCAACAATGGCTGTTCCTAAAAATGATACCCCAATTTGGTTCAATCTGTTTGCCCTTTTAATTCTAAAGATTCTAATTGGCCACTTTCATTTTTTCCTAATTCTTTTCCTGGGAGATATCCCATATTTTTCATCATTAGTTTACTATTATTACTATATTGGTCCATAGGAATAGATATTTCAGCACCCCATTGTTGCAATAAGTCTCTACCCCATACACTGACAGGAATAGGTATAATAATAGGTTGGATTGTCCCTTCCTGGCCATCTGGCCCTAGACATGGCAAAATCAAGGAACTTTGAAAAACTTCTGAAGCAACTCCTACTCCAGCAATACCAATGAATGCCTTTGCCTTTTGTTTGGGCCAGTGTTGGGGCCATTGATTTAAAACAATAATAGAAACATTAGCTCCAGTATCTACTAGCCCTTCAAAGTCCTTTCCCTGAATTGTTACTGTACAAATAGGTGTTTTGTCAGACACTTGATTAACCCAATATACAGCCTTGCCTGCTGGATTAGTACTACCAAAGACTCCTGTTCTTTTCACTGTGCTGCTCCCTAGTTTTGTGTAAGGCAGTAGCAGCAACTGAGCAATTCTTTCTCGTGGGGAAGCAGACCATGGAGTTGAGGAACTAATAACTAGTTGAATCTCTCCAGTATAATCAGAATCAATTATTCCAGTATGCACAGTGACACCTCTTAAATTTAAACTAAATCTTCCAAGCAATAAACCAACTGTTCCTGAGGGTAAAGGGCCCCTAACCCCTGTGGGGACCTTTTTTGGTGGCTCTCCAGGAAGTAGGGAGATGGGAATTGTGCTGCAGAGGTCTATGGCAGCACTGCCTGCTGTGGTGGGAACAATTATTGCAAGTTTGTAACGGCATTGGCTGTGCTGGATATGCCTCAGTTTGTTGAGCAGCCCAAGGCGGGCCCCTTTTCCCATTTCCCAAAAGAAGTTGTCCATCTTTTCTAAATTTAGAGTGACACTGATTTGCCCAGTGATTGCCTTTTTTACAATGGAGGCATACACCAGGGCTTTTCTGTTGTTTGATGATAGTAGTTCTTGCCTTTTGCTTCCCTTTTTTACATTCCTATTTTGTATGTCCAAATTGCCCACAATTAAAACAAGAAACTGAAAAATGGGGCATATTTTTTCTGACTTTTAATCCAGCCATAGCCTGAGATAAAAGAGTAGACTTAATGTAAGTTACCTCCAATGCCATCACAAGCTTTAATATATTCAGCCAAATGAGCCTTCCCTCTCATAGGTCTAATAGCATTTTGACACTCTGCATTAGCATTATCATATGCAAGAAGTTGTATTACAACATTTTGAGCTGTTTTATCAGTTATGGCTTTATACACAGCCTCTTGGAACCAAGCAATAAAATCAATATATGCTTCTTTAGGTCCCTGTTGGACAGAACTGAAAGAAGGATATTTTTCTCCAGTAACATTTATCCTTTCCCATGCCCGTAAGCACACAAAGTGCAGAAGAACATCCTCCATTACTGCTTGATTTTCTAATCGACCCCAATTAGGGCCGACCCCCATTAACTGTTCAAAGGAAACAGGCACAGGTGGCTGTGCTTGTATGTTTTCCCTTGCCTGAGTTTGAGCCTCACCCGCCCACCAGGTTTTAAACTGTAAGTATTGAGATGGAATCAGAACAGATTTTGTTAAAGTATCCCAATCATGTGGTATTAACCTACTATCAAGAGCCATATTTTTTAGCAAAGTTTGCACAAAAGGAGAGTTTGGCCCATATTGACTAATGGCCTCCTCGAATTCCTTTAACAATGTAAGGGAAAAGGTGGCCCAATTAGTTATATTCTGTCCTCCTTGCCGGGTTATAGTAACTGGAAAATGCCATGCTTCAAGGTCTCCCGTAGCTCTAGCCTTTTGAATAGAATTTTGTGTAGCACCACCAATTGCTCCAAATTTTAATGTTGCCACTACAGGAGTGGTAACTTTTGCAGCTAATTCATCTTCTTGCCCATTAGAGGGATGGGGAGGAGGTGGCCATTCAATTCAGCAGGCAGAGCCAATGGGCTAGTAAAACATACCCTTTTCAGTTTCCCTTTCTTTTCTTTAATTTCCTCTGGTTTTTGCTCCTCGCATTCAGAATCTGAAGTTAGTTTTTTACACTCATCTTTCTCTTCCTTTTCTGAATCTGCCTCATCATCTGTTTGAAATAGCTCAAGAGCTGCCTTTATTAATGCCCACACTGACCAGACAGAAACTGGAATTTTTGCTCCATCTTTATACGCCTTTTTAAACTCTCTTCCAATTCTGTCCCATTCATCCAATCCATAGTCCCTTGTTCTGGGAACCATGAACAAAACTGCTCTACTGTACTGAAAAGTGTTAACAAATTCTGAGTACTAACCTTCACTCCCCCTCTCTGTAATAAATGCCTCAAGAAATTTAAATAAGCAGTATGTTTGCTTGCACTTTGCCCCATAGTTACTCTGGTTCTTCTGAGCACCCAGCTTACCTGCTGAGCTTCCTTCAGTCGTCCTCGGGTGTCCTCTGATGATGCGTCCTCCACTTCCACACGCTCTAGCATTCCATTGCCAGAATCTTCGTCGCCCCACATTGGGCACCAGGGATGTTGGGGTGATCAGACCCAACACCAGGCCATGGGGGCTATGAAGTCCGGTGGAGTCAAAGGAATGACACAAGACAAGTTAAAGAGTACATAGTGTTGGTCCAGGAGCCAATGCTAGTATGGAGGCTGTGAAGGCCCCGAGCTCTGGGACCCCACGCTATTTATTGGTGATCAAACAAAGAAACAGGTGGTGAGGATGTGGGGGTTGAAAGGTAGTGATTCATCAAGTGCGTGATCTACAGCTGTGATGGTTTAGCATTTTCTCTGAAGCATATGGAGATAACGGGAAACATGTTCTTCTAGTTTAAGATGCAATCAATCTATGTGACTGGAACTGCTAGAAGCAAGGAGCCAGCAAGTCTAGACACATTCCAGAGGCCATGGGGGGTTTTATGCCCTGAGCCCTGGATTCCATTCAAGCCATGAGGGGTTTTATGCCCTGGGCTTAGGTTGTAATGCAGCAGGGCAGCCTTCCACCCTTAAGCACAGAGCTTGGTGTTCCATAGGGCACAAGAGGTTTTAAACTCTGGACCCAGGACATGTTCCAAGACTCTTTTTATATTATGTCAGACTAGCAAGTCTTGCCTCAGCTTTTCTCCCAACACATAGCAAAATTGAGCTGAAATTGTATAAAGTTCTCATATACCTCTGTCCCTAAACATGCACAGCCTCCCCAACTATCAATATCCCACACTAGAGTGGTCCTTTCATTATAATTAATTAACATACATTGATACATTATTATCACCCAAAATCTATAGTTTACATTAAGATTCATTCTTGGTGTACATTCTATGATTTTGACAAATGTATACTGACATGTATCTGCCATTATAACATCATACAAAATGTTGTCACTGCCCTAAAAATCCTCTGTGCTCTGCCTACTCATCCCTCCCTCCCCACAACCCCTGGCAACCATTGATCTTTTCACTGTCTCCATAGTTTTGTCTTTTCTAGAGTGTCATATAGTTGGAACCATCCTCTATGAACCCTTTCCAGAGTAGCTTCTTTTGCCTGGTAATATGCGTTTAAGTTTCCTTCATGTGTTTTTATGTCTTGATTGCTCATTTCTTTTTAGTGTTAGGGTTGAATAATATTCTGTTGTTTAGATGTATGACAGTTTATCTACTTCTCAACTGAAGGTCATCTTGTTTGATTCCAATTTTTGGCAACTATGAATAAAGTGGCTATAAACGTCCATGTGCAAGGTTTTGTGTGGATATACACTTTTGACTAATTTGAGTAAATACCCAAATGATTATATGGTAAGAGTATGTTTAGTTTTTTAAGAAACTGACAAACTATCTTCCAAAGTGACCATACCATTTTGCATCCCCACCAGCAGTGAATGAGAATTTCCGTTGCTTCACATCCTCACAAGAATTTGGTGTTGTCAGTATTTTGGACTTTGGCTATTCTAACAGGTGTGTAGTGGTATCTCATTGTTGTTTTAATTTGCAATTACCTAATGACATTTATATGGAGCATCTTTTTAGATGATTATTTTCCATCTGTATTTATTTTTTAGTGAGGTGTCTGTCCTTTTGCCCATTTTTAAATTGCATTGTTCATTTTCTTATTGTTCTTTGTATATTTTGGATAATAGTCCCTTATGGAATATGTCTTTTGCAAATATTTTCTCCCAGTCTGTGGTTTGTCTTCTCATTCCCTTGACAACATCTTTCTGAAAGGAGAAATTCTGAATTTTAATGAAGTCTAGCTGATCAATGATTATGTCCATGGATCATGCCTTTGATGTTGCATCTAAAAAGTTATCTCCATACCCCAAATCATTTAGACTTTCTCCTGTGTTATATTCTAGGAGTTTTAGAGTTTTGTCTTTAACATTTAGGCATTTGATTCATTTTTAGGTTAATTTTTGTGAAGGGCATAAAGCCTGTGTCTAGATTCATTTTATTGCATGTAGATGTCCAGTTGTTCCAAAATCATTTGTTGAAAAGATTATGTTTTCTCCATTGCATTGCCTTTGCTCCTTTGTCAAAGATCGGTTGACCATATTTATGTGGATCTATGTCTGGGCTGTATATATATATTCTATTCCAGTAATCTATTTGTCTATTTGTCCCTTTGTCCAATACCACACTATCTGGATATTTATAGCTTTATAGTAAGTCTTGAAGTTAGGTAGTGTCAGTCCTCTCATTTATTTTTCTCCCTCAATATTGTTGGTTATCCTGGTTATCTTGGGCATTTTGCCTCTCCATATAAACTAGACAGTCAGTTTGTTGATAGTCACAAAATAACTTTCTGGGATTTGGTTGGGATTGCATTGAATCTATAGATTCAATCTATAAATCAGTCAATAGATTGACATAGGTTGAATCTATAGATCAACTTGAAAAGATTGACTTATTGACAATATTGAGTCTTTTTATTCACAAACATGGTATATCTCTCTATTTAGTTATGGTTTGATTTATTTCACCAGTTTTGTAGTTTTCTTTTTTGGGGGTGCTAATGTAAATGATATTGTGTTTTTAACTTCAAATTCAATTTTTACATTGATGAAATATAGGAAAGTGATTGACTTTTGTATATTAATCTTGCATCCTGCAACCTTGCAATAATTGCTTGTTAGTTCCAGCAGTCTTTACATCAATCTTTTGGATTTTTTTACACAGATGATCATATTATCTGTGAACAAAGATAGTTTTACTTCTTCCTTATATATATATATACACACACATATGTATTATACACACACACACACACACACACATAAATACTTTAATTTTACTTTTGTCTTACTGCATTAGGACTTCCAGAATGATGTTGAAAAGGAGGGGTGAGAGGGCACTATGCATTTTAAATATTGCTAATCATTTCATAAATTTACAAATTTAGTTGCTTTTCTATCTTTCCCATAGCTTTGTCCTGTTATTTTAGCACTTTCCATAGGACCTCACATACAGATCAGTGAATTTCCTATTCCTTTGTCTGGATGTACATATGCTTATTCACTAACATTGAATTCATGGCCAACCACACTGTAACTTTTGCCTGATTCAGACCTATCTAGCATAGGTATTGTCTTTGTAAAGCTCATCACAGGCTTCTTGTACTTAGAAATACTAGACAGCACTTCAGCACTATGCTTGGGGACCATTTTAAACAGTGAAATCACCAACAAAAAACATAAATGCATAAAAAATGTGGCACTAAATCGACTGCAAAAGAGTTACTTGTCTACAATATGAGAATTGAAACAAGAAGGCAGAGTTGGGAAGCTCAGTTGCTCAAGCTCAGTTGGGAACGTCCACTTCAGGTGACTCAAATTTTTCACTACTCTCTGCACATCTTTGAATGACCACAAAAGTATCATGAGCATTGATTTTGGGGTTACAAGTTAATTTTAGAAAATAGGTGAATCACAAATATAAAACCTGCAGGTAAGGAGGATTGACTGTAAAGCTGCCATAAATATTCATGTGGAGATTTTATGTGAACATACATTTTTCAACTCAGTTGGATAAATACCTAGAAGCATAAATGCTGGATGGTATGGTAAGATTATGTTTAATTTTGTAAGAGACTGTCAAACTATCAAAGTGCCTGTACCATTTTGCATTTTTTGCATTCTGACCAGCAATGAATGAGAGTTCCTGCTGCTCCACATCCCTCCCAAGAATTTGATAGTGTCAGTTTTTTGGATTGCAGCCATTCTAATAGGTGTGTAGTGGTATCTCTTTGTTGTTTTTATTAGCAATTCCCTAATAACTTATAATGTTGAGCATCTTTTCATCTGCTTATTCGCCATCTGTAGGTCTTGACATCAGATGGTGTGAGTCCCCCTACTTTGTTATTCTTCAATATTGTATTGGCTACTCTATGGCTTTTGCCTTTCCAAATAAAATTTAGGGCTAGTTCATTAATAGCTATAAAATAGCTTCTGGGATTTTGATTGATACTGCATTCAATCTATAGATCAAATTGGGAAAAATGGACATCCTAACAATATTGAGTCTTCAATCCATGAACACAGAATCTTTCTATTTATTTGTGTCTTCTCCAATTTATTTATATCTTCTTTGGTTTTTAAAATCATGATTTTGTAGTTTTCTGTATGTCGATCCTGTATACATCGATTACATGGCTTAGAGTAGGTCCTGAAATGAAGTAATATGTCCTTCAACTTTGTTCTCATAGTTTTGGCTGTTATAGGGTCTTTGCTTTGCCCTATGCATTTTAGAATCAGCTTGCAAATTTCTATGAAAAACCTCCCAGGCTTTTAATATTATATTGCTACGTATTAAAGGATATGTAGCTTGAATATATAAAGAAGTCTAATAACTCAGTAAAATAAGACAACCCAAAGTAAAATAGGCAAGATATTTGAACAGGCACTTCACTAAAGAAGATATACCAATGTAAGTAAGCATTTGAAATAATGCTTAACATCATTAGTCATTAGAAAAATATACTACATACTCCAGAGTGGCTGAAAATTAAAAAGACTGACAATACCAAGTATTGATGAAGATGTGTAGTAACTGGATCTCTCATATATTGGTAGGAATGTAAAAGTGGTATATCCAATTTGGAAAATAATTGGACAGTTTCTTTTCCCTTCTTTTTTTTTTTCCTTTTTTTTTTGAGACAGAGGACAGAGTCTCGATCTTTTTGCCTAGGCTGGAGTGCAATGGCATGATCTCTGCTCACTGCAACCTCCGCCTCCCAAGTTCAAGTGATTCTCCTGCCTCAGCCTCCTAAGTAGCTGGGATTATAGGCATGTGCCACCACATCTGGCTAATTTTGTATTTTTAGTAGAGATGGGGTTTTACCATGTTGGCCAGGCTGGTCTTGAACTCCTGACCTCAGGTGATCCACCCACCTCAGCCTCCCAAAGTGCTGGGATTGTAGGCATGAGCCACTGTGCCTGGCCTGTCAGTTTCTAATAAAGTTACCCTTATCATATTATCCACTGCACACCCATGCATAAAGTTCATGTGGGCCTTATTTATAATAGTCAAAACCTGTGGGGAAAACACCAAATATCTATTAACTCTTGAATAAAAATCTGGTGGTATATGTATATAAGGTAACACATTCAGCATTAAAAAGAAATAAACTACCCAGACATGGATGAATAAGGATGAATCTCCAAAGCATTATGTTAAGTGAAGGAAAAAAGATAAAAATACTATATAAAGTATGATTTAACTTATATGAACTTCTAGAAAAGGCAAAACTACAGTGATCTAAATCAGAACCATGATTGTCAAGGAGGATGGGAGGCCTGGCAGGCTGGGTGCAGAGACCGATGGCAAAGGCACATGAGGGAACTTATTTTAATGGAAACAATTCTGTATCTTGTTTTGGTGGTGATTACATGGCTGCCTAGATTTGCCAAAGCTCATCAAACTGTATACTTAAAATGGGTTGATTTTATTTAATGTAAATTATTAAAGATGCTAAAGAGATAATAAACTTTAACTTACACAGATGTAAACTGTATGTCATGAATAGAAAAAACAATAGGAATGGAAAAATAGAAGATATTGTTTCAAGGTTTTCACATTTTACCTTATGAGATGGTATCATATCATTTGAAAGTAGAATTCAAAAAGTAGATATGTTAAAGTTTAAGTAGATAAATTAAAACTTCGTATTACAAACTGAGAAAACACTAAAAAAACTAGAATTTTTAGCTAATAATCCAGTAGTGGAAATAAAGTGAAAGGCTAAAATATATTCAGCCCAAAAGAAGGTAGGAAAACAGGCAAAAAGGAATAAATTACGGAATGAAAAAACAGAAAATAGTATCATGGTCATTTTATATCCAACTACTTACATGTACATTATACATAAGTGGTCTAAAAACTCAAATTGAAAGGTAGAAATTTGCTCTCCCTCTCCCTCTCCCTCTCCCTCTCCTTCTCCCCACGGTCTCCCTCTCCTTCCACGGTCTCCCTCTCATGCTGAGCCGAAGCTGGACTGTACTGCTGCCATCTCGGCTCACTGCAACCTCCCTGCCTGATTCTCCTGCCTCAGCCTGCCGAGTGCCTGCGATTGCAGGCACGCGCTACCAAGCCTGACTGGTTTTTGTATTTTTTTGGTGGAGACGGGGTTTCGCTGTGTTGGCCGGCCAGTCTCCAGCTCCTAACCACGAGTGATCCGCCAGCCTCGGCCTCCCGAGGTGCCGGGATTGCAGACGGAGTCTCGCTCACTCAGTGCTCAATGGTGCCCAGGCTGGAGTGCAGTGGCGTGATCTTGGCTCGCTACAATCTCCACCTTCCAGCCTCCTGCCTTGGCCTCCCAAAGTGCGGAGATTGCAGCCTCTGCCCGGCCGCCACCCCGTCTGGGAAGTGAGGAGCGTCTCTGCCTGGCCACCCATCGTCTGGGATGTGAGGAGCCCCTCTCCCTGGCTGCCCAGTCTGGAAAGTGAGGAGCGTCTCCGCCCTGCCGCCATCCCATCTAGGAAGTGAGGAGCGCCTCTTCCCGGCTGCCATCACATCTAGGAAGTGAGGAGCGTCTCTGCCCGGCCGCCCATTGTCTGAGATGTGGGGCGCGCCTCTGCCCCGCCACCCTGTCTGGGATGTGAGGAGCGCCTCTGCCCGGCCGCGACCCTGTCTCGGAGGTGAGGAGCGTCTCTGCCCGGCCGCCCTGTCTGAGAAGTGAGGAGACCCTCTGCCTGGCAACCGCCCCGTCTGAGAAGTGAGGAGCCCCTCCGCCCGACAGCCGCCCCGTCTGATAAGTGAGGAGCCTCTCCGCCTGGCAGCCACCCCATCTGGGAAGTGAGGAGTGTCTCCGCCCGGCAGCCACCCCGTCCGGGAGGGAGGTGGGGGGGTCAGCCCCCCGCCAGGTCAGCCGCCCCGTCCGGGAGGTGAGGGGCGCCTCTGCCTGGCCGCCCCTACTGGGAAGTGAGGAGCCCCTCTGCCCGGCCAGCCACCCCGTCCGGGAGGGAGGTGGGGGGGTCAGCCCCCCGCCCGGCCAGCAGTCCCGTCCGGGAGGTGAGGGGCGCCTCTGCCCGGCCGCCCCTACTGGGAAGTGAGGAGCCCCTCCGCCGGGCCAGCTGCCCCGTCCAGGAGGGAGGTGGGGGGGTCGGCCACCCGCCCGGCCAGCCGCCCCGTCCGGGAGGTGAGGGGCGCCTCTGCCCGGCCGCTCCTACTGGGAAGTGAGGAGTCCCTCTGCCCGGCCACCACCCCGTCTGGGAGGTGTGCCCAACAGCTCATTGAGAACGGGCCAGGATGACAATGGCGGCTTTGTGGAATAGAAAGGGGGGAAAGGTGGGGAAAAGATTGAGAAATCGGATGGTTGCCGTGTCTGTGTAGAAAGAAGTAGACATGGGAGACTTTTCATTTTGTTCTGTACTAAGAAAAATTCTTCTGCCTTGGGATCCTGTTGATCTGTGACCTTACTCCCAACCCTGTGCTCACTGAAACATGTGCTGTGTCCACTCAGGGTTAAATGGATTAAGGGCGGTGCAAGATGTGCTTTGTTAAACAGATGCTTGAAGGCAGCATGCTCGTTAAGAGTCATCACCACTCCCTAATCTCAAGTACCCAGGGACACAAACACTGCAGAAGGCCACAGGGTCCTCTGCCTAGGAAAACCAGAGACCTTTGTTCACTTGTTTATCTGCTGACCTTCCCTCCACTATTGTCCTGACCCTGCCAAATCCCCCTCTGTGAGAAACACCCAAGAATGATCAATTAAAAAAAAAAAAAGGTAGAAATTTTAGAATGAATAAAAAAGCAAGACTCAAATATAAGTTTGAAATATAAATATGATTTAAATATAAATATAAAACACATAGATTAAAAGTAAAAGGATAGAAAAAGACATCACACAAAGCTCTAAGCATAAGCTAGAGGAGTTCTGTTAATAGAGAAAAGAGTGGAAGTGGTGAGAAATGGGAGAAATTATAGCATATATAGATGATATTGAAATAATTGCAACAGCAACAAGAAAGAAAAAATGATTCAGGAAAAAAGGGGAGAATTGTGGGAGCAATGCTTTTGAGAAGGCTTGATGCATTATGGACCTAGTGCACAAGTAGAGGACGTCCCTATAGATAGGCACGTGGAGAGGGCATCCAAGTAGACAAGTGGACCACCTTCATGCTTTCCTACATATCATCTCGCCCTATCCAATGTTTAGACCTCCACTTATTTTTTCTTTTCCTTTTTTGGATATTTTGTTGTCTAGAACATTCAGAACTTGTTGAAATATGGCAACAATGTTAGAAATCAGTCTTTTCTCTTAATTTAATGACATTTTTAATGTGTTACTTCTGATGTACTGATTCCCTTGTCCCTGTGTCATTGATACTTAAGCAAATAGGTAGAAAGCTACTTTTTTTTCAGGCTTATTCTAGGCTAATCAATTTGGGATCACAGACTGGTGTGCTAGGCAATGAGGATGTGCGCCAAGGGCACACTCGCATACACACTGTAATGCAGGAAACCCCCCATGCCAATTCGGTCTGATCATTATTGATTTGTAAAACCTGCTCTCCTCCATTGTCCTGGCTCCTTCAAAGCCCTACTTTCCCCATGGGTCTCCTCCCCAAAAGTCCTTAATACTCTCTAGGGGCTACATTCTTTTCCCTTAAAATTTAGGAAACTTGTGAATATCCTCCCCACCTCTTAGCCCAGGAATGAAGGCATGGTAACAAAAGCAAATGAGTGTAATGACTAGGTGGTTGAAAAAGCTCCTAAATCTTTCCTTTGCAGTGCAGATTCATCTGTCTAACAATGTGTTTGAAGTCTCTGCTTTGATGTCTCATAGACTCTCAAACATATTTCCAAAAGTAAATTTTTGTTTTCACCTCCAAAGTCTCTTCCTCTCAGTCGTCTCAATTTCTAGTAATGTGTTGCTTCCTTTCATCCAGTTGCTCCAGTTCAAGTCCTGGATCATCCTTGATTATCCTCAGTGACATTAGTGCTTCCTCACTTAACGCCATTCATACAGGAGATATTTTACCAGTAGCAATTTCTTTACTCCATGTTCTTTAAGCTCAGTATCTGACTCACGATAGACAATATTTTCTGTGTAAATGAATGAAGTTCTTTCCTCAATATTATTTATTTATTTATTTGAGACAGAGTCTTGCTCTGTTGCCCAGGCTGGAGTGCAATGGCACCATCTCAGCTCACTGCAACATCTACCTCCTGGGTTCAAGTGATTCTCCTGCCTCAGCTTCCAGAGTAGCTGGGACTATAGGCACCCGCCACCACACCTGACTAATTTTTGTATTTTTAGCAGAGATGGGGTTTCAGTATGTTGGCCAGGCTGGTCTCGAACTCCTGACCTCAGGTGATCCGCCTGCCTTGGCCTCCCAAAGTGCTGGGATCCACTGCACCTGGCCTCAATATCATTTATTAATGAGCCCTTCTAATCCTTCTTGATTAGGAATTTTTGACTATCACAGGCTGAAACTTTTCTGGATCACAAATTGCATTTCTATTCCACTAATTATTTCTGCCTTTTAATATGATACAATATAACTTCAGTGGCTGTAACTTTGAGAAGTAAAAATTTGAAGGTAACTCCATTAATACCTTGATTTGTTTTTGGACATTTCTTTCTTTCTTTTTCTTTTTTTTTGAGATGGAGTTTCGCTCTTCTTGCCCAGGCTGGAGTACAATGGCGTGATTTCGGCTCACCGCAACATCTGCCTCCCAGGTTCAAGCGATTCTCCTGCCTCAGCCTTCCCGAGTAGCTGAGATTACAGGCATGTGCCACCATGCCTGGCTAATTTTATATTTTTAGTAGAGATGGGGTTTCTCCATGTTGGTCAGGCTGGTCTCAAACTCCCGACCTCAGGTGATCCGCCTGCCTCAGCCTCCCAAAGTGCTGGGATTACAGGTGTGAGCCCAGCCTGTTTTTGGACATTTTGTCTTATGCTTCTGGATGAATTTTGCTACCTATTGGTATAAAATATCTTGCTGGGATTTTATATTTAAGTGTTTTTAGAAATGGAAAACACTGGGCTGGGTGCAATGGCTCACGCCTGTAATCCCAGCACTTTGGGAGGCCAAGATGGGTGGATCGCCTGAGGTCAGGAGTTCGAGACCAGCCTGGCCAACACAGTGAAACCCCGTCTCTACTAAAAATACAAAAATTAGCTGGGCGTGGTGGCAGGTGCCTGTAACCCCAGCTACTCGGGAGGCTGAGGCAGGAGAATCACTTGAACCCAGGAGGCGGATGTTGCAGTGAGCTGAGATTGTGTCATTGCACTCCAGCCTGGACGACAAGAGCAAAACTCCGTCTCAAAAATAAATAAATAAATATATAAAATAAAATAAAGAAATGGAAAACACTGACAACATTTTTAATACTGTTGAGCTAGCATGAAAATAGAGGGCACCCTTGTCTGGTTTTGTTTTCAATATAATCCAATAATTACAGTGTCTCCTGATCAGGTAATTTAATTTTTAAAGTGTTAATTAAAAAAATAAAATTTTATGTTAACAAATGCCAAGTCAACATCTATGAGGAGAAGATTTTTATGAAGTTACCTTATTGCCATAATGTGTTCTGATTATTATTTTGCTGGTGTTGTGAAAAATTCTTACTTCAGGGGTTAAATCTTACATGATAGAATATTTAATATATTATGTTCATTTGTTCAGATTTTGTTTAAAAGGAAAGAAATAAAAATTCTACTTTACCAGTTATGTAATATGCACATTTATATATGCAAAGATTACCATCTTTGACAAATACCCTAAATAGTCCTTTCTTGTAGGAAATACTTTTGTACTAGGTGGTCTTTTCACAGGCTGGGAGTAACTATCTTTAAGTGGTAGACTGTGAGACCATCCAGATCACAGGATACTGGAAATGAAAGGCACCTTCAGCATTTTCTAGTAACAGCTACTTACTTTATGGGAGAGGAAACTGAGGCCCACAAAGAAGAAAAACTCAGACAAAGTCAGATTGAGTTTATGACATTATAGTGCAGGTTCTCCCATGCTACAGTGCTGTTCTTTGAACCAAATGCACTATCATACTTGGAAATTCTATCACTACCCATTCCACAGCCCAGGAAGAACCAGGAAGGCAAGTCTTCTACGTCACATTTATTTCATCAGCTGTTTGCCAAACCAAGCTGGTTTCCTTGCTTTGGCAGTTGGTTTCCTTGCTTGGGTCTCACTTGATTTCCAAGTTCCCAGTTTCAGCCATAGACCCTGGCATCTCCACTCATGGGCACCACCCTCTCTTCTGGGTTCAGTGATGATGTCTGCTAATATCTTCCCCAACTGAAGCTGTGCTGTAGATGACATAGTCATATGGATGGGAATAAAAGAAATTTATTCTCCTCCCTGCTGGACAATTTACTAGGCAGGTGACCCTGAGAGTAAAAGCAGTCCTCGTGGTGACGCTTCTACCCTCATGACCCCATCCCAAGATATCCAACAGGAACTAAGGAGGAGATCCATTAGTTGTAGACAATATTCTCTGTGTAGTTTCCACATCAGGAATTTTGCTGTCCTACACTTGCTGTCTATGTCGTACTAGAGGAAGGAAGCTTCCTGCCTTACAATCTGAACCCAAACTGGGTTTTAATAGAGGTTTTGTGAGTGTATGTATTACATTCAGCAAAATATAATCTTAATGATAAAATATGGAAATACTTTGTGTATTTTGATGATTTGTGGGGGAAACAGGATAAAATATTTGAAAGGGGACTATTCAAGAAAATACATAGAGTCACTGTACTTAGACACAGGTGGATGAAACCAATTTTCTCCATCACCTATAACTCAGATTGTTTCTTAAAAGGAATTCCTAATGAGCCCTAGAGAAGGCCATATAGAGGGTGTGGCTAGCATAGTCTCTGCCACAGGGTGAGCACCTGAGACAGTCTTCTTCTCCAGGTGGGTTAGGTGTCAGATGAGCCTATGGAGCAGGAGAGTGAAAAGGGTTGAGGAAATGGCCTGTCACTTAAACAGTGCCTTTGGGGAAGCATACTCAAGTACTTTAGGAAAGAAAACCCAGACAAGGGAGTCTATAAAGGATAGACTGTGTCTGACTCTTGACACTGAATTAAGCCCCCAAAGTAGTGCAAGTTTCTAGAGCACTTTCCAGAGGGAATTATAGGACTCACATTTATTAATGTATTTTAAAACTTTCCACCTTTCCATCTCTTTATCCAACAATTGTCTGTCCCTGATTCCTGAACACTATCCACACCTGATGCACTCTGTTTGGATCTTTGTTTTGATCCTTGTATAAAACTGTCCATACTTGATGCACTCTGGCCCTTTGTCTTGACCACAGAGACCAAAAGAACCTGGCCTAGCCCTGCCTTCACTTGTCCACCCTCTCACCCTATTGCCCCTTGTATGACTGCACCTGCTTCATGGGGTGCTGCCCTGCCATGTTGGGATGAGGGCCTAAGAGGCCTGGGTTCCTGACTACCACAGATGGGCAGGGTGGAGCTCAGGGGAAAGGCTGCTTGGGTAAAGCACCTGGCGGAAGCAGAGATGTCCTTCTTCCTTGATTGTAGAGTTAGGGTCCAGGGTAGTAAGCTGATTGACTGAAGAGCTGTGTCTTCAGGTTGTGGATACGGCCTCCTGATGGCTGCTCTCCAGAGCTGAACTGCAATCTTCTCAACTTTGGGGTCATCAAGGAATCTGGAGGCCTTATGCTTCTGTGCCAAAATAGAGAAAGTTGTAGACATGAGGGAAAGAGATCTTACCCTTTCAGTTCCCTTCCTGGCCTCCACTGCCCTTAGAGATTCTATTATTACACTCCCCCAAGAATGGGCATCTCAGGCTCTGGGAGTTGCAATTTCCTGATGGATGCATGGCTCACAGGAAAAAGCTCTTGTTGGGTGGGCTTTAGGAGATGAAGCATCATAACCTATTACAGCCTATGTTTTCATCAGGAAAATTCCTCTTGCTTGACTCAGAGGAATAATAAAATTAAAATTAAATAATATCATACATCTGAAAGGATTTTGACTAATCAAAAGTGCTCCTCATATGCAAAGGTTTACATTTAGAATTTTGTTAATATGAAATCACTTTTCATTTATTCCTTCCATGGTTTCAGCACTGAGCAAGTTAAAGCATAAGAATCCATCTCTTTAAAACAAATGGCTTTATTTTATAAGAGTCAATTTTCTGAGATAGGGACAAATTCTGTTCAAACAGGGATCTAGGGAGTTCACCTTTTCCATTTCCTGGTTCGGGAAAAACCATAGCATGTCAAATTAATTTTTTTTTTGAGACAGAGTTTCACTCTTGTTGCCTAGACTGGAGTGCAATGGCACAATCTCAGCTCACTGCAACCTCTGCCTCCTGGGTTCAAGTGATTCTCCTGCCTCAGCCTCCCGAGTAGCTGGGGTTACAGGCACCTGCCACCACGCCCAGCTAATTTTTGTATTTTTAGTAGAGACGGGGTTTCACTGTGTTGGTCAGGCTGGTCTTGAACTCCTGACCTCAGGTGATCCACCTGCCTCGGCCTCCCAAAGTACTGGGATTACAGGCATGAGCCACCGCACCTGGCCTAATTTTTTTTTTAAACATTATTTATCTTTAAAGCCCTCTGAAGTACATGGCGCTGCTGTCTTTCTTGACTACCTAGTCCTATTTCTCAGTTGCACTATTGAAAAGTCTTTCCTCCCTATGTCTAATTTAAATCTGTGTTGCAGTAGCCTGATCTTTTTTCTCCTCATCTTGTTATGGAAGAGAAAGTGACATTTCTCAATATTAGGGCATTTTAACTTTTGTTAATTTTCTTTTTGAAAATTAACTTTCATTAATTTTCTTTATAACTTTCTTCTAAGTCCCGGATCCCTTTTTTTTTTTTTTTTTTTAATGAGACAGTGTTTTGCTCTGTCTCCAGCCCAGGATGGAGGGAAGTGGCATGATCATGGCTCACTGCAGTCTCCACCTCCCCAGGCTCAGGTTGTCCTTTCACCTCAGCCTCCCGAGTAGCTGGGACTACAGGCATGCACCACCACACCTGGCTAATTTTTGTATATTTTGTGGAGACAGGTCTCACTGTGTCGAACTCCTGGGCTCAAGCGATCCAACCACCTTGGCCTCCAGAAGTACTGGGATTATACGCGTGAACCACCCCACACCCAGCCTACGTCCTTGATTCTTTATTCCTTCTTTGTGGCCTTCCTTTCCTAGCTGTCATTCTTTCTATGTTCCCTTATTCCCTCAATTGAATTAAGAAACTTTCTTACAATCTCTTATGGTGAGGTTCAGGGCTGATTCTGAGATTTCAGGGATTTCTAATGGGGCTGAGGATGGAGGAGGAAGCCCAGGCTCTGTAGTTCACCATTAGTAGACACAGTTGGGTGGGGAGGCACTTCTTGCCCCTTTGGAAGCACAGGCTTCTGAAGGCTCAAGGCTCAGAGCTAGCTATATTCATGGCCAGCACACCCATATCCAGGTGGGTGCCATCTCCCTTGAACATTGTCAGAATAGGGACACTTACCCAGTCCTGGGTGCTGATGTCATGGGTGTCATGGAGCAGTTGCTCATCCCTAAAGTGGACACAGAGAAGAGTCATTCTGTTACAGGGGCCTGGACATGTCTCCCCAGCTGCCCAGCTCACATCCTTGATTTGAAGTATAGTCAAAGTGGGAGGGTCCAGACTTGAAGGGACACTGACCACCTAACAGGCCCATCAGAGAGGCAGTTGCAGAATGTGGCACCAGAAATCTGGCCCCCTGTGAAGCAGAGCGGATCATGGCCACTGAAGGTCTGTTCATCCAGGGCTGGGAACTGAGTTAGAGAAATGTTTCCATCCCAGGGCGCTGCCACTGGAACAAGTCCCTGGTAGTTCACTTCTTATCTCCATTATTTTGTGTGGGAAATGGGTACAATAAGACTTGAATTCTCCTCATCTCACCCTGGATTTCACCCTCCCTCCCTCCATCTTTTAGGAAGTGGAAAAGCAGCAGCAGCTGTTAGATCCTAAATCCACCTTTTTACAGCCCAGGTAATCAGGTGGGTGTTCCCAGGGCCCTGCAGGGACCTATTTGGAAATCAGGCTTCTGAGGATGAAGGAGAGCATTCTCTAAGCAGAGGTAAGCTTGGCCCTTTTTGACTTTTTGAACCTTAGGGATCAGCATCCAAGGAAAGTATCTCACAAGCCTCTGGATCTCACAGTGGAGGCCATAGTTCCTAGTTCTGGAGTGGAGGTGATGGGCCAGGTTTGGAGAAAGATCAGAGGGAGTCTTCTCTGGGAATGTCTGTATTTAAAGATCCCCAAGAAGATTTGTACCCTTAACGAACTCCGTTTTGCTGCGGGGCTGAAAAAGCATAGAGTGGTTCCAGAAAGACCCCAAGAGTAGTCAGAATCTCCAGATTTCCTCCTCTCCCTGTCTCTTGTATCCACAGCTGAAGGCTCCTCACCCCTTCCATGGGGTATAAAAATCCTTGAATTCAATCTTATTTAATTCTGACTTTGGAAGCTCTCTCTTTGGGCTCAGTCATATATATCCTTGATAATCAGTGGGATTCAAGAGCCAAGAGCTTTGGCACCATACGAGAGTCTCTTAGAGGTATAGAACCTCAGATCTCAGAATTCAAGCCTACCCTAGACTTACTGAATAAGAATCTGTTTTTTAACAAGGGACCCAGGTGATTTGTATATAAGCAAAAGTTTGAAAAGCCCCAATTTGTAAGTTCTTTCTTGGATGAGTGAAGAAAAAAGTTCCAGATATGGCTTTTCTGCTATAATTCTAGGCTCCTGGGTATTTTGAGTATTTTCTCGAAATGCTAGAATTAGCATCTGGGCATTTGAAAACTGTAACTTGACCACCCAGAATAATCATTCCATTCTAGCCTCCCTGCCATTCTATCCCTGTGCCAGCCTTGGGAAGCTGTTCCCCTTTTCTGTACTTGCTGTCTTTACAGACAAGAATCATATCTAGCCGAGGCATGAGAGTGTTCTCAGGCCCTCAACAACCATTCCAAGGGAGAAAAAGAGTCTTCCATCCCTGTCCACGTGCTGTAGACTGAATGCCTATGTCACCTCCAAATTGATATATTGAAACCTAATCCCCAAAGCAATGATATTAAGTTGTGGGGCCTTTGGGAGGTAATTCGCTTATGAGGGCAGAGCTCTCATGAATCAGATTAGTGTCTGTATGAAAGAGAACCTAGAGAATTCCTTTACTCCTTCCTCCATGTGAGGACACAGTGAAAAAGTTGGTTGTCTATGAACTGGGAAGCAGGGCCTCACCAGACACCAAATCTGTTGGCACCTTGATCTAGGATATCCCAGCCTCCAGAACTGTGGGAAATAAATTTCTGTTGATTATAAATTACCCAGTATGGTATTCCGTTCTAGCAGCCTGAACAGACTCAGACACGAGGCAATTGAGCTGGACAGAGGAGAGACTTGCAGTGCTTATGAATGCTTTAAGGAAAGCCAATTCCCAGCTTGGTTGAAGCAGGGGAAGAAAAGAGAACATGGACTCCGGCTGTAAGCTAAATGGAAGATCCTAGGGTGAGACTTTGGGATGAACTCCATATCTCACTTCTTATCTCCATTTTCTTTTGTATGGCAAATGGATACAATGAGACTTGAATTCCAAATCCCCTCCCTTGTTTCCTTTTCCAAACCTTGGAATGGTGCTGTTTTACCTCGAATCCGAGCATCTTCCTGCAGCTGAAAAATAATGAGAATACAGTCAGAGATGATGGGGGCTGGTCTCCTGCAGACCTGCACTGTATTAGCTATAGACTTGGTCAAATGCAGGGATGTCTGTTTGGGAAAATATGGGCTTCTTGGACATGGAACTCCCAAGATTTCTTTCTTTCTTTTTTTGAGATGGAGTCTTGCTCTGACATTCAGGCTAGAGAGCAGTGGTGTGATATTGGCTCACTGCAACTTCCACCTCCCAAGTTCAAGCAATTCTCCTGCCTCAGCCTCCCCAGGAACTGGGATCACAGGTGTGTACCACCATGTCTGACTAATTTTTGCATTTTTAGTAGAGATGGGGATTCACCATGTTGGTCAGGATGGTTGAACTCCTGACCTCAGGTGACCTGGCAACCTCAGCCTCCCAAAGTGCTGGGATTACCACCCAGCCACTTTGGCCACCCTGCCTGGCCAAAATCCCAAGATTTCCAAAAGCACAGTTTGTATTGTTTTTGTATCTCTCACACCAAACCACTTAAGATAATGCCCTGCATACAGCATATGCTCAATAAATGTCTTTTGAATAGTGAATGAATAAATAGGAGCAAGCTGTGCCTCTTTAGGGGTGGGAGACACACAATTCATCACTTACAGTCATAACTATTCATACCAAGGCCTCACATCTTTTATTCTTTGTGGCCCTCTGGCCCTCTGCTATGTCTTTTCTGGGCCCTTTTACACTCCTCATTGAGTCTCCAGTGGTTCTCTGCAGAGAAGCTTTAAGTACGTGTAAAGGATCTTTAAAAAATCCCTTCTTGGCTGAGCGGGGTGGCTCATGTCTGTAATCCCAGCACTTTGGGAGGCTGAGGTGGGTGGATCACCTGAGGTCAGGAGTTCAAGACCAGCCTGATCAACATGGTGAAACCCCATTTCTACTAAAAATGCAGAAATTAGCCGGGCGTGGTGGCACATACCTGTAATCCCAGTTACCCAGGAGACTGAGGCAGGAGAATCACTGGAACTCGGGAGGCGGAGGTTGTGGTGAGCCAAGATCGTGCTACTACACTCTAGCCTGGGTGACAGAACAAGACTGTCTCAAAAAAAAAAAAAAAATCCTTCTTAGGCTGGGCGCAATGCCTCATGCCTGTAATCCCAGCACTTTGGGAGGCCAAGGCTGGCAGATGGCTTGAGTCCAGGAATTTGAGACCAACGTGGGCAACATGGCGAAACCCTGTCTCTACAAAAAAATACAAAAAAAGTTAGCTGGGTGTGGTAGTCCCAGCTACTTGAGAGGCTAAGGGAGGAGATTCACTTGAACCCGGGAGCCAGAGGTTGCAGTGAGCCAAGATCACATCACTGCACTCCAGCCTGGGCACAGAGTGAGACCCTGTCTCAAAGAGAGAGAGAGAGAGATTGAGAGAGACACTGAAATCTATAGAAGAAGAGCCGAGGAGAGCAGAGGAAGAGGTTTTATTTCTATTTACCCAAGATGGTTAGCTCTGGTCTCTAATTCATACTTCCCTGCAGTTAACAGACATACTCACCTAATAAGGCAGTTTACTACATCACTAGGGGATTCTCCCCAGCTTAGTCATTATCAGCATTTCATACAACCACATAGAGTATTCTTGCTGAGACAAGTTCTAGCAGATACAATTTTCTGTTTGTATTATCACATTTCCTCAAGGGAACTGTTAGGCATCTTCTTGCCTTAGCCGCCTGGACTGACAAGTCAGTGGTACTCTTTAAGGGAGAAATCACTAGAAAAATAAATGAAGCTAAAACCTTGGTCAGAGGCAACATCTCAGTAGGGTAAGAAAAAAAATGGGATCAAGGCACATGATGGGGCTGGGGAATTCAGAGAATCAAAATCTAATCTCACCTCCTTTTGTATATCCTTAAAAACTGTCAGCACCTGACAGAAGACAAAAATATAGAAAAAATAATATTGTAGATGATCACTTTATTACAGAGGGATTTCACATATAAAATTAAGTTACCTAGTCTCCTAGCCACTAGGCTGTAGAATGTGAATGCCAAGAGACTGTGGCTTTGTAGCGCTAGCAATAAATCCTCATTGACTTCCACTCTACAGAAACCTCTGGGCTGCAATTTCTCTGTATGGTAAATGAGCAAAATACAGTAAAGTATTTAAAGAAGACTGGGCTGTGCATTGAATGTATAATGAAACCTACTATTATATTTATTTTCGGTCTAATTGGTTCTTATTCTGAAGCTTAGCATAGGTATTCAAATCAACAGGTATTTATTTGCTTGTTGGAGGGTGTGTAAAATCATATGCTCACTTTGGAAAAAGTTCCGGCACTTTCTTTTCTTTCTTTCTTTTTTTTTTTTTTGGCTGTAAGTTTATTCAATGCAAAATAATCCTCTCCAATTTTACTGAGGTAGATGACCACATCCATGAACAAATCCACCTCTAAACTGGAATTCAGTTGCTGACCCAGCCCCAGCCTTGGCTTTCTTGTCGGCACCAGGGGGCACAGCATTCTGTCTGTAGGTATCTCTGTTGGCTTCCCCTCTTGTAAGTCTTCCAGATCGCTAATCCTCCAGACCTTTAGGCCGAGGCCTGCCAGTCTCTGGATGGCTGCGGCATAGAGTGACAGGCACAGACTCCAGGGGCCAATGAAGGTAATCATGGAGATACTGGATACCCTCATTCATAAGGTTCCAGTAGAAATGTCTCCAGGCAAACTGTTCCTTCATGCAGCCTTGGGACTTGAGAGACTGCATGGCCTTCATGATGTGAAGGATGGGCACATTCTTGTCTGCCAGCTCCGGGTGCTTAGGCATGTCGACATCCTTCTTGGCCACCATGACTCTCCTTAAAAAGGAGTTCATAAATGGCAACCCAGTTCTTCTTAGGTATCAACATCTCAGCGGCTATAGGATCCAGGGCCAGGGCTGGCAGTTTCTTATAAAACCAAATATCCACCTACTGTGTTACCCAGCCATGAATGGATCCAGTGACTGTTGGAACTGTGGGTTGTCTCCCTTGGGAGAAAGTGTGAGAACTTTAAGATGGTTGTATCTTGTTTGGTGGAAATATAGTGTATGTAGATATTTAGGAGTTTCAATTTGTATATAAGAGTACATATGGAAGATAAATGGTCAAAGGGGTAGAGTGTGCCAATGATTAATTCGTTGCCTCTCAATGATCAATTCATTGCCCTTTGTTTACTCTTTGTTATAAGTGCCTGATTATTTACTTGTTCTCAACAGGATGGTCTTTTGACTCTTACACAAGCAACTTACTCTTTAGCTAATATAATAATTGTAAGAACATGAAATAGTTATGCTACTGTTCAGCATTGTAATTAAGATTATTTCCTTATGTAAAGAGTCATTGAATGTCACAGAAAATAAAGCATGTTGGACACATTATTCATTTTAAATAATATTGTACAGTGGGGGCTGGCACAAGAGGCTCTGGAGAATTTTACTCATTTTAATCAGAAAGCCATAGCCATTGACTTAATTAACAGTCTTTTCCTGCTCAGTTTCCTATAAGTTCAAAAGTGATCAATTATCTTTTAATTCTCATCTCTATCTAAGGTTTTACAAGCAACTAATATGGTAAGATTGGGATGTTGAAGTAGCTGGTATTTATGTGAAGACCTCTTAGAAACTCCAAGTAAATGTCTGTGTTCTATGAAAGTTCAATTTGCTGTGGGTATCTTATGGGCATTACTAGCTTCTGCACATATATACCCTTCAACTATAAAGTGAAACCTGGCATTTTTATGTTTGTGAATTGAAACCAACATTTTCATGTTTGTGAAAGGCCAAACCTGTGCTTTCAAGTCTGTAGCAATCACTGAGAATTGGGGATTAAACACCCTTAAAACAAACAGGACCTGTGACAGCTTCAAACAAGTGGGTGCCAGGAAGGGGCACTAACATGCACAGACACGAGGAGCTCTGAGGATATGAGACTGCACGAGCAACAGAACAAGGTGGGAGGGAGCGTGTTGATCCTTCACCGTCAATCAACAAACCGCTCAAGGAAAGAGAAAGAAATGTGCTCCTTCCTGAAGACTTCCCCCACCTCCCACCTCATGCCATGCTGTCAAAAATGATTCCTCTGTACTCACCTGGTCCCACAGGGTTTCAGTGATGGTTACCTGTTTTTCCTGTAGAAATAAGGAACAAATGTTGGAAACAATATCCCAACTCTCCCAGAATCTGAAGTGACACATTATGAAACTGGTGGAAGACAAGATGTTTCTTGGAATTGAGCTGGACACCCAAAATCACCCCATTTCTCAGGCAGCCAAAAGTCTCCTGCAGCCCTGGTGAATCATTTCATCCCATATATCCTGCTTCGCTCTGGATCTAGCTGGTGCATGACAGGTACAAACAGACTCATTTGTTTACCATCTTTTCAATGCCTGTAAGCCTGCCTGCCCCTTTAGTCATCTGGTGAAGTGGTGGCATTGGAGACGTTACCTGGTTTGGTAGACAATGACCCACTCCACCAGCCAGTCAAGGGCACCCTGTCCCTTGTCAGGTAGCTTTTTTTTTTGGCCTCCTGTCTACAACCTCTTCTCCTCCCCTCTCCCTAGGAATTAGAAGCCCCAGAGGATCCAGAGAATTTGGATACCTTACCCACCTGTGGTCTCATTGTCTCTTCTATGGATGTGCTGCAAAGAAAGAATGATATAAACCTGATGAGGAGCACAGAATGTGGGCTAAAGCCTTCTCCTAACTCTATTCTATCACTCCTAGCAGGAATTCTTGAAGTTTCTATACTAAAAATCCAGGAAGGGTAGCCACGGTCCTGCCTCTCATATCCCTTTATGGGAGGTGTGGGGAGAGATACTTGCCTCATCTTCCAAGTATCTTGACTATTGTGGAAGCCCTTTGAGAACTCTAAAGCATAGAACAATGGAAGTGAAGGTGATGGACACTGTCATTAAACCTTGTCATTCTCCTGCCTGCCTAATTTATGTCCACTCTCTACCCTTCACCCCGCCTAACCTGTCAAACTTCCCAGGTCCTCTTTGGAAAGTACACTCAATTAGCAAACTGCTTCCTTTTTTATCCCCCGAAAAAGTGTTCTTTTCCTTCGTGACTTCTGATGGGGTGGGAATGGGGATGGAAGGCTGAAGAAGTGGAAAGATTTGCTTATTCTTGGCAGCACAACTGAAGCTCTTATTCCTAAATACCATCTCATTCCTAAATCAGTGCCAAAGTCACCTAGGAGGCAGTGTATACAGATAAACAGGTAACTGGAAGAAAGAAGAAGGGTGAAAGTGAGTGAAATCGGGGCAACCAGTCTGCTCTACCATGCTCGCTGATCCTGAGCAAACTCAGCTTCATCTCCTTGCCCAGGGGTTCCTGCTAGTACAGTTCCTGCCATTACAAAAAGCAGTAAGTTTTTCTAAACAGGGCTAGGGAGGCCAGTAGTCACAGGGAGTCTGGGGACCCAGAATAGAGAGAAAACTGGGCTCTAGATGACACTGTAGTTCAAGACCAGCTTGGGCAACATAGTGAGACCTTGTCTCTACAAACAAAACAAAACAAAACAAAACAAAACCAACAACAAACAAAACAGCAGAAACAACATCAAAAACCCAGTCAGGCATGGTGGCAGGCACTTGTAGTCCTAGCTTACTCAGGAGGCTGAGACAGGAGGATTGCTTGAGCCCAGGAGTTCGAGGCTGCAGTGAGCTATGATTGTGATACTGCACTCTAGCCTCGGCAACAGAGCAAGCCCTGTCGCTAAAAATAAATAAATAAAATAAAATAAAAATAAAAAGACATTGAGCCTACAGATTTCCAGTTAAGAGGAGACTCCTGATGAACATTAATAGCATTGACATCATATCAAATGGCTCAGGCACACAATTCTGCCAGCTGGAGTGCTATTTCTCCATAGAACCTGGCAGAGCTACTACTCATTGCAAATCCAAACCATGCCCCTAATTCTGAAAACATCCTTTTATTTATTGATACATAATAATCACATATTTATGAGGTACATGTGATAGTTTGATAATGCATACAATATGTAATGATCAAATCAAGAGTATTTAGGATATCCATCACCTCAAACATTGATCAGTTCTTTGTGCTGGGAACATTTCAGCTCTTCTCAGCTAACTATTTTGAAATACATAATAAATTATTGTTAATTATAGTCACGCTACTATGCTATTGAACCTCAACCCTAAGCTTGTTTCCTCACCTATAAAACAAGAGGAGTAATCTTTCTCTCAAGGATTTGGGGGATGATTATATGAAAGCATTTGTAACTGTTAAGTTTTTTCAAATGTTCTTATTGTTGTGTGTTATTTTTACAGTGTCCTGTCCACTTTTACCACCAAAAAAAGCATATCTTCATTGGCAGAAAGGCCAGGGCTCTGGTGTGGTTTATGTGCTTTCTCATATAGAAGTCTAGGAGACTCCAATATCTACTCATTATTTTTTCCTCAAGGTCCTGCAGCTGTCTGGAAGAGAATTCATACTCTTAGATAGAGCAGATTCCCAACTTCCTCCAGATTCAGTCTTCTCAATTCCTCACTGGGTCTCAGGCTTGAGGTCCAGTTAACCATTCTGAGCACTTTCAGGCAGCTTAGAAATTTAGAAGTCATTTTTCACTTTCTCTTCCCAAATTTCTACAAACTCTTTGTTTCGCTCTTATTGCCCAGGCTGGAGTGCAATGGCATGATCCCGGCTCACCGCAACCTCCGCCTCCCAGGTTCAAGCGATTCTCCTGCCTCAGCCTCCCAAATAGATGGGATTACAGGCATGCACCACCACACCCAGCTAATTTTTTGTAATTTTAGTAGAGATGGGGTTTCTCCATATTGGTCAGGCTGATCTCGAACTCCCAACCTCAGGTGATCCGCCCGCCTTGGCCTCCCAAAGTGCTGGGATTACAGGCATGAGGCACTGCACCCAGCCCCAAATTTCTACAAACTCTTATCTCAAAACATCTGCTGCAAGTTCAAAGGCTCAAGCCAAGTTCTGATTCCTTATGAAGCTTTCCTGACCCATAAGTTCACAGTAAACCCTCCTTCTTTTCTGACTTCATGGATACCATCACCTGGGTCTCATATTTAGCCTCAAGCAGCAGATTCTAGCCCTCTTTTCCACTGTAGGCCAAGAGAAGCTTGATTTTA
Source organism: Homo sapiens (assembly GCF_000001405.40). Lineage (NCBI taxonomy): Eukaryota > Metazoa > Chordata > Mammalia > Primates > Hominidae > Homo > Homo sapiens. The sequence goes on along the minus strand of NC_000012.12, from coordinate 48,483,693 downwards.
GATGGTTGACCTTGATTTACACTATAGAGGATATAAAGGACTTAGGCAAAGTCAATCCTGGAATAAATTAATGTCCCTAGTTTGTATACCCCGCCAACCCCTAGAGGAATTGCAATTGATGCCTGATTTCTAAATTAAAATGACAAAGATTTGCTATTATCTCTTTCATTAAGGAGATGGAGAAGAGGGAGGACACATGAAAGTCCCCATCTTATTCAGCCAGGAAGCAAGTGAAGCCAAATGAAGAGCCATAGAAGACAGGAGGCCCTGGTTCTTCTCCCATAGAGTATAGCAATCTAAGGATGTTTGAGGGTCATCATTAGCCCCATTACCTTCTCTGCTGCTTGGAGGTCATTTCTACCTTTTGTTCCTGATCCTGGCAGGGATGCTGTGCCATTTGTTCTCAGACAGAAACCAAGGACTCTGGAGCTGAAGATGGAGATAGCTCCAGGCCCTGGAGAGGCATAAATGAATATGCGGAGAAGGCAGGTACATGGTGAGAAGAAAAGCGCTTATTCAGTGGAGAACTACCAGCAGTTAATGGAGCATTTGTATTTTGAATGGGTGAGTGTGCATGTGCATGTGTGTGCTTGCATATATGTGCATGTATGTGTGCATATGCATGTACATATGCATAAGGAAAGATGAAGGTAAGAGGAGGGTAAGAGGAAGGAAGTATTTGCCCTGGGTAAAATCTTCCTATAGTCTTTGTCAGTAACAACAGAAATTGCAGTGAGGAAGTAGACGAAAAAAAAAAAGAGAGAATCTAAGTGAAAAATAAGTTGGCTGAGATTGGGGATGGGGGATTGGCCAAAGGGTCTTTGAGTTCAGGCAAGGACAGGAAATAGTGTAGAGTGAATGCAAGATTGTCAAATACCCCACCCCCTCCCACCTCAGTCAGAATTTTCATGGTTAACTAAGGATAGAGGAGTTTCAGGATGGAGGGCCATCAGCTCCAGCCTTAAAGTGCTTTGTAGAGAAGAAGGGCTCATAGGCAGTGGCCCAGACAGGAGACAAATCCTCCTTTGAGAAGTTTCCCTCCCACTTTTCCCACTCCCACCCTTCTTGGCCTCCAAGCCCCAGTCAAGAACGAGGTCAATTATGCCTAGAAACTTACCCTGCTTGGTTCCCCAAATTACACTTTGCCCCACTCCTTCACCCCTAGACTTTTTCCTATTTGAGCCCCATCTCACAACAGCCTCCTGTTCCCATATCAACCTTGCCATTTTCAATACTTTGTGACTTCAGCTGTGACCTCATAGACGGACAACTTGCTTTCCCTCCCAGCCACACACTAGGCTCCATTCAATCCAAACGATAATGGTAAAATGGAGGGATAATGTTGTGGGATTTTAATTTTAATTTCTGGGAATTTTTGCTTCTTCATTGCCTTCTACCCATTGCATTGGAAATCCATTGATTCTTAGAGATGAAAGGAATGAGGCCAGAAGAATCCAGTTTTTACTTTGAATTTCAAAATCAGGTCTGAGAAATCTGGCTTTCAATTTCAAGAGCTAGGTCCTTCAGAGAGAAATGGTTTTGTTGTGAATTCCCAAAGTCTTTGACCTAGAAAATCACCAAAGATTTGTGAATGATCATGGATTTAAAACCATTTAGATTTAGAAGGGATGAAAACAGTTTTTCTGAAGAAAGTATAGGGTTTTAATACGGAGGCAGGAAGTGAAAATTAGGGAAGAGGCATTAGGTGTAGGTGTGCAACTCTGGGACCTGCTTCCTTTTGGTGATGGTGCATATAAAATATCCCAATATGTCTAGAAATCTAAGAACAGAAGGAACCAAGGGCCAGCTTCTCCCTTGAAACTAGACCCCTGGAGGAGCAGCCTCAGAGAGAGCACTGTGCCTACATGGGGAGGTCGTGGTGAAGTGGGAATTGTGGTATAGCGTGTTTAGGCAGACAGGACCTGAGATAGTACCTTTCAGGTCCCATAGCCTGCCCAGGTGATGGTGGGAAAACTCCTCATGCAGAAATGCAGAGTGGAGAAGGAGAGGGCTAAAATCTAAAGAGGACTCACAAATCATGCAACCTGCGACAAAATGCCAGGGTATGTACAACAGATGGAGGTGTCAACATTGGCTCGGCGCTCCACCTGTCTTTAGCAGACTTTAAAGGAAAGGCATACTGTCCCATCCCTTGTTTTGATTTTAGAGCTCCAGGTGCTACTAGTGAGACCACCATGGACCCTCTCTGCACACCACCTTCTTACTATCATGAAGTGCTTCAAATTAGACTCTGATTAGAGGTTACTCTCTCCCACCCTCTAAGAGACCAGCAGGGCCATTTCCATCATAATCTACCTTTTTATTTACCTCAGTTTCCATAAGGAGTCTAAGCTCCTCCCTTTATCATCTCACATCACAGGGACTTTTACCCTTTCATGGCCAGATGTATCTCATAATCCAACTCAATTCCTACCTCTCTCAAACCACCCCAAGTCTTTTGCTATCCAAAAGTCATTTTTTTTAAAAAAAAAACTCTATTTTTATTTTGGATTCAGAGGATACACATGTAGGTTTGTTACAAGGATATATTGCTGAGGTTTGGGCTTCTATTGATCCTGTCACCCAGACAGTGAGCATAGTACCCAATAGGAAGCTTTTCATCTTTGCCCCCTCCCTCCCTTCTTTTGGAGTCTATTGTTCCCATCTTTATGTCTGTGTGAGTGTAGCTTCCACTTACAGGTGAGAACATGTGGTATTTGGTTTTCTGTTTCTGTGTTAGCTTGCCTGGGATAATGACCTCCATCTACATCCATGTTGTTGGAAAGAATATAATTTCATTATTTTTTATGGCTGCATTGTATTTCATGGTGTATTCCATGAAGAGAAATGTACCACACTTTATCCCATCCATGATTGATGGGCACCTGGGTTGATTCCATGTCTTTGCTATTGTGAATAGTGCTGCGATAAACATACAAGTACATGTGTCTTTTTGTTAGAATGATTAATTTTCCTTTGGGTATATCCAAAGTAATGAGATTGATGGGTCAAATGGAAGTTCCATTTTTAGTTCTTTGAGAAATGTTCAAACTGGTTTCTATAGGGGCCGAACTAATTTGCATCCCCACCAGCAGTGTATAAGCCAGCATCTGTTATCTTTTGACTTAATAATGGCCATTCTGACTGGTGTGAGATGAGATGTCTCATTGTGATTTTGATTTGTATTTCTCTGATAATTAGTGATGTTGCACATTTTTTCATATATTTGTTGGCTTAGTTAAACAGTTTTGCACAGCAAAAATTCTCAACAGAGTAAACAGATAAGCTATAGAATGGGAGAAAATATTTGCAAACTATGCATCTGACAAAGGACTAATATCCAGAATCTATAAGGAACTTAAACAAATAAACAAGAAAAAACCAAACAACTCAATTAAAAATTGGACAAAGGACATGAACAGACACTTCTTAAAAGTAATTTTTTTGTGAAACAATTTGTTTTATACATTCCTGAGTTTCAACCATACATTCTTTTTACAATACAACAAACAAAACACTGAAAGATATTCAAAACAAGGTTCCAAGGTTGGCCCAACTTGATTGTTTGGATATTTGTGTTTTTGGTAACTTTATAACTTTTTTAAATGAAGCTTTTAATGAAGATATACCAGGGTCTTGCTTTAAGACCGAAAGTATCCAAACCTAGTGTTACATTATATATATATATAAAATAAGAAAAGCTATTCTATCAGGTAACAAAAATGAAGCTTCTCCCTCACCTAGCAGTTCATCTGGAATCCATCTTGAAAAGATCAATGGCCTGTTGGACTTAAAGAAGCCATCCCCCAAAAAATTGTATGAAAAGATCTATTGAAACTTATCAATGACAAACAGACATGAAACTCAAAGTTTGGCTCGTCTGAGGGGCAGGAGAAAAATGGGTGCAGATGTTCTTTTATACAGATGAAACATGGGTTCAGAAATTACATGTCACTTATGAAGCAACCAGAGAGGGACACAAAAGCAACTGTACATTCACTAGGAATTGCAATCATTTCAGATTTCCACTAGGTAAGAAAATAAAATTTTGCATTAGTTTTTCCGTGCTCGGGTGTATGAAAAAAAAAAACAAAACAAAACCCAGCTGACATGTAGCAACGCCTCCAGCACTTAGGTCCCTAAAAATGTTCTTTTTTAAATATATATTTTATTTTATTATTATTATACTTTAAGTTTTAGGGTACATGTGCACAACGTGCAGGTTTGTTACATATGTATACATGTGCCATGTTGGTGTGCTGCACCCATTAACTAGTCATTTAGCATTAGGTATATCTCCTAATGCTATCCCTCCCCACTCCCGCCACCACACAGCAGTCCCCAACGTGTGATGTTCCCCTTCCTGTGTCCATGTGTTCTCATTGTTCAATTCCCACCTATGAGTGAGAATATGCGGTGTTTGGTTTTTTGTCCTTGTGATAGTTTGCTGAGAATGATGGTTTCCTGTTTCATCCATGTCCCTACAAAGGACATGAACTCATCATTTTTTATGGTTGCATAGTATTCCATGGTGCATATGTGCCACATTTTCTTAATCCAGTCTATCATTGTTGGACATTTGGGTTGGTTCCAAGTCTTTGCTATTGTGAATAGTGCCGCAATAAACATACGTGTGCATGTATCTTTATAGCAGCATGATTTTTAATCCTTTGGGTATACAGTAATGGGATGGCTGGGTCAAATGGTATTTCTAGTTCTAGATCCCTGAGGAATCACCACACTGACTTCCACAAGGGTTGAACTAGTTCACAGTCCCACCAACAGTGTAAAAGTGTTCCTGTTTCTCCACATCCTCTCCAGCACCTGTTGTTTCCTGACTTTTTAATGATTGCCATTCTAACTGGTGTGAGATGGTATCTCATTGTGGTTTTGATTTGCATTTCTCTGATGCACAGTGATGGTGAGCATTTTTTCATGTGTTTTTTGGCTGCATAAATGTCTTCTTTTGAGAAGTGTCTCCTTGAAGATGTCCTTCACGTCCCTTGTAAGTTGGATTCCTAGGTATTTTATTCTCTTTGAAGCAATTGTGAAGGGGAGTTCACTCATGATTTGGCTCTCTGTTTGTCTGTTATTGGTGTATAAGAATGCTTGTGATTTTTGTACATTGATTTTGTATCCTGAGACTTTGCTGAAGTTGCTTATCAGCTTGAGGAGATTTTGGGCTGAGATGATGGGGTTTTCTAGATATACAAACATGTCATCTGCAAACAGGGACAATTTGACTTCGTCTTTTCCTAATTGGATACCCTTTATTTCCTTCTCCTGCCTGATTGCCCTGGCCAGAACTTCCAACACTATGTTGAATAGGAGTGGTGAGAGAGGGCATCCCTATCTTGTGCCTGTTTTCAAAGGGAATGCTTTGAGTTTTTGCCCGTTCAGTATGATATTGGCTGTGGGTTTGTCATAGATAGCTCTTATTATTTTGAGATAAGTTCCATCAATACCTAATTTATTGAGAGTTTTTAGCATGAAGCATTGTTGAATTTTGTCAAAGGCCTTTTCTGCATCTATTGAGATAATCATGTGGTTTTTGTCTTTGTTTCTGTTCATATGCTGGATTACATTTATTGATTTGTGTATGTTGAACCAGCCTTGCATCCCAGGGATGAAGCCCACTTGATCATGGTGGATAAGCTTTATGATGTGCTGCTGGATTCGGTTTGCCAGTATTTTATTGAGGATTTTTGCATCAATGTTCATCAAGGATATTGGTCTAAATTTCTCTTTTTCGGTTGTGTCTCTGCCAGGCTTTGGTATCAGGATGATGCTGGCCTCATAAAATGAGTTAGGGAGGATTCCCTTTTTTTCTATTGATTGGAATAGTTTCAGAAGGATTGGGATCATCTCCCCTTTGTACCTCTGGTAGAATTCGGCTGTGAATCCATCTGGTCCTCAACTTTTTTTGGTTGTTAAGCTATTGATTATTGCCTCAATTTCAGCTCCTGTTATTGGTCTAGTCAGAGATTCAACTTCTTCCTGGTTTAGTCTTGGGAGGATGTATGTGTCGAGGAATTTATGCATTCCTTCTAGATTTTCTAGTTTATTTGCGTAGAGGTGTTTATAGTATTCTCTGATGGTAGTTTGTACTTCTGTGAGATTGGTGGTAATATCCCCTTTGTCATTTTTTATTGCATCTATTTGATTCTTCTCTATTTTCTTCTTTATTAGTCTTGCTAGAGGTCTATCAATTTTGTTGATGTCTTCAAAAAACCAGCTCCTGGATTCATTAATTTTTTGAAGGGTTTTTTGTGTCTCTATTTCCTTCAGTTCTGCTCTGATCTTTGTTATTTCTTGCCTTCTGCTAGCTTTTGAATGTGTTTGCTCTTGCTTTTCTAGTTCTTTTAATTGTGATGTTAGGGTGTCAATTTTAGATCTTTCCTGCTTTCTCTTGTGGGCATTTAGTGCTATAAATTTCCCTCTACACACTGCTTTGAATGTGTCCCAGAGATTCTGCTATGTTGTGTCTTCGTTCTCATTGGTTTCAAAGAACATCTTTATTTCTGCCTTCATTTCATTATTTACCCAGTAGTCACTCAGGAGCATGTTGTTCAGTTTCCATGTAGTTGAGTGGTTTTGAGTGAGTTTCTTAATCCTGAGTTCTAGTTTGATTGCACTGTGGTCTAAGAGATAGTTTGTTATTATTTCTGTTCTTTTACATTTGCTGAGGAGTGCTTTACTTCCAACTATGTGGTCAATTTTGGAATAGGTGTGGTGTGGTGCTGAAAAGAATGTATATTCTGTTGATTTGGGATGGAGAGTTCTGTAGATGTCTATTAGGTCCGCTTGGTGCAGAGCTGAGTTCAATTCCTCGATATCCTTGTTAACTTTCTGTCTCATTGATCTGTCTAATGTTGACAGTGGGGTGTTACCATCTCCCATTATTATTGTGTGGGAGTCTAAGTCTGTTTGTAGGTCTCTAAGGACTTGCTTTATGAATCTGGGTGCTCCTGTATTGGGTGCATATATATTTAGGATAGTTAGCTCTTCTTGTTGAATTGATCCCTTTAGCATTATGTAATGGCCTTCTTTGTCTCTTTTGATTTTTGTTGGTTTAAAGTCTGTTTTATCAGAGACTAGGATTGCAACCCCTGCCTTTTTTTGTTTTCCATTTGTTTGGTAGATCTTCCTCCATCCCTTTATTTTGAGCCTATGTGTGTCTCTGCACGTGAGATAGGTTTCCTGAATACAGCACACTGATGGGTCTTGACTCTTTATCCAATTTGCCAGTCTGTGTCTTTTAATTGGAGCATTTAGCCCATTTACATTTAAAGTTAATATTGTTATGTGTGAATTTGATCCTGTCATTATGATGTTAGCTGGTTATTTTGCTCGTTAGTTGATGCAGTTTCTTCCTAGCCTGGATGGTCTTTACAATTTGGCATGTTTTTGCAGTGACTGGTACTGGTTGTTCCTTTCTATGTTTAGTGCTTCCTTCAGGAGCTCTTTTAGGGCAGGCCTGGTGGTGACAAAATCTCTCAGCATTTGCTTGTCTGTAAAGGATTTTATTTCTCCTTCACTTATGAAGCTTAGTTTGGCTGATATGAAATTCTGGGTTGAAAATTCTTTTCTTTAAGAATGTTGAATATTGGCCCCCACTCTCTTCTGGCTTGTAGAGTTTCTGCCGAGAGATCAGCTGTTAGTCTGATGGGCTTCCCTTTGTGGGTAACCCAACCTTTCTCTCTGGCTGCCCTTAACATTTTTTCCTTCATTTCAACTTTGGTGAATCTGACAATTATGTGTCTTGGAGTTGCTCTTCTCGAGGAGTATCTTTGTGGCGTTCTCTGTATTTCCTGAATCTGAATGTTGGCCTGCCTTGTTAGATTGGGGAAGTTCTCCTGGATAATATCCTGCAGAGTGTTTTCCAACTTGGTTCCATTCTCCCTGTCACTTTCAGGTACACCAATCAGATGTAGATTTCGTCTTTTCACATAGTCCCATATTTCTTGGAGGCTTTGTTCATTTCTTTTTATTCTTGTTTCTCTAAACTTCTCTTCTTGCTTCATTTCATTCATTTCATCTTCCATCACTGATACCCTTTCTTCCAGTTGATCGCATCAGCTAGTGAGGCTTCTGCATTCATCATGTAGCTCTCGTGCCATGGTTTTCAGCTCCATCAGGTCCTTTAATGACTTCTCTGCATTGGTTATTCTAGTTATCCATTCATCTAATTTTTTTTTCAAAGCTTTTAACTTCTTTGCCATTGGTTCAAGTTTCCTCCTGTAGCTCAGAGTAGTTTGATCTTCTGAAGCCTTCTTCTCTCAACTCGTCAAAGTCATTCTCCATCCAGCTTTGTTCTGTTGCTGGTGAGGAGCTGCATTCCTTTGGAGGAGGAGAGGTGCTCTGATTTTTAGAGTTTCTGGTTTTTCTTCTCTTTTTTTCCCATCTTTGTGGTTTTATCTACCTTTGTTCTTTGATGATGGTGACATACAGATGGGTTTTTGGTATGGATGTCCTTTCTCTTTGTTAGTTTTCCTTCTAACAGACAGGACCCTCAGCTGCAGGTCTGTTGGAGTTTGCTAGAGGTGCACTCCAGACCCTGTTTGCCTGGGTTTCAGCAGCAGTGACTGCAGAACAGCGGATATTGGTGAACCGCAAATGCTGATGCCTGATTGTTCCTCTGGAAGTTTTGTCTCAGAGGAGTACCCGGCTGTGTGAGGTGTCAGTCTGCCCCTACTGGGGGGTGCCTCCCAGTTAGGCTACTCAGGGGTCAGGGGCCCACTTGAGGAGGCAGTCTGCCTGTTCTCAGATTTCAAGCTGCGTGCCGGGAGAACCACTACTCTTTTCAAAGCTGTCAGACAGGGAAATTTAAGTCTGCAGAGGTTACTGCTGTCTTTTTGTTTGTCTGTGCCCTGCCCCTAGAGGTGGAGCCTACAGAGGCAGGCAGGCCTCCTTGAGCTGTGGTGGGCTCCACCCAGTTCGTGCTTCCCGGCTGCTTTGTTTACCTAATCAAACAACTAACTTGGCAATGGCGGGCGCCCCTCCCGCAGCCTTGCTGCCACCTTGCAGTTTGATCTCGGACTGCTGTGCTAGCAATGAGCGAGACTCTGTGGGCGTAGGACCCTCCGAGCCATGTGTGGGATATAATCTCCTGGTGTGCTTTTTTTAAGCCCATTGGAAAAGCGCAGTACTAGGGTGGGAGTGACCCGATTTTCCAGGTGCCATCTGTCACCCCTTTCTTGGACTAGGAAAGGGAATTCCCTGACCCCTTGCACTTCCTGGGTGAGATGATGCCTCGCCCTGCTTCGGGTCATGCACTGTGTGCTGCACCCACTGTCCTGCACCTACTGTCTGGCACTCCCCAGTGAGATGAACCCAGTACCTCAGTTGGAAATGCAGAAATCACCTGTCTTCTGTATCGCTCATGCTGGGAGCTGTAGACCAGAGCTGTTCCCATTCGGCCATCTTGGCTCCTCCACCTGGCTCCATAAAATTGTTCTAAGCACAGAAATACATGTAGAAGAATTCTCTCATCATTTTTGTAAAACAAAGCATTCTAATATTTTACAGAACAAGATAGGACAGTTTTTTTTTCTTGTAAAGAAGTTGAAGTTTGAGGGTTTGTTTCTTCACTTTTAATTATTATTACCAAATCCATTTTCCTTGTAACTCACAAGACTGCCATTTTCAGCTCTCTGGCTCTTAAGCTCTCAAGAGTAACATCTGAGTCCTCTTTGTAGAAGGAAGCCCACCACGATCTGTGAAGGGGGAAAAGGGATGAGAGATGGGGAATGTCCCCAAACCAGTGCCAAAATACACCTTTAGGTTGCTATTTACAAACCAGGGTGTTGGATGCCTCTAGCAGTTCCGCGAAAAGCATGTGAATCAAAGCAAAAGCTATGGCTGGTGCTCAGACCCTTCTGGGTGTTGAGTAACCAAACTGAGACCAGCCGCGGACTTCCACCCAACCTGAGACTTGGAAAATACCAGGAAACATAAGAGAACTCCAAACCATCTTCTTTGAGAGCCAGGAACAAATGCTTAGTGTGTACTTAACTATTGCATTTACAGGGACAAAAACTGGACACAAGGAAAAAGTAGGGGGAAAAAATAAAGAGTGGCAGTAAAAATAGTATTTTATTCCACCCCCTCCTCCCCTCCCTTCCCTCACAACCCCCAGTACACTTTTCCTCTCTTGCTCCCACAGCAACGTTACAATCAGAAAAAAATAAGTTTCAGGGGGCAGGATTGGAGTGGGGGAGGGGATACGGCTAAAAACAGTAAAATCACAAAAGGAATTTTTCAAAATAGATTATTCCACTTAGGCATCGTCTTCTCCCTCATCTTCAGTTTCTTATTTTCGCTTCTGACCCCTTTCTTCTTCACCAAGCTCTTCTTCATCTTCCTCATCATCTACCTCTCCATTGTTATAACCTTCATCCTTCTCCTCCTCGTCTCCACTCACGTCCTCCTCTTCACGTTCCTCCTCCTCATCCTCGTCCTCCTCATCTTCCATTACCTGAGCATCTTCATCATACTCCTCCTCATCCTCATCCTCCTCCTTGTCATCCAGGCACTCCACAAAGCCCTCACCATCCGAGTTAGGGGCCTCCTTGTCATCCGGGTCACAGCCGTTGAGATATGTGAGTTGCAGGAGGAGCTTGAACATCTTTTCTCAGTAGTTGTTCAGGTTGGTTACCTCGCAAGTGAAAAGGTCTAAGCTCTCGAGGTTTTCTAACTTTTTCAGGGGCTCTATTGTGCTGAGGTCTTTAATTTTGTTGCCACTTAAATTTAGATGTATGAGGTTTGGACACTTTTCTGCCAATACTTCTAGGCCCACTGAGGCTCTGTTACTGCTTAGTTCAAGCTTCTTAAGTTTGTTTAACTTTGGCAAGTTTGCAATTGAGGTGAGGCCTATGTTGATTGTATTTAATAATTCCAGTTCTTCAAATTCATCTGTGAGGCCTTCCAATTTGCCTTCATTTGACTGACTGTTGTCCAGGAAAAGTTCTTTCACATCGGAGGGCGTCCTGTTCCGCAGCTCTAAATGAATCCATTTGCCCATCTCCATCTCTCACGCTTTCTCTGCAGAGGCTCCTGAGCCAGCGGAATTCAACCAATAAACCCCGAACCCACAACCGCACATTTGAAAGCTCAACCAGCTCTGCTGGGTTCTCCGAAAGTAAATTCTTAATTCCAAACACACCCAAAATCTATTATCTCCCATCACATTAAATTGTGCTATCATTCACCCAGTTGCTCCAAAACCTTAGAATAATGACTACTTCCTCTATTTTTCTATTTTACATCAGATAGATGTATTGGCTGTACCTTTACAGTGTATCCTAAATCTGATCACTTCTCATCATCTCTAGGCCACGCCATAGTATATATCTCACGGACTGTTGTCAAAGCCTCCTAACTAGATCATTCTTATCTTCCTGCAGCAGCCAGAATGCTCATTTTAAAATGCAGAAAACCCTAAAGACTCTGCCAAAAGGTTAATAGAGCTGATAAACAGTTTTAGTAAGATTTCAGGATACAAAATCAATATACAAAACTAGTAGCATTTCTATACACCAATAGTATTCAAGCTGAGAATAAATCAAGAACACAACCCCATTTACAATAGCCACAAAGAAAATGAAATACCTAGGAATACAGCTAACCAAGGAGAGGTGAAAAATTTCTACAAGGAGAACTACAAATCACTGCTCAAAGAAACCAGAGATGGCACAAATAAGTGGAAAAACATCCCATGTTCATGAATTGTAAGATCAATATTATTAAAACGGTCATATTCCCCAAAGTGGCTTACAGATTCAACACTATTTCTATCAAATTACCAATGTCATCCATCACAGAATTAGAAAAAAACTACTCTGAATTCACGTGGAACCAAAAAATAGCCTGAATAGCAAAAGTAGCCCCAAGTAAAAAGAACAAAGCCAGAGACATCACACTACCTGACTTCAAACTATCCTATAAAGCTATAGTAACCAAAACAGCATGGTATCGACACAAAAACAGACACATAGACAAATGGAACAGAATAGAAACTTCTGAAATAAAGCCTTACACTTAAAAATATCTGATCTTTGACAAGACCAAGAAAAACAAGCAATGGGGAAAGGACTTTCTTTTCAATAAATGGTGCTGGGATAACTGGCTAGCCATATGCAGAAGAATGAAACCAGACCCTTACCTTTCACCATACATAAAAACTAACTGAAGATGGATTAAAGTTTTAAATGCAAGACTTCAACCTATAAAAATCCTAGAAAATATGCCCCAAAGAAAGGAAATTAGTATATAGAAGAGATATCTGCACTCCTATGTTGGTTCCAGCACTGTTTACTAAGATTTGGAAGCAACCTAAATGTCCATCAGCAGATGGATGGATAAAGAAAATGTGGTGCATATACACAATGGAGTACTCGTCAGCCATAAAAATAATGAGATCCAGTCACTTGCAACAACATGAATGGAACTGGAGTTTATTATGTTAAGTGAAATAAGCCAGGCACAGAAAGACAAACATTGCATGTTCTCACTTATTTGTGGGATCTAAAAATCAAAACAATAGAACTCATGGAGGAGGGGCTGGGAAGTGTAGTGGGGGCTGTTGGGGGGAGATGAGGATGGTTAATGGGTACAAAAAAATAAAAAGAATGAATAAGACCTACTATTTGATAGCACAACAGGGTGACTATAATAAAAATAACTTAATTGTACATTTAAAAATAATTTAAAGAGTGTAATTGCATTATTTGTAACTTGAAAGATAAATGCTTCTGGGGATGGATACTCCATTATCCATGATGTGCTTATTTCACATTGCATGCCTGTATCAAAACATCCCATGTACGCCATAAGTATATATATCTAATATGCACCCACAAAATTTTAAAAAATTAAAAAAGAATAAATAAACATAAAAATTGAAAACAAATTCTAGAAGAAAACCTAGGAAATGCCCTTGTTGACATCAACCTTGGCAAAGAATTTTTGGCTAAGTCCCCAAAAGCAATTGCAACAAAAACAAAAAAAAATGGACCAGTGGGACCTAATTAAACTAAAGAGATTCTGCACAGCCAAAGAAGCCATCAGTAAACAGACTACCTACAGAATGGGAGAAAATATTTGCAAACTATGCATCTGACAAAGATCTAATATCAAGACTCTATAAGGAACTTAAATCAACAAGCAAAAAGCTACCCCATGAAAAATGGGCAAAGGACATGAACAGACACTTCTCGAAAGAACACACACAAGTAAACATATGAGAAAATGCTCATCAGAGAAATGCAGATCAAAATCACAATGAGATACCATCTTCCACCAGTTGGAATGGCTATTACCAAAAAGTAAAAAAATAACAGATGTTGGTGAGGCTGCGGAGAAAAGACAACACTTCTACATTGTTGGTGGGAATGTAAATTAGTTCAGCCACTGTGGAAAGCAGTTTGGAGATTTCTCAAAGAACTTAAAACAGAAATACATTTGATCCACCAGTTCCATTACTGGGTATCTACCCAAAGGAAAATAAATCATTCTACCAAAAAGAAACATGCATGCATATGTTCATCGCTGCACTATTCAGAGTAGTAAAGACATGGAATCAACCTAGGTGCTCATCAATGGTTAGACTGGATAAAGAAAATGTGGTACATAGACACCATGGAATAGCATGTAGCCATAAAAATGAATAAAGTCATGTCCTTTGCAGCAACGTGGTTGGAGATGGAGGCCATAATCCTAAGGAAATTAATGCAGGAACAGAAAATCAAATACTTCATGTTCTCACCTGTGGGAGTGAAACTTTGGGCATTCAGGAACATAAACATGGGAATGACAGATGTTGGGGACAACTAGAGTGGGAAGAGACAGTGTTGTGGGAAGTCAGGGACCCCAAACAGAGGGACTGGCTGAAACCACAGCAGAACATAAATTGTGAAGATTTCATGGACATTTGTTAGTTCCCCAAATTAATACTTTTGTAATTTCTTACACCTGTCTTTACTGCAATCTCTGAACATAAATTGTGAAGATTTCATGGACACTTATCACTTCCCCAATCAATACTCTTATAATTTCCTATGCCTGTCTTTACTTTAATCTCTTAATCCCATCATCTTCATAAGATGAGGATGTATGTTGCCTCAGGACCCTGTGATGATTTTGTTATCTGGGCAAATTGTTTGTAAAACATGTGTGCTTGAATAATATGAAATCTGGGCATCCTAAAAGAACAGGATAACAGCAATTTTCAGGGAACAAGGGAGATAACCATAAAGTCTGACTGTCTGCGGGGCCGGGAAGAACCGAGTCATATTTCTCTTCTTTCAGAAAGTGAATAGGAAATATCGCGGAATTCTTTTCTCAGCAAGGAATAACTCTGGGAAAACGAAGGCATTCCCAGGGGGAGTCCCTAAAATGGCCGCTCTGGGAGTGTCCATCTTATGCAGTTGTAGATAAAGGATGAAATACTCCCTGGTCTCCTGCAGCGCCCCCAGGCTTGCTAGGATTAGGAAATTCCAGCCTGGCGAATTCTAGTCAGACTGGTTGTCTGCTCTTGAACCCTGTTTCCTGTTAAGATGTTTATCAATGACAATGTGAGCTCAGCAGGACATGAAACCTCATTAGTAATTCTAATTTTGCCCTGACCTTGTGATCTTGCTCTGCCCCCATTTGCCTTGTGATATTTTATTGCCTTTGAAGCATGTGATCTCTGTGACCCACAGCCTATTCATACACTCCCACACCTTTGAAAATCGCTAATAAAAACTTGCTGGTTTTGTGGCTCAGGCATCATGGAACCTGCCGACATGTGATGTCACCCCCGGAGACCCAGATGTAAAATTTCTTTCTTTTGTACTCTTTCTCTTTATTTCTCAGACAGGCCGACACTTAGGGAAAATAAAAAAGAACTGTTACATTGAAATATTGGGGGCTGGTTCCCCCTATAAGACAGAGGTGCATGTGGGCTGGAAAACTACCTATTGGGTACTAAGCTCACTACCTGAATGAAATATACCCATGTAACCAACCTGCACATGTATCCCCTGTATCTAAAATAAAAGTTGAAAAAAAAGTGACTGCTTTGTCTGATATTAATATAACCATAACAGCTTTATTGTTGTTGTAGTTAGTGTTTGCATGGTATCTTTTTTGGTCCTTGTACTTTCGATCCATCTGTATCTTTATACATAAAATGTGTCTCTTGTAAAATAAATAAATAAACAAATACATAAAACACATATAGATCACATCACAGCCTTCCTCAAAACCCTGTGTTCCCTCTGCATCATGCTTAGGACAAAGCACACAGTCCTTCCATGTCCAGGCCTACCCCTTGGACATCATTCCTGCCCACTCCACCTGTCCATTCTGCTTTAGTCACACTAGCTTCCTTTCCCTCCGGTGTGCCAGATGTGCACTTCTGTCTCAAGGTTTTGGCTCCCTCACTCAAATGACATATCCTCAGAGAGATCTTCTTATAACCCCTCTCTAAAGCAGCAGCTGCCACCACTTGCCCTTTACTCTGATTTGTATTTTTTAAATCCCCACTGGACATTATAAATACCTAATAGTTTTGTTTGTCTGATTCATCTCATGGAATGTAAGCTTCATGAGGGCTTTTGTCTTAATCATTATCGATTGTATTTACACTACCAAGAACTATATTTGAAAAATAGAAGGAACTCAAATGTATGTAGAATAAATGAGCCAATAAATACTACATAGTGACATTTCCCGTGGGTGGGAAGCCATCGCATTATTATCCAGGCCAGTGATGAGGATACAAGGGCATCCTACAGAGGAGAGGCACCCCTCTGCTGCCATGATATCATCTAAAATAGCTAAGTTGTTACATGGCCCCCCAACAAAAGACTAAATTTAGACTATATTTTCAAGAACTTTATTGAGGTATAATTGACATGCAATAAAAGACACATACTTGTTAATTTTGGGCATGCGTATACACCCATGAAATTATCAACAGAAACAAGATAATGAAAATATCCATGAATTCAAAAGTTTCCTTGGGCCCCTTGGTAATCTGTCATCTTAGCCCTCTCTGCCATTCTGACCCTCCCATCCTGAAGCAACCATGGATTTTCTTTCCCTTATTCTATTAATAGAATGTTATGTATTTTCTAGAATTTTATTTAAATAAAATTATACATTGTGTACTTTTTATGGTACAGGTTCTTTCATTCAGAATAATTATTTTGAGATTCCTGTTATTATGTACAGCATTCATTTCATTCATTTTCATTGCTGAGTAGTATTCCATCATGTGGTGTATTCATTTCATAGGGCTGCCATAACAAATTGCCACAAAATTGGTGGCTTTAACAACAAAAATGTATTCCCTCACAGTTCTGTTGGCCAGAAGTCTGAAATCAAGGTGTCGACAGGGTTCGTTTCTTCTAAAGGCTTTCAGGGAGAATGGGTTCCAAGCTTCTCTTTTAGCTTTTACTGGCTGCAGACAATCTGTGTAGTTCGTTTGTTTGTAATGCCTTATTTCAGTCTCTACCTCTGTCTTCCCATCACCTTCTCTTCTGATGTGTCTTTTCCCTTCTCTTCTAAAGACTCTTGTCATTAGACTTAGGTCTCATCCTAATCTAGGATGATCTTATCTTGATATCCTTAACTTAGTTATATTTGCAAAGACCATTTTCCCAAATAAAGTCACATTTACAGGTTCTGAGTGAACATCTGTTGGGGAGGGGTACCGTTCACATCACTACATATACATATACTACCATTTGTTTTTCCATTTACCTGTTGATGGACATTTTGGTTATTTTCAGTTTGGGGCTATTACAAATAAAGTGGCTATGAACATCCATTCACAAATTTTTGTATGGATATATGCTTTGTTTCTTTTGGGTAAATAGGAGTGGAATGGCTGGGACATATGGTAGGGGTTGTATATTTAAAAAATTAATATACTGTCAAACTGTTTTCTAAAGTTGCAGTACCATTTTACATTCCTACTACCAGTGTATGAGATTTCAAGTTGCTCTATATTTTTACCAGAATTTGGTATGGACATTATTTCTAATTTTAAATATCCTAATAGGTGTGTAGTGTTGTCTCATGGTTTTAATTTGCATTTCCGCAATAACGAATCGTGTTAAGCATCTTTTCATTTGCAAGTCATGTATCTTTTTTTTTTTTTAAGGCAAAGTTTCACGCTTGTTGCCTAGGTTGAGTGCAATGGCTCGATCTTGGCTCACTGCAACATTCACCTCCCCAGTTCAAGCAATTCTCCTGCCTCAGCCTCCTGAGTAGCTGGGATTACAGGTGCACGTCACCATGCCCAGGGCTAATTTTTGTATTTTTATTAGAGCTGGGTTTCACTATGTGGGCCAGGATCGTCCCGAACTCCAGACCTCAGGTGATCCATTTGCGTAGGCCTCCCAAAGTGTTGGGATTACAGGCATGAGCCACCACGTCCAGTCCCAAGCCATATATCTTTGATGAAATGTCTGAACAAATATTTTATCCATTTTATAATTGGGTTTCTTGTATTATAATAATAGATTAAGTTTTGGGTGTTTGTTTATTCTGGATTCAATTCCTTAATCATATATGTGAATTGCAATTGTTTCTCTCTGTTTTTTAGGAAGATGAAAATCTTTAATTTCGATAAAGTTCAATATATCAATTTTTCCTTTTAGAAATCTTTGCCTATCCCAAGGTCGCCAAGTGTTTTTCTAAGGTTTTCTTTTAGAAGTTTCATAATTTCAGAATTTTTAGGCTTTACTTTTAGTTCTATTATTCATTTTGAATTAATTTTTGAAGTGGTGTGAAACATATCATAGATAGAAGTTCTCCCTTGTTGATATTCAATTAGTCCTGCACATTGGCTCCCACTTGTAAGTGAGAACATGTGGAATTTGGTTTTCTGTTCCTGTGTTAGTTTGCTAAGGATAATGGCTTCTAGTTCCATTTATGTTACTGCAAAGGACATGATCTAGTTCTTTTTTTATGGCTGCATAGTATCATGGTGTGTATGTACCACATTTTCTTTATCCAGTCTATCATCGATGGGTGTTTAGGTTGATTTCATGTCTTTGTTATTTTGAATAGTGATGCAATGAACATATGCATGCATATGTCTTTACACTAGAACAATTTATATTCCTTTGGTTATATACCCAGTAATGAGATTGCTAGGTTGAATGGTATTTCTGTTTTTAGGTCTTTGAGTAATTGCCACACTTTCTTCCAGAGTGGTTGAATGAATTTACACTCCCACCAATAGTGAATAAGCATTCCTTTTTCTCCACAACCTTGCCAGCATCAGTTATGTTTTGACTTTTTAATAATAGTCATTCTGTCTGGTGTAAGATGGTGTCTCATTGTGCTTTTTATTCACATTTCTCTAATGATCAGTGATGTTCAGCTTTTTTTCATATAATTCTTGGCTGCATGTATGTCTTCTTTTGAGACATGTCTGTTCATGTCCCTTGCCCACTTTTTAATGGGATTGTTTGTTTTCTTGTAAATTTGTTTAAGTTCCTTACAGATACTGCATTAGACGTTTGTCAGATGCATAGTTTGCAAATATTTTCTCCCATTCTGTCAGTTGTCTGTTTACTCTGTTGATAGTTTCTTTTGTGGTACAGAAGCTCTTTAGTTTAATTAGATCCCATTTGTCAATTTTTGCTTTGATTGCAATTGCTTTTGGCATTTTTGTCATGAAATCATTGCCCGGTTCCTATGTCCAGAATGGTATTGTGTAGGTTGTAATACAAGGCTTTTATAGTTTTGGGTTTTACATTTAAGTCTTTAATAAATCTTGAGGTAATTTTTGTATATGTAAGGGAGGGGTTCAATTTCAATCTTCTGCATATGACTAGCCAGTTGTCCCAGCACCATTATTGAATAGACAGTTTTTTCCTCATTGCTTGTTTTTGTCAGCTTTGTTGAAGATCAGATAGTTGTAGGTGTGTGGCCTTATTTTTGAGTTCTCTATTCTGTTCTATTGGTTTATGTGTCTGTTTTTGTACCAGTACCAAGCTGCTTTGGTTACTATAGTCCTGTAGTATAGTTCAAAATTGGGTAATGTGATGCCTCCAGCTTTATTCTTTTTGCTTAGGATTGCCCTGGCTATATGGGCACTTTTTTGGTTCCACATATATTTTAAAACCATTTTTTCTATTCTGTGAAGAATGTCATTGGAAGTTTAATAGGAATAGCAATGAATCTGTAAATTACTTTAGGCAGTATGGCCATAATAATATTGATTCTTCCTATCCATGACCATGGAATGTTTTTCCATTTGTTGGTGTCATCTCTGATTTCTTTGAGCAGTATTTTGTAATTCACATTGTAGAGATCTTTCACCTCCCTGGTTAGCTGTATTCCTAGGTATTTCATTCTTTTTGTGGCAATTGTGAATGGGATTGTGTTCCTCATTTGGCTCTCAGGTTGGCTGTTATTGGTGTATAGAAATGCTACTGATTTTTGCACATTGATTTTGTATTCTGAAACATTGCTGAAATTATCAGCTGAAGGAGCTTTTGGGCCAAGACTATAGGGTTTTCTAAATATAGGATTATGTCATCTGCAAACAAAGATCGTTTGACTTCCTCTCTACCTATTTGGATGCCCTTTATTTCTTTCTCTTTCCTGATTGCTCTTATCAGGACTTCCAATACTACGTTGAATAGAGTGGTGAGAGAGGGTATCCTTGTGCCTGTTTTCAAGGGGAATGCTTCTAGCTTTTGGCTATTCAGTATGATGTTAGCTGTGGGTTTGTTATAGATGGCTCTTATTATTTTGAGGTATGTTCCTTCAATACCTAGTTTGTTGAGAGTTTTTAACATGAAAGGGGGTTGAATTTTATAAAGAAAGCCTTTTCTGCATCTATTGAGATAATCACGTGCTTTTTGTCTTTAGTTCTGTTTACGTGATGAGTCACATTTGTTGAATTGTATATGTTGAACCAACCTTGTATCTCAGGGATGAAGCCTACTTGATCATGGTGGTTAAGCTTTTTGATATGCTGCTGGATTATGTTTACCAGTTATTTTGTTGAGAGTTTTTGCACTGATGTTCATCAAGGATATTGGCCTGAAGTTTTCTTTCTTTCTTTTTTTTTTTATACTGTGTCCTCCAGGTTTTGCTATCAGGATGATGCTGGCTTTATAGAATGATTGGAGAGGAGTCCCTCCTCCTCAATTTTTTGGAATAGTTTTCTTGGTACCAGCTCTTCTTTGTATCTCTGGTAGAATTCAGCTGTGATTCTACCTGGTCCTGGGCTTTTTAAAGTTGGTAGGCTATTTATTACTGACTCGATTTTGGAGATCATTATTGGTCTGTTCAGGGATTCAATTTCTTCCTGGTTCAGTCTTGGGAGGGTGTATGTGTCCAGGAATTCATCCATTTCTTCTAGATTTTCTAGTTTATGTGCATAAAGGTGTTCATAATAATCTCTGATGGTTATTTATATTTCTATGGGGTCAGCAGTAATATCCCCCTTAGCTTCTTTAAGCTATATTTCATAGTTTTCAATGTACAATCTTGCACATCTTTCGTTAGATTTATACCTAAGCATTTAATATTTCTTGATGCTATTGTAAATTGTATTTTTCCCTTTTAATTTTAAGTTTCGGTTGTTCCTAGTATTTGAATATCTACATCTAGTTTGTATGTTGAATTTTCTATTCTGCAACCTTGCTAAACTCATATATTAGTTCTAGTGGAAGTTGTTTTATGAATATTCTACATAGATGATCATGTTGTCTATGAATAAGCACAGTTTTAATTTTTCCTTTCCAGTCTGGAAGGCTTTTGTCTCTTTTATTGTCCTAATTGTACTGGTTAGAATCTATAGTACAATGTTTAATAGAAGTGGTGAGAGCAGATTTCTTTCCTTGTTCCAAATCCTAAAGAGACTGCTTTCAGTCTTTTACTATGAAGTATTATGTTATAGATATACTTCTATAGATATAGATTTTTTTATAGATCTCCTTTGTCAAGTTGAACAAGTTTCCCTATATTCCCACTTTGCCAAAATTTGCTCATTGGGAATATTATAGATTTTAGATTTTGTCAAATGCTTTTTCTGTACATATTAAGATTTTTTCTTCTTTATTCTGTTAATATGGTATATAATATTAATTTTTGAATGTTAAACCAATGTTGCATTCTTAGAGTAAACCCCACTTAGTTATAATGTGTTATCTTCTTTATATATCATGAAATTTGCTTGATAAAATTTTATTAAAATTTTTGCATCTATGTTTATGAATGATATTGCTCTCTGGTTTTTTCTTATGATGTCATAGTCCGATTTTTGGCATCATAATAATGTTGGCATCACAAAATTAATTGAGAAGTATTCCTTCCTCCTAATATTCCAGAAGTTGTTGTTTATTTTTTATTATTTATTATTTAAATGTGGAAGTCATTAGTAAAGCCATATGGGCCTAAATTTTTCTTTATAGAAAGGTTTTAACTAGAAATTATTTCTTTAATTTAAATATTTAATAGGGCTATTCAAGTTATCTATTTCTTCTTGAGTGAGCTTTAGTAGTTTGTATCTTTCAAGAAATATGTTGATTTCTTATCCATTTTCAAATTTATTAAAATAAATCTTTTCTCAAAATTCCCTTATTAGTTTTTTCATATCTATACAATTTGTAGTAAAGTCACCTTTCTCATCTTGACACTGGAAATGTCATGTCTCCTTTCTCTATCCATCTCTCTCCCTCCATCTCTTTTTTCTGATCAGTCTAATTAGAGATTTATCAGTTTTATTCATCTCAAAGGATCAGCTTTTGATTTCACTAATTTCTCTTTTTCTATTCCAATGATATCCATTATAATTTTTATATTTATTATTTCTTCTGCTTACTTTGGTTTTATTGGATCTTAATTTGCTAGCTTCTTACAGTAGAAGCACTGACTTTAGACCTTTAATTTCTTATGCAGACATTTAATCCTATACATTTCCCTCTAAATTGATGGGAAATTTGTGGGACTTAGCTGCATCTCACAAGTTTCAAAATATTGTTTCCATTTGTATCTAGTTCAAAATGCCTTCTAATTTTCCTTTTTGATTTCTTCTTTGATCTTTAAATTATTGAGATATACGTTAGTTTCCAAATTTTGAAGATTTTTCCAGATATCTTTTTGCCATTGATTTATAATTTAATTGCTTAATAATCAGATAAAATATTTTTATGACTTGAATTTTAAAAATTTTATTGAGACATGGTTTATAGCCCAGAATGTGGTCTCTCTCAGAAAATATTCCATGTATACTTGAAAAGAATGTGTATTATACTGTTGTTGGGTGGAGAATTACATAAATTTCAATTATGTCAAGTTGATTCATAGTGTTTTTCAAATCTTCTATTCACTTACTGATTTTTGGTCTACTTGTATCAATTATTGAAGGGGTATTTAAATCTGCAACTAAAATTATGATTTTGTCTATTTCTCCTTAGTTCTCTGTCTTTGTGACATATATTTTGTCAGATGCACAGATGCTTTTTTTATGAATTGACCCTTTTATCATTATGAGATGACCTTCTTTAGCCTTGGTAATTTTCTTTGCTCCTGAATCTACTCCCTCTGATATTAATAAAGTCACTTCAACTTTATTTTGATTAGTGTCAGCACGGAATATCTTTTTCCATCACTTTTCTTTTGATATCCTTGTGGTATTATATTTAAAGTGGGTTTCTTATGAGGCAGCATACAGTTAGGTTTCCTTCTTTTTAAAAAATCAAATCTGGTTATCTCTGTCCTCTAATTGAGATATTTAGTTGACATTTAGGTTTTTCACTCTCATTTCACTCTTTGTTTTCTATTTGTCTTAGCTATTCTTTGTTCCCTTGTTCCTGTTTTTCCTGCATCTTTGTATGAGTATTTTTGTGATACCATTTGATCTCCTTTGTTGGGTTATTAGGTATAACTACATCTGTGTTACTTTAGAGGCTGCTTTATGGTTTATAGCTTATATCTTTAACTTATTAGAGTCTACCTTCAAGTAGACTTTATTTATAATGTAAAAATATTACAACAATATGCTTCCATTTATCCCAACAGCCTTTGTGCTATTATTGTTGTCATATGGCATAAACCCCAAAATATATTACTATTTTCTCTTTAAATAGTCAATTATCATTAAAATAAAAAGATTTTTAAAAAGAATACCAAGTCTTTTGTAATTACCTTTGTAAGTATCATGTGTGGGGCTCTTCACTTCTTTGTGTAGATCCAGATTTCCATCTGGTGTCATTTTCCTTCTCCCTGGAGGACTCTCCCTAAGATTTCTTACAGTGTTGATCTCCAGGTAATGAATTCCTTCAGTGTTTATATGTCTCCAAAAGCCTTATTTCCAAAGTTTCATTTTACTAAATGTAAATATTTACATTATTTCACCTTTCTTTATAGTTTTGTTTGGACATTTCTTCATTTTTTAGTATAATGAGTGTTTCAAAACTGGAAATGACTTGGGTTTCTATAACAATCAGAAGAGGCTGTATGACCCCCAAAATCAACTCCCTGGGCAGGAAAGAATAAACTCTGTAAGCCTAGGTTTTTCATACTCTGCATATTCCAAAGAAAGGCTTGTCTTCAGCATTGGTTCTTGGATTGCTCCTGGAAGATAACTCCTAAACCCTTGGAACATTCTGCCTGATAAGAGTGTTTTTGTACATCTGAGGCTTTAGGCCATCCTGTACCAGTTTGACCAGACAAGATTATCTTTATGGTGAATGCCTCTTTTTAATCTGGAGGGGACTTGAGTCTGAGTAACTGAGGTCATTCATATGTACATGCCTATGGGACTGACCTCCAGTTAAAAGTCTAGACCTCAAGGCTTAGGTGAGCCTCCCTGTTTGGCAGTATTTCACATGTTGCCACACATCACTGCCTGGAGAATTAAGAGTATTCCTGTGCGATTCTGCTGGACAAGGACACCTGGAAACTTGCACCTGGTTTCTCCTGGATTTGGCAAGATGTGCCCTTTCCCTTTGTTCGTTTTGATTTGTACCCTTTCCTTGTAATAAACTGCAACTGTAATTACGATGGTTTCTGAGTCATGTGAGTCTTTCTAGAGAATAACTGAGCCTAAGAATGGTCTTGGGAATCCCTGACACAACCTTTAAATTTCAGTGACCGAAAATCGGAAAGTTCTATTTTTTTACTCACATGACATGTCCTCTCTAGATGGGCTTGGAGGAAGGGCTTTGCTCTGTATCATCTCCACCCAGATAACCAGGCTGAGGGAGCCTCCTCCTTCATCCTTCAGCATTGTTGAGATATGGAAAAAGAAACATGATGAATCACACTGTTTTAAAAACTTCTGCCTTGAACTGACACATCACCGCCACTCACTTTCCGTTGGCCCAAACTAGATATTTAGCTACACTTACCTTTGAGGCAGCTGAGAAGTTCCGTCTCACCGTGTGCTCAGACAGAGGACTGGAATATTGGTGAAAGCATTCCTGATTACCTCAGCACCTACAAGCTCTAAAAGTCCTGGCTTGAGTCTTCTACCACTGCGATAGCAGGACCTATCAAGCAGAGAAAAATGATTATAAGAATGAGGGAGAGCTAGGAAAGTGCAATTTCATAATATTTAAGCAAGTAAAGAAATAAAAGGAGAAAGGGGTAGTTACAATTTATCAAGAAGATTTTGGTGCAGAAAAAGTGTATGATTCCTGAAGAGGAGGATAGATGGAAGCCAGCTTACAGGAGGTTCAAAAAAGGAGCTGATGGGTAGGAAAGGATGTCAGCATGCTTGGACATCTGCTTGAAAAGTTGGGCAGCAAAGATGAGAGAAAATATTTGATAAGTTCTATTAAAATGCTTAAAATCTCTGAAAATCTAAGTAAGATAGTAATGTTTCAATGAAGACTAGAGGTCCATGACTGCTCATGCATGCTTAATCGTTTCAGTCTTTCCAAAATAGGAAGTGAGGTACCATCAGGATGAGGTATGAGGTTTGGTTTAAAAAAAAAAAAAGAACAATCAAGGTATCCTCTGTGGAGCAGGTGTCAGGCATAAAACAATAATGACTAGAGATCATGATGTTGATGGTAACACTAATATTTTGTAAACATTTATTAAACACCCATGTCTTGAGCACTAAGATACAAATTGGGAATAAAATAACTGGAGGAGACTGGTCCCTGTCCTTGAGAAGCTACTTTGTAGTTAACAGTAACGTTTGGGTGAGCCATGCAGTAAATAAGCATATGAATCAGGTATGGAGGTCAACAGAGAGGTGGTTGTTAAAATACAGCAGTAGAAAGGTGATATGAACAATTATGGGAAAGAGAAGCCTATTCTGTCCAAACACCCCGATAATAAAATTCCATGTATGTTTAACTCAAATACTGAGTTATGTGTTTTCAATGCATATAGCTCAGAGTTTTGACTGTTTAGATCCCTCTCCTGTACCAATCAACAAATATTCTCTAAATCCAGAATATTCTCCTCACTAGCTGCTGAGCAGTTGCAGTGAATGAGGCCAAGGGCAGTTTGTGCATTTAATTGACTCCAGCAGGTCAGGCTGGAGTTCACTAGGAAAGCCTCAAGGGTGTCTGCCTCCTTTTCTGCATTTCTGATATTTCTGCTGAGAGGAAGCCGAAAACAAGGTGGGCCTCTGGCCAGTTTCTTCAAAAGTCTGTAGGTGAGGGAAGTAAAGCACAGGCCACCCTTGCCTTCAGCAATTGTTCCTGGGCTCAGACACTGGGGAGCTGCTTCCTCAAACTCCTGTCAACTAAGCTTTCTGTGATCTGTCAGAGGAGGGAGAAGCTGCTGGGGCCTGAAGGGACAAGTGCCAACTTGCAATAAGGAGACCCTGGAACGCCAGGCAGAACATCACTCCCCAGTCATCCCGTCCTCTGGGTAATGATGCTCAATGGCCTCATAGCTGCTTCTCCCGCAGGACACAATTTCAGTGTCATTGTGGAGGTAGAGAATGCCACACAGAAAGAGGACCCAAAGCCAAGGAGGCAGCAGACTGGAGAGGCTCACAGCTTCTGGGCACCGAAGCCGAAGCTGACTTCCCCATCCCATTAGAGACAGGCTTGGAGGGGCCAAACACCATCAGAACAATTTTCCCTGGCAGAGAAGCCCGGGACTAGAGCAAATCCAACTTTGGGAGGCCGAGGCAGGCAGATCACAAGGTCAGGAGTTCGAGACCAGCCTGACCAACATGGTGAAAACCCGTCTCTACTAAAAATACAAAAATTAGCCGGGTGTGGTGGCAGACACCTGTAATCCCAGCTACTCAGGAGGTTGAGGCAGGAGCATCACTTGAACCCATAAGGCAGAGGTTGCAGTGAGCTGAGATCAAGACATCACACTCCAGCCTGGGCCACAGAGTGAAACTCCATCTCAAAAAACAAACAAACAAAAAAACTAAACAAAAATAAAAAACCACCACCACCACCACCACCACCACCAACAACAACAACAAAAAACTGCTTGTTGCATTCATTTGGCACCAAGCTTACGGCCCATTCTTCTGAGTTCGGGCCTGGGGCCCTACGGTCACCTCTCACTCTATACCACCCCCAGCTTGGTCTGATTCCATTTAATTTCATAGTCTATGGATTACCCACGATGTGCTGGGGACATATTACACAGAGACCACATATTAATAGGGGAGACAGACACAAGTAACTACACACTAAACTTAATGCATGATTTAGGAGCTACAAAGTATCTAGAAACCACCAAGAAAGGAAAGATTTTAACAGTAGGATCACATCTAAATATTCAGCATCCTATGAAAGATTCTTGGCAGACTGGTCCTCATAATGGTGATAATATGCTTTCCTTGATTTGAAGATGCACACTTTTCGTACTTTGGTGTTTCTGAGATTCAGCTGCTTCTTACAATTGATGTGTGCATTTAATGTGGTTTATTCTGCTTGCCAAAGAAGAAAAAAGCTGATAATTAACAGATAGTTCAGTTTTTTCAACTGATGAGAACCTAGACAGAGGGAAATATATTAATAATAACACAGCACTAATGGGCTAGACAATATGCTAAATGTTATGTGAACATCTCATTTCATCCTCACAACCAACCTAACATGGAGAACAATTGTCAAAGCCATTTTCCAGGCAAAGAAACAAAGAGAAATAGCTTTCCCAAGGTCACGGCAGGCGAGGAGCAGAGTTGGGATTCAAATTTAACCCTCTTTGGCTCCAGAGTCCATGATCTTAATCTCAAATGCTACCTGTTCACATCTCTCTTCCTTTACTAAACTGGTTCCTCTGCCGGGAAGACTTCTGCCACTCCTCGTTCTAAGACTTGCTTCTCTAGATAAGGCAGGGTCAAATGGTATCTTTCCTGTAACTATTTCCCTGACCACTTGATACAGCTTGAATTTTTCCTCCTCTGAACTCCCATAGCAATCTTGTCACACTGGTAGAGTATAACTTACTATACTGCATTACAGCTGTCAGTATAACTTTATTCCTCATTACAGTGTGAGTGTCTTAAAGGCAGAGACTCTCTCCTACTCGTCTTTATATACCCAGGGCCCAATACAGTGCCTGGAAAACAATTGTTGTTGGCTGAGCTGCTTAAAAAATGTGTTTTCCCTACTTCGTTGAGATATAGAGAAAGCTTTACAGACTTTTAAATGATAATTTATTGAGTACAAACTACTGACATAATATTAGCTAAGAGCTTTATATGCTCTTATACTTTTTGTGAGAAGAAATGAGATAATCAGTGTAAAACACTTAAAATAGCGTATGGCACATGGTAAGGATTCAATCACGTTATTTTTTAATTATTATCACTATTTAACCATTGTGAAAATTCACTGAGTAGTTACTATGATTGTTAGTGTTCTATAAATAAGGCAACTGAGTAATAGAAGGCGAAGAAACTTATTCACTGTCAAACAGACAATGAAGGACAGATTTTGATCATTTATGTGTATGTATCAAATCTTACCTCATGGATACATTTTTCATAATTTTACACAGTGCAGGGGGTATCTCTGCCTGTTCTCTAGACTTCCAGTGCCTGTTAGCTCTTCTGTACAATCATGTTGGAGCTGCTCACTGATCTTTAGGTGCTGCTCAACTCCAGGTTTTCTTGTTATTTAAATCTTTTCTTCAGCCTCTCTGCTCCAAAACCTGGAAGATCTGAAAGAAAAACTTGGCTGAATATGGTTGTGTCTCTGACAAAGACTGCTGTTCTGCTGACGTTTCTCTGAGATCTGTAACAACTCTGTCTGCATCCCAAGCCATGGGTTTGGTGAGCTGCTTAAAATTGGCAGTCAAAACTCTGATTTGACCATAAAGACATATGTATGCATATGTTCATCACAGCGCTTTTCACAATAGCAAAGACATGGAATCAACCTAGATGCCCATTAACAGTGGACTGGAAAAAGAAAATGTGGTATATATACACCATAGAATACTATGCTGCCATCAAAAAGAATAAAATCATGGCTTTTGGAGCAACATGGATGCAGCTGGTGGCCATTATCCTAAATGAACTAATACAGGAACAGAAAACCAAATCGTGCATGTTCTTATTTATAAGTGGGAGGTAAACATTGAGTACACAGGGACACAAAGAGGAGAACAATAGACACTGGGGCCTACTTGAGGTTGGAGGATGGGATTGAAAAACTGCCTGTCTGGTACTATGCTCACTACCTGGATGATGAAATCATTTGTACACCAAACTCCAGTGACACGCAATTTACCCACATAACAAACCTGCACAGGTACCCTCTGAACCTAAAAGTTGGAAGGAAAAACAAACCCAAAAGGAAGCCCCTATGATTTGAAGAAACTTGCAGTAGTCAAAACTTGTCATTCTAAAGTTGAGCCACAAGGAAGCAGTAGTGTCCTAGCTGTAAGGTCTGAAGATGCTGGCATATTTATTCTAATGCCTTCCCTAGACTTACAACCTTAAGCTTTGCATATTTCATTTACTAAGTTACTATAGTTACCCAACAGTATTTGTAAAATATGATACTTGGAATTTATGTTACAAAGAAATAATTTCAATCTTAAAAAGAGAGTCAAAGTATAATTTTGCATTTTTCTTTTAACACTTATTTTATGCTGCATAACTTTCCTCTGAGGCTGCATTAAATAAAGAAGGAAAGAGATAGAGAAGAAGGGGCAGGAGGACAGAAAGCAGGCCACAGGCTTTATTCTTAGCAATCAGACCTGCTCAGGCAAACCCCACATCTCCTAGGCCTTTCTAATCTGCCTGCAGTTTGTGATAGTCTTCATCTTTTTTCTATGTCAGGTAAAAATGACTATGCAGCCTGTCCAATCTGATTAATCGAATTAAAGAACAGTCTTGGCCGGGTGCGGTGGCTCAAGTCTGTAATCCCAGCACTTTGGGAGGCCGAGGTGGGCAGATCACGACGTCAGGAGATGGAGACTATCCTGGCCAACATGGTGAAACCCTGTCTCTAGTAAAAATACAAAAAAAATTAACTGGATGTGGTGGTGTATGCCTGTAGTCCCAGCTACTTAGGAGGCTGAGGCAGGAGAATCACTTGAACCCAGGAGGCAGAGGTTGCAGTGAGCTGAGATCGCACGACTTCTCGCCAGCCTGGCAACAGAGTGAGACTCCGTCTCAAAAAAAAAAAAAAAAAAAACAAACAAAAAAAGAGAGAGAG
Source organism: Homo sapiens (assembly GCF_000001405.40). Taxonomy (NCBI): domain Eukaryota; kingdom Metazoa; phylum Chordata; class Mammalia; order Primates; family Hominidae; genus Homo; species Homo sapiens. The sequence goes on along the minus strand of NC_000012.12, from coordinate 48,454,075 downwards.
AGAGAGAACTGTCTTGATTTTCCTTCCTATAATTTAGAGCCCCTGATTTATTTTTCAACAATAACAGGAGTTCCCTGACCTCATGGTATCCTGATGCTCCAAAGTTACAGAAGGCTTCAAGTACAATGAATCTAAATCAAAAGAAGGCACTTCTTTTTTCAGTTTGGTTGAGAAGTAAAATATCACCTTCTTTGTTTTCTCAAGGTCAGAATAAATGAGCTGTGAACGATTACATGTATATGGATATGGATAGGTAGGTAGATAGATGAATATAGATATATGATATTATGCTTATATGTTTCATATATATTGTGTGTGTGTGTTTGATACAGGCAATGTGCAAAATATTTTGTTTTATTCTTTAAAAGATACCTTAGGTTTAAATAAACTTGAGGATAAATCCTGGCTCTTCATTATCTTTAAATTTCTAGCTGTGAGGCACTGGGCAAATTAGTTTCTTTGAATATCAGAACATGAATATACACATATATATGTGTATATGTGTATATATATGTATATATATGTGTATATATATGTATGTGTATATATATACACATTTATTTATTTCCAACTTTTACTTTAAGTTCAGGGATACATGTGCAGGATGTGCAGGTTTGTTGCATAGGTAAACACTTGCCATGGTGGTTTGCTGCACAGATCATCTCATCACCCAGGTATTAAGCTCAGCATCCACTAGCCATTCTTCCTGATCCTCTCCCTCTTCCCATCCCCCACCCTCCAACAGGCCCCAGTGTGTGCTGTTGCCCACTGTGTATCCACGTGTTCTCATCATTCAGCTCCCACTTATAAGTGAGAACATGTGGTGTTTGGTTGTCTGTTCCTGCATTAGTTTGCTAAGGATAATGGTCTCCAGCTCCATCCATGTTCCTGCAAAGAACATGATCTCGTTCCTTTTTATGGCTGCATAGTATTCCATCATGTATGTACCACATTTTCCTTATCCAGTCTATCATTGATGGGCATTTAGCTTGATTCCATGTCTTTGCTATTGTGAATAGTGCTTCAGTGAACAGACATGTGCATGTGTCTTTATAACAGAATGATTTATATCCCTTTGGGTATATACTCAGTAATGGGATTGCTGGGTTGAATGATATTTCTGTCTCTAGGTCTTTGAGGAATCATCACACTGTCTTCTACAATGGTTGAACTAATTTACACTCCCACCAACGGTGTAAAAATGTTTCTTTTTTGCCACAATCTTGCTAGTTCTGTTATTTTTAATAATAGACATTCTGGTGTGAGATGGTATTTCATTGTGGTTTTGATTTGCATTTCTCTAATGATCAGTGATGTTGAAGTTTTTTTCATATGTTTGTTCATCACATGTATGTCTTCTTTTGAGATGTATTTGTTCATGTCTTTTGCCCACTTTTTAATGGAGTTGTTTGTTTTTTCTTGTAAATTTGTTTAAGTTCCTTATAAATGCTGGATACTAGACCTTTGTCAGATGCATAGATTGCAAAAATTTTCTTCCATTCTGTAGGCTGTCTATTTACTCTGTTGATAGTTTTTGTTGTCGTTGTTGTGTTTTTTTCTGTGCAGAAGCTCTTTAGTTTAATTAGATCCCATTTGTCAATTTTTGCTTTTGTTGCAATTGCTTTTAGCATCTTTGTCATGAAATCTTTGCCTGTGCCTATGTCCTGAATGGTATTGCCTAAGTTTTCTTGTAGAGTTTTTACAGTTTTGGGTTTCACATTTAAATCTGTAATCTATCTTGAGTTGATTTTTGCATATGGGGTGAGGAAGGGGTCCAGTTTCAACTATCTGCGTATGGCTAGGCAGTTCTCCCAGCACCATTTATTAAATAAGAAATCCTTTCCCCATTGCTTGTTTTTGTAAGATTTGTTGAAGATCAGATGCTTGTAGGTGTGTGGTCTTATTTCTGGGTTCTCTATTCTGTTCCATTGATTTATGTGTCTGTTCTTGTACCAGTACTAGGCTGTTTTGGTTACTGTATCCCTGCAGTATAGTTTGAATTTGGGTAGAGTGATACTTCCAGCTTTGTTCTTTTTGCTTAGGATTGTCTTGGCCACTTGAGTTCTTTTTTGGTTCCACATGAATTTTAAAATAGGTTTTTCTAATTCTGTGAAGAATATCAATGGTAGTTTAATGGGAATAGCATTGAATCTATAAATTATTTTGGACAGTATGGCCATTTTCACAATATTGATTCTTCCTATTCATAAACATGGAATGTTTTTCTATTTGTGCCATTTCTGATTTCTTTGAGCAGTGGTTTGCAGTTCTCTTTGAAGAAGTCCTTTGCTTCCCTTCTTAGCTGTATTCCTAGGTATTTTATTCATTATGGCAATTGTGAATGGGAGTTCATTGTGATTTGGCTGTTGGCTTGCCTGTTGTTGGTGTATAGGAATGCTAGTGATTTTTGCACATTAACTTTGTATCCTGAGACTTTGCTGAAGTTGCTTATCAGCTTAAGAAGCTTTTGGGCTGAGATGATTGGGTTTTCTAGAAATAGGATTATGCCATCTGCAAACAAAGATAGTTTGACTTCCTCTTTCCTATTTGAATATCCCTTATTTCTTTCTCTCGCCTGATTGCCCTGGCCAGAACTTCTAATACTATATTGAATAGGAGTGGTGAGGGAGGGCAATTTTGTCTTGTGCTGGTTTTCAAGGGGAGAATGCTTCCAGCTTTTGCCCATTCAGTATGATATTGGCTGTGGGTTTGTCATATGTGGCCCTTATTATTTTGAGGTATGTTCCTTCAAAACCTAGTTTATTGAGAAGTTTTTTTTTTTAATATGAAGGGATGTTGAATTTTATCAAAGCCTTTTTATGGATCTATTGAGATAATCATGTGGTTTTTGTCTTAATTCTCTTTATGTGATGAATCACATTTACTGATTTGTGTATGTTGAACCAAACTTGCATGTCAGGGATGAAGCCAACGTGATTATGGCAGATAAACTTTTTGATGTGCTGCTGGATTTGGTTTGGTAGTATTTTATTGAGGATTTTTTCTTTGATGTTCATCAAGGATATTGGCCTGAAGTTTTCTCTCTCTTTTTTTTAAATATCTTTGCCAGGCTTTGGTATCAGGATGATGCTGGCCTCATAGAATGAGCTAGGAAGGAGTCCCTCCCTTTCCATTTTTTGTAATAGTTTTAGTGGGAATGGTGCCAGCCCTTCTTTGTACCTCTGGTAGAATTTAGCTGTGAATTCGTCTGGTCTTGGCCTTTTTATGGTTGGTAGGCTATTTATTACTGCCTCAATTTCAGAACTTGTTATTGGTCTGTTCCAGGATTCAATTTCTTCCTGGTTCAGTGCTGGGAGGGTGTATGTGTCCAGGAACTTGTCCATTTCTTCTAGATGTTCTAGTTTATGTGCATAGAGGTGTTGATAATATTCTCTGATAGTTGTTTGTATTTCTCTAGGGTCAGTGGTAATATCCCCTTATCATTTCTGATTGTGTTTATTTGAATCTTCTTTCTTTTCTTCTTTGTCTAGCTAGCAGTCTATTTTATTATTTTTTCCAAAAAACTAGCTCCTGGATTCATTGATCTTTTGAAGGGTTTTCTCATGTCTCTGTCTCCTTCAGTTCAGCCTTGATCTTGGCTATTTCTTGTGTTCTGCTAGCTTTGGGGTTGGTTTGCTCTTGGCTCTCTAGTTCTTTTAGTTGTGATGTTAGTTTATTAACTTGAGATCTTTTTAGCTTTTTGATGTGGGCTTTCAGTGTTATACATTTCCCTCTTAACACTGCTTTAGCTGCATCCCAGAGATTCTGGTATGTTGTATCTTTTGTGCTCACTAATTTCAAAAGACTTCTTGATTTCTGCCTTAATTTCATTATTTAGTCAAAATTCATTCAGGGGCAGGTTGTTCATATACATATATATTTTGACTGTTAGAAAGGATTGTTTCTTCTCCATTCCTCTAGTTTTAAAATGGTTAGATTTACAGCATTAATGCAATGTATTAGTTAGTTTTCATGCTGCTGATAAAGACATACCCAAAACGGGGAAGAAAAAGAGGTTTAATTGGACTTACAGTTCCACATAGATGGGGAGGCCTCAGGATCATGGCAGAGGGTGCTTCTTACATGACAGCGGCAAGAGAAAAATGAGGAAGAAGCAAAGGCAGAAGCCCTTGATAAACCCATCACATCTCATGAGACTGGCCCCCATGACTCAATTACCTCCCCCTGGGTCCCTCCCACAACACGTGGGAATTCCAGGAGATACAATTCAAGTTGAGATTTGGGTGGGGACATAGTTGAGATTTGGGTGGGGACACAGCCAAATCATATCATGGAACAATTTTATAATTGAATCTTCAGAAGATGTTTTATTAATATCCATTAATTAAAATTTTATGTGAAAAAATATCAGGTTATCTCAACAGATCAGAAAAGCATTCAGTTAAATTCAACTCTTATTTATTATAAAGGTCTTAGCAAACTGGAAATAGTAAGGAACTTTCTTAACATGGTAGAGTACAAAGCCTAGTGAAAACTTTTACTTAAATATACATTTTAGAAATGAGGACTAAATTCTGATTTGTTCTTATCTTGCCCAAATTCCTATCTAAGCAGTCTGGGGAGTCATGGCCTACAAACCATAAATTCTCATGAGATGGGTTTTATTTAACCCAATATAGTGACTTACTTTCCAACTTGACTCTGGAGTAATATTATGTGACAAAAAAGAAAACGAAAGTATTTTACCTCAAAACATGTTTCTTTGCATTATTTTGAAATGGCCCCATGAAGCCATCCTTTGTGGGGGAAAATTTGCATCTGTAAAGAATCTCTATTAACATCTTTTGATAGATAATAGCTAGATCTTTTTCTTTCAGGCCTTCCCACTCCTGAAGAGATGAACTGAGAGTCTAGCATATTTTAAAGGTCTGAATAGGAAACAGTTGTCATCTATTGTCTCTAAGGGCAGCCACTATGAGACTTCAAAAGGACCTTGATTTCCATAATCTTCTATCTCAACCTGAATGTTTCCTTTCTATTGATCCCAGGTCTTTAGACAAACTCAACCAATTGTCAACCAGAAAATGTTTAAATTTGCCTATAGCCTGGAAGCTACAGCCCATAGCTGCCCCCTCTTCAAGTTGTTCTACCTTTCTGGACCAAACCAATTTATTTCTAAATTTGTATTTGATTGATGTCTCATGCCCCCCTAAAATGTATAAAACCAAGCTGCACCTGACCACCTTGGGCACATGTTCTCAGGATCCCCTGAGGGCTGTGTCATGGGCCATGGTCACTTATATTTGGTTCAGAATAAATCTCTTCAAATATTTTACAGAGTTAGACTCTTCATCAACAGAAGTATTGTATTCAATTAAAATAAGGCAAGCATGGCCACTCACCTCTACAACTAAACATTGTATTGAAAGTCCCAATTAATGCAATATGACAAGGAAATAAAATAATTTAAAATGTAACAACGGGAAAGAGAGAGAAAAAGGGCTTGTTATTATTTGAAGATGATGTGCTTGTCTACATAGAAAATCCTATAAAATATGCAGATAAACCAAAACATGTTCAAATTCTTACTTGTTCTTTAATCTTCTGAAAAATGCAGAAATGTAGTATAATCATATAATGCGACACTTTATAACAATTAAATGAATGAATTATTTTTACATATATCAACCTGGATAAATTTCTAAAGCAAGTTGAATGAAAACAAGGTAATTTCAGAATGTCACATATAACAAGAGACATTTATGTAAAGTTTTTAAAAACAGACATGTGTAATAAAAATATAAAAGCATACATGGGGAAATATATTCATTTTCTACTGCTGTGTAACAAATGAAATTACAATAAATATAGCAAACTAAAACAATACATATTGATTAGCTCATGGCTCTATAATTCAGGAGTCCAGGTACCGAGTGGCTTACATGGTTTCTCTGTCAGAGTCTCACCAAGCCTAAACAAAGGTGTCATCAGGGCTGCATTCCTTTCTGGAGGTTCTGGGAATGAATCTACTTCCAAGCTTAGACTGATAGCTGATTTTTTTCAGTTGCGGGACTGAGGTCTCTGTTTTTTTTGCTAGCTGCCAGCTGGGGGCTGGTCTTTGCTCCTAGAGGCTGCCCACATTACTTCTCATGCATTCTGTGTGTCCCTCATTGAGCAACAAACAATAGGTCACTTCCTCTTATGCTTTAAATCTCTTTGACTTCCATTTCTATCACATCTCTCTCACACCAGTGGGAGAAAGTTTTCTGCTTTTAAAAACTCATGTGATTAGATTAGATCCACCTGGATAATCCAAGATAATCTCCCTATTTTAAGGTCTATAACTTTAATGACATCTGCAAAATCTCTTTTGCCATGTAAGGTAGCAGTCATAGACTTCAGAGATTAGGGCATGGACATCTTTAGAAGACAATTCTGCTACCACGGGTAGCAGAAGAAGCTACACGAGAAACCATATTCTAACTTTAGGATAGTGGTTATGTATGGATAGGGAGGAATAGATTAGAGAATGGTATAAAAAAGACTTCAGTTCTATAATTTCCTACTTTTGAAAATTGGAATCCTAAGCAAAGGAAGGGCAAGTCTGGAGGAGCAAGGCTTCTGAGGAAGCAGAATAATCTATCTAAAGCACAGGTAGAGGCATTTATTTTGAATTGAGAAGAGATGTCTTCTCTATTGTATTAGTCAATTGGACTGCTATAGCAAAACACCATAGTCTAGTGCCTTAAGCAACATAAATCTATATGCTCACTGTTCTGGAGGATGGGAAGTCCAAGATCAAGGTATAGCCACTTCCTGGCTTGTAGATGGCCACCTCCTCACGGTGTCATCATGGGGTGGGGACACACACACACACACACACACACACACACACACACACAGAGTAAGAGAGAGAGAGAGAGAGCTCTCATATCTCTTACAAGGGCACTAATCCCATCACATTAGACTTGTAGCAAGAAGACAGAAGACAGTGTAGTGATATCTTCAAATTACTGAATAAAAAATAACTCCCTGTTAGAATTCTGTGCCAGTAGTAAATCCTTTAAGAATTAAGGTGAATTATATATATCACTAAAAGACTTGCACTAAGAGAAAATTTAAAAGGAGGACTTCAAGGAGAAAGAAAATGCTCATAGATGGAAGTTCTTATTTTCTTCTTACCTATCTTTTGAGTCACTAAAATTTCTTCTGCTTTGTCTATTTTGTGTCAAATGTATCCACTGAAATCTCAGTTTCAGCTATTAAGATTTTCAGTTCTAGACGCAGAAAAGTTGAGCAAAAAACCAAAAGTTAAATATGTGGGTAGATTTGAATTATTATTGATTGCCTAATAATAATAACAGCATATGTATAATAATCACTATTTTTAATATATCTAGTAATTAAATACATGGCAATATTGGCAAGATGATCTAAAAATAAGCCGTGAGTCACTTAGCTTCAATGGGAATTCCCGGTGGAATCAGCTAGTAACCATTTTTAGCTAATGAGCTTAGTGTTTGCTTCATGCTGAGCTTTCTAATCAGGATGGGCCCAGCTGCCCCCAGGGTTTTCAGATCATACTTTGCCATCCCTTTGGCCAACTTAACCCAGCAGCCCTTCTGAATGGCTAGACCTGCGCCTCCTTTGTTAGCATGATGCTCTTAGTACTATATTAACAGGCATAGAGAAATGATTGTGTAATTATGCCAGGGGAAGTATGAAAGAAGTTGCTGTTAAGAATTTGAAGGTTTCTAGTTTCCCTTTCTTTGTAGTTTTGGAGTTGTTACAGCATAAGAGCAAAAATGCTGTCAAACTTCAGAAAAGCTTTTTAAAGTCTTTACTTCCTGGAGCTTTTGAGGAATGAGCTTATGTATTTCTCTTTATGCAAAAAAGGTCTTAAAAAACAATGTCAGCTCACAAGATCAGACAGTTGTGGTACATTTTCTCGCCTGTGAATTTCTCCCAAGTTCAGAGGCACACCCACCAACTCAGAAAAACAGGATACATTGTGCACCAGGAAAAGACAGAAGTATGGTTATGTTTTCCGTCTGTCCTTTCAGGATTTTCCCTGCTACTTTGTTCCCCTCTGTTTCTACTACTTCCTGCCATTCTTCCATCAGGCACTTCCTTTCCCTGTCAGTCCTCTCATCTGATCTTTGTTCTCATGGTATTTAAGAGGTATTTAAGGGTACCCTCCCCACTCTCTCAATATGGTGTCCATTTGTGTTACCTAAGATGTTTTGGTCTGCTCCTCAACATCACTTCGCTTCCTCCTTTTGGGAAAATGAAACACTTGGATTGGGAGTGAAGAAAAGAGAATTTGATGATTCTTCAGCCCCTCAATTGTCTTCAGCACTATACTCAAGTTAGCAATTAAGACCTCACCACTTTGCAGGGTAGTTATTGCTTGATTCCGTTGTACAAATGGCACAACTGAGACAAGATCTCTTTCCTATATCTTGCTATATTCCTTGTTTCTGGTGCTGAAAGCCCGCATTATGCCAGAAACCTGGAAGTTTGGGGAGGCTAATACTTGAGAGCTCTCTATAAGGGGTGGGAGGAGATGAGGACTTCAGCGATAGACTCTGGGCACTTTGTGACTCAAAAAGAACCCTCTCCCAGAACTCCAAACATGAGATTCAGAAACTAACCATATCTTTAATTATGGATATCCCCTATAATTATATACTCTGAGGTATGCGAAAGTGCAGAACAGAGCAAAACACACTGCTTTGGGGCAAACCTGTCCAGTTGGTGAAATTCTTCTCTATTACCTTTACTATATCTGGCTTAATGCAAGCCCAGGGAGTCTAAAATCCTCGACTGGCTCCCAATTAGGTCTGTTCTCGGTGAGCAGCAAAGCCCTAGACTATTCTCTTCCTGAGCCATATTCATTCACATACTCATCCGTTCATCAATGTATTAATTTTTTTTTTTAAGAGACGGAGTCTCGCTCTGTCGCCCAGGCTGGAGTGCAGTGGCACGATCTTGGCTCACTGCAAGCTCTGCCTCCCGGGTTCACCCGCCATTCTCCTGCCTCAGCCTCCCGAGTAGCTGGGACTACAGGCCCAAGCCACCACGCCTGGCTAATTTTTGTATTTTTAGTAGAGCCAGGGTTTCACTGTGTTAGCCAGGATGGTCTCCATCTCCTGACCTCGTGATCCGCCCACCTCGGCCTCCCAAAGTGCTGGGATTACAGGCGTGAGCCACTGCGCCCGGCCATTCATTTGTATTTTTAAATAATATATTTGGAGCAACCTTTGTGACTGCCACAGTACTAGATACTTTTGTATGTCTCATTCTTAAAAAAGTTCCTCTCAGGCAGGCCTTTTTGGGAAAGATCTAGTCAGCTGACTCCAACTGATTGTATCAATAACCATAGTGGTAGCATTCTCAGAGCTGTTTCCATTCTAAATTTGGATTCAGAGTTTGAATAGATGAAGCAGTGAGAATAGTGAAATTGCAGCAGCGGGTTAAAAAAAATAAGACATGACTTTATTTATTCCTGTGACCCCTTGAATAATGCTAACGCAGTATTTTTCTTTCTGTGAGGAAGTCTAGGCCCTGACAGGCTAGAATTTCCAACTTTGTCCTTTGTGAAAATGTCCTTTGTAAGATTTTCACTCTTTGACCTTCATTTCTAAAGGAGAAATTCCCCCCACGATTTAAGTTTCTAGTGCTGGTGAATGGGGCTCCATCTGGAGACAAGTGGAAAAGAGGAGACCTTTCTTTTTGCTGCCCTCCAAATTATAATGAGTGATGCGGTTCTGTGTCTGCATTTCTTGATTTGATTCCCTGACTTTCCAGCATCTTCTGCCAATGATGTGATGTTCTCAAAAAGAATCCAGGTTGCTCTAGCTAGAGCTACACTGGTGAGTAAAAGAAAAACAATTAAAATAATATGGAAAATGCATTCCCCACATGACAGAAGTATTTAGGTTTTCAGAAATAATACACACTATTTAACCTTTTATTTTCCTCTTTTAGGAATCAAGGAAGAGATCTATATCCAACAGGAATTTTCAAACTCCCAACTTCATAATTCTCACATTGATATTCAAACTTATTAGTCTGGACCTCTGGATTTGAAAAAGTTTTTCTTTAATTCTGTGCTGTTTATTGTTAAACTGGGTAAGAAATGCAGGTAGTATGGACTCGATTCCAAAGAATAGCATTAATGCTGGGCGGTGTTTGGATAAACAGTGGGAGAGAAACCATAAGTCCTTTGAGAATGAATGTGCCTGTTTTGCAGTATGAACACAAAAGATAGAGCAGAATAGGAAGGGCCAAAATGGTGTAGTCAGTAGAGCTGAAGGGTTCTCCTGAGTCTGTGATTTTAATCTGGGCTGTCACTGCAGAGTAGGCAAAAAAGAAGACCACACTTTAGGGTTAGTAGGTAATCTATGTTTACAAATGCACGAGGGTACAGACAAGAGCTGAACCTGAATCTGAATAGATCACATATAGATTAAACGGGGCATGGAGATTATGACTGGAGTATGTTCCTATATTGACCAACAGTTTCTCATGATCACTTACATAGCATTGGAGGTCTCTCTGTGCTGCCTTCTCTCTGATTATTTCCCTTTCTCTGTACTCTGCAACTCTCCAATCACAATCCCTTTTCACTTTCCATGACTGACCTCACTTAAGTATTTATTGAAAAAGTAAAAGTCAGTGGATGGAAATTGCTTCCTCCCCAACACCAAATCTGCTCGCCTCATGCTGTCAGAAGGATGAAGCAAACATGCTCCCACCTAAAGCCATGCTCTACTTCAGCTCTAACACCCTCAGAGACACCATTTCTGCCATTTTAATCTTATTTTTCCTTCAATCTCTCCCTATTAGATCATTAGCAATAGTTTACAAACACTCTCTAGTAGCCTTAATAATAAAACAACAGCAACAACAAACACTGAAACATTAAAGAAAGAACATAAAAGTAGAGAGAGAGAGAATCTAAGGTTGGGGTCTTGCAGAAAAGATGATCACAGGTTTAGGAAATATAGGGACAGAGTAGTTTATCATTTCTGCATATGAATGTTTAGGTAAGCAAGAAAATTTGTGAATAGAGAAGAGGGTTAAAACACTTAAATATTTGTTAGGCATAAGAAGAGGCTTCACTCAATTTATTTATCTTATTCCAAATAAAATACTGAAGGCAATGAGAAACCGCAGTGTTGTCCCTGAGTTTGTCCTCCTCGGGCTGTCAGCTGGCCCCCAGACCCAGACTCTGCTCTTTGTGCTGTTCGTGGTGATTTGCCTCCTGACTGTGATGGGAAACCTGCTGCTGCTGGTGGTGATTAATGCTGATTCTTGCCTCCACACACCCATGTACTTCTTCCTGGGACAATTGTCCTTCTTGGATCTCTGCCATTCCTCTGTCACTGCACCTAAGCTGTTGGAGAACCTCCTGTCTGAGAAGAAAACCATCTCAGTAGAGGGCTGCATGGCTTAGGTCTTCTTTGTGTTTGCCACTGGGGGCACTGAATCCTCCCTGCTTGCTGTGATGGCCTATGACCGCTATGTTGCCATCAGCTCTCCTTTGCTCTATGGCCAAGTGATGAACAGACAGCTGTGTTCAGGGCTGGTGGGGGGCTCATGGGGCTTGGCTTTTCTGGATGCCCTCATCAATATCCTTGTAGCTCTCAATTTAGACTTCTGTGAGGCTCAAAATATCCACCACTTCAGCTGTGAGCTGCCCTCTCTCTATCCTTTGTCTTGCTCTGATGTGTCAGCAAGTTTTACCACCCTGCTCTGCTCCAGCTTCCTGCATTTCTTTGGAAATTTTCTCATGATATTCTTGTCTTATATTTGCATTTTGTCCACCATCCTGAGGATCAGCTCCACTACAGGCAGAAGCAAAGCCTTCTCCACCTGCTCCTCCCACCTCACTGCAGTGATTTTCTTTTATGGCTCCGGATTACTCCGCTATCTCATGCCAAATTCAGGATCCATTCAAGAGCTGATCTTCTCCTTGCAGTACAGCGTGATCACTCCCATGCTGAATCTCCTCATTTACAGCCTGAAGAACAGGGAGGTGAAGGCAGCTGTGAGAAGAACATTGAGAAAATATTTCTAGTGTTTCAATAGACTTATGAAATCAGAATGATGAGGGAACTGGATAGAACTGCAACAAGCAGTGCATGGACACTAGGATAATTCCTTGATGTCAGGATCTGTGAGGTCCTTTTCTGAAAAATATTTAAGAAAAGGTGGAAAATTTACCTTTTCTGAAAAATACTGAAGAAAAGGTGGAAAATTTACCTTTTCTGAAAAATACTGAAGAAAAGGTGGAAAATTATTTTCTTGGGATGATACCAGTTCAGTCCTAGTCAGAAGAAGATGGATAAGCCTCTTGCTTAGCAATTTTTTATTACAAGGATATGTATTTATTATACACAGTATGGTAAACATTGTTATTGTCTGCTCAGCTTATCTCTACCATTCCTCTAATAACTGAACTCTATGGTTCAATATGCTTCCAAGAGACACTGTTAATCATGGAATCCCCAAATCCTCTCCACCCTCACCTCCCCACCCCCAACCCCTGTCATTATTCACTCATTCTTCCTGGCACAGTGACTGGTCCAGAAATGGGCACATGGTCAATGTCAGATCATTTACTCTCTTAGGATTTTTTTTTCTTTTAAGACGGCCTCTTTTGGTCGCCCAGGCTGGAGTGCAGTGGCACGGTCTCTATTCACTGCAACCTCCGCCTCCCAGCTTCAAACGATTCCCCTGCCTCAGCCTCCCAAGTAGCTGGGATTACTGTCTTAGGAATTTTAGTCTAAAGGAGAGAGTCAAAGGTCAGCCTTTTTGCATGCAGCACTCTGACAGCCTACGCAAATGCCCTTGCTGATAAGATCACTAGAGTTATCCTAGATTCTGCCCTTTCAAGGCCAGATTTATAAACATGAATCATAATAAGAGTTCATTCTTAGATATTTGCATCCTATCAGGCACTGTGTTAAGCAATTTATATTCTTTATTCCATTTAAATACCACAACACATACGTTAGATAAATGCTTAAGTTATTCCTATTTCAGAGAAGAGGAAACTGGCTCAGGGAGATAAATCGTGGTGTTAGAATTTGGAACCAATGGGACTTGCACAAATGCCTGTTTTCTTTACCACCTTGATACACTGACTATCCCACTGAAGCTGTGAGCTACCCCAGACTCCATACATGAATTCTCCTTTTAATGATTTATTATTGTTATCTTATTTTATTTTGCTTAAGTCAGTCAGAATTAGATTCTGTCATTTGCAAGGAAAGGCCCTAAAAGATAAATATTGGTACCACAATAGAATTGCAAGTATAGACATCTGAGGACAATTGGGATCTGTGAAATTGTGTTTTGGACCTAGGCATGTCCCATAGAGACTGTAAATAACATGTTGGTTTATCCTGCTTCAAACTATTCATCCAATGGCCAACCATCTGTAGCTATGAGGGGACCTATGTATAACCAGAGATGATTCACCAGCTCATACACATTGCTAGACAAGTAGCTCTGCCGCTTGGCCCTAATAATGCTGTAGAAATGGTAGACCATGAGAGAGCTAATGGCAGAGGAAGGACTGGGCAGAGCCTGTGGCAAACTTCAAAAAGAAACCAGAAACATTTAACAAAGACCCTTTAGATGATGAAACACAATTGGAGGATTAATGAGAACTATATTTGAGGGAGGCATGTGGACTAAAATTATCATGGTCCAAAATTAGTTATTCTTTCTAATTACCTTTTACTTTTTATTTATTTACAAGCTGGCAAGTGTCATCCTTCCCTTCACCTTGAACTCCTCAGCATAAACTCAAAGAGAACAAGGACATTTTTCTGCCATCTTTACTACCTTCTCAAGAATACTTTCTTTTTTTTTTTTGAGATGGAGTCTCACTCTGTCACCCAGGCTGGAGTGCAGTGGCACGATCTCGGTTCACTGCAACCTCCGCCTCCCAGGTTCAAACAATTCTCCTGCCTCAGCCTTCCGAGTAGCTGGGATTACAGGCGCCTGTCACCATAGTTGGCGAATTTTTGTATTTTTAGTAGAGACAGGGTTTCGCCATGTTGGCCAGGCTGGTCTCGAACTCCTGACCTCAGGCCATCCACGCACATCAGCCTCCCAAGGTGCTGGGATTACAGGCATGAGCCACCGTGACTGGCCAAGAATATTTTTATTTCTTATTTTTTATTTTTTTATTTTATTATTATCATACTTTAAGTTTTAGGGTACATGTGCACATCGTGCAGGTTCATTACGTATGTATACATATGCCATGTTGGTGTGCTGCACCCATTACCTCATCATTTAGCATTAGGTATATCTCCTAATGCTATCCCTCCCCACTCCCACCACCCCACAACAGGCCCCGGTGTGTGATGTTCCCCTTCCTGTGTCCATGTGTTCTCATTGTTCAATTCCCACCTATGAGTGAGAACATGCGGTGTTTGGTTTTTTGTCCTTGCAATAGTTTGCTGAGAATGATGGTTTCCAGCTTCATCCATGTCCCTACAAAGGACATGAACTCATCCTTTTTATGGCTGCACAGTATTCCATGGTGTATATGTGCCACATTTTCTTAATCCAGTCTATCATTGTTGGACATTTGGGTTAGTTCCAAGTCTTTGCTATTGTGAATAGTGCTGCAATAAACATACGTGTGCATGTGTTTTCATAGCAGCATGATTTATAATCCTTTGGGTATATACCCAGTAATGAGATGACTGGGTCAAATGGTATTTCTAGTTCTAGATCCCTGAGGAATCGCCACACTGACTTCCACAAGGGTTGAACTATTTTACAGTCCCACCAACAGTGTAAAAGTGTTCCTGTTTCTCCACATCCTCTCCAGCACCTGTTGTTTCCTGACTTTTTAATGATTGCCATTCTAACTGGTGTGAGATGGTATCTCATTGTGGTTTCGATTTGCATTTCTCTGATGGCCAGTGATGATGAGCATTTTTTCATGTGTTTTTTGGCTGCATAAATGTCTTCTTTTGAGAAGTGTCTGTTTGCCCACGTTTTGATGGGGTTGTTTGTTTTTTTTCTTGTAAATTTGTTTGAGTTCATTGTAGATTCTGGATATCAGCCCTTTGTCAGATGAGTAGGTTGCAAAAATTTTCTCCCATTCTGTAGGTTGCCTGTTCACTCTGATGGTAGTTTCTTTTGCTGTGCAGAAGCTCTTTAGTTTAATTAGATCCCATTTGTCATTTTGGGCTTTTGTTGCCATTGCTTTTGGTGTTTTAGACATGAAGTCCTTGCCCATGCCTATGTCCTGAATGGTATTGTCTAGGTTTTCTTCTAGGGTTTTTATGGTTTTAGGTCTAACATGTAAGTCTTTAATCCATCTGGAATTAATTTTTGTATAAGATGTAAGGAAGGGATCCAGTTTCAGCTTTCTACATATGGCTAGCCAGTTTTCCCAGCACCATTTATTAAATAGGGAATCCTTTCCCCATTGCTTGTTTTTCTCAGGTTTGTCAAAGATCAGATAGTTGTAGATATGCATCATTATTTCTGAGGGCTCTGTTCTGTTACATTGGTCTATATCTCTGTTTTGATACCAGTACCATGCTGTTTTGGTTACTGTAGCCTTGTAGTATAGTTTGAAGTCAGGTAGCGTGATGCCTCCAGCTTTGTTATTTTGGCTTAGAATTGACTTGATGATGTGGGCTCTTTTTTTGGTTCCATATGAACTTTAAAGTAGTTTTTTCCAATTCTGTGAAGAAAGTCATTGGTAGCTTGATGGGGATGGCATTGAATCTATAAATTATCTTGGGCCGTATGGCCATTTTCACGATATTGATTCTTCCTACCAATGAGCATGGAATGTTCTTCCATTTGTTTGTATCCTCTTTTATTTCATTGAGCAGTGGTTTGTAGTTCTCCTTGAAGAGGTCCTTCACGTCCCTTGTAAGTTAGATTCCTAGGTATTTTATTCTCTTTGAAGCAACTGTGAATGGGAGTTCACTCATGATTTGGCTCTCTGTTTGTCTGTTATTGGTGTATAAGAATGCTTGTGATTTTTGTACATTGATTTTGTATCCTGAGACTTTGCTGAAGTTGCTTATCAGCTTAAGGAGATTTTGGGCTGTTACAATGGGGTTTTCTAGGTATACAATCATATCATCTGCAAACAGGGACAATTTGACTTCCTCTTTTCCTAACTGAATGCCCTTTATTTCCTTCTCCTGCCTGATTGCCCTGGCCAGAACTTCCAACACTATGTTGAATAGGAGTGGTGAGAGAGGGCATCCCTGTCTTGTGCCAGTTTTCAAAGGGAATGCTTCCAGTTTTTGTCCATTCAGTATGATATTGGCTGTGGGTTTGTCATAGATAGCTCTTATTATTTTGAGATACGTCCCATCAATACCTAATTTATTGAGAGTTTTTAGCATGAAGCATTGTTGAATTTTGTCAAAGGCCTTTTCTGCATCGATTGAGATAATCAAGTGGTTTTTGTCTTTGGTTCTGTTTATATGCTGGATTACGTTTACTGATTTTCGTTATGTTGAACCAGCCTTGCATCCGAGGCATGAAGCCCACTTGATCATGGTGGATAAACTTTTTGATGTGCTGCTGGATTCTGTTTGCCAGTATTTTACTGAGGATTTTTGCATCAATGTTCATCAAGGATATTGGTCTAAAATTTTCTTTTTTTGTTGTGTCTCTGCCCGGCTTTGGTATGAGGATGATGCTGGCCTCACAAAATGAGTTAGGGAGGATTCCCTCTTTTTCTACTGATTGGAATAGTTTCAGAAGGAAGGGTACCAGCTCCTTCTTGTACTTCTGGTAGAATTCAGCTGTGAATCCATCTGGTCCCGGACTTTTTTTAGTTGGTAAGCTATTAATTATTGCTTCAATTTCAGAGCCTGTTATTGGTCTATTCAGAGATTCAACTTTTTCCTGGTTTAGTCTTGGGAGGATGTATGTGTCCAGGAATTTATCCATTTCTTCTAGATTTTCTAGTTTATTTGAGTAGAGATGTTTATAGCACTCTCTTATGGTAGTTTGTATTTCTGTGGGATCGGTGGTGATATCCCCTTTGTCATTTTTTATTGCATCTATTTGATTCTTCTCTCTTCTTTATTAGTCTTGCTAGCAGTCTATCAATTTTGTTGATCTTTTCAAAAAACAAGCTCCTGGATGCATTGATTTTTTGAAGGGTTTGTTGTGTCTCTATTTCCTTCAGTTCTGCTCTGATCTTAGTTATTTATTGCCTTCTGCTAGCTTTTGAATGTGTTTGCTCTTGCTTCTCTAGTTCTTTTAATTGTGATATTAGCATGTCAATTTTAGATCTTTCCTGCTTTCTCTTGTGGGCATTTAGTGCTATAAATTTCCCTCTACACACTGTTTTGAATGTGTCCCAGAGATTCTGGTATATTGTGTCTTTTTTCTAGTTGGTTTCAAAGAACATCTTTATTTCTGCCTTGATTTCGTTATGTACCCCATAGTCATTCAGGAGCAGGTTGTTCAGTTTCCATGTAGTTGAGCGGTTTTGAGTGAGTTTCTTAATCCTGAGTTCTAGTTTGATTGCACTGTGGTCTGAGAGACAGTTATAATTTCTGTTCTTTTACATTTGCTGAGGAGTGCTTTACTTCCAACTATGTGGTCAAATTTGGAATAGGTGTGGTGTGGTGCTGAAAAAAATGTATATTGTGTTGATTTGGGGTGGAGAGTTCTGTAGATGTCTATTAGGTCCGCTTGGTGCAGAGCAGAGTTCAATACCTGGATATCCTTGTTAACTTTCTGTCTCGTTGATCTGTCTAATGTTGACAGTGGGGTGTTAAAGTGTCCCATTATTATTGTGTGGGAGTCTAAGTCTGTTTGTAGGTCACTCAGGACTTGCTTTATGAATCTGGTTGCTCCTGTATTGGGTGCATATATATTTAGGATAGTTAGTTCTTCTTGTTGAATTGATCCCTTTACCATTATGTAATGGGCTTGTTTTTCTCTTTTGATCTTTGTTGGTTTAAAGTCTGTTTCATCCAAGACTAGGATTGCAACCCTTGCCTTTTTTTGTTTTCCATTTGCTTGGTAGATCTTCCTCCATCCCTTCATTTTGAGCCTATGTGTGTCTCTGCATGTGAGATGGGTTTCCTGAATACAGCACACTGATGGGTCTTGACTCTTTATCCAATTTGCCAGTCTGTGCCCTTTAATTGGAGCATTTAGCCCATTTACATTTAACATTATTATTATTATTTGTGAATTTGATCCTGTCATTATGATGTTAGCTGGTTATTTTGCTCGTTAGTTGATGCAGTTTCTTCCTAGCCTTGATGGTGTTTACAATTTGGCATGTTTTTGCAGTCACTGGTACTGGTTGTTCCTTTCCATGTTTAGTGCTTCCTTCAGGAGCTCTTTTAGGGCAGGCTTGGTGACAAAATCTCTCAGCATTTGCTTGTCTGTAAAGGATTTTATTTCTCCTTCACTTATGAAGCTTACTTTGGCTGGATATGAAATTCTGGGTTGAAAATTCTTTCCTTTAAGAATGTTGAATATTGGCCCCCACTCTCTTCTGGCTTGTAGAGTTTCTGCCGAGAGATCAGCTGTTAGTCTGATGGGCTTCCCTTTGTGGGTAACCCGACCTTTCTCTCTGGCTGCTCTTAACATTTTTTCCTTCATTTCCACTTTGATGAATCTGACAATTATATGTCTTGGAGTTGCTCTTCTTAAGGAGTATCTTTGTGGCATTCTCTGTATTTCCTGAATTTGAATGTTGGCCTGCCTTGCTAGATTGGGGAAGTTCTCCTGGCTAATATCCTGCAGAGTGTTTTCCAACTTGGTTCCATTCTCCCCATCAGTTTCAGGTACACCAGTCAGACGTAGATTTGGTCTTTTCACATAGTCCCATATTTCTTGGAGGCTTTGTTTGTTTCTTTTTATTCTTTTTTCTCTAAACTTCTCTTCACACTTCATTTCATTCATTTCATCTTCTATCGCTGATACCCTTTCTTCCAGTTGATTGCATCAGTTACTGAGGCTTGTGCATTTGTCAGGTAGTTCTCGTGCCATAGTTTTCAGCTCCATCAGGTCCTTTAAGGATTTCTCTGCATTGGTTATTCTAGTTATCCACTCGTCTAATTTTTTTTCAAAGTTTTTAACTTCTTTGCCATTGGTTCAAACTTCCTCTTTTAGCTCAGAGTAGTTTGATCTTCTGAAGCTTTCTTCTCTCAACTCGTCAAAGTCATTCTCTGTCCAGCTTTGTTCCATTGCTGGTGAGGAGCTGCGTTCCTTTGGAGGGGGAGAGGTGCTCGGTTTTTAGAATTTCTGTTTTTTCTGTTCTGTTTTTTCCCCATCTTTGTGGTTTTATCTACCTTTGGTCTTTGATGATGGTGACGAACAGATGGGTTTTTGGTGTGGATGTCCTTTCTGTTTGTTAGTTTTCCTTCTAACAGTCAGGACCCTCAGCTGCAGGTCTGTTGGAGTTTCCTGGAGGTTCACTCCAGACCCTGTTTGCCTGGGTATCAGCAGCGGTGGCTGCAGAACAGTGGATATTGGTGAACCGCAAATGCTGCTGCCTGATCATTCCTCTGGAAGTTTTGTTTCAGAGGAGTACCCGGCCGTGTGAGGTGTCAGTCCCCTCCTACTGGGGGATGCCTCCTAGTTAGGCTACTTGGGGGTCAGGGACCCACTTGAGGAGGCAGTCTGCCCATTCTCAGATCTCAAGATGCAAGCTGGGAGAACCACTACTCTCTTCAAAGCTGTCAGACAGGGACATTTAAGTCTGCAGAGGTTATTGCTGTCTTTTGTTTGTCTGTGCCCTGCCCCCAGAGGTGGAGCCTACAGAGGCAGGCAGTCCTCCTTGATCTGTGGTGGGCTGCACCCAGTTCGAGCTTCCCAGCCACTTTGTTTACCTACTCAACCCTGGGCAATGGCGGGCGCCCCTCCCCCAGCCTCGCTGCCGCTTTGCTGCTTGATCTCAGACTGCTGTGCTCGCAATGAGCGAGGCTCCATGGGTGTAGGACCCTCCGAGTCATGTGTGGGATATAATCTCCTGGTGTGCCGTTTGTTAAGCCCATTGGAAAAGCACAGTATTAGGGTGGGAGTGACCCGATTTTCCAGGTGCCATCTGTCACCCCTTTCTTTGAGTAGGAAAGGGAATTCCCTGACCCCTTATGCTTCCGGGGTGAGGTGATGGCTCGCCCTGCTTTGGCTCATGCATGGTGCACTGCACCCACTGTCCTGCACCCACTGTCCAACAAGCCTCAGTGAGATGAACCCAGTACCTCAGATGGAAATGCAGAAATCACCTGTCTTCTGCATTGCTCACGCTGGGAGCTGTAGGCTGGAGCTGTTCCTATTTGGCCATCTTGGCTCCACCGCTGGCAAAGAATATTTTTAAAAGCTTCTGGCTGGCCGGGTGCGGTGGCTCACACCTGTAATTCCAGTACTTTGGGAGGCCAAGGTGGGCAGATCACAAGGTCAAGAGATCAAGACCATCCTGGCTAACATGGTGAAACCCCGTCTCTACTAAAAATACAAAAAATTAGCCAGGGGTGGTGGTGGGTGCCTGTAGTCCCAGCTACTCAGGAGGCTGAGGCAGGAGAATGGTGTGAACCTGGGTGGCGGAGCTTGCAGTGAGCCGAGATTGAGCCACTGCACTCCAGCCTGGGCAACAGAGCAAGATCCTGCCCCCCCCCCCCCCAAAAAAAAGCTTGTTGCACAGTAACTGTACTTTGAATGTGTAAGTTGTGAGTCAAGAAATGGAGAATCCATTTAGGATAAGTTCTCACCAGAGGGATCCCACTGCTAAGGCAGTTCAAAATAGTTTTTTGAATAGAATCGCCTATCATGCAAAGGTCAGTCTTTCCTTCCTGGTGAGCCTAGTTCTGGTCCATGAACGCACAAGCACTGTAGCCGTGGCTGAGCAAGGTGGTGGTTATGCAAACGGCAACATTTTCTTTCATTCACCAAGGCTGATCTGCTGTTGCCATTGGTGACAGGTATTTTGATAAAGGTCACACATAAATTTTGCCAGATATATTACCAGATACCATCTATTTTTTGTTCCTATTGTGAATTAAAAATTCAGATATATTTACTACTTGGTTATTTCTGATGTATAGGAACGTTGTGGTATTTTGTACATTGATCTTGTATCTGTCAAGTTTGTTGAACTATCTTTCTAGTACTACTGTCTTGTTTATACATACTATTGGATTTTAACATTACATTTTAATTATTTTATCTTAAATTAGGGTAAGATTTTTTATATGCTTTTTTTTTTTTTGTAGAAAAAGTTTCACTCTTGTTGCCCAGGCTGCAGTGCAATGGTGTGATCTGGGCTCACTGCAACCTCCACCTCCTGAGTTCAAGCGATTTTCCTGCCTCAGGCTCCCCAGTAGCTGGGGTTACAGGCATGTACCACCACGCCTGGCTAATTTTGTACTTTTAGTAGAGATGGGATTTCTCCATGTTGGCCAGGCTGGACTTGAACTCCTGATCTCAGGTGATCAGCCCACCTTGGCCTTCCAAAGTGCTGGGATTACAGGCATGAGCCAGTGTGCCTGGCTGTATGCAATTTTTATATATCTCATTTTTAAAGTTCATGCAGCAGCCAGGACCTCCAGTATAGATATCTTTCTGTTAGGATCAATGAGAAAGCTTCTCATGTTTCAGCATTAAGGATGATGTTCTATTTTTGATGAATATCTTTAAGTTATTAAGAGAGTTCTTTTTTGTTTGTGTTTTCTGAACCTATGGATTATATTGAAAGGAGAGTTCTTTTCTAAACATATTTTGCTAAGAATTGGTGTGAGATTTTATCACAAGCTTTTTCTGCTTCTATTGAGGACTACGGTTGTTTCTCTTTTGTTCAGTACTGTATAGTGTCTGTCACACAATAGGCATGCAATAAAAACATTTTGGAAAAAAATAAATTCATTGAAATGGTTATATGGTTTTTGTCATTTAATTTGTTAATAACAAATTGTATCAGTGCATGTTCTGTTTTTGAAGAATTGTTGCATTCCTGGAATCAGCCTACTTAGGTAGAGTATTAAAAACTTAATTAACTTTTACCAGTATTTAACTTAGGAATTTCCTATTTGTATTTATAAGTGAGATACTATAATTTTTTTATTGCATTCACTCCATCTTTTCTTTTTAAGAACTTTATTGAGATTATAATTTATACATCACAATATTCAGCCATTCAAAGTGCACAAGTCAATGGTTTCTAGCATATTTACAGAGTTTTGCACCCATCACTACCACCAATCTCAGGACATTTTGTCATCCCCAAAGAAATCTCACACCTATGGGTAGTCACTCTCCAATCCCATCCCCATTCTTGGCCCTAGAATTCCACTAAACTACTTTTTATGTATATAGATTTGCCTATTCTAGACATCCAATACTGATATCAATAATATGCTTTCATTCATCTTTGTATTTTCTTAAAATATTTGCTTAAAGAAGAGATGATCACTTTCTCGAAGGTTTTTATAAAACTCATCTTTGACATTTTAAGGATTTCTTGTCTTGTTGAGAAAATTTTTTATTTCTAATTTAATTCCTTTGATGATTATTGTACACTTGTGTTTTATATTTTGTTAGTGAATCAATTTTGGTGATTTGTAATTTTCATCACTATTTTTCATCTAATTTAATTAGTATTTTGTTTCTCATAATATTCTCTTATAATTTTTAAATATTGACTCATGTATTCAGCATTCATTTCATTTGAAAATGAAAAGTTTCCAACATACAGCAAAGTTAACAGAATTTTATAGTGAATACCCAGATAATCACATCTAAATTTTATAATTAACATTTTAATATACATTCTTTTTTACTTTTTATTTTTCCATAGGTTATTGAGGGTACAGGTGGTGTTTGGTTACATGAGTAAGTTTTTTAGTGGTGATTTGTGAGATTTTGGTGTACCCATCACCTGAGCAGTACACATTGCACCCTATTTGTAGTCTTTTATCCCTCCCCCACCACCCTTCCCCACAAGTTCCCAAAGTCCATTGTATCATTCTTATGCCTTTGCATCCTCATAGCTTAGGTCCCACATATGGGTGAGAACATACAATGTTTGGTTTTCCATTGCTGAGATATTTCACTTAGAATAATAGTCTCCAGTCTCACCCAGGTTGCTGTGAATGCCATTAATTGATTCATTTTTATGGCTGAGTAGTATTCCATCGTATATATATACCACAGTTTCTTTACCCACTCGTTGATTGATGGGCATTTGTGTTGGTTCCACGATTTTGCAATTGCAAATTGTGCTGCTATAAGCATGCATGTGCAAGTATCTTTTTTGTGTAATGATTGATTTTCCTCTGGGTAGATACTCAGTAGTGAGATTGCTGAATCAAATGGTAGTTCCACTTTTAGCTCTTTAAGGAATCTCCACACTGTTTCCGTCTTGGCTGTACTAGTTTACATTCCCGCCAGCAGTGTAGAAGTGTTCCCTGATCACCACGTTCACGCCAACATCTACTGCTTTTTTATTTTTTTAATTATGGCCATTCTTGCAGGAGTAAGGTGGCATCACATTGTGGTTTTGATTTGCATTTCTCTGATCATTAGTTGAGCATTATTTTCATATGTTTTTTGGCCATTTGTATATCTTCTTTTGAGAATTGTCTATTCATGTCCTTAGCCCACTTTCTGATGGGATTGTTTGTTTTTTTCTTGCTGATTTGAGTTCTTTGTAGATTCTGGATATTAGCCCTTTGTCAGATGTATAGATTATGAAGATTTTATCCTACTCTGTGGGTTGTCTGTTTACTCTGCTCACTGTTCCTTTTGCTGCGCAAAAGCTCTTTAGTTTAATTAAGTCCCAGCTAT
The DNA here is from genome assembly GCF_000001405.40 of Homo sapiens. Classification (NCBI taxonomy): domain Eukaryota; kingdom Metazoa; phylum Chordata; class Mammalia; order Primates; family Hominidae; genus Homo; species Homo sapiens. The sequence continues at coordinate 48,430,297 of NC_000012.12, read as the reverse complement.
TTATCTTTGTTTTTATTGCTTTTGCTTTTGGGTCCTTGGTCATGAAATCCTTGCCTAAGCCAATGTCTAGAAGGATTTTTCCAATGTTATCTTCTAGAATTTTCATAGTTTCATGCCTTAGGTTTAATTCTTTAATCCATCTTGAGTTAATTTTTGTATAATGCAAGAGATGAGGATCCAGTTTCATGTGGCTAGCCAATTATCTTATTACCATTTGTTGAAAAGGATGTCCTTTCCCACTTTATGTTTTTGTTTGCTTTGTTGAAGATGAGTTGGCTGTAGGTATTTGGGTTTATTTCTGGGTTCTTTATTCTGTTCCATTTGTCTATGTGCCTATTTTTGTACCAGTACCATGCTGTTTTGGTGACTACGGTCCTATAGTATAGTTTGAAATCAGGTAGTATGATGCCTCCAGATTTGTTCTTTTTGCTTAGACTTGCTTTGGCTATGTAGGCTCTTTTGTGGTTCCATATGAATTTTAGTACTGTTTTTTCTAATCTGTGAAGAATGATGATGGCATTTTGATGGGGATTGTGCTGAATTTGTAGATTGCTTTTGGCAGTATGGCCATTTTCACAATATTGATTCTACCCATCCATGAGCATGGGATGTGTTTCCATTTGTTTGTGTCATCTCTGATTTTTTTCAGCAATGTTTTGTAGTTTTCCTTGTAGAGGCCTTTCACCTTCTTGGTTAGGTATATTCTAAGTATTTTTTTTTTTGCAGCTATTGTAAAAGGGGTTGTGTTCTTGATTTGATTCTCTGCTTGGTTGCTGTTGGTGTATGGGAGAGCTACTGATTTGTGTGCATTTATCTTGTATCTGGAAACTTTGCTGAATTATTTTATCAGTTTGAGGAGCCTTCTGGAGGAGTCTTTAGGGTTTTTGAGGTAAACAGTCATATCGTCAGCAAACTGTGACAGTTTGGCTCCCTCTTTACTGATTTGGATGCCCTTTATTTCTTTCTCTTGTCTGATTGCTATGACTAGGACTTCCAGAACTATGCTGAAGAGGAGTGGTGAGAGTGGGCATCCTTGTCTTGTTCCCATTCTCAGAGGGAATGCTTTCAACTTTTCCCCATTCAGTATTATGTTGGCTGTGGGTTTTTCATAGATGGCTTTTATTACATTGAGGTATGTTCCTTGTATGCCGATTTTGCTGAGAGTTTTAATCATAAAGGGGTGCTGGATTTTTGTCGAATGCTTTTCCTGCATCTATTGAGATGATCATGTGATTTTTGTTTTTAATTCTGTTTATGTGGTGTATCACATTTATTGACTTGCGTATGTTAAACCGTCTCTGCATCCCTGGTATGAAACCCTCTTGATCATAGTGGATTATCTTTCTGATATGTTTTTGGATTCAGTTAGCTTGCACTTTGTTAAGGATTTAGCATCTACGTTCATGAGGGATATTGGTATGTAGTTTTCTTTTTTGGTTATATCCTTCCCTGGTTTTGGTATTAGCGTGATGCTGGCTTCATAGAATGAATTAGGGAGGATTCCCTCTTTCTCTGTCTTGTGGAATGGTGTCAATAGGATTGGTACCAATTCTTCTTTATGTCTTGTAGAATTCCACTGTGATTCTGCCTGGTCCTGGACTATTTTTCGTTGGTAATTTTTAAATTGCCATTTTAATCTCACTGCTTGTTATTGGTCTGTTTAGGGTATCTAATTGTTTCTGATTTAAGGTAGGAGGGTTATATCTTTCCAGGAATTTATCCATCTCTTCTAGGTTTTCTAGTTTGTGTGGATAAAGTTGTTCATAGTAGCCTTAAATTATCTTTTGTATTTCTATGGTGTCAGTTGTAATATCTTCCTTTTCATTTCTCATTGAGGTTATTTGGATTTTCTGTCTTCTTTTGTTGGTTAATCTTGCTAATGGTCTATCACTTTTATTTATCTTTTCAAAGAAGCAGTTTTTTGTTTCATTTATCTTTTGTATTTTTTTTTTGTTTCAATTTCATTTAGTTCTTCTCTGATCTTGGTTATTTCCTTTCTTCTGCTGGGTTTGGGTTTGGTTTGTTGTTTTTCTAGTTCCTTGAGGTGTGACCTTAGATTGTCAGTTTGTGCTCTTTCAGTCTTTTTGATGTAGGTGTTTAGGGCTATGAACTTTCCTCTTAGGACTGCCTTTGCTATATCCCAGAGGTTTTGATAGGTTGTGTCGCTAGTGTCATTCAGTTCGAAGAATTTTTAAATTTCCATCTTGATTTCATTTTTGACCCAATGATCACTCAGGAGCAGGTGATTTAATTTCCATGTATTTTCATGGTTTTGAAGGTTCCTTTTGGAGTTGATTTCTGGTTTTATTCCACTGTGGTCTGAGAGAGAGTTTGATATAATTTCAACTTTCTTAAACTTACTGAGGCTTGTTTTGTGGCCTATCATATGGTCCATCTTGGAGAAAGTTCTATGCACTGTTGAATAGAATGTGTATTCTGTGGTTCTTGGATGGAATGTTCTATATACACCTGTTAAGTTCATTTGTTCCAAGGTATAGTTTAAATCCATTGTTTCTTCATTGACTTTCTGTCTTGATGACCTGTCTAGTGCTGTCAATGGAGTATTGAAGTCCCCCACTATTATTGTGTTACTATCTCATTTCTTAGTTCTAGTAGTAATTATTTTATAAATTTGGGAGCTCCCGTGTTAGGTGCATATATGTTTAGGATTGTGATATTTTCCTGTTGGACAAGGCCACTTACCGTTATATAATATTCCTCTTTGTCTTTTTTAACTTGGCAGAGACACAACAAACAAAGAAAGCTTCAGGTCAATATCCTTGATGAACATTGATGCAAAAACCCTTGACAAAATACTAGCAAACTGAATCCAGCAGCACATTAAAAAGCGAATCCACCACAATCGAGTAGGCTTTATTCTTGGATGCAAAGTGGGTTCAATATATGCAAATCAATAAATGTGATTCATCACATAAACAGAACTAAAGACAAAAACCACATGATTATCTCAATAGATACAGCAAAGGCTTTTGATAAATATCAGAATTTCTTCATGTTAAAAACCCTCAATAAACTAGGTATCAAATGAACATTCCTCAAAATAATAAGAGCTATCTGTGACAAACCCACAGCCAACATCATACTGAATGGGCAACAGCTTGAAACATTCCTCTTGAAAGCTGGCACAAGACAAGGATGCCCTCTCTCACCACTCCTATTCAACATAGTATTGGAAGACCTGTCCACCAATCAGGCAAGAGAAAGAAATAAAGGGCATCCAAATAGGAAGAGAAGCAGTCAAACTATCGCTGTTTGTAGGTGACATGATTCTGTATCTAGAAAACCCCATGGGCATGGCTCAAAAGCTCCTTCAGTGGATAAACCATTTTAGTGAAGCTTTAGGACACAAAATCAGTGTACAAAAATTCTTAACATTCCTATACACCAACAACAGCTAAGCTGAGAGCCATATCAGCCATACAATCCCATTCACAATTACCACAAAAACAAAATACCTAGGAATATAACTAACCAGGGAGGTGAAAGATCTCTACAATGAGAATTACAAAACACTGCTCAAAGAAATCAGAGATGACAGAAACAAATGGAAAAGCATTCATGCTCGTGGATAGGGAGAATCAATATCATTACAATGACTATACTGCTCAAAGGAATTTACAGATTCAATGCTATTCTTATCAAACTACCAATGACATTTTTTATAGAACTAGAAACAACAATTTTAAAATTCATACGGAACCAAAATGAGCCCAAACAGCCAAGGCAATCCTAAGCAAAAAGAACAAAGCTGGAGGCATCATGCTAGCTGACCTCAAACTATACTACAGGGCTACAGTAACCAATACAACATGGTACTGTTATTAAAAAACAGACACAAGACCAATGGAACAGAATAGAGAACCCAGAAAGAAGGTCTCAAACCTACAACTGTCTGATCTTTGACAAGATGACAAAAGAAGCAATGGAGAAAGGGTCCCCAATTCAATAAATGGTGCTGGGGTAATTGGCTAGCTATATGCAAATGATTGAAACTGGACCCCTTTCTTATACTACAAACAAAAAACAATGCAAGTCATATTAAAGAGTTAAATGTAAAACACAAAACTATAAAAACCTTGGAAGACAACCTAGGCAATACCATTCTGGACATAGGAAGTGGCAAAGATTTCATGATAAAGATGCCAAAAGCATTTGCAACAAAAGCAAAAGGGGACAAATGGGATCTAATTACACTTGAGAACTTCTGCACGGCGAAATAAAATATCAACAGAGTAAACAGACAACCTACAGAATGGGATAAAATATTTGCAAGCTATACATCTGACAAAGTTCTAATATTCAGCATCTATAAGGAACTTAAACAAATTTACAAAAAAAAAAAAAGCCAAACAACCCCATTAAAAAATGAGCAAAAGATATGAACCGATACTTTTCAATAGAAGATATATATGTGGCCAGCAAGTATATATAAAAAAGCTCAGTATTACTGATCATTAGAGAAATGCAAATGAAAACCACAATGAGATACCATCTCACACTAGTCAGAATGGCTACTATTAAAAAGTAAAAAAATAATAGATGCTGGCGAGGTTGCAGAGAAAAGGGAATGCTAATATACACTGCTGGTAGGAGTGTAAGTTAGTTCAACTGTTGTGGTAAGCAGTGTGGTGATTCCTCAAATAGCTAAAAACAGGACTACAATTTGAAACAGAAATCCACTACTGGGTATATACCCAGAGGAATAGAAATTATTCTACCATAAAGACACATGCACACATATGTTCATTGCAGCACTATTCACAACAGCAAAGACATGGAATCAACATAAATGTGCATCAATGACAGATTGGATAAAGAAAACGTGGTACATTTTCACCACAGAATGCCATGCAATCATAAAAAGGAACGAGATTATATCCTTTGTGGGAACGTGGATGGAGCTGGAGACCATTATCCTTAGCAAACTAACACAGAAAACCAAATACTGCATGTTTTCACTTATAAATGGGAGTGAAATGATGAGAACACATGGGCATAAAGAGGGGAACAGCACACAGTGGGGCCTACTTGAGGGTGGAGGATGGGTGGAGGGAGAGGATCAGAAAAAATAACTATTGGGTACTAGGCTTATTATCTGGGTGATGAAATAATCTGTACAACAAATCCCTGTGACACCAGTTTACCTATATAACAAACCTGCACATGTACCCCTGAACCTAAAATAAAAGTTTAAAAAATTGCTTTTGTTTAAATAAGCTTCACTGAGATATAGCCTACATATAATTCACCAATTTTCATTTACAATTTGATCATTTTTGAAAAATGTATATATGTATTAATCACAATGACAATGATAATACAGAACATTTCCATTGCAACAGATTGTTTCCTCCTCCCACCCCTTGGCCCTTGGCAACCACAGATCAACTTCCTATGACTATAGTTTTGATTTTGCTACAATTTCACATAAATAGAATCAAAATAAGGTAGTCATTTGTGTCTGGGTTCTTTGCCTTAGCGTAGTGATGTTGATATATTTATCCATTCCACCATACACATATATAAGTAGAAGTCTTTGTGAAGACATATGTGATCATCTATCTTGGTAAATGCCTATGAGTGAAATTGCTGGGCCACATGGTAAGTATGTGTTTAACTCTATTGGAAACTGCTTAAGTACTTTCCAAAGTGTCTGTACTATTCTGTATTCCCATTGGCAACATATGAGGATTTCAATTGCTCTCCAAATCCTTGCTAATATTTGCTATTGAAGATATTTTTCATTTGAACCATTCTAGTGAGCATAAAAAAATTGAATTTTTACTTAAAAATTTCTCATGAAGACAACTCCAGGTCCGGATGGCCTTGTGGTGAATTTTAACAAACATTTATAGAAAGAAATAATACTAATTATAAACCAAATTTTCCAAAACATAGAAGCAGATAAATATTTCCTAATTCACTTCTTGGGACTCTGATACCCAAACCAGACAAAAACATACAAGAATAGAAAACTCCGAACAAATATCCTCATGAATATACATGCAAAACTTATTATCTCAACATCATCAAGTGAAATCCAGCAATATTTAAATCAGTAACATTTCACGACAAGATGGGATTTACTCCAAGAATGCAAGGTTGCTCTTAGCATTCTAAAATCACACAATGTAATTCACCATATTATTAGACCAGAAAAGAAAAGCATATGATCATCTAAACAGATGCAGAAAAAGTCTTTGATAATGTTTATCTTCCACTTATAATTAAAAAGAAAAGAACTCATCAAACTAAGAATAGATGAGAACACCCTTAACTTGTAAAGGGACATATATATTTTAAAAATTAACATCTACCATTATATTTAAAGGAAAAAACACTGAGTGCTTTCCCTCTTAGATGGAGAACAAGGCAAGGATGCCTGCTTTCACCACTTCTATTCAAGACTGTAGTGTAGTTCTGGCCAGTATAGTAAGGCAAGAGAAAAAAAAGATAGATTGAAATGAAAAGAGTAGCACTCTCTTTATTAATAGATTAATGGAGAAAATTTAAGAAATTTACAAATGTTAGTAGAACTAGTCAGTTTAGCAGAGTCACAAGGTACAAAGTACAAGATATTAAAAATCAATTGTATTTCTATATACTAGCAAGAAAACAAAGTACATTGCTACATTCAGTTTTGATAGAGGAAGCCAGAGTGCTATGTAGCTTAAACTGAATCACTTTATTCTTCTTTAATTTGGGGGCGTTCAGATGGGTACAAATTAAATGCTTGATTTTATGATAATTTTTATTTCTATGACCACTACTGAATTTTTGCATACTTTCACTTTTTGCGAACCATCTGGTTTACACTCCTGTAGTTTGCCTATACTTAATCTTCTTTGGAGCATTTGTATTTTGCTTATCTACATGTAAGTATTCTTGGAATGTCAAATATCTTATCTCTTTCCTGTAGTATTTGTTGAAAATATTTTTCCAGCTCTATTATTTCTCTATCAACTTAGCTTGTGGAATTTGTGTCATTCAAAATTTTAATTTTATATAGTCAACTACACTTTTTATTATAGCATTTCCTGTGTAAATTTCTTATCTTGGCTGAGAAGTTCTTCCTCACCCTACAAGTGTACGTTGTCTACATGTTCTCTTCTAATATCTTCTCATATAAAACAAAAACAACTCAGAAATTATTGTAAACTGTACAAGATGGGTGTAAACTGTTTTATGTTATGAATACACAGCCACCTCTGACAGATGCATTTGAAATGAAAGTTGTTCCTTCTTCACAGAAGAAAAATAAAATCTTCGTGACATAGTTTGGCAATGCTGTCTGGCTTTATTATTTTATATTAATTCATGCTTTTCTTTACCAAATGTATTAGCTGTTCTAATACCTGATAAAATAAGTCTTCCCAGAATGCTTTAACTAGTGATCCTTTTCATCCCTTTCTTGTCTATTCTCAAGAATTTATTCTTCCATGTGAGTATCAAAATCTTCTTATCAAATCATGAAAAAATAGGATTCTAATTAAATTCTCATCAGCTGCACATACTTATTTGAAGAAAATTGATATTTTCACTGTCTTTCCAACCATAAACATTGTTTCTCAATCTCTTCATATATTGTTTTACATCATTCAAAGAAATATTAATTTTTCTTATACAAGTTGCCTCTAAGAACTTCTGAGATTTTTGCCATTGTGAATGAGTATGTTTTCCTGTTTCCATGATATGACAAACAATTTCTAGTACAGAAAAAAAGGTCAAGTTTTGTGTACTCATTTTTTACTCAGTGTAGAAGATACTAGATTGGGTCATTCCAGTTTATTCCAAAACTCTTCTAGAGTTCAAAGTGTAGAAAGCTAAAAAGCATGGCCTCCCGACATAATTCAGTTCCAATTAGTCAGATGCATTTTGCTCATATAAATCCTGATGGAAAGAAATGGTTCTTAAGCAGAAACTGTAGCAACTATATCCTAATTCAGCATTTGGCATCTCCATCCAGCAGGTGTTTTTACAATGGAGACAGATGTCTAGAAGTCCTGCAGTCAGCAGTAGCAATAGCAGCTCCCTGATTCATCAACTTCCTGCAATGCTGTTATCAGTATTTTTTTTTCAACAGAAGCAAAGCTATTCTCAGTGCAAGGATATTCATTAGAGAATCTGAGAATAGAGCCTCTTCTTTTAACCCTTCTTACAATTATTATTTAATACAACATTTACTGTTTTAAATCTTTTTTTTCTTAGAGTGGATTCTATTTTCTGCTAATTGAACATTAATAGATACACCATCCGCATTACAAAATTCTCTTTTTAATTCTTATTAGTTCTCTTAGTTTTGTTTTAGAGTCTCTTGGATTGTTCTTGGCAAATTAGCATATCAACACCAAATATATACAATTTACTTATTTTCTAGTGTTCATACAGTGGTTTCATTTTTGCATTCTTTAAAAAAGCAACCACTCACAACAATAATTCAAAATGCTGGCTGGGCACAGTGGCTCACGCCTGTAATCCCAGCACTTTGGGAGGCTGAGGCGGGTGGATCACCTGAGGTCAGGAGTTCAAGACCAACCTGGCCAACATGGTGAAACCCCGTCTCTACTAAAAATACAAAAATTAGCCAGGTGTGGTGGCGTGCGCCTATAGCCCCAGCTACTTGGGAGTCTGAGGCAGGATAATCGCTTGAACTGGGGAGGTGGAGGTTGCAGTGAGCTGAGATCGTGCCACTGCACTCCAGCCTGGCTGACAGGGTGAGACTCCATCCTCCATCTAAAAAAAAAAAAAAAAAAAAAAAAAAAAAGCACATGATATGGATGGTTTGGATCTGTGTCCCTACCGAAATCTCATCTCATGTTCAACTGTAATTCCCAATGTTGGAGGCAGGGCCTAGTGGGAGGTAACTGGATCCTGGGGGCAGTTTCTCATGGTTTAACACCACCCTCTTTGGAGTTGTCATTGCTACTTTATTGTTGAAAAATGTGTGGCACCTCCCTGCGCTCTCTGTTCTACTGCTCCTTCCATGTAAGACACTTGCTCCCACGTTGCCTTCTGCCATGTTTGTAAGTTTCCTGAGGTCTTCCCAGAAGCCAAATAGATGGGCAACCTCATGCTTCCTGTAAACCCTGCAGAACTGTGAGCCAATTAAACATCTTTTTAAAAATATAAATTACCCAAGCTCAGGTATTTCTTTATAGCAATGCAAGAATGGACTAATATGACATACAGACAAAAGGATAAGAATTAAATATCTTAGAAGAGGTGCCTGTGGAGAGGAGAGGAATAGGAGTAGAATATGAGGTTAAAAGGAAACCAGTGAAGAATAGAGCCTTTAAATGAACAATGATGATGAGGTGCTATGAACTAAGAAATTTTGTTTAACTTGACCTTCTGTGCATGAGTTAAAATTAAATCCATCCATCAATATGTACCATACAAGCAAATGTGGCACCAGACATATCAAACAGGCAAGGTAGACTTTATTCAAGACTATAGCAATAGCAGAGAGAGATTAAACTCAACTCTTCTGAAACCAAAGGCAGGGGAGTTTTTCAACACAGGGTAATCATTTAGAAAAGTACTAGATGACATTAGCAGAGAGGTTGGTTAATGGAGTACGTCCACCACATTAACTTATTCCTGAGTTTGCTACATTTTTCTCTGTGATTAGGCCATCTGTGTTTACAAATTGGCATCTAAGTTGGGCTCCTATCCTCCCACAGAGACTGGGAGATAGAGATGCTTTCTCCTTCAGAGTTTTCATTTCAAAGAGATGGTTCCCAGGTCCTTAAGAAAGATTATTCCCTGGGTTGTAAAACTGGCAAGAGGATTGGAGAATATTTACACACATTTCAAAGAGGCAGAGAAAGAATTTGCAACTTCAAGTTTTCTAAAGTAAATGCTCTAAAAAAAGGGTGGCTAAGTCTTATATTCAGGAAGAAACCTGTCTAAAGTTTAGTCAAGCTGAGGTGAATGTTGAGGCTGTCTTGGTCAATACATCCATACATATAAGGAAATTTCTAAGATAATGAGGTAAAAAATTTGCTTCTGGCTGAACCCCAAGGAATGCAAGGCATCAACTCAGCTGCCTCCTGGGCTTGCAGGCTCAGCTGCCCACCCACTGGGTATTATCATCTAGCTGCTTTTCTGAATGGCTGGATTTTAGAAGTCTTTATTTGCATCACATTCTTGGGGTAATATTTAGAACGATAAGAGAAAGTAGTGAAAAAAAAAACCAACTGTGGAATCGTGTTTGAAATAGTCTAAGTGCTCAAATATCTATTTGTCAAGAATCAGAACTTCTCAAAATTATATTTCTCTTTTTTCTTTTTGGATTCAGCACAAGATTAGAACAATCTAGAAAAGGGTTTTGAGCTCTTTACCTGGAAGGCTCCTGGCATGCGAGCTAATATATTTCTTTTTTTCTAATACTGACACCTATATAGACAAAAGAAGTCTTTTCCTAGAGAAAGATAGTTGTTGTTCTTTTCCTCCTGTGTGAAGGTTTACTGGGGCATTTGTTAATGGGTCAGAGTACCTCGAGGCTCTCTCCACTGGGGATAACAAGAGTTATGTCAGCCTTGATATCTCTGGCCAGCTCCTTGGGCACTTATCACTTCTTTTCATCCCTTCCTCTCCTCCATGTCTCCCTTGCTGTGTGCTTTCTTTGTCATTGAGCTCTCCTGCAGCTCTGCTCTCATAGTGGGGTCATTCTCTCCTACCCCCCATCATCTATCCCTCCTTGATCTTGTTTTTATTTCTCTATTCACTAACATATTCCGATCTGCTCTCAGAATTGACTCTTCTTTTGCTTGGGAACATTGAAAGATTAAAATTAAGGCAATGGGTAACATCAAAGTCTAATCATAACCAATTGGTTAATTGTGCGGATCACTGCACATAAGTTATCTAAATAAAAGTCTTAAAACCACGCAAGAGAGATGTTACATGCCATTTTATGACTGGAAAAATTGAGATAAGAAAGGCTTAAAACCCTTCCAAAGATCATAGAGCTAGTAAGAAACAGAACTAGGGCTTTATGACCTAATCCCAACTATGTCTTCAAGGCCATGTTTATTTTCGTATATCCTGCTGCCTTCTCTGGTCTTTGGAGCAAAAAGCCTGCATTTCTTTAGGGTAATGAAACTTCAGGGAAGCTGAAATTAGGATTCTGGCACTTGCCAGTCTAGAAGAGATAGAAGAGAGGACATTAAGAAGGTAATTTGAGTTCCCTGTGGCTCAATACATCATCTCAACCAACATCCCACTTCTATGGATGCCAGAACATTGATATTTCTGCTGTTATAATGATCTCTAGTTCTGTCCACCTATCAGGACAGTGAGTTACAGGAAATGCAAATGATGCAAGATTCAGGCTTTTTTTTTTTTTTCTGGAGAAAATGAGGGCAGGTGCCTTCTTACAACCAAACATCTAGGCTATCTCTGGGCTATGTTACTTGGGCTCTACTTTATAAAATTTAAAACTGTAACATATTAAAATTTTTTTTAACATCATGTGGCTTATTTTCTAAAAGAGGAAGAACTAAACAACAGAAAAATCTTCATCTTAATTAAAATAACACCAACTGAATTCCTTGTGTCCCTGTTTCCTTTACATACACCACCTTCAAAAACCTCAATTTCAACCACTTTATTCTAACACAGCCACATCTTTTCTAATTAATATGATTTGGTGTTCCCAAGCCAACCATTCCTCACATGCATTGAGAATGCTGATCCTTGTGTCTGCCACATTTTCATTCTCATGCCACTCATATCATCACTTCTCTTTTTACACAGACTAAATTCACTTGTTAAGTCATCTCTTCCTTTATCCCCTCACATGTCTGACATAAAGGCAACTTACTCTTCACACATAGCAAACTGGAGAAAAATCACACAACAATGACCACTGGACTCAAATTAATAATAAAAATATTGAATAGACCTTCCACACTACCATCAAGCCAACATTAGCCTCCCTAGCACACGCTTATTGATGACTTACCTTGCCGTTTATTGACAGCACAGAGGCAGTAAATAGAGAATGTCTTTCCCTTCCAGACACTACAATTCCTGCCTTCCCTGTACCATTTTATACATGCTTTGCTTTCCTTCATTTTGCAGTGGATAAGGAATCCCTATTCCCAACGTGATCTCCACTATTCTCTGGATCATTATGGAATTCCCATTTGCAATAAATTCATGGCTTCAATCAGCCCCTCTGCTGCTGCATTAGCAATTTCTCCCTGCATTGGCAAATGCTATGGTCTGTTTTCTATCTAAATTTTTTTTTCTAGCAAAGACATGGAATCAACCTAGGTGCCCATCAACGCTGGATTGGATACAGAAAACGTGGCACATATACACCATGGAATACTGTGCAGCCATAAAAAATAATGAGATCATGTTGTTTGTAGTAACACGGATGCAACTGGAGGCCATTATTCTAAGCAAATTAGTGCAGGAACAGAAAACTAAAGAACTTATGTTCTCACTTATAAGAGGCAGCTAAACACTGGGTACTCATGGATATAAAGATGACAATAATAGACACTGGGGACTACTAGAGGGAGAGGGAGGGAGGGGGACAAGGGTTGAAAAACTAACTGTTGGGTGTTACACTCACTACCTTGGTGATGGGATCAATTGTACCCCAAACCTTAACATCACACAATATACCCTTGTAAGAAACCTGCACATTTACCTCTGAATCTAAAACGAAAGCTGAAATTATAAAAAAAATTTTTTGAAAGACCTAATGGCATCAGACTGGACTAAGGTTGAGGGTATAGAATATAACAAAATCAAAGATGTTAATTGTGTCTAAAGAATTAGTGAAGATGGTTCAGAATTTTAACCTTGATTCCAAGGTCAAGAAATACTGTGCAGAAAGATTTAAGACTCAGAGGAAATAGGGAAGCAGAAAATGAAGTTTTAAAACATTTATTTTATTCCAAGGGAAAGTTTTCTGTTTGATTCTGAGGAACCACAGCATTATCTCCGAGTTCATCCTTCTTGGGGTGTCTACTAACAGCCATATTCAGGCTCTGCTATTTGTGCTGTTCCTGGGAGTTTACTTCCTGGCCCTGATAGAGAATTTGGTAATGCCACTGGTGATCAGAACTGATTCCACCTCTGCATACCCATGCACTTCTTTCTGGGATGTATTTGTTCATTTTTCTGCTGTCACATAATACCATAGATTGGGTAATTTATGAAGAAAAAAATTTATTTGACTCATGATTGTGGAGGCTGGGAATCCAAGATTGAGGAGTTGCATCTGGTGAGGACCTTCTTGCTGTGTCATATAACATGGTGGAAGGGCAAGCATGCACATGAGACTGAGGGGAGATCATACCAAACTCATCCTTTTAATCAGACACCCATCTCATGGCAACAGCATTAATCTATTCATGAGGGTAGAGCCTAATCATCTCTCTCTTTTTTTTTTGGAGATGGAGTCTCCCTCTGTTGCCTAGGCTGGAGTGCAGTGGCACAATCTAGGCCCACTGCAACCCCCACCTCCTGGGTTCAAGTGATTATCCTGCCTCAGCCTCCCGAGTAGCTGGGATTACAGATGCCCGCCACCATGCCCAGCTAATTTTTGTATTTTTAGGAGAAATGGGGTTTCACCATGTTGGCCAGGCTGGTCTCAAACTCTTGACCTCAGGTGACCCACCTGTCTCGGCCTCCCAAAGTGCTAGGATTACAGGCATGAGCCACTGTGCCCAGCCACATCTTAAGGACTAATTGCCTCTTAAAGGCTCCACCTCTTAATGGTGATACAATGGCAATTAAATTTCAACATGACTTTTGGAGGGGTAGGTGTTGTTTGAGCCAATATTGACTGACCAAAGAAGCCCACCATCCTCAGAAGGAAGGACATTCCAGTCAGAAGAAAGAGCTAATGCAGAGGCTTTGGCACAGAAGAAACTTGAGTTAATTGGGGACAGAAAGAAGGCTGTATGACTGAAGCTCAGCAAGCGATGGGTAAAAAAGGCTGTCCGCAGTCAGATCCCATAGTAACTTTTAGACCATGATGTCAGGAATTTGTGTTTGATTCTCAGTGATATAGGAGAGTTTTGAAAGATTACTCTGGCTTCTCTATGGAGCACTAATTATAGAAGGACAAGAGTAGAATCAGGAATGATGATTAGGAGCTATTGCAAGACTCCATGTGACATCTGACGGTATTTTTTTACTAAAATTGATCAGATAAAAAGAGAAGAGAAATTTGGAATATGTTTTGGAAGTACAGTTATAGGGCTTGCTGCTACATTAGATATAGACCAGAAAAGAGAGAGAGGGCTCAAGGTAAGTCTAGATTTTCTCTTGGGCAACTGAGTAGATGATGGTACATCATTTACTGAAGTCAGGATAATCGGGGACATGCACATTAGGAAGGCGAAACTTGAGGATTTGTTTTCTGTTAGTTTGGCTGGTTGGTTGCATTTTGACTAAAATGCCCAAATCTGTATTAGATATCAGAGTGGAATGTCAAGTATCCAGTTGTATATATTATTTTGAAGCTCTAGAAAATGGTCAAATGGTCAGGGCTAATATATGGGGTGTATGGAGTATTCAGAGCTGTAAGACTGGCATAGAACATCTAAGGAAAACGTTTTCCAGAACATCTAAGGAAAACAAATCCTGGAAAGAAGACCTGCAGCATGCCAGCATTTCTAGTTCAAGCTGAGGATGATCCACCAAGAGAAACTGAGGCACAGCAGCCATTGAACAAGGAGGAAAATCATAAAATTTTTGTATCACAAAAGCCAAGAGAAGAGAGTGCTTCAAGAATAGAGAGGTTAGCTGTGTTGAGTGCCATTGAAAATTCAAATAAGAAAAGAACAGAAAAGCTACCACTGGATTTTGTAACATTGGATTTAAAAGTAGTTGGCAATATTGATGAGAGAAGTTTCAGCTAGCTAGGATAAGTTGAAAAGAGAATGGTAGGTGAAAAAGTAGAGCGATCAACCGCAGTTAACTTTATTGAGAAGTGTTCCTGTGAAGGAGATTGAGAAAATAAAGCAGTATGTTTAGAGGATGTGAAGTCAAGGGAGCTATTTGTTTTTGGTTTTGTTTTGGGTTTTGTTTGTTTTTAGTACGTGAAAAAATACTGAAGTTTGAGTGTTCATGGATATGGTCACATAGGCAATATAATATCAGGATTTTAGCTAGGATGGAGGCAAACAAACTTTGAATCTCTTCTACAGCCACTGATGGGAATGAGTTCTTGATGACATTCAAACGGAGGCTGGATAGACACTTACTGGAGATGCTGAATGGGGCTCATGTATTAGTTGGAGATAGAAATAAAGTGATCCATGTGATCTTTTATGCTCCTTAGACTCCTATGATTCTAGAAGGAAGGCTTAGCTGTTTGCATTTGTGTGAGAGAACGTGGGTGTGAGTATGTGTGCATGCAGGTGTATAGTGAAGATCAGGTCCTGCCAAACCTGAGGAGGCCCCACGCTGGTCCCTGGCTAGCAGAAGGGTTAGCAAGCCTTCAGTGCCTCACTCCATGGTCTTTCCCTAGACCACAAAAGTGGCAGGAGTGGATGCCCATCCCAGGGGCCCAGGTCACTGGATAATACTACCTTCCCCATGAGTATAGATTAATCCCCAGCAACTTAGGGCCCAGATTACTCTCTTTCCTTCTCCAAGGGCCAGCCTGGCACATGGATACCAAGTAGAAAAAGACTAGAAAAAATGAAGAAAGTCACACAAACTGGCTAGGAGCCATCCTCTGAACCAGTAATGGTAAAGGAGTAATGAGGAGGAAGAAAAAGAGGATAGCCCAAGCCTCTTAGCAGGTACTGACTGAAACCAGAGCCCATGCATACCAACACACTAGCCTTTATCCAAAACTAAACACATGTTGAATATTGTTTAAATGCACTACCATACAGTTGTCAACTGGTTGGAAAAGAAAACCAGATTTTCCGGAGAACTGCGTGAGTTCTTTGAGCACCCCACATCATTTGTTTCTCCAAGTGAGGCAGTAGTCAGGAGCTTATCTCCAGGAAGAACTGGAGTCAACAGTCCTTGTCAGTCCTTCCCATACTGCCACATGTGAGGAATCTTAATAAGCAACTGTTCCAGACTTTTCATTGCACAGCACAGAGAACTGGCTCAGAAAAAGGAAGCAGAAAGCGCCTGCCAAATTCACAAAAGTAGGTCATGAACAGAGCTGGAATAAGATATTTTAGGAAGTTGAACAGTTTGTCGCTTTATCAATCTGTAATTGTTTGTCCTTTTCCTTCATTTATCAGATTTTGGACAAAAGGCTAAGATTCCTTTGGAATAAATTAGTGGGGGTGAAGTGCCATAGTTGCTAGATGGGGAGCTGGATGGAAGCCAAGGAGGAGCAATCCTGAATTATGGGTAACAGTGAGTTTGGAGTATTCTCATTTTCTCTGGTGGGGGATTTCCTAGCTAAATGCCAAGATCTTTGGCTGAAATTAATTTGAGATGTCATTTAGTTCAAGGTCTCATCCTCAAGCAATACAAAGTAGGTAGAAAGCAGAGACTAATTGTGCAGTTCCATATAATTTTTCAGGATAAAGCAAACTCTATAATCCCCATTCATATTCTTGTCATAAAAAGTGTAAAAAAGTTTTCATTCCTTAAAAGTCAAAACAACATGTGTCTACAAAGATTTACTCAGGGAGACCACAAAGTCTGCAACTAGGGTGTGGGAAGAAGGAGGAAAAGAACATCTTTGATACCAGTTTCTTCCCACTCCACGGGAGCGCAGCATGCTTCACTTCAAGACACTCTTCAAAAGCTTTTCTTTTGCCTTCTCTACCAGGGACATTTCAATGCAGAGAAGCCCCAGCCTCCAACCTCCTCAGTGGCCTCAGGACCGCCCTCTTCTTCAGACAAGTTTCCTAGAACACAGATTTGGGGTTGAAGAGTGCTAGACAGAGGGCAGGCAAAAGGCAGAAAAACTAATAGAAAAATCAAACTGTTGAGCCATTTTTATTCTTCAACTGAGCAACCAAGTCTCCTTCTTAAAGAAATGGCTTCTCAGCCAAATTCAATTTTATTAGAGGGCATGTAGGGCAAATATAGAATGGTAAAAGAAAGAGGTGCATATTCCTTATTGGAATTAGGCTTAGTTAAATGCTGAATTTGAAGCAAAAAAGTAGAATGTGAATTTATATTACTCCACCCAAAAAGATATTTTTCATTAAAAGTATAAAAAACGTATTTTTTAAAAAAGTAAAATCAGGCTGGGCATGGTGGCTCATGCCTGCAATCCCAGCACTTTGGGAGGCCAAGGCAGGCAGATCACCTGAGGTCAGGAGTTCAAGACTAGCCTGGCCAACACGGTGAGACCTCGTTTCTATTAAAAATACCAAAATTAACCAGGCATGGTGGCATGCACCTGTAATCCCAGCTACTCGGGAGGCTGAGACAGGAGAATTGCTTGAACCCAGGAGGTGGAGGTTGCAGAGCCAAGATTGCGCCATTGCACTCCAGCCTGGGCGACAAGAGCAAAACTCTGTCTCAAAAAAAAAAAAAAAAAGAGTAAAACCAAAAGAATTGTCCACTCTGTTACCACCCTAACAACTCAGCTGTTTATTTTAAGTTCCATATAAGCCCCTGCAGTGTGCACATTTTTATATAATCAAATGAATTTAAACTAACTGTGTTTTCTGATCTTTTTACTAGATAGCATATCAAGAATATTTTCCGTTTCTGTCTCTCCTCTGTAATTATTATTTTAATAATTAGAAAATATTCCATTATGTGTTTCTACTAAAATGTAGTAGCCATTCCTCAGTTATTAGACCTTTGGGTTGATCCTAGTGTAACTGTCTTGAAAAAAATACTGAAATATAAATTTTTCACACACAGATTACTTTTCTCTTCTTTTCAATCATTTGCTTAGGATATATTTTCAAAAGAAATTTGAGATTTCATCTTGCCAAAAGTATTGTATCAACATATAATGCTTCCAACAACATGGAAGGACATATCGGTCTCACCAAATCTTGCTAGCACTGGGTATTATGATTTAAAATAGTTTTCATATAAATAGATGTAGACCTGGTGTCACCATCTGGTTTCAATTTACAAGTCTTTGATTATAAGTAGAGTGGAAATTTTTCATTATATTGATAGTATATGCATAGAATTTCAGACTATTTATGTTACCATTTTAGTTTTGTCCCAGAAATTGCAGAAGTTAGAAATCATTGCAGAAGGAGAGAACCTGCAGACAAAGGGGCCACGAATAAGACTTCTGAAGTCATTCAGTGCTAGATGAGAAATCTCATAAGGCAAATATGGTAGAATAATATTGAAAGAGGAAAAGTTAAAAATACTGAGGAGACAAATAAAAGAGTAATAACATTTGTTAGGCAGAAATGGGAAGACTACCTTGTGCCTAGCAGTGTGCTTAGATTAAGCCAAGAAGAATCAACTAAGAACTAGTTAAGCTAGTTCCTATCAGAAATAGGGAGTTCATACACTAATAAGTTGCATTTGTTTTGCAATCAATTATACTCTACTAAAGACATGTTATTATCCCTATTTTTTTTTCAATAATGTAACAGACCCTCTCTGTGGTGAACTAAGTAGTCCAAAGTTTCCAAGCTAATCCAATTAGTGTTGGAACTAGGACCACAGACCAGACTTTATAGTTTAAAATAATTCATTTTTATATAGAATGTCATGTAAACCTCGAAAGATATCTCAGATGAGAAAATGAAGATTTAAATTTGCCTCTTTGCCCAAAGTCAGATGCCTGACCAGTAGCAGAGCTGAGACTCATGTCAAGGTCCTCTGACTCTATACAGCCCCATCACCATCCATCCAAGAGAGCCACAGCAGCTTCAAACTGGCCCCTTCCTTGGAACAGGGCCATAGGTATTACAGCATATATGACATCTTACTCCCAGGACAGCTTGCAGTCTCACAAATGGGGTTGCCTATGAATCATGCATTCATTTATATATTTGTTCTTTTATTTATTCAATAATCAAAATATGTTTGTAAGCCTGGAGTGGTGGCTCACACCTGTAATCCCAGCACTTTGGGAGGACAAGGTGGGCGGATCACCTGAGGTCAGGAGCTCCAGACCAGCCTGGCCAACATGGTGAAACCCTGTCTCTAATAAAAATACAATAATTAGTGGGGCATGGTGGTGGGCACCTGTAATCCCAGCTACTCAGGAGGCTGAGGCAGGAGAATTGCTTGAACTGAGGAGGCAGAGATTGAGTGAGCCGAGATCATGCCAGTGCACTCCAGCCTGGGCAACAGAGCAAGACTCCATCTCAAAAATATATACAAATTTTTATGATCTCCTAAAATGCATTAAAATAGAATAGACTTGTGCAAAATGTAGCTTTGCGATGTTTTTATTCATTTACTCTATAAACCTTTACTAAGTACCTACTAAATGCCAGGTGCCATGCTTACTTCTGAAGATAAAATGATAAAAAATACTGACAGAGTCCCTGCCCTCATGGAACTTACTCAAAACATGGAGGGACATGAAACAAATTCATTTGGTCATTTAGCCATTCAACAAATATTTACTGAGCCCTTTCTACATTCTAGGCACTCTTCTAATAAATGCTAGGGATATAGCAATGATCAAAACAGATGAAGTCTGGACACTTCACTTTCCATGATGTGTTTATTTCATACTGCATGCCTCTATCAAAACATCTCATGTGCCCCATAAATATATACACCTAGATACCCACAAAAATTTTTTAAAAATAAAAAAAGAAGATGGCCAAATAGGAACAGCTCTGGTCTGCAGCTCCCAGTGAGATCAATGCAGAAGATGGGTGATTTCTGCATTTCCAACTGAGATACCTGGTTCATCTCATTGGGACTGGTTGGACAGTGGGTGCAGCCCATGGAGGGTGAGCTGAAGCAGGGCAGGACATCGCCTCACCTTGGAAGCACAAGGTGTTGAGGGATTTCCCTTTCCTAGCCAAGGGAAGCCGTGACAGACTGTACCTGAAGAAACAGTACACTCCTGACCAAATACTGTGCTTTCCCCATAGTCTTTGCAACTGGCAGACCAGGAGATTCCCTCCTGTGCTTGGCTGGGTGGGTCCCATGCCACAGAGCCTTGCTCACTCTTAGCGCAACAGATTGAGATCAACCTGCGACACTGCAGCTTGATGGGGGGAGGAGCATCCACCATTGCTGAGGCTTGAGTAGCTCACAGTGTAAACAAAGAGGCCAGGAAGTGCTAACTGGGTGGAGCCCACCACAGCTCAGCAAGGCCTACTGCCTATCTAGATTCCACCTCTGGGGGCAGGGCATATCTGAACAAAAGGCAGCAGACAGCTTCTGCAGACTTAAACGTCCCTATCTGACAGCTCTGAAGAGAGCAGTGGTTTTCTCAGCATGGCGTTCAAGATCCGAAAATGGACAGACTGCCTCCTCAAGCGGGTCCTTGACCCCTGTGTAGCCTGACTGGGAGACACCTCCCAGTAGGGGCCGACAGACACCTCAAACAGGTGGGTGCCCCTCTGTGATGAAGCTTCTAGAGGAAGGAAGGATCAGGCAGCAATATTTGGTGTTCTGCAGCCTCCGTTGGTGATACCCAGGCAAGTAGAGTCTGGAGTGGACTTCCAGCAAACTCCAACAGACCTGCAGCTGAGGGGCCTGACTGTTAGAAGGAAAACCAACAAACAGGAATAGCATCAACGTCAACAAAAAGATCATCCACGCCAAAACCGCATCTGTAGGTCAGCAACATGTAAGACCAAAGGGAGATAAAACCACAAAGATGGGGAGAAACCAGAGCAGAAAAGCAGGAAATTCCAAAAACCAGAATGCCTCTTCTCCTCCAAAGGATGACAGCTTCTCACCAGCAATGGAACAAAGCAAGACAGAGAATGACTTTGACGAATTGACAGAAGTAGGCTTCAGAAGGCCGGTAATAAAAAACTTCTCTGAGCTAAAGGAGCGAGCATGTTCTAACCTATCGCAAGGAAGCTAAAAACCTTGAAAAGGACAGGGAGCCAAGATGGCCAAATAGGAACAGCTCTGGTCTACACTCCCAGCGTGAGCGACGCAGAAGACGGGTGATTTCTGCATTTCCATCTGAGGTACTGGGTTCATCTCACTGGGGAGTGCCAGACAGTGGGTGCAGGACAGTGGGTGCAGCGCATCATGCATGAGCTGAAGCAGGGCAAGGCATTGCCTCACTTGGGAAGCACAAGGGGTCAGGGAGTTCCCTTTCCTAGTCAAAGAAAGGGGTGACAGACAGCACCTGGAAAATCGGGTCACTCCCACCCTAATACTGCGCTTTTCCGATGGGCTTAAAAAACGGCACACCAGGAGATTATATCCCGCACTGGGCTTGGAGGGTCCTATACCCATGGAGTCTCGCTGACTGCTAGCACAGCAGTCTGAGATCAAACTGCAAGGCAGCAGCAACACTGGGGGAGGGGTGCCTGCCATTGCCCAGGCTTGCTTAGGTAAACAAAGCAGCCAGGAAGCTCGAACTGGTGGAGCCCACCACAGCTCAAGGAGGCCTGCCTGCCTCTATGGCTCCACCTCTGGGGGCAGGGCACAGACAAACAAAAAGACAGCAGTAACCTCTGCAGACTTAAATGTCCCTGTCTGACAGCTTTGAAGAGAGCAGTGGTTCTCCCAGCACGCAGCTGGAGATCTGAGAACGGGCAGACTGCCTCCTCAAGTGGGTCCCTGATCCCTGACCCCCGAGCAGCCTAACAGGGAGGCACCCCCCAGTAGGGGCAGACTGACACCTCACACGGCCGGGTACTCCTCTGAGACAAAACTTCCAGAGGAACGATCAGACAGCAGCATTCACGGTTCACGAAAATCCACTGTTCTGCAGCCAGCACTGCTGGTACCCAGGCAAACAGGGTCTGGAGTGGACCTCTAGCAAACTCCAACAGACCTGCAGCTGAGGGTCCTGTCTGTTAGAAGGAAAACTAACAAACAGAAAGGACATCCACACCAAAAACCCATCCATACATCACTATCATCAAAGACCAAAAGTAGATAAAACCACAAAGATGGGGAAAAAACAGAGTGGAAAAACTGGAAACTCTAAAAAGCAGAGCACCTCTCCTCCTCCAAAGGAACACAGCTCCTCACCAGCAATGGAACAAAACTGGACAGAGAATGACTTTGACAAACTGAGAGAAGAAGGCTTCAGATGATGAAACTACTCTGAGCTACAGGAGGAAATTCAAACCAAAGGCAAAGAAGTTAAAAACTTTGAAAAAAATTTAGATGAATGTGTAACTAGAATAACCAATACAGAGAAGTGCTTAAAGGAGATGATGGAGCTGAAAGCCAAGGCTCGAGAACTACAGGAAGAATGCAGAAGCCTCAGGAGCTGATGCGATCAACTGGAAGAAAGGGTATCAGTGATGGAAGATGAAATGAATGAAATGAAGTGAGAAGGGAAGTTTAGAGAAAAAAGAATAAAAAGAAACGAACAAAGCCTCCAAGAAATATGGGACTGTGTGAAAAGACCAAATCTACGTCTGATTGGTGTACCTGAAAGTGACGGGGAGAATGGAACCAAGTTGGAAAACACTCTGCAGGATATTATCCAGGAGAATTTCCCCAATCTAGCAAGCAGGCCAACATTCAGATTCAGGAAATACAGAGAACGCCACAAAGATACTCCTCGAGAAGCGCAACTCCAAGACACATAATTGTCAGATTCACCAAAGTTGAAATGAAGGAAAAAATGTTAAGGGCAGCCAGAGAGAAAGGTCGGGTTACCCTCAAAGGGAAGCCCATCAGACTAACATCTGATCTCTCGGCAGAAACTCTACAAGCCAGAAGAGAGTGGGGGCCAATATTCAACATTCTTAAAGAAAAAAATTTTCAACCCAGAACTTCATATCCAGCCGAACTAAGCTTCATAAGTGAAGGAGAAATAAAATCCTTTACAGACAAGCAAATGCTCAGAGATTGTGTCACCACCAGGCCTGCCCTAAAAGAGCTCCTGAAGGAAGCACTAAACATGGAAAGGAACAACCCATACCAGCCAATGCAAAATCATGCCAAACTGTAAAGACCATCGAGGCTAGGAAGAAACTGCATCAACTAACGAGCAAAATAACCAGCTAACATCATAATGACAGGATCAAATTCACACATAACAATATTAACTTTAAATGTAAATGGAGTAAATGCTCCAATTAAAAGACACAGACTGGCAAATTGGTTAAAGAGTCAAGACCCATCAGTGTGCTGTATTCAGGAAACCCATCTCACGTGCAGAGACACACATAGGCTCAAAATAAAAGGATGGAGGAAGATCTACCAAGCAAATGGAAAACAAAAAAAGGCAGGGGTTGCAATCCTAGTCTCTGATAAAACAGACTTTAAACCAACAAAAATCAAAAGAGACAAAGAAGGCCATTACATAATGGTAAAGGGATCAATTCAACGAGAAGAGCTAACTATACTAAATATATATGCACCCAATACAGGAGCACCCAGATTCATAAAGCAAGTCCTGAGTGACCTACAAAGAGACTTAGACTCCCACACATTAATAATGGGACACTTTAACACCCCACTGTCAACATTAGACAGATCAACGACACAGAAAGTCAACAAGGATACCCAGGAATTGAACTCAGCTCTGCACCAAGCGGACCTAATAGACATCTACAGAACTCTCCACCCCAAATCAACACAATATACATTTTTTTCAGCACCACACCACACCTATTCCAAAATTGACCACATTGTTGGAATTAAAGCACTCCTCAGCAAGTGTAAAAGCTCAGACATTATAACAAACTATCTCTCAGACCACAGTGCAATCAAACTAGAACTCAGGATTAAGAAACTCACTCAAAACCGCTCCACTACATGGAAACTGAACAACCTGCTCCTGCATGACTACTGGGTACATAACGCAATGAAGGCAGACATAAAGATGTTCTTTGAAACCAACGAGAACAAAGACACAACATAGCAGAATCTCTGGGACACATTCAAAGCAGTGTGTAGAGAGAAATTTATAGCACTAAATGCCCACAAGAGAAAGCAGGAAAGATCTAAAATTGACACCCTAACATCACAATTAAAAGAACTAGAAAAGCAAGAGCAAACACATTCAAAAGCTAGCAGAAGGCAAGAAATAACTAAGATCAGAGGAGAACTGAATGAAATAGAGACACAAAAAACCCTTCAAAAAATCAACGAATCCAGGAGCTGGTTTTTTGAAAGGATCAACAAAATTGATAGACCACTAGCAAGACTAATAAAGAAGAAAAGAGAGAAGAATCAAATAGATGCAATAAAAAATGATAAAGGGGATATCACCACCGATCCCACAGAAACACAAACTACCATCAGAGAATACTACAAACACCTCTACGCAAATAAACTAGAATTCTAGAAGAAATGGATGAATTCCTTGACACATCCACCCTCCCAAGACTAAACCAGGAAGAAGTTGAATCTCTGAATAGACCAATAACAGGAGCTGAAATTGTGGCAATAATCAATAGCTTACCAACCAAAAACAGTCCAGGACCAGATGGATTCACAGCCAAATTCTAGCAGAGGTACAAGGAGGAACTGGTACCATTCCTTCTGAAACTATTCCAATCAATAGAAGAAGAGGGAATCCTCCCTAACTCATTTTATGAGGCCAGCATCATCCTGATACCAAAGCCGGGCAGAGACACAACCAAAAAAGACAATTTTAGACCAATATCCTTGATGAACATTAATGCAAAAATCCTCAATAAAATACTGGCAAACAGAATCCAGCAGCACATCAAAAAGCTTATCCACCATGATCAAGTGGGCTTCATCCCTGGGATGCAAGGCTGGTTCAATATATGCAAATCAATAAATGTAATCCAGCATATAAACAGAACCAAAGACAAAAACCACATGATTATCTCAATAGATGCAGAAAAAGCCTTTGACAAAATTCAACAACCCTTCATGCTAAAAACTCTCAATAAATTAGGTATTGATGGGACATATCTCAAAATAATAAGAGCTATCTATGACAAACCCACAGCCAATATCATACTGAATGGGCAAAGACTGGAAGCATTCCCTTTGAAAACTGGCACAAGACAGGGATGCCCTCTCCCACCACTCCTATTCAACATAGCGCTGGAAGTTCTGGCCAGGGCAATTAGGCAGGAGAAGGAAATGAACGTCATTCAATTAGGAAAAGAGGAAGTCAAATTGTCTCTGTTTGCAGATGACACGATTGTATATCTAGAAAACCCCATTGTCTCAGCCCAAAATCTCCTTAAGCTGATCAGCAACTTCAGCAAAGTCTCAGGATACAAAATAAATGTACAAAAATCACAAGCATTCTTATACACCAATAACAGACAAACAGAGAGCCAAATCATGAGTGAATTCCCATTCACAATTGCTTCAAAGAGAATAAAATACCTAGGAATCCAACTTACAAGGGATATAAGGACCTCTTCAAGGAGAACTACAAACCACTGCTCAATGAAATAAAAGAGGATACAAACAATGGAAGAACATTCCATGCTCATGGGTAGGAAGAATCAATATCGTGAAAATGGCCATACTGCCCAAGGTAATTTATAGATTCAATGCCATCCCCATCAAGCTACCAATGACTTTCTTCACAGAATTGGAAAAAACTACTTTAAAGTTCATATGGAACCAAAAAAGAGCCCGCATCACCAAGTCAATCCTAAGCCAAAAGAACAAAGCTAGAGGCATCACGCTACCTGACTTCAAACTATACTACAAGGCTACAGTCACCAAAACAGCATGGTACTGGTACCAAAACAGAGATATAGATCAATGGAACAGAAAAGAGCCCTCAGAAATAATGCTGCATATCTACAACCAACTGATCTTTGACAAACCTGAGAAAAACAAGCAATGGGGAAAGGATTCCCTATTTAATAAATGGTGCTGGGAAAACTGACTAGCCATATGTAGAAAGCTGAAACTGGATCCCTTCCTTACACCTTATACAAAAATTAACTCAAGATGGATTAAAGACTTAAACGTTAGACCTAAAACCATAAAAACCGTAGAAGAAAACCTAGGCATTACCATTCAGGACATAGGCATGGGCAAGGACTTCATGTCTAAAACACCAAAAGCAATGGCAACAAAAGCCAAAATAGACAAATGGGATCTAATTAAACTAAAGAGCTTCTGCACAGCAAAAGAAACTACCATCAGAGTGAACAGGCAACCCACAAAATGGGAGAAAATTTTCACAACCTACTCATCTGACAAAGGGCTAATATCCAGAATCTACAATGAACTCAAACAAATTTACAAGAAAAAACAAACAACCCCATCAAAAAGTGGGTGAAGGACATGAACAGACACTTCTCAAAAGAAGACATTTATGAAGCCAAAAAACACATGAAAAAATGCTCGCCATCACTGGCCATCAGAGAAATGCAAATCAAAACCACAATGAGATATCATCTCACACCAGTTAGAATGGCAATCATTAAAAAGTCAGGAAACAACAGGTGCTGGAGAGGATGTGGAGAAATAGGAACACTTTTACACTGTTGGTGGGACTGTAAACTAGTTCAACCATTGTGGAAGTCAGTGTGGCGATTCCTCAGGGATCTAGAACTAGAAATACCATTTGACCCAGCCATCCCATTACTGGGCATATACCCAAAGGAATATAAATCATGCTGCTATAAAGACACATGCACACGTATGTTTATTGTGGCACTATTCACAATAGCAAAGACTTGGAACCAACCCAAATGTCCAAAAATGATAGACTGGGTTAAGAAAATGTGGCACATATACACCATGGAATACTATGCAGCCATAAAAAATGATGAGTTCATGTCCTTTGTAGGGACATGGATGAAATTGGAAATCATCATTCTCAGTAAACTATTGCAAGAACAAAAAACCAAACACTGCATATTCTCACTCATAGGTGGGAATTGAACAGTGAGAACACATGGACACAGGAAGGGGAACATCACACTCTGGGGACTGTTTTGGGGTGGGGGGAGCGGGGAGGGATAGCTTTAGGAGATATACCTAATGCTAAATGATGAGTTAATGGGTGCAGCACACCAGCATGGCACATGTATACATATGTAACCTGCACATTGTGCACATGTGCCCTAAAACTTAAAGTATAATGTTAATAAAATAAAATAAAATAAAAAACCTTGAAAAAAGGTTAGATGAATGGCTAACTGGAATAAACAGTGTAGAGAAGACTTTAAGTGACCTGATAGAGCTGAAAACCACAGCATGGGAACTTAGTGATGCATGCACAAGCTTTAGTAGCCAATGCGATCAAGTGGAAGAAAGGATATCAGTGATTGAAGATCAAATTAATGAAATAAAGCAAAATGACAAAATTAGAGAAAAAAGAGTCAAAAGAAACAAACAAAGCCTCCAAGAAATATGAGATTATGTGAAAAGACCAAATCTATGTTTCATTGGTGTACCAGAAAGTGATGGGGAGAATGGAACCAAGTTAGAAACACTCTTCCGGATATTACCCAGGAGAACTTCCCTAACCTAGCAAGGCAGGCCAACATTCAAATTCAGAATATGGAGAACACCACAAAGATACTCCTCAAGAAGAACAACCCCAAGACATATAATTATCAGATTCACCAAGGTTATAATGAAGGAAAAAATGTTAAGGGCAGCCAGAGAGAAAGGTCGGTTACCCACAAAGGGAAGCCCATCAGGCTAATGGCAGATCTCTCAGCAGAAACCCGACAAGGCAGAATAGCGTGGGGGCCAATATTCAACATTCTTAAAGCAAAGAATTTTCAACCCAGAATCTCATATCCAGCCAAACTAAGCTTCATAAGTGAAGGAGAAATAAAATACTTTACAGACAAGCAAATGCTGAGAGATTTTGTTACCACCAGGCCTGCCTTACAAGAGCTCCTGAAGGAAGCACTAAAAATGGAAAGGAACAACCGGTAGCAGCCACTGCAAAAACATGCCAAATTGTAAAGACTGTCGATGCTAGGAAGAAACTGCATCAATTAACAGGCAAAATAACCAGCTAACATCATAATGACAGGATCAATGTCAAACATAACCATATTAACCTTAAATGTAAATGGGCTGAATGCCCCAATTAAAAGACACAGACTGGCAAATTAAAGAGTCAAGACCCATCGATGTGCTGTATCTCACGTGCAAAGACGCACATAGGCTCAAAATAAAGGGATGGAGGAAGATCTAGCAAGGAAATGGAAAGAAAAAAAAAAAGCAGGGCTTGCAATCCTAGTCTCCGATGAAACAGACTTTAAGCCAACAAAGATCGAAAAAGACAAAGAAGACCACTATGTAATGGTAAAAGGATCAATTCAACAAGAAGAGCTAACTATTCTAAATATAAATGCACCCAATACAGGAGCACCCAGATTCATAAAGCAAGTCCTTAGAGACCTACAAAGAGACTTAGACTCCCACACAATAATAATGGGAGACTTTAACACCCCACTGTAAATATTAGACAGATCAATGAGACAGAAGTTTAACAAGGATATCCAGGGCTTGAACTCAGCTCTGGACCAAGTGGACCTAATAGACATCTACTGAACTCTACACCCCAAATCAACAGAATATACTTTCTTCTCAGCACCATGTCGTACTTTTTCTAAAACTGACCACATAACTGGAAGTAAAACACTCCTCAGCAAAAGTAAAAGAACAGAAATCATAATCATAACAAAGTGTCTCTCAGACCACAGTGCAATCAAATTAGATCTCAGGATTAAGAAACTCACTCAAAACCACACAACTACATGGAAACTGAACAACCTGCTCCTGAATGACTACTGGGTAAATAATGAAATGAAGGCAGACATAAAGATGTTCTTTGAAACCAATGAGAACAAAGACACAACGTACCAGAATCTCTGGGACAAATTTAAAGCAGTGTGTAGAGGGAAATTTATAACACTAAATGCCCACAAGAGAAAGCAGGAAAGATCTAAAATCGACACCCTAACATCACAATTAAAAGAACTAGAAAAGCAAGAGCAAACAAATTCAAAAGCTAGCAGAAGGCAAGAAATAACTAAGATCAGGGCAGAACTGAAGGAGATAGAGACACAAAAAACCCTTCAAAAAAATCAATGAATCCAGGAGAGCTGTTTTTTTTTGAAAAGATCAACAAAATAGATAGATTGCTAGCAAGACTAATAAAGAAGAAAAGAGAGAAGAATCAAATAGACACAATAAAAAATGATGAAGGGGATATCACCACTGATTCCACAGAAATACAAACTACCACCAGATAATACTATAAGCACCTCTGTGCAAATAATCTAGAAAATCTAGAAGAAATGGATAAATTCCTGGACACATGCACCCTCCCAAGACTAAACCAGGAAGAAGTTGAATCTCTGAATAGACCAATAACAGGTTCTGAAATTGAGGCAATAATTAAGAGCCTACAACCAAAAAAAGTCGAGGACCAGACGAATTCACAGCTAAGCTCTACCAGAGGTACAAAGAAGAGCTGGTACCATTCCTTCTGAAACTATTCCAATCAATAGAAAAAGAGGGAATCCTCCCTAACTCATTTTATGAGGCCAGCATCATCCTGATACCAAAGCCTGGCAGAGACACAATAAAAAAAGAGAATTTTAGGTCAATATCCCTGATGAACATCGATGCAAAAATCCTCAATAAAATACTAGCAAACCAAATCCAGCAGCACATCAAAAAGCTTAATCACCACGATCAAGTTGGCTTCATCCCTGAGATGCAAGACTGGTTCAACATACGCAAATCAATAAACGTAATCCATCACATAAACAGAACCAATAACAAAAACCACATGGTTATCTAAAAAGATGCAGAAAAGGCCTTTGACAAAATTCAACAGCCATTCATGCTAAAAACTCTCAATAAACTAGGTATTGATGGAACTTATCTCAAAATAATGAGAGGTATTTATGAGAAACCCACAGCCAATATCATAGTGAATGGGCAAAAACTGGAAGCATTCCCTTTGAAAACCGGCACAAGAGAAGGATACCCTCTCTCCCCACTCCTATTCAACATAGTGTTGGATGTTCTGGCTAGGGCAATCAGGCAAGAGAAATAAATAAAGGGTATTCAATTAGGAAAAGAGGAAGTCAAATTGTCTCTGTTGCAGACGACATGATTGTATATTTAGAAAACCTGATCATCTCAGCCCAAAATCTCCTTATCTCCTTAAGCTGATAAGCAACTTCAGCAAAGTCTCAGGATACAAAATCAATGTGCAAAAATCACAAGCATTCCTATACACCAATGATAGACAAACAGAGAGCCAAATCATGAGTGAACTCCCATTCACAATTACTACAAAGAGAATAAAATACCTAGGAATCCAACTTACAAGGGATATAAGGACCTCTTCAAGCAGAACTGCAAACCACTGCTCAATGAAATAAAAGAGGACACAAACAAATGGGAGAACATTCTATGCTCATGAATAGGAAGAATCAATATCGTGAAAATGGCCATACTGCCTAAGGTAATTTACAGATTCAATGCCATCCCCATCAAGCTACCAATGACTTTCTTCACAGAATTGGAAAAAACTACTTTAAAGTTCATATGGAACCAAAAAAGAGCCTGCATAGCCAAGACAATCCTAAGCAAAAAGAACAAAGCTGGAGCATCATGCTACCTGACTTCAAACTATAGTACCAGGCTACAGTAACCGAAACAGCTTGGTACCGGTACCAAACAGAGATATAGACCAATGGAACAGAACAGAGGCCTCAGAAATAATGCCACATATCTACAACCAACTGATCTTTGACAAACCTGATAAAAACAAGCAATGGGAAAAGGATTTCCTATTTAATAAATGATGCTGGGAAAACTGGCTAGCCATATGTAGAAAGCTGAAATTGGATCCCTTCCTTGTGCTGTATACAAAAATTAACTCAAGATCGATTAAAGACTTAAAGGTAAGACCTAACACCATAAAAACCCTAGAAGAAAACCTAGGCAATACCATTCAGGACATAGGCATGGGCAAAAACTTCATGACTAAAACACCAAAAGTAATGGCAACAAAAGCCAAAATAGACAAATGGGATCTAATTAAACTAAAGAGCTTCTGCACAGCAAGAGAAACCATCATCAGAGTGAACAGACAACCTACAGAATGGGAGAAAATTTTTGCAATCTACCCATCTGACAAAGGGCTAATATCCAGAATCTACAAAGAACTTAAACAAATTTACAAGAAAAAAACCCCATCAAAAAGCGGGCAAAGGATATGAACAGACACTTCTCAGTAGATGACATTTATGCAGCCAACAGACATATGAAAAAATGCTCATCATCACTGGTCACCAGAGAAATGCAAATCAAAACCACAATGTGATACCATGTCACACCAGTTAGAATGGCGATCATTAAAAGTCAGGAAACAACAGATGCTGGAGAGGATGTGGAGAAATAGGAACGCTTTTACATTGTTGGTGGGCGTGTAAATTAGTTCAACCACTGTGGAAGACAGTGTGGTGATTCCTCAAGGATCTAGAACTAGAAATACCATTTGACCCAGCCATCTCATTACTGGGTATATACACAAAAGATTATAAATCATGCTGCTATAAAGACACATGCACACGTATGTTTATTGCTGCACTATTCACAATAGCTAAGACTTGGAACCAACCCAAATGTCCATCAATGATAGACTGGATTAAGAAAATGTGGCACATATACACCATCAAATACTATGCAGCCATAAAAAAGGATGAGTTCATGTCCTTTGCAGGGACATGGATGAAGCTGGAAAACATCATTCTAAGCAAACTATCACAAGCACAGAAAACCAAACACCACATGCTCTCACTCATAGGTGGTAGTTGAAGAATGAGAACACATGGACACAGGGTGGGTAACATCACACACCAGGGCCTTTCGGGGGTGTGGGGCTTGGGGAGGGATAGCATTAGGAGAAATACCTGATGTAAATGACGAGTTGATGGGTGCAGCAAACCAACATGGCGCATGTATACCTATGTAACAAACCTGCATGTTGTGCACACGTACCCTAGAACTTAAAGTATTAAAAAAATTTAAAAAGCTAATAAAAATAGATAAAGTTTTTGAGCTTGCATTCCAGTGTACGAGACAATTATAAATATATTATAAAATGCCAGGTAGTAAGTGCTGTGGAGCCAAAGCAGGGCAATAAGACAGAGATTGACGGCAGGGGACGGAGACAGGCTGAGGGAGAATGGGGAGACCTTTCTTACATACTCAAAATGTTCTGCTTTGTTTTTACAATTATAATAGATGTCATAAAAGAAAAACAAGTATAAAAAAATAAAATTGTAGTGTGCAGGATGTAAAGGCTTCCCTGAGGAAAAAATCCCCTGGGCTGAAAGCTGAAGTTTCTTAACAGGATAGACATAAAAGAGGAACAGGAGGTGGGTCGGTTGGTGAGTGATAGAGCTTGCAGGAAGGGTCACGGGGCACTTCCCCCATTGGGCCTCAGTCTCCCAACCTAGGAAGAGAGGGCATTGGGCTCCAGGACCTCCAAGGCATCCTTCAGATCAGAATGACTCGGGTTCATGGTTGACATACTGAGTGAGTGCAGGGATCCTTTGTGAGCCTCTCTTCCTCTCTTTCCTGTTAAATGCTTCTGTCACATGGAACTCTGTCCTAAAGCATCTTCTCTCTTGAGTGGGTTTTCTCTGAGTAAGCTTGTCAATGACTCTTTAACTCATATATTGAGCTCAAATATCTCTTCTGAATGTCAGGACCTACATCCAAGTGCCTCCTGGATATCCCCTCCTTATCCGTAGGCTCATCAAAGGCAACATTTTCAAAACAGGTTATCATCTTCCTCACAAACGTGTTCATTTTCCTGGGCCATCTATTTCAGTAAATGGGTCCCCTCCATCACCAAAACCAGAAACCTGAGGATCATTTTTTATTCACTTATCTTTACTCTAAATATTTAATTGGGGATGAAATCCTTTAGCATCCAACTCAATGACATTTCTCAAACCTGTCTCTTCTAGCTTGCCTTCAGTGCTACAGCCTCTGTTAGCCTACCTCTGACCGGGTTGCTGCTATATTCTCCAAATTCTTCTTCCACAGATGAGATGTTCTCATGGATTGTGACCTCACCTCCTTCAAATCTTGGTTCAAGGGATACTGTCTCATTTGTCCTTTCCTGACCACTCTATTTTACGTTGCGAAACTCACTGCCTTCCTCTACCCTGCCCCCATTAACAGTCTCCCTTTCCCTGATCTGTTATTTTCCATAGCACTTTCTAACATATGATATTTATTTATTATATCTATTATTTCTTTCCTGTCTTTCTCAATTAGAATGTAAGCTCTGCAAGGACAAACATTTTTGTCTGTTGTGTTCAATGGCGTACACTAGGAGTCTAGACCTGTGCCTGGCACATAGTAAGTACTCAACAATTATCTACTGAATGAACGAATGAAACTGCCCTAGCTATATGCTCCATTGCCTCCAGCTTGTCTTCCACGTGTCCAGGGCAAATGTTTTTTTTTTTTTTTAAATTACACTTTAAGTTCTAGGGTACATGTGCACAACGTGCAAGTTTGTTACATATGTATACATGTGCCATGTTGGTGTGCTGCACCCATTAACTTGTCATTTACATTAGATATATCTCCTAATGCTATCCCTCGCTCCTCCTCCCACCCCACGGCAGGCCCTGGTGTGTGATGTTCCCCTTCCTGTGTCCAAGTGTTCTCATTGTTCAATTCCCACCTATGAGTGAGAACATGCAGTGTTTGGTTTTTTGTCCTTGCAATAGTTTGCTGAGAATGATGTTTTCCAGCTTCATCCATGTCCCTACAAAGGACATGAACTCATCCTTTTCATGGATGCATAGTATTCCATAGTGTACATGTGCCACATTTTCTTAATCCAGTCTATCATTGATGGACATTTGGGTTGGTTCCAAGTCTTTGCTATTATGAATAGAGCCGCAATAAACATGTGTGTGCATGTGTCTTTATAGCAGCATGATTTGTAATCCTTTGGGTATATACCCAGTAACAGGATGTCTGGGTCAAATGGTATTTCTAGGTCTAGATCCTTGAGGAATCACCACACTGTCTTCCACAATGGTTGAACTAGTTTACAGTCCCACCAACAGTGTAAAAGTGTTCCTATTTCTCCACATCCTCTCCAGGACCTGTTGTTTCCCAACTTTTTAATGATTGCCATTCTAACTGGTGTGAGATGGTATCTCATTGTGGTTTTGATTTGTTCAGGGCAAATGTTTCTAAACTACCAATCTTATCATGTGACCCCGTGCTTAGCATCATATGCCGCCTTGCATCACCTTGCATCCATCTATACCAGGCTAATGAAGTTCCTCAGAGAGATACTATGATTTCATGCCTTCCTATATTTGATCACACCGTTTCCTCTTCCAGGGGTGCTGTCTTCCCAGGGAAAGTAAATATCAGTCAAAATTAGCCTAAGCATCACCTCTTGTCTAAAGTTTTACCAGGTCATACAGAGATAACTGATTCACATTTGTGCTACCACCGTATCCTGTGTGGTAGGTTATTATAGCATTTATTTTGTTTCTTTACATTTCTGTCCACCCCAATTAAATTATAAGTTCTTGGGGGCAAGAATCATGTCTTATTCAATTTCGTATCCTCAGAGCCTGGTACAGTGTCCGGCATTTGCATACTTGTTTAACATTTGTTGAATAAATAAATGGGTATTAAGAAAGCAGTCTAGGAGGAGGGACTTTGGAATCCTGAATTCATCCAGGATTGAAGTAATGATGGGGATGATGGGTGTTATCCAGAAACTCCTTGGCCTCATAATTTTTTTTTTGTATCTTTAAGCTGAAAGTAACATTTTTTACAGAAGAGGCAGTCCTGTGCATCTGGAATGACTCAACTGTGTTATATTTCTTCTTAGGGCTAGTATCTCTAATTATGAAAAATCTCATCATCATTACTGAGTTCGTCCTTATGGAATCATCTAGAAATCCTCAGATCCAGACCATGACCTGTATGCTCCTGGTGATTTATCTGTTGTCACTGATGGAGAACCTGATGATGATCCTGGTGATCAGGACCAATTCCCACCTTAAAACAACCATGTACTTCTTTCTGGGTCACCTGTCACTGTTAGATCTCTGCCTTCCTTCAATCCCTGTGCCCAAGATGCTGCAGAATTTATTAACTCAAAGGTAAACCATCTCTATGTGGTACTGCATTGTCCAGAGTTTCTTTCTCATATTCTCTGGGAGCACAGAAGCCTGCCTACTCCTTGCCATGGCCTGTGATCACTCTACTTCCAACTGCCACCCTCGGCTCAACGATGTGGTTATGAATCAGCCTGTCTGTGTCAGGATGGTGATTGCAGCATGGGCAGTGGGATTCCTAAACTCCTTGACAAAGAATCTTTTCATTTACAACTTACACTTCTGTGGCCCCAGTGTCATCCCTCACTTCTGCTGTGAGCTGCCTTCACTCTTCCCTCTCTCTTGTATTGATCCAGCTGCCAGTGAGGTCCTTCCTGCTGGGTCATGTACATTGCTAGGATTTGTGACTTGCCGCTGGTCCTCTTTTCTTACTCTAACACCATCTCTGCCTCCTAGCCATTTGTTTTTCTGAGGGTCAAGGCAAAGCCTTCTCCACCTGCTCCTCCCACCTCACCGTGGTGCTTTTGTACTATGGTAAGGTTTTATTAAGGTACACGACCCCTCTCTTAGGTTCCATCTTGGAGCAAGTGGTCTGCATTCAGTACAGTGTGATCACATCTTCACTGAAGCCACTCATCTGCAGCCTCAAGAACCAGGAGGTGAAGACAGCTCTGTGTAAAATGTTGAAGCAGTAAACATGCCCCTCCCTGTATGGAGGATTCATGTTACATTTGGTCTGAAGGCAATGAGAAAAAATACTCAAGAGGATGAAGTACATAAATGGCTCATTCCGTCACTTAAGAAAATTGCCGTTTGATGAACATAACCTCTAGGGTCTGGGTAATAGAAGATTCAAGCGTGAGATGGCTTATTTTATTGTATTTGGTAAGAAAATAAACACTGAGAAATAGGCCCTGGAATGGAGTTGTGTGGGGAGACAGAGTCCAAACCTGCTCGTTTTGCTTAAGAGTTTTGAAAGTATAGAACTCCCAAGGGTTTTAAAACATAAGAGTGTGAAATACTCTTCAGAGTGTAAACTAGTTACTGATTGAAGATGGTACTGAAGGAAGATTGCTTCATCCACCTGACTGGGGCTCCCCTAAAATGTTGATGTGTCTGATTAGAGTTGACTAACTTTCTGGATGCCAGAAAGCAAAGACACAGATTGCCAAGAACTCGCCCTAACCTGTTCAAAGGAAAAATAACTGTTTCAGGTGTGCTAATAATAACATTGTGAATGTCTTGCATAGAATCTGGTTGCTTGGTTTGGAATAGTTTCTGAAACTATTCCAAACAATTGAAAAGGAGGGACTCCTCTCAAACTTATTACATGAGGTGAGCATCATCCTGATACCAAAACCTGGCAGATATATAACAACAACAAGAAACTTCAGGCCAGTATCCCTAATGAATATCAATGCAAAAATCCTCAATAAAATATGGCAAACTGAATTCAGGAGCACTTCAAAAAGCTTACCTACCATGATCAAGTCAGCTTCATCCCAGGATTGCAAGGTTGGTTAAACATATGCAAAACAGTAAACATAATTCATGATGTAAATAGAACTAAAGACCAAAACTAAATGATTATCTCAATAGTTGCAGAAAAGGCCTTCAATAAAATTCAACATCCCTTCATGTTAAAAACTCTCAATAAACAAGGTATTGAAGGAACATACCTCGAAATAAAAAGAGTCATATATGACAAACCCACAGCCAATATCATACTGAAGAGGCAAACGCTAGAAGCATTCCTTTTGAAAACTGGCACAAGACAAGTTTGCCCTCCCTCACCATTCCTATTAAACATAGTATTAGAAATTCTGGCCAGGGCAATCAGGCAAGAGAAAGAAATAAAGGATACTCAAATAGGAAGAGAGGAAGTCAAATTGTCTTGTTTGCAGATGACATGATCCTATATCTAGAAAGCCCTATCATCTTAGCCCAAAAGCTTCTTAAGCTGATAAACAACGTCTGCAGTCTCAGGATACAAAATCAATGTGCAAAAGTTACAAGCATTCCTATACACCAACAACAGACAAGCAGAGAGCCAAATCATGAATGAACTCCCATTCACAATTGCTACAAAGAGAATAAAATACCTAGAAATACAGCTAACAAGGGAAGTGAAGGACCTCTTCAATGAGAACTACAAACCAAATCAGAGAGGACATAAACAAATGGAAAAGCATTCCATGCTCATGGATAGGAAGAATCAGTATTGTGAAAATGGCCATACTGCCCAAAGCAATTTATAGATTCAATGCTATTCCCATTAAACTACCATTGACATTCTTCACTGAACTGGGAAAAATTATTTTAGAATTCACATGGGACCAAAAAAGAGCCTGTATAGCCAAGACAATCCTAAGCAAAAAGAACGAAGCTGGAGGCATCATGCTACCTGACTTCAAACTACATTACAAGGCTACAGTAACAAAAACAGCATGGAACTGGTACAAAAACAGACACATGGACCAATGGAACAGAATGGAGAACTCAGAAATAAGTTCTACAACCATCTGATCTTCGACAAACCTGACAAAAACAAGCAATGGGGAAAGAAAATCCTTTAAATGGTGCTGGGAGAACTGGCTAGCCATATGCAGAAAATTGAAACTGGACCCCTTCCTTACACCATATACAAAAATTAACTCAAGATAGATTAAAGAGTTAAATGTAAAATCCAAAACTATAAAAACCCTAGAAGAAAATCTAGGCAATACTATACAGGACAAGGGCACGGGCAAAGATTTCTTGACAAAAATGGCAAAAGCAATTGCAACAAAAGCAAAAATCAACAAATGGAATCTAATTAAACTAAGGAGTTTCTGCACAGCAAAATAAAATATCATCAGAATAAATAGAGAACCTACAGAATGGGAGAAAAAAATTGCAATCTATCCATCTGACAAAGGTCTAGTATCCAGTCTACAAGGAACTTAAACAAATGTACAAGAAAAAACAAACCCCATTAAAAAGTGGGCAAACAAATGAACAGACACTTCTCAAAAGAAGACATTTATGCAGCCAACAAACATATGAAAAAAAGCTCAACATCACTGATAATTAGAGAAATGCAAATCAAAACCACAATGAGATATCATTTCATTCCAGTCAGAATGGCAATTATTACAAAGTCAAGAAACAACAGACGCTGGCGAGGCTGTGGAGAGATAAAAATGCTTTTACACTGTTGGCAGTAATGTAAATTAGTTAAACCATTGTGGAAGACAGTGTGGCGATTCCTAAAAAACCTAGAACCGGAAATACCATTTGACCCAGCAATCCCCTTACTGAGTATATACCCAAAGGAATATAAATCATTCTATTATAAAGATACATGCATGTGTATGTTTGCTGTAGCACTATTCACAATAGCAAAGACATGGAATCAACCCAAATGCCCATCAATGATATGAAGAATTTTCTTCTGGATGAAGGAAATGTGGTACATATACACCATGGGATATCATGCAGCCATAAAAAGGAATGACATGATGTCCTTTGCAGGGACATGGACGGAGCTGGAAGCCGATATTGTTATCCTCAGCAAACTAATGCAGGACAGAAAATCAAACAATGCATGTTGAATAGTGAGAACACATGGACACAGGGAGGGGAACAACACACGCTCGCGGCTGTCAACAGGGGTAGGGTAGGGATGTGGGGGACAGGGTGAGGGAGAGCATCAGGAAAAACAGCTAATGCATGCTGGGCTTAATACTTAGATGATGGGTTGAAGGTGCAGCAAACCACCATGGCACATGCTTTTGTATTAAACAAACCTGCACATCTTGCACATGTACCCAAGAACTTAAAATAAAATAAAATAAAATAAAAAATTTAAAAAGACAGTATAGTGCTATCGCAAGAACAGACAGATCAAGAAATGTAATAAGAAACGTAGAAATCAAAAACATTAATATAAGCATTTAGAACAAGTTTATAAACCCTCATCTCTAATTCTAAACTCTCCAAAACGCTCTAAAAACTAAACTTTTTTTTTTTCTCAAAACTAATTTGGAGGAACATTGGAAGTTAACTGACATGAGGCTATTTGTAGCCCTGTATCCCACTTAGGAGTACTCAGACGTTTCACTATAGATAGTAATGTGTTTGATTATGGGCATGTTGCATAATATGTGGTATATTACATATGTCTATTTTCTGAAGAATTGGGACAATCTCAGAAATGAATTAAAGTATAGAAGGGTGAAGGTTAAATTTTCACTAACTTGTACTTTCCTCTTTCTCTTCAACAGAAAGATCTAAATCTTAGTGTTTTCATATGTAGAGGACTTTAAAGTCAATTTATTATTCATGGAAGGTTTTCAAACTTGATTATATTTTTAAGGCTTCTTCCTGAGGAAAGGGGGTTACTAAATGCTCCTGCTTTGTTTTTAAATGGAGAAACATAAGTAGTTTCTACAAATAAGTTGAGTAGAAAGTCTTGATGGAAAGGCAGATACAAGAGAAGAAAAAGAACATGGTTGGTTCCAGGAGATGCTCAAGGAGAATGGTGCTATCTTTGGGTACTTACTCAACATCCCTCCTGGCACAAGATTACCACAAGGGACCATCTGGCACAAGATTACCAACAAATTCATGAAGAAATACAGATAAGTCACACAAACTAGCCGTGAGCTTTCCTCAGGATTGAAGGAGATGAAAGAGTAAAATAAGAAATACCAGATTCTCTTAGCTGGGAACAAAAGACTCAAGACAGCCTCCACTGGATGCCACAGCACCTTAGCCTCTACCCAGAAGTGACCTTCAAGTGAACTGCTCTGAGTTTGAGCATGACTTCAGACCTAGCATTGACTGGGAGCTAAGTGTGCTTTGTGGGAAATGCAATTGTAGCCCTCTGTGGAAGACAATTACTGCTGGAGAGAGTTTTTTTGCACATATTGCATTCCTGCTGTGGAGGCAGCTGACAGCCTAGCTTGAAATGCAGTGTGTATTTTGGACCCGGGACAGCCCTGTTCACTGAGGAGGTGAGTGAGCCAGAGCTACATCGAATTGGGGGAATCTGAATGGGCCTTAGTTATAAATTTCTTTTTAAAAATAAACTATTAGAATTGGAAACTGGACCCAGGATGGTAATATTGTTGCTCAAAGTCACAAAATCAGGTAGTGACTGTCCTCTAAGTTAGATCTCTCTACCCACTTGCCCATTGGGGTTTCTCTATTCTGTTTTTTCATGTACCAGGATCTGGACAAAAACAAACAAATAAAAAAGCTTTCTTTGAGATGAAAGATGAGTGGAGTGGTGAATATAGAGACCAGAAAAAAAGAGTCTTTTTCCTTACTTCTGATCAAAGATTCCTTAAGTGACTCATTTTAAAAGTTGCTTTATTAGCTAAATATTTTGTTCATTAAAATAAAACCCACTGCAAAAGCCACACACATAAAAACAAATAAATGAAGAGCCATGGTGATTATAGTGCATGAGGCAGGGACAGGGAGAGACCGACACACAGGACTAGCCTCTCAGTGCTTGTGGCGGCCCCTGAAGCTTGGGGGCAGCATATTTGCGTTCCATGCAACACACTTGGAAAGTTCACTAGAGTCTGGGATCCTGGGGCTTTCTAGAGTTCAGTTGAGGTCATGCTCTGCCTCCAGATGTGTTTCTAATATAGCACAGTAGCTCTTGAAAGAGTATGATAAAGAGTGAGAAAGATCAAAAATGAAAAGTTAAATTTGCTATTGCTATTTTTAGGAAAGGGACAAGAAGAGGACTGTTCTTTGTATGAATAAATCTCAGTCCTTCTCGTGTTACTTACTTGATGCATCACCACCCAATGCTTCAGGTAGGGAAACAAGTCAGGGAAAACTAGAAGTGCCCTCTCTGATACCCCATTTTCCCCATTCCTGTAGAGTTCCGCTTCTTTAAGTCTGAGTTGCTTTCAGTCCTCCATCTGGCTTTACCTTAGTCTTCTCTTCCTGGAATTTTCCGTGACTCAGAAGTCCCCATCTTTCTTCCAAGAGGTCAGACTCCTCATGCCCATATCTTTGTGAGCATTGGGAGAATGTGAGGAAGAAGTTCCAGGCATGGTCAATGACTCAAATGCCCAGGGCCACTTCACATTCCTGCCTAGACTCCTAAGTCTCCTCAGGAAAATGCATAGTCTCCAAACCAAGAAAGATTTTCCCATAAGCACACTTTTACAGTATTGCAAAGCAGTAAAAACATAGGATTTGAAGTCAAAGGGCCTTGGGCATGAGTC
The DNA here is from genome assembly GCF_000001405.40 of Homo sapiens. NCBI lineage: Eukaryota > Metazoa > Chordata > Mammalia > Primates > Hominidae > Homo > Homo sapiens. The sequence goes on along the minus strand of NC_000012.12, from coordinate 48,388,944 downwards.
TCAATTCCATCACTTTGTAAGGTGTGTGACTGAGTGTGCCACTTAACCTTCCTGACCTACAGAAATGGGGTCAGAAATACCTGTACTATCAGTTTTTGTGAGAATTAAATGAGATCAACAGCATTCTGTTATGGTGTCTGACATACATGATGCATAAAATAAATGATAGTTATTATCATATGAGTATGTAAGTAGGTGGGAACAGCAATAAGAATAAGGAAATGAGGTTTGAAGGAGGTAAGGAAAGAAAAAAATGTTTGTATTTTTCTGATGGGAGAGCAATATAAAATACAAGCGGTGAGTCAGCATGTCTTGGCAAGAGAGAGGAGAGTGAATGTCCAGAGAGAATAAAAAATGAAGAAGGCTTGGAAGTCTGGCTGAGAGGAACTGGGAGCCAGAAAGCACTTTTCCTATTTAAAAAAAAATGCTTTTACTGAAAACATAATTTTACAGCACAGGTGAAATATTTCATGGGGAAAATTGTGCACAATCTAGACACCAAAAGATCTCAAATATTTATTTTACCCATATTCTATTTCAGTCTTATACATATTTTTAAAACTTTTATTAAAAGTATGTCTTATGAAGATTTTAATCACATTTGCTCCAATTTTATACCCATTTTGCATTTGGGAAGGTTATGTCTTGAAAAGTTTTCACAGACTTTTCAAGGTAATCAGCAAGGGCTTCCTAACTCTGAGTCTAGTGCTCACTTTACCGCCATAGTAGCTGCTGTAGAAACTTAAGACATGTTGCAAACTCACAGGACCAAGAAATATTAGGGTCACTCCTGTCCTGCCCAGTCCACACCAGGCTCAATGCAAAACTGCTTAAATCCACAAATATCTATTGCCCATGTGTGGAGCATCAGAAAGAGAACTGGATGAGAAATCAGAACAACTTGCTTGGTCTTGGCTCTGAAACCACCTAGCTACGTGACCTTGTGCAAGACATGTCATTTCCCTCTTCCATATTGTCCTTATGTGAAAATACAGAGTCAGATAACATGCCTCTGAATGTTCCTTTCAGATGAAATGTGCTAAGAATTTAAGCTCCAATTGTTTGGAAAAATAGCCTCCCACAAAAGAGTTTCACTTTGGCATCTTTCTACTCATTTCAACTCTAGGGCTCACCTGATCTTGGATGTTACCAGCTGAAAGGCTGGGGAAGAGTACAAGAGGATAGAGACTGTGGGAGGTGTCTTGCTTCTAAGCAGAGAGCTGGTAGCATGAGGGTTAGGGGAAGACATTATAGCTGAGGAGGCATTCATTCTTTCATTTGGCAAATACTGAGAGCCTTCTAACTGGGTCTACTGCGTTTCTAGGACTGTGACACTTCCCTGATCATCTTCTCTAACTCAAAAGTTTTTAAGACGGTGACAATTATTGGCTTTGGGGAGTGCATCAGTGTTGTGCCGAACCCCTATCAACTCCAGTGGGGATGGCACCAGGTTCAAGAGGCCAAAGAAGAGACTCAGAGCCAGCAAATGAGACATGGAGTTTTATTGGGGGCTTACATAGAGGGGAGAGAGTCCAATGGCGATGGACTAGATAAGATAACTGCACGGCCCAGTGGCAGCAGGCTGGGCAGGAGAACTGCCTTACATACAGTACAGCAATGGCAGACTGGGCAGAAGAACTTCAACTGCTTGCAAAAGGCCTGCAGTTTATATAGCATTGTCACTTAGCAACACCCTCCCCCACCCCCCACAAAAGAGTCTCCATCCAGCAACTTAAGCTTAACCCAAAACAAGGGACCTTGATCCCCTGTATGGCCCACATTCTACTGGACGAGCCGGAGGCTCAGCTGTTCCTCATGGACAAGGAACAAATCTCTGGGCTGGCCACTCCCGGATTCCCCAGCTTGGAACACACATTCAGGTGTGTCTGCCGTACTGGGTCATTCTCAGGGTATGCTTAAGTTACTGCTATCAGGTGGGTTTACCATACACTCTGTAGGGGAAAAAAAGACAAATATCCTTGCCTGTGTATAATATAGTATAATATAAATTCCAGAAGGCAGAGATAATTTTTTAATGTACTAAGTAAGTCAAGTATCTGTTAGAAAGCATTAAGTGTTATGAGGGAAAAGAAGATTAGCTGGATGAGGGGCTTAGGAGAGCTTGGCAGAAGGAAAGTTGCAGTATTTAATAGAGTAATTTGATATTCCTTTGGCCTCAGATTTAATATCTGGATTGAAGGTAAAATGTGAATTTTTTTTTTTTTTTGAGATGCAGTCTTGCCTGTTGCCCAGGCTGGAGTGCAGTGGCACCATCTCGACTCACTGCAAGCTCCGCCTCCAGGGTTCACGCCATTCTCCTGCCTCAGCCTCCCAAGTAGCTGGGACTACAGGCGCCCGCCACCACACCCAGCTAATCTTTTTGTATTTTTAGTAGAGACGGGGTTTCACCGTGTTAGCCAGTATGGTCTTGATCTCCTGACCTTGTGATCCGCCCGCCTCGGCCTCCCAAAGTGCTGGGATTACAGGCGTGAGCTGCTGTGCCCAGCCAAGGTGAATTCTTTATAGGTTAAAATCACTGAGAAAGACTCAGATAATTGTCCTACCAGATGAAATATTCATATATGTTTCTTTCTGGGGATAGTATCTCTAAGAAACCATCAAAAATGTTAGCATTATCGATGAATTAATTTGTGTTTCTGGGGCTGTCCAGTGCCCCACCCCCAGATCCAGACCCCACTCTTTGTGCTGTTCCTGGTGATTTATCTCCTGACCCTGATAGGGAATCTGATGATGCTGTTGGTAATCAATGCTGATTCTTGCCTCCGTACCCCCATGTAATTCTTCCTTGGACATTTTTTCTTCCTAGATATATGTTACTCCTCAGTCACTGCCCAAGATGCTGCAGAATTTCCTGTTTCATAAAAACCTATCTTGGTGTGGGGTTATATCACCTAGAGTTTCTTTTTCATTTTTTCTTGGGGCACCAATGGCTGCTTGCTCTCTGCCATCACCTATGCCTGCTATGCTGCCATCTGCCACCCTCTGCTCTCTACCATGGTCATGAACCGACCTCTCTGCACTGCAACGGTCAATGCAACCAACAAGATGGGGTTTCTGAACTCACAAGTGAACAATCTTTGTATCCAAACTTGCAGTTCTGTGGTCCCAATATCATTCTCCACTTCAGTTATGAAACGGTCTTCACGCTTCCCTCTGTCCTGCACTGATCCCATGCTAACACCATTCTTCTATCTGGATCTATTGCATTTCTCAGACTTGTGACACTTCCTCTGAACCTCTTTGCTTACTCAAAAATTATGTTTGCCATTCTAGGTATTTCTTCCTCTGGGTGGCCAAGGCAAAACCTGTTACTCCCATCTCACCATGGTGCTTTTGTTCTATGGGACAGCTCTATTCAAGCACATCAGCCCACCTTTAGGATCAGTCCTGGAGCAAGCGGTCTCTATACAGTATGCACAATTTCATACTTGTATATTGTATAGAGGTGTGATCACATCCTTGCTGAACCTCCTCATCTATAGCTTCAAGAAACAGGAAGTGAAGGCTGTTCACTTTGAACATAGGGAAAAATGGCATATGTGCCTGCAAATGGTCAAGGAGTAGTGAAAACAAAGAATAAACATATTAAATGTCCATTGACAGATGAATGGATAAAGAAAATGTAGTATTGGGTCAGCTGTGGTGGCTCACACCTGTAATCCAAGCACTTTGGGAGGCTGAGGTGAGAGGATCACTTGAGCCCAGTAGTTCAAGACCAGCTTGGGCAACATAGTGAGATCCCACTCTACAAAAACAAAAAACTAGAAAACGACCTGGGCATGGTGGCATGCACCTTTAGTCACAGCTACACAGGAAGCTGAGACAAAAGGATCGCTTAAGCCCAGGGGGTCAAGGCAGCAGTAAGCCATGATCATGCTACTGTACTCCAGCACGGGTTACAGAGTGAGACTCTGTCTCTAAATAAATAAATAAGAAAAAGAAAAGGAAAGAAAATACGATGTATATACATACAACGTAGTATTATTTAGTTTTAAAAAAGAAGAAAATCCTGTCAAGTACTACAACATGGAGGAACCATGAGGATATTATGCTAAATAAAATAAGTTAATCACAAAAAGGAAAATTCTGTGTGATTCTACTTATACAATGTATCTAATACAGGCAAACTGATAGAAGCAGAACATAGAATGGAAATGGTAGTTGCTGTTCATAGGTATAGAGTTTCAGTCATGCAGAACAGAAAAGATAACTATTGGGTACTGGGCTTAATACCTGGATAAAGAAATAATCTGTACAACAAACCCTTGTGACACAAATTCACCTATGTAACAAACCTTCACATGTACTCCCAAACCTAAAATAAAAGTAAAAAAAATTAAATTAATAAATAAATTTAAAATCAGGACATGAAATTGTGCAAACTTGAAGAGCTAAACTTTCTTTAAAAGGTATGTGCAGGCTGGGTGTGGTGGCTTACCCCTGTAATCCCAGCACTTTGGGAGGCTGAAGCGTGCAGATAACCTGAGGTCAGGAGTTTAAGACCAGCCTGGCCAACATGGTGAAAACCTGTCTCTACTAAAAATACAAAAAATTAGCTGGGCGTGGTGGTGGGCAACTGTAATCCCAGCTACTCGGGAGGCTGAGGCAGGAGAATCACTTGAACCTGGGAGGCGGAGGTTGCAGTGAGCCGAGATCGTGTCATTGCACTCCAGCCTGGGCAACAAGAGCAAAAAACTCCACTCAAAAGGAAAAAAAAAAAGGTATATGCACTCCCCAAAAGTCTTGAAATAAAAGTATGCCAAAATACAAAAAAAGAGTTTCAATTATGCAAGGTTAAAATAAAATAATAAATATCATTAAACACAATGATAAAATGGGCAAAGAAACATATACATATATATATAATTTGACCACAATTTATATTAAATTATCTCAGAAACCAAACTAGGTATATGTAATAGAACCATAAAATGGTCAGGCACATTTTAAAACCTTATCTTTCTTATAAGTGAAGTTCTTACCCTTTCCCTAAATGAAAAGTTGCACCAGTCCCAATAATCATTGTATCCACTGCTGTTGTATTAATTACTCCTCATGTTCTATCATAGTCCCACTGAATATCTGTTCCTTAAAGATAAAACTGTAATGCTAAACTCCAACAATGAAGAAAGCCTCCAAGAAATATGGGACTATGTCAAAAGACCAAACCTACATTTGATTGGTGCACCTGAAAGTGACGGGGAGAATGGAACCGAGTTGGAAAACACTCTTTAGGATATTATCCAGGAGAACTTCCCCAACCTAGCAAGACAGGCCAACAGTCAATTTCAGGAAATACAGAGAACACCACAAAGATAGTCCTTGAGAAGAGCAACCCCAAGACACATAATTGTCAGATTCACCAAGGTTGAAATGAAGGAAAAAATGTTAAGGGCAGCCAGAGAGAAAGGTTGGGTTACCAACAAAGGGAAGCCCATCAGACTAACAGCAGATCTCTCTGCAGAAACCCTACAAGCCAGAAGAGAGTGGGGGCCAATATTCAACATTCTTAAAGAAAAGAGTTTTCAACCCAGAATTTCATATTCAGCCAAACTAAACTTCATAAGTGAAGGAGAAATAAAATCCTTTTCAGACAAGCAAATGCTGAGAGATTTTGTCACCACGGGGCCTGCCTTACAAGAGCTCCCGAAGGAAGCACTAAATATGGAAAGGAAAAACTGGTACCAGCCACTGCAAAAATATACCGAATTGTAAAGGTCACCGACACTATGAAGAAACTGCATCAATTAATGGGCAAAGTAACTAGCTAGCATCATAATGACAGGATCAAATTCACACATAACAATATTACCCTTACATGTAAATGGGCTAAATGCCCCAATTAAAAGACACAGACTGGCAAACTGGATAAAGAGTCAAGACCCATTGGTGTGCTGTATTCAGAAGACCCATCTCACATGCAAAGATACACATAGGCTCAAAATAAAGGGATGGAGGAAAAATTACCAAGCAAATGGAAAGGAAAAAAAAAAGCAAAGGTTGCAATCCTAGTCGCTGATAAAACAGACTTTAAGTCAACAAAGATCAAAAAAGACAAAGAAGGCCATTACATAATGGTAAAGGGATCAATTCAATAAGAAGAGCTAACTATCCTAAATATATATGCACCCAATACAGGAGAGCCCAGATTCATAAAGCAAGTTCTTAGAGACCTACAAAGAGACTTAGACTCCCACACAATAATAGTGGGAGACTTTAACACCCCACTATCAATATTAGACAGATCAATGTGACAGAAAATCAACAAGGATAGGACTTGAACTCAGCTCTGGACCAAGCAGACCTAATAGACATCTACAGGACTCTCCACCCCAACTCAACAGAATATACATTCTTCTCAGTACCACATTGCACTTATTCTAAAATTGACCACATAATTGGAAGTAAAACACTCCTCAGCAAATGCAAAAAAACGGAAATCAAAACAGTCTCTCAGAACACAGTGCAATCAAATTAGAACTCAGGATTAAGAAACTCATTCAAAACGGCACAACTACATGGAAACGGAACAATCTGCTACTGAATGACTACTGGGTAAGTAACGAAATGAAGACAAAAATAAATTAGTTCTTTGAAACCAGTGAGAACAAAGACACAATGTACCAGAATCTCTGGGACACAGCTAAAGCAGTGTTTAGAGGGAAATTTTATAGCACTAAATGCCCACAGGAGAAAGTGGGAAAGATCTAAAATCGACACCCTAACATCACAATTAAAAGAACTAGAGAAGCAAGAGCAAACAAATTCAAAAGCTAGCAGAAGACTAGAAATAACTAAGATCAGAGCAGAATTGAAGGAGATAAAGACATGAAAAACCCTTCAAAAAATCAGTGAATCCAGGAGCTGTTTTTCTGAAAAGATTAACAAAATAGATAGACCACTAGCCAGACTATTAAAGAAGAAAAGAGAGAAGAATCAAAGAGACAATAAAAAATGATAAAGGGGATATCACCACTGATACCACAGAAATACAAACTACCGTCAGAGAATACTACAAACACCTCTACACAAATAAACTAGAAAATCTAGAAGAAATGAATAAATTCCTGGACACATACACCCTCCCAAGACTAAACCAGGAAGAAGTAGAATCCCTGAATAGACCAATAACAAATTCTGAAATTGAGGCACTAATTAATAGCCTACCAACCAAAAAAAGCCCAGGACCAGATGGATTCAAAGCTGAATTCTACCAGAGGTACAAAGAGGAGCTGGTACCATTCCTTCTGAAACTACTCCAAATAACAGAAAAAGAGGGAATCCTCCCTAACTCATTTTATGAGGCCAGCATCATCCTGATACCAAAACCTGGCAGAGACACGACAAAAAAAGAAAACTTCAGGCCAATATCCCTGATGAATATCAGTGCGACAATCCTCAATAAAACACCGGCAAACCGAATCCAGCAGCACATCAAAAAGCTTATCCACCATGATCAAGTCGGCTTCATCCCTGAGATGCAAGGTTGGTCCAACATATGCAAATTAATAAACATAATCCATCACATAAACAGAACCAATGACAAAAACCACAGGATTATCTCAATAGATGCAGAAAATGCCTTCGATAAAATTTAACAATGCTTCATGCTAAAAACTCTTAATAAACTAGGTATGGATGGAACGTAGCTCAAAATAATAATAGCTATTATGACAACATATACAAAATAAAAAAAAGAGAGAAAGAGAAGGAAAATTTTTTAGCATATACAAATAAATATATACATCTATAAGCAAAGAGGAAATATGCAAACTTACTACAGTCCTCGTTTCTCTAATTGGTCATGAAGCCATAATTGATGTCCATGGCTTTCTTCTTCATTATTCATTTCATATTTCCCCTTCACTCAGCCAGAATCTGGCCAGAATTATTTACCTGTGAAGTATCCCAAATCTTCATTCCTGAAGTGTATGAGTCCTCAACTGTTCCGTCTTTGATTAGAGGGGGAGCATGTATAGTTTTCTGTTAACCTTTACTACTGGGCATGGATGGACTAAGAGGAAATCCATAGGATACCCAGAGTTCCAGGCATAGTCATACTTGCCCTCACTTGGTGGCAACCACCTGATTTCCCCTTGATAATCAGGATTAGTCACACCAGCCAGTTGAATAACCCCCACTTTTTTTTTGTCTGTTGATTCAGAAGCATGAAGAATCCAAAATGGCCAGGTGGCTGTCTCATCTTCCAATACACTGGAACCATTGTTATGTCTCTGGTTGAAGCATTTCCTCTTGGGGAGTAAGACCTCCAACCTCAAATTTGCTGGAATGGGTTATTGGTAACAGTAGTTAGAGAACAACTCACTCTTTCTCCCCTTGATTCTCAGGTGGATATATGGGAGAGATAATAACATACAATAGTTTGATTCAAATAATGTCTTGCATGCTTTAACACAGGACCCTACATTTTGGGGTGTAGTTTCCCAGCTGGTACCATAACTGAGTCTTCAGGAAGCCCATTCAACCTTTCAGTCAGTTCAGTCGCCTCTGGTTGATGGGGTATGTGGTAAGCCCAGTTATATCCATGGGCAAGAGCTCATTATTGCACTTCCTTTTCTGGGTAAGGAATTCCTCGGCAGGAAGCAATCTCTATTTAAAAGCTATGTATCAAATAATCAATTTTTTGATGTTTGACTGCTAACAGCTTTTAAACATCACCCTCCCTCATCCCCTTTAGCCCACATTTGGGCAACCTGATAAGAAAGTCCAGACGTTCCCACCTTCGGTGTCAGTGGGAAGTTCAAACTATGCATGGGAATTTTCATCCCCGCCCCACCCTTTAGCCATCATAAAAACCCCTAGCCAGTCTCTTTTCCTTGTTTTCCTAAGCAATTTTTGGACCTGCCTGGGAGCCACCCTACTCTCCCCTGAAAGCTTCATTATGTGACTAATAAAAGCTTTTCATACGAGGTGTTGCATCATCAGTTTCAACATCTGAACCATGTTTTGATTGGAAATACATTTGTTTCTGTGGGGTAAATACAACACAATACTATGTGGAATGCCATGAAAGTAGAAAAGACATTTTGTGATGCCACAGATGATGAGGCTGGCAGAAACATTACAGGCAAGGAAGGAAAATTTATATCCAGAACATGTGTCTATTCCAGTGAGAACAAAACTCTGTTCACTCCATGACAGAAGAGTTCCAATATAACCAATTACCACCAGATGATTGACTTGTCCTCCTAATCAACAGCACTGTATTGAAGATCCAATGTTTGTCTCTGCTGTTGGCATATTAGGCATTCAGCCATAGCATTATCCAGGTCAGCCTTGATAAGGGGAAGTCCATGTTGTTGATTCTATGCATAGACTCTATCACTGCCATAAGGGTAACTTTATTTCAGGGACCCTTTTAGCAAACACTGGAGTATCTTGAGGGGAAAAGGCTGAGTGAAATCCAAAGAGTACATCATGCAGTGTAACTGATTACTAAGAGCTGTCTCTGTTGTAGATGTCCTTCAATGGGCATTCACATGGGATATATCTTCAAAGTCCCTGCCCATTTGGAGAGTTTCATTTATGTATCTCTTTCCCAGAATTCCTTGTTACCAATCTTTCAATGATATTCTAAGTCCCTGGTCATTCAGCAAAAGCATTAGCAATAGGTTATAAAGTCAGTGTAGACACATACTTCTGGCCATCTGTCACCCCAGACATAGTGGACAACTAAGTGTAGTATTTAAGTGTCTATCCACTGGGAGGATTTTCCTTTATGATGGTCCTGCAAGGTCATACACCCTCAGTGGGGCTATGACGCTTCAGATGTACACTTTCAGTTGGTGCTAGCATATTATAGAGATCCAACTATAAATCAGATTCACATTTTTTCATCTACAGTCAACTGGTTATATTGAATACTCTAGCCATGGATTGAGGAGAGGAGGCAATACAGAAGATATTAGTGTAGGCTGGCTGCAGTGGCTCATGTCTGTAATCCCAGCACTTTGGGAGGCCAAGGTGGGTGGATTGCTTGAGCTCAGGAGCTCGAGACCAGCCTGGGCAACATGGTGAAACACTGTCTCTACCAAAAATACAAAAACTAGCTGGACATGGTGGCAGGTGCCTGTAGTTCCAGCTACTTGGGATGCTGAGGTGGGAGGATCACCTGAGCTTGGGAGGTCAAGGCTGCAATGAGCCGTGATCATGCCACTGCACTCCAGCCTGAGTGACAGAGTGAGACCATCTCAAAAACAAACAAAGAAGCTATTAGTGTAAAGGAGTTTAAACCACATTCTCATACAATTTACCCATGCCTTCCAGATTTGTCCAAGCCTATGTACTATTTCCATTTGATGATAAATTGTTGCTATATGTACCTAACCTTATGACTAGGTGGGTCAAACAACCCCCAGTTCATGATGGGAAGCTTAGGGCAAATGTCCATTTGAGGTCCATGGTTAAGCATTCAGTCTTTAACAAGGCCCAGTCATAAACCAGAAGCTATTTCACAAAAGGAGAATAGTTATGTAAAGAAGAGTGTATAAACTTGCTTCCAAACCCTACAAGTCTGTGTTATGATATCCCTGTTGGCTCGATATATCATCCTTATTTGCCATGGATTCTTTGAATATCATTGGATTTTCTAGATCAGAAGGTCCAAATGGTAGGGTTGTTTATACTGCAGCTTGAACTTCTTGTACAACCTTCTCTTGGTACAATCCCTGCTTGAAACTGGGAGTCTTATGAGTAGTTCCTTAAATTAGTTGAGGTAGCACAAATAAATATAGTATATGTTGCTTCCAAATCCAAAAAAACCAGTAAAGCATCGTGCCCCTACTTTTTTGGTAAAGATTGCAAAGTGCCGCAACTTCTCTTTCACTTTGAAAGATATATGTCAATATTCTGCAGACCAGTTGAATGACCAGAAACTTATTGAGATGGAAGGCATATGAAATTTTTAAGATTCATCCCCCTCTAGTTCACATTGTCTTACTAAGGAATCTAAAGTGTTTGCTACTTCCTGCTTATCAGATCCAACCAGAGTGATTCTTTATGGAATGTTGAGACAATCAAGGTCCCTGAAGCCTATTTTATGACACAGAGTAGAAGTGACCTGGCCCTGAAGCAATACTGTGAAGGTACTCTGTTAATGCTTCCAGGTCAAAGCAAACTGTTTTTGATGGGCCTTGCAAGCTGGGATGAAGGAAATGGCATTAGCCACGTCAATAGCTGCACAGCAAGTATTAGGAGGCATACTGATTTTCTCCAATAAGATTCCTCATCTAGCAGAGCCAGCGAAATTGGAGTCACCACTTAATTAAATTCATTGTAGTCCACAGTCATTCTCAAAAATCCATCTGACAGCTACACGAGTCAAACAGGTGAGTTAAATGGAGGTACCACCACTCTTGATTCATTCACATCTTTGATGTCATTAATCTTTGCAGATTCCCCAGAGATACAACATTGCTTCTAGGTCATTATCTTGATAGACTGGGGGAGGTCCAAAGACTTCCACATAGCTCTCCCTACAATAATGACCCTCATCATCTTGGGTAAGAGTGCTAATGTGTGAATTCTGCCACTTGCCATGCAGTCTATTTCATTTGTATGTTCCCAAACTGGGGTAATAACCAAAGTGCATTGTGAACCAAATAGGTCAACTGTCAATCAGCCTTTTAGGCTAGTACCCCATCTATCACCTGACCACTTTAAGCCCCAACTGGTGAACTGCAGTAATGTTGCTACCCAGAAAATTTTCATCAATTCAGAGCCAGTATCTATTAACTGACAAAAGTCTGGTTATTTCCTTTTTTTTTTTTTCTTTTTTTTCTTCTTTTGAGACAGAGTTTTGCTCTTTTGCCCAGGCTGGAGTGCAGTGGCACAATCTCTGCTCACTGAAACCTCTGCCTTCCGGTTTTAAGTGATTCTGCTGCCTCAGCTTCCCAAGTGGCTGGAATTACAGGCACCCACCACCAAGCCCGGCTAATTTTTTTTGTATTTTTAGTAGAGACAGGGTTTCACCATGTTGGCCAGGCTGGTCTCGAACTCCTGACCTCGTGATCCACCTGCCTCAGCCTCCCAAAGTGCTGGGATAACAGGCATGAGCCACGGCGCATGGCCTATTTCCTTTTCCCTAATGTACAGTCACTCTAGTAAATGGCCACAAATCCCCATGGGGAAGGCTTAGGGGAAGATTTATAGGATGTACTTGCAGCAGTGGTGCAGCTTCCTTCCTCAAGTAGACCTTGAGGCCCTCTTTCAATCAAGGTGCTCCTGGTGTGTGTATTGACTAGGCTTTGAAACTGGGTAAAAAGCTAAGATTCTCCACTGTGGTGACTCAAGTCAGGATTTGGCTACCAGATCTAGAGTTTTCCCCATTATATAGATCAAGAAATACTCTAGTAGGCTGCCCATATATTTTTGCTCATAGAGAAACTGTGATCAATTAGCTACTGTCAAAGGTCTCTGAGGGCCTCAGCATGCTCATACAACCCTGCTGCCCATCTGTCTTTTACAGCTAAAAGCTGCCACTTTAGGTTTTACTGCACTGGAATCCCATCATTCTCACTAAAATTAGGGAGCATACCTCAATGGTGGCATCCTCCACAGTCATAGCTGGTCTACAACAGTTACCAAGCAGAGATTTTCAGTGATTCAGGTTCTCCTCTTACTAACATATTTCTCAATGCCTTAGTAAAGGGGGGGTCTTTTGGGCCTGCTCATGGGATGTAGTTGGAGCTTGGTCATACTGCACATGATAAATTCAGCATGAAATCTTTGGATTCTGGGCAACAGAGTGAGACTTCGTCTCAAAAAAAAAATAGAAAAAAGAAAAAAGAAATCTTTGGATTTCCTCTTCCATTCATACCAAAGAAGCTCTGGCATCTCAACCTCATTAAAGTAGCCCATTGGGCTTGATATTCAGTCAGCTAAGTAAATGGATGGAGCCACCTTCAGTTGCATCAGTTGACCAGTTAAGTCTAGAACCTCCAGTAAGTGCACCCATATCAATGAAATTGGCCTTATCTATTGTTATATTCTTCCCTCGCTGGTTCAACATCCTCAGGATCCGCTCCCACACGTTACCCAAGCTTCTGCTGACATACATTGGCAAAGTATTTCAATTCTTTTGGTATATGAGCTATTTCCTCCTGGCCCATATTGTGTATTTGTCCTTCTGGAGCACACTGAGATTTGACCCCAGGGTGGGAGGCTGTGATAGATGTTGAGGAGAATGAATATCTCCTTTTAAGTCGTCTGTCCCAAGAGGCTGTTACAGAGTTTTCAAGCAAAAGAAGACTAGTGTCCTCTGACAATAAGGGCAAGTGACTCCATGGCAAGGGAGGGTCAGTGTGGCTTGGGGATTCAACATCATGTTTCAATCTAGGCCCAACCAGATGTTCCCCTTCCAAGTTTCAGGATTCCATGATTACATTCATTTCCAATCAATGCAACTTTAAAAAGGTGGTAAGACTAGGAATTCAACTGTCATTGTGTTTCAACAACCCAAACAATTAAGTTTCGTGTTTGATTTTCAGCAACATCACCTCTGTGATTACAAAATATAAGAGCTTATTTTAGAGCTGCCATGAAAACTCTCTGGTTCTCAAACCTTGACTTGAGCTGAGAGTTAAAGGACCTAAGCTTGTCACTTTCCTCTCTAAGCATTCAAGTACTCAGAAGAATCCATCCCACTCCACAGTCATTACAGACATACTTACTGCCATAATAGCAAGTGGGTCCCCAATGCACTTTCCTCAGTTGGCAATCAACCACAGATGACAGATTGATTAAATATAATGTCACTGAATACCATGGATTACTAGTACCCATTTCCCATAGCAAACAGCTGAGTACTGCACTCAAACCCAAGGGCATGACCAAACCAATCACAAAATCCAATATTTGTGGGTCTACATCCTAAGAACATTCCAAGAACCAATTCTATATCATTCAGGTGCAGGCAAGAGACATAAACTACATGGCATATTGAACAGGAAAATTTAATATAGAGAATTATTAACCATAACAGAGGATTGGTGTAATGAGGAATAGGCCAGAAGAGTAAAGACAATTCTAAAGAATAGAGAAATAGCAGATATAGGAAGAGGTCACTATTCCAAAGACCAAGATAGAGCACCCAAGAAAGAAACAAATTTGGAATACTTTCCTCCTTCCCCACCTTCACAACCAACCAGGGCAAATATCTACACTTAATTAGAAAGGGAATACCCGTGGTTCACAGAATGGTAGAGAAGTACACCAAGGCTGCAAAGGCATCTGAGTGGGTGCCAGGGGAGGCCATTAACAGGGAAGTGGCAACTTGGCATCACTCCACTGCAAAGACACACAAGTGAGTGCCAAGAGAAGCCATTCATAGGAGTAGGAGTTGCTCAGCTGAGCATTGCTATAACCAGGCACTGCAAAAGTCATGGAGTTAATAGTGTCAGGCAATGTATAGCCATGTGCACTGAATGAGCCTGGCACTTAAAAAGCCATGAAGGCTGCAAGAGCCTGAAGCTACAAAAGCCACACACACTGCAGGAGCCTGCCTAGAGGAGCACACCTGAACCAGGAAGAAAACCCTATCATTCACCACTATCCCTCCATTGCCCTCTACTGTCAAGGGTTAATATCATGTCAGCTGATAATGAAAAAACTTATTCACAGATTCATTCTCCATTATCACAGAATAGACAATGAAAGGTGGATTTGGAGCTGAGGAGCAATCAGTCTAATAACAGACAAAATCAAATTGTGAAGAATTGACATCCTTACAGTATTGTGTTTTCCAACCCATAGACATGAATTTAGTACATCATTTCATTTATTTAGTTCTTTAATTTATCTAAGTAAAGTGTTATAGTTTTCTGTGTGGAGGTACTGAATATCTTTTGTTACATATATTTTTAGGTATTCAGTAATGCTACTATAATATGGCATTTTAATTTCATTTTCTAATTGTTGCTTATTTATAAAAATATAATTTAGTTTTTGCATATTGACACCATGTGGCGAACTTTCTAAATTCTCTTATTAATTCTAATAACTTAGCTGCAGATTATTTTGGCTTTTTCCATAGAAAATTATGTTATCTTTAAAAATCCACTATATATATATTTTTTAAATTTTATTGTTATTATACTTTAGGTTTTAGGGTACATGTGCACAACGTGCAGGTTTGTTACATATGTATACATGTGCCATGTTGGTGTGCTGCACCCAGTAACTCATCATTTAGCATTAGATATATCTCCTAATGCTATCCCCACCCCCACCCCACAACAGTCCCCGGTGTGTGATGGTCCCATGTGTTCTCATTGTTCAATTCCTACCTATGAGTGAGAACGTGCGGTGTTTGGTTTTTTGTCCTTGCGATAGTTTGCTGAAAAAAAAAATCCACTATATTGAGGTATTATTGACATACAAAAAACTATACATATTTAATGTTACAACTTGATGAATTTGGAGATAAGTATAAACTCATGAAACCATCACTACTATCTATGTCATAAACCTATCCATCATCTCCAAAAGTTTCCTCCCACCCTTATAATTTTTGTGTATAAGGACACTTAAGATCTATCCTCTTAGTAAATTTTAAGGTATGCAATATAATATTATTTATAGTCATAATGCTGTACAGTAGATCTCTAGGACTTATTCATCCTGTATAACTAAAACTTTCTACCCTTTGGCTAATAGGTCCGTTTCCCCCATCACCTAGACCATTACAACCATCTTTCCAATCTCTGCTTCTATGAGTTTCACTATTTTAGATTCCTTGTGTAGTGAGTGTATGTGGTATTTGTCGCTCTGTGTCTGTCTTATTTCACTTAGCATAATGTCCCCCAGGTTCATGTATGTTATTGAAAATGTCAGGATTTCCTTCTTTTCACAGGCTGAATATTCTATTGTGCACACACACACACGCACACACACACATAGTATTCTCTTTGGTCATTTGTTAGTTAATAGACATTTAAGTTACTTCCATGTCTTGGCTATTGTGAATAATGCTGCAATGGACATGGGAGTGCAGATATCTCTTTAAGATCCTGATTTCAATTCCTTTGTATATATATACAGAAGTGAAATTCCCAGATCATATGGTAGTTCTATTTTTAATTTTGGGAGGAATCCTCATATTGTTTTCCATAGTAGCTTCACTCATTACAGTCCCATCAACGATGTATGAGTTCCCTTTTTTCCACATTCTTGCCAACATTTATTATCTTTTGCTTTTTTAAAAAGTTATTCTAACAAATGTGAGATGCTAATTGTAGCTTTAACATTTCCTTGATGATTAGTGAAGTTGAACATTTTTTCATATAACTGTTAGCCACTTCTATGTCTTCTCTGGAAAATGTCTATGCAAGTCCTTTGCTCTTTCTAAAATTGTATTGTTAGAAGGTTTTGTTTTTGTTTTGTTTTGTTGCTATTGAGTTGTAGGAGTTCCTTATATATATTGGATATTATATGTAAGGAACTTCATCAGACATATGGTTTGCAAATATTTTCTCCCTTTCTTTATGTTGCCTTTCATTTTGTTGGTTATTTCCTTTGCTGTGCAGAATCTTTTTGGTTTCATGTAATCCCACCTGATTTTTGCTTTTGTTCCCTCTGATTTTGGTGTCATATCCAAGAAATTATTGCCAAGGCAGATGTCAACAAGATTCTTCCCTAGAAATATTCTTGTATAAGTCTCTTAGAGGACATGTTTTTATTTCTTTTGAGGACATAGAAATGAATGTACTGAGATATAGAAAGGAATATATTTAATTGTATAAGAAATTGACAGATAGTTTTCTAAAGTAAATGTATCATTTTAAACTACCACCATTAATGTATGAGAGTTTCATTTGCTTCATATCCTTACCAACATTTAGCCTTGTTAATCATTTTAATTTTGGTCATTCTAATGCTTATAAAGTGTTATCTCATTATGGTTTAGTTTGCATTAGTCTGAGAACTAACGACGCTGAGGATTTTTTCATGTGATTATTTCCCATACATATAAATTCCTTGTGAAGTGTCTGTTCAAACTTTTTCTCATATTGTTTATAGTTTTTATGATTGAATTATAGAAATTCTTAATTTTGATAAATGCATTCTTTATCAGTTGTGTATAATGCTAATATTTTTCCAGTCCATGGTTTGACCTTAAGTTTAATTTTCTTAAAAGTATCCTTTGATGACAAGTTGCTAATACTGATGAAGTCCAATTTACCATTTCTTTATAAGCAAGGCTTTTCTTTTTCCTCCTCTAATAAAGGCTTGCTTACTATGAAATCATGAAGATACTCTTGCATATTTTCTTTCAAAATCTTTTTAGTTTTAGCTTTTACAGTTAGGTCTATGACCCATTCCAAAATAAGTTTTATGCATGTTGTGAGGAAAGTGTCAGGGTTCACTTTTCCCCATATATTTATTTGGTTGTTCCAGCATCATCCATTGAAAATATTTTCCTTTCTCTATTCAATTATATTGGTACCATTGTTGGAAATCAATTCATGGTAACTTCGTGTGTATATTTCTGGGCCTTCTCTTCTCTTCCATTTATCTATTTGTATATTGTTACAAATACCACACTGCAGTTATTACGTACCTTTCCACAAGTGTTAAAATAACATAAATCTTCCTAATTTTCCTTTTTTTATTTAAGTGATAAAAATTGTATATATTTCTCATGTACAACATGATGGGTGGAAACACGTATACATTGTGGAATGCCTAAATCAAGTTAATTAATGTATGTATTACCTCACATAATTGTTTTTATGTGGTGATAACACTTAAAATATGCACTCAGCAATTTTCAAAATATAATACGTTGCTACTAACTAGAGTCACCGTGTTGTACAATAGATATCTTGAACTTATTCCTCCAATCTAAGTGAAGTTTTGCATCATTTGACTAACATCTCCTCAACCTTCCACCTCCCAGTCCCTGGTAACCACCATTCTACTCTCTGCTTCCATGGGTTCAACTATTCTAGATTCTACATATAATATCATGTATTATATGATTATTAATACATGATAATCTTTCTGTGCCTGGATTATTTCACTTAACATAATGCCCTCCAGATTCAACCACGTTATTGCAAATGGCAGGATTTCCTTCTGTTTTTAAGGCTGAATAGTATTTATTGCCTGTAAGTGTACCACAATTTTTTTGTCCATTCCTCTGGTGATGAACACTTAGGTTGATTTTGTATCTTGGCTCTTCTGAATAATGCTGAAATGAATATGGGAGAGCAGCTATCTCTTCGATATTTCATTTCCTTTGAATATATACCCAGAAATGAAATTGCTGGGTCATAAGATGGTCCTATATTTAATTTTTTGAGGAACTTCCATACTGTTTTCCACAGTGGCTGTACTAATTGACATTCCCATCAAGGGCATACAAAGGTTCCCTTTTCTCCACATCCGTGCTGACAATTATCTTCCATCTTTTAAAAAAACAGCCACTCTAACAAGAGTGAGGCGATGCTCATTGTAGTTTTGATTTGCATTTCCGTGATGCTTAGTGATGTTGAGCATTTTTCATATATCTGTTGGCCATTTGTGTCTTCTTTTGGTGTCTTTTCAGGTACATTGTCCATTTTCAAATTGGATTATTTGTTTTGTTGCTATTGAGTTCTTTATATATTTTGGATATTAACCCCTTATCAAACGTATGGTTTACAAGTATTTTCTCCCATTCCATAGGTTGCTTCTTCATTCTGTTGACGGTTTTCTTTGCCTTGCAGAAGCTTTTTGGCTTGATATAATCCCATTGTCTATTTTTGCTTTTGTTGTCTGTGCTTTCCTGGCTATATCCAAAAACTCATTGACTAATGTCATGAAGGTTTCCCATATGTTTTCTCCTAGTACATTTTAAATTACTAATTTTGTTTAAATGATTAATCCATTTTGAATTAATTTTTGTATATGGAGTGAGATAATGGTCTAATTTCATTTTCTCTGCATGTGAATGTTCATTTTCCTAACACTGTTTATTGAAGAGGCTGTCCATTCACAATTGTGTGTACTTGCCATCTTTTTCAAAAACCGATTGACCACAAGTATACTTGACTTGATGCTTTTCACTTGCTGTTTTTTATTTTTTTTCACTTGCTGTTTTTAGAATTCTCTGTCTTTGATTTTGACAGTTTGACTATAATGTGTCTCAGAAAAGACCTTTTTGGATTCAATCTCTTTGGGGAATTTTGAGCTTCCAGTATCTGGATGTCCATATCTCTCCCAAAGCTTGGGAAGTTTTCAGCTGTTACTTTATTAAATAGGTTTCTATGCCTTTTCCCATCTCTTATCCTTCTAGAATTTGCATAATGTGAATATTTGTTCACTTGATGGTGTTCCATATGTCTCGTAGGCTTTCTTTTTATTTTTTGTTTGAATGGGTTATTTCAAAAGATCTGTCTTTAAGTTCAGAAATTCTTCTGCTTGATCCAGTCTATTGTTGAGGCTCACAACTGTATTTTTTATTTCATTCATTGGATTCCTCAGGTCCAAGATTTCTGTTTGGTTCTTTTCTATATCTATTTGTTGAATTTCTCATTCAAATAATAAATTGTCTTCCTGATTTCATTGAACTATATGTGTTCTCTTATATCTCACTGAGTTTCCTTAAAATCACTATTTTGAATTCCTTTTCAGATATTTCATAGACTTCCTCTTTATGGGGGAGTCTACTACTGAAGAATTATTATGTTCCTTTGAAGGTAGAATGTTTCCTTGCTTTTTCATGTTTCTTGTGTTCCTGTGTTAATATCTGTACGTCTGGTGGAATAGTCATCACTTTTTCCAACTTTATAAAGTAGCTTTCCTAGGGAAATAATTTTTTCTTGTAGATGTGTCCTATAGTGTCAGTTGAGTAGGCTGCTTTGGCTTTCGTTCTGGGTAGGTGCAATAGTGCAGTCTCAGTATGATTTTTCTGCTGGAGCAGGCCTAGGCCCTAGGTCTACTGGAGCTTGGGACACATGGATGACCTGGAGCCAGGGCCAGTCTTGAGTTGGGGCAGGTCTCGAGCCTGGGATTATGGGTGCTGCCTGGTGCTAGGGTAAGCCTGAAGCTTGGGGCCACTGGGGATGGCCCAGCACTGAAGCCAGTCCAGAGCCTGGGGCCACTGAGGTCAACTACATGATGGGCCTAGAGACCGGGTTTTCCAGGCAGGCCTGGAGCCTAGGTCTGTGGGATCCAGCCTGGCACTGAGGTGGATCTGGAGGATCTGTCTGTGAGTCCTGGCTGGAGTATGCCAAGCACCAGTGAGTCCAGTGGTCACTTCCTTCTCCTTTTCCCAGGAACAGAGTTATCTCTCTTCATACTATACTGCCTGGCATTTGGAAAGGGGTGATACAGGTAATGAAAAATTGTCCTTCCTACCCTCTTCAATATGTCTTTTCTTACTTCTATGCTACACCTGGGTGCTGTAATCTCTCACCTCGTTTCCTTAGCTCTGGTGAAGGTATTTTCGTGTGCATATAGTTGTTCAAATTGATGTTTCTATGGGGAGATGAACACTGGAAAGTCCTATTCTGCCATTTTTATGATGTCAGGCCCCCTGCTATTATTCTTTTCCAAAACTATTTTGGCTATTCTAGGTCTTTGCAGATAAGTTTTATAGTAAGCTTGTGAATTTCTATCTGCTTCCCCCCCGAAAAAAAAATACCTGTTAGAATTTTGATTAGTATTGCATTTGAATTTATAGATCAAGTTGAAAAGATTTGACATGTTAACAATATTGAACTCTCCAAACTATAAACATGATATATCTCTCCATTTATTTAGGTAGTCTTAATTCTCTTACCAATTTGTAATTTTTAGTGTAGAGGGCTTTTATATTTTGTTAAGTTTATTCTAAGTATCTTATGATTCCTCATGCCACTGGAAATTATATTTTTAAAATATCATTTTCTAATTCTTTGTTGCTAGTATATGCAATTGCAGTTGATTTTATATGTTGATCTTTATCATTAGACAGTGCTAAATTCATTAGTTCACATAGTTTATTTGTAATTTCCTTATTATTTTTTCCATAAGTAAGAATGCATCACAGAATAAACAGAGTTTTACTTCTTCATTTTCAATATAATGCTTTTAATTTCTTTTCTTTGCCTTATTACACTAGCTAGGACCTCCAGGTCAATTTACAATAGAAGTGGTGAGAGCTGACATCTTTGCCTTATTCCCAAGTCTTAGCTAATATCTTTGCCTTGTTCAATATTTCAACAGTAAATATGATGCTAAATGTAGACTTTGTGGGCATTCTCTTTATCACATTGAGAAAGTTCTCTTCTATTCCTGGTTTACTAAGACTTTTTGTCATGAATTTCTTTTAAAGTGACAAATTATATTGATTTTTTAAATGTCAAACGAACCTTGCATTCCTGAGATAAACCTTACTTGGTCATGCTGTATTGTCCTTTTCATATATTGCTGAGCATTATTTACTAATATTTTGTTTATAACTTTTGCATCTGTATTAATGAGTGTATTGGTCTGTAACTTTCATTTGTTGTAATATTCTTCTCAGATTTTGGTATTAAGGTAATATGTGTCTCATAAAACAAGTTTAGAAGCGTAATTTCTCCTCTATTTTCTAAGAGGTCATTTTGCACTGATATTTCTAAAACATTTAATAGAATTCATCCTAAACAAGTTCATATTTAAAAAAAAGAATTCACCAGTAAGGGTATTGGATCTGGAGCTTTTTTTAAAAAATAAGGGAGGTGCTGATTAACTTTTAGGTTTGTAAAGTCAGATATGCATTCTAAAATTTCTAGGTTACAATTACAGTAATAAAAATAGGCTGTATATCAGAATTAGTGAGGGGATGATAATTATACCACTCAATCCAAACGAAGGCATAAAGAGAAAAAAATAAATCAACTTAGAGAGAACAAGTCAAATATGTAGCACAAAATAAAAGGACAGAAAAATTCCAAAATATCCATAATAACAAAAAAGTAAATAAACTAAAATCTCCATGTAAAGACAAATATTTTCAGGGAGGATTAATTTTTAAACTTCAATTTATATACTATACACAAAACATGCCTTGAACATTATGACAAAGAAAAGTTAAAAATAAAATTATAAAAAAGGATATACATACAAATATTAACAAAATAAAAGCTAATTAATGTCAAACCAAATAGACTATAGCCGTTAAAGCTTAGGGCACAAAGCATTACTGTAAAATGGTAAGTTTTATTTCACAGAGAAGTTGTTTCATCAAAACATGTATCAGCCTAATATAACCTTAAAATATATAAAGCAAAAATGGACATAATTATAAGAAAAAGGTAACAAAACCATAAATGAACTGGGAGATTTTCATATACCTGTAGTGGCCCCCCAAAAGATATGTCTATGCTCAAATCCCTGGAACCTGTGAATGTTACCGGCAAATGGCTTTTTAAATTGATAATTAAGGTTTTTGAGATCATCCTGGATTATCCAGTAAGCTCTAAACCCAATGACACATGTCCTTACGACAGAAGAAAGAGGAGAAAACTCAGGCACACAGAGGAGAAAGCAACGTGAAGACAGAGGCAGAGACTGGAGTGATTGGAGCTGCAAGCCATGGAATGCAAATGACTGCCAGCAACCACCAGAAGCTTGGGAACAGGCATAGAATGAATCCTTCCACAGAGTCTTCAGAGGGAACACAACCCTGTGGTTACCTTGGTTTTGAACTCCTAGCTTCCAGAACTGTGAGGGAAAAAAATTTCTTTTGTTTGTAAGACACCAAGTTTGTGGTAATTTATTACAGCAGGTACAAGACATGTATACACCTCCCTCATTCTTAAAAAACAAACAAACAAAAAACCGCATAGACCAAAACTAAGAAAAAAAGAATCAAACTATACAACATTTTTTTTTTGTTTTTAGACAGAGTCTCACTCTGTTGCCCAGACTGAAGTGCAGTGGCACAATCATAGCTCACTGCAGCTTCAACTTCCTGGGCTCAAGTGATCCTCTTGCCTCAGCTTTCCAAGTAGCTGGGACTCTAGGCATGCACCACCACACCTGGCTAATTTTTTAATTTTTTATAGAGATGGGGGTCTCACTATACTAGCCAAGCTGGTCTCAAACTCCTAGCCTCAAACAATCCTCCCATCTTGACTTCTCAGAGCTGGGATTAACAGGCATAAGCCACTGCACCCAGCCTAATTACAATTTTTGATCTGATAGAATATACAGAGCACTGCATCAAATAATCAGACAGAGTTTTTAAAAATTAGCACTCATAAGCCAGGCGTGGTGGCTCATGCCTGTAATCCCAGCACTTTGGGAGGCCGAGGCGGGCGGATCACGAGGTCAGGAGATTGAGACCATCCTGGCTAACACGGTGAAACCCCATCTCTACTAAAAAAATACAAAAACATTAGCCAGGCGTGGTGGTCGGAGCCTGTAGTCCCAGCTACTTGGGAGGCTGAGGCAGGAGAATGGCATGAACCCGGGAGGCGGAGCTTGCAGTGAGCCGAGTTCGCGCCACTGCACTCCAGCCTGCGCGACAGAGCGAGACTCCGTCTCAAAAAAACAAAAACAGAAACAAAAACAAAAAATTAGCACTCATGAAATTTTTGTGAAATGGGCATAAAGCAAGTCTCTAAAAATCAGTATCATGAATCAAATTCTCTGATTATATTAAGTTTTAAAAAGATAAAGAAGACTCTTGCAATGTTTTAAAATTAAATAAGTCAAGCATTATAAAGATAAAATAACATTGGGTATTTTTAAATAATTAGAAATGAAAGATAATGAAAATTCTCCATGTCAAAACTTGTGGCACATACCTATAGCAACAAAGAGAACTATATTCTTATATGATGAAAAATGAAAATAATAAGGTAAGTATTCAAATTAAGACTTTATTAAAAGGAAAAGAGCATAAATCTAAAGAATGTTAGAAGAAATTAATAAAATGGAAAGAAAATACTTAACAGAAATAATTTTTAAACTGAAAAATTGTTCTCCAAAAGAACCTCTGGAAGATTGAGCAAAAAGAAAAGAAAATACAAAAAAAAATTAGGAATAAAAAGAGGACATAACCACAGGTGCAAAAGATATTTTTAAAGCTATGGTGGACATTTATCTGCTGATTTTTGTTGTTTCCATTTAGATAGGAACTGGCAGTGCATGTGTGTGCCCAGATGAAAGGATAAGCATAAGCTGGTGTGACCTGAAATTTGGGCAGTCTGCCTTTTTCTAAAAATTAAACACTAACTTCTGCCACTCTATCAAGAAAAGCTTGTATGAAGTTTTTGACTCCTAAGAGTACTCTGCTGTGATCAATATTTTGTTTAAACTGTTTATTTGTGCAACAAATCTTGGAATTTTCACGCTAAGAACATTGCTAACCTATTCTAAATAAATTCACAATATATCTCTATTTCTGAGTGCAGCCTGTTTTCTGCTATAATTAGCACCATGCTCTGATGTTAATGTTCTTTAGTTATGGAGTTATGCTATGCGATCCTCCACCACACATCTATTTTGAAAAGGTGAAAACCTTACTACTTTTTTGCATCAGAAATAAATGAGGCAATCCATACTGAAAGTGCTTCAAGGAATAATGAGAAATACAGTTAAAAGTGCTTGTAGTTCTTGACTGTAATGTGTCACTTACATGCTAATTAACCACACTATGAGCATATATTCCAGATTAGGACAGTTGACCTCCCTTACAGTATAGTGTAAAGTAACTAACACAATATAATATCCTGCTACGCTTAAGCATTTTAAAGTTAAAGATATCATAGTATCTGCAAATTTGACAAACTCACTCTAAAGTTTAGATAGAACATAAAATTAAGAAGTCAATATAACCCTGAATAATAATAAGATGAACAGATTTTCCTTCTTATATATCAAAATTTATCATAAAGTTTTATAATAAGGATAATATGGTATTTGCAATGAGATAAATAAACCAATGAGATCATAATAGAGACTAGGCCAGAAATAAACGAGTATACACTTGAAAAATTGATGACAGCTGGGAGCAGTGGCTCATGCCTGTAATCCCAGCATTTGGGAGGCCAAGGTGGGAAGATCATGAGGTCAGGAGATCGAGACCATCCTGGCCAACATGGTGAAACCCCGTCTCTACTAAAAATACAAAAATTAGCTGGGCATGGTGGCACACGCCTGTAGTCCCAGCTACTCGGGAGGCTGAGGCAGGAGAATTGCCTGAACCCAGGAGGCAGAAGTTGCAGTGAGCCAAGATCGCACCACTGCACTCCAGCCTGGCAACAGAGCCAGACTCTGTTTCAAAAAAAAAAAAAAAAAAAAAAAAAAAAAAAAAAAAAAAATTGATGACAAAGCTGACAGTGTAAACCAAACATATATTTCCCTGTATTTTGTAGGAAACCTTTAACATGTTTTTTACATTTTAAGACTGTAATCCATCTAGAATTGATTTTGTGTACATTGATATAAGAACCAACTTTATTTTCTCCAAATAATACCAACTGTTTCATTTATTTTATAGCTCTTCCCTTTCCCACTGATTTGCTATGTCCACTTTGTCAAATATTGTTTTCATCTAATATAATTTTGAGAGAACAGAACATATCACAGAATAATACATGTGTTATTATTTCTTTTATGTAGTATTTTTAAATGTGCAAAACTAAATTTATTGTTTAGGAATGCACACATTTGAGGTAAAATTATAAAAAGAATACAAGGAAACCATAAACTCAAAACTCAGGGTAATGGTTATTATAGGAAGGAGTGAGGAGTTGTTGTTTTATTTCTTCATCTGGGTGAGATACACTGAGGTCCAATTATCTTCATTCTTACTGCATACAGACATTACATATAGTCTTTTTATGTATACTTCATAATTAAAATAGAAAATATATAATGGTTAAAATGAATAAATAGTTGAGACAAATAGTAAAATAATATAACCAAAAAGTTAATTATTGAGCTGAAAGATCTAGTTGAAAAGCTCTTCTAGATAACACCAAGATGGACAAAATATGAACAATTCAAAATGAAAAGATGAGAAATGCAAAAACAAAAAATTTTCAATAACCATCCTGGAGGAAGAAGGAAAAAAAAATGACTGAGGCATATTTAAAGAAATAATAATCTACCACTTGCAGGTGATGGAAATGTTCATTATTTTGATTGCATTGATGGTTTCATGGGTACATATATCTGTCAAAACCCATCAAATTACACACTTTAAATATATGCAGTCTATTGTACAATAATTATATTTCAATAAAGCTGTAAAGAAAAAAATTCATATGGAGTAAAAACAGAAAAAAACAAACTAGGATTAAAAGTACTCAGAGTTCCAAGTTAGATACAAGACAGATAAACATAACAAATAAAGAAAACCACTTAAACACTTAAAATGAATCTTGAGGACTTCTAAGACAAATAAGGTGTTCCTAAAAGATTCTAAAAATGTTTGTAGAGATGAAGAACTGCCTATTAAGGAAAAAATATCAGATTGAAATCAGACTTTTCAAAAGTAACATCAGATACAGAGAGTAACATAAAATTTCCAAAGTCTTGAAGAAAATAAATTTCAAAACTATGAATATGTGTCCAGTGATACTCTCTCTTAAAAGTTAGGGCCCAATATTTTAAATGATAGAAAACCTCAGAAAATTTACCAAACTGCCACCTTATTTGAAAACTCCTATTGGGAAGGTATCCTAGCAAGAAGCAAATAAATCAAAGAGGCTATATTTCACATTGGGGACTGTATGACCCCGAGTTTTGTTCATCTCTTCAGGATACTCTGAAGCCTGACTATTCACTGCTATGGCCTGTGACAGATAAACTGTCAAGTGTCACTCTTGTTCTATTTCTCAGTCAAAAGCAGTTTATTTGCATTTCTCTGGAGAAGGAGAGGGGACAGAAAGTGGTGAAAAGTAGGTTCTGACCTCCTTGCTGACCAATAATTTCATTAATAACATGGAAGATTGTATTACTCTTCAAAATATTTGCTAACCCTCCTGGGGAAGAATTATACTTTCTCCCCACCCCATTGATCTCAGGTTTCACCATGTAATCTCAACGCACCTCCCTGTAAGAGGATGATTTATCTCTGTCCTGATTGACTCAAATGTGGCCATGTGACTTACTTTGGAAAAAAAGTCACAGGTATCACTTCTGAGCACAAGTTTCAAAAACCAGTTTATAGTTCACCATTCTTCTCTTTTCATAAGTCCAAACACCAGCCATATCCCAGTTTAAAGGCTGCTCTCTAAGCCTAGGTCCTAAAGTAAAGGCTATGTAGTAACAAAGCCACCACTGTCTCAGTGACATGTAGCATGAGAATTAAATCTTTATTGTTGTTAGCCATTGAAATTTTGGGTCACTTGTTATCACAGCATAACTTGGCCTAAGTTGACGGATACATTAAACTTACCCTTCTGTAAGCCCTGTAACCTCTCTTCAACTCTGAGCTGCCTCTACTTCTCCTTCATTCAACACATATCTTATTGCCAACAGGTAATTTTGGTGAGATCACTTCCATTTCTGACTGTGTTCATTCATTTGCACGGCTATGAAGGAATATCTGAGACTGGGTAATTTAGAAGAAAACAAGTTTATTTGTCTCACAGTTCTGCAGGCTGTACATGAAGCATGGTGCAGGTATCTGCTTCTAGGAGGGCCTCAGAAGCCTTACAATGATGGTGGAAAGTCAAGGGGATCCAGTGTGTCACATTGTGAGAGTGAGCAAGAGAGAAAGAAAGGAGGTGCCAGGCTCTTTTAAACAACAAGATCTTATGTGAACTCGTAGAATGAGAACTCAATCATTACCACTAGGACAGCACCAAGATATTCATAAGGAATCTGCCCCCATGACCCAAACAACTCCCTCTAGGCCCACTTCCAGCACTGGAGGTCACATTTCAACATGAGATTTGGAGGAGACAAAACATCTAAACCATATCACAGGGAGTCATAAAGTATTCCAAATCTTTTCTTCCTACTCCAGAATTGACTGGAGCATCTGCTCTTCTGGGGGCCAAGGCAAAGCCTTCTCCACCTGAGTCCAGCAAAGCTCACCAATCAACCGCAGTCTTTACGTATCTCTTGGTGTTCTGAATATAGTAAGTGAATGGTCTCTAGGGGCGATAGAGGTAGCAGAAAAAAGCAGATGACAATGGACTGAGAAGTGAAGGAGGAGATTGTGGCATAGACTAACCTTCCAAAAAAAACTGGCTATAAAGAGAAGGAAAGACAAGGAAGTAGTTGGGGGATCAAACAGCCTGGAGTTGGATAGCCTTTATTTTTATTTTTATGTATTTATTTTTGAGACAGGGTCCTGCTCTGTCACCCAGGCTAGAGTGCAATGACTTGATCTCGGCTCACTGCAACCTCTGCCTCCCGGTTTCAAGTGAGTCGCCTGCCTCAGCCTCCTAAGTAGCTGGGATTACAGGCACCCGCCACCACACCTGGCTAATTTTTGTATTTTTAGTAGAGATGGGGTTTCACCATGTTGGCCAGGCTGGTCTCGAACTCCTGACCTCAGGTGATCCGCCCACCTTAGCTTCCGAAAGTGCTGGAATTACAGATGTGAGCCACTGTGCCTGGCCTAGGCTTTCTTTTATACTCCAAATGCTTAGCTTCCCTTCAGTCCTGTTACAGAAGAGTAATTCCCAGTTTACAGAGGTAAGCCAAAGTTTTGGTTTCATCTTTCTTGTGTCTGTACTCACCATGTTTCTTTAGCATAGCTGGTATTTCCCTGCCATTCCCAGGACAACCAAGGCTGGTTTTAGGGAGGCCAACTCTCTCCAGAGGAGGAAGGGCTACTAATTGTGCCCACTTTATTTTCAAATAGGAAAAACTTGAGCAATAACCAGTGGTAAAGCCCAATATATAGAGGGAGATATAATAAAACTAAAGTAGAGAAAGGAACATTATCTCTGTGAAATAGGAGGCAAGAGCCCAAGCTGAGAGCTGGAGAAGCAAGAATAGTTAAAAAGGTAAATGGCATCATAGGAGTAATGAAACTTTTCAACTGTGTTTACTTAGGTATATGTGTGCATGGGCATGCACACACTCATGTTCAGAATCAGAGCGATCAGAGACAAGACAAATCGTTTCCAGAGCCTCTTGATCCCCTGGTTCTTAATTAGTAGAATTTGTGGCTAGGAGCTTTCTACACTCCTATGTCCTTAGCCAGACCTCTCTTGGTAACAGCCATGTCAGTAGCCACTCTGTCCCAGGACCAGAGGCCCCTTTGCTCTGGCTAATGCCACCTCTTCCATGAGCACTGAGCAATTCCTGACTCTCTGGGGCCCCTTCTCACCACCCCCCACACCAGGGCCTGCCTGGCACAAGATCCCAGGGATTTGATGAAAGAAGAAATAGAAGTCACAAAAACTGATCAGGAGCTCTCCTCAAGACTGAGGGAGTAAAAGGTGATAAAAGAAGAGAAAATCCTGTCTTAAGAGAGCCATCTCCAAAAAGACCCATGCCTGTGCCAGCGGATAGATACTGAACACTTTGGCTTTAAGTCGCTGCCTGTCTGTACCTGTCTCTGGTCATGTCACTCACTGGAAAGCAAAGTCCACTTTTCCTGGGGACTGTCTGGAGGCCTCTCAACTCCAGCTGCAGGAACCGAGTCTCCTTCCAGCAGCAGTGCCTTATGGCAGGCAGCCCAGCTCAGAAGTCAGAAGACCTGTCAGACCCGGAGCACCCCTGCTCAGTAAGGTTGGTGAGAGAAACCCGGAGGCATACAGACTATGTAACGGGAGGGATCTGCAAAAACAACAGGTCCAAGCCCCATATCCTACACAGGAGGAAACTGGACACAGATTAGGGATGTGTGTTTCTCAAAGTCAAACAGTGCTATCTCAGCCAATCAAGTAATGGCTGAGCCGGAAGGTTGAGGCTTCTGCCCTTCCTCCATCTGAAGTCTTTCTGTTCTGTTTCTTTATGTATCAAGTTCTGGACCCCCCAAAAGTTAGCCTTTTATTTTAAAATGTGTTACTAGCTGCAGCAGCCAGATGAAGAGTAGGAGGGAGATTTCCTGGAGGATCAGAAATGAAGAGAGTGGAAAACAGGGATAGAAATTTTTATTTCTTCTGGCCATTAAAGCTCTAGTTTTAGAAAGGGATTTAGTAATGGAATCCTTGCTTCAATGAAATCCTACTATAAAAATCAAGTACTATTAAACAGATAAAAGGAGAGACAAATTGATTAGGGTGGCTATGAGGGCAGAGAGGCACCCTCTAACTCCTCACCCCTTCAACACATATGGTGGCCCCTGAAGCACTATAACAGAGCATATAGGATTCTGTTTAACACACTTTGTAAACACTGCCGGGGCAGTGGTCTGGGATCCTAGGTCTGGGGCATTTCAAGAGGGCATCTGGTCCAGTCACATGTACCCAAGTGGAATCAAACTACTGAGATGTCCAATGATGACGGGGGGAAGAGACCACGAGACAAATTTTTCTTTAGAAGTTTAGCTTCCTTTGCCCTAGCACTTTTCTCTCACTTCAATTCAGGTTTTTCCTTTGCCTTTTATCTCTGGAGAAAACAGAACTAGGCTGGGTATTTCCTGAAAATCTCCAAGTCCTTTTTACTGCACACATGCACACAAACATATATATACAATGAAAAAATAATTTTACAACATCAGAGAAATAACAATGGAGGCTCAGAAGGGTAGGAGGGTGGGAGGGGGCTGAAGGATGAGAAATTACTTAAGGGGTAAAATGTACACTATTCAGGTGATGACTACACCAAGAGCCCAGGCTTCCCCACTACACAATATATCCAAGTAACAAAACTTCACTGTACCCTCTAAATATATAAGAATTAAAAGAAAGACAAAGAAAAATGTCCATCAGCCTAATACCCAGTAGAGAAATCTATTTTTCAAAATTCAATGTCAGTCTTTGCTCATACATATATAAATTTAATTTTTGTACAGAAGATCATAGGCTATATGGTTTACAAGGGTATTTATTTTGTTTACTCAGTTTCACAAATAAATAAGTTAAGGCTTAAAAAAATGAACTTTTCCCAGATTATCCCACTAGAATGTGTGGGCCAGGACAAACTAAGCCCCTTACTCTAAGACTAGTGCTCTTTTTACTTCAGTAGCAGTTGACACAGAACTATAGAGACCATTGGCTGGGTGTCAGAGCCAAGGATTACTGGAATATATTATAATTTAAGTGAACTTCCTACTAAGCCAGGCATGGTGGCTCATGCCTGTAAATCCAGCAATTTGGGAGTCCAAAGCAGGTGGATGGCTTAAGCCCAAGAATTCAGACCACCGTGGGCAACATAGCAAGACCCTGTTTCTACAAAAAAAAAAAAATTAAAAAAAAGTATCTGGGCATGGTGGTACATACCTGTAGTCCCAGCTACTCATGTAGTCCCAGTTACTCAGGAGGCTGAGGCAGCAAGATCGCTCAAGCCCAGGAGGTCGAGGCTGCAGTGAGCTGTGATTGTGCCACTGCACTCCAGCCTGGGCAACATGGTGAGACCCTGTCTAAAAAAAAAAAAAAAAAAAGTAAACAGGGCCAGAGCTCAGGACCCTTCTAAATCAGGATACTTTGCAGCTATACAGATGGGACATTCATGGAGCCAGACTTACCCTTTCAAAGTATCTCCTTACAAAATATTTAGATGTGTGGGGAGCTGAAAGAAAAAAATTTTTAAGAAGCGAACTCCCTACTAGCAAAGTTGCACATGATCCCCTAACCACACAAGACTCAGCTCTAACAATTCAAAATCACCAAGTATGATGCACTTGGATGCATACAAGACTAGCTGAAACACCTGGTTCTAGTTCCAACCTTGACTGGTTTTAGTCCCAACCTAGTCCTCACTTTGCTATGAGACCATAGGCAATGCATTCTCTTCATTTGTAAAATGAAGGGATTAAAGTATATTATGTAAATGTCCTCACATAGTGTGAGTCTATGATCTTACCATTCTGAGAAGGAATCATTTTCCGATAGGCCTCCCAACCCTTATCCAGAGAAGATTTTCTAGGCTTTGCCACTGGGGCAGTTTGTCTCATTTTGACTCCAGGACCTACCTGATTCATATGCACTTGGTACATTTACTAAACAGTGATGGAGGTACAGAGTAAAGCCTTCAAGATCATGCAGAGACAGTACTAGAAGGTAGGAAAGAAGGGCAAGTGAGGAGATTGTACTTAAGATGACACTTCCTTATCCCGAGTTTCCCATTTTGGGCCATAGGTAAGGAGGTATACTCGTCTGTAAGTAGAAAACTCCTGTTCAGTGAGAATGACTCAGATGAATGCCCTGCCAAGTAGAGAACCATTCATTTCTTTTGAGGGACAGAATCTCTAAGCAACCATAATAAATGTCAATATTAGTCCTGAGTTTGTCCTTGTGGGATTTTCCAGTGATGCAGAGATCCAGATCATGCTCTTTGTGCTAATCCTGGTGATTCATCTCCTGACTTTGACGGGGAAGCTGGTGATGATCCTGGAGATCAGGGCTGATTCTCACCTTCAAAGACCCATGTACTTCTTCCTTTGACATCTGTCCTTTCTGGATCTCAGCTACTCCTAGTTACTGTGCCCAGGATGCTACAAAATTTCCTCTCAGAAGAAAAGCATCTCAATGTGGGGCTGCCTCACCAAGTTTCTTTTTCACTCTCTCTGGGGGAACGGAAGCCTGTCTGTTCTCTGCCATGGCCTATGATCACTATGCTACCATCCGCCACCCTGTGGTCTATACCATGGTCATGAACAGATCTCTCTGTATGGTGATTTTGAGAATTGCTTGGGCAGCGGGATTTCTGATTTCCTTGATGGACAGTCTTTTCACCCACAAGTTACATTTCTGTGGGCCTGACATCATCCTTATTTCAGGTGTAAGCTGCCTCCATTCTTCCCTCTGTCCTACATTGATCCCACTGTCAATGAGATTCTTCTAGCTGTGTCACAGGCATTCTGGGGGCTACTGACACTTTCCCTAATCTTCTTCTCTTACTCTAGAATCACATCTGTCATACTGAGCATCTGCTCCTCTGAGGGCCAAGGCAAAGCCTTCTCCGCATGCCCTTCTCATCTCGCTGTGGTTCTCTCATTCTATGGGACAGCTTTTTTCAGATACCCAGGCTCTACTTCAGGTTCGGTGTTGGGGCAAGTGGTCTCTGTTCAGTATAGTGAACTCTCTTTTCTCCTTGCTGCTTCAAGTACCATTTTCATCCTTCCTCTCTAAATAATGTCCAGCTGCATTGAAGCACATGTCATCAAACTATTCCACACACACTCCTCCTTGTTATTATTACCTACCACACTCCTGGTCACTCACCTTTCATTTAAGACTCCATCAACTGGCTTACTATCCCTCTCTCCATAATGCCTTCATTATTCCTAGTGACTTCAACATCCATGAGGACAATGCATCTCATGCATATGAATATGTGCAAGTATAATTGTATTCCTTGCTAAAATACTGAAATATTTTCATAGCCACTGTCAATCCTCTTCAATGTCATGCCTCAATGCTCTAGCCCCTCATCAGGATTCAACAGATCTCTTCACGATTCAGAAACAAAAAGTAATCATCTAACACAACAAGGTGCCTGCAGGACCCTGCACCAGCGTTATGGGCTACATCTATTTTGATGGGTCCATGCCATGCTAGCACTAGTAGTTAAATATTTTGAACCCTATCCCTGCTAGCACTCTAGTCTCTCAGTTCCTTGGCTTTATTTTACCTTAAATGATTGTGTTCACCACTGCAGCCACTCACTCTCACAGTTCATACCCTGTATCTACTTATGACCAACAGCAGCAGGAAGAATGCTGCTATGTCCCAAGGAACTCTGTATTCCACACATTAGAATCCACCTGTGTGCCCAACTCATCCCAGTTACCAGAATTCCATCAACAGAGCAGCCCAGGACCACCAAGTCTCCTTACAATGATATAATTGGCACCATCAGGTGTATCACTTCCTTTTAAACACAAATATAATGACTCCCTATCACCTGATATAGCAAATAAAAAATTCTTCATCCACCACCTTCATCCACTATTCTATCAATTTCCCTGTTTCTTCTCTACTCTAGACTGACACCCCCACATATGTGTGTTCTTCATTCCACAACATGCCACAGCATGTCCATTTCTGCCTTCTGATTCTATATGGGATGCCCTTCCTACATTTCACCTTCAAAGCTGATCTTGAAACTCCTCCATCAGAAAGTCTGAAAAAGATGGAATCATCTGCCTGCTACTCAATGCATAGTTAATTAATCCCTGCTGTAACATTGCATAGGAGTTTGTACTTGTCCATTGTAAAAGGTAAAGTACCACTCTGGTTAAAGGTGCACCCAGTGAGAAGTCAGACCAGGGCTCAATTCCTGATTGTGCCTCTTGGCTCACTTAATGTCCCTGAACCCATGCAGATCTACACCTTGCAGGGTTTGTTAACTGATAACTAAAGAGATGGCACACCAAAGCATAATATAAAGACATTTTGAATTTATTCCTTGTGATGTTTAAGACAAGGTTCTGTACAAGTACGGACGACCAAAGCAAAAATGGACAAACGGGGTCACATCAAGTTAAAAAGCTTCTGCACAGCAAAAGAAGCAATCAACAAATTGAAGAGACAACACACAGAATGGGAGAAAATATTTGCAAACTACTTATCTGATAAGAGATTAATAACCAGAATATATAAGGATCTCAAGCAACTCTACAGGAAAAAATCTAATACTCTGGTTAAAAAATAGGCAAAAGATTTGAATAGACATTTCTCAAAAGAATACATACAAATGGCAAACAGACATATGAGAAGGTGCTCAATATTACTGATCATCAGAGAAATGCAAATCAAAACTCCAATGAGATATCATCTCACTCCTGTTAAAATGGCTTATATTCAAAAAGCAGGCAATAACAAATGCTGGTAAGGATGTAGAGAAAAGGGAACCCTCATACACTGCTAGTGGGAATGTAAATTAGTATAACTACTAGGGAGAACAGTTTGGAGGTTCCTCAAAAAAACTAAAAATTGAGCTCCTATATGATCCAGCAATCCCACTGCTGGGTATATACCTAAAAGAAAGGAAATCAG
Organism: Homo sapiens; assembly: GCF_000001405.40. Lineage (NCBI taxonomy): Eukaryota > Metazoa > Chordata > Mammalia > Primates > Hominidae > Homo > Homo sapiens. The sequence continues at coordinate 48,353,872 of NC_000012.12, read as the reverse complement.
TTTATCAAAGAGATATCTGCATTCCCATGTTTGTTGCAGCTCTGTTCACCATAGCCAAGATTTGGAAGCAATCTAAGTGTCCATTAACAGATGAATGAATAAAGAACAAATGGTACTTACACACAATGGAGCACTATTCAGCCATAAAAAAAGAATGAGATTTAGTCATTTGCAACAACATGGATGGAACTGGAAGTCATTATGTTAAGCGAAATAAGCCAGACACAGAAAGACAAACATCACATGTTCTCACTTATTTGGAGGATCTAAAAATCAAAACAATTCAACCCATGGAGATAGAGAGTAGAAGGATGGTTACCAGAGGCTGGGAAGGGTAATGGGGGAATGGGGACAGTGAGGATGGTTAATGGGTACAAAAAATAGTTTGAATGCATGAATAAGACCTAGTATTTAATAGAACAACCTAGTATTTAATAGACCTAGTATTTAATAGTTATTATAGTCAATAATAACTGTACATTTTAAAGTAACTAAAAGGGTATAATTGGATTGTTTGTAACACAAAGGATAAATGCTTGAGGGGATGGATACCTGATTCCCATGATGTGATTATCATGCATTGCATACCTGCATCAAAATATCTCATGTACCCCATAAAGATATTCACCTATTATGTAACTACACAAATTTAAAATTATAAAAGTTATTTTTAAAAAGAAAAGGTTCTGGTATAAAGAAGATGATACCATTCAGCCTCTTTTTTTTTTTTTTTTTTTGAGACGAAGTCTCATTCTGTTGCCCAAGCTGGAGTATTAGTGGCACGATCTCTGCTCACTGCAACTTCCACCTCCTGGTTTCAAGCGATTCTCCTGCCTCAGCCTCCCAAGTAGCTGGGACTACAGGCACGCACCACCATGCCCAGCTAGAGACAGGGTTTCACTATGTTGGCCAGGCTGGTTTTGAACTCCTGACCTTGTGATCCGCCCGCCTCTACCTCCCAAAGTGCTGGGATTACAGGCATGAGACACTGCACCTGGCTTTTTTTATTTTTTGGAAACAATCTCACACTGATTTGTTTCCCAAAACAGTCGAGGAGAGTTTGGGCTATTATAATATCTATCAGTTCTTTCCAAACATTCTTTTCAGGTAAAGTCAGGTTTACGTACTTGGTTATGTTCAATTTAACTCTGTGTGACGAGGCAATGCTGTGTCCAGCAGCGCCCATTTCCTTTTCCATGAGGCACACATTCTTTACTTCCCAGCCACCCTTCTGGGTAGGGCCATGTGACCATGCGCATGAGTTCTGGCTAAGGGAATGGGGTGAAAATGATACACACCACTTCCAGGACTGGCCCCTAATATCTCTGACAAGTTAACCACGGCCAGCCTCCCTTATCTGAGGGCCACAGATTTGACTACATTACCAAGGCCTCGGCATGGGAGAACCACCAAATGCAAGAAGCCTGGTCCTTCAATGAATTCAAGAAGTACAGACCCCACCCTCTGGCCCCAACCAACTTGTTACCACACTGTGACTTGTATGAACATAAGCCTTTATGGAGTTAAGCCCCGAGATACTGGTTTTGCTAGCCTACTCCAATTAACGCACCTTATATTTACCACCAGTGGTAGCATAAGTGAAAAGAACCCCTGGACTTAGTTCCAGGACCCGGGATAAAAATTCTGGCTCTACTACTACCCCGACATATCCCATGATCTGCTCCTAGAATATGCTCTATACTCTTCCCAACTGCGTGTCTACTGCATTTTCCTCTTTCATTAGACAGCCCTCCTGACTCTTCTCTGCCTCACGATTTCTGTCAGAGTGGGGGGCCTTCTCTGACCTCCGTCCCATACGTGGTCACTTCTCTTTGCTTCAAGTGCAGCGTACGTTCCTCTGTTTTAGAATCTACGTTTTTATTGCAAATATTTGTTGACATGTGCTTCCCCAGACTGTGAATCCTTTAACTCCCAGCATTTAGTTACAGTGTCTGGCACACGTAGAAAATAAATATGCATTAAACGAATGATTGTCACATATGACCTTAAGTGAGTCAATTATTTTTTAAGTCTACTAAATAAAATTTTTGAAAATTGTTGTAATGATGAAATAAGGAATGTGAATGTGACTTGTAGGTTATAAACAGATTCTAACAGCAATGGGTTTACTCACTGTTTGTAGGCCCTTCTCATCTTTTCTAGTCAAATCCATCTTAATGCTGCAAGGTAGCACTATCCAATAGAAATATAATGCAAGCCATATTTATAGCCACATTTAAAAAGTTAAAACCAGGTGAAATTAATTTTAATATATTTAACCCAATATACCCAAAATATCACTTTTTAAATTAAATCTTCTAAATCTTGGAACACATCTCTATTCAGACCAGCCACATTTCGAGAGCTCAGGTGTCACCTGCGGCTACGGCTCCCGCAAATGGGACAGCAGCCGCAAGGCCAACTTCAGATAGCAACCTGACTTCCCCTCAGGCAGAATAAGTGACTCCTCCTCAGTGCTCTCTCAAGCCCTTTATCCTATCGTGAAAACTAGAGGGTACGCTCCTTGAGGAATTCCAGACTGTTGTCTGGAGAAATCGCTCTCGGCCTCGGTCTGGCCTGTAACGGGCGGTTACGCAATTCCAGGTAATTGACGAACCCTGAGGACAGAACTCCGTGGGAGGCCCAGTAGCCAGAGCGGAAAATGGTCAGTCAGGCAAGAGTGCGGGCAAGTGGCCACAGCAGGCTGCGATTCCGGCGCCCGCCGCCCTCCAAGCGTCTCGGGCCGCACCCTCCCCACAGCGGCGGGCGCGGAGGTCCCGGGTTCGCGTTTGGGGGCGCCTGAGCCGCAGCCCCGCCCCCTCCCGTCCCTCCCTCCCTCCCTCCCTCCCACTCCTCTCCCTCCCACTCCTCTCCCTCCCACTCCCCGCACCTCCGCCGCCGCAGAGCCCCGGAAGCGGGCGGGGATTTCCTGTGCCCGCCCCGCCCCGCCCGCGCCTGCCGGGCCGCCGTCTCCGCCTGTCGCTGGCTCCGCCGGCCGCCGGCTCCCAGACGCAAGCGGAGGGCGGAGGGGAGGGGCAGGCGGCGCCCGGGAGGGAGGCACCGGGCCGCGGGCCAAGCCTACCGGGGGTGAGTGGAGCCGGGCCGGAGGGAGCTGCGGCTGGAGGGAGGGACGCCTGGCTTCCCGGGGCGGCTGGTGGGGGCTCGGTCACCCATAGGGGCTGGGAGGAGGATCGGCGCGTCTTCCGGGTTGCTGCCTTTCCCGGGGGTCTGCCCCGCTGACATTCTGTGCCCGCCTCTCGCCCTGTCTCCCCGTGCCCATCGCAACTGTCAGGCCCTGCGGGCTCCCGCCGCTGTCACTCGCGCACAGGTTACCCCGTGGCTCCCTTTCTCTTCACTTGCTCATGCCCCAGCTCATGGGAAACCTGTTTTCTGACCTCACTTCCCCTGCTCCAGTTCTGCCTTGCTCGGATTCTCTGAAATCTGACCCTTTCCAGGGGCACTGTGACAAGAAGAAGGGAAGAAGCAACCTTACCCCTGAGCAGGCTCCCGTCCCGCCCATGCCCTACCCGTGGCAGGGGCCAGGGTTCTCTGATGGACGGAGCCAACTCGTCCGTGTGCCCTTGGGCTACTCATTTTTATAACATGGCCCCTTTTCTGTTCATCAGCACTGGCTGCAGAAACTTCCTTTTGCAGGTCCCTTGCTACCCATATGTGTGAAGAAAAGGGGGAAATGAAAGCCCTAGAACCCACACTGCAGTGGGCATGGGATCATCCTGGAACCAGGAGAAACGAGGTTAGGGCTACCACCTTAACCGCCCAGGTGCTGGCTCTGCGTGAATATCTTAGGAAATGCAAGCTGAGGACAGGTACCCATCCCATCCTTTGCTGAGATTTTTGCTAGCACTTCCACGGATTTCTGTCAGTGGTATAGAAAAACTTACAGCTGGCCCAATGGGCTCTGCACAAAGAGGCTTCCCATTAAGAGACTCTGCTACCTGGGGGAGATGGAGAAAGGGTTTGAGACAAGTGTCCAGATATGTAGCTAGAGGTAAAGCCTTCAGGGAGGATTTGCACAGGAGCTAGAGAACCAGAAAGATGGGACGAAGAGGGAGAATTAGTGCCCTGTGTGTTAAAAGTGGATACAGAGCTGGAATTCAGAGAAGAGAGCTAAAATGGAAGTTTCCCTTTATTGCTTTAGCAAGAATTTTCCTTTCTCATGAAAAGTCTCTGAAAAGGAAACCTCCTAGGCTGGGAATCAGTCCAGGGTGCTCCCATGAGGCCCTGAGCCATCTTTGGACTTCTGAGATAAAAAGGGAATTTGTTTTTCCTGTGCATTGGGCTTAGGGTTCCCACCTACCTCTTTTGTCAAAGACAAATAGGCAAGAAAATAGACGACTTGACATCTGTGATTACCTACCCTGGCCTTCAAGGTTCTTGCAAGTGTTATTGAAAGGATGTAAGTAAGCCAGGATAGTTACCAAGTTTCTGACTGCTCTTGGAAGCCTTTCACTGACTCTGACTGTTTGGATATTGAATAAGAATACCCAAAATATGTTGCCAAACAGAAAGAGATTCTGAGTCTCAGATTATTTCTCTGCCATAAAGCCCTATCACAACAGAAGTGTGACCCATCCTGCTCTTAAGTTGTCTAAAGAAAAAGAAGAGCCCACTATCTGGTATTGTACACTGCAGGATTATTAAGAATTAAAAAAAAATAACCTAAATCTCTTCTCTTGCAATCAAGACCCATTTTTTTCTGTTTGACCTATATAGAGATAGAAGGGACCTCTGTTTTTATTCATTAGTAGCATCATTCATCAGCCTTCTTCTCCAGACAGAGAAAACTACATCCGACATTTTTAACTTTCCCAGTGGCTGTATTTCCAATCCCTTTCTTGACTTTGATGTTTTCTGATGAACACACACTGGCTTCACCATACGCTTCTTTCAAACTGAATATATTTTTCTAATGAGATCTGACTGGTGCCTGACAAATAAACAGGTTTGTTCTTCTGGGTCATGTTAGCAGCAGTTCTTCCCCCCTTTTCCAGCTCTGGTTCAAACTCTTTCTGTTCCTTTTTACTTTTCCTGATTAAACTTCAGCTCCTCACAGACCAACAATTTCTCTTACCTCTTAGGATTACTTTGGAGTCTTAACACCTGCTTTCCAAGTTATCAGTTTTTCTACCATATTTACTACCAGTTTTCATTGGATGGTAGACCAAGTGCCTTTTTATTGAGGCTTGTCCCAAGTGAGGTACCTTTTGGCCCAGCCTCATGATACAAATACGCCCCTTGGTTGGGACTTTTACCTATAGTAATCATTTCATTCTAAACTGATGAGACTGTGATTTGTGGCAGAAAATCTTCTGTGTGATTACATCCATCTTGTTGAGTGCAGGTCTATATGTATTTCTTCCTGTATGTTTCCAAATTGCTTACTTTCCTGTACTTCATGTGCTTGAAATTAAATGGATAGCCTTTGAATTTCCAGGACAGTTCTTTTTTTTTAAATGAACTTCTTCTAACCTTCAGGTATATTCTGTTTCTATAATGAGGTCCACAAAATACCAGTTAGTGGCTTTGCTACGTAGCACCTGCCAATTTCTTAGTTCCTCCAAGAAGCTTGGTGCAGGCTCCGTTGATCGGAACACATCAAGCTTTTAAAGTTCATCTTCCAGCAAGCTCCTCCTATCTAGTTTTGTCTATTATCCCTGGGCCTGTTCTTCATAACTCCCTTAGAAATATCACTCCTTTCCCATTTTCATGGGCATTGCTGATATGAATTTGTTCCAGGTCACAATTTGGGTCTGCAGCAGAAATGCTTTCAGAACAGACAGCAGCGCTGGGGACAGGATGGGAATCAATGAATGTACAGCTGGATGGAGCAGAGCCCCAGGTGGAAAGGGGAAGCCAGGAAGAGCGGCCATGGAGAACAGTACCAGGACCTCTGGAGCACCTGTGCTGTGACCTTGAAGAGGAGCCACAGTCCCTTCAGGAGAAGGGTGAGAACTCACAGAGTGTGTGGGAAGCACAGTGCATAGTCTCCTAATATTTATTCCAAAAGTAGGGTTAAAAATCTCCAAATTGCCATGGACTAAATAGCATAACCTGTACCAGGACCAGCCCATTCTTTCTCAGCCCTGGTCACAGGTACAGAATAGGCTCCTGAATTCAGCAAACCATGCAACTGGGCTTCTCTTGTTTCTTCATAATTACTCCCTCCACATGCAAATGCATAATTAGTGATACTGAATGAGGGAGATGAAGGAAGTGACAGCAACCTGATTACTGTTGGATAACCCACTCAGTAAGATGTAATTTACTAGATGAAAATTACATTCAAGTACTGTAAATTCAAACTATAGCTAGTCTAACTAAAAGCCATCTGATACCCTTTCAGAACATTTTGAGTGATGGCCTTCTCATCTACATTTATGCATTTGAGTTTTACCAATGGGCATAGATACAGAAGTTGTGACCCTTAAGCCTCTCTAAAATGGGGCCCAGGCCCCATTGAGAAAGGGTAGATCGTTATTCTCTAATGTTTCTTCTCTCTCCTTATCAGCTCAGTCTGCTCCCTGGGTTCCTGCAATTCCCCAGGAGGGGAACACTGGAGACTGGGAGATGGCAGCTGCACTTCTTGCGGCTGGATCACAGGTGAGCTCTGCTTCCCTTGGCGTCTCCTGTGGTCCCATCACTGCTGCCTTTGTATTGCTTTCGCATCAGCCCATTGATGAGTTGGCTCACATGATCATCAATGGTATGTTCATCTTATAACTGAATAGATTCTATCCCTTTCCAAGGGGTCATAAGACCCTTGGAAAATTAAATGGACCTACAAGAAAGGGAATTCCTTGAGGTTAGGGTTTTTTTGAGTTTTGTTTTGTTTTTTGTTTTTGAGACAGAATCTCACTGTGTTGCCCTGGTTGGAGTGCAGTGGTATGATCTTGGCTCCCTGCAACCTCCACCTTCTGGGTTCAAGCGATTCTTGTGCTTCAGCCTCCCAAGTAGCTGGGACTACTGGCACACGCCACCACACCTAGCTAATTTTTGTGTTTTTAGTAGAGACAAGGTTTTGCCACGTTGGCCAGGCTGGTCTTGAACTGCTGACGTCAGGTGATCTGCCCACCTCAGCCTCCCAAAGTGCTGGGGTCACAGGTATGAGCCACCGTGCCTGGCCAAGGTTAGGGTTTTTAATGGATGGCTGTGTTTGTTATCCACAGGAGGATTTTAAGAATAATTAATTACCTTCCTTTAAGAAATAAATCTGGAAAGATTAGGAAAAGAGGACCTGAAGAAAGCTTAGAAGAACCTAAAGTGGAAGGATTGGGTAGATGAGGGAGCATTTATGGAAAAGAAGAGGAAGAAGGTTATAAAGAGGGGCAGAGCTAGAAAGGAAATTAGGTTTAGATTCAGAAGGCAATAGGAGAGCTGTGGAAAGCTAATACTAATAGTGTTAGTACTAATAGAGTACACCCCCAGAGTGTTTATCATGTATGCCATTTTCTGGGTGCTTTATGTATATTAACTCATTTAATTCTGAGAACAACTCAGTTATCCAATTTTACAGATGAGGAAATGGGGCAGGGAGAGATTAAGGCACTTGTGTAGGTCATGCTGCAAGAAAGTGGCAAAGCTGAGTCACTTGGCTCCAGATTCTGAGCTCCTAACCACCATACTGTGCTGCCTAAAAATATAAAGATATGGCCAGGCACGGTGGCTCATGCCTGTAATCCCAGCACTTTGGGAGGCCGAGGTGGGCAAATCACAAGGTCAGGAGTTCGAGACCAGCCTGGCCAACATGGTGAAACCCCGTCTCTACTAACACCACAAAAAAAATAGCTGGGTGTAGTGGTGGGTGCCTGTAATTCCAGCTACTTGGGAGGCTGAGACAGGAGAATCGCTTGAACCTGGGAGGTGGAGGTTGCGGTGAGCCAAGATTGTGCTACTGCACTCCAGCCTGGGCGACAGTGAGACTCCGTCTCAAAAAAAAAAAAATGCTGTGGCAAGGGAGGCAAGAAAGAATGTTTTATCTGTAGCATTTTGTGCTGATAGAAAAGGCAGGGTCCAGTGGAAGAAGGAGGAAATGGTACATAATTTCTTCATAAAAAGAGTAAGGCCAGGGAGAAGTGACTGAGTAGACACCTGTAGCTAAACAGAGGTGGTGATGAGTTTATGGTGCCTCCAGCTTCTCATGGCCCCACTTGGGAAATTCCTCCAGTAACATTACACTCACTCACTCCTTGACCATCTACCTTTACTCCTCTCCTCATTTCCCTGTTACCAAAACTATGTGCCCTACCCAGGGACTTCTGGGCAGCTCTTTTCTCAGATCATTTCTCACCCTCTCTCCTCTACTAACTTAGCCTTTCATACTGAATCACATTTTCCTTAAAAAACAGCTGCTGACAGAAGATGCTACATTTTGTTTCAGGGCCTGGTAACCATCAAGGATGTGTCACTGTGCTTCTCTCAGGAGGAGTGGCGGAGCCTGGACCCCTCTCAGACAGACTTTTATGGAGAATATGTCATGCAGGAAAACTGTGGGATAGTAGTCTCTCTGAGTAAGCATGACCTTCTCCAGCCACTAGAAGATTGGACTCTGGGAGGACGGAGCCATCTGCTTCAGGGCTATTGGATAGTGTCTGTCTAGGACTCTTTATGTGGCAGGGAATCTGTCTATGCTTCCGCTGGAGAAAGAACACTAGGGCCAATCCCAAGAGAATGAGAGTAAATATCATTAAAAAAAAAAAAGTAAAAAAGCAAATGATGCTTAATTGTGGAGTAGAACTTGAGGTTCTTCTTGGTTGGGAATTAGGAGGTTCTCATAAAGCAGAGAGAACTGGAACTGGGTCCTTGTAAACTTGGGAACCATGTAGAGGAAGATAGGGATGCAGGGAGTAGGACTGTCGTAGTAGGACTAAAGTGAAGTTACGCCCAGAAAGGCCAGCTGGGCTGGAAGTATCTGAGTGGAAGAAAACAGGTTCATTGGGAAGGAGAGTGATTTTCTAGGCAGAGAAGAGGGACTTAACAGAAATGGGTGGGGGAAGAGGTTGGGGTGGGGATATGTTTCTTTCTTGACCTTCTTTTGTCTAGAGTTCCAAACAATAGGAAACAGTTTTTTGTATTTTTTTTTCAGAAATATAGAATTGCTGTTGAACTAATTGACAGCTCTATTTTCCTTTCCCATGAGCAGGATTTCCAATTCCCAAACTGGACATGCTTTCTCAACTAGAAGGAGGAGAAGAACAATGGGTCCCTGACCCCCAGGACTTAGAGGAGAGGGACATTCTGAGGGTCACATATACAGGTAAGAACCTAGAATAGGCTTTCAGCCACTTCCTTCACAGTTCGGGACATCATCATTCCATGTTCGTTTAATCCCTCCTCTGCCTCAGAGAGTTCCAGAGACAAAAGGTTTAGAGATTTTTTTCTTCAAAAGCAAGGGAGTGTAATAGAATGATGTAGCAGGCACTTTGTGGATTTGAATTCTGGGCTGTAGTTGTGGGACCTTGGAAAAGTAATAAAACTCCCTTTGGTTTCTTCATCTGTAAATTATTGTGAAAATTAAATATATGAATATATTAGAATATTAGAATAGAACAGTGCCAAGCACATAATAAGCACTCAATAAATGTTAGTTGTTGTTATTGTTGATATTGTTGTCAACCTCCCACCCATTTCAGGAATGCCTTGAGGACTGCCGACAGGTGTCATTCAGCCAGTGACAATTGCGGCACATTCTGTAATTCTCTCCATCTATGCTTAGATAGAAAGATGCTGATTAATAGTAATATACAGTAGTAAATAAATAATGGTAATAAATAATAACAATAACATATACAATTTACTAAGTACTTAAACTATGTGCAGGTTCTGTGCTATCTATCTTATAACTGCCGGAGAGAGAGGTATTATTCCAATTTTACAGAAGAAATGAAGGTTTAGGGAAGTTAAGTGGGAAAGCTGAGATTCCATCTTAGGTAATCTGCCTCCTAAGCCTAGGCTTTTAACCTCTATATCTATTGCACTGTCTTGTACGACATTAGACTATGTTCTCTCAGCCCTTCTGGGGTCAAGTCTGGGCCCTGGCAGGTATCAGACAACCTCATTTGTGACTTAGGCCTCAAGCACTCTCTTGTGACTCTTCTCTTGGGGTTGGTATTTCCCCTTCTCCGCAGGAGATGGAAGTGAACATGAGGGGGATACCCCTGAACTAGAAGCAGAACCTCCCAGAATGTTATCCAGCGTGTCTGAAGATACTGTTCTCTGGAACCCGGAGCATGATGAGAGCTGGGATTCCATGCCCAGCAGCTCCAGAGGAATGCTCCTGGGGCCCCCTTTTCTTCAGGAAGATAGTTTCTCAAACCTGCTGTGTAGCACAGAGATGGATTCCCTGTTAAGACCCCACACATGCCCCCAGTGTGGGAAACAGTTTGTATGGGGTTCCCACCTTGCCAGGCATCAACAAACACACACTGGGGAGAGACCCTACAGCTGCCTCAAGTGTGAGAAGACCTTTGGGCGAAGACATCACCTCATCAGGCACCAGAAAACCCACCTACATGACAAGACCAGCAGGTGCTCTGAGTGTGGTAAGAATTTCCGATGCAACTCCCATCTGGCCAGCCACCAGAGAGTGCATGCAGAAGGCAAATCCTGCAAAGGCCAAGAGGTTGGAGAGAGCCCTGGCACAAGGAAACGGCAGCGTGCCCCACCAGTGCCAAAGTGTCACGTGTGCACTGAATGTGGGAAGAGCTTTGGCCGAAGGCACCACCTTGTGAGACACTGGCTGACCCACACTGGGGAGAAGCCCTTCCAGTGCCCTCGCTGTGAGAAGAGCTTTGGCCGAAAACATCACCTGGACAGGCACCTGCTCACCCACCAGGGACAAAGTCCCCGGAACAGCTGGGACAGAGGAACATCTGTCTTTTGAAATCTGTTTCCACTACAGCTATGGTCAAGTCTATCAGCCGGTGCTACCAGGAGTCACTGCCAGGGCTGCCGTTCTCCTGAACCCCAGTGGCCAGAATCATAAGCCCTGACCCCATCCCTAGAAAGATGAGGTCCCAGCAATGGCCAGAGCATTTCTCACCAGTTCTGTGAGATAGCACATAAAAATAGAGTTCTTTGGGCAAAACTTTTGGGAAGCAATGCATCCTACATGGGCTGATATTCAGCCTGAGCTGTTCTCAAGAGGAGAGTGGTACTGGCAGTTTATGGCTGAAATCCATTCTGATTGGTTGGAGTCTATGCTATACCAGTTGTTAAACATTTTGAGTATCACTCTTGCATACTGTTACTATTATATTTTCTCTATATATAGACAGAAAGGCCATTTTAGAATATTAAAGGCTCTGAAAATTTCTGCAGTAGACCCAACTGAAGGTTCTATTAAGGCAGTGTTTCCTAAATGTATTTGACCTCAGTATCCTTTCTATTTACATCCCACAGAACTGGTGACTATGAAACACTCTGGTGAACACTGGGTTAGAGAGTAACAAGGAAACAAGAGATAGTGATCAGGCATCCAGAGCCCCCTTTTTTATCCATATGAAAGCCAGGGGGGCCAGACCTTGTTCATGTGTGGGTCTGTCTTCCTTATGCCAATCAGCAGTATATACATCACCTCTCACCCTCACCTGCTGAAAAAATAACCTTTTTACCCATTATTCCTACTCCCTTCATCCTGCACATACATATATCCAGCTGAGAGATCACACTACAAGGCTAAGAGATGATCTAATACCCCCAAATAGCCCTGGCCCACACAGAAAAACAGAAAAACAAAAAAAACTTTATCCCCTTGAACAGTCCCCTCTCTCCTCTTGACTGTCTTTATGTGTCTGTGTATTTGTGTGCAGGGTCTTTGAAGACAGCATGCTATGTGCAAACTGTACAAGCTAGGTTTTCTAGGGGCTGTGTTCTGGGGATGAGGGTAGTGGGGATTATATGGGGTTTTTTCTTTGTTTCAAGACAGGAAGCAGTCTGGTTAAGGGAGAACTAGTGGAAAGGGTTAAATGACAGGTTAAGTTGAGTACAAAGCTTTCCCAGTACTGCTGAGATTAAGACAATTGTGGATGTGTATGTCTAGGTTTGAATCTCTGGGCTGCAGATTGCTTTTGCCCTGGCAGAGAAAGAGGAGTCTTTGGGGAGGTGAGCTGTTTCTTGTTGATTTCAGGCAAGAGGCACATAGAAACTTTGTATTGAGTGGGGATTTTGTTTTAAGTGCTGGAAAATTAGGGCAGGAATTACGTGTTTGCAAGTTGTTGCCATCACTGGTTTGAATTTGACTGCCTCATCAAGGGGCAAGAGTTATTCTTGAAGATCTCATTCTCCCAGAAACAGAACTTTAGGGAAAATGGCTGTGGCTTAGCTTTTCAGCTGCTGCAGGGTAATAAGCTTTCTGGTTGGTTTTCCTTCCAATTCTGGAAAGGTGTCCACACTAAGACCCTTAACTCTAGGGCTTGCATAAGTATTCTAGCATCGTTAGCTAATGAGTTGGTCATTGTTTCTCTTTATCAATAATTGTGTTAATACCAATCTTATAATTTAAAAATTATCTTGTATGTAAGAGCAGTTCGGGGTTAGGGAGGAAGAGGAGCAAAGTGGGATATTTTCTCTTTAATGCTTAGATACTGTTTCTTCCCTAAGATGTGTTTCTCAACCACAATTGGTGGAATGAACCAGAGAGGCAAGAGGAAGTGAATTGCACCAATTTAGTTTAGCGACTGTGCCTTTTGCAGGAAAAACTGGGTGAATCACAGCTCCTCAGAGTCCTGGACTCAACTAGAATTGAAGATAGACTTATTTTGCTGACTGGGCTTCTTAGAGTTTATGTGACTTGAACAGCTTGGCCCCTGCCTCCCTTCTGCTACTGTGAGCAGCCTTCCTTCTTCCTTCATTCTTCCTGGAATGCAGTTCTCTTGCTTATGATCCTATGAATAAGGCAAAATGGCTGGTCTTTGTAAGGCAGGTCTTGCCCTAGCTTCTCAGAAACAGGAGCATTTTAGGATCAGTATTAGGAGATGCCCCAGGGAGTAAGAAAGTATTGGGTTCAGTGATAAATCTGGACTCTGACATTTCTTTTACTCTCCCTCTTTAATACTAAAAGCTCTGCATAAGCAATGGTTCAGAACCTGTCTTGGGTACAGACCTGTTGAATCTGACAGAAACCAGAAACGCACTTTTGAGAAAAAGACATTTGTAATTCACTCAGTTTTCCATACACATTTAGCAGGTTCAAAGCCCATCTGTGGAATCCCTAAACTGCCTTCAAAGAAAGGGAGTTCCCCGATCTAAAATGGTCATTATATATTTGTGTCAAGAATTAGAAGGCAAGGGTCACTAAATATTTTAAGGATTAAGGTACCAGAGGCATCAGTGGTATAAGGATGGAGTCTGGTCTTTAATTACGACAAGGGTATTGCTTACATTCTACTCTCTGGTTTTCAAAAAGATCTGACATGCTGACAAATCCAGCTCCTCACAAATCTTGTTTGAAGGACTTGTGGGAAGTGATATTCCTTACTATTAGATCACGCCCCTTATAACTACATGTTAACATCCAGCCTTTTATCTGTTTGAGTAATTGTAGGGATAGAAAGTGAAGCCCCCAGAGTTAGGTGCAAGTATAGCACCCAGCTGAAAGGCATCATGGAGTCTAAGGGCCTTCTACAGAAGGGGCAATCCTTTGGGTTATTTCTGGTGTACCACTGTCTTCTCTACCTCGGTCCAACACCACCTCTCTTGGACAAAAAATAAAACAAGCAACAGCCATCAGATGAGTGAATAGATTTGAATGATTTTTCCCACAGGGAATCAGCCTCAAATGTTCATGTTTCACCCCGTCCCCTTTAAATAAAAAGAATCTCTGTGTTCTCTTTGGGCAAAATGTAAAACAGGGATATCATCTTCAGGAACCTGTCACATTTTTCCATCTGGTACCTCCACCCTATTCTGAGTATCCTCCCCTTTCCACCCCAACATAGTATCTTTCAAAGAATCCCTTGCATAGGAGACTGTAACCGAAAGTGTTAGCTTTTCACCAGGCTATTTACACTTTACGCCTTAGTTCTAATTGTGGAAGGAAAAACTTTTCCCTTGTCAAAGTAATGTTATGGCTTCAGAGAACCAAAGAGGTGATAATTTGGGACAAAATTCCTCCCTTTCCAACATTCCTGCAATCAAATCACTGTTTCCTATTTCCATCAAGGGCAGGTCCTGACTCAGACCTACAAAGGCCAGAAGGCCAGTTCTTTCCATCTCTGAATTAGGATGCATGCACTGAATGGGAGTGGGTGGGGCTGGGCAATATCAGAAAAGTGAAATCCATTCCTTTAGATCCTTAGAGAGCCTGAGCTAGCAAAATTTTCCTCTTTTCCCTTGTGAGCCATACCAAACTGTGGCTCTCAAAATTTGGTCTTTGGGCCAGCAGCATAAATATCACCTGGAAACTTGTTTGAAATGCAAATTCTTAGCCCCCGCCCCAGGAGAACTACTGAATCAGAAACTCGGGAAGGAGCTCAACGTTCAGTCTTTTAACTAAATGCCCTCCTGGATGTGTGATACAAGCTAAAGTTTGAGAACCACTGGCTAGGGGATTCATATTTCAAGCAGTGGTACCTCACCCTTTTCGGATGGATCTTCACACTCCTGTTGTCAGGTTTATTCTCTGTAGCCTCACTAGGCTAGACCTCAGTTCCATTCCCCTTAGTTGCAAGGTCTTCTTCCACTCTTAACTCAGTAAAAGAACTGGGGCTAGTCACCAATATCAGAAACTATGGTGGGGCAACTACCAAGCTCCTGTGATTCATTGGGGCTGGGGCTTCCAATATGGGCACTGAGGATACTTGGGTCCAGAAATCTGAAAGGACAGAAAGGAATAAACAACTCAAAGGTGGAAAATCCAATGTAAAACTGAAAAACTGACATCCGAGGAAATGATTCTCCTTTGCCTTGTCCTTTTCACTGGCTCTTCTAATAAGAGGCAGGTGGAGTGGGCATCTAGCACAAAGGTAGAGTAAGGCCTACCATGCCAAGCCCTTAAGAACCCAAGTTTTCCAACATAAAAATTGGATTAGAGACCAACGAGGGGCCATGGAAGGGATTTCTAACCATGATTTGGCATACCCTATGGGCAAGGGCAGCAGGAACATCAGAGTCCCCAGGGCATAAGAGAGAACTAGGTTTTTCTAGTAAGATTTGACACAAGCAAGATTTAAATCCAGACTCTGCTTACTAGGTAGAGGTTGTAACCAATGAAGCCATGGTGCCCAAAATGCATTCTGCTGCTTAGAAGATTCTGACAGATTCAGGCTGTGGGGAGGAATCTGCCTTGCAGTCTCTGACCCTGCTACCTCCTCCAGTTCCTCTCCCAGGCGCACCTATGAGGACAGACTGAACTGACAGTTATAAATCTGCCCACAGGTCTTCTCCAAGGTCAAAAGATTAGACCCCAAGGCTGAGACTTTCTTCAACTCCAGGCCTCATGCTGTCTCCCTCTTTCCTGCCACCACCTCCTTTTTCCCAACAGGCAGCATTCTTCCTCTACAATTTGTTCATACTCTTTTTCAGATTTTTTTGTTTGTTTGAGTTTTGCTTTGTTCTGACTGAGCAATAACATGCCCTTCCAAGGGCATTTGTTCTCTCCAACCCCCATTCCTTCTTCCATTCTAGTTTATCTCTTCAAGCTTCTGGCCAATTCTATTCCATCATGAGTCCACTTACTACCTATTCCTCTGCCTACTGTCCAGTTTCTTTTCTATCAGCTTTAAGCCTACTAAGCAGGGGTCAATTCATACTTACCACTCTCATCCTCCAAATTCTTGGCTTGGCTATAGCAGTTCATCAGCCACCTCACCACTCTGCCCCTTTCTCATACACACTCCCACAGGACACCACCACTACTCCACCCCCTGCCTAGTACTGCCAAATCTGGCCCCTCTACTCCATTCCCTAGAGGTTCTTCTTCCAATCAGGTAACTTCCAAAGTTGTTTTCCACTTTTCACCATTTTTAATTTACTTCCTTCCAGTCTCCTGTGACTCCTGAGAATCAAACTCTCTCTTTTTTTTTTTTTGAGATGGAGTCTTGCTCTGTCACCCAGGCTGGAGTGCAGTGACGCGATCTCGGCTCACTGCAAGCTCCGCCTCCCAGGTTTACGCCATTTTCTTGCCTCAGCCTCCCGAGTAGCTGGGACTACAAGCGCCCACCACCACGCCTATTTTTTTTTTTTTTTTTGTATTTTTTTTAGTAGAGACGGGGTTTCACGGTGTTAGCCAGGATGGTCTCAATCTCTTGACCTCGTGATCCACCCACCTTGGCCTCCCAAAGTGCTGGGATTACAGGCCTGAGCCACCGCGCCCAGCCCAAACTCTCAATTCTACAAGCAATTTTTTGTGTCCTTATTATGTGCCAGGCACTGGCAATTTCAGGCCTGGGAGATCAAATGTGACCCTTGCTCCTGCTCTCAGTGTGTTCTTCAGCCAAGCCCTCCCCCACCACCACTTTCCTGCCTTGTCTCTTGCCACCAGGCACCTGGGCATCCTCTTCCAGGAAACTTTGGGGATGAATGCCCACTTGCCATGCAGCCCAACTGCTCCGTGCCTATCAGATTTCTAGCTATTATCTGAATTGGTTCCTTCTGATGAACTGTGAACTTCCTTGGGTTACCCAACAGGGGACTTATGGTCCCTGTCAGTTGAATAAAAGATGTATTGGCTGTGTCACTTATTTGTTCTCTAGGTCTTCTTCACTTTTCCCTCCATTCCTGCTCTTTGCTCCTGACAAAAAAGACTACCACAGAACGGGAGAAGATAAGTCGCAGAATCTTCTGAGAACGAACTCGTCTCACTGCCTGAAACATAAGCCTCCAGAAGCAACAGGTTGGGCCTCGCCACCTCCCTCTGGCATCCTGGTCCCCATGTGATGCTCCTGAGTCAGCCAGACACTCAATCCAACCTGGAGAGGCTGGAGGATTGGGCTGGTGGTCTGCTCCCAGGGAGCACTTCAGCGGCAGACTGCTGAGCAGGGCCAGGACTAGGGAGATCACCCAGCACGAGTTTAAGGAGGCCCTCAGTTTCAAGGCCCTACAAGGGCTGACCCTGCTCTTGAAGATCTGTTGAGTGCTGAACTGTTGAGTGAAGATCTGTTGAGTGGAGCCACCAAGTGGTGGCGGTAGTGAGTGTGACTTGACCCCTTAGAGGCATGTTTGCAATAACTGGATATTCCTGAGATTGAGAGGATAGGGTAGGAAATGGTTGGAGGAGAAAACATGGAAAAGCAGGTGTGGAGGTAGGGTCGGAAGCCACTGTCCATTAACTCAGTGACAAAGCCTCCCCTCTTGGACAGGAAGGGCCTGTGTTGAGTGAAAGTCAAAGGCGTGGCTCCTCCTCTACAGGAGTTGCCTTAAAAAGCCTCAAGCCTATTGCTTAGGGGATGATCTTCAGATGCCTTGCAGCTTTCCTTACCCCAGCCAGATTGTTTTGTTGCCCTTGGGCCTCATAAGTTTCCTTATTTTCTTGTGTTCACTCTCGCTTCCCCTCAGCCACTTGGAGTCTGGTCTTTTCCATCACCAAAAAGGGAAGGAGGTAAGGGAATTGAGAAAAGGGAAAAGAGAAACACAGCCACTATGACTGCCCACTAGCTAGAAATCTGGCAGGCACGGGGATGGTATAAACTCCCACCAACACTGTATATGAGTGCCTGTTTCCCCACAGCCTTACCAGTAGAGTAGGCTCTTGAACATTTGGATTTTTGCCCATCTGATTAAAAATACTATTTTTTTGGTATTTATGTGTAGTATAGTTTAAACATGCATTTCTAAATTGGACCTTTTCATGTTTTTAAAAGGACATTTTTGTTTCTGTTAAGTGTTTTTCAAACAACCATTGAATATTTGTTCTAGAGGACATTGAACATTCGTTACAACTCAAATCCAACAATGATGTGATCAGCATTACACTAAGCAGTTGAGGTAAAAGAAAAGCAAAGAATTGAGGTCAGGGTCATTCAATTTGCTTTGACTAAAGTTAAATACCCAAATGTCTCACTCAAATGTGAGCTCAGAAAGGTGGAGATTATGTTTTATCCATTTTAGTATTCTCAGCACAGGGCCTAGAATCTTGCAGGCACTTAGTCATTAAGGAATGAATACTAGGGATGAGATTAGCTGTTCTTGGGAATGCCTCTGGCTGAGTACCCAGCCAACATTATGATCTTCACAATCTGTGTGGCTTGCTAATGAGACATGGTCATTTCTTATATTTCATCGGAGTACAGCCACCCTAAAGCTTATCAATGAAAAATAATCTGAAATGAGCATCGTTAGCTATATAAGGTCAAGGTCTGGGTCTCTCATGTCTGCTACTGTTCTTGCATATGGTGGGCACTTAATAAATTGGATACATTTTGCTGAATGAATGAAAGTTTGAAATGAAGAAACCATCATAAAACAAATATAAGTGTGATGATTTTTAGGAAATCTAGAAAACAAATTGTTCCCAGTATCATTCCCATCCTACCTTAGAGGAAAAAGGCTAATACTAGACCACCTAGTATTGCAGCCTTCTTAACTCCTTTGTTTAGCGAGGTCTGAGTTCTTGTCCCATGACCAAGAAGAAGGCAAGCAGACACCAGAGAGTAAGTAAGGCAGAGTAGAATTTACTAAGCAACAGAAAAGCTCTTAGCAGCAAGAGGGGACTCAAAAGTGGGTTGTCAGAAATGAGGCTGAGTTCTGGGTTTTTTATGTGGCAAAAGAAGTCTTCTGTGGGTTCTGTCATAATGGGAGGGGTAAAGTTCCCCCAGGGGTGTTGCACCATAGTGATTCCATCTTGGTTATTACCCAAGCACCTTAGCGAAACCCATGGTGGGGGGGAGGCGCCCAAACCACAGTGCTAATGATATTACAATTAGCTCTGGGTCATGTTCAGGACATTTAGTTGATTTATGGTGCCTGTGCCTAAGTTGGGACAGTCCCTTCTGAGCAGACATCCTGGTATGAGAGGAAATTCTTAACTACATTTCCATCTGCTAGTTACACCATAGGGAGGGTACAGGTGCGGTCCCACCGGCGCTGTCTCTCTCCCAAGAACCTCCTTCTCTATCTACCTAGCCAGCCTCTAATTGCCTCCTCTCTCACTGTTTCTTTAGGTAAAAACATCCTAAGACTATAAAGGGGGTAATACATCTGGCTATCATCAAGGCACTTGATTATTCTAATTGTGTTCAATAGACAATGTTTGATTTTCTCATTGCCTCTTTTCAGAGGCATTCTTCCACTCGCATTCACGTGCATAATAAACTTAATTACGGTGCTGCAAAGATAGTTGACCCAACCGGTTTAGCCAAAACTCACTGCATGTCTGCTTTCTGCCTTGCCTTGTAAAGTAGACATGTAGTTCTAGCTACTTCAGGCTCTAGCACCAAATGAGCACATTACTAGCAATTAGAAACATTTGGGGTTTTTTTATTTAATTTTTTTGAGCCAAGATCTCTCCCTGTCACCCAGGCTGGAATGCAGTGGCAGGATCACGGCTCATTGCAGCCTCTACCTCCCAGGCTCAAGTGAGCCTCCCACCTCAGCCTCCCAAGTAGCTGGGACTGCAAGCACACACGCCACCATACCCAGCTATTTTTTTTTTCTTTGTTGAGATGGGGTCTTCTTGTGTTACCCAGGCTGGTCTCAAACTCCTGGGCTCAAGCGATCCTCCCGCCTCAGCCTCCCAAAGTGCTGGGATTACAAGTGTGAGCCACTGCATTTTGGTTTTACCTCTCTTCTCAATTACTATCATCCTCCAACTTCCATACCTCTCCACCCTGTTTCCTGAGAACAGGGGCCTCTCTCTGATTTATCTTATCTCCAATACCTGGTGCTATAATGCTCACAGGTGCTCCTTCCAGTCTCTAACATTTCCTCATCTCTCCCGCTCACGTTTATCTTCTGCCCCACTCCTGAATTTCTGAGGAAATATTACCTATTAGATTGGTAACAATGAAAAAGACTTGGCAGCCGCCGCCGCCCGACCGCCGGGAGGATGGAGTTCAGCGGGCAGCGGAGCTGTCTCAGTCTTTGCCGCCGCGCCGGCGAGCGCCGCCAGGGAGGCAGCGGCTGGAGGAGCGGACGGGCCCCGCGGGGCCCGAGGGCAAGGAGCAGCCGCCTGCCTTGGCCTCCCAAAGTGCCGAGATTGCAGCCTCTGCCCAGCTGCCACCCCGTCTGGGAAGTGAGGAGTGTCTCTGCCTGGCCGCCCATCGTCTGGGATGTGAGGATCCCCTCTGCCTGGCTGCCCAGTCTGGAAAGTGAGGAGCGTCTCCGCCCGGCCGCCATCCCATCTAGGAAGTGAGGAGCGCCTCTTCCCAGCCGCCATCACATCTAGGAAGTGAGGAGCGTCTCTGCCCGGCCGCCCATCGTCTGAGATGTGGGGAGCGCCTCTGCCCCGCCGCCCCATCTGGGATGTGAGGAGCGCCTCTGCCCGGCCGAGACCCCGTCTGGGAGGTGAGGAGCGTCTCTGCCCGGCCGCCCCGTCTGAGAAGTGAGGAGACCCTCTGCCTGGCAACCACCCCGTCTGAGAAGTGAGGAGCCTCTCCGCCTGGCAGCCACCCCATCTGGGAAGTGAGGAGCGTCTCCGCCGGGCAGCCACCCCGTCCGGGAGGGAGGTGGGGGGGGTCAGCCCCCCGCCCGGCCAGCCGCCCCATCCGGGAGGGAGGTGGGGGGTCAGCCCCCCCGCCCGGCCAGCCGTGCCATCCGGGAGGGAGGTGGGGGGGTCAGCCCCCCGCCTGGCCAGCCGTGCCGTCCGGGAGGGAGGTGGGGGGGTCAGCCCCCCGCCCGGCCAGCCGCCCCGTCCGGGAGGTGAGGGGCGCCTCTGCCCGGCCGCCCCTACTGGGAAGTGAGGAGCCCCTCAGCCCGGCCAGCCACCCCGTCCGGGAGGGAGATGGGGGGGTCAGCCCCCCCACCCGGCCAGCCGCCCCGTCCGGGAGGGAGGTGGGGGGTCAGCCCCCCGCCCGGCCAGCCGCCCTGTCCGGGAGGGAGGTGGGGGCGTCAGCCCTCCGCCCGGCCAGCCGCCCCGTCTGGGAGGTGAGGGGCGCCTCTGCCCGGCCGCCCCTACTGGGAAGTGAGGAGCCCCTCTGCCCGGCCAGCCGCCCCGTCCGGGAGGGAGGTGGGGGGGTCGGCCCCCTGCCCGGCCAGCCGCCCCGTCCGGGAGGGAGGTGGGGGGGTCGGCCCCCCCGCCCGGCCAGCCGCCCCGTCCGGGAGGGAGGTGGGGGGGTCGGCCCCCCGCCCGGCCAGCCGCCCCGTCCGGGAGGGAGGTGGGGGGGGTCGGCCCCCCTGCCCGGCCAGCCGCCCCGTCCGGGAGGTGAGGGGCGCCTCTGCCCGGCCGCCCCTACTGGGAAGTGAGGAGCCCCTCTGCCCGGCCAGCCGCCCCGTCCGGGAGGGAGGTGGAGGGGGTCAGCCCCCCCGCCCAGCCAGCCGCCCTGTCCGGGAGGTGAGGGGCGCCTCTGCCTGGCCGCCCCTACTGGGAAGTGAGGAGCCCCTCTGCCCGGCCAGCCGCCCCGTCCGGGAGGGAGGTGGGGGGGGGGGTCGGCCCCCCTGCCTGGCCAGCCGCCCCGTCCGGGAGGTGAGGGGCGCCTCTGCCCGGCCGCCCCTACTGGGAAGTGAGGAGCCCCTCTGCCCGGCCACCACCCCGTCTGGGAGGTGTGCCCAACAGCTCATTGAGAACGGGCCAGGATGACAATGGCGGCTTTGTGGAATAGAAAGGCGGGAAAGGTGGGGAAAAGATTGAGAAATCGGATGGTTGCCGTGTCTGTGTAGAAAGAAGTAGACATGGGAGACTTTTCATTTTGTTCTGCACTAAGAAAAATTCCTCTGCCTTGGGATCCTGTTGATCTGTGACCTTACCCCCAACCCTGTGCTCTCTGAAACATGTGCTGTGTCCACTCAGGGTTAAATGGATTAAGGGCGGTGCAAGATGTGCTTTGTTAAACAGATGCTTGAAGGCAACATGCTGGTTAAGAGTCATCACCACTCCCTAATCTCAAGTACCCAGGGACACAAACACTGCGGAAGGCCGCAGGGTCCTCTGCCTAGGAAAACCAGAGACCTTTGTTCACTTGTTTATCTGCTGACCTTCCCTCCACTATTGTCCCATGACCCTGCCAAATCCCCCTCTGTGAGAAACACCCAAGAATTATCAATAAAAAAATAAATTAAAAAAAAAAATAAACTTAATTACAACATGGGGAAATGTCAAGTTCTGATCATCTATAGATGAGATAATGCTGCAAGAATTCTGCGGTTACTAGGCTTTGCATAGGCTTAAAGCAGTGATTCTCAAGGGTGTGAAAGGGTAAATATTAGCATCACTTAAGGGTGGTTTTTTGGTGTTTTTTTTTTTTTTTGGTCTGTTTTAAATACACATACCCTGTTGCCGCTTGTAGGAGATATAAGACTCTCCTGAGGAAAAGCTTGGTCAGGTGTACCTGGAGAAAGCTCCCAGGAGGTTCTAATACCTTCCCACTGCCACTTTTACCTCTTTAAGAATACAAAGTACTTCCCAGCCGCTTCCATGTCCCCATTCCTTTGACTTCGGCTGAAAACAGCTACTCTTTCCTTCAATCAGCTAATTTGACGTTTTACTTCCCGAGGAATCATTTGTGTCCTGTCAGCCTATGGCATGAGAACTACTCCTGCACTTTTCTTAACCCCTGCATTCAGAACTAAAATCATACATTTGTTTCATACTTGTTACACAGTGCTCAATACATGTTGTTATTGTTAAGAAAAGCAAAAGACCTATTCATTATCTAGCCTTCTCCATCTCCTTGTATTTGTGCTATGCAATCTGTCAATCTTCATAATTTCCTCTTTAGGAGTTGGCACTTTCTCAGAAGATAATTTCCTTATTGCTGAATTTTGTCAAGAAAACCATTATGCCATGATGTTTAAGTCCCCTTTTCATTTTACTGACATTTAAATCACCTAGAAATCATCTTAGCTCAATCCCAACATTTTACTGAGAAGAAAACCAAGACCATGAATGGTTAAGAAATAACTCAGCAAAGGTCAGACTAGCAGAACTTTGACTAGAATCTTGGTCTTACTACATAGTGGTCCAGCAGTTTTCTGCTATAGCACATTACCACTCCATCGGGAATTAATTATACACATATTTAACTCTCAGTGATGAGTACCTATCCTATGCCAGGCCCTATGCTGGATGCTTTCATACACTTATTTAACTGAGGATTGACATAAGAATATCTTTTAAATTAAAATAGGTTATCAATTCAAGGCAAAAACTACAAACTCATTATAATCAATTTTGGGAGGACTTTGTCCTAAAAGGAATTTCAGGTAAGAACACTTTGAATCAGTGGGACCACTCAACTTAAAGACTGTCTACTCTTTTCCCAACATGCCTTCCTCCCCAGAACTCAATTTGGATTTGCTAGAGTATCTAACAATACTTCAACACTTGTTAAGCTGCTGGTTTTCCTCTGTTTTCTCTCCTTCTAAAAGACATTTCTCTGAGTTCTGCAGCAGGAACAGAATCTCAGCTAATTTACTGTCTTCACTGAACGTTACCACCACCCACCCCTTCCCTTCCAGGTGCGGCAAAGAGGAAACAGACACAAGGTGGTCTAGAGGTCCATTTCATTTCAATGAGTGTGACAGCCGCTCTTCTTGGGGCCTATGGGGGAAAGGCATTGGTCCGTGGTGGGAGTGAAGCTGCTCCCACAAGATGCATTCCCAACTGGATCAGGAAGACCTTCAGATTTAGGGGAGGTCTTTGTGGAAGTCTTTAGTGGAGTCTTCCCCTGCCCGCTAGATGTCCGGTCGGTTTTAGCCCGCGTTGGCTACTGGATGGTCCGCTGTGCGGGCTTCTTGGGCTCCTGCTTCTCTTCCCTGGGCTTGGAGCTTCGCCTCTTGTCCTTCCCTGACCTCGGCGTGGTGTCTTCCTTCACGGCCTGTCCTCGCCCCTCGTCTGCCGCTGTCGCTCCCGCTTCCTCCTTGGCTCTGGCACACGGCGGCTCCTTGGCTCTCGGCCTTGCCCTCCTGGTCCTCCTCGCCCTGGCATTGGCCTTGGCTTTCGCCCTCGCGTTCCGTCTCCACACTTCTCTGGCCTTCCTGGCCGCCTTGCGAAGGGGCTGGCGGCGCCTCCGGGAGCTCCGGGGCGCGGCTGGGGTCCTCCAGGGAGCGCGCGTGCCCTCCTCTTGCCTCGCGCGTCCCGGCTTTCTCCTGGGCTTGGGAACCTTCCAGACCCTGAAGTAGCCGGCGGCGTCGCTGCCGCTGACCCGGAGGAGCGTGGCCTTGGCCTGCCCCCTGGGCGCTTCGTGGCGGCCGCTCTTCCTGCGCACTTCGTAGCCGGCGTTTCGGAGCTCCTTCTTGAGAGCTGCCAGAGTCAGCCCTTTGTGAGTGGAGATGGCCTGGAGCACCAACTGGGACACTCTGAGCACGGAGCTTGAGCAGCCCCTCGATGGTCCCCCGACAGTTTTTTCCGCTGGCAGCTGAGTGGCTGAGTGTCCTCGGGATTCGCCACTGGGCCCAGGCGCCTCAGCCATGGCCCCACTCCCGCCTCTGCGGGGCCACCGGCTTTGGGCCTCACCAGTCAAGGCCTGTTCCATAGCTGAGGTAGACTGGGCCACGTCACAAAGGCAGGCCTGGCAGAGATTTTCAGGTCCTAATTATGGGGCTGGCATATCTCACCCGGGGAGGGGCCCTTTTCACTTATAATAACCAATCAAATGCCACTTCCTTCTAGGTCTAAACCAATCCAAGTCTTCAGCGCCTGTCCACCCCCAACAGTCACCTACCTATAGAGTCTCCAGGGTTTTGTTCCCAAATCAAACTTACTGATCTCGATCTCCACCGCTTTCTTTAGTCGGCTATTTTGTGTGTGTATGTGGTCCTGCAAACCATCTACCCACAGTTCCTTAAGGTGAGCGAAGCTGCTCCCAACTATCCAAAACAAGCAACACACTGCCTGTAGAAAGTACACGGGGTAGTCCATGAAACACAACCCAGATTAGAAACTCCCACCTTTAATTCCACCAGTCAGGTATCTGAAGTCATGTCTCCCTAATTCTACACAGTGGATTCTGTGCAAGAGCATGAAGTAAAAAAGGAACCAATTGTGTGATCCCTCTACCCTAAACACTGATTCCCACACCTGGGAAATTTAGATGACGCATTCAACTGTACTGAAACAATCTAGATTTCACATCGCCTGAGGATACTGGTCTAATCATTATTCTTTGAACATACTGTGTTTTTTTCCATCTCATCCCCTCTCTTGGATTTCTCATCCTCTTTGTCTGCCCAGATAAGTCCTGCTCATCTTTCAAGGTACTGCTACATTATCCTTCTTCACTGAAGACTCCCCAAACTCTTTCAAATGATTTCTTGCCTCTTAACTACCACAACCACCAAAATTACTTCTGCAATCTTATATGGCTTTTTCTTTATTTTAAATGAATTTGGCATTAGAGGGTATAATGTGACACAATATTTTTTAAAAAGAAAAAAACTCGTACTTGGAGCTGGAAGATATGGATGCATATCCTAGCTCTTTAGGAGCCATATGACATTAACAAATCCCTTAATATCAGTGGTGTGGCTGTCAGATGGATGTGCCGGCCATCTGACTTCTTATCTAACATCACATTCCCTTCCTACCAACATCACAGAATTATTGCAAAATTTCAGAAGAGGTAGATGAACAAGGGCTACCTAAATATAAGGAATAAATTTACTTTACTTTGAATGTTTCTGTCTTGTATTTCCAACTAAATAAAGATATCCTCAAGAGCTATAGTCTTTGAACTTCTATGTCCCATGCTGCACCTAACAATATGCTTCATTATACACAGCGGGCATTTAATTGAGCCTGCTTACATCATTCCTCTCTGGTGAGGAGAGTTTCTCTAGATTCAGAAAGAAACTTCCAGAAGATCAGGAGAAAGGAGCAGAGTGAATTTCAAAGGGTTGGAAATGAAGGGGGCCAAGTAAGGATTAGCTTATCAAGGACCTATTTTGGACACAGTTTAGTTGGGAATAATTTAAAGTATTATTCTAAGAATACTTCAAATTGCCAAGCATATCATACTTTTCCAGAGGGCAATCACATACATTCATCAGTCACAGGCTAGACAGTGACAGTTTCTTTTAAAAATCAAAGCTCCAGGAAGTAGCTTAGACCAGTGCTTTTTTTTTTTTTTTTTGAGACAGAGTCTTGCTCAGCCCAGGCTATGTAATGGCACAATCTTGGCTCACTGTAACCTCCACCTCCTGGGTTCAAGCAATTCCTGTGTCTCACCCTCCCAAGAAGCTGGGATTACAAGCATGTGCCACCACATCCAGCTAATTTTTTTTTTTTTTTTTTGAGACAAAGTCTCACTCTGTTGCCCAGGCTGGAGTGCAGTGGTGCAATCTCGGCTCACTGCAACCTCCGCCTCCTGGGTTCAAGTGATTCTCGTGCCTCAGCCTCCCAAGTAGCTAGGATTACAGGTTCCTGCTACCATGCCCAGCTAATCTTAGTATTTTTAGTGGAGATGGGGTTTCACCAGGCTGGTTGGCCAAGCTGGTCTCAGACTCCTGACCTCAGGTGATCCACCCACCTTGGCCTCCCAAAGTGCTGGGATTACAGGCGTGAGCCACTGCGCCTGGCCCTTATTTATTTATATATTGGTAGAGACGAGGTTTTGCCATGTTGGCCAGGCTGGTCTCGAACTCCTGGCCTCAAGCAATCCACCCACCTCAGCCTCACAAACTGCTGGGATTATAGGCATGAGCCACTGCGCCCAGCCAGACCAGTGCTTCTTAAACTTCAATGTGCATATTTAATACCCTGGGATACTCATAAAGTGCAATTCATAGGTCTGAAGATAGGGCTAGAGGTTTTACCTTCTAAGAAGCTTCCAGGTAGTTCTATCTGGTTAAAACACAGGTGTGTGTTGAGGGGCAGGGAGAGGGTAGACAATGAGAAGGGGAGTAGCAGGAGATACGACTGAAAAGGTAGTTAAGGGACATTGGGAAGGACAACTAGTGATAATGACAGAGCTGTAAGTGGTGACACGGTAGCAAGTGGTAGAGTTTGGAACCAAACCTAAGTCTACTTAATCCTAAGGCCTAAGTTCTTAAGTACTGTGTTAGGTTTCCTTTTCTCTAAGGTTGACCCTTTCCCTATTATATATCTCCACCATAAAGCAGGGGCTAGTTTATCTCCATAATCACAGTTCAGAGCTGCTCAGATTCAAGAGTATCTAAAGGCACTCACTGTACCTTTTCCCATCTTTAAAATCAGGGCACAGTAATGTGACCCTGAGGATTTACATGGGCAGGGGACTACTGCATCAGCACAGGGACAGTGCACCCAGGAAGGACTGCCAGATGGAAAGGCAGGACCACATTAAGCAGGATTTCTCCCATTTGTATAGTCTCTTGGTCTAGCTACCCTTCCTGGTTGCAGAGACCAGTGGCCACAGGATGGGGCAAACACCAGATAAAAAAGAGGCATAACTGCTTGCTTTGAGAATAAGGAAGAAAATGAGTGAAGTCAGACCCTTGAAGTCAGCTGATCCAGAGAAAAATAGACTGACTGTACATAATGGTGTAATCATGAAAGACAAGAACAAAATCAACCAACCATGTTTACTGATGCCCCTGTGATCAGAAGGGAGGCCAAGTTGAAACCTTTGGGAGAGGCGAAATCAAAGGAAAACGAATAAATGAAAAAAAATCGAGGAACAGCTCCAGTCTAAGCTCCCAGCGTGAGCGACGCAGAAGATGGGTGATTTCTGCATTTCCACCTGAGGTACCGGGTTCATCTCACTAGGGAGTGCCAGACAGTGGGCACAGGTCAGTGGGTGCAGCGCACCGTGGGCAAGCCGAAGCAGGGCGAGGCATTGCCTCACTCCGGAAGCGCAAGGGGTCAGGGAGTTCCCTTTCCTAGTCAAAGAAAGGGGAGACAGACGGCACCTAGAAAATCAGGTCACTCCCACCCGAATACTGTGCTTTTCTGACAGGGTTAAAAACCGGCACACCAGGAGATTATATCCTACACCTGGCTCAGAGGGTCCTACGTCCACGGAGTCTCGCCGATTGCTAGCACAGCAGTCTGAGATCAAACTGCAAGGCGGCAGCAAGGCTGGGGGAGGGGCACCCCCCATTGCCCAGGCTTGCATAGGTAAACAATGCAGCCGGGAAGCTCGAACTGGGTGGAGCCCACCACAGCTCAAGGAGGCCTGCCTGTCTGCCTCTGTAGGCTCCACCTCTGGGGGCAGGGCACAGACAAACAAAAAGACAGCAGTAACCTCTGCAGACTTAAATGTCCCTGTCTGACAGCTTTGAAGAGAGCAGTGGTTCTCCCAGCACGCAGCTGGAGATCTGAGAACGGGCAGACAGCCTCCTCAAGTGCTTCCCTGACCCCTGACCCCTGAGCAGCCTAACTGGGAGGCACCCCCAAGTAGGGGCAAACTGACACCTCACACGGCCGGGTACTCCTCTGAGACAAAACTTCCAGAGGAACAATCAGACAGCAGCATTCACCGTTCACGAAAAACCACTGTTCTGCAGACGCCGCTGCTGATACCCAGGCAAACAGGGTCTGGAGTGGACCTTTAGCAAACTCCAACAGACCTGCAGCTGAGGGTCCTGTCCGTTAGAAGGAAAACTAACAAACAGAAAGGATATCCACACCAAAAACGCATCTGTACATCACCATCATCAAAGACCAAAAGTAGATAAAACCACAAAGATGGGGAAAAAACAGAGCAGAAAAACTGGAAACTCTAAAAAGCAGAGAACCTCTCCTCCTCCAAAGGAACGCAGTTCCTCACCAGCAATGGAACAAAGCTGGACGGAGAATGACTTTGACGAGTTGAGAGAAGGCTGCAGACGATCGAACTATGAGCTACAGGAGGAAATTCAAACCAAAGGCAAAGAAGTTAAAAGCTTTGAAAAAAATTTAGATGAATGTATAACTAGAATACCCAATAGAGAGAAGTGCCTAAAGGAGCTGATGGAGCTGAGGGCCAAGGCTGGAGAACTACGGGAAGAATGCAGAAGACTCAGGAGCCGATGCGATCAATTGGAAGAAAGGGTATCAGCGATGGAAGATGAAATGAATGAAATGAAGCGAGAAGGGAAGTTTAGAGAAAAAAGAATAAAAAGAAACGAACAAAGCCTCCAAGAAATATGGGACTATGTGAAAAGACCAAATCTACTTCTGATTGGTGTACCTGAAAGTGATGGGGGAATGGAACCAAGTTGGAAAACACTCTGCAGGATATTATCCAGGAGAACTTCCCCAATCTAGCAAGGCAGGCCAACATTCAGATTCAGGAAATACAGAGAACGCCATAAAGATACTCCTCGAGAAGAGCAACTCCAAGACACATAATTGTCAGATTCACCAAAGTTGAAATGAAGGAAAAAATGTTAAGGGCAGCCAGAGAGAAAGGTCGGGTTACCCACAAAGGGAAGCCCATCAGACTAACATCTGATCTCTCAGCAGAAACTCTACAAGCCAGAAGAGAGTGGGGGCCAATATTCAACATTCTTAAAGAAAAAAATTTTCAACCTAGAATTTCATATCCAGCCAAACTAAGCTTCATAAGTGAAGGAGAAATAAAATACTTTACAGACAAGCAAATGTTGAGAGATTTTGTCACCACCAGGCCTGCCCTAAAAGAGCTCCTGAAGGAAGCACTAAACATGGAAAGGAACAACCAGTACCAGCCGCTGCAAAATCATGCCAAAATGTAAAGACCATCGAGACTAGGAAGAAACTGCATCAACTAACGAGCAAAATAACCAGCTAACATCATAATGACAGGTTCAAATTCACACATAACAATATTAACTTTAAATGTAAATGGAGTAAATGCTCCAATTAAAAGACACAGACTGGCAAATTGGAGAAAGAGTCAAGACCCATCAGTGTGTTGTATTCAGGAAACCCATCTCACATGCAGAGACACACATAGGTTCAAAATAAAAGGGTGGAGGAAGATCTACCAAGCAAA
Source organism: Homo sapiens (assembly GCF_000001405.40). NCBI lineage: Eukaryota > Metazoa > Chordata > Mammalia > Primates > Hominidae > Homo > Homo sapiens. Next base: position 48,323,891 of record NC_000012.12, on the reverse strand, counting down.
TGGAAAACAAAAAAAGGCAGGGGTTGCAATCCTAGTCTCTGATAAAACAGACTTTAAACCAACAAAAATCAAAAGACACAAAGAAGGCCATTACATAATGGTAAAGGGATCAATTCAACGAGAAGAGCTAACTATTCTAAATATATATGCACCCAATACAGGAGCACCCAGATTCATAAAGCAAGTCCTGAGTGACCTACAAAGAGACTTAGACTCCCACACATTAATAATGGGACACTTTAACACCCCACTGTCAACATTAGACAGATCAACGACACAGAAAGTTAACAAGGATACTCAGGAATTGAACTCAGCTCTGCATCAAGCGGACCTAATAGACATCTACAGAACTCTCCACCCCAAATCAACACAATATACATTTTTTTCAGCACCACACCACACCTATTCCAAAATTGACCACATAGTTGGAAGTAAAGCTCTCCTCAGCAAATGTAAAAGAACAGAAATTATAACAAACTATCTCTCAGACCACAGTGCAATCAAAGTAGAACTCAGGATTAAGAAACTCACTCAAAAACTGCTCAACTACATGGAAACTGAACAACCTGCTCCTGAATGACTACTGGGTACATAACGAAATGAAGGCAGAAATAAAGATGTTCTTTGAAACCAACAAGAACAAAGACACAACATACCAGAATCTCTGGGACACATTCAAAGCAGTGTGTAGAGGGAAATTTATAGCACTAAATGCCCACAAGAGAAAGCAGGAAAGATCCAAAATTGACACCCTAACATCACAATTAAAAGAACTAGAAAAGCAAGAGCAAACACATTCAAAAGCTAGCAGAAGGCAAGAAATAACTAAAATCAGAGCAGAACTGAAGGAAATAGAGACACAAAACCCCTTCAAAAAATTAATGAATCCAAGAGCTGGTTTTTTGAAAGGATCAACAAAATTGATAGACCGCTAGCAAGACTAATAAAGAAAAAAAGAGAGAAGAATCAAGTAGATGCAATAAAAAATGATAAAGGGGATATCACCACTGATCCCACAGAAACACAAACTACCATCAGAGAATACTACAAACACCTCTACGCAAATAAACTAGAAAATCTAGAAGAAATGGATAAATTCCTCGACAAATACACCCTCCCAAGACTAAACCAGGAAGAAGTTGAATCTCTGAATAGACCAATAACAGGAGCTGAAATTTGGCAATTATCAATAGCTTACCAACCAAAAAGAGTCCAGGACCAGATGGATTCACAGCCGAATTCTACCAGAGGTATAAGGAGTAACTGGTACCATTCCTTCTGAAACTATTCCAATCAACAGAAAAAGAGGGAATCCTCCCTAACTCATTTTATGAGGCCAGCATCATCCTGATACCAAAGCCGGGCAGAGACACAACCGAAAAAGACAATTTTAGACCAATATCCTTGATGAACATTGATGCAAAAATCCTCAATAAAATACTGGCAAACAGAATCCAGCAGCACATCAAAAAGCTTATCCACCATGATCAAGTGGGCTTCATCCCTGGGATGCAAGGCTAGTTCAATATACGCAAATCAATAAATGTAATCCAGCACATAAACAGAACCAAAGACAAAAACCACATGATTATCTCAATAGATGCAGAAAAGGCCTTTGACAAAATTCACCAACCCTTCATGCTAAAAACTCTGAATAAATTAGGTATTGATGGGACATATCTCAAAATAATAAGAGCTATCTATGACAAACCCACAGCCAATATCATACTGAATGGGCAAAGACTGGAAGCATTCCCTTTGAAAACTGGCACAAGACAGGGATGCCCTCTCTCACCACTCCTATTCAACATAGTGTTGGAAGTTCTGGCCAGGGCAATTAGGCAGGAGAAGGAAATAAAGGGTATTCAATTAGGAAAAGAGGAAGTCAAATTGTCCCTCTTTGCAGACGACATGTTTGTATATCTAGAAAACCCCATTGTCTCAGCCCAAAATCTCCTTAAGCTGGTAAGCAACTTCAGCAAAGTCTCAGGATACAAAATCAATGTACAAAAATCACAAGCATTCTTATACACCAATAACAGACAAACAGAGAGCCAAATCATGAGTGAACTCCCATTCACAATTGCTTCAAAGAGAATAAAATACCTAGGAATCCAACTTACAAGGGACGTGAAGGACCTCTTCAAGGAGAACTACAAACCACTGCTCTATGAAATAAAAGAGGATACAAACAAATGGAAGAATATTCCATGCTCATGGCTAGGAAGAATCAATATCGTGAAAATGGCCATACTGCCCAAGGTAATTTATAGATTCAATGCCATCCCCATCAAGCTACCAATGACTTTCTTCACAGAATTGGAAAAAACTACTTTAAAGTTCATATGGAACCAAAAAAGAGCCCGCATCGCCAAGTCAATCCTAAGCCAAACGAACAAAGCTGGAGGCATCACACTACCTGACTTCAAACTATACTACAAGGCTACAGTCACCAAAACAGCATGGTACTGGTACCAAAACAGAGATATAGATCAATGGAACAGAACAGAGCCCTCAGAAATAACGCCTCTTATCTACAACTATCTGATCTTTGACAAACCTGAGAAAAACAAGCAATGGGGAAAGGATTCCCTATTTAATAAATGGTGCTGGGAAAACTGGCTAGCCATATGTAGAAAGCTGAAACTGGATCCCTTCCTTATGCCTTATACAAAAATCAATTCAAGATGGATTAAAGACTTAAACATTAGACCTAAAACCATAAAAACCCTAGAAGAAAACCTAGGCATTACCATTCAGGACATAGGCATGGGCAAGGACTTCATGTCTAAAACACCAAAAGCAATAGCAACAAAAGCCAAAATTGACAAATGGGATCTAATTAAACTAAAGAGCTTCTGCACAGCAAAAGAAACTACCATCAGAGTGAACAGGCAACCCACAAAATGGGAGAAAATTTTCGCAACCTACTCATCTGACAAAGGGCTAATATCCAGAATCTACAATGAACTCAAACAAATTTACAAGAAAAAAACAAACAACCCCATCAAAAAGTGGGTGAAGGACATGAACAGACACTTCTCAAAAGAAGACATTTATGCAGCCAAAAAACACATGAAAAAATGCTCACTATCACTGGCCATCAGAGAAATGCAAATCAAAACCACAATGAGATATCATCTCACACCAGTTAGAATGGCAATCATTAAAAAGTCAGGAAACAACAGGTGCTGGAGAGGATGTGGAGAAATAGGAACACTTTTGCACTGTTGGTGGGACTGTAAACTAATTCATCCATTGTGGAAGACAGTGTGGCGATTCCTCAGGGATCTAGAACTAGAAATACCATTTGACCCAGCCATCCCATTACTGGGTATATACCCAAAGGACTATAAATCATGCTGCTATAAAGACACACGCACACGTATGTTTATTGCGGCACTATTCACAATAGCAAAGACTTGGAACCAACCCAAATGTCCAACAATGATAGACTGGATTAAGAAAATGTGGCACATATACACCATGGAATACTATGCAGCCATAAAAAATGATGAGTTCATGTCCTTTGTAGGGACATGGATGAAATTGGAAATCATCATTCTCAGTAAACTATCACAAGAACAAAAAACCAAACACCACATATTCTCACTCATAGGTGGGAATTGAACAATGAGAACACATGGACACAGGAAGGGGAACATCACTCTCTGGGGACTGTTGTGGGGTGGGGGGAGACAATTGTTATTGTCTGCTCAGCTTATCTCTACCATTCCTCTAATAACTGAACTCCATGGTTCAATATGCTTCCAAGAGACACTGTTAATCATGGAATCCCCAAATCCTCTCCACCCTCACCTCCCCACCCCCAACCCCTGTCATTATTCACTCATTCTTCCTGGCACAGTGACTGGTCCAGAAATGGGCACATGGTCAATGTCAGATCATTTACTCTCTTAGGATTTTTTTTTTCTTTTAAGACAGCCTCTTTTGGTCGCCCAGGCTGGAGTGCTGTGGCACGGTCTCGATTCACTGCAACCTCCGCCTCCCAGCTTCAAACGATTCCCCTGCCTCAGCCTCCCAAGTAGCTGGGATTACTGTCTTAGGAATTTTAGTCTCATGGATGAAATTGGAAATCATCATTCTCAGTAAACTATCACAAGAACAAAAAACCAAACACCACATATTCTCACTCATAGGTGGGAATTGAACAATGAGATCACATGGACACAGGAAGGGGAATATCACGCTCTGGGGACTGTGGTGGGGTGGGGGGAGGGGGGAGGGATAGCATTGGGAGATATACCTAATGCTAGATGACGAGTTAGTGGGTGCAGCGCACCAGCATTTCACATGTATACATATGTAACTAACCTGCACATTGTGCACATGTATCCTAAACTTAAAGTATAAAATAAAAGAAAGAAAAAGAAAAAAAATCAAAAACATCAACAGCAAAAAAGCAAACATTTTCATTTATCTATATAACCATTCATTTTTTTATAGATCTCTGTATAAATATGCTGTAAGTAGTAGATGAATACTTTTTTTTAATAAGAGCAGGAAACAAATGCCCCACTTGCCACTCAGCTGGCTCAGAGGTCAAGAAAGCTAGCTGACAGATATTTTCCAAATCACCAATCCCTTAAGAGTTCTTTCCTTCCTCTTTGGAAGAAATCTACTGCCAGCTCTCTTCTTCTGACATCCCAAAAGGAAAAGATACTTCAGAAAAGTGATTTCTTTAGGAAAAAAGTCAGTAAAAACTAGCACCACACCACTAAACCAGAGATACCAACTCCAGCTCCACAAAGACAAGCCTGAAGTATCTCTTTGAATTTTAATGGTCTATGATTATAAATCAGAAGTTATCACTTAAAGAGGACAGCACCAACCTTTTGTGAGAAAGAGCAATAGCTCTTAATTTCATGAAGTTTTGTGGGTCAGGGGTGAGAGGGTTGTAGGGAGGAAGGACACTTGGGAATGATGTCTAACCTATATCCTTCTGCTTTGAATTCCAGAGCAAGATAGTTTTTGTTCTTGGAGGTCTCTAGAGGAACTTGGTTGATTTAAAGAGTGAGCAACCTTTAAATGCTAAATCCCAAGAACATCAGACAGAGGTTTCATTAATCTCACTCACTCATACGGAGTTATACTGATTTAATTTCACCAAGGATAACTCCATGCCAGAGCACAGCAGAATTCAGCAGTATACTGATCTAACCTCATTCTATCTCACTGTCCCTCCCTGGATCCACAGGCCTGGGATTCCAAGGTCCTGCATCTTTCTGACTCAATTATCTTGCATTTATTTAATTTATCTCACCCCAAGATGAATGACAGAAACCTGTTCAGCAGTGTACTAAGACTCCCCCATTGACCTGAACCTGCTACTACTTTTTTTTCCAAAAGTCATTTTCTGACTCATCTTGTTTTATATTCTAAGACCCTGTCTTCCCCCTGCACTACTATGTGGCTTCTACTTTAATACAAATGACCCCAACAACAGTCATTTGAACAAATGATCCCACCAGTCCCAGTCATAGCTTTGGAGAAGACTAACGTGGCTTATAAAAAGGAATGCAAAAATAAAATAACAATGTTTCTTAAAAGCATGGGGATAGTTTGGCAATTGTGCATTCATCCTTTTAATCCTCAGCACAATTGTTTGGAAGTGAGTCTGGGGAGCCTAGACCCAAGGGATCTCACTAGAGGAGCAGGAAAATCTCTCAGCAAGTAGCCTGAAAATATGAAGATCTGGTCTCCCTGGCCCTTTCCATTGAAGAATACTAAGGATCTCTAAATACCCCACATAACATAAACATACATAAAATCTATACCTGTACCCCAACCCCCAAATGACAGCAAGGGAGAAGTGTTGGCTTTTAGTGTTATCAAATTCCTACCCAAGTTCTTTTTCTTACCCAAACACAAGTGTGCTACATAAATTAAGCCCCTCATCCAAGCATTACTAATAGTTAGGTCTTTGCACGAGCCCACAATATGAGGTCTCTAAGAACCATTCTACTATGATCAGTTAATCTCAAACTGAAAACCCATTTCTCTGAGGATTCATACTTTCAATATGAGGTTTGAGGCATCCCAAGGCACAGTCAAGCTGCAGCCTCACAATAATACTACATTCTAGGCATCATTCAATTCTGTTATAGTAATCCCCAGACATCCACCCTTGTCAGAATCCCAGAATACTGCACAAATGAAGCCAAAGCAGAAACACAGAAAATCATTTACCATATATATAAGCAACTGCTGTTATAGTCTGAGAACTAAAACATCTCAGACCTACATGCCTAATTTTATGTTGTATGGTACTACATCCCCACCTCAGAGAACCTTATTTCTATCCAATCTCTAAAAACCTGAAAGTTCACAAAATCCAAATTCATTAATTAAAATTTGTTCTCCACCAAATTAAGTAACCATGAAAATACATGTCCATGCTAAAGAATATAACCAATAGCAAACCTTATTTTCATTCCCAGTTCACAATACATTCCATAATTACACTGCATAATAACATAATTTCCTCCATTTTTCCTTCAAAATTCCAATTCTAAATATTTCCATTCAAAAGACACTAAATTCTCCATTTCCTAGGGAAATCACACTGATTTTCTGTTTTAACCCAGCTCCGGCTTCTATGGCTTTTTCTCAGCTTTTGATCCATATAGGGAAGAATAGCTGGCCGGGCGCGGTGGCTCACGCCTGTAATCCCAACACTTTGGGAGGCCGAGGCGGGCGGATCACGAGGTCAGGAGATCGAGACCATCCCGGCTAAAACGGTGAAACCCCGTCTCTACTAAAAATACAAAAAATTAGCCGGGCGTAGTGGCGGGCGCCTGTAGTCCCAGCTACTTGGGAGGCTGAGGCAGGAGAATGGCGTGAACCCGGGAGGCGGAGCTTGCAGTGAGCCGAGATCCCGCCACTGCACTCCAGCCTGGGCGACAGAGCGAGACTCCGTCTCAAAAAAAAAAAAAAAAAAAAAAAAAAAAGAATAGCTACCATTTACTGAAGGCCTATTCATCAGGCATTGTGTTTAAATTATCACTACTTCTTTCAACACCACTGGCAGGTGAATAGTGTTATTCACATTTTACAGAAGAGAACATGAACACCTCACCTAGGGAAAAGTTCAGAATGATCATTCTCATACCTCATAGGTAAACCCAACAAGGACACTCCTTTTCTATCTTCCATCCAGAAAAGAAAAGTTGCCATATCAGCTCTTTTCTCACAACTTCTCATTAATCAAAGCTTTGCTCAAGCAACCATCCTTCCCCTACCATAATTTCTACCACACCAGCTATGCCAGTTTCCAACGTATTGTCTCTCAGCATCAAATTCACCCTTTGTTGCCTGATACGTGAAAACAGATCTGGGCCTTTTAAATATTTTACATTTCCTAGCTGGCAAGCTGTTAAAACTTGTCAGTAAAGCCCATTGTAGAGATGCTGCAGGAAGAAGGGGTTTTCCTCGCTAGTTCTCTCCGGTCTCTCCATCACCAGGTTCCTAGAACAGAGTGTGGAAAACTGTGGCCTATAGGCTAAATCCAGCCTGCTGCCTGTTTTTGTATGGCTTGAGGGAATCCCTCAAGTGGTCTAGTATTTTGAGCTATAGAGAACAAGACAGAACATCCTGCCTCTATTTCCCCCTCCACTCCCAGCAAATGCCTCTCCAGCCCAGGTTGCTGTTTCCCACACCCTTTCCCCAGTTTTGAGTACACACCAACCAGGGTCATTACAGGGCCTGCTGCCCTGCCTTTGTTCCACATAGCTGCTCTTAGACATCCTGGTCCAAGTCGTATACAAACGTACACTAGATTCCCGAAAAGGGTGGTCTCTCGAGCTCCTGGTTCCAGGAATGCCTAAAGTAGCACATCTGACACTCTCTCCAGGCCTACTTATCAGCCTGTTTTGTCAGTACCCCAGGAGGTTATTCCTGCCTGCCCAGTGAATAGGGATCAGCTGTAGCCTGGGCAAACCAGCAAACCTCTCCTCCATCCAGTGGGCTGCAACTATATATTCTTCAACAAGGTCTAAACTCCCATCCCAACTTTGTTCTTGCTTGTTACTCTTCTATCATTGCTTAAAAATTCTTTATATTACCTTTCCCTATTTAACCTACTGTGTGGTTTCTGTCTCCTGAGGACCAGACTGAAAAAGTAACCCTATTACCCTGATTTGATCATCACACATTATATACATGTATCAAAATATCATATCATACCTCATAAATAGAATTATTAAAAATAAAAATAAAGGCAAAAAAGTAGCCCTCTTGTTGCAGAAGTGGGCTGTTTATTAAATTCAATCTGAAAAGCAAATGTACATCTTTAAATTGAAGCCCAGTCTTTAAAACCATTTTATATTTTTAAAAAAGACCATGGAGCTTTTATCTGTTTGTCATTAGAACTTTTAACATGTTAAGAATAACTTTTGCCGGGCGTGGTGGCTCACGCCTGTAATCCCAGCATTTTGGGAGGCTGAGGCAGGCGGATCATGAGGTCAGGAGATAGAGACCATCCTGGCTAACACGGTGAAACCCCATCTCTACTAAAAATAGAAACAAAATTAGCCGGGCATGGTGGTACGCGCCTGTAGTCCCAGTTACTTGGGAGGCTGAGGCAGGAGAATGGTGTGAACCTGGGAGGCAGAGCTTGCAGTGAGCCGAGATCGTGCCACTACACTCCAGCCTGCTGACAGAGTGAGACTCTGTCACAAAAAAAAAAAGAATAATTTTTAATAAGAAATATATAAGATCTGATAGCTTACAACTTGAAAAATTTTAAAGTAAATACTCATGTTTCACCACACATCAATAAATTTAAGATGGATCAAAGACTTAAACATAGAAAATGAAAGCAGAGAAAAGTTTGTATGAATATTTATTTGACTTCAGGCAGAAGAAGGATTTTCTAAGCTTAAAAGTAATGGAAAAAATAACAGTGGAAATTACTGATAGAAGATTATATAAAAATCTTAAAATTTGTACATTAAAAAATTTTAAAACAAGTGTACAAAGGCAAACTAGAGAATATTCTCCCAAAAAGAAGTCTAAGCATTAATCCCAAAATTAAGAGTAAATCTCAAAATTAACCAGTGGATAAATGAAAACTATGGTTAATATATGAAAAACAATCTCATTCTTCAGCTATAATTAACATACAAAATAAGCAATAATTTTTGCCTAGTGTAGTGACGAAGACCATGTTTCAATAAAAAGATAGACAGATGAGACTTCCATTTTCAGATAAGACGGATTAATCACCTCCCACCTCTCCCATTAACTACAACTAAAAACCTATAACTAAAACACATAGAACAACTACCAGAAGACTCTGAAAGGCAGATAAAAGCAAGATGACTGGATAAGGATTTCAGGACATAAGGAAAATGGAGCAGCAAGTTCCCCAGGGTTTGTTTTGCCTCACATATCCCAGCCTGGGCAGCAGTGCAACCTGAAAACCTAAAAACCAGAACTGCCGATGGTTGTCAATGGGCCTAGAAAGAAAAAGTCCCAAGAAAAATCGACTCCTCTAGTTTTAAGAATGGAAAACTGGGATGGTGACGGGGGGAGGGATGGAATCTTTTATTTTATCCTACTCCAGGGGATTGCCAGCAAACAACCAGCACACCTTCCCCTTCCCACCAGCCAACTGGTGGTCAACATGTGGGTAAAAGCCCTATAGACTCTCCCTGCTTATAGAAGTACAAGCAACTAATCTGTGCCCTCCCTCTCCTCACCAGCAATGAGATGGCCCCTGAGAGGCAAAGCCTGTTGCCTCCTACCCTAGGACAGGCAAGTGTGGCAGTGGCAGATCCGGCAGAGAACCCTGTCAACAGCGCAGGGAAGCTAATGCTCTGGTCAGAAACCCAGGAGTGGGGAACCCCAGGAACCAAAGAGTGAGTAGACAACCAAGAAAATGAGGGGGCTGGAGAAAGGGCACATTAAAGTTTGTGTATGGAGGTCCTTATCTCACCCCTAGTTGTACGTGCTAAGATTGATGAGAATCAGGGCTGGGCGCGGTGGCTCACGCCTGTAATCCCAGGACTTTGGGAGGCTGAGGCGGGCGGATCACAAGGCCAGGAGATCGAGACCATCCTGGCCAACATGGTGAAACCCCGTCTCTACTAAGACACAAAAAATTAGCCAGCTGTGGTGGCGCAGGCCTGTAGTCCCAGCTACTCAGGAGGCTGAGGCAGGGGAATCGCTTGAACCCAGGAGGCAGAGGTTGCAGTGAGCCGAGATAGCGCCACTACACTCCAGCCTGGTGACAAAGTGAGACTCTGTCTCAAAAAATAAATAAATAAATAACAAGAGATCCAAATAAATTTCATAATTGGAAATTTCAGTAACAGAAATAGTAAAATCACTTTAGGGGCTCATAGCAGAATAGAGATGACAGAAGAAAGAGTTGCTGAACTTGGAGATAGAAAGTATCCAATCTGAAAAACAGAAGAAAGGCCAGGCACTGTGGCTCACGCCTGTAATCCCAGCACTCTGGGAGGCCAAGGTGGGCAGATCACTTTAGGTCAGGCATTCAAGACCAGCCTGGCCAACACAGTGAAACCCCATCTCTACTAAAAATACAAAAACTGGCCAGGCATGGTGGCACGCACCTGTAGTCCCAGCTACTTGGGAGGCTGAGGCAGGAGAATCACTTGAACCCGGGAGGTGGAGATTGCAGTGAGCCAAGAGCTGAGATCGAACTACTGCACTCCAGCCTGGGAGACAGAGCAAGACCCTGTCTCAAAAAATTAGAAAATTAAAAAATAAGTAACAGAAGAAAAAAGTGAAAAAAATAATTCTTTTAGAATCAGATTTGACCCAGCAATCCCATTACTGGGTATGTACCCAAAGGATTATAAATCATTCTACTATAAAGACACATGCACACATATGTTTATTGCAGCACTACTCACAATAGCAAAGACTTGGAACCAACCCAAATGTCCATCAGTAATAGACTGGATAAAGAAAATATGGCACATAATACCATGGAATACTATGCAGCCATAAAAAGGATGAGTTCGTGTCCTTTGCAGGGACATGGATGAAGCTGGAAACCATCATTCTCAGCAAACTATCACAAGAACAGAAAACCAAACACCGCATGTTCTCACTCATAACTGGGAGTTGAACAATGAGAACACGTGGACATAGAGAGGGGAACATCACATACCGGGGCCTGTCGGGGGACTGGGGATTAGAGGAGGGATAATATTAGGAGAAATACCTAATGTAGGTCACGAGTTGATGGGTGCAGCAAACCACCATAGCACGTGTATACCTATGTAACAAAACTGCACGTTCTGCACATGTACTCCAGAACTTAAAGTATAATTAAAAAAAAAAAAAGAATCAGAGACCTCTGAGATATTATTTTTTAAAAAACATGTTTGTGTTACAAAAGTTCCAGAAGGAGAGGAGAAAGACATTGGAATAGAAGAAAATATGTATTTTAATAAATAATGGTTGAAAACTTCCCTAATTTGGTAAAAGGCATAAACTGACAGATCCATGAAGTACAGCAAAACCCAAATGTATCAACTTAAAGAAAACCACAGTCAGACAACATAATCAAACTGTGTAAGATAACTGGGAAAAGATATGGAAAAAAAAACTTGGAAGCAGACAAATAAATATAAGATTCAAATGATTGCATTGAGGCCAGAAATACGAGGAACATTTAAAAATGACTAGTAATTGGTCTACACGGCTTGTAAAATCTCTTCTATGGGTTGTAATTTGAATACGATATTTCCAACAACTGGATAAGCGATTGTACACACACAAAAAAGGAGATACTGAATAATTCACTAAAGCTTAATGCCTTCTCTGCATGAAAAAGATTAGAAAGCAAAAGAAAAGCCCTTACAATTCTCTAGGGCAGCGATTCTCAGAATACTGTCCTTATACTCGTCAGGAAACCAAACACTTTGGAGGAAATGCCACAAAGTCAAAACTATTTTCATAATAATTCTAAGACATTACCCACCTATGTTGACATTTACACTGATGGCACAAAACCAACAGTGGGCAAAATTCTGGCCTCCTAGCATAAATCACTGTATTCTTCATCACCACACACTCACAGGGAAGAAGAGAAAAAAAAGCAAGTTTAATTTTCAATATTTTTGATGAAGCAATAAAAATTATTAATTGTACTAAATTTCAACTTTTGAGTACTGTCTTCATCTGAAAAATCACAGTTCAGTGGGAAGATGCCACCTAAAAAGTCTAAGATCCTTGCCCCAAATGGACTGTGAGAACAAAAAGAGGGTATGTTTGAGTCCCACTGCTCTGAATTTCAAGATTTACAGTCAAACTCACAGGATGGCAGTTGTTTATCTGCCCTTAACTAGCATTTGGTCTGCTCAGGACCCTCCCTGTCACCAAACAGGAAACGCAAGAAAGGGAGTGTTGGCTGCCTGGCTGCTGACAAGCTAATCACAGGACTCAGTGACCTTCAATGAAGAGGGCTTTACTGGACTCATCTCAGTGAAACCTGCACAGGAATGAGATACAGGAGAACTACCAACGTGGTATCACTTAGGCATCATATGGGCAAACTCCGTTTGATCTCTTGGTTAGAGAAAGAAGATGAGTTGATGACAGAAGATGAAATTTCCCAAGTATTTGTATGTTCTACTTAAAAATCAAAGGGTCAAATCTTAAGTAGGACATTTTTAGGTAAAATGTAAAAGTCAACACAATTGTGCAAAAATGGAGATAAGTCATCTTAGAGAAACACTCAATGAATATCATCAGTGCAAGGTCTAACCTTATTCAACACAAGAAAATTCAAACTGGTGAATTTTCTGCTCTGCATATAACTAATATGAAAAATGTTTCAGTAGTAACTCTTAATTTCTGAGGTACATGTGAATACAAAATGGAGATAAACCTTATGAATGTAAGGACTGCAGAAGGCCTTCAGTTATCACTCATCCCTTTGGATACATATTATAATTCACATTAGAATAAAGCACAATGACAGTAAGCAGCATTTTCAAGTCTTTAGCATTAGATCTGTCCTTAGAGGAGAGAAGAGAATACTGAGGAGAATCTCTATAAATGTGATTGATACAGAAAAGTTTTCAGTGTAAGTTCTACTCCCATTGTGTTCATGAGAATTCACACTGGGGAAAAACCCTGTAACTGTCATGATTATACTGGAAAAATATTCAGGAAGCACTCACGTTTGATGTACACGAGAGCGCAAACTGGGGAGCTCAAACTGGGGACATATTGATTACAGCTTTTCCCTTACAGTGTACAAGAGAATACAAAATAGAATGCAAAGATGGTGGGAAAGCCTTTAGTATTACTTCATCCCTTAGAAAACATGAGAAACCACACTAGTGAAAAGCCCTATGAATGTAATCAGTACAAAAAATCCTTCCAATATAATCCTTCATTTACCACACATAAGAGTATATAATGGGGAGAATCCCTATGAATGTGGAAAAGCACGTATTGATCTTTCATCTGTTAGGCACATGAGACAATTTATATTAGACATCTTATGAATGTAACCAATGAGTACGGGACAATTTCTCTGTCCTTAGGTAATCAATGAGCAGTTGCAGCAAAGAGAAACACTTCGAATGTCATCAGTGTGAATGAGCCTTTCATTTTGCACAAGACAAATCACACAACAGGAATATATAAGCAATGGGTATCCTTCATCCATTGGAGAAGAATCTTTTAATATAATCAGCAAGGCTGGCTTCATGGGCATGTTACTACACAGGGCTTCAAGCTTGGGTTTTAATGCTGAAGTTGCCGTCTTACAATTCTTAATTTAGTTTTGAATTTGTGTTTTGTAAGTGAAGTCTTATGGAACCATGTAACATGTACTAGAAGCCCTAAAGCTCATGCAAAGACCTCCCGCCACCTCCTCCATTACTGGGGAAAGATTCTATATAACCATATACACAAGACCTCTAAAATTATTTTTACAGATAAATAGTATACAAAAATGTTTTTTTCACACTAATATATACAAGTATGCCAAAAAGAGACACAGCCTTCTTTACAAATCCCAAAATAAATAAACTCATGGATCCAAGGACTTAGGCTAGAAATATGAATCATGTAACAATACTGCAACCACAAGCCTGCTACAAAACTTAACAGATAAAAGAGCTAACTTTACAAAGCACCTAAATTGGTTCAGAAGTTATACTCTTTAAAACAGAGAATTCTATTAATACACTGTGCTAGATAAACATTGATCTAGCACTAATTGCCACAGGATGACAGCAAGTCCTAGAAACAAATCCCACATATTTCAACCCCCACCTCCATCACCACCAGAAGCAATTTGTCCCTCAAAAACCAGACAGCTCTGCTATAATAGCAGCTTTGATGGGCCAATACTTCAAAGGACAACTCCAACTTAAAATCAACCCAACATTTTTGCTATATGGAAATATTTGGTAAGTTTTTCCTCTAACACTGGATTCCTGTTCACTTATCAGCTTCCATATTTCTCAGATTTCAGAAATATTGAGATGTTCTTTCTCCACCACTCACTTCTAATTTCCCTTATTGGATGCTTGGGAAATACTCGCCTTCATCATACTTGTCCCACTGTCTTATATGCTGCTTTCTTCAACCATCAAAAGAATAAATAAAATTTACAGTTTATAATTATGTTTTAAACTATTTAAAAAAAAACCAATGGGGAAAAAGTCTCTAGGGCTTCTATGAAGCTTTTGGAGAGAAAAATGTATTTTTAAACCTTAGCAAAAAAGTTGAATTTCAGGACTAGTATCTGAAGGCCTTAATTAACCAGAAGAGGATAAAATATCCTTCATCTCATGTCTTAGAACTCTAAAATATGACTTTCTAGAAGACAAGGACCAGGCTACATGTGACTTACATTACAAAATGTTTGTTTTGTTGAGTTATTATGTTGACACTTATAAACTTTCAGATACGGTTGCTACTTTCTCCTAGTCCACTAGTTGCTTACATATAGCCATTCTTCATAAGCCCGTCACCTAAATGGGTCTTTTCTCCATGATCCATTTGCCTTAAAATCCCTAAGACACAAGTACCAAGTCTCTTCATCATGCACCAATAATAACAGCAATGCCTACAGTTGGATAAAACTGAAGAAGGTATCCCTAGTCCTAAAAACTTCGAAATAATATGTTAAACTAATTCTGTCCTGTCTGCAGCTCCTGAACTTCAACAGTTATTTTTCTTTTTAAATAATAGTTATATCCTACTTTTCTGACTCATTAATATAAGTGCATTGCATAGAATGTAGAAAATACAAAAAGTACTACAGACCAGGGGTCCCCAATCTCCAGGCCACCAACCGGTACCTGTCAGAAACCAGGCAGCACACCAGGTGGTGGGCAGCCAGCATTACCTCCTGAGCTCTGCCTCCTGTCAGATCAGTGGCGACATTAGATTCTCACAGGATCAGCACCCTATCGTGAACTGCTCATGTGAGGAATCTAGGCTGCCCACTCTTTATGAGACTCTAATGCCTGATGATGAGTTTCATCCCGAAACCATCTCCCCAACCCCCGTTCTCCCCAACGCCCCCGTCCATGGAAGAATTGTCTTCCACAAAAGTGGTCCCTGATGCCAAAAAGGTTGGGGACCGCTGCTACAGACTAAAGAAAACAAAGTGTGCATATTCCTAAGGCCTTATAAATGAAATCACCTACTCTGAAGAAATTAAAGCAGACCTTTTTTAGAAAGAGAAAAAAAGTGAGGGAAGGGAGAGAGCCCCCAAATAAGTTAAGAATCCAAGGAGGCTTGCTCCTCTAATAGTCACCAAAAAGTAGGGGCTTTTCACTTCCTAAAAGAAACGGAAATTTTCCCAAAGAAAATGGAATACGCAACACATCCTCTGCTTATTCCATCTTTCTTCTGTTCACTTTACCTGCACTGATGGTATAATGGGCCTTTTTCTGCCTCTTCCATTTTTAGGAAAACGTTTGTCTTCAGAAAACCTCCATTCCCGGTTCTTCTGAAAACAAAAATTAAGTCTAAGAATTATTTAAAAGATTAAGAATTTTCAAAAATTCTTAATCTTTCCCACCCTAGACGTGTGGGCTCATAACAGGAAGACTTCATAGTGACATGGGCAGAAGGCACCAGGGGAGCTGGAGGGGCCCTCAGGAGGCCAGGGGAGTCCCAAATTCACACGGTAGCTCACAGTACTGGGGAATCTCCTTTTCAGAGATGGATGAGCCACTCTTCCACTCTCCCAGAGCTGCCTGGACAGAGAAAGGTAGGCCATGGGCCTTGAGATCCAGGAAAGCACATGCTAAACGGCACAGAAGCCCAGGGATTAGGGTGCTACTTCTATCCAAGAAGGAAAACAAAACAAAACAAAACCAAAAGCCAAAAAACTGAAATTCTCCTCCCAGGAGTCTCAGCGCGGTGGGAAGCAAGTCCGTTGGCCGAGAGAGCCGCCGTTCTCCTGGCTCCGCCCCACCGCAGTCCGCTCTTATTTCCGGAGGTGGAAGAGAAATGGCTCCTTAGACCCTTGCTGGGGATAGTTACTGAAAGGGGCACTTTTTTCTTTTACAGCCCATAAAGAGCGCTTTCCCGTAAGGAGAAGCAGAATAACAAAAAAGACAAATTGTCAAAGGGCAAAATGTACTCATTTGGATAAGGCCCCAGAGCGAAGGGAACACAAGGGGGATGACTTCTGCGAGGTTGAGGATTGAAAGATACTGGCCAAATGGATGCCTGAGACTTTTGGAGTTGAGGAGGAGATGCTAACCAAAGGGCTAGGCTGGGTAGAGAACAGGAAACAAGACGTTTAGTTAGAAGGAATGGCATAGGCAGAGACAGCCTTTCTCCACCATACAATGCAGACTTTTTATTTTATTTTGAGACAGGTTCTCGCTCCGTTACCAAAGGCTGGAGTGCAGTGGTGCCATCACGACTCACTGCAGCAGCCTTCACCTCCCCGAGATCAGGCGATTCTTCCACCTCAGCTACCCCAGTAGCTGGGACTACGGGCGCACGCCACTACAGCTGGCTATTTTTTGTTTGTTTGTTTTTTAATGTAGAGATGTGGTCTCCCTGTGTTGCCCAGGCTGCTCTGGAACTCCTGGGGGAAAGTGATCCTCCTGCCTAGGCCTTCCAAAGTGTTGTGATTACAAACGTGAGCTACCTGCCTGGCCAAGGATCTGGAATTTTTGTTGTTAACACTCCAGGTAATTGGATAGATAGATAGATGATAGATAGATAGATAGATAGATAGATAGATAGATAGATAGATAGATTTTATGTATTTATTTATTTATTTTGCTGCTGAGACCAGGATTTTGCCTCATTGCCCCAGGGTGGTCTCAAATTCCTGGCCTCAGCAGTCCTCCCACTTGGCCCCCCAGAGTGCTGGGATTACAGGTGTGAGCCACCAGGCCCGGCCTAGATTTCTGAATAATTAAGGAAGAATTATTTTTCCCTCTGTCCATCCACACGCAAGTGCTTCCTCTCTAACAATCTTTCCTGCTACAGGCTCTCTGTTTGGCATGCCTAGGGAGTGGCACTGAGTGTTCAGGCTTTCTCTTGACTTTATTCTCCTGCCCATCATCAAGTTTTTAGCTAGCCATATTATTAAAATTAATTCCCAATATTACTGCTAGTTTATGCCTTAAAATGTGCGAATGATAAACATAACAAAATGCTTGTAAGTACAAATATATCCTCAGGGGAATTTCAGTTTTGTTTTGTCATGGTGGGACCTAATTCTCAAAGTTTGACTGTGCGTCAGAAACATCTGAAAGATTTAAAAAACACATTGGGCTGGGCACGGTGGTTCATGCCTGTAATCCCAACACTTTCGGAGGCTGAGGCAGGCAGATCGCTTGAGCTCAGGAGTTTGAGACCAGCCTGGGCAACATGGTGAAACCTCATCTCTACAACAACAAAAAAATACAAAAAATTAGCTGCTTGTGATGGCACGTGGTCCCAGCCACTCGGAGGCTGAGGTGGGAAGATCACTTGAGCCGGGAGGTGGAGGTTGCAGTGAGCCGAGATCATACCACTGCACTCTGGCCTGGGTGACAGAGTGAGACCCCATCTCAAAATAAACAAAACAAAACAAAACAAAACAAAACAAAACAAAAACAGATTGCTGGGCCCTACCTGAAAAGTTTCTGATTTAGTAGGTTCAGGGTGAGGCTCAATAATTTGCATTTTTAACAAATTTCCAGATGATGCTGCTGTTCTGATGACCACACTTTGAGAACTACTGGTCTAGCATATCTAATTATAATAGGTAGCATTTACTGAAGTTTCTGCAGTATGTTAAAGGAGTGGTTGACTTAACATGCAATTCTTATCAATACCATAACAGATAGGGGTTAATATTTCTATCTTATAGGAGGAAACCTGGCTGAGGATAATGACTGAGATTACTTATTGTAAGAGAAGGCTGCTGAAGTTTAGAAAAACACACCTATCCACCATCAGGCGGGCCACTGGCTTCACATTCTTCTTTTATCTAAAAAGTAAGCAGGCATAGAATGTTATGTGCTATGGTTTAAAAATACCTTTGCTGAACTGAGTGTTCTCTTGGGTAGTGGTTTTGGGCAAATAATTTCACCTCTGCAAGTCTTAGTGTCCTCAAAATGGGGGACAGATTGGACTACTGGAGTTAGGCCATCAAGACCCCTAACCTGTTACTATTTTCCCCCGTTGGGTCCCATGTTTTGAACAATTTTTATTTTTATTTTATTTATTTATTTATTTATTTATTATGTATGTATTTATGTATTTTTTCGGATGGAGTCTCGCTGTGTTGCCCAGGCTGGAGTGCAGTGGCGTGATCTCGGCTCACTGCAAGCTCTGCCTCCCGGGTTCATGCCATTCTCCTGCCTCAGCCTCCCCAGTAGCTGGGACTACAGGCGCCCGCCACCACGCACGGCTAGTTTTTTGTATTTTTTAGTAGAGATGGGGTTTCACTGTGTTAGCCAGGATGGTCTGGATCTCCTGACCTTGTGATCCACCCGCCTCAGCCTCCCAAAGTGGAACAATTTTTATTATATTAGCCAAAGACATTTTCGTTAGCATAAGATAACCATGGTTGCCACCCTGAGTTGGTATTTCAGCCAAAAACAAAGAAACAAGATTTTATTTAGCATGCACAAACTTAGGTAGCTATGTGATTTCTCTTAGAACACTGAAATATTGAGAGTTGCTTATGAATGCCTAGAGGTTTGTAGACCATGGGCTCAACACAATAGAAATGGTTTGTTTTCAAGGTTCTTTCTTGTAATACTAAATGAATCTGTAAGGCTCAGTGCTGATGTAATCATTATTGCCTTGACCAGTGCTTGAGTATGTGGGATAACACCTTCGATGCCTCTGTTTCTATACTTTTGCCAAGAGATGAAATAGGAATGAGAAGGTGAAATGGAGTTCAGGAAAATGAGGTTGTGTTTATACCAACACACTGCTGTCCCTTTCATTGTTAATGTCTGTTAATTGTGTGGGGCTCTTTCTATGATATTATGTTCTCTCTGTTTTTATATTTTCAAATATTTCACTGTGGATAGATTTAACTTTCTCTCTTTTAAGATAGATAATGCTCTGTTCGCCATTGGAGATGGCCTGTTGTTATTGCCAGCGGTAGTAGCATAAGTATTGGTATTCCCATTTCATTCCTCGGCAAAAGTATAAAAAGAGAAGCATTGAAGTTGTTATCCCACTGACTCAATACAAAATCCATACATTTTTCCATGTAAAATAATTCTTGCACTATCCTCAAAATGTAAGAGGAGTTGAGAAAACAGACATATTTTTAAGGAAGAAATTGACTGTACTGCATATCACATATTTGAGATAACCATTTGCCCAAATAAGCATAATGGCCACATTAAACAGGAAAACTGTGTTAGGCTATTATAAAACAATCAAGGGCAGGGACCACCCATTTGTTCTTTTTTGCCCTCAAGACTTTAAAAGGCTAGTAGACTACGAATGATAATATTACCTCATATTATTGAGCCATTGTGTATAATGTTATTCATAGATTGAGGCCTCCATCCCAGAGAGATCTGTGCTACCATATCACTAACTCCAACACAGTGACTGGGTCCTAATCAAGAACCATTTATGAAATTCCTTATTGGCTCTTTTTTGGATCAGACCATAGCAAGTATCCTTGATAGTTCACACCATTCAAAAGTGCTGGATGAGAAGTCTAAATACAATGCATCTCACTGTTGGAAATTTTCTATTCTAACTATTAATGTAGCAGACTACCTTCTTTTGATTATCAAGCAGACATAAAATGCCATCAACAAAACAGAATGCTTTTATGTGTTATCACTATCAATTGATGTGCAAAGAAATTATTGAGATAAGGGTGTTACATCTTCTTGGGAACCCACTATGTAAAGGATATACCCTGTGACAGTGCTATGGACAGATTAATACTTTCACAGACTAAATGCAAATACTTTTACAAATGAAATGAAATCTTAATTATCTGCAGAGCAACATAGGCAAAATCTATATAGGTTGTAGAATAAATGGCGAGGTAACCAAATTGGTATTGTTGCTACCATTTTTAATATCCTTAATTGATTCACCTTGAGTAACCTTTCCCTTGTTCCCTCTTGTATTCCATTGGCCCCTGAAACCACCTTCTCCTTAACCCCTCCTCGATGAAACACCAGCTAATTTTCTAGAAACCCTTCCATTCTAAATAAAAGAATACGTTTTATCATTCAGGGATAGAATTAGTCACTTCTCAAGACTCCCTCTTTATTTGGATTCCCAAACTTAATTCAGCTACTGATTGGTGTTTTAATTGATTGAACAAAAGAATTAAGAGCATACTCACCAAAATCTAATTATACCATTTATTATTGGACTATGTTATAATAAATTTCTTTTTTTATTTACTTAAGTATTGAAAAAGTTATATTAGGCAAAAAAAGATCTAATAATTCTACTAAATTATTTATCTACTCCACTCTACATTACTAGTGGAGGGTGTCCAGGTTCTTGGCATTTTGAACAAAGAATTGCACAAAATGCACAAATAAAGCAACAAAAGAAAAGCACAGATTTATTGAAAAGAAAGTACATGCCACAGAGTGGGAGCAGTCTTGAGCAAACAGCTCATGAGCACTAGTTACAGAATTTTCTGAGGTTTAAATACCCTCTAGAGGTTTCTCATTGGTTACTTGGTGTATGCCCTATGCAAATGAAGAGGGTGAAGTAAAATTACAGGGTTATTTACTTGGTGTACACCCTGTACAAATGAAGAGGAAGTTTCCTGTCATAGCTGAAGTGAAGTTACAAAGTTATTTACTTGGGCATAGAAAGTTGGGGTTTTTCTGTTGGATTTAGTTCTAGGAAGTCCTTAGGCTCCCTGCCTCCAGACCCTATTCTCCTGCCTCAATAGGATAACAGAGGAAAATTGCTAAATCAAAGAAATATTTACTGGTGGGAAACACACAGGATGTGAAATCTTATTATGTGACCTTCCTTGTTAGTGCAACAAACATTTCCATATATAGATGTTCCCTGACCTTGGCTTCCACTAGTCCTTGGTCACAACAATGTCTTCATCATTTAGGAAATGTTTGGGAATGAAAAGTACAAGGATGTGTGTCGCTGTTACCTCTAAGGTTGCTGTGAGGGTAGATGAGAAAATGTGTGTCAAGCGTTTAGTGTAGTGCCTGGAATATAGTAAACCAATGAATAAATGTCAGATGTATTAACTATGCAGCCCATGACAAGTTACTCAGCTTTCTTATCTATAAAATTGAGGTACCAATACCACCCTGGCAGGGTTGTCATGACATTAGTAATGATTTATAATAAACTGTCAAACACTGGGCCTGGTACTTAATATGTATCTAATAATCAATTTAAAATAATTTAATAATACATCTTATTTACTATCTAAAAAGTAAGGTGATTAGATGGGTTAGCATTTCCAACTTTATAGCTGAATAACCATGAAGCTTTGCAATACCTAATAAACACAGTACAGTCTTTTCCACAACAAAGTGTTGTCATGTGTCACAAGGCTGGCCAAAGCCTGAATCTCTGATGGGCCATTTAGTGACTAATGAATAAGAGGTTAGAAAATGTAATGAATAAGCAAGTTCAAGTAGGCCTACATGGTAAAGAAGAGTCAGAACAGGACTTACACACAAATCAAGGTTATCGTCTGATAAGGGTCAGGCTCCAAGTGAAATCACCACATAGACTTTGAAGTGATTTTATAGAGAAGGGTAAGAATGAGGGCTTCTGTGGGTCCACTGTAGGGGTTTAGTGTATAACACTGTGATGATATGTAATATTGATGTTAGAAAGTATTGAATATACTCAAGAGTTTAGAACCAATTAGAAGATATAAGCAAAGCACAGCTGCTATAATATGATTGGATCCAGACAGTGTTATAACTAGATTGGTGGTATATCTCTAGAAGAGTGAGAAAATGGTGCAGAGTTTTACTTTTAACCCTTATGAGATAATAATGATGATAATAATAACTATAATAATATTCTTGAGTGATTAATATGTCCAAAGGTCATTTATTTTACATTTATTCATTTAACTGATCTTTCTTAAGCACCAAGTATGTGTTAATAGGCATTACTTTAATGGAGAATAGGATAGTTAACAAGTCGGACAAGATTCCTGCTGTTATTTGGCATATTTTCTATTGGATTTCGTAGATTATCATATATAAGTCTTCCAACAATGTCTTACAAGTATTATTAAAATTGTTTTATAGATAAGGAAACCTGAGGAACAGACAAGTTAAATAACTTTCTGAAACTCACAAAGCCAGCAAGTCAGGAAATAAATCCAGGTGGTCTAAGGTCACTGTTTTAGTCAGTCTGGGTACTAAAACAAAGTACCATAGCCTAGGTGGCTTATAAACAACAGATATTTATTTAATATTTTATTTAATGGATTTAATATTTATTTATTAAATATTAATATAATATTTATGGAGGCTGGAAGTTTGAGATCAGAATGTCAGCATGGTGGAGTTCTGATGAGGGCCCTCTTCCAGGTTGCAAACTGCCAGCTTCTTATTGTAGCCTCACATGGAAGAAAGAGAGGGAGGTAGTTCCCTGGCCTCTTCTTATAAGGGCACTAATTCCATTCACGAGAGCTCCACCTTCATTACTTAATTACCTCCCAAAGATTCCACCTCCAAATATCATCACACTGTGGATTAGCTTTCCACATATGACTTTTAGGGGTATATAACATGTAGATCATTGCAAAGGCCTTTGGATATTAACCAATAATATAACCAATAACTGGATATTATCCAATAACATGGATATTATTTCAGTGCTGCAATAGTCCAACTTTTATAAACCCAATTAAGGATATCAATAAATGTAACCAAGTTAATATTATAAGTCAGAGATTTTTACAACTTTCCATAAATTTCAAGTGAAAGAATTTTTAGAGCCCAATTTTCACAATGTCGTCTGAGTTCCACAAGAACCAACTAATAAAATACCCTAGCACACATTTGTCATAACAAATGTCGGTTGTAACTGGAAATCCACATTAAATTTGAATATTCCCCAATAGTTTAAAAAGTAATTATAAATATTCTTTTCTAGCTACATGTATTTATTTATGTATTAGCCCATTCCCAGCAGATTTTATTTCATTCTTTCACAGTAAACAAATTCAGGGAATTTTTACTGTAAGTTTTACTGTAGTTCAAATCCAGTAAGTTTTACTGTAGTTTTCATGTTAATAATTTATATGGGTTAAAATAAGTTTTACTGTAGTTTTCATGTTAATGGTTTATATGGGTTAAAACTTGTACCCTCATTCTTAATTTTGTGGTACTCTATAGTCACCATATGAAAGAAATAAAGTTACTTTTGGGGAAATTACTTGAATAAGGTCAAATGAGATCTGCAACTGTGGGATACACTTTTGTCAACATTTTAAAAGGCCAACCAGGCTTTGGTCATTGTACATTGATATGGTATAGGCCTATGCTTTGATTATATTCATTTCAAAGCTCTGTATTAATTAGGAAATAATGGCTCATTCTGAGAGGAAATGATTATATTTGATTTTGAGAATTTTGCATTTGAGCTGATAAAATGAGATACACCAGAAAAAAGTGAAAACATGAAAATTAAGCTTCAGTGAAAGTGAAGTATAGGAAGGTTTTAAATATTTTGATAATTAATAGATTATATATCATATCAATATATTATATATTCCTCCCTGACCTCATTCTTGAAATCTCACCCAATCCTTGACCTTCCCTGGCAAAGATCAAAATTGAGAAAAAGATCGGGAGTGGGGTAAGTCTCAGGAATAAAATAAGAGGGCACCTGATGTTCACATTGCTTGGTAATGAAAAATAATAAAGGCTTTTTAAAGCAGTGTTAATGTGTCACCAAGGTCATTAAATCAGTTTGGAACCTGGCAGCATTTGTGCACACGAGTAACCAGACTCCCTATTGCAAGCCCTCATGTAATTTTAAAGTGGGTCATAGAGTCTAGGTAGCTTTGGAAAAACTTTTTTCCAATGTGAGCTCTTTTCTCTATAGGTACTATTCTTTGACAAGCCAGGCCAGATAGTCTGGATTAGTCCCTGCTTATGCAATGCAGGCTGCTACGTTTAAAACACGCTTTTATTCATTTTTAAAAGAAATGCATGCTTATTAATCACAGTTTGGAAAACCGGAAATTAGAACGAAGAAAAAATAACCCATAGCTTCACCATCCAATACCTTATGCAAATTTAGAAGTATTTTCTAAATCTTGTTTTATTTGTATAGTTAAAAAAACACTTGAAATCATATTGTATAATTATGAATGCTGGATTTTTTACTAAACATTGTAAGTATTTTACTATGTTGTTAGACATATAAATATTAACTTTCATGTATTTAAAAAATTAAAGAAATTTTTAAAGATCAAACTTAAGCTACTGCATAGTATTCCAGAGTTTATTTAATTATTGCCCTTTGACAGTTACTTATATTTTTTTCTGTTTTTAATACTGCAAACATGCTACACTGGATATCCTTTTATATTCTTCTTTGTGTATATATGTATATAATTCTCTGGGAGAGTTCTAGAAATGGAATTCCTAGTTGAAGGGTATATACATTTATATTTTGGTATATATTGCCAAATTGCCCTCCAAAAAGGCTGGGCTAATTTAAATTACTCCCAACAGTGTTTTATTGTTTGTTTGTTTGTTTGTTTTGAGACAGGGTCTCATTCTGTTGCCCAGGCTACAGTGTAGTGGCACAATCATAGCTCACTGTAACCTGGAACTCCTGGGCTCAAACAGTCCTCTCAGTGGGATCTTGCTACGTTGTTCAGGCTGGTCTGGAGCTCCTGGCCTCAATGGATCCTCCTGCCTCAGCCTCGGTGGGATTACAGGCATGAGCCACCATGCCTGGCTGTGTTTTATTGTTTTAATTTGCATTTCCTTATCGGTGCAACTGAGCATCTTTTCATCTGTTTATTTTTACTTCTTCTTTCGTGAATTGTTCTTCCTATCCTTCTCTAGTTTTTCACTGGGCTATTTATTGACTTGTAGGAGCTCTTTATATTCTGGGAGACAGAGAAATGACAGTGTCAGATAGGAGCTGGTCCAGTTGTTCTCTACTTAAACGGTAACAGAGAACACCAACATCAGACAAGGTTATTCTGTATCTGTGATAAAATAAGACAAAAAATATGACCACTCTGTAATTATGTCTGAGCAAAGATAAAAACAAGAACACTGTGCAAATCACAAAAATGACCACAAAAGTGAGGGCCTGCTGCTGTTTTACCCATTTACAACTTTAGCTCCATTGGATACCTCCTACCTCCTAGATGATAATTAAGATATGCAATCATGGAATTGCTTCACTTTCTGAAAGACTCACCCCAATATTTGACACAAGCCCAAACCACAAAACAATCCCCTCTTAACTGCCTCTTACTGAGATATCTCACAGGTTCCCCGGCACACAATCTCTTTTTGCAACAATTAATAGATCCAATTCTGTTTGCCTACAAGTATGTTTTCTGGTATCTTTGGACCTCTGGATGTTAATCCTTTGCTCTGATGCTTGATACAGATAATTTCTCCTGGCCTTTCTTTTGTCTCCTAACTTTGTTTATGGTATCTCTGTTACTGATACGTTTCTAATTTTATGTTTTCAATTTTATCAATCTTCTCCTTTATGGCTTCTTTAGCTTTGTGACTTGTTTCCCTACCTTAGACTATAAATAGTATTATACCATATTTTCTTTTAATATTTTTACAATTAAAAAATGTTTAGCTCTTTAATTCATCTGGACTTTACTTTTGTGTGCAGGTAACGAAGATCGAAGTTTTTTCTAAATCTAGGACACTTCAGGACTTAATTCACACCCATGGCTTTCTCTGGGTGGCTTTCCTTGACTCTCTCCCACCACCTCAACAATCTGGGTTAGGCGTCCTTGCGTTTTATTCCCATAGCACACATCGCAACAATCATCACTTAGAATAGTTTGCTTGAGAGCAAGAGCAGTGTTTTATTCATAATTGTATCTCCGTGTCCAGTAGGTTGCCTGCACAGTAGGAGTTTAACCAATATTTATCGATTGACTGTCCTCCTTACTTCTCCTTGAGAGCAGGGGCTGGATCGTATTTGGTGGGCCTCTACCGGGTAGATATGAAATTGAAATAAACCAGAGATTCAGTCCCTGTACTGTTGCCATGGCAATGCGGCGGCTTCTTCAGGTCTGCAACTTCAGTTGTGCACTACAATTGGCTAAGTAATCGAACGCTTGTCTCACTCCCCTTCACAATTTTCTCCCCGGCTGCTACACTTAAAACTAAAATTACGTAAACGGAAGGAATGATTTCCGTGCAGTTTCGCCAAAGCCCCTTTCCTGGATTCTGGCTCCTTCTTCTTGCCCCAAGGCTGAGGGGATGCAAGCAGTGACTCCTGTCCTCGGGTACCTTGCAGAGTCCTGGGGCTAGCTTAAGAGGTGCTGGAGAAAGACTGGGCGCCTGGAGTGGGTGGAAGCAGAAAGCTTCTATCTCATGGCGCACCCGTTTCCCGCACCCTGAAGCCTGGCTGGATCGGCCCTGTCCCGGGCTCCGATAGCCTGCACCGAGCGCACCAGCCGTGTGCTAATGGTCGGAACATGCGCACCTTTCTAGGAAGACTGTTAGAAGACGGGAGGCTGGGCTGTGGCCTGTGGGAAATGTAGTCTCAAGGCGTCCTGTGTCCTGGAGCCTGAGAGGCGGCGCTGCCTCAAAATGCTGACTCAGTCATTGACTGCTGAGGGAAAAGACTGTCGTGCTTCTTATTACTGAGGCATAAACGAATGAAAAATGGGTGGGAGACTATAGATAATCTGGGGTAGAATTTGGTAGCCTCCTAATTTTCACCCTCCTGAAGAACTGACCCTACTGTCCTTCCGTCTCTTTCCTTAAAAGTGTTCCAGAATCTAGCTCAGCCTTTCATTCTGCTCACCTAAGCATTTTGGGTGTGTAGGTGGGAAAGTGGGTGGGGCGAGGGGTGAAGGGGGTCGTGTCAGGTTTTTCTTTCTTTTTGTTTGTTTCCTTGAGAGTGCAAACTGGAAAGCCCAAATATGTAAAGGTGCCCAGAACAGTGCTCGGCGCAAAATAGCCAGGAGGTATATGATGTTTGTTGAATTTAATATGATAAAGGGCTTTGAGAGGAAAATGATTGCCCACCGTGGGATAAGGACTTGGGAGGCAGAATATATGGTGTGAGTCAAAGGATCTGTGGTCCTGGCACATGGCTTGACCCTCCACAGTACATCTTGGTCAGCTGCTTCATTTCACAGAACACTGAGATAAAAGGGCCCTGCCTGCCCAAGGTCCACCACTACACAGCAACAGCATTGAAACTAGAACCCAGGGCTCCCCTCCCATGGTTTACCTCCAGGTCAGACAATGAAGTGTGGAGATCAGCTTCTCACACCTCTGAGGGTAAATAAAGGCTAGGAAGGCAGTGTCAAGGAAAGACGATGCCAGAATCTGGCCTTTCTTCTAAGACAGATTGAGGTCTCCTGCTCTTCAGTAATGTGTTCTGTAGGTTAGCTAAACAAAGAGAGTTTACCCTTCCTGTGAGTCTCAGAAAGGAATGAATAACTATTTGAATTGCCAATGACAAGGAGCATGGAACCCAGGAAATTTAAAGTAAACTTTCAACTGTATCCTAAAATCCATATGATTCCTCCCATTTCTCCCCTCCTCCTCCTCCTCCTTCTTCTTCTTCTTCTTTCTTCTTCTTCCTTCTTCTTCCAAATCCATGGAGTAAAGTGATAGCAAGTTTATTAAGAAAGTAAAGGGAGGCCGGGCGCCGTAGCTCATGCCTGTAATCCCACTTTGGGAGGCCGAGGCGGGCGGATCACGAGGTCAGGAGATCGAGACCATCCTGGCTAACACGGTGAAACCCCGTCTCTACTAAAAATAGAAGAAATTAGCCGGGCTTGGTGGCAGGCGCCTGTAGTCTTGGCTACTCGGGAGGCTGAAGCAGGAGAATGGCGTGAACCTGGGAGGCGGAGCTTGCAGTGAGCTGAGATTGCCCCACTGTACTCCAGCCTGGGCGACTGAGTGAGACTCCGTCTCCAAAAAAAAAAAAAAAAAAAGAAAGAAAGAAAAGTAAAGGGAAAAAAGAATGGATACTCCATAGGCAGAGCAGCCTTCCTCTTCTTAATGATAATTATCATCAGATCTATAGTAGCCTCTGGAATGATGGAGTTAGAAGATTTCATTCTTTCTTTCCTGGATCCCTTTAGAAATTGAATTCCTAATTGAGTGATGACCAGCCGCATGGCAAATGGAAAGAGCAGAGGCCTTGGCCTTAGAAAAGCCTAGATTCAAGTCCTAACTCTATAATTAAAACTAAATGATCAAATTACTTCTCTAAGTATTCTCATCTGTTAAAAGGGGTAATAGTACTTACTTCTTAAGGCTGTGGTAGAAAACAAATGAAATTTTTACTGGAGTTAAGCACCTACCACAAGGTAAAAGGGACATTGGTTTCACTCAGTTCCCCAAAAGTACCTGAATTGTAATTCAGGAACTAAAAAAGTAAGAAGCACAAATAGACACTTTTAGAGGAAGTTCTAGGCAACATCTTTCTCCCTGACAGGATAGTCTGCAGGAGTATATGATAGGAATTTGGAATGCTAGCACCTAGAATGAGATGGTATTTAATTTCCACAGAGCTCCTGTGTGTACAAGGGTATACTTCTGAAAATCTGTATCTCTTTTCTTAGAAGCTGGCTCTTTCCTGGCCTACAGTTATAATCTGACCTACATAATGCCTTCAGGGCCAGACATTGGAGTCAGAAGGGTACCCTGTGGTAAAACTCAGGAATATTCCCCCGGAATCAGGAGTTCAACCTGTGGGAACTCTTTTGGCTCTAAGATTTCCTACCGTAGCGTTTTTGAATGAACTGTGACTCAATTCTAGAAGCTGTACCTTAAGGGTACAGCTTGAGGCCAGAACCACACTCAGAAACAGATCCTGGAGTTCTAAGAATTTGATCCTGTAAGAGTCTCGGGAGTTCACAAAGTAGGTGAGATGGGGCACTTGGGTGATCAGAGAGATAGGGAGTTTAGAAGGGCAGAGGTGGAGAGAAGGAACAGGGCTCATTGCCTCTGTTTATAAGGAAACACACACAAATTCAATATACAGAATACTGGTAGGTGGTTTTTGAGAATTATCTGGCAGAAAACAAAGTAGTGAACAGTGAGGAAGGACTTTATGATGGGGCTAGCATCCCTTCTTTGTCTTTGGAAGATTTATATTTCTTTTGGGCCCCTAATCCTTTGCGAGACAGGTTAGTGATTCTTTCCTGAGGTTCCATAGCTCCCAATATTTATCTGCCTCTTTGCTTGAAGTTATAAACTATGGTAGGACAGCAGAGGTCACGATAGTAAAGGATGAAACTGGAAGTAGAAGCCAGGGCAACAAATTCAAGTAGAGATTGCAAGGTCCTTCAGCTAACTCTCTGTACTCTCTATCTCAATGGATCTTAGGCTTTAGGCCAGAATCTTTCAGAAATTTCTTTAATGTCACTAACAACGTCTGAAAACAGGTCTTTTCCCTCTTCCCCTTCCTCTTGTTTCTTAGGGTTATGCAAAATTTAACTCAATATAACAAGAAGTCTTAATCCTGAATGCTATAGGAACAAGAAATGGTCTTCTGGTTGCAATCTAGAAACAGGACCAGGAAGTCCTTCTGATGGGGTTGGCTGGCATCATTGAGTCCACAGTAGAGAAAACTGATACCTAACCTGAAGAACTGCCCTAAAAAGAGGGGTTACAGCATCTGCATCCCAGATTGTGGGAACAGAGATGGCCCAGGTAAACGAAGGGAAATGTTTCAGTAGGTTAATCCCAATATAGATGAATGGGGCAGAGAATAGTTTATCACTTCTATCCCTCTGCATCCACCCAAAACTTCTTAATCTCACCTGAGGCAAATTCAGATTGGGACAACCCTAAGTCTCAATGTTCTCAAGGCCCACCAAGAGAAGCTCTCAAAAGCAAAATACCTTTCTAACTAAATTTTATGGAAAATAGATCCAGATTTCAAGTTAATGATGAAAAAATACATTTTAGCTTTCATTTTTCTAGGGTTGTTAGTAGTACTACCTTTGGGAAGATAGAATAGTAGTGAGGAAAATCAAGATATTACTAGTTTTTAGTGATTTTCTTCTTTTCTGGATCATCCACCTTCCTAGTTTTCCACTCTTCCCACTGACAGTAATTCTAGAGACTGGAACATGACATCCCCAGATGGCATTTTCTTATAGTCAAATCCTAAGTAAGTTTTAATTATCTTTGTTTCTATTGAGAAAAACAATAGGCTATAAGTTTATGATTCAGAAATCATAAGGCTGAAGAATGGGGACTACCATGAAATGTCATGATAAAATTTGACAAAAAGCTTTGATGGTGTGAGGCTATAAGAGGTGATTTTCTGAGAGTTTGGAGTGTGTGTTTGCTTGTAAATGTGTATTTCTGGAGTATGATCTCAAAAAGGTGCTAAAAGAGGAGATATGCTCAGACATATACCCATCCTGTGATGCTGAGTTTTTAAGTCTCATTACACTGAAAAGGTTTTACAGTAAACTTTTTCTTTAAAAGGCCGGTTAGTAAATATTCATTACTTTGCTGGCCACCTGGTCACTGTCACAACTACTCAAACCTGCCATTGTAGCACAAAAACAGCCAGAGACCAAATGTAAACAATTGAGCAGGGATATTGAAATATGAATTTCATACAATTTTATGTATCATAAAATGTTATTATTTTGATTTTTTCAACCATTAAAAAATGTAAAACTATTCTTATACAAAAATAGGCTGCAGGCTGAGTTAGCTTAAGAGTTTTTCTAAGTCTACAAAATTTCATTGTGCATTTTGGGAAGAAACAGGGCGTGGGTTGTAGTGTCAACTGTGAGCGTTTACAAGGGGAGAGCAAGCTGGATATTCCAAGTGAATATCCAACTTAAATATAGGACAAAATCAGACATTATGGCCCCTCTTGATTAACAGAATATGTGCACACTAAGAATAAAGACAAATAGTACTAAAAGACGTTGTAAATACTAAAAGACGTGGTAAGTATACTCTATGACATTTGCATAATGACAACATTAGCTAATGACACATTTCTCAAAACTTTTCCCCATTGTTAAGCAACACATGGCTATATTGTGGTGATAGTTTCCTCCCACATGATAGTCTCTTTGGCTCTTTTTCTTACTTCCTAGGAGATATCCTTAACTTTATTTCCCAACTATTCTATTGAGATTTCCATTTCTCTTATCATGTTTAATTCTAAGAACTCTTGTTTGTTTTATAATATCATTTGTATAGCATCCTGTACTTGTTTTGTGGATGCAGTTTATCTCTCTGAGTATTTTTCGGTTTTGACTTTTGTTTTCTTCTCTCTGCATATTCTCTGTTTCCTCCAAAGTGCTTTTTTTTTCTATTAGTTTGGTTTGGTCTTTATCTTTTATATCGGAAGCTTTCCTCATTTGTCTGGTGATACTTGGTTGTCTGTTTACAATTAGAGTGGAAGACTGTAATATGAATTGGAATTCTGAGTGCTTTGGCACTTATCAACTTATCAACTTTGAGCTGTTTTATTGGTTAATCAGGTAGATTCTTTTATTGAGAAGCCCTAATATAAATATATTTAGGTCTTTCCTCTTGAGCTGCTCTGATTCATCAGTTAAGACTCTTTCAGTCCTTTACCTGGAGGGTAAATACCTGGTTACCAACATTCTGCAATTCAAATGGGAGAAGAGATCTGGAAATCTTAGCACTCAAAAGGCGTATATTTCTTTTGTCTCTCTATTTTGCACATAGTATTAATATCTTCAAGTAGACCTGGTGTATCTGCAACAAAATTACTCTGTTTCTCCAAAGAATAAATTTTCAATTTTCTGTTAGGGTGGATAACAGATTGTTCTCACAGCTATGTGCAATGGGGGAAGGGATAAAGTAATTTAAACGTTTTTAAAAATTTTTTCAACCAATTCTTCTTTCTTAACTTTCACCCCCCCACCCTTCATTCCTAATTTCCAGAGGATTTTACAATGTACATCACAGTTAGTTCTTGGTCCCATTCCCCTACCTAGCTGCTGTACTGGAATTTTTCTTTCTTAGCTTTGCAAAATCAAATATTACACATCTATCTGTTTATCTGTTTGCAAAATTTCATTGCTCAGGATTGTTTCCCCTTCTACTCAGAAATGCTGTCTTTTTATTTTCAGTTGACATGTAATAATTATACATATTTATGGGGTATAGAATGATATATCAATACATGTATAAAATGTGTAAAAGTCAACTCAGGCTAATTAGTATATCACCTCAAATATTTATCATTTCTTTGTATTATGGACATTCGAAATTCTCTCTTCTAGATTTTTGAAAATATACAATAAATTATAGTTAACCATATTTACCCTACAATGATGCATAACACCGGAACTAATTCCTCCTATATATCTATAATTTTGAATTTGGTTTTGTTTGTTTGTTTGTTTTTGAGACGGAGTCTCACTCTGTCACCCAGGCTGGAGTGCAGTGGCACGATCTCAGCTCACTGCAACCTCCAACTCCCAGGTTCAAGCAATTCTCCTGTCTCAACCTCCGAAGTAGCTGGGACTATAGGAGCACACCACCACACCTGGCGAGTTTTTGTATTTTTAGTAGAGACGGGGTTTCACCATATTGGCCAGGCTGGTCTCAAACTCCTGACCTTGTGATCCACCCGCCTTGGCCTCCCAAAGTGCTGGGATTGCAGGCGTGAGCCACCGTGCCCTTCCAATTTTGAATTTGTTAACCAACCTCTCCTCCTCTCCTCTTGCATTCCCAGCCCCTAATATCCGAATTATACCCTCTACTTCCATATGCTAAAAATTTTTTTTAGCTCACACATATGAATGAGAACATGCAGTATTTACCTACCTGGGCCTGTTTTGCTTAACATGTCCTCCAGGCTCATCTATGTTGCTGCAAATGACAGGATTTCATTATTTCTTATGGCTGGATGATATTGCATTGTGTATGCATACCATATTTTCTTTATCATCTACTCACGGACATTTGATTCCATATCTTGGCTACTGTGAATGGTGCTGCAATAATCATGGAGATGTGGGAATCCCTTTGCTATATTGATTTCCCTTCCTTTGGATAAATACCCAGCAGTGAAATTGCTGGATCATATGGTAGTTCTACTTTTGGTTTTTTGAGAAACCTCCATACTGTTTTTCATAATGGCTATGCTAATTTATATTCCCATCACCACTGTATAAGAATTCTCTTTTCCCCACATCTTCATCAGCATTTGTTATTTTTGTCTTTTTGATAATAGACATTCTAACTGGGGTGACATGATATTTTGATTTTGATTTGCATTTCTCTGGCAATTAGTGTTGTCAAGCATTTTTTTTTTATGTTTTTTGGCCATTTGTGTGTCTTCTTTTGAGAACTATCTACTGAGTTCCATTGCCTGCTTTTTAGTGGAGTTTTTTTTATTTTTTCTTTCCTTTTCCTTCTCTCTCTCTCTTTTTTTTTTTTTTTGCTGTTGAGATATTTGAATTCCTTGTATATTCTGGATGTTCATTCCTTATCGAATGAATAGTTTGCAAATATTTTCTCCCATTCTACAGGTTGTCTCTTCACTCTGCTGATTATTTCCTTTGCTGTGCAGAAGGATCTTCAGTTTAATGTAGTCCCATTTATCTATTTTTGTTTTTGTTTAAAAGGGAGCAGAGTTAGATGTTAGTGTTCAAACCACAATTTTCAGGTTCCCAAGAATTTTGACATCTCTCAACGGCCCTCAGTGAATTCACTAACAATATGTAGAATGCCAATTCAACAAAAACAAATGTCCAGAGAAGATTCTGGGAAGATAGCAGAATAGGTAGCACCAACAATCTGTCTCCCTACCTAGACAAAAATTGCACTGGCAGAATCAGTCTGATATAACTAACTATTTTGGAACTCTGGAGTCTCTTGAAGGATTGTAGCTTCCATAGGGGAAAGCTTGGACAATAAAGTGTGACAGTACTTTGCACAGTAGCAGCTACCTATTCCCCATTGTCAGCCATGTGGCAAGTAGCTGTGCATATGTTCCTGGAACAGCTCACACACAACTTGCAGTGTCCAAAAGGGACCTTTTCCTCTAAATATCAGCGATTATGGTTCAAGGTCTGAGCTAAAAAGTAATTAACTAAATAAATAAAATATTAGGGATCAGTGCTGTGGTTACTGATTGCTGCTTCTGAACACACAGGTGCAGACAAAGAGGCAGGCAGCCATTATTGTTTTAGTTTCCTCATCTTCCCTCAGCTGAGTGACTTCCAGGGTATTTAAAGGGCAAGTCTTCTTTTTCTCCCTTCATTTTTCTCTGTCTCTTATTTTTGAAGCAAAACATTAAAGACTAGGACTTTTAAAAAGACAACTGCATATATGGGAAAAAATAGAAAGTGACCACACATAACTAGGGAAAGATGCAGGGAATGCTAAACACACACAATCATGAAAAGCTAAGCACATGTCAAGAGGACACAGGCGCCAACTCAAAGAGCTCCCAGTTGCCAAGGCTGGAGCAATTTGAGCAAGAAAATAGTGCAGTACTGAATTATAACCCCAAACGTAAAATATCCATGAGTTCCTACTGATGTAAATGATTGAAAAAATACATAAATGAGGATGAATAGACAAATCTCTCATGCAGAAGAATTTAAAATAATTTACGTAGCCACTCCCCCATCAAGGAAGTGAAGCATAACTCCTGACTCCTTTATGTGCCGGCTATACCTAGTGATTTGCTTCCAAAGTAAACAGCATGAGGGGAGGGTCAAAAAAGTAACTTTACAGGAGAAACCTCACAAACACTGCTTCATCCAGGTGATCAAGGTTAACAAAAGTGATAATTCCTCTGGATATAACGAACCTTTGATATGATGTGATGAAAATGACACTTTACCTCTGTGGTTTTCCTCCCAAAAACCCACAACCCTTGAGAAAAAAAAAAAAAAAAAAAAAAAAAAAAACTTCTTAAAAAACACAGCTGAGGAACATTATGCAAAATACCTGGCTAGTAATCCTCAAAACTCTCAAGGTCTAAGAAAATGCCACAGCCGAGAGGAGTCTAAGGAGACATGACAACTAAATGTAACTTATCTTGAATGGGCTCCTAGAACAGAAAAAGGACATTCAGTAAAAATGAAGGAAATGTGAATAAAGTATGGACTTCAGTTAATAACAATGTACCAATATATGATACAACGTATCAATACATTAACTGTTCATTAATTGTGAGAAATGTACCATACTAATAATATTAATAATAGAGGAGTTTGCTGTGTGGTATATGGGAACTCTGTATTATCTTTGCTACTTTTCCATAATTTAAAAGTATTCTTAAATAAAAAGTTCATTAAACATACAACTAGAATTTTTTTTTTTTTGAGACAGAGTCTCTCTCTGTCACCCAGGCTGTAGTGCAGCGGCGCAATCTCAGCTCACCCCAACCTCTGCCTCCCGGGTTCAAGCAATTCTCCTGCCTCAGCCTCCTGAGTAGCTTACAGGCATGTGTCACCATGCCTGGCTAATTTTTTTGTATTTTTAGTAGAGATGGGGTTTTGCTGTGTTGGCCAGGCTGGTCTTGAACTCCTGGCCTCAAGTGATCCATCTGCCTTGGCCTCCCAAAGTACTGGGATTACAGACGTGAGTCACCATGCCTGGCCACAACTAGAATCTAATATCTCTATTAGATTAATATAGTATTTTTAATTAATATAGATTACATATATTATATAACTAATATATAATTAATATTATATTAATATAGTATTATATAGAATGTTACATTAAAAATATCTATGGAGTTTATTATATCATATGTATATGTAACTAGTTTATTGAACAATTTCATACAGTGAGGCACAAGTACGAATCGTGAAATGGTTTTATGTTTCTCTAGTTACTGGCACCAACTGTGATATGCCAAATAATCCCTTCTATTGGATAACAGATCTTTTGATGAATATTCCATAACTGCCTGGTTACTTTCAGAGACTTACAGTCTATTCCTATCTTACAGTCAATTCAAAGCTGGTTTCTGAGGCTGAATGCAGTGATCATGCCTGTAATCCCAGCACTTGGTGGGAGGATCATTTGAGGCTAGGAGTTTGAGACCAGTCTGGGCAACATAGTGAGATCCAATCCCTACAAAAAATTAAAAGATTAGCCAAGAGTAGTGGTCCATGCCTGTAGTCCCAGCTACTCAGGAAGCTGATGGTGGAGGATCAGTTGAGCCCAGGAGCTCAAGGAGTGAGTCATGATCATACCACTGCACTCTAGCCTGGGCCACAGAGCAAGACCCTATTTTAAAAAATAAAAATAAAAAATAAAAACAGCTGGTTCCTCTCCTATCCTCCAATGCTTATCAGGTTTGTAATAGCTTAGAGAAGAGGGAAGGCATGATCTTTCATTCACTCTCTCCCTCTCTAGCACCTTCTAGTGGGCGCTTTGGATGGAGAGTGGTCTGTCTCTGAGACGTTGCTTTTCCCTTCATTTTCAACACCCTAACACGTCTGACATCAGGCACTAGAAGGGGAAATTGAAGGGAAGCAGGAGTTTATTATGCAGTAATGTACCTGCTAAAGATAGAAAAGTATTCCTAGTTATCCTTGGACTCAATTTGGTTTTGTTTCCTACTGGTGGCCTCCATGGATGTGGTAATTTCCATATAGATGCTATATATATTTTTCTGGGGTGATACTTGGGTTTAAACTGGTATCCTCCTTTGCCTAAGTCACCCCAACCCAGAGACATGCATTGAAGCCTCTGTTTGGCATCTGCCTTCATGACCCAACTCCCTCTCTAGACAGGATGTTTCCTCTCTATGTGGCTGCCTAGACAACCCTGTTTCCTGTCCTTTTCTTCATCTCATCTTTATGTGAGCTAGGAGACTGGCAGAACTTGTTTTCTGGTCACAATTCTGCTGACCAAAACAGGATCTAGTCCAGATAGGATAAAGTTAAGAAACTAGCCAAAAACCAGCAGATGGTGACTGAAAGCAATCCCTAGCTGCTGTCATTGCTCGTTAGCATAAGACACTCCCACCAGCACCATGACAGTTTACAAATGCCATGGCAGTGACAGGAAGTTACCACCCCTTTCCATGGCAATGACCTGGAAGTTACCACCCCTTTGGTAGAGAGTTCTAAATAATCTACTCCTCAATTTGCATTAAACCACCCCTTAATTTGCATGTAATTGAAAGTGAGTATAAGTGAGTAAAAGTATAGTTGCCAAGAGCCCATGCATTGCTGATTCTGGGCACATGGCCTGTGAGTTAGCCCTGCTTTGCTAGAAGTAGTACCATTTAATAAAATATTGTTGTCTAACACCACCAGCTCATCCTTGAATTCTTCCCTGGGTGAAGCCAAGAACCCTCCTGGGCTAAACTGCAATTTTAGAGCTCCCCTGTCCTGCCTCAAAGCCACTGGCACCACTGAATTCCTCTTTCTCGATCTACTAGGACCTTGGGGATTTGGTGGAGTGCTCCCATAATTTCATCCAAAGCTCATTACCTCATTGCCCCTATTTTCCCATGGGGTCAGGTAACTCCAGCAAGCCTCTCACATTCAGACATTTCAAGACAAAAGCAAGCACACATTTTTAGGTTCAGTTTTGGGGTGACTCTAGTCACCTCAGTAAAATAAAAGTAGTGATGTCTACCTGCAGAAAAAAATGCTGTATAAGTAGCCTCACTTAATGTCTGACATAAGTAATAAGAATACCTCACATTTATTACACCCTTGTAATGTTTTGTTTGGTGGGACAAAACAGGCTGGAAGGGCTGGGCGCGGTGGCTCACACCTGTAGTCCCAGCAATTTGGGAGGTTGAGGCGGGCGGATTGCCTGAGCTCAGGAGTTTGCCACCAGCCTGGGCAACACAATGAAACCTCGTCTGTACTAAAATACAAAAAAAAGTTAGCTGGGTTGTGTGGTGGCGTACACCTGTAATCCCAGCTACTCGGGAGGCTGAGGCAGGAGAATCACTTGAACCCGGGAGGTGGAAGTTGCAGTGAGCCAAGATTGCACCACTGTATTCCAGCCTGGGCGACAGAGTGAGACTCCATCTACAAAAGAAAAATGGGAAGGGGGTGCTGGAAGAACAGATCTGCTCCTAATTTGTATGTCCAAGTCTAATTTAGAACATACACAAAAATCTGTCTCCTGTACAGCTCAAATGGTTTACCCTAGGTCATGTTAAAAACTTTTATTAATTTTTTATCTTTGCTCTACTGATTATGCAAGGCATTCTTGAGTAATAAAAAGCAGAACCTCTTCCACCTTTAGGAATTTATCATACAGAAATAGTTGTTCATCTGTCCCAAGCATATGTGTACAAGATGTTCATTTACTTATAACAGTGAAAATTTCAAAACCTAATTGTTCATCAGTAAGAGAATAGTTTAATAAATTATAATGCACCTACAGAGGCAGTACATGCAATAGTGGTTAAAAGCATGAGATCTGGAACTAGAACATCTGGTTGAAATTCTGCCTCTGCAATTTACCAGTTATGTGACTATATCTCAATTTCTATATCTATAAACTGGAGGTATACTGGTTCCTACATAATATGGTTATTGTGTGACCTTGAGTAAATTATTTTATCTACTTGACCCCTTCTTTTTTTTTTTGACCTGCTAATGCAACAGTAATTTTTTCTTTTTTTGACTGACCCCCAGTTTTTTTCAACAGTAAAATAAAAGTAGTGATGTCTACCTGCAGAAAAAATACTGTATAAGTAGCCTCACTTAATGTCTGATGTAAGTAATAAGAATACCTCACATTTATCGCACCCTTGTCATGTGCCAGGCATTGTTCAGTTTGCATACATACATTGATGAATTTACTCTTCCCCAAAAATATTTGGTATAGATACTATTATTACTCCCATTTTGCAGATGAGAAAACAGAGTTAAAAAGAGCTTAAATAACTTTCCCGTAGTTACAACTTCCAATAATAGTTAGATACTCTGGGTATAATAGCTGCTATTTAAGAAATAAGGCACACATCTGTTGGGATCCTTTCAGTTGCATGTAGTATGAATCCAACCAAAAGTGACAAAACAATGAGTACATTGTTAAGTCACATTACAAGGACTGCAGAGATGGCGATGATCCAGGGTTGGTTAAGTCAGCAACTCAATAACCTCATCAAAATCCAGGTATTTTCTAAATCTTTCTGCTCTGCCCTCTTCATGGGGTGTTGATTTGCCTTCTTAGACTCAATGCCCTTATGTTTCCAAGTTGAGTGACATGGTTGTGGAGATCAAATGCAAAACACTACATTCAGAGAACCAGGAATCATCCCTGTGTTTGTGTCCCTTTTAAGAGTCAGAATAAATTTTCCCAGAAGTCTTCCAGATTAGTCTCACATAATTTTTACTAGAATTTCATCATAATCTTATAAGTCATGCACCACATAGTGATATTTTGGTCAACAATAAACTGCAGATATGATGGTGGCCCTATAAGATTATAATACCATACTTTCACTGTGCCTTTTCTATGTTTAGATATGCTTAGATACACAAATACCATGGTGCTACAATTGCCCACAGTATTCAGTACAGTAACATGCACAGGTTTGTAGCCTACAAGCAATAGGGATATCATATTGCCTAGGTGTGTGGTAGGATATGCCGTCTAGGTTTGTGGAAGTACACTCCGTGTCTGCACAAGGACAAAATAACCTAAAAAGGCATTTTTAAGAATGTATTCTCCATCCTGGCTAACGCGGTGAAACCCCGTCCGTCTCTACTAAAAATACAAAAAAGTAGCTGGGTATGGTGGCACATGCCTGTAGTCCCAGCTACCTGGGAGGCTGAGGCAGGAGAATTGCTTGAATCCAGGAGGCGGAGGTTGCAGTGAGCCGAGATTGCGCCACTGCACTCCAGCCTGGGCAACAGCGAGACTCTGTCTCAAAAAAAAAAAAAAAAGGCATCCTCATTGAGAGACACATGATTGTATTTAAAGTAACCCTTCACAAGGGAAATAGGATCACCATGTTTGGTTTAGGCTAACTAAGATTGAACTTCCGGGGCTAGAAAGGGGCCCAGATACCTTGTAAGCATTTGGTCATCAGGAGAAGGGGAAGCAAAATTAGAAAACTATTAGAGAGAATGAAGGAAGGAAGTGTTGTTCACATTCTTGTTTAATTTCTTTGCTTTGAGTGTGGACTGGACCTAATGATTTGCTTCTAATAAATAGGATACAGAAAATGATGAAATGTCACTTTCATGATTAGGCCATAAGAGACTCTGACTTTCACATCAGTGGCATTTTCTCTCTCTGGCTCTTGTGTGCACATACTGGATGAGGACAAAGGGAGAGGCTCACATGTCAAGGAACTGAGGGCAGCCTCTAGCCAACCACTAGGGAAGCACTGAGGCCTGAGTCTAAACATACGAACATACATGACACTAAATAATAACCCAATGTGCTGGATAACTTCCTTTTGCCCTCACAAATCCATTTTCCCACTCTTTTCCATCCTGCTCCATGCTCCTAGTAGCTCAGTGGTCCCAACCTCTTTGGCATTAGGGGCCAGTTTCGTGGAAGACAATTTTTCCATGGACTAGGTTGGGGATGGTTTCAGGATGATTCAAGCATTTATTGTGCCCTTTATTTCTATTATTATTCTATTAATATCCTATTAGTATTACACTTTAATATATAATGAAATAATTATACAGCTCGCCATAATGTAGAATCAATCAGTGGAAGCCCTGAGCTTGTTTTCCTGCAAATAGATGGTCCCATCTGGGGGGTGATGGGAGATAGCAACAGATCATCTGGCATTAGATTCTCATAAGGAGTGTGCAACCTAGATCCCTCACACGTGCAGTTCACAACAGGGTTCATGCTCCTGTGAGAATCAAATGCCACTGTTGATCTGACAGGGGTCACAGCTCAGGTGGTAATGTGAGTAATGGGGAGCAGCTGTAAATACAGATGAAGTTTTACTTGCTTGCCCACCACTCACCTTCTGCTGTGTGGCCCAGCTCCTAATAGGCCACTGACCAGTACCAGTCTGTGACCTGGGGGCTGGGAACCCCTATAGTAGCTAATCTGTATGTTCTACATCAGCGAGCTCCTTTGTCCTCTGGCTTCCATTTGGGTTCTACCAAGGGGGACACTGGAGTGAGATCTAGGAATTATTCTGCCAGCAAACCTCTCTGTAAATATGACTTTATTTGAAAATAGTGTTTTGTAGATACAATCAAGTTGAGATGAGGCCAAACTAAATAAAGGCAGTCCCTAATCCAATGACTAATTCTTAGAAGAAGGGGGAAGTTTGAACACACACAGAGCCGCACAAGGAGAATGTCATGTGATGACAGAGGCAGAGATTAAGGTAATGATAAGGCAAAGGATGCCAGGGGTTTCTGGCAGTTACCAGGAGAGAAGCATGGAACAGATTCTCCCTCAGAATCTCCAGAAGGAACCAATTCTGCCAACACCTTGATTTTGGACTTCTAGTCTCCAAAACTGTGAGAGAATACATTCCCACTCCTTTAGGCCACTCAATTTGTGGTCGTTTGTTATGGCAGCCCTAGGAGATGAATAGATTGATTGGACATTTTTCTTTGGTGTTATGTTAGAAATATCTGTGTTGAGTGGACCCATTACAATTTTAATGTGTTTTCTCCTGATTATGATAGTAATACATTGAAACTACAAAAAAACTATAAAGAAGAATAACAATTCAAAAATATTCATGACTTCTATAGTTATCATTTTGGTATATTTCCACTGCCTAAATGTGATTTGGCATAACTTTTTCACATGATATGTAGAATTTTCATCCTGAATTTTCCTTAAAATTATAGGTAAGTATGTATCCGTGGTATAAAGAACTCATCATAGATATATTGACTGTATAAAATGCCATTATGTAGGTGTTCTATATTTAATTTAACAGTTTATCTCTTGTAGAATAATTGTTGTCCATTTGTTATTATTAGAAACATTCTGTGATGCCGGGTGCAATGAGATTAATGTCTTTTTTTTCCAGAAGGGGATTTAATTTTTATCCCAGTCAGTGATTGGGATAGATTATATGAGAAGTGTATGTTAATAGATATGTCCCAAAGTCAGGGACTTTCTGACTAATCCAGAAATAACTGCAAGGGTAAGATTTAGGGTGAGAATAGAGAGGACTTTGTAGGGACAGTACTTAAGTTACACAGCTGGGAGAGCTGGTGCTGGAGTTGCCATTTTACTCATGATACTTGGAACAAGATCTGCAGGGACACCTCCTGGACATGGGCCCTTTGCTCACTCTTTTAATAAATCCCAGTTGCTCCTGTGATCCTCCTTGGATAGTCACTGAGCAGTCCCTGTAGGTATCTTCCTAACTAAACTCTTGAGAATCATTTAGAGTAAAAGCAAAACTCAAGCTGGCCTTAATTGATCTGATGTAAAGCTGCCCGTGGAGATTTCCACACATGGAACAGCTGGGATTATCTAAGTACCAAATGCTAATGAGACCCTGACGGTCCCGGCTCAACACTACCTTCCCCTCCCCTCAGGCCTGTTCCCCCAGATACCAGAGAAGGAGGAAGGACGAGGGGACCAACTGGGCAGAGATTGGCTGGGACCCAAGTGCCTCCTTAGAGTGTGATCAAGACTATTACTCTGCTTCTCCAGGGAGAAAAGTTTGGAAGTTCAAAGTCATTTTTATTGGCCTAACTGGCATGTGCCGGGCAATGCTCTGCACTATAAATTGAGATTATCAAATCCAGAAAAGGTCAATACATTATATCTTTCTTTGGTCTCCTTCAGAAAGTGAAGTATAGTGAGCTCATATCATGGAAAAATAACCTTTGTAATAAGATTGGAAAACTTATTTCAAGAAGCTTAGGTCCCTCCCTGAGAGGCTGTCACAGGGAAGTTATCCAAGAACCCAATCTATGCAGACCCTTTCTCCTCACCCTAGAACACAAAAGTGTTCAAGTCTTTCCCTCACTTTTTCATTCAAAACATATAATCAGCTTATTATGTGCCAAGCAGGGTGTTGACTATTATGGGAGACAGATGAATAAAATATGGTCTTTCCTTTAAGATGGGTAAAATCCTGGCAGGAAAGAGCTGTCATTTAAAACAATCATTACAAGAGGTAGAGAATGTTAAACACAACAAATGAGGCATAAACAAAATCAAAGGTTCATAAGTGAGACA
Organism: Homo sapiens; assembly: GCF_000001405.40. Taxonomy (NCBI): domain Eukaryota; kingdom Metazoa; phylum Chordata; class Mammalia; order Primates; family Hominidae; genus Homo; species Homo sapiens. The sequence goes on along the minus strand of NC_000012.12, from coordinate 48,280,131 downwards.
CTATACTCAATTTCTGGCTGAAAAGATAAGGAGAGACCTCAGAGAAGATTAAGCATTTAATCTGAGTCTTAAAAGTTTCCAATGTTCTCTCTTTTCTTTGCCTACGGCTGCTGCCCTGGATTATACCCTCATTATCTCATCTACCTATTTACTCACTCATTCAACACTTTTTAAAAAAACTTACAAATTACCAAGGTCAAGGCCAGCTGTGGGGATACAACAGCAAACAACACAGAAATGGCCCTTTCCTTCATGGTCCTTACAGTCTAGTTGGGAAGATAAGTAAACAGACAAATTAGAATGATGATAGAACTAAACAAAGAGCTAGTTAGAGAACAGCAGGGGATCAGCTTTAGAGAGGAAGGTCAGGGAAGGCCTATTTGAGAAAGTGACACATATGCTAAGACTTAAGGCATGAGAATGAGCAAGGCTTGGCAAAAGTTAGAGAATGAGCAAGGCTTGGCAAAAGTTAGAGAAAGAGCATTCTAGAGAGACGGAACAGCATATTCAAAAGCTATGAAATAGGGAAGAGCTTATAGATATCAAGTTTCTGAAATGTGAATAAAGAAGAAACTAGAATGAGATGAGGTTGGAAAGAGAGGCAGAGGGAGGATGGCCTTGCTCTTATTAGAAGTTTAAATTTTAATTTAAATGTATCAAATTATGCCCCCAATTGACAGACAAGGCAGACTCCCTGTGGCTCAAAAGCTAAAAGCAGAACCAAGAGGCCATAGCAGAGTGAGGGAGTGATCATGCACTCTGTATCTGTCAAAACTATTGTAAAACCAGTTTTTCTGCAATCAAGTCAAAGAACAGTTCCTGAAAACAATGTCAAAAACAACTACAGCTGGAAATTCCCCAACTGACCACCAATAGGTTACCTGGTGCCAGCCAATTACCTGGAATCAGCCAACTAAGAGAGACTGGTTATTTGGGAGATCAAAGGTTTTCCAATCAAGACTGTGTTCCTCACTCCCTGACTCCTCTTCTGGCCTGCAATCTTCATCTTTATGATATATAACTCTCCAATCCCCTCCTTAGAGTGCACTTTTGTTTTGCACTGAAGGCTGTCTCCTCAATCTGCAGGTTGCTTTTAGAAAATAAAGTTCTCCTTTTGCCTCCACAAGAGATCTCATTGCTCTTTTGTTAACATTTCAAATGCAACAGAATATTGTTTTTTAAGTGAATGAACAATGTGAAATGATTTACATTTTAAGATAATTCTTGCTTTGGTTGGGAAAATTGATAGGAGGAAGGCAAGAGTAAAAATGAGAAGGTCCAATTAGGAGCCCAGGGAAGAGATGATGGTATCTTGGATTAGGATGGCACAGAGAAATGTACAGATTCTATATGTACTTTGACAAAAGATTCACTAGCACTTTCTGATTAAATGTGGGGACTGAGGAAAATGGAGGAATCAAAGATAACTCCTAGGTTTCTAAAATGGGCAACTCCATAGGTTAATTTAATAGACTGTTTTCTTTCTCCTTGTAACAGAATAATAATCCCTATCTATGTTAGGGATCTATACAGCCCATTGAATGACCATGTGGCTTGCTTTGACGACTGGGATGTAGGCAGAAGTGATAATAAGCTAGAATCCTCAAGGTCATCTACTAGTTGCAAAAGAGCAGCTGGATCCTAGTAGAAAAGATCCAAAGTAGAAAAGTCTGAAATGAAAACAATAAGCAATATTCATCAACAGGTGGGTAATTTCAGTATGCAGTTAGAAACTAAGAAAAGGCCGGTGCTGGGAAAACTGCTAGCCATATGTAGAAAGCTGAAACTGGATCCCTTCCTTACACCTTATACAAAAATCAATTCAAGATGGATTAAAGACTTAAACATTAGACCTAAAACCATAAAAACCCTAGAAGAAAACCTAGGCATTACCATTCAGGACATAGGCATGGGCAAGGACTTCATGTCTAAAACACCAAAAGCAATGGCAACAAAAGCCAAAATTGACAAATGGAATCTAATTAAACTAAAGAGCTTCTGCACAGCAAAAGAAACTACCATCAGCGTGAACAGGCAACCTACAAAATGGGAGAAAATTTTCACAACCTACTCATCTGACAAAGGGCTAATATCCAGAATCTACAATGAACTCAAACAAATTTACAAGAAAAAAACAAACAACCCCATCAAAAAGTGGGTGAAGGACATGAACAGACACTTCTCAAAAGAAGACATTTATGCAGCCAAAAAACACATGAAAAAATGCTCACCATCACTGGCCATCAGAGAAATGCAAATCAAAACCACAATGAGATACCATCTCACACCAGTTAGAATGGCAATCATTAAAAAGTCAGGAAACAACAGGTGCTGGAGAGGATGTGGAGAAATAGGAACACTTTTACACTGTTGGTGGGACTGTAAACTAGTTCAACCCTTGTGGGAGTCAGTGTGATGATTCCTCAGGGATCTAGAACTAGAAATACCATTTGACCCAGCCATCCCATTACTGGGTATATACCCAAAGGAATATAAATCATGCTGCTATAAAGACACATGCACACGTATGTTTATTGCAGCATTATTCACAATAGCAAAGACTTGGAACCAACCCAAATGTCCAACAATGATAGACTGGATTAAGAAAATGTGGCACATATACACCATGGAATACTATGCAGCCATAAAAAATGATGAGTTCCTGTCCTTTGTAGGGACATGGATGAAATTGGAAATCATCATTCTCAGTAAACTATCGCAAGAACAAAAAACCAAACACTGCATATTCTCACTCATAGGTGGGAATTGAACAATGAGAACACATGGACACAGGAAGGGGAACATCACACTCTGGGGACTGTTGTGGGGTGGGGGGAGGGGGGAGGGATAGCACTGGGAGATATACCTAATGCTAGATGATGAGTTAGTGGGTGCAGCACACCAGCATGGCACATATATACATTTGTAACTTAACCTGCACATTGTGCACATGTACCCTAAAACTTAAAGTATAATAATAATAAATAAAAAAAAGAAACTAAGAACAGGCCAAAGAAAGGTTAGAAAATATTTAAATGTATGGTAATAGTGGTGAAGAAGGCCTTCAATGGGTTCATAAGTAGACTGAACATAGCCAAAGGGAAAACAATTAGTAAACTGGAAGATATGTCAACAGATATTACCAAAACTAAAGGAAAAAAATTAAAAAGAATAGAAAAAGGACAGAACATATGAGTTATGTGGCAATATTAAACAGGCTAACATACATGTAATTAGAATTCCAGAAGAGAAAGAGATCAGAGTAGAAAAATAAACGAAGAGATGATAGCTGAGAATTTTCAAAAAATAATGAAAGACATCAAACCACAGATCCAAGAAGCTCAGAGAATCATAGTGATATAAATACCAACACACACACACACACTACACACACACGATGTGTCCTATTTAAACATTTGAAAACCAAAGATAAAGAGAAAATCTAGAAGACAGTCAGACAAAAAAGACACATTACCTAAAGGAAAAAAATTAAATTTACAGCATAGTCATCACAAGAAACTAAGACATAGAGTGACATCTTTAAAATGTTAAAAGAAAAAAAAAGTAACATGGAATTCTATACCAAGTGAAAATACTTTTCAAAATGAAAGAGAAATTAAGCAGACCTATGCCACAAGAAATGTTAAAGAAAGTTCTTGGCTGGGTGTGGTGGCTCACGCCTGTAATCCCAGCATTTTGAGAGGCCAAGGTGGGTGGATCACTAGGTCAGGAGATTGAGACCATCCTGGCTAACACGGTGAAACCCTGTCTCTACTAAAAATACAAAAAAGATTAGCAGGGCATGGTGGTTGGTGTCTGTAGTCCCAGCTACTTGGGAGGCTGAGGCAGGAGAATGGCATGAACCCAGGATGCAGAGCTTGCAGTGAGCCAAGATCGCGCCACTGCACTCCAGCCTGGGTGACAGAGTGAGACTACATCTCAAAAAAAAAAAAAAGAAAAAAAAAAAAAGGAAAGTTCTTTAAGAGGAAGGAATGTAATACTAGACAGAAACTTGAATCTATGCAAAGATCTTTTGGAATTGTTAAAGTCAAAGTAAATATAAAATATTTTTTCTTGTTAATAACTTTAGAAGATAATTTACTGTCTAAAGCAAAAACAAAGGCAACCTACTCTGGGTTTGGAGCACAAGTAAAAGTAAAACATATAACAATTGCATAAAGAGTGAGAGAAATTAGGGAAGTTATTACGCTACACATAAGTGGCATAATACTATTTGAAGGTAGACTGTGATTAAATAAATGTGTTTATGAAAACTCCTAGGGCAGATTGCTGGCAAGATGGCCAAATAGGAACAGCTCCAGTCTGCAGCTCCCAGTGAGATCAACACAGAAGATGGGTGATTTCTGCATTTCCAACTGAGCCTCCACTGGTGATACCCAGGCAAACAGTGTCGGGAGTGGACCTCCAGCAAATTCCAGCAGACCTGCAGCGGAGAGGCCTGACTGTTAGAAGGAAAACTAACAAACAGAAAGGAGTAGCATGTCCACTCAAAGACTCCAACCGAAAGTCACCAACATCAAAGACCAAAGGTAGATAAATCCAAAAAGATGGGGAGAAACCAGCACTAAAAGGCTGAAAATTCCAAAAACCACAACACCTCTTCTCCTCCAAAGGATCATAACTCCTTGCCAGCAAGGGAACAAATCTGGATGGAGAATGAGTTTGAGGAATTCACAGAAGTAGGCTTCAGAAGGTGGGTAATAACAAACTCCTCCGAGCTAAAGGAGCATGTTCTAACCCAATTCAAGAAAGCTAAGAACCTTGAAAAAAGCTTAGATGAACTGCTAACTAGAATAATCAGTTTAGAGAAGAACATAAATGACCTGATGGAGCTGAAAAACACAGCACGAGAACTTCGTGAAGCATACACAAGTATCAATAGCGGAATCGATCAAATGGAAGAAAGGATATCAGGGATTGAAGATCAACTTAATGAAATAAAGCGAGAAGACAAGATTAGAGAAAAAAGAATAAAAAGGAATGAACAAAGCCTCCAAGAAATATGGGACTATGTGAAAAGACCAAATCTATGTTTGATTGAAGTACCTGAAAGTGACAGGGAAAATGGAACCAAGTTAGAAAACACTCTTCAGGATATTATCCAGGAGAACTTCCCCAACCGAGCAAGACAGGCCAACATTCAAATTCAGGAAATACAGAGAATACCACAAAGATACTCCTCGAGAAGAGCAACTCCAAGACACATAATCATCAGATTCACCAAGGTTGAAATGAAGGAAAAAACAGCCAGAGAGAAAGGTCAGTTTACCCACAAAGGGAAGCCCATCAGGCTAACAGTGGATCTCTTTGCAGAAACCCTACAAGCCAGAAGAGAGTGGGGGGAAATATTGAACATTCTTTTTTTTTTTTTTTTTTTTTTTGAGATGGTGTCTCGCTCTATCACCCAGGCTGGAGTGCGGTGGCACAATCTCTGCTCACTGCAAGCTCCGTCTCCTGGGTTCATGCCATTCTCCTGCCTCAGCCTCCCGAGTACATGGGACTACAGGCACCCACCACCATGTCTGGCTAATTTTTTTTGTATTTTTTTTAGTAGAGATGGGGTTTCACCACGTTAGCCAGGATGGTATCAATCTCCTGACCTCCTGATCTGCACACCTCGGCCTCCCAAAGTGCTGGGATTACAGGTGTGAGCCACTGTGCCCAACCAATATTCAACATTTTTAAGGAAAAGAATTTTCAACTCAGAATTTCATATCCAGCCAAACTAAGCTTCATAAGCAAAGGAGAAATAAGATACTTTACAGACAAGCAAATGCTGAGAGATTTTATCACCACCAGGCCTGCCTTTCAAGAGCTCCTGAAGGAAGCACTAAACATGGAAAGGAACAACTGGTACCAGCCACTGCAAAAACATGCCAAATTGTAAAGAACATCAACACTATGAAGAAACTGCATCAGATAAGGGGCAAAACAACCAGCTAGCATCATAGTGACAGGATCAAATTCACACATAACAATATTAACCTTAAATGTAAATGGGCAAAATGCCTCAATTAAAAGACACAGACTGGCAAATTGGATAAAGAGTCAAGACCCATCAGTGTGCTGTATTCAGGAGACTCATCTCATGTGCAAAGACACACATAGACTCAAAATAAAGGGATAAAGGGATGGAGGAATATTTACCAAGCAAATGGAAAGCAAAAAAAAAGAAAAAAGAAAAAAAGCAGGAGTCACAATCCTAATCTCTGATAAAACAGACTTTAAATCAACAAAGATCAAAAGAGACAAAGAACGGCATTACATAATGGTAAAGGGATCAATTCAACAAGAAGAGCTAACTATCCTAAATATATATGCACCCAATACAGGAGCACCCAGATTCATAAAGCAAATTCTTAGAGACCTACAAAGAGACTTAGACTCCCACACAATAGTAGTGGGAGATTTTAATACCCTACTGTCAATATTAGACATATCAATGAGACAGAAAATTAACAAGGATATTCAGGACTTCAACTCAGCTCTGGACCAAGCAGACCTAAAGGACATCTACAAAACTCTCCACTGCAAATCAAGAGAATGTACACTCTTCTCAGCACCTCATCACACTTATTCTAAAATTGACCACACAATTGGAAGTAAAACACTCCTCAGCAAATGCAAAAGAACGGAAATCATAACAAACAGCCTCTCAGACCACAGTGCAATCAAATTAGAACTCAGGATTAAGAAACCCACTCAAAACCACAAAACTACATGGAAACTGAACAACTTGCTCCTGAATGACTACTGGGTAAATAACGAAATGAAGGCAGATATAAAGATGTTTATTGAAACCAATGAGAACAAAGACACAACATGCCAGAATCTCTGGGACATATTTAAAGCAGTGTGTAGAGGGAAATTTATAACACTAAATGCCAGAAAGATCTAAAATTGACAGTCTAACATCACAATTAAAAGAACTAGAGAAGCAAGAGCAAACAAATTCAAAAGCTAGCAGAAGACAAGAAATAACTAAGATCAGAGCAGAACTGAAGGAAATAGAGACACAAAAAACCCTTCAAAAAATCAATGCATCCAGGAGCTGGTGTTTTGAAAAGATCCACAAAATAGATAGACTGCTAGCCAGACTAATAAAGAAGAAAAGAGAGAAGAATCAAACAGACGCAATAAAAAATGATATGGGGGATATCACCACCGATCCCACAGAAATACAAACTACCATCAGAGAATACTGTAAACACATCTATGCAAATAAACTAGAAAATCTAGGAGAAATGGATAAATTCCTGGACACATACACCCTCCCAAGTCTAAACCAGGAAGAAGTCGAATCCCTGAATAGACCAATAAAAAGTTCTGAAATTGAGGCACTAATTAATAGCCTACCAACCAAAAAAAGTCCAGAACCAGATGGATTCATAGCCGAATTCTACCAGAGGTACAAAGAGGAGCTGGTACCATTCCTTCTGAAACTATTCCAAACAATAGAAAAAGAGGGAATCCTCCCTAACTCATTTTATGAGGCCACCATCATTCTGATACTAAAACCTGGCAGAGACACAACAAAAAAAGAAAATTTCAGGCCAATATCCCTGATGAACATCAATGCAAAAATCCTCAATAAAATACTGGCAAACCAAATCCAGCAGCACATCATAAAGCTTATCCACCACGGTCAAGTCACCTTCATTCCTGGGATGCAAGGCTGGTTCAACATATGCAAATCAATAACCATAATCCATCACATAAACAGAACATGTATACCCATGTAACAAAACTGCACGTTCTGCTCATGTACCCTAGAACTTAAAGTATAATAATAATAAAAAAAATTCTAGGGCAGCCACTTAAAAACTGTAAAGATGTATAAATGATAAGCCAATAGTGAAGATAAAATGAAATCATTTAAAAAAGTTTAATACGGCTGGTCGTGGTGGCTCACGCCTATAATCCCAGCACTTTGGGAGGCCAAGGCAGGCGGATCAGGAGGTCAGGAGATTAAGACCATCCTGGCTAACATGGTGAAACCCTGTCTCTATTAAAAATACAAAAAATTAGCCGGGCGTGGTGGCAGGCGCCAGTAGTCCCAGCTACTCGGGAGGCTGAGGCAGGAGACAGGAGAATGGCCTGAACCCGGGAGGCGGAGCTTGCAGTGAGCCGAGATCGCGCCACTGCACTCCAGCCTGAGCAACAGAGCGAGACTTTGACTCAAAAAAAAAAAAAAAGTTAAATACAAAAGTAGGCAGAAAAATTCCACACCCATTTATTACCAAACCTCTTGGAAACTATGTATAGAAGGAAACCTTTCTGAACTGAAAAAGAATACCTTAAAAAATCTGCAGTAGTAGATATTCTAAGAGTACCTTAAAATAGTGTATTTAATAATGATGGACCAAATCTTTTTATCCTAAGACTGAGAAAAGGCAAAAATATCTGTTATCACCACTCTTATTCAACATTATACAGAAGGTCTAGCCTGTAAAATAATGCCAAAAGAAAAAAAGGAATAAAAAGAAAAGAAAGAAATGAGTGACAAAGAGAGAAGGTGGGCAGAGGGAGGAAGAAAAGGGATACAGATTAGAGAGAAATAAATGAGGCCGCGCGCAGTGGCTCACGCCTATAATCCCAGCACTTTGGGAGGCCGAGGCAGGTGGATCACAAGGTCAGGAGTTTGAGACCAGCCTGGCCAACATAGAGAAACCCCTCTCTACTAAAAATACAAAAAATTAGCCAGGTGTAGTGGCGGGCACCTGTAATCCCAGGTACTCGGGAGGCTGAGGCAGGAGAACCGCTTGAGCCTGGGAGGCGGAGATTGAAGTGAGCCGAGATAGCGCCACTGCGCTCCAGACCAGGCGACAGTGCGAGACTCCGTTTCAGAAAAAAAAAAAAAAAAAAAAAGAGAGAGAGAGAAAGACATAATGAAAGCTGTCTCTATTCACAGATGACATGGTTGTTGACAGAGAATCTGCAAAATAAGTCAGTTCAGCAACGTCAATGTCCAAAATTGTGTCTAACAAGACATCTACAATACCTTTATGATAAAAACTACAAAGAAAAAAAGAAATCAAAGGAGACATAAATAAGTGAAAAGATATATTGTGTTCATGAATTGGAAAACTAAATATTGTTAAAATATCCTTTCTCCCTCACTGATATATAGATTCAAAACAATCTCCATAAAGATACTAGACAAATTTTCGTAGAAATCAGAAAACGAATTCTAAAATGTATTTGGCAATGCAAATGAACTAAAGTATCCAAAACAATTTTGAAAAAAAGAACACAGCAGGTTATTTTGCAAGTATAAAAAACGGATTCTTCAGTTTATACAGAAAGGCAAAAGACCCAAAATAGCCAACACAATATTGAAGGAGAACAAAATTGGAGAACTGACACTCCCCAGCTTCAAAGCTCAATATAGGGGGAGAGCATTAGGGAAAAGAGCTAAAGCATGTGGGGCTTAATACCTACCTGATGGGTTGATAGGTGCAGCAGACCACCATGGCACATGTTTATTTACCTATGTAACAAACCTGCACATCCTGCACATGTACCCTGGAACTTAAAAAAAAAAAGACTTAATATAAAACTATAATAATTAGAAGTGTGGTATTGGCAAAAAAAAGAAAGAAAGAAATAGGCTAATGGAATGGAATAGTGAGCCCAGACATAAACCCATACAAATATAGTCAATTGATCTTTGACAAAGGAGCAAAGGCAATTAAACAAAGAAAGGATATTCTTTTCAACAAATAGTGCTGAAAAAAATTAGACATCCACATGCAAAGAAATGAATCTACACATAGATTTTACACCTTTCACAACAATTAACTCAAATACATTATAGACCTAAATATAAAATTAAAAACTATAAAAATACTAGAAATAATATAGAAGAAAATCTAGGTGACCTTAGCTTTGACAATGACTTTTTAGATAACACCACCAACAGCATGATGCATAAAAGAAAAAGCTAAGTTGTATTTCACTAAAATTAAAAACTTGTGCTTTTGTGAAAGCCAATGCTCAGAGAATAAAACCAGCCATAGACTGCAAGAAAATATTTGCAAAACATGTATCTGTTATGGGACTGGTGTCCAAAATATACAAAAATGTTTATAACTCAACAATAAGAAAACAACAACCTAATCAAACAGTGGACAAAAATCTGAGCAGACTCCTCACCAAAGAAGACATGCAAATGGAAAATGTGTGTATGAAAAGATGTTCAATCATCTATCATTAGGGAATTGCAAATTAAAACATCAGTGTGATACAACTGCATACCTATTAGGATGGCTAAAATCCCAAATATTGGCAACACAAATGCTAGCAAGGATGTGGAGCAATGAGAAGTCTCATTTATGGCTGATGGGAATGCAAAATTGTACAACCATTTTGGAATCCAGTTTGGCAATTTCTTACAAAACTAAACATGCTCTTACCATATGATCCAGCAGTCACAGTCCTTGGTATCTACTGAATGAGATGAAAACTGCACACAAATGTTTATAGCAGCTTTTTTTCACAACTATCCAAACTTGGAAGCAACCAAGATGTCATTCAGTAGGTCAATGGATGAACAGACTGTGGTACATCTTTACAGTGGAATATTATTCAACAATAAAAAGAAATTAGCTATGAAGCCACAAAAAATATATGGATGATCCTTAAATATATATTGCTATGCGAAAGAAGCCTATCTAAAAAGACTACGTCTTGTATGATTCCAACTATATAATGTTCAGGAAAAGACAAAACATGGAAATGGTTAAAAAAAATCAGTGGTTGCTAGCTATTTAGCAGGAAGAAAAGAGGGATGAATAGGTGGAGGATGAATAGGTATTATTCTGTATGATACTATAATAGTATATCCATGCCATTATATATTTGTCAAAACACAGAAAATACAACACAAAGAGTGAACGCTAATGGTAAACAATGGACTTTAGCAAATAATAAATTTATTGGTACTGATTCATCAATTATTATATCTCAATAAAGAAAAGGATTTGGGGAAAGGTTTCCATTACTAAACCACCTTTCCATTCTCCCTCCCACATAACTATAAAACCCTGGCAATGCTATATAAAATATTTATTAAATCCTATCAAATGCTTACTGAGCTTTCAAGAAAATAAGAAAAGTCCTCAGTGGGCAAAAAGAGTAAAAGCTGAAAGTCAGAATGACAGTTAGGTGCTAACGCCATTTTGTCAGGAAATGTTTGCAGATTTTAACAAATAAGAGGTTACAAATGATTATGCTAGAAGAGGAAGCAAAGGCATAGACCTACATAATGTAGGGAGTTGAAAATGAGATAATCACTGATGCTTGTACCCTCAAAGGCTTATACACCCAATTAAAGAATGGCAAAAATTTGCTGGGCATTGTGGTTCATGCCTATAAATCCAGAACTTTGGGAGGCCGAGGCAGGAGGATCACTTGAGACCAGGAGTTGGAGACCAGCCTGAGCAACATAACATTTGTAGAGATCCCATGTCCACAATTTTTTTTTTTAATTAGCCAGTTGTGACAGCATGCCTGCAGTCCTAGCTACTCAGGAGGCTGAGGTGGGAGGATCACTTGAGCCCAGGAGTTCAAGGTTACAGTGAAGTACATTTGTGCCACTGCACTTCAGCCTGGGCAACAGGGCAAGGTCCTGTCTCCAAAAAAAGAAAAAGAGGCAGAAGACTTCCCATCTTGCCATTGACAGAGGAAAACAATGTGGAGACTTGTCCCTGTTGGCCAGTGTTCTGGGGGAAAAAAATCTCCCTTGAAAATGTATAACCAGAAACCTTCTCTCATGAATTTACACTTCATGTATGGTCCCAGAAATGTTAAGCCAAATAATTATTATAAGGTAGTTCTGAGTTGGTATCTTTCTAGGGTAGTTGGCAGAAGCAAAGATAAAGCCTCTCACAAAACAGACTGCACAGGACTTCTATATCTAAAGTCCAGCCAACCACGAACTAAGAATCCAGAATTACAAAGCAATCACTTTGATCAATAGTTAAAATAAACAAGAAACACTAAATTAAACACCTCAGATAGTGAAATTTTTTGACTTTATTTTACAAAACAAGCTTAAGATGTTTCAAGAAAGCAAGACTGAAGTTGAAAGCATGAGAAAGGAACATGATACTACCAATGAAGTTAGGTATATTGAGAAGAAAAAAACAGGACTTATAGAACTAAAATATAACTTTCGAAATAAAAAACTTAACAGACATTTCAACAGTATGTTACACACAGAACAAGAAATAACTAGAAAATTTCTAAAATGGTATTAAAAAATTACCCAGATGCAGCTCAAAAAAACAGTGATAAAAACGAAAATAAAAGAGAGTTAAGAGATGTAGAAGATAGAAAAAGAAAAAATTAACATGTGGTAATGATCAAAAGAATGAAAAAGAAACTATTAAAAAAGATAATGGCTGGGTAAATTTTTTCAAGTTAATGAAAAACGTTTGTCCTTAAATTTAAGAGGAACCACAAATCTTAAACAGGATAAATAAAAATAAAGAAACAATTTGGTAAAATTTCAAAATACCAAATATAAAGAGAAAACACAATTAGACTAAAAGAAACTTTTCAGTAGCAAAAATAGGAACCAAAATGGCTGAATTCTGGCTAGCCAAGGATAATGATGGCTACCTAAAACTCAATCTCTCCAAATGTACTCCAAAAGCAATATAGGCTTGGAAGGAAGAAAGGAGGGAAGGAAGAAAGGAGGGAAGGAAGAAAGGAAGGAAGGAAGAAAGGAAGGAAGGAAGGAAGGAAGGAAGGAAGGAAGGAAGGAAAGAAGGAAGGCGACCATTGAATAGAAAAAAGAAAAGACACAAATTTCAAAATAGCTCTAAGTAGAAAAATAAATATCAAATCCAAACGTATCTATCACTCATGCTCCTTTGGCAAATTTTTATGGTGCGTAAAGGCCATTTAGAAGAACTGTGTGGAAAAAAGAAGAGGGAAATTAGTGGAGTGCCTAGGATTTATCTAAAGTCACTTCCACAGAAGAAGGGCCACCCTAGGTTTGAAAAGACTGGAAAGGATTTATGGGATTGTGGGAAATGCAGTTTGGAGACTGTTCTTTTCTCATTCCTATAATGACTGCTTCTAGGAAGCAGGTGTCAAGTAGAACCTCTTAACCTCATAACCAGAGTTCCAGGAAGGGAGTATTTCACATCAGATAGAATTATACCATTTTTTTGGAACCTGAAGTCCTCAAGATCCAGCCACCATAATATCCCAACTTTATGACCTGTTTTAGCATAATTACTGTACATCCTCATTTTGTGTTTTTCAGTGCTGATTGTTGTTGAAGTAGGGGAAGCCAGAGGAAATCACTCTTGTTTGGTATGATTCTCAGCATTACAGGCAATTGTGCTTATTTGAGTTTATGCATGAAAGAAAAATAGACAGATGAGATGTAAAAATCTCACCCTAAAAGCCTTTGTACTGTTAAGGTTAAAACTGAGCTTCAGTGTCTGAAAGCTCCCAAGAAACAACAAATGGAGCTAATTTCACATTCTAAGATGTTTCTGTATAAATGGGAACCAATTGATATATGTTAAATGGGGAAAAAAGTTTTCTTCACAACAAATAATGTGCTGAAAAATGCAACCTATAATTTATATTTGACAGTTAGAAAAGAGATCAAAAAGTAAGATGACTGGAATTTGCATAAGTAATATTTCATAGTTTTGAAAGCACATGAAATAGGAAGAAAAAAGATCTCTTCCCAAAATATTTGAAAATCACCACCGTTCAGTTATAATCACTGCCTACTAAATTGTTGAGAAGTCTTTTCTCTATATTTTAATTAGATACTTGTTTTGTTATCTCCCAAGTTAATATTGTACTTGAATATCAAATAGAGCCAGTCAAAAATGGAAAGTTTCAGTTCCTTAGAGACAAAATATTTAGAAAATGTGTTCAATGTATCTATTAATGAAATAGAGAAAATATTTACTGTAAAAAGCCCTTTATATTAACATTGAAATGGAGAAGATATTTAATGTAAAACAAAAGCCCAAAAGTAAAACCTTTATATTGATTAACTGAGTAGCATCCCCATGGTGAGAAATGCCATATTAAATATAAACTCATTAAGTTGTTGAGAGAGAGAGAGAAACAGAGAGAGGATGTGTGCTCTGGTGGATCAGAGCAATGATTGCAAGGAAGCAACTCAAAAATGCATGTAATTGAGAGTGACAGTCTTTGAAAGGCATTGCTTATGTGGGAGAAAAGACCTTTTGTAAATATGAGTAAAAGGAAAAACAGATAAAAGGAAGAAATTTAGAGTCTTAAAAGACCAAAAAAAACAAAAAGAAAAGAAAAACCAAAATAATCAGAGGACTCAAACTCCTCATTTCCTCCCACCATGACCACCAAAAATAAAAATCTATCCATTTCAAAAACAAAAACAAAACTTATACTTTACTCCACTGATAGGAGAAGATGTTTTTCAGCCAGTAATCTTGTAAATCACCAGAAATCCACAAAATGAATAGGTGAAACAGCCTAAATACAGACAAGATTACTACAGGAAAAACACAGAAAATAAGAATCAAAACATTTCAGCTTATAAAAAGTCATTCCCTTCAAACAAGCAAAAAGCAGAAGAAAACTGTAGCACAACATTTTAAACTGAATTAAATAATCTCAAACAATCATTTTTTAATATGAAAAACCAGCTTAAATCAGAAGTTGTAAAACATAATAAATGGACAAAAAATAGGGCTAAATAAAACTAGAACTGATTATACTCAGAAGAGGAATGTCAGAAAAAGGCAAAATCGCTTCAAATACAAGGATAAAGTTACAAGTTGCCTTAGGTATAATAGATTCAAATAAAAACGTAATAAAAGGTAAGGCAAGAAAACAGCCAAGAAAATAAAGATAAAATAAATATGAAGAGTTAGAAAAGTATTGAAACGGAAGGAAGGTAAAGAAGATTCAACAGGCATGTAATTGTAGTCTCTGAAAGAAAGAAAAATAAGACAATGAAATAGAACACTTATTTAAAATCACAATAAAAGAAAACCTTATAGAAATTTTGAAAAATCTGAATTTACATATTGAAAGAACCTTAGAGTACCAATGGTCAGCTAGCAGAAAAAGTGTAAACTTTAAAGATCAAGAAGGAACACTCAGGGCCTCCAGCAGAAGGAAAGACCAAATAACCTGAAAAGACAAGAGAATTAGGCATTAAACTTTTCAAGAGCAACTTACAAAGCAAGGCAAAAATGGAGTGGCATTTTCAAGAAACTTAAGAAAAGAAACTGTGAGCCAAGATTGATATCTAACCAAGTTGTACTTCAAGTATCAATGTTATAAAAAAGCATATTGAACATGCAAAATCTCAGGGGGTACAGTACATTTGAGTGCTTTCTGAGAAACCTACTGGGGGGCAGATTTATTCAATCAAGGATAAATGGTAAAACATCATCAAAAAACCTGATGGGGAGTATTTTACATATTTAATTGTAAAACTAAGGATAAAACAAAGGAAAAGAGAAAGATGTAAGAATAATGCAAAAAAAGGAGAAGAGAAAGGAGAAGGAAAACAGAGTAGAATAGACTCATTTATAGTTGCATAGGCAATAGGTGAGAATCAGACTATTATTAAAAACCGAAAAAATATAATAAAAGGTTAAATAACCTCTAAATAAAAGGACAAAGAAAACATTTACATACAGAAAAAACATAGTACTCATGAAAGACATATAAAATAATTGCTTATCAGACTTATTAATAAATGTGAATGAACTTAAATTACCTATTAAAAGAAAAATATTTTAAAATTGGCTCACAAAGCAAGACCTAACTCTATGGTATAGGTAAGGCACACACCTAAAACAACATGATTCAGAAAGGCTAAAAAAAAAAAAAGGCTGGGAAAATATATAGCAAGCAAATTGGAAAACAAAACAAAACAAAACAAAACAAAAAAAACAAGAAAGCAGGGCTGTTTCTCGTAACAATGTAGAATTCAAGTCAGAAAACATCCACAAATGTTTACAGAACTTTTATTACATTTATAAAGTAAAATCTATAGGAAACATACATTGAAACACATAATAGAAGATTTTAACAAACTCTTCTCAGTTGGGCAAAAAATAAGTAAGAATATGTATAAGACTTACTGATATGTTTTGGATTTGTGTCCCCACCCAAATCTCATGTCAAATTATAATCCCTGGTGTTGGAGGGGGGCCCTGGTGGGAGTTCCCCCTTGCTGTTCTTGTGATAGTGACTGAGATCTCATGAGATCCGGTTGTTTAAAAGCATGTAGCCTTCCCCTTTCTCTCTCTTCCTCCTGCTCCAGCATGTAAGACATGCCTGCTTCCCCTTCACCTTCTGCCATTCTTATAAGTTTCCTGAGGCCTCCCCAGCCATGCTTCCTGTACAGCCTGTAGAACCATAAGCCAATTAAACCTCTTTTCTTTCAAATTATGCAGTCTTGGGTAGTTTTTTTATAGCAATGTGAGAACAGACTAATACACCTATACAACTTAACAAGTAAGTAGATCATGTGGAGACATATTGGAGTATATCCTAATAATAGATACTACACTTTTCTCTAGTAAAGAGGGAAATTCACAGAAGTTGATTACATATTAGGTCATAAAGAAAGTATTATTTAAGTTAAAGTAAAAATATTACAAAAATTACTCTGATCTCAACATAATAAAACCATAAATAAGCAACAATTAAAATTTTAAAAAGTTCCACTAGAATATTTTAAAACATTTTATTTTATTTATTTTATTTTTATTTTTTATTTTTTACTTTTTGAGATGGAGTCTTGCTCTGTCACCCAAGCTGTAGTGCATGGCACTATCTTGGCTCACTGCAACCTCCGCTTCCTGGGTTCAAGTGTTTCTCCTGCCTCAGCCTCCCAGGTAGCCGGGATTATAGGTGCCTGCCAACGTGCCCAGCTGATTTTTGTGTTTTTAGTAGAGACAGTGTTTCACCATGTTGGACAGGCTGATCTCGAATTCCTTACCTCAGGTGACCTGCCCACCTCAGCCTCCTAAAGTGCTGAGATTACAGGCGTGAGCCACCGCACCCAGCCTTAAAACATTTTATCCAACAATTCCAGGGTGACATACAACCAAAATAACAAGAGTTTCCAAAAAGTAATTATAATAAAAAACATGACATTTAAGAATTTATAGAGTACATTTAAAGCAGTGATCGGACAAAATTTTAAGGCTTTAAACATATACATTAATAAAAATGAAATAATGAAAATAAATCAATTAAATTTATAATTTATAAAGCTAGAATAATAAAGTAAAAGAAAAAGCATAATAAATACAGATAAAATAAAAAATTAATGAAGAACAGAAAAAGATATATTTACTTAATAAATGAAAATCCTGATTGTTTGAAACAAAATAAACTATTACCTAACCCAACTAAGAAAAAAAAGAGAAAGAATAAACATATCAAAAGAAATGATAACTGTTAAAACACAGGAAATTTAAAAATCTTTGGAGGTACATTGCAGACCTCAAGAAAATAAATTTGAAATACTAAAGGTGGATGTCCTTGATCTAACAAAATAAATCTACCAAAAAATGAATAAACAAAACAAAAAAAACCCTATAGTTCACATCATACTTAAGATAAAATGTTGAAAACTTTTCCCTCAAATGTGGAATTTTTAAAAAGTATTTCCACTCTTGCATTTTTTATTCAATGTAACACTGGATTTCTGGCCAGTGCAATAAAGTAAGAAAAAAGAAGCTGCAGTTATGAGGAGTGTAAAGGAAGAATACAAATTGTCTTTAACTATAGACAACATGACTGCATTCATATAAAGTCCTAAGCAATCTACATAAAGCTATTAGCAGTAATAAGTGAATATAGCAAAGTCATATGATGCATTATTTATATATAAATTTCTATGGTATTTCTATATTATAGCCACAAACAACTGGGAAAAATTGGATAAAGAAAACGTGGCATATATACACCATGGAATACTGTACAGCCCTATGTCTTTTGCAGAAACATGGATGGAGCTGGAGGCCATCATCCTTAGCAAACTAACGCAAGAACAGAAGACCAAAACCACATATTCTCACTTATAAGTGGGAGGTAAATTATGAGAACTCATGAACACAAAGAAGGGAACAACAAACACCAGGGCTTGAAGGGTGAAGGGTGGGAGGAGGGTGAAGGGTGGGAGGAGGGTGAAGGGTGGGAGGAGGGTGAAGGGTGGGAGGAGGGTGAGAAACAGAAAGAATAACTACTGGATACTTGGCTTAGTACCTAGGTGACAAAATAATCTATACAACAAGCCCCCATTACATGAGTTTACCTATATAACAAATCTGCACATGTACTCCCAAACCTAAAATGAAAGTTAAAAAAATTACAATGCTATCCAATAACATGATATATTTATATATAAATTTAACAAAAGATATATAAGATCTTGACATTGACCTATGAAACACTGCTGATATGAATTTAAAAGACCTAAATAAATGAAGAGAAATACATTGTTTAAGGATTTGAAGACTCAATATTATTAAGACATCGATTTTTCTAAAATTGCCCTATAGAGTTCATGCAATTCCATTCAAAATCTCAGCAAGATCTTTTGTTGAAATGGACAAAGTAATTTTAAAATTTTTGTGGGAAGCCAAAGAACCTAGAATGTTTAGAGCTATCTGGGAAAAGAACAAAGTTGGAGGAGTTACACTACAGTATCAAAGGAACAGAACAAAGAATTTGGAATTAAACCTACATATATGTGGTGAATTTATTTTCAACAAAGTTTCCAAGACAATTCAATGAGGAAAGGAAAGCTTTTCAATAAATGGTAGTAGAACAAGTTGACAAACGTATAGGAAAACAAATCAATCTTGGCTCAATATTGACATCTTTCTGAAAATAAAAATTAATTCAAGATGAATCATAGAAATAAATGTAAATCTGAAATATTAAAATTTTTAGGTATATATAGAAGAATGTCTTGCAACCTTGAGGAGCCAAAGATTTCTTATAATAGACACCAAAATAATAATTAGAAATTAAAAATTGATACATTAGATATCAAAATTAACATTTTTGCTGTTTGAAAGATACTTTCTTTTTTTGAGAGGGAGCCTGGAGCCTCGCTCTGTCACCCAGGCTGCAGTGTAGTGGCGCGATCTCGGCTCACTGTAACTTCTGCCTCCCAGATTCAAGCTATTCTCCTGCCTTGGTCTCCCGAGTAGCTGGGATTACAGCTGCGTGCCACCACGCCCAGCTAATTTTTGTATTTTTAGTAGAGACGGAATTTCACCATGTTGGCCAGGCTGGTCTCAAATTCCTGACCTCAGGTATTCCGCCCGCCTCGGCCTCCCAAAGTGCTGGGATTACAGGCATGAGCCACAGCACCCAGCCGAAAGACACCTTCTAAAAAATGAAAAGGCAAATCACAGACCAGTTGAAAATATTTACAGTCTGTTTGTCAAATAAAAGAATTGTATCCAGAACATTCATAGAAGTCCTACAATGACAACAGTTTCAAAACATGGGCAGAGGACTTGAACAGACACTTCACAAAAGATGTAGGGCCAAGCGCAGTGGCTCACGCCTGTAATCCCAGCACTTTGGGAGGCCGAGGCGGGCAGATCACGAGGTCAGGAGATCGAGACCATCCTGGCTAACACGGTGAAACCCCGTCTCTACTAAAAATACAAAAAAATTAGCCGGGCGTGGTGGCGGGCGCCTGTAGTCCCAGCTACTCGGGAGGCTGAGGCAGGAGAATGGCTTGAACCCGGGAGGTGGAGCTTGCAGTGAGTCGAGATCGCACCACTGCACTCTAGGCTGGGCGACAGAGCGAGACTCTTCTCAAAAAAAAAAAAAAAAAAAAAAAGTACAGATGGCTAAAAAAACATATAAAAGGATTCTCAGTATTAGTTGCAGGCAAAATGCAAATTAAAATCATAATGAAACACCACTTCTCACCCACTCTGATATGTTACTAGTGGGAGTATGAAATGGTACACTCACTTTGGAAAACTGGCAGTTTTCTGTAAAGTTAAACATACACCCACTATATGATCCAGCAATTCTACTTTTTGGTATTTACCCAAGAGAAATAAAAACATACATCCACAAGTGTTTACAGAACTTTTATTCATTATAGTGAAAAGCTGGAAACTACCCAAATGTCTATCATCAGCAGAATAAATGAACAGTTGTGATATATTCATTTCACGGAATACTATTCAACAATAAAATTAAAAAGTATACACATAACAAAATTAGCCAGGCATGGCGGCACATGCCTGTAATCCCAGCTACTTGGGAGGCTGAGGCAGGAGAATCACTTGAACCCGGGAGACAGAGGCTGCAGTGAGTCGAGATTGCATCACTGAACTCCAGCCTGGGCAACTGAGCGAGACTCCATCTCAAAAATAAATAAATAAATAAAAGAGTATACACATAACAGTATGAATGAATCTCAATAACAGTATGTTCAGTGAAGGAAGCCAGACAACAGAGAGTACTTACCTATGTAATTATATTTACATGAAATTCAAGAAAAGTGGTTGCCTCTGAGCTTTAGAGAAATGAACTAGAATACGACACAAAGAAAATTTCTAGGATGATGGAAATGTTCTACATCTTCATTGGGATACTTGGTTATACAACTACATACATTTTGTAAAAAACTCACTGATTTGGCCACCTTTATGCACGTATATTTTATCTCAATTTAAAAAGAGAAATCTTAAAAAGGTTTTTAAAAAGATAAAGGAAAAATAATGAATTTCAAATATAAAAAAAGAAGATCTAACACAAATATAAGGATTCTTATCTGAGAGTCCACAAATTCTGAAGGGATACCTACTTAGAAAAAAGGAGGTCTGCGAACTTGGATGAACATTACATCTTCATTTTCACTTAACCTAACTGAAATTTATCCTTTTATTTAATTGTGACCTTAGCTAAGAAGCCACAGTAATATTAGCAGAACCTCTGACTTTGTCACCAGATATTTTTACATCACATTGCCAATGCTGCAGATATTTTAAAATATTGTTTAGACTCATCACTACTTCAGAATTCTGGTAATTATGAGACTTGCCACTAGATCACATGTTACCGTAGATACCTATGTGTAATCTTGTTATTAATACATATAAAACTTTTTATTTAGTACATATAAAGAAGCATACATGTTACATATACAACTGCGTTTTCTGTTTTTTTAAATTGTGGTAAAATATACATAGCATAAAATTTACCATTTTAATCATTTTAAGTGTCTGTGGCACTAAGTACGACCTATGTGCAAACATCTATCCAGCTCCAGAACTTTCTTATCTTTCCCAACTGAAACTCTGTACCCATTAAACAATAACTCTCCATTCCTCCTCCTGCCAGCCCCTGGCAACCATCACTCTGCTTTCCATCTCTATGAATTTGACTACTATCGACTATTTGGCTTTTATACCACCTATAAGTGGAATCATACAATATTCGCCCTTTTGTGACTGGCTTCTTTCACTAAGCACGATATCTTCAAGTTTCATCCATGTTGTAGCAGAATTTCCTTTCTTTTTAAGGCTGAATAATATTCCATTGTATGCTTATACCACATTTTGTTTGTCCATTTATCTATTGATGGCCACTTGGGTTACTTCCACCTTTTGGTTATTGTGAATAAGGCTGCTGTTGAACATGGGTGTGCAAATATCTTTTCAACCTGTGTTTTCCAAATGTAGTTTTGACAAAACTACATTGCAGCATATAATTGCTTTCCTTTCTAAACCTATGTATTGTGTCTTATTATTATTATTATTCGAGATGGAGTCTCACTCTGTCGCCCAGGCTGGAGTGCAATGGCACGATCTAGGCTCACTGCAACCTCTGCCTCCTGGGTTCAAGTGATTCTTCTGCCTCAGCCTCCCGAGTAGCTGGGATTACAAGCATGTGCCACCACGCCCAGCTAATTTTTGTATTTTTAGTAGAGATGGGGTTCCACCAGTTTGGCCAGGCTGGTCTCGAACTCCTGACCTCAGGTGATCCACCCACCTCGGCCTCCCAAAGTGCTGGGATTACAGGTGTGAGCCACCAGCCCGGTCTGTGTTTTACGAATTTTAAAACACTATTTTTTATTATTGCTATTTTCTTAGAGACAGGCTATCACCCCAGCTGGAGTGCAGTGGCATGATCATATGGCATAAACATATTCCATGCAGTCTCAAACTCCTGGGCTCAAGCAATCCTCCCACCACCATGACCGACTTTTTTTTTTTTTTTCTATAGAGATGGGTATGTTACCCATGCTGGTCTCAAACTCTTGGCCTCAAGCTATCCTCCCACCTCAGCCTCCAAAAGTGCTGGGATTACAGGAGAGACTCACCACAACCCGGCCCTGAAAACATCATTCTAAGAAAGGGATTACAATCTTCAGTGGAGGTTCAACACTCCCTGGCATAACAGGAATCCCCAAAGTAGAAAATTTAAGCAATGGAACATAAGAAATCCTAAAAACTATAACAACAATAAAAAACTTTCCTAAAATAAAAAAATTACTTGAATGTCCATGTAAGAAGAAAATACTGTGTACCTGAGAAAATGGATTCGGAATGGTCACTATCAAGACATAGTCTGTAAAATAATAAGATTTTAAACAAAATTTTTTAAAAACCCTCTGGGCATCCATACAAATAGACAAAGTCACTGATAAGGGAAAAAAACCAGATTGTCATCACATTGTCAGTAATAATGCTGTACACCAGAAAACAACAGATTAACGTATTTTAGGCAGTCAAGATAGAAAAGGTGAGCCATGAATTATCTAACTAAACTGAACTTTAACTATAAAGATCACACTCAAGCTGTTATGTATGCAAGAACCCAAAAGAATTTTTTGCTGAGGAATCTATGACAGAATAAGCTTCAGACAATCAAAGTGATTGGAGAGGTATTGATGTAGCGACTGGTAGGTAATCGAATAATTGATGAGAGGAATTTTCTCTCTAAAGTCAAAGATGAAATAATAGAATTAGAATATCAACATTTTACAGCCCATAATGAATTCCTGGACCTAACAATTATTAATAGCTGACAGCACAAAAAGAGAGAAAGTCAGACATTATATGCTTCCTGGTGGAAGTATCCAACACCAATTATAAAGCAGTCTTAGAAGAAAAAAATCAAACATGAACCTGATAAGCCTCTAGATCTAATTGCCAATTTACAGAAAATACATGGGACAGAATAATGTTAAAGACCACCACAGAAAGGCAATCAGCAAAATCCCAAGTATGTAACATCATTCAGGACAAATAATCTGATTTATTCAACAAAAGTTAGAATAATAAGAAAAATATATGGCAGAAGAGCAGTATAGATTAAGAGACTTACAGATACATCAACCAATCACAATATAGAAGATAATTAGGAAATATGGACATTGACTGGACTTGAAGTTATTAAGAAATTTTAAAGAATTTTTAGGTAAGATAACGGTGTGATTGTGATGCTAATTTTAAGATTTCTTATCTTAGAAATACATACTGAAGTATTTATGAATGAAATTGTATGATGTTTGGAATTTGTTTCAAAATAATTTAGTGGAGATTAGAGAGTGAGGTGAGGGTATAGATGAAACAAGATTGAAGATGTGTTGGTCACTGTTGAAGCAGAATGATGGGAACATAAAAATTTATTCTATTCTATTTTTTGAATATCTGAACATTTCCATTAAGAGCATTATTTAAAATAAAATTAAAACATCAAGATGAAAAAGTTTTCTTGGAGAGATTGGGAATAAATTAAAAATAGATGTGTAGAAACCTAACCAAATGAGAAAAAGTAAAAAGTATACCACCCTGGACAACAAGATGAAATACGTCTCTAGAAAAAAAAATTAACCAGGTGCAGTGGCAAGCACCTGTATTCCCAGCTACTCAGGAGGCTTAGGTGGGAGGATCGCTTGGGTTCAGGAGTTCGAGGCTGCAGTGAGCTAAAATCACGCCACTGCCCTCCAGCCTTGGTGAAACAGCAAGTCCCCCTCTCTAAACAAGAAAAGAAAAAGGGATTTACTCCAGGAAAAACAAAAAGCTTTACAACCAGAGAATATCCTAATTCTATTTGGCTCAGTTAGGAAATATATTAACATAAAAATTAAATATTACTTAATGTAAAAGAAAAATGTTACTAACATGTATAAGTATAAATTTTGTTATATTATTTTCCACAAAAAAGAAAAAATAGATAATTTGGTCTTTACCGTAGTTAGTTGAAATCCATTTTTTATCATCAAAAGTTTAGGCCGGGCGCGGTGGCTCACGCCTGTAATCCCAGCACTTTGGGAGGCCGAGGCGGGTGGATCATGAGGTCAGGAGATCGAGACCATCCTGGCTAACAAGGTGAAACCCCGTCTCTACTAAAAATACAAAAAATTAGCCGGGCGCTGTGGCGGGCGCCTGTGGTCCCAGCTACTCGGGAGGCTGAGGCAGGAGAATGGCGTGAACCCGGGAAGCGGAGCTTGCAGTGAGCCGAGATTGCGCCACTGCAGTCCGCAGTCCGGCCTGGGCGACAGAGCGAGACTCCGTCTCAAAAAAAAAAAAAAAAAAAAAAAAAAAAAAAAAGTTTAAAAAAGATTTCTCAGCTTCATGGCTCCAGTTATTACATCCAGTAATGTCATGTAAAATTTTAAAATGGATGTCAAATTTGAAAAAAATCTCTCAATTTTTATGACGTGTTGCACTATGAAATGTAAAGGCTTTGCAAGTTTTCTTGTGCAGTGACTAATCTTCAACACTCTTTTCCTAACAATGTCATTAATGTTCTTATTGCAGTGGTATAATGAGTTTAAAATTATCTCCATTGATGTCAATTTTTTAAATAGTCTTTTAATATACTAAGAACATTAAAATACTTTTTTAATGTATTAAAATATTGCTAATACTTTTAATGACATTGTCATTAATATTCTAATTGAAATGCTGTCACGAGTTTAATCTTATCTCCATGGATGTCAACATTTCTTGTCAAATTAGCAATATATTTTAATTATTTCCAGTTTGCTCATATGACTTGTTACTGTGTTATCAAATAATGTAAAAGCCTAACCATTTCTTCTATTTGAAATTTGTCTCCTTCTGTTAATCAATTCATGCTATTGTATGATAAGAATTTTTGTTACAGTTAGCATCTTGATGTCAAGATAATTTCTACTGATTTCATCTTTCATCTTTCTGTCTTGTGTTTCAGTCTGTTAATTTTTTTACTGAATTTCCCCTTGGTTCTTTAATTTAAAATTTTCAAGTTAACAGAGTAAGAAATCCTTCATATATTTCCATATCAGTAGTCTATAATATTTCACCTTGCATTTTTGGAAATATTCCAAATTACAGTTAATTTGCTTTATCATTTTTTTAATTTTTAATTTTTGTGGGTATATAGTAGGTATATATATTTATCGGATAAAGGAGATATTTTGATACAGGCTTGCAATTTGTAATAATCACATCATGGAAAATGGGGTATCCATCCCCTCAAGCATTTAACCTTTGTGTTACAAACAATCCAATTATACTCTTTTGGCTATTTTTAAATGTACAACTAAATTATTTTGACTATAGTCACTCTGTTATGCTATCAAATACTAAGTCTTATTTATTCTTTCTTTCTTTCTTTCTTTCTTTTTTGGTAAGCATTAGCCACCCTGACTTCCCCCATGTACCCCCAACTACCCTTCCTAGCCTCTGGTAACCATCTTTCTACTCTCTATCTCCATGAGTTCAATTGTTTTAGTTTTTAGATCCCACAGATAAGGAAGAATATGTGATGTTTGTCTTTCTGTGCCTGGCTTATTTCACTTAACACAATAACCTTCACTTCCATCCATGTTATTGCAAATGACAGGATCTCATTCTTTTCATTGGCTGAATAGTACTCCATTGTGTATAAGTACCGCTTGTTCTTTATTCATTCATCTGTTGATGGACACTTAGGTTGCTTCCACATCTTGGCTATTGTAAATAGAGCTGCCACAAACATGGGAGCGCAGATACCTCTTCGATATACTGATTTCCTTTATTTGGGGTATATACCCAGCAGTGGGATTGCTGGATCATATGGTAGCTCCATTTTTAGTTTTTTTGAGGAAACTCCAAACTCTTTTCCATAGTGGTTGTACTAATTTACATTCCGACCAACAGCGTACATCTTTTCTCCATATCCTCTCCAGCATTTGTTATTACCTATCTTTTGGATAAATGCAATTTCAATTGGAGTGAGATGATACCTCATTGTAGTTTTAATGTCCGTTTGTCTGATAATCAATGATGTTGAGCATCTTTTCATATGCCTGTTTGCCATTTGTGTGTCTTCTATTGAGCAGTGTCTATTGAGAAATTCAGATCTTTTGCCCATTTTAAAATCCATTTAGTAGATTTTTTTCTATAGAATTGTTTGAATTCCTTATATATTCAGGTTATTAATCCCTCGTCGATGAGTACTTTGTGAATATCTTCTCCCATTCTGTGGGTTATCTCTACACTTTTTAAATTGTTTCTTTTGCTGTGCAGAAGGTTTTTAACTTGATTTTTGCTTTGGTTTCCTGTGCTTACGGGGTATTACTCAAGAAATTTTTGCCCAGGCCAATGTCCTGGAAAGTTTCCCCAATGTTTTCTTTAGTAGTTTCACAGTTTGAGGTCTTAGACTTAAGTCTTTAATCCATTTTTATTTCATTTTTTTGTATAGTGAGAGATAGGAGTCTAGTTTCATTCTTCTGCATATGAATAGCCAGTTTTCCCAGCACCATTTATTGAAGAGACTGTCTTTTCCCCAGTGTATGCTCTAGGCATCTTTGTTGAAAATGAGTTCACTGTAGATTTTTTTTCTGGGTTCTCTATTCTGTTCCATTAGTCTATGTGTTTGTTTTTGTGCTGTTGTAGTCACTATAGAAACTGTAGTGTAATTTGAAGCCAGGTAATGTGATTTCTCCAGTTTTGTTATTTTTCCTCCAGATATATATGTGGTATATATATGTGGTATATATATGTGATATGCGGTGTGTATATATATATATAAATATATATATAAAAAATATATATATAATTCCCATATATATATGAGAATACTACTCAGCCATAAAAAGGAATGGATTAATGGCATTTGCAACAACCTGGATGGAACTGGAGACTATTATTCCAAGTGAAGTACTCAGTAACGGAAACCAAACATCATATATTCTCACTCATAAGTGGGAGCTAAGCTATGAGGATGCAAAGGCATAAGAATGATGCAATGTACTTTGGGGACTCAGGGGGAAAGGTTGGGAAGGTGGTGAGGGATAAAAGACTACACATTGAGTTCAGTGTATACTGCTCAGGTGATGGGTGCATCAAAATCTCACAAATCACCACTAAGGAACTTACTCATGTAATCAAGTACCACCTGGTTCCCCAAAAACCTATAGGCAAAGAGGATAAACTAGAAATCCTAGAGGAGATGGATAAAATTAAAAAAAAATTTAAAGAATAAATAAATGCTTATTGTAGAAAAAAAAGAGATGGAGCAGGAATAGAGCTGTTAATGTGCAGCTCCCTAATAGTTCATTTCAGTTCAAAGATAACATATAGGTTATTTGGAGGAATATAAGGCTTACAATATTAAGATGATGTGGGTGAGAGAAATGACAAAATATGACAAGAATAAGCCTGTTGAAAGATTATGCAAAATTATTTGAAAAATATACTTTGCTAAGATGACTATAATGAGCAGACTGTAAGTTATCCACACCCTTTCTTGGTGCTTCTCTTGGTGACAACAGAGTCCAACTCTGAAAACCAACCTTTTCCCCTCACAGTGCAATATTTTCATGATCTTATGCACTAAAAAGCAGTACATTTTTTGCTGCTCTTTTCAATTCCAACTTCTTTCACCTGCACCTGGCATCACGGGTAACACTCCTGTGAAAGAAATCTCCATTTTAGTAAAGAAGATGGAAGGAGGGACTACAGAGGGAATGGTTGGAAGAAATATTTAATATTTTATCAAAATATGACAACACATTTTTCCTTTTTAATTCTTATTTTACAAAATGAGTATTGGACTTTTTTATTTTATTTCAGTTACTTTTATCCCTAGCCGTGCTCTAGCCATAATCTTGGGGTCTGTCATCATTCCAAAATTTCCTAGGGATGAGGAAACTGTATGGAGAGGACAATTAAAGAACAACTAAATGACAAGTGATCAGGGAGACAGGATGCATGGAAAAAGGCACTGAAAAGAAAAGACTTGGGGTGGGCTACAGAGTGTGTTGAGCAGTGAGGTTGTTCTCTCATTGAC
This sequence comes from Homo sapiens, assembly GCF_000001405.40. Lineage (NCBI taxonomy): Eukaryota > Metazoa > Chordata > Mammalia > Primates > Hominidae > Homo > Homo sapiens. The sequence goes on along the minus strand of NC_000012.12, from coordinate 48,251,814 downwards.
CTTTTCCAGTTTTCAAAAGACGATACAAGGGATTCATTATTGTGAAGAATTCAACTCAGGTGAAGCATTTCTCTTGAACGTCTGCTCAATCTCAGTCTTTTCCCAGACCCAGCCACTGTTAACAAAACACTGATGTGTGTTCTTCCAGATCTTTTGCATGTATTTAAATAGACATACAAGATAGACAGAGATGGCTTTATATTGTTCATGGGCTCTCTTTTATACATGTGATATGATATGATATGTATTGTTCTGCAACACGCTTTTTCACTTAGCAGCCTGTTTTAAGAGAATCTGCTCTGTCATTATTCTTTTTCACACAATTAATAGAACAATCTTTGGTATAAATGGGTAATTCATTCAACAATTAATAGCTATTTCAGTGGTTTCCAATGTTTTGCCTTCAGAAATGGTGCTGAGTAAAAATGTTTGTGAATACTTTCTTACACATTTGTGTAGGTATTTCTTTGGGGCATATACTCAAAAGTAAAATTCTGGGTTGAAGGGCATGTTCTTTCTTTAATTTTAGTAGATACTGACAAATTGCCCTCCAAAAAGGTTGTTTTAATTTACTCTCCTACCAGCAACGTAGACTTTTGCCTACAGTTGCTATTATCAATCTTTTTTTTTTTTTCTTTTTTCTTTTTTTGAGACAGAGTCTCCCTCTGTCGCCCAGACTGGAGTACAGTGGCACAATCTCGGCTCACTACAACCTCCGCCTCCCCAGTTCAAGCGTTTCTCCTGCCTCAGCCTCCCAAGTAGCTGGGACTACAGGTGTCTGCCACCACGCCTGGCTAATGTTTTGTATTTTTAGTAGAGATGGGGTTTCATCATGTTGGCCAGGCTGGTCTCAAACTCCTGACCTCAAGCGATCCTCCTGCCTCAGCCTCACAAAGTGCTGGGATTACAGGTGTGAGCCACTGCACCTGGCCTTATTATCAATCTTGATAATATTTTCACATCTGATGGATGAAAATAGTTTTTTGTTTTAGTTTGCATTTCCCTGATTACTTGTGGGTTGGGGATTTTTGATATGTTTGCTTTCTATACATATTTCATTTTTATTGAATTTTCTATTTAATTTCTGTTGCTCATTTTTATTAATGGTTTCTTTTCTTCTTACTGACTGATATTCATTGTATCAATCTTACATGAGTTACATATATTGCAAATGTTTTCCCAGGTCTACATCTTGTTTAGTATTTTGATTATGATGTCTTTTGTGGTACAAAAGACATTTCATTTGACTTAATATATTGTCTTAAGCCTTATGGTTTTTGAATTTTGTACCTTAATTAAGAAGGCTTTTCTGACATCAAGATTAAATATATTTTCTCTACTACTTTAAAAGTCTATTTTATGTTTGGTTCTTTAATCCACTTGGAGTTTGCCTTGCAAATGGTAGAAATGCTACCTACAATGCAAATGGTAGAAATTGTTCCTAATTGAATAGTCTATTGCCTTGATATCATTTGTTGAATTAATCATTTATTTCTCCATTGATTTGAAATGCTGCATTCTCATATTCCAAATTCCTATATATATATATATAGATCTGTTTCTGTACACTCTATTCTGTTTCATTGCTCTACCTTTTTGCCAGTGCTACACTGTTTTTATTATTACAGCTTTATGATGTGTTTTAGTACCTGGGTGGACAAATGGTCTCTAACTGATCTTTTAAAAACAAATGCCTCGGTTATCCTTGCATGTATACTTTTCCCAATCCTTTTTGAAATTGGATTACCAAGTTCTAGAAAAAATCTGGTGATATTTTAATTGTGTTTATTGCATTTATTATTCTAATTTGAAAAGGACATGGTATAGTGCTCTATTTATGCATGTCCTTTATGACCTTCCGTGAAATATATAGGTTATTTCCTATGAGTCTTACATATTTTACATTAAGGTTATTCTTATTTTATAATTAATGTTCCTCCTTTGTAATGGGATCCTTTTTATTATATTCTAATTGGCTTATTTCTATTGCATATTAAAGTTCTTGATATTGTTATATAAATCTTTTATCTGACTATCCTACTGAATTCTCCTGTTTTTGGCATTTTTAATTGATTTTCTAGGTTTTAGCAGGGCAAATAGTTTCCACTCTTTCTAATTCATGTATCTCATATTTCTTTCTTCTTGTCTTACTGTGTTGCTTAGGATCTCAAATACAATATTGAATATTAACAGTTATAATGGACATGCTTGACTTGCTTGTCATATTTCTAATTTTAATGAAATTTGTTCTGTTTCCAGAGTATGGTTTTATTATTATTATTTTTTCTAGTAGATATTCTTTATCAAGTTAAGGACTTTTTTTCTATTTCTGATCTGCTGAAAACTTTTTCACACATGCCTTTGAATTTTACGATGTATTGGCATTTATCAGCTATGCTAGTTATTCTGCATATATATGTATACATATATGTGTATATATACATACTAAGGGCATATGTGTATATATGTGTGTGTGCCATTAATTACATTGAAATAGTTACTAATGTTTATCTTTACATTCATGGAATTAAATCTACTAAATCACGATGTATTTTTGCATCTACGTTCATATGCTTTTTAAAATAGATTTCTTGTGCAGTTCTTGTACTGTATTATAGTAGCCTCATGTAAGATAACTTTTCATCTTATTATGGTGCTTGGAACAGTGTATTAATATGTGAATTCCTATTTCTTAAAGCTTTTCTAGAACTTTCTCCTAAAACCATCTGTGCCTGGTATCTGTTTTAGGAATATTTTACTGCTTTTTCAATTTCTGCTGTGATTAACAGGCTATATAAACTTTCAAATTATCCTTGAGTTCATGTAGATCATTTACATTTTCTTAGAAAAATTTGTATTTAGTTTAGATTTTATTAAGCTTTCATATAAGTACTGGGTCTGCATCCCACAGGTTTTGATATGCAGTGCTGTCACTGGTCATTCATTCCTGAATAATTTGAAAACTTTATTTTTATTACCTTTTTTGGGCAAAAATTAACTTCATTTTTGTTATTGTTTATTTTAAACCACTTTACTGAGTTATGACTGACATACAAAAAGCTGTACATATTTAATATATACAAGTTGATGAATTTTGGAGATAAGTATACACCCACAAAACCATTACCACAATTAATGCCATAAACATATCCATCTGTTTTTTATTTTTAATGATCCTTTTATTTTTGTGTTTTAATGTATTGCATTGGGATCAGCAGATGTGACCTGCTTGGTTTCTGTTTTGGGAATTTGCTGATATATTCTGCCTGGTACATTCTCTGAGATTCTGATTCATGAGTTCTGAAGTTGGACCAGAGAATCTGCCTTTTCAACAAGGGTCACTGTTAGATCCTGATGGAGATAATCCAAGTAGCACACAGAAAAATAATGCTACATAGAAGATGCTAAAAGAATTTGTGGATGCATCTTTCCTGGCAACCTCTGAACAAGAAAGAAAGGGACAATTAGCCAGATGTAGTTGAAAGATTATGACCCATGGCCAACCTGGGTGCAAGGCCTTGCTATGTCTCCTCTTATTCAGCTGTATGATACTAGGCAAGTCACTTGATCTTTTTGAATCTTGGTATGAAGATTAAAAGAGATATGTAAGGAAACTGGTACAAAGAGGATTGAATCAATATTTTTTTCAAAGACTTTTGGTAGTTTCAAACAACTAGAAAAGTTTGTCTGGAGCAGCCTAATGGGAAGATGAAAGAGTTGATATGGATTATTCAGAAAACACAGCCTCTCAAGTTCCTCTGCTACTTTTTCATATCCAGAGAGATAGAAGCACTACATGGTAATGAATTAGTAAACTTACTATCCTTTGCAATTTCTGGAGTCCCATGTTAAACTAAATCTCCCTAAATGCCTTGAGTTGGGGATCAGGGTGATCGGTTCTATGTAGGTTCTAACTCTGCAGATGGGAGTCTTTTGTCTAGCATATGGGGGCAGGAAACATGGAAATAACCTGACTCATGGTTCTTTCAAACAGCAGTCTTGGGTTGGGAAAAGATTCTGCCTGGGAAATCTGAAACTGTCTCAGAAATTCCAAGGCCCTTTGCCAACGGACAAGTCTCCCTGAGGATCCTAGGGTTGGTCTAATCTGCTTGCACCCCTGAGATCTGGTCATACTAAGGTGGACATCCAGAAAGGGTTGCTCATCTGTTTGAGTCACTTTCCTGTCTGTGATCAATGAAAGGCATCTTCTACCTCCCTGATGGTAAGAGCACATTGGATGTCTTGCTGTGTGTGTGTGTGTGTGTGTGTGTGTTGTGTGTGTGCAGGCACTCACACCACTATAAATGAGCAGCTGGTTTGCACCAGAACTCACTGCACCTTCACCCTGAGCCTGACGTCAGCACAACCAATGTCTTCACCAGCCTGTGCAAAAGCTCGTGAACAAGGTCAGTGAATGTGCTCGCTGCTGCAGTGAAAGCTCATCCTGCATCTGTGAGCAACCCATGTGATGAACACTCCCTGGCTCCCTCAGCAGCCACCTGTTCAGATCACACCAGGACTCTGAACACAGTGACCATGGGGGAGATGTCACAGATCTTGACACTGTTGACCTCCCCACTTGCTCTGTTTCTCCCTCTCTGTTGTCCCAACTCTCTCTGGTTAGTTGCTTCTGCCTCTCTATTTCCCCTCTGTGTTTCCATCAGGATCTCTGTCTCACCACCTCCCTTCCTGGCTCTGGCTGAGGGCAGATGGCTTGGGTGTGACTGAGAGGGCCAGCCTGGTTTTGACCTATGTACAGGGTAGAAAGAGCCTGAAAAGACCAAGTGTTCTCAGAGCCACCTGGCTGAGGTAAGAGGATTCCAAACTCCTGGATTGGGAAGCTGATTCCTCATGATCCAAGGACATGTGCCATTATGCTCATGTGGGCCTCTCAATCTGTTTCCTATTTGGCTTTTGCCTTTCTGGTTTTTTTGTTTTTGTTTTTGTTTTTGTTTTTCTGTCTCTTGTTATAGCTCTCTGTCTGCTTTTCCCATGTCTCTCATCTCTCTAGACACACCCCACCCCCGCCACCATTTCATCTTCTTTCAACAGGAATAGTAAAAAGGGCACTGTTCTAGGAGCCAGGTAATTTCTTTTAGTTTTAATAATTTATTCTTAAGTAGCCTTGATCCACAGAGGTTCTGATACTAAAAAGCCATAATTAGAGTCTTGCCTCTGTCCCCCTTTAGCTACTTGAGAAGTTGCCTGAGGTGCCATTTCTCTATCATGAAGACACATTATTAGCACCTTTTTAGAGCACCAACTCCCTCACAGGTTGTCATGAGGCGCATATGGGAGGATATAAACCTTGGAGAGTCACAGAAATGGGAAAGATTGTCACAATTTTTATGTTTTTCACAACTGAGCCTTGATCTCCTCTTATTTCTAACTTTCTCACCTTATTTCTCTTTTACACTTCTTCTGTTTTCTGCTCATCTGTTTTGTTTTTTCTTTTTATCTGCCTCATGGTTTATTTGTTTTCCTTCTTTCTCCTTTTTTTTTCAATTTGTATTTTTTATTTGACTCCAGAAGAGGAAGTAAGAAAAGCCAGGCCCCTCCATAAGGATACTATAGTTGCCTGAGAATTCTCTTTTTCATTTAAAAAATTTTTAATTTGTCTTTTCCTCCTTTCCCGTCTGTACCTTTCTCTCAATCCATTTGCCTGTATGAATAGTTTTCCTGTTTATGCATTTTTCTTTCCTGCTCCTTTGACAAAAGCTGGTTGAGGTGTCTCAAAGAGGTTTGCGGATATATGACAAAATAAGATAAATAACATGGTCTAGTTGTTCCTGTTTTCTGTAAGATCTAAAGAATAAATAGAATTAAAAGGAAGTAGGATGAGGAGTTGGAGAAGGGACAAGAACTTAATCTGCTACATAAAGGAATTTCCTGATCTGGAAAAGTGATCTCTTTAAAACCATAGTTTCTACCCCGTAATTTTTCATGAAGTAGAATATCGGTCAAAACCTTAAAAGATCTTTTCCAACATATGTGGTGCAAAGAAGAAAAGAAAGGAGAAAGGGGGTAAAGGAGAAGGTAATGAATACGAACCAAGCAATTACTGCTTGCCAGTCACATTAAGTGTATTATTTCCATTATCAGTTCATCTTTACACAAATTGGCAGATGAAAGAGGTTATCCCAAAGTGCTAGTAGTAACTGGTAAAGCCGAGATATAGTACTGGTTTATCTAATTCCAAACCCTGAGCTTTTTCTACACATCTGCCATATATATATATATGGGTTTCAAATGTAGATGTTGAGTCTCAAAAAAGTATAGGCATACCTTATGCAATAAAGCCAATATCTCAATAAAGAGAGAGTCACACACATTTTTTGTTTCCAAGTACATATAAAAGTTATATTTACATTATATTGTAGTCTTCTAAGTGTGCAATGGCATTATTATTAAAAATTAATGCATATACCTTAATTTTAAAATATTTTATTGCTAAAAAATGCTAACGATCATCTGAGCCTTCAGCAAATAGTAATCTTTTTGCTGATGGAAAGTCTTGACTCAATGTTGATGGCTGCTGACTAATCAGGGTGGTGGTTCCCAAAGGTTAGTGTGGCCATGGCAATTTCTTAAAATAAGAAAGCAATGTAGTTGGGCATGGTGACGCAGGCCTGTAGAGTCCCATCTGCTCAGGAGGCTGAGGCAGGAGGATAACACAAGCACAGGAGGTGGAGGCTGTAGTGCACTATGATAGCATACGTGAAAGCCACTGCACTCTGGCCTGGGCAACACAGAGAGACCCCTGTCTCTCAAAAAAAAAGAAGACAACAAAGTTTTCTGCATCAATTGACTCTTCGATTCACAAAAGATTTCTCTGTAGCATACGATGCTGTTTGATAGCATTTTACCCACAGTAGAACTTCCTTCAAAATTGAAGTCAGTTCTCTCAAATCCTGCTCTACTTTATCAACTAAGTTTATGTAATATTTGAAATCCTTTGTTGTCATTTCAACAATGTTCACGCCATCTTCACCAGGTGTGGATTCTATCTCAAAAAAAAAAAAAAACTCTTTGCTCATCCATAAGAAGCAACTCCTCATCCATCCAAGTTTGATCATAAGATTGCAGCAATTCAGTCACATCTTCGGGCTCCAGTTCTAATTCTGATTCTCTTGCTATTTGTACCACATCTGCAGTTACTTCCTCCACTGAAGTCTTGAACCACTCAAATTTATCCGTGAGGGTTGGACTCAATTTCTTCCAAACTCCCATTAATGTTGTCATTTTGACCTCCTCCTATGATTTGCAAATGTTCTTAATGGCATCTAGAATGGCAAATCCTTTCCAGAAGGCTTTCAATTTACTTTGCCCATATCCATCCAAGGAATCACTATCTATGTCAACTACAGCCTTATGAAATGTATTTCTTTTGAGGAGTGGGCAATTTTTAAGATACTTTTTAATTGCTATGAGACTGAAGTTGAAGAACAGATTATTTAACTGGAATGTTTTAGGAAAACTGGGTAGATAAGTCAAATGCCCTGAATTCCCTTAATATCTGTTATCATTTTGAAATCTTATTTTTAAGAAATTGCTGAAAATTTGACAAAACTAATGTGGATGGCTACAATTGAACTTAACAATATCTATATGGAGGAAGAGGTAAAATTTACATATTTAGAAATGAATGCTCTCATCCCATCCCAACTACATATTCAGGTGAAATGCATGCACCTCCTCTTAGCTAGAACATGTTTCTTTTCTTTTTTTTTCTTTCGTTCTTTTTTTTTTTTTTTTTTTTTGTACATAGGGTCTAACTCTGTTGCCCAAGCAGGAGTGCAGTGGGGTGCAATCTCGGCATACTGTAACCGCCACCTCCTGGGCCATCCTTCCATCTCAACTTCCCTAGCAGCTAGGATGCCACCATGTCCGGCTAATTTTTGTATTTTTTGTAGAGACAGGGTTTCACCATGTTGCCCAGGCTGGTCTTGAACTCCTGAGCTCAAGCAATCTGCCTGCCTTGGCCTCCCAAAGTGTTGGGATTACAGGCGTGAGCCACTGCACCCGGCCTGGAACATCTTTTTCTAGCTTGTTGTTCCTCTTGGCTGTTTTTCATTTGGATTTCCTCAATCAGGTCCCAGGCCTGTCACCATAGCCAGGGTCTGTTAACCATCACCATTGATTCTACATTAGGTAGGACATTCCTGGGTAAGCTAATAGCTCACCTGCCTTTCTGACTGATTACAGCGGTGCTCTCTGTGGCCACTTATCATGCAGCATCATTTGAGAGGGTGCTGTTCTTTGTTTGTATCTTGGGGTGGAATTGGTTTGCTTCCTGGCATTCCTGGAATTGCATCTGAAAAGACAGGGCTCATTATCATTTTTTTTTTTTTTTTTTTTTTTTGAGACGGAGTCTGGCTCTGTCGCCCAGGCTGGAGTGCAGTGGCCCAATCTCGGCTCACTGCAAGCTCCGCCTCCCGGGTTCACACCATTCTCCTGCCTCAGCCTCCTGAGTAGCTGGGACTACAGGCACCCGCCACTATGCCCGGCTAAATTTTTATATTTTTAGTAGAGACGGGGTTTCACCGTGTTAGCCAGGATCATTTCTATGGAGCAGATGTGCGATGCTTTGCCTATGCATCCACTGGGCAAAGAAACCGAGTCTCAAACATGAAATTCGCTGTGTCCTTTCTGTAGGAACTCTAAGTATGGTATGTGGTGACTCTCTTCTTCCTCCACTCTTTCTACTGGTTGTGGCAGCATCAGATAAACATCCCAAGAGAAAGAGAAGCTGAGAGTCCTTGGAGTGATTTCAAGTTTCAGGCTTCTTTGTAATCTTCAGAAGCCATCCTTCTAGGGCTTGCTATGCTGTTAGGTGTGCATTTACTTTACCAGCTTACTATCAAGGATATTACAAACAGTATCAGTGAGCAACAAATGAAGAGATGAATATGGTAAGGTATATAGGAAGGGGCATGAAGCTTCCATACTCTTTCTTGGAGCAGTACCCTCAAAGAACCTCTGTGTGTTCAGTTATCTGGAAGCTCCTGAAATATATTTCTTAAATAATAAGACTTGAAAGTCTAAATGACTCCTTGATCCAGGGGCAGCAGCATGAATATTATGTTAGCAGCATGAAAACAACATTCATCTCCTTGTACATCTCCTCAGAGCTCTTGGATGACCAGGTGCATCATCAATGGGTAGTAATATTTTGAAAGGAATCTATTTTTCTGAGCAGTAGGTCTCAACAGTGGACTTAAAGTATTCCATAAACCAGGCTATAACAGCTGTGCTGTCACTTAGGTTTTGTTGTTCCATTTATAGAGAGCACAGATAGAGCAGATTTAGTGTAATTCTTAAGGGCCCTAGGATTTTCAGAATGGTGAATGAGCATTGGCTTCAACTAAAAGTTAACAGGTGCATTAGTTCCTAACAAGAGAGTCAGCCTGTCCTTTGAAGATTTAAAACAATGCATTGACTTCTCCTCTATAGCTATGAAAGTCTTAGATGGCTTCTTCTTCCAATATAAGGATGTTTTGTCTATATTGAAAATCTTTTGTTTAGCATAGCCACCTTCATCATTGATCTTAGCTAGATCTTCTGGATAACTCGCAGCTTCTCCAACAGCACTTGCTGCCTTCCCCTACACTTTTATGTTTGTTCTTCTATCCAGACCATTAAAACGTTCTCCCTATTAGCAATAAGGCTGTTTCACTTTCTTATCATTTGTGTGTCCACTGGAGTAGCACTTTTAATTTCCTTCAAGAACATTTTCTTTGCATTCACCACTTGGCTAACTGTTTGGTGCAGGAAGCTAGCTTTCAGACTTTCCCAGCTTTCAACATGCCTTCCTCACTAAGCTTAGTCATTTCTAACTACTGACTTAAAGTAAGAGATGTGTGACTCTTCCTTTCATTGGAACACTTACAGGCCATTGTAGAGTTATTAATTGGCCTAACTTCAGTATTGCCATATCACAGGGACTAAGGAAGCCAAGGAGAGGTAGAGAGGGTGAGCAGCCAGTTAGTGAAGCAGTTAGAACAAATACATTTATTGTTTGTCTTCTTAGATGGTTGTGGTCCGTGATGCCCCAAAACAATTACAACAGTAACATCAAAAATACTAAAGGCAGATCACCATAACAGATAACAATAATAATAATAATAATAATAGTAATAAAAGTTTGAAATATTGTGAGACCTACCAAAATGTGACACAGAGACACAAAGTGAGCACATGCTGTTGGGAAAATGGTGCCAACAGACTTGCTTAATGCAGGGTTGCCACAAACCTTCAATTTGTAAAAAACTATCTGTGACGTGCAATAAAGCAAAGGACAAAAAACAAGGTATGTTTGTATCAATTTCACTTCCTAATACTATTTATGTCATTGATTAGATAACTCTTTAATTCAAGATCTCCCATATGATTACAGTATCTCATCCCCTTATCTTTGTTTATTTTTACCATCAGTACAATTTTTCAAGACAACATAAACAGCACTGTAGTTCACATTAACCATAGTCCTGCTAAGACTATTGAAAAAATCCAGTCTAATGCTCAGTCTTGCCATCATCAATGACAAAGTCCTTCTGTACAATTTCCTACAAATTCATCTTGTACAAATAACCACACTCTTAATATGCAGGTCCTAATCTATGTGTGGAGTAACTGGTCACTTTTCAACTATGTTTTCTCTCTACCTTTTAGGGTGTTTTTTTTTTTTTTTGGTGACAGAATGGGTATTTTTTTGTTTGTTTTTACAAATTATTTAAAGTACCTTCTAGGGGTGGCTACTGTCAGGAGAAGGAATCTATTCCAAGATTTGTTTGATATTTAATTTATTTGTAATTTAGATTGGGACTCTGGAGGGAAGATGATAAACAACTATCAAGTATTTAGGTGGAAAGAATAAGTGGATATGAGATCCATAAGCTTATCTGCTATCTCCCACTCATGTGGATGCTAGAGAAGTTTCCTTGTGAACAGAGCATGTACTTTTGCCTTTTCGATAGCAGTAAAAATGTGGCATGCCAAGCAAAATCCCTCAAAGTGTCAGTCAGATCATCATTAAATGTGAAGTGTAGTTCAGGGCTCCTCAATTGCAGAGATACGGAGAATTTGCAGTGGAAGAAACTACAAGAGGGCAAAATCTAGAATTGATGGAGAAAAGGGAAAGAAATCATATTTACCTCAAAAAAGGTCTAGATGATACAATAGAAAATACTATTATAAATTGACAAACTTGCCAAATTTGTCCATCACATGGTAAACAAAAGGTTAAACATAAATCTCAATTTTTGGTGAGGCTGGGACAACATAAATAAGACCAGAAGAAATGTAGGTAAGACATAGCCAGATATTTGATACCAGTATCCTTTTAGTTTCCATAACAATCTCAAAAGCTATTTAGACATTAATTCCATCAAGGCCTAAAGGGAGCAGACAAAGTATCCTAAAACGAATTCTCTTGTGAGCCTAAGTGATTAATTTTCAATATGTATATAAATTGTATATAAATATAAGTTCACATTTATTAAATTCATTACATCTTATATGTGATTAGATTATTTCAGTTATTTTAGAGTTTTCTATTTTTGCTTTTTTTATTATTCATTTCCTTATTCTGAGGGCTAATGTTCAGAGTTTTAAGTACAATATATGCTGAAAGAAGGTAAAGGAGATGTGATTTTCAATTAAATACATAAAGTATGTTTAAAAACCACTGGCATGATCTTATTATTATTTTTTTTATTTTACTTTAAGTTCTGGGATACATGTGCAGAATGTGCAGGCTTGTAACATAGGTATTTTTGCATCTGCTTAAGAGCCTGTCTTTTTTTCTCTTAATTTTAATATTTAAAGAAATTATCTCAGAATATGACTTCTGAAGTTTGTATATCTAAGAATTATTAAATTTGATGTATTTTGGTTAATTATACCATGAGTTTAAGCCTTCCAAATCCTTACACAAAGTATCACTTTCTACCTTAAAAATGTGAATTAAAAAATATACAAAACTAAAGAATGCTGAGTTTAAAAACAAATAGAAAATAGAGAAGAACATTAAAAAATAAATCGTTTATAGCTCCACTATCTGTAAGCAGCTACTCTTAACATTTTGGCTGACTTCCTTCCAATCCTTTATCTAATCTTCCTTCCAAAGCAAAGAAAATTTCTTTTTAATTATTGTAATCTAAATCTATTGTAATTTAAATAAAAATTTAATTATTGTAATTTAATTATTGTAATATGCCAAATATGCTGGTATATATTTTGCTTTTTATTTCACTTAAAATTATGATTTCAACATTATTACACAAAGTTCATAAACATAATTTTAATGACTGCATCACATTTCATTAATTTCATTTTCTATGAAATAGCTAATCATTCTCTATTATAGCTCTTAATTTTTTGCTATTATAAATATTATAAATAGTACTATAATACACAATTTTCTGCATAAATCCTTTTCTCAGTTGGTAGCTTCCTCAAGTAAATTTTTAAAATAGATAAATCTATTCATTTAGCAAACTTATATTGTACCACTGTTTGCTAGGCACTGTTCCCAAAAGTCCTATTATTCATTTAATCATCACAGTAATCCAATAATGTAAGTACTATTATGATTATTCTCATTTTAGAGATGAGGAAATCGAGATGTGCTGGTTTACATTACCCCTGTTTACATCGTTGATAAATGGAGGAGTCTGGATTTGAATCCAGGCCCTTGGACTCTGGGATCTGTGTGAGTATAGGGACTCCACATTAAAGGGAATAAACATTTTGAAAGCTTTTGGTACATATTGCCAAACTACTTTCCAGCCAACAATGGAGTATTAGCATTGATGTTATACTTTAATTTTTTTAATTTAATGGATCAGAAATCATATGTAATTGTTTTAAAACTATTGTTTGGTTACTAATGAGTTTGAATGCTTTTGGATGGTGTTTCCTCTTCTATCAATTGAGTTCTTATCCTTTTGTCCCTTAAGATATTGGTATTTTTGATGAACTCTTGATATCATAAATTTAATATATGGTTGACTCTTGTATTTGCTCATTTTTCTAATCAGTTACTTGTTAAAAATAAGTGAAGTGGCTTATTTTTATATACCAAAGTTTTCCACTTGATGTTAGTCAGATATGTCATCTTTCTCTTCATGACTTCTTCTATGATGTAGACAAAGTCCACAAGCTCAAACTCCACCACTGGTCAGAGAGATAATACAATGGGCTGATGTGGGGCTGATGTGGGGCTGATGTGGGCCCGATACAAGGCAACAGGTAGTCTTGAAACTGGGAAGAACTTGCAGCTTGTCCAAACAGGAGGAACACCACTAAATTCCAATTTGTTGTTGATAAGAATAGGCCCACTGTGGCAAGATCTGAATTTTTCCAGAATCCAGATTATTACATACAACATCCTTCAAAGGAAACACTGCAGGCTTAATAAAACATTGGGGTGGGACAGAGGGCTCATAACTTATCACTTTTGCCTCAGAAGTTCTCCATTCAAAATTTTAGATCAGTATTTAATTATATTTCCTTCCAGGTTTTTTAGTGAGTTTTTTATATATTCAAATTTTTATACTACTTGTACTTAGCATTATGGTGTGAAGCAAGCATCTAGTTGCTTCCATAAAACCAAGAAAGGAAAGAGATGGATTTATGTCTCAAAGTTCTCTTCCTTTGCAGAAGGATCAATGAAATGATGGAGAAATATTAAATGTTATGATAGTGGTTTCTCTAATCTTGAAGAAAAAGTTGCCTTTTTTCTCTGTATGATTGACTTACACTGAACACTCTCATTTCCTGAATTATAGTATATAATTTGCTTGTTTGCTTGAAATTAAGGCAGAAGGATCCATAGATAAATTGGAATTTAAAACTCCTTGAAATGCTCAAAAGAAAACTAACAGAAAGGGGAAAGTATCCAAAGTAATGCAAAACTTTCAGAGGATTAAAACAATCAATCTAATCTTGCATTAAATATTGCAGATTTGATAAGTGAATTTCAGGCAGATTTTAGTTAGTGGGCTTATAGTTAGAAAGTGATTAACAAACATCACATTGTTTAAATATTCATTTCCTTTCTCAAAAATCATTAATCAAAAGCTTACTCTGTGCTGGAGCAACAGTAGATGTTTTTGTCCTGCTATTACTATTTTGTAGTTTTTTTACCCTCACTTTTGTCCTGGGAGTGCTGTGATTCTGTGTTAATGAATACAAACATTAAAATTAGAATTATAAAACTGAGGGGTTAGTTTGGTCAGGTCTGCCTGTCCTGCTTGCTTTTGGTTGCTTGCTTTTTGTTATTTTTTATCTCTCCCTGAAGTTGAAGTCTGCAATCACTGAAGGGCATGCCACTGAATGCTGAAACGTAACCTTCACCAGCTACTTTATAGATAACATTCACAGGTCACCATGGTAACGGTTACTTCAGTTGTTTTTCAGAAACTTGGACCTGCTTCTGTCCAGTTCAAACTGGTTGAGACCACTGACCTTTTAACTGGGTCTGCTCAAGTGCTGGAGAGGCGGCCTTTTTATGTTGGAGGGCCAAAGACTCCATCCTCAGTCCATGCTAATGCTGCCATTTTCTGTACATATGTGCTGTGGAATGCCACAAACTCCAGCTAGGCTGTTGCAGAATGAACCTGTTACTTCATTTTTCCCCACTAGCAACCACCTTTCCCCACACCTTAGACCACCTCACTTCCCTAACCCATAAATACCCTTAAGCTTTATCTTTGGGGAGGCAGATTTGAGAGCTGTTCTCCCACCGCCTCCTCGCTGGGTGTCCTTTCGAATAAATCTTTTCTCTTTTGCAAAACCTGAATCATAGTGATTGATTTACTGCTTGAAGGTAGAACAGACCAGAACCTGGCATGTAACAATTATACCAGCAACAAAAGTTGTTGACAAGAAATTACTTTTAACAATTAATTTCATTAACCCAAATTAATTCCTTGATTAGTTTTCTACATAGCACACTTAAAGTATTTCCAATTTTGTCATGTGAATAAAATTACTATTTATGTTGTCATAAATAAACATGAATACAATGTCATGAGTAAAAATACTAAAATTATTTTGATCCGGATGAATTCATTTATGTGTAACTTATCAACACAGTCCTGTTTTAACAGTCTTTTGTTCAATTCAAATTTTACTATAACAGCTTCTACTACTGTGAGTTTTATTTTGGGGGCATTATTTTTATGGAGTTCTATTTTCCAAGGTCAAAATTTATAGATCTAAATCTTGCCACACACAGTTTTTATCTATTTTCAGTTTTATTGTAACCGCCCAAGGATTCATTGTGCCCACTGCCCAGATAAAGCCGATTCATCAAGACAGAGGAATTGCAATAGAGAAAGAGTTTAATTCATACTCAAATCAGTTCAGCTGCCTCTGCATGAATTAAACTCTTTCTGGAAATTCAGAGATTGGAGAGACTGACAATTAAGAGACTGGGGTTTTTTAAGGATAATTTGGTGCATAGGAGGCCAGGGACTGGGGAGTGATGATTGGTCCCATTGGAGATGAAATCATAGGGAGTTGAAGCTGTCTTCTTTGCGCTGAGTCAGTTCCTGAGTGGGGGCCACAGTACCAGATAAGCCACTTTATCCATCTGCGTGGTGGCAGCTGACCCATCAAGTTCAGGGTCTGAAAAATATTCTGAGCACCAATCTTAGATTTTACAATAGTGATGTCATCCCTATTGTAAATGGGGAGGTTTGGAATCTGTGACCTCTCGCTGCCTAACTCCTAAACCATAATTTCTAAACTTGTGGCTAATTTGTTAGTCCTATAAAGCAAGAAGAGGGTTTGTTTCAGGAAAGAGCTGTTATCATCTTTGTTTCAAAGTTGAAACTATAAACTAAGTTCCTCCCAAAGTTAGTTTGGCCTATGCCCAGGAATGAACGAGGACAGGTTGGAGGTTGGAAGCAAGATGGAGTCACTTAGGTCAGATCTCTTTCACTGTCATAATTTTCTCACTGTTACAATTTTTGCAAAGGTGGTTTCATTATTTTATATTATTTCTAGTTTTTTAAATTAGTTCTGTTATAGTTAGTATTTATTTCTTAGCTAATTCATGATAAAATTGTTAAATCTCTCAGTATTGGTCTCTTGCCCAGAATCATCTGTTACAAAGCCAATTTAATTCTTCTTATTATTTTTTGGACCTTGTATAAACTGTCCACGACACTTGTGGCCCAAAGCGCAAATATGCAGATAAAAGAGATTGCCTCTAAAAAAATAAAGCTGCTTTCTCTAAAAGAAAGGGGAAAATGCTAGGTTTGGGGGGGAAGGCTTTCTTGAGAAGATAGCATATGATCCGCATCACAAAAGACGAGAAAGAATTCACCAGGTGCCCATAGAGTCAAAGAACATTCCATAGAAAAAGCAAGTGTTAAAAACATGGAGGCAGGGAGAGGAGAACACATCATAGCACCAAATAAAAACTGAATGAACAAATACATCATCACTTCTAATATGAGGTTATAGAAAGTAAAGACAAATGGATGGGTTTGTGTATGGTAAATAGTAACTGGATTGTAGGATACATGGGAAGGGTGAAGGAGGTTTTAAATAAGAACATGAAGGGCTATGGAGATGAGTGAGTGGACGATGACATTCAGGCTCCCACTTAAATGAGTGGATGTACCTTGATGCTGTTAAACAAGAAAGAAAACACAGAAGGACATGAAGGCAACTGTCCATTCGTTGCTCTTGGACCATCTTGCCTTGAAAGATCTGACACACTGGAATCTGTTTTTTTTCCAAAGACCCCAGGAAAGATTTTTCACTGCTCCTTTGTTCAGTCATTTTGATGCTTTCAAATCCCTCATTAAAATCAGCAAAGGCCAGGAGCAATGGCTTACGCCTGTAATCCCAGCACTTTCGGAGGCTAGGCAGGCAGATCACTTGAGGTCAGGAGTTTGAGACCAGCCTGGCCAATATGATAAAATCCCATCTCTATTAAAAATATATATAAAAAAAAAAATTAGCCAGGTGTGGTGGTGCACACCTGTAGTCCCAGCTACTAGGGAGGCTAAGGCAGAAGAATTGTTTGAACCCGGGAAGCGGAGGTTGCAGTGAGCCGAGATTATGCCATTGCACTCCAGCCTGGGTGTCGCAGCAAGACACTGTCTCAAAAACAAAAACAAAAACAAAACAACAACAACAAAAATCAGCAAAATATTCCTGTTGTCTAACCGACTAATACTCTTGCTGTGTTTACCTCCATTTCCCATTCTGTCTTGAAAGAAATGGAGAACAGCTAGTTACCATATTTTAATAGGTGTATTTCCCAGGATGTTTTGTCTTAACCTCTCAAGTCTCTCTTTTCTGTATTCTGATTCAATCCCCTCCGTAACATATAACTCTTTGTTTCAGGGATTATTTGATCAGCCTGTTGGCCAGTGGTATTATGGCCACTGAATTTTTTAAAAATGCAAAATGTACATGTTTACTTAGTTGTTCTTACACTTTGCTCCATGCCTTCCAACAATTTCTTCTTTAGTTGTTTCTTTTCTTATTTTGTGGAAACTTGAAATTTAATGAGGAAATAAGGACAGCAAGTTATGGTAAAAGAGCCCATGAATATTTTGCCTGAGGAAAAACACTAACATGGTTAATCAGTGTCTTCAAATCTCAAAGGGTCTCCTTCTACCCCACCATAATAAATAATTCTTTACCATGGATTAAGTTCAAAGAATGAGGAATATAACTATAAGGAAGTGTGAATTATAGTGTGTGTGTGGGTGTGTGTGTATTCCCACCCAAGTGGAACATTAATGGCATAACCTACCTTAGGAGGTTGTGGTGTCTCTGCCCTAGACACCTTGGCGCCGTGGACGAAGTACTCTAAAAACTTAGAAGAACCTAGTGTGAGTCTCATCACTTTCATTTACTAGCTACATGACTTTGGGGAAGTTACTTTATCACTCTGAGGCTCAATTTCCCCATCTGTAAAATGGAGATAGTATACATTTCATATAATTTTATGAGTTAGATGGGATCATATATATGAATATGCTTTGTAAATTATAAATTATTATAAATAGGTAAATAACCTTTATCTGAGAAAACATTCTTCTGGAATGGCTTGAGAGATTTCATGTGGGATTATATATGCTTCACTTCTGAAGAGGGTCCCAACATCAGATGTCCTACCTGGGCTAGCTCATCTGCAAGCTCCATGAGTCCTCTCTCGCACCTGCTGCAGTGATTCTGCAACAAACAGATCATTCCCAGTCAGAGCAATAGAAGGAGGTAAGACAAGATTTCCAAAAAAATTGTCCCATTTTGTGTACATGCCATGATATATGTAACCAGTGCCCAATCTGAGGGATATGAAGACTACTTCTAGGGCAAAGATGAACAGTAGGGTCAGAATTGTTACCTGTTATTTCCTCCTAATGGAAAAAGTTTAGGTAGAAATTCTGGCCTCCCTACAGGCTGAGGCAGAGACATGAAGAGAGGGGCAGAAATGCACCCTATTCCCAGAAATGTCATCTTCAAATAATAATTTTGCCTGTTCATTTTCATTCCAAGTGATGTAGTGGAGCCAGCTGGTACCAGCTCTCAAGAGCCAATTGTTAAATTTCAAGAGTTTTGAAAATTGATTGTTAAACATAGCCATTATTAATATTTTAAAACGAAGGTAATAAATACTTAAAATTCATCATCACTTCCTAATTTTGTCACTATATTTTACTATTATCTATACTCTCAAGATTATTTATGTCTATTGTATCCGTATGGTAGGAAAGCCGTATAATAGCAACCTAACATATCTCTTCCCAGCTCCATGATTAGTGGTGTCTCATGGGTAATTTGAAATAAGTCATTGTGGAATTGTTTATACCATGAAAATTGGCAAATGCTACAAATAAGGTACCCCCCACCCAGAGCCATTTGTTAAACACTTAACCAGCACACCACTCATTTAATTCATTTGTCTAAATGCTTTTGGCTAGTACTTGCAGGGCACCCAAAAGCTCAAAGCAGTGTGGAGAGTTAGTTGACAATGCAGCTTCTGGAATCAGACTCCTGAGGTTTAAATTTGAGCTTTACCACTTACTGTATACCTTGGACAAGTTACTGACCCTTTCTTTGTATCTGTAAAATGAGGATAAAAGAAGAACTCCTACCTCATAGGATTACTGTGAAGCTTAAAACGATTACTACTAATAACACATACAGAACAAACAATACCTAACACACAGTATGTAATTACTTTGATTTAGATTAGTTATGTTAATTTAGTTTTAATTATGACATGGAAGCATCCTTCTAGTCCTATTTTACTAAAAAAATTTTAAGAACTGGGTATCAACATCAAATTTTATCAAATGCCTTTTAAACATCTATATAATTGATTAGAAGTTTTTCATCTTTGAAATATTAATATAGTGAGTTGTATTAGTGGGATTCCCCCTATTAGAAGAACCTTTAATCCCTCAAATGAATTTCACCTGGTCATGATGTACTATTCTTTGAATGCACTGCTGAATTCCATTTGCTAATAATTTAGTCTATTTCACCATTATTAATAAATCACCTTAGTTATAATTTTCTTTTGTATAATTTTTCAAGTTTTAGTCTCAATGGTTTGATGACTTTGTGAAAGTAATCAGCGATCCTTATTTTTTCTGTCCTTGCAAACAGTTTCATTAGCCTTGAAAATATCCGATTGCTACAAGATTTAAAATTTACCTATGGAGCTATCGGGGCCTGAAGCTATTTTGAGGCATAGCCTTTTGTTAACTTCCTCTATCTGAATGGCTCTCAAAGTTGGTTGCACATTGAAATCACCTGGGGAGCTTTTAAAAAATACTGATGCTATTGTGAAAGACAGTGTGGTGATTCCTCAAAGACCTAAAGACAGATACTGGGTATATACCCAAAGGAATATAAATAATTCTATCATAAAGACACATGCACATGTATGTTCACTGCAACACTGTTTGCAATAGCAAAGACATGGAATCAACATAAATGCCCATCACTGATAGACTGGATAAAGAAAATGTGGTACATATATACCATGGAATACTATGCAGCCATAAAAAAGAATGAGATCATGTCCTTTGCAGGGACATGAATGGAGCTAGGGGCCACTATCCTTAGAAAACTAACACAGGAACATAAAAACAAATATCACATGTGTTCACTTATAAGTGGGTGCTAAATATGAGAACTCATGGATATATAGAGGGGAACAACACATGCTGGGGCCTATTAGAGGATGGAGAGTGGAGGGTGGGAGGAAGGAGAGGATCAGGAAAAATAACTTATGGGTACTAGGCTTAATACCTGGGTGATGAAATAATCTGTACAAGAAACCCGCATGACACAAGTTTACCAGTGTCACAAACCCGCACAGGTACCCCTGATCTTAAAATGAAAGTTTAAAAAGTAAAAATAAATAAATAAATAAATAAATAAATAAATAAATAAATAAATAATACTGTTGCCTATGTGATGTGGTAGATACATTAATTAGCTTGATTTAATCATTTTGCTAACATATCAAAACATCACATTGTTTTCTATAAATATATAATTATTGTCAATTAGATTTTCTTCAAATATTAATACCTGAGTGTTTCTTTCCTGGTTTTTTTTTTTTTTTTTTTTTTTTTTTCACAGAAGGGGTCTTATTCTGTTGCCCAGGCTGGAGTGCAGTGGTGCAATCATAACTCACTGCAGCCTTGAACTCTCAGGCTCAAGTGATCCTCTCCCTTCAGCCTCTTGAGTAGCTGAGTCTGCAGGTATGTGCCACCATGCCCAGCTCCAATATGTTATTTTAATTGGTCTGGTATGCATCCTAGGGATGGGGATATTTAAAAGCTCTCCAAGTGACCACAATGTAAAGCCAAGGTTCAGAACTACTGCATTACATTCATTTCACTCAGTATATTTAATTTTGTTTCTATCTTTCATTCAACAAATTTTATTGATTCATATTAACCCAGAAAATTACCTACTTCTTTCTGGCTTTCAAAGTGATTGCCATAGAGTCTTGCAAAGTACTGTTGCATAATTATTTTTATTTTCTTTGTGGCTGTGATTATTTCACCTTTTAAAATTTGTGTATTTTTGCTCTCTTTCTACCACTTCATTTTTAATTATTAGATAGACAGTAGTTTGTCTATTTTATTGGCTTTTTTTTTTTTGAGACGGAGTTTCTCTCTTGTTGCCCAGGCTGGAGTGCAATGGCGCGATCTTGGCTCATCGCAACCTCCGCCTCCAGGGTTCAAGCGATTCTCCTGCCTCAGCCTCCTGAGTAGCTGGGATTACAGGTATGTGCCACCACACCCGGCTAATTTTGTGTTTTTAGGAGAGATGGGGTTTCTCCATGTTGGTCAGGCTGGTCTCAAACTCCCAACCTCAGGTGATCCGCCCACCTTGGCCTCCCAAAGTGCTGGGATTACAGGTGTGAGCCACCATGCCCGGCGTTTATTGGCTTTTTCCTAGGACCAATTCTTGAATTCATTTACTGATTCTATTCTATTTCTGGTTTGTTTTTTTTAATTTTTTTATTTCCACAGGTTTTGGGGGAACAGGTGGTACTTGGTTACATGAGTAAGTTCTTTAGTAGTGATTTGTGAGATTTTGATGCACTCATCACCTGAGCAGGATACACTGCACTTATTTGTAGTCTTTTATACCTCACCCCCACCCACTCTTTCCTCTGAGTACCCTAAGTCTATTGTATCATTCTTATGCCTTTGCATCCTCATAGCTTAGCTCCCATTTATGACTCAGGACATACAATGTGTGGTTTTCCATTCCTGAGTTACTTTACTTAGAATAATAGTCTCCAGTTCCATCCAGGTTGCTATGAATGCCATTAATTCAATCCTTTTTATGACTGAGTAGTATTCCATTTTATATATATATATATATATATGTATATGTGTATATATATACGTATATATGTATATATACACATATACATACATATATAAGTATATATACGTATATATACACATATACATACATATATAAGTATATATACGTATATATATACACATATATATACATATATACGTATATATATACACATATATATACATATATATATACGTATATATATGTATATATATCTCACAACTTCTTCATCCACTCATTGAATGAGGGACCTTTGGGCTGGTTCCATATTCTTGAAATTACGAATTGTGCTGCTATAAACATGTGTGTGCAAGTATCTTTTTTGTATAATGACTTCTTTTCCTCTGGGTAGATACCCAATAGTGGGATTGCTGGATCAAATGGCAGTTCTACTATTAGTTCTTTAAGGAATCTCCATGCTGTTTTCCATAGGTTGTACTAGTTTACATTCCCACCAGCAGTGTAGAAGTGTTCCCTTTTCACAGCATCCATGCCAACATCTATTCTTTTTTGATTTTTTGATTATGGCTATTCTTGCAGGAGTAAGGTGGTATCACACTGTGGTTTTGATTTGCATTTTTCTGATCATTGGTGATGTTGAGCAGTTTTTCATATTTTTTGGCCATTTGTATATCTTCTTTTAAGCCAACTTTTTTATGGGACTGTTTGATTTTTTCCTGCTAATTTGCTTGAGTTCTTTATAGATTCTGGATATTAGCCCTTTGTCAGATGTATTATTATGAAGATTTTCTCTCACTCTGTGGGTTGTCTGTTTACTCTGCTGATTCTTCCTTTTGCTGTGGAAAAGCTCTTTAGTAAGTCTGAGCTATTCATCTTTGTTTTTGTTGCATTTGCTTTTGGGTTCTTGGTCATGAAGTATTTGCCTAAACCAATCTCTAGGAGTGTTTGTCCAATGTTATCTGCTAGAACTTTTATAGTTTCAGGTCTTAGATTTAAGTCCTTCATTCATCTTGAGTTGATTTTTGTATAAGGTGAGAGACGGGGATCCAATTTCATTCTCATACATGTGGCTAGCCAATTATCCCAGCACCATTTGTTGAAAAGAGTGTCCTTTCCCCATTTTATGTTTTTGTTTGCTTTGTCAACGATCAGTTGGCTGTATGTATTTGGGTTTATTTCTGGATTCTCTATTCTGTTCTATTGGTTGATGTGCCTATTTTTATACCAGTACCATACTGTTTTGGTGACTATAGCCTTATAGTATAGTTTGAAATCAGTAATGTGATGCCTCCAGATTTGTTCTTTTTGCTTAGGCTTGCTTTGGCTATTTGGGCTCTTATTTGGTTCCATATGAATTTTAGGATTTTTTTTCTAGTTCTGTGAAGAATGATGATGATATTTTGATGGGAATTGCATTGAATTTGTAGATTGCCTTTGGCAGAATGGTCATTTTCACAATAATTGATTTTACCCATCCGTGAGCATGAGATGTGTTTCCATTTGTTTGTGGTGTCTATGATTTCTTTCAGCAGTGTTTTGTAGTTTTCCTTGTAGAGGTCTTTCACCTCCTTGGTTAGGTATATTCCTAAGTTTGTTTGTTTGTTTTGTGGCTATTGTAAAAGGGGTTGAGTTCTTAATTTGATTCTCAGTTTGGTTGCTGCTGGTGTATAGCAGAGCTACTGATTTGTATACATTAATTTTGTATCTTAAAACTTTGCTGAATTTATTTATAAGTTCTAGGAGCTTTCTGGATGAGTTTTTAGGGTTTTCTAGGCATATGATCATATCATCAGCAAACAGCGACAGTTTGACTCTTTACCAATTTGGATGCCCTTTATTTCCTTCTCTTGTCTGATTGCTCTGGCTAGGACTTCCAGTACTATGTTGAATAGAAGTGGTGAGAGTGGGCATCCTTGTCTTGTTCCAGTTCTCAGAGGGAATGCTTTCCACTTTTCCCCATTCAGTATTATGTTGGCTGTGAGTTTGTCATAGATGGCTTTTATTACATTGAGGTATGTCCCTGGTATGCCAATTTTGCTGAAGGTTTTAATCATAAAGAGACGCTGGATTTTGTCAAATGCTTCTTCTGCATCTATTGAGATGATCATGTGATTTTTGTTTTTAATTCTGTTTATGCGGCATATCACATTTATTGACTTGTGTATGTTAAACCATCCCTGCATCCCTGGCATGCAACCCACTCGATCATGCTGGATTATCTTTTTGATATGCTGTTGGATTCAGTTAGCTAGTATTTTGTTAAGAATTTTTGCATCTGTGTTCATCAGGGATATTGGTCTGTAGTTTTCTTTTTTGTCATGTCCTTTCCTGGTTTTGGTATTAGGGTGATAGTGGCTTCATAGAATAATTTAGGAAGGATTCCCTCTTTCTCTACCTTGTGGAATAATGTCAATTGGATTGTTACCAATTCTTTGAATGTCTGATAGAATTTAGCCGTGAATACATCTGGTCCTGGACTTTTTTTTCCTTGGTAACTTTTGTATTACCATTTCAATCTTGCTGCTTGTTATTGTTCTGTTCAGGGTTTCTAATTATTCTTGATTTAAGCTAGAAAGTCAACAACGAAACAGTGGATTTAATCTATGCACTAGAACAAATGGACTTAACAGATATTTACAGAACATTCTACCCAATAGTCACAGAATATACATCCTATTCATGAGCACATGGAACTTTCTCCAAGACAGACCATATGATAGTCACAAAACAAGTCCCAATAAATTTAAGAAAACTGAAATTATATCAAGTACTCTCTCAGAACACAGTGGAAAAAATCAGAAATCAACTCCAAAGGAACCTTTGAAATCATGCAAATACATGGAAATTAAATAACCTGCTCCTGAATGATCATTGAGTCAACAATGAAATCCAAATGGAAATTTGAAAATTCTTTGAACTCAACGGTAATAGTGACACAACCTATCAAAACCTCTGGGATACAGCAAAGGCTGTGCTAAGAGGAAAGTTCATAGCCTTAAATGCCTACATCAAAAAGTCTGAAAAAGTACAAATAGACAATCTAAGGTCATACCTCAAGGAACTACAGAAACAAGAACAAATCAAACCCAAACCCAGCAGAAGAAAAGAAATAACAAAGATCAGAGCAGAACAAAGTGAAATTGAAACAAAAAAAATACAGAAGATAAATGAAACAAATAGCTGTTTCTTTGACAATATAAATAAAATTGATGGACCATTAGCAAAATTAACCAAGAAAAGAGAGAAGATCCAAATAAGCTCAATTAGAAACAAAATGGGAAATATTACAACCAACACCACAAAAATAAAAAAGATTGTTCAAGACTACTATGAACACCTTTACACGCATAAACTAGAAAACCTAGAGGAGATAGATAAATTACTGAAAACATACAACCCTTTTTCTGTTTTCTTACTCAACAATTTCTGCTTTGATCTTTACAAATTTTCTGCTTCTGGTCTTCCCTTTGTTAATTTTGTTTATCTGCTTCTAATCTCTTTGGCAATTTCATTTTGTTTTGTGTCATTTAAGTTCATTTATCCTTATTCTTTTCGTTAAGTAATAGAAGTATTTCAGGCTATTAAATTTTCCTCCAATAAATATCTGTGTACAGTATTCGTTAATATATAATACTTTTATCTGAATTTTTTAAGATCACTTACAATTGTTTTGAGTTCCTGCTTAATATAAGAGTTGTTTTTGGATGGCTTCTTAGTTTTTCAATTTTCAAGTAGGTAATGTCAGTTTTATTATTGTCACGGAATCACTTCTGAATTGGTTGAACAATCCTTCGAAAACATCTCCTTGGTAAAACTTAATTGAATATGTTTAACACTAGACACTTAAACAATAGGAAAAGTAACTGATCTATTGAGTTTTATAAACAGAAGAACTGGCACCAGATACCTTTCCATCCCAAGCAGATTGATCTCCTGGCTTGAACTTTCTTGGGAAGGGAATAGTTAGGACTCAATGCATCATCTAAAAGGATGGATGGTGTCCGTCAGGTACAGAATCCCAGGTGTGCAACCAGGAGTGAGGCTTTTTTCATTGCTTCCTTCCATGCTCTGTCAGAAGCAAGTTCACTGTAAGGTCATTATGGTAGGCAAGGGTCAGCAAATTTGTTCTATGAAAGGCCAGATAGTAAGTATTATAGATTTCGTGTGCTGGGTTACTGATATTGCATATGGGACATACTCATAATAAAAAATTGTTTATTGTTTATCTCAAACTCAAATTCAACTGGGTGACTTATATTTTTATTTGATAAATCTGGCCACCCTACTTATAAGCCATATGGTCTCTGTGGCAACTACTTAGCCCTGCTGTTGTAGTGGGAAACAACCATAGACAATACTTGAATCAGTGGGTGTGGCTGCATTCCAGTTAAACTTCATAAAAATTGGCAGTGGGCTATATTTGGCCTGAGGGCCATGGTTTGTCCACCTCTGCGTTAAACCACTGTTTTTCAACATTTTATGTGCATCAGAATACCATGGAGGGTTTTTTAAAACACTGATTTCTGAGCCCCATCCCTGGAGTTCATGATTCCCTAGATTTGGGATGAACCTCAACAGTTTGCATCTCTATCAAACTCCCAGGTGATGCTGCTCCTGGTGGTCTGTAGGCCACACTTTGAGTATCGTTGCATTCAAGGAAATGCCTTATTGCCTTTTTGTTGCTAGAACCCACTTAGAGTAACATAGGCTTTTTTATTACTATTTAAAGACTTCATCAATCTTATGAGACAAAAACTTCTAAATGCTGAAATTTAAATAGTCTCATGTCCAGAACTTCCTAGCCAGCAAGGCTTCTCTAACACATATGGAAACTTTAGGCTAATTATAAAAAGTCACTCCCTCTCAGGGAAGAATTAGAAAAAAGGCACAGCTTTTTTTTCCTTCAACTTTTATTTTAAGTTGAGGGGTTCATGTGCAGGATGTGCAGGCTTGTTACATAGGTAAAGATGTGCCATGGTAGTTTTCTGCACAGATCATCCCATCACCTAGGTATTTAAGCCAAGCAACCATTAGCTATTCTTCCTGATGCTCTCCCTCCCCCCAGTCCCCAATGGGCCCCAGTGTGTGTTGTTCCCCTCTGTGTGTCCATGTGTTCTCATCATTCAGCTCCCAATTATAAGTGAGAACAGGCAGTGTTTGGTTTTCTGTTCCTGCATTAGTTTGTTGAGGATAACGGCTTCCAACTCCATCCATGTCCCTACAAAGGACGTGATCTTGCTCCTTTTTATGGCTGCATAGTATTCCATGGTGTATATGTACCACATTTTCTTTATCCAGTTTATCACTGATGGGCATTTAGGTTGATTACATGTCTTTGCTATTGTGAATAGTGCTGCAATGAACATACACAAAGGCACCACTTCTTCTGAATTCACACAGCCCCTCGCCAGGATACACAGCTTGGTCAGTTGAGTGCAGGCCAGATTTCAGCATCTATTCTTCCCTTCAGGAGCCTCTATGCAGTGCACAGACTGCATGACACAGCTGGTTGACCAGAAGAATGTTATCTACAATTTACTTAATCAAAATAACACATTCTAAATTTAAAATATTCCATATGAATTTATTTGTTTTCTTGCAGTGAAAAGAAAAACATGAAAGAATATTCTTAAGGAAAATCCCATGCACAAGCTGATACCTGCTCTCCTTTCCTCATATCTCAAGGGGAGAAAATAAACAGAAGTTTAAGAAATGTTTAAGAAAATTTAAGAAATAAACAGAATTTTAATGTCTAGTTTTAGTGTAGTGAATATGGTCTGAACTGTTTTGGCTCTTTGGAATTCAGTTTTCTTTATAGTCTAATATGTCAACAGTAGTATTTTGTAAATGTTCCACGACCCTTCACAAGAAGGTATATTCCCTATTTGGAGATGATAGATTTTAAAATATTTCTACTGATAAACATATCCTTTTCTGTAGTAATGTCTATATATCATGGGTTCTCTATATTCTTACTTATCTTCCTGATATAAGAATGACTTGGGATGTAGGAGAATACCAATGAGGGAAGGGAGAGAGTTTCCATGTGTCATTTTGTATCCTGGCCACATAGCACAATACTGACAACATAACAGGCACTCCCCTATCAAATGAATGAGCTCTTTTTGGCTGTAAAGTAGGTGGAGTGCAATTGGCCCCAGTGATCCATTCAAATAAAAATGGATTTCTATCCTCTTTCCTTTCTCCCAACTGGGCTTGTAGTATATTCCCTAATCTGGAGTCAGCTATAATTGGTGCATTTTAATTAGAAAAACCAGTCAATATTTTTCTCTGATGTTTCTTCTCTTTGGTTCCAGTCTTATTCATTGAGGTTACACAGACAAAGTAAATTCTCTCTTCTAAATGGAAAACCTGTAAACATCCATGTTTGGCTTTCAGCAAAAGAACGATAATAAAAATTAGAAAAATTTGTGAAACCCAAAATAACAATGAAACTACATATAATTTTGTGGAATATAACTAGGGCAGTAATTAGGGCAGAACTTTCTCTTAAAAGAAGTTAAAATTTTAAAAATTAGCAAACAACTTAATCACAGAATAAAATACATTATGCAAGGAAAGGGAAAGGAAGAAAAAATGCACATAATAGATGGATTGAACAAAATTCAAAGATTGATTAAACTAATAAAGGTCGAAGAAATTAATACTTTGACAGTTCTCTGGCATGATTTATGTTATAAAAAAACAGACTTAAATAAACAATATTAAAAATGAAAGGGGCACAGATGTTGCAGACTGAATTATAAGGGGGGCTTCTGCTTCTGATATTTATAGACAAGGTAATTTGGATCAACCATCTCAACAAAAACAACCAAAAGCTTGACACATTTTAAAATATCTACAATAAAGGCATTAAAGAACTAAAAATGCAGTGAAGAATTTTAGAGCCAAGATCCAGGAGCATTCACTATGTATTTAGCCACATTAGAAATAGCTGATGTCGCCAGGCGTGGTGGTTCACGCCTGTAATCCCAGCACTTTGGGTGGCCGAGGCTGGTGGATCACCTCAGGTCAGGAGTTTGAGACCAGACTGGCCAACATGGTGAAACCTGCCTC
The DNA here is from genome assembly GCF_000001405.40 of Homo sapiens. Taxonomy (NCBI): domain Eukaryota; kingdom Metazoa; phylum Chordata; class Mammalia; order Primates; family Hominidae; genus Homo; species Homo sapiens. The sequence continues at coordinate 48,222,903 of NC_000012.12, read as the reverse complement.
TACTAAAAATACAAAAATTAGCTAGGAGTGGTGGCGGACCCAGCTACTCGGGAGGCTGAGGCAGGAGAATCGCTTGAACCCGGGAGGCAGAGGTTGCAATGAGCCAAGATCATGCCATTGCACTCCTGCCTGGGTGACAGAGCGAGACTCTGTCTCAAAAAAAAAAAAGAAAGAAAGAAAGAAAGAGGGAGGAAGGGAGGGAGGGAGAGAGAGACAGAAAAAGAAAGAAAGAAAAAGAAAGAAAGAAGCAAAGCAAAGCAATAGCTGATGTAGCTGAGGAAAGAACTGGTAAAGTGAGTGACTCATGCCTGTAATCTAGACACTTTGGGAGGCTGAGATGGGAGGATCGTTTGAGTCCAGGAGTTCAAGACCAGCCTAGGCAACATGGCAAAACTCTGTCTCTACAAAAAATACAAAAAATTATCGGGGCGTGGTGGTGCAAGCCTGTAGTCCCAGCTACTCAGGAGGCTGATGTGGGAGGATAGCTTGAGCTCGGGAGGTCAAGGCTACAGTAAGCCATGATCATGCCACTGCACTCCACCCTGGGCAACAAAGCAAGACCCTGTCTCAAAAAAAAAACAAAAAACAAAAAAAAAACAAAAAGAAAGAAAGAATTGGTAAAGATGAAGGTATGTCATAAAGAAGATGAAAGAAAGAATGGATAGAGCAAAAGCAATATTTGAAGAGAAAATAGCTTGGAATTAAAGAGGCCTTAAATATCTTCAAAATATTTTATTTATAAAAAGAAAGCCATAGCTTGACACATCACTAGAACTTCTGAAAATGAAAGGCAAAGAGAAAAACTTAAGAGGAGCCTGAAAAAAAAAAAAAAAGGCAGATTACCTTCAAAGGAACCACGATCAGGTTGGCAGTGTTTTTCTCAATGATGCAAGTCAAAATATAAAATTTTCTTGTTTAAGATTCCATTGTAGCAGACTAGAGAAGGGTTGTAAGTCACAGTGATATGCTCCTGCTGGCCTGGAAGAAAACAAACATCCATGCTGTGAACTGCCTGTGGGGGCCGTGTGGCCAGGAACTCTAGGAGCTGAGACCAATCCCCAGATGACAGCTAGTAAGTCATACGACTGCAAAAAAATGATTCTGCCAGCAACCAGTGAGCTTGGAAGAAGACCAATGCCTCAGATGAGAATGGCAGCCCCAGATGACTCCTTGATTTCCACCTAGTGAGACTGAGCAGAAGACTCAGCTAGTTCATACCCAGACTCCCAACCCATGGAAATGGTGAGATAATTTTCACTTGTAATAGTAAAGAAAAATTGTAAGATAAATTTTAAGATATTGTAAGATAAGATAAAGCAAAAAAATCATATGATAAATTTTACTATAAGCCACTAAATTTGTGGTAACGTTACACTGCAATAGAAAACTAATATATGTTTTAATTTTTTTTTTTTTTTTTGAGACGGAGTTTCACTCTGTCGCCCAGGCTAGAGTGCTGTGGCGCGATCTCGGCTCACTGCAAAGTCCGCTTCCCGGGTTCACGCCATTCTCCTGCCTCAGCCTCCCGAGCAGCTGTGACTACAGGCGCCTGCCACCACAACCGGCTATTTTTTTTGTATTTTTAGTAGAGACGGGGTTTTACTGTGTTAGCCAGGATGGTCTCGATTCCCTGACCTCGTGATCTGCCCGCCTCGCCTCCCAAAGTGCTGGGATTACAGGCGTGAGCCACCGCGCCCGGCTGTTTTAAATATTTTTAAGAAAATACTATGGAAAATTTTATGCCATTAAATCTGATAATGTAGATAAATGAAAAGTTATTAGAAAAATATAATTTTCCAAGTTGAAGAAGAAATAGAAAAACATAAACACACATATAAGCATGAGATTAAATGAATAGTTTAAAAATATTTCTATAAAGCCAGACATATGATTTTAAGGCAGATACTATCAAACAATTAAGGAAAAAAATGCTAACTTTGACTATACTAGAACAAAAGGAAGTACCTCAACCTTTTTAGTGATGTAAATATAACTTTGAAACTAAAATTTGCCCCCGGCAAAAAAGATAATTTCACTCTTGGACATAGTTGCAAAACTCCTAAGCAAAATTTTAGCAAATTGTATATTACAATATATTTAAAAGATTATACCTTATATCATGACCAAAGTAAAGTTTATCCCAGTAATTCAAAGTTGATTTTTTATTTTTATTTTTTAATTTAATTTAATTTTTTTAGAGACAGGGTCTCTCTTTGTCACCCAGGCTGGAGTGCAATGGTGCAATCAGCCTCAACCTCCTGGGCTCAAGTGGTCCTTCTGCCTCAGTCTCCTGAGTAGCTAGGACTACAGGCATGAATCACCATGCCTGGCTAATATAAAAAAATTTTTTTTAGAGATGGGGTCTCGCTGTATTGCACAGGCTGGTCTCGAATTCCTGTCCTCAAGTGATCCTTCCACCTCAGCCTCCCAAAGTGCTGGGATTACAGGCATGAGCCACTGTGCCAGCCTTGAAGTTGATTTAACATTAAAAAATGAATTAATGTAAATTACCACAGGAACAGAAAATGAAAAATCACATAATCATCTTAAGAGATGCAGGAATGCCATCTATTTTATTGAAAATTCATGTCTGTTTGTAATTTTTTGAAAAAAATCTCAGCAGACCAGGAATAGAAAAGAACTTCCTTAAGCTATTAAAGTGATTATAAACCAAAACCGCATAGCAAACATCATCTTTAATAGTGAAACATTAAAAGCATTATCTGTAAGATCATGTCTACTTTGTTATTAATAAAGGTGATATTTTGACCTCTATCTGCAGACTCATTGTCTTATTTCTCAGTTGATTCAGAACCATATGGGAGAGTAATATTGTTTACTGTATCCCCCTCGAGGTCCCATACAATTATTTTAAGTGATATTATTATATGTGTGGAAATAAAATTGCAAACAAAGAAAACAATAGAGTTTTGGTTATAATTAAAATATACTCAGTCATAATAATGTCTGGCAGGTCCTGGAAGAAAAGAATGCTGGTGATACACATATTTTGCATTCTCAAAGTACAGTGCGGGTGAATTAAGGGACAGAAATCTGCATTCCATGACCACAGCAGCACAATGTACAAAGTATGCCATTGTAGACTAGACTGGTGGGAAAATGTCTTATTATAATGTAATGCTCTGATTCTTGTCATATTTACCTAAGAGGGGCAGGACAGTATTGAATACATTCAACAGCAACAATGTTTCTGTTGTTCTCTTAGCATGCTGTAAACACAGGAAATAAAATATAATACATATTTTATGGTTTATTATATGGAATCTGTTTTAGGAATGGGGTTAGTGCACTTACATTGTAAATGAACTCATCAATCTTGTTTAAATCATGTAGGGTCTTCTGTTAGAAAGCTTCAGCCTATGTGAGGCTTGACTATCTTCTTGTAGTCTGCTTTAAATAAAATGGGCCTCTCATAATTTCAAACCTTACACCACTTAAAACCTGGTTTATCTAATGCATACATAAATCTCTTACTTTTTCGATTAAATTAAATGCATCATTTCACGATGCAGAAAAACATCATTTTTTCTGGGTGAATAAACTTTATAGTAGAAAAATTTAATGTGGTGTTCATGGATCCCCAGGGAATCAACAGATATGTTTCAGAGTGTCCACGCATCTCTGAAATGTTGTAGGAAAAGTTGTGAGCAATAGAGCATTTTTCTTGGTGAGTCCACAATTTATCAGCTTCCCTAAGGCTGCTGGAACCCATGAAGGGTTAAAAATTTCTGTTTTGAAGTCACAAAGTTCCCACAAATTTATTTGGTCTGAAAATTATTCTTTTATCTTGCTGAATTGTTTGTTTCCTCAAAAGTGTCTCCAATGGAGAGTGATTGAGAGAGAGTTGAGCAGCCATCCACCACCAGTAGCCTCTAATAGAGCTTCAGTAAAGTACTGGTGGATCCCAACAGTAATAAGATAATAAAATAGGAAAATATGCACAAATAATTTTTAAAAATAGGTACAAGAGAAAATATCTGCTAATGACTGACAGATTCAAAGAATCTTGTTCATGGAAAAAGACATTTTTGTAACAACAACCAAAAAAAAGGCCAATCTAAGTGAGATCAAGAATTAAGTCTAGAAAGTCTTCCATTTAGGTACAAACTTGAAATTATACCTAAACTTTGAGGAATGCCTTAAGAGGCAGAGAGTAGCCATAAAAAATGTTCATTTGGTAATTGAATTGTTTGTGGATATGTGATTATTGTGGTATAAAAGAGAGACTCAGTGAAGAGAAGCAGGTTCCCTTTCATCTTTATTAAGGAAGATAAACAACAGCGATTCCTGTCCCTGAATTTGACAATGAGTGGACTGATTGGAGGTACCAAATTCCATAATGGCCAATACGTAATCATTTTGAAATTGAATATATAAAATAAAAGATTTAAATTAGGGCTTATTTGAAAATTGAATGGAGATTTTCTTTGCTACTCAAGGCAGAGAACTAGAGCCAGCACTTAGGATTTACAAGACTTGTCTTCCCTCCTCCCGCTCTGAAAATTTCCCTGGTCAAGTAAGATTAAATCAACAGGCAGTCTATAGGAAGAAGGCAAAACCATCCACCCTCCTGATTCTAGCCCAGAGAGCACATAGTTTGCCCTAAAGTGGTAAATCAATTTCTCTTTGTTAACTAAAAATAAGAGAATGTGTATGTTTTCATTAAATGGGAAAACTAATAAAATTTAGAAATCAGACTAATAAAAGCAAAGAAAGGACGTTTATTCATTCAAAAATACAGATAAGATGACCAGCTTTAGGAATCAATGAGGAATGAGCCCTGGAAGTAGGCCTGCTAAAATACAAGCTCAACCAGGATCTTCCAGAGTTCCTTATTAGTGAGACCAGGGTTACCCAGAACCAGATAGATAAGGGGTGAATGCACAAGTTGCAGTGTCATTTGTAAGATTCAGCTGCCTATTTGTGCAAGGAGAGAACCAAGTAATTGCATCTGGTTGGGTAGGTGTTTTGCATCAGGAATGCTAGAAAGAGATGAAACTACACTGAGACCCTTCACCAGGAGCAAAAAGAGAGAAATCAAAAAAGAACAGCCCACAGCAAAAGTCCCTGTAAGATCAGAGCGCTTTGGCCAGGCGTGGTGGCTCATGCCTGTAATCCCAGCACTTTGGGAGGCCAAGGCAGGCGGATCACGAGGTCAGGAGTTCAAGACCAGCCTGGCCAAGATGGTGAAACCCCGTCTCTACTAAAAATACAAAAAATTAGCTGGGGATGGTGGTGGGTGCCTGTAATCCAAGCTTCTGGGGAGGCTGAAACAGAGAATTGCTTGAACCTAGGAGGCAGAGGTTGCAGTGAGCTGAGATCGCACCACTGCACTCCAGCCTGGGTGACGGAACAAGACTCTGTCTCAAAAAATAAAATAAAATAAAATAAAATAAAATAAAATAAAATAAAATAAAATAAAGTAAAATAAAAACTCAGAGCCCTTGTCCGCCAGACCTCTCTGACCTAGCACCAGCCCCATCATTAGAAACATAAGGTCAGCCCCTTACTCTATCCTTAAATGGCCAGAAAAAAAAAAAAAAAAGCTGTTTCTCCATCTGATTTTACATATAACCCAGAAAGCCCTGGAATTACGGTATTTTTAAAGATTTTAAAATTTGAGAACTCAGAACTCTGTGATTTTCACTAAGACATATCTGCTAGGAATAAAATCGGGAAACAACAAGCAATAAAGTTTTGCCATGTATTTCCTAATGAAGTTGTGGAGACAAAAGCATGTGGACCCATGTTTGGGGAGGCATTTGCAAGACAGATGTAAATGACTTTTAATGAAGGGCAACTAAGCCTTAGTGAGAGTTCCTGGAGGCCTCTGCTTGACAAGTCTGTTGCAATGTAGCAACTCATTCCAATGTTGCACAAACCCACTTCAGAAGTGCTTCTACAGGCCTGTCCATTTCCCTTCTTTTCTATTTTAAGTTCATTCCCATTTCCCTTTTCTTCAGCAAGATGGACAGTGAGTAGTTTGCCTTTAATGGTGCCTTGCCTTGCAACAGATTTAAGTTAAATTGTAGAAGTGTTCTAAATTCTCTCATTGCTTCCCTCCCAGTTTTTTCTGCCTTCACTTTGCTCCATTCACCTCTTTGCTACCATATCCACTTCAGTTTCTCCATATCCCTCTGAAAGTGAGGATCTCTGAAGTACCTGCAGCCCCTGAAGATGCCTAACCAAGGCCAAGTATTATGAATGTATCCAGACTTGGCATGCCAGACCCCTGTGATGAGACATCCCTGTGATCTACAAAATAAGTGTAAGGCACAAACTGTCCTGGAAGGTCCTTCTTATTGGTCTGCATTAAAGGGAGATGTTATGGGGGAGAGACAACTATCTGAGCCGATGGTGCAGGGGTAAAAGAATTTACCAAGAGAATTAATTGTAGGTACAGAAAGGCAGATTTACTAGAGAAAGTAGGAAAATATTTTGCCAGAGAGGCAACTGGCAGTATCAGCATGAGAGAAGCTGACTGCAAAGAAACAGGCTTGGCTGGAGAGTTTATATTATAGAATAGAGTTTATGCTGTATGCTGAAAAGAGCTTTGTGCAGTGCTGATAATGCCAAGGTTGCAGTGAACTAACTTCAGGGTGTCTGGTAATAGTTGGGTACAGGAAGATTGCGAGTTATTTGTGCAGGAGGGCTATATGTCCTGGACCACGAAGAAAGGTATCTGCTTTCTTTTTTTGCTTTCCCTTGGTCCTGCCAGCCTGACTCCTTTTCCCTAATTAGGACTCCACAGAAGACATAATAAATAATGAAAATACCAAAAATAACCTCATCCTAATTTTATAGTGGAGGTTTTAATTCCGTATTGTGCCTCCCTCCATATCATAAGATATGATCGCCTTCCATGATCCCTATCCCTTCTCCAGCTGAGCCCTAAAGTGAATCTACTATTCCACTAGAAAAGCTATAACAAAAACCAGACGAGATTTGCTGCTCCTCCCCCTTCTCACAGTCACCTTCAATATGGGGATTTAAACAAAGAGTAAAATAACCAGAAATCTAAGGGAAAGACAGAGAAAATGATATGCAAAGCTATCCATGATAATGCTCCTCTGTGTGTATGTTCAAAAGAACTTAGTAATCAAGAAGAACCACGACACATCAGTGGACTGGATAATAACTTCAGCTGTTCCATGGCATTGATTAATCTGAGCTATTTTGCTATTTTAAATGCCTGAAAAAAATTGGACTAACTCTAAATAGCTTAGAGAAGAAAGGGAAAGAATGAGAGATATGAGAGAGAAAGACACACACACACACACACACACACACACACACACACACACACAGAGAGAGAGAGAAAGGGAAGGAGAGAGAGAGAGAATTCCTAACAGAGAGAATTAGTACTATCCTCTATAGCAATAAGGCACAGAAGAGAAAAATTTGAAACACACTGAGAGTCCTGGATTATGAAATAGATGTTTTTTAAGAGGTGAATAGTTATGTATTTATGAGATTCAAAACCTCAAAACAGTTCAATAGCAAGAAAACAACTGAATTTAAAAATAGGCAAAAGGACTTGAATAGACATTTCTTAAAAGAACACAAAAAATGGCCAACAGGTATATGAAAAAAATGCTCAACATCACGAATCATCAGGGAAATGCAAATTAAAACCACAACGAGATATTGCCTCACACCTATTAGCAAAAAGACAAAAGATAAGTGTTGTGAGGTTGTGGAGAAAAGGGAATACATGCACACTGTTGGTGGGAATGTAAATTGGTATTGTCATTTCTTAAATATTATAGAGGTTCCTCAAAAAATTAAAATTAGAACTACCATATGATATATCCAAAGATACGAAATCAGTATGTCAAAGAGACCTCTGCACTGTCACAATCTTTGCAGCATTATTCACAGTAGCCAAGATAGAGAATCAACTTAAGTGTCCATCAATGGACAAATGCGTAAAGAAAATGTGGTATATATATACAATGGAACACTATTTAGCCTTAGAAAAAAACCAGGAAATTCTGTTATTTGCAACAACATGGATGAACCTGGAGGATGTGATGTTAAATGAAATATACCAGACACAGAAAGACAAATACCACATGATCTCACTTATATGTGGAATGTTAAAAAGTCAACCTCAGAAACAGAGAGTAGAATTGTGGTTACCTGGGGCTGGTAGGGAGTGAGGACTGGGGAGATGTTGGTCAAAAGATACAAACTTTTAGTTAGATGGGAGGAATAATTTCAAGAGCTCTATTGTACAACATGATGACTAGTTAATAACAAGGTATTAATATATTCTTGAAAATTGCTAAGAAAGTAGATTTTAAGTGTTCTCACCACAAAAATGATAAGTATGTGAAGTAATGGATATGTTAATTAGCTTTATTTAGTCATTTCACAATGTATACATATATTAAAACATCATATTTTACACCATAAATATATATAATTCTTTTGCCAATTAAAAAAAGAATTCACAGTCTTACTTTGAGTCAGACTGGGGGTACAAGGTAAAATGGCTTTGTTATCTCAAGCTAAATGATTTGTAAAATATTTTTTTCCTTTGCAGACTTAATCCTTTTTTTCCTCAGACGTAATAGTTTAAAAATGATTTGTAAAGCTGATGTATAAACACATTAAAAACACACAGACTTGAAAGTGCATCATTTTACAGAGAAGCAGTGAGGCATGGCACAGGGTAACGTAGAGGGACTTCGGAGACCGGCATACCTGAAATTCAGCCTCGGCATTGCCATTTACTCAATGGGAGTCAGCTAGCTGAGTCTCAAGTTTTTCTCCTACAAAATGAGGATTAACTAAAATAATACATGATTAGTGGCTTACACAGATAGACAACAAACATTAGTTCTGATCTCTGTTTCTTGTCTGTCTCCCTGTGGTTTCACTTCACCTATGGAAGGAAGATTGTACAGACTTGGCCAGGCTTCCACTTGTAAGCCCAACTGCTTCTGCAGAAACCCAGAGAGAGGAGAGGGTCTCACCTGCCCTTTCGAATCCATCCTCATGTTTCCGGCTTCTCAATGCCAGGAAATTATTTACATCTAACTCAGCCTTCACCTTTTCTCCTAATCTGGTTCCCAGAAACATTGTAAACAAATGTGGAACTCATGCTCTGTATCAGTCTCTAAGAGAGGACCATCCTTGAGTTACTTCTCTGACTCCCTTTCCCCCGGGAACAAGAAAGAAAAATCCCAGATAAATAGAAAATACTGACATGCACAAACATAAAGACGAAGGTTCAAAAAAAGGAAAGAAAATAAATGAGAGAAGTAATCAGAGAGACAGACACAGGGGGAAAGATCTCTTCTCTCTAAAAAGGAAAGAAAAATGTTAAAGCCAAAGAAAGAACTAGAGGGACTGAAATATAGGGAGACTGGAAAAGAGTGTGAAAATATAATAGGTTTATACAGAGAAACACATCTAAAGACACAGTCACCATGAACACCAAACTAGAGACAGAAAAAAAAAAAGAGGGCACTAAAAGCCAAACATGGAAAAGTGACTGAGAAGCTGATCAGGCCTGCTGGGCATGTGTCTGGTAACGTGGACTCAAAACCAAGGAACCAGGTGCCTCCCAAGTTCTGGGAACAAGAGGCTGACCCTCTGGTTTGTCTCCTCATCCCCAGCCATTAGAAACAGGCCTCTGCAAACCACGCTCAGTGACATCCAAGGCATCTTCCCTTAGCCCAAGCCAACAGGGCAGGTGGGCACACTGATGTCCTGATGGAAACACGGAGGGGAGCTGCAGAGGAAGAAGTGACTACTCGGAGGAAGTTGGGACCACAGCGAGCTTAGAGAAGGAGAAACAGAGCAGAGGGGGGTTAACGGAGTCAAGATTTGTGACAGCTCCCCAGTGCCTGCTGTGTGGAGAGTCCTGTTGTGATCTGAACATGGGCTGTTCCTGAGGGAGCCATGAGTGTTAATCTCCAGGGATGTCCAGAGGCAGGGGCGGCTATCACAGCAGAAGTGAGTGAATTCACTGACCTTCTCCATGGGCTTTGGCAGACGCTGGTGAGGACATTGGCTGTGCTAACCTCAGGCTGAGAGGGATCCAAAGGTGCAGAGTGAGGTGCGGTTTTGCTGCAAACCAGCTGCTCATTTACAAGCTCCTTCCTCCACCCTCCTTCCCCATTCCTCACTTGAGTGCGCGCGCGCGCGCGCACACACACACACACACACACACACACATACACACACACACACACACACACGGCGGGGGGGAGGTGGGGAGAGAGAGAGAGGGAGGGAGAGAGAGAGAGAGAAGCATGCTTGAGCTTCTAACTGGTTACTGTAATAAGACCAACTGTCTATTCTTGAAGCCTGACCATTCCAACCCGGGGGATAGTTTTGAACCAGTCCTTTCCAAGGTTCCCTCGTGAGGCCCTGTCCATGGCATGTGGCCCAGGAAGGTCTAGAGCAGTTCCAGGTTTCCCTGGGAAATTTCTATTACCATTACCAGATGACTGGATAGATAAGGAAGCCTAGCATATATCATGATCCTTGTGCCCTCAGCTTCAAATCTGGGAACACTTTAACTTTTGTCCACCCATTTTCTAATTTTATTTTGAATTAATTTTCTAGCTAGAGTATGTGCTGACTTAGTTGCCATTTCTTGTGCCCCTAATTAAATATTTGTTATATCAGTATACTATGCTCAACACAACAACAAATATTGACTGAGCCCCACTCAGTGCCAGGGACCTTATTAAGTACTGCTGATAAAGTGGTAAACAGACAGACAAAAGATCTGTCCAATGGAGCATATATTTGATAAGTTGCTCCCCTCCTAACCCCCATCCTCTCTACCTCTTCATTATCACAATTTTCTTCTTCAGATCTGTATACCCTTCTTTCCCCGACCTACCCACTGTTTTTCCAAAGTTCGGCCCAGTACTAAATTATCTACCATTTAAATTCTGCATAACCCAGAGAAGTTCAGTTATTCTCTCCCTCCCTCAATTCTCTGCAGTCCTTCCTTTCTTCTCTTGAAATACTTGGGGCCACGTGCGGTGGTATATACCTATAACCCCAGCACTCTGGGAGGCTGAGGTGGGAGGATTACTTATCTCAGGAGTTTGAGACCAGCTTGGGCAAGATAGCACAATCTTGTCTCTACTGAAAAAAAAAAAAAGCTGGATGTGGTGGCAGGTGCCTGCAGTCCTAGCTACTTGGGAGGCGGAGGCAGGAGGATTACTTGAGCCTGGGAGTTTGAAGCTGCAATGAGCTATGATCATGCCACTGCACTCCAGCCTGGGCAACAGACTGAGACCCTGTCTCAGAAAAAAGAAGAAAAAACAAATAAATAAATACTTGGACTGCTTTAAAACTGAATTTATAAATTTATGAGGCTTGTGTCCTGATTCATTCTACATGTTGGTAAGATGGCTTTTTCTTCCCATTCTACAATACAAGAATACCTTCTCCACCATTCCCAATTTGGATCTGACCAAATCTAATCTAACTGGGACATTTTGGTAGCATAATTCAGTTTGTACATAAGACAGAAAAGCTAGGCATCAGGAAATTGACCTTTGCAGTACAAGATGTCTGATGATCCTTCATATATCCACTCAAAAGTGCCTGAGAAAAGCAAACTCTTCAAGCACTTTAAAAGCATCTATTTCTATACCACTAATTGGTATGCTAAGTAGGAAGCTTATTTCACTGCTCACTTCCATAAAATCTGTGATCCAGAGCATTTTATTGACAAAATTCCAACACAAATATGATGGGCAATTCAAATTGTTCCAAATAATATTCTCTTCCTAGAGAGGACTGTATGAAGAAAATTAGTATGTTTTTAATCTGACACTGTAATGTTGAAATATCACTCTTACAGTGTATTTATTTAGTGTGTTTGGGGTGAAAAAATAATTATACCAAAAAAGAGTTGTCCTAAAAGTGGAATAACTCTTGGAGCTATCAGGGTGAAGAATCATTAGCTTTATGGATATTCCGTGAAGTATGTCTACACGTATTTCCATTTATTTAGATTTTCTCTAATGACATTCAAAGAACTGGCCTTTTCTGGCTGGGCGTGGTGGTTCACACCTATAATTCCAGCACTTTGGGAGGCTGAGGTGGGAGGATGACTGAGGTCAGGAGTTCGAGACCAGCCTGGCCAACATGGTGAAACCCTGTCTCTACTACAAATACAAAAAAAAAAAAAAATAGCTGGGCATGTTTGCACATGCCTGTAATTCCAGCTACTTGGGAGGCTGAGGCAGGAGGATCACCTGAACCTGGGAGGCGGAGGTTGCAGTGAGCCAGGATCGCACCACTGCACTCCAGCCTGGGCAACACAGCAAGACTCCATCTCAAAAAACAAACAAACAAAAAGAATTGCCTTTTTTAAAATTATTTATTTATTTATTTATTTATGTATTTATTATTATTAAACTTTAAGTTTTAGGGTACATGTGCACAATGTGCAGGTTAGTTACATATGTATACATGTGCCGTGCTGGTGCGCTGCACCCACCAACTCATCACCTAGCACTAGGTATTTCTCCCAGTGCTATCCCTCCCCGCCTCCCCACCCCACAACAGGCCCCAGAGTGTGATGTTCCCCTTCCTGTGTCCATGTGTTCTCATTGTTCAATTCCCACCTATGAGTGAGAATATGTGGTGTTTGGTTTTTTGTTCTTGCGATAGTTTACTGAGAATGATGATTTCCAATTTCATCCATGTCCCTACAAAGGACATGAACTCATCATTTTTTATGGCTGCATAGTATTCCATGGTGTATATGTGCCGCATTTTCTTAATCCAGTCTATCATTGTTGGACATTTGAGTTGGTTCCAAGTCTTTGCTATTGTGAATAATGCCGCAATAAACATACGTGTGCATGTGTCTTTATAGCAGCATGATTTATAATCCTTTGGGTATATACCCAGTAATGGGATGGCTGGGTCAAATGGTATTTCTAGTTCTAGATCCCTGAGGAATCGCCACACTGACTTCCACAATGGTTGAACTAGTTTACAGTCCCACCAACAGTGTAAAAGTGTTCCTATTTCTCCACATCCTCTCCAGCACCTGTTGTTTCCTGACTTTTTAATGATTGCCATTCTAACTGGTGTGAGATGGTATCTCATTGTGGTTTTGATTTGCATTTCTCTGATGGCCAGTGATGGTGAGCATTTTTTCATGTGTTTTTTGGCTGCATAAATTGTCTTCTTTTGAGAAGTGTCTGTTCATGTCCTTCGCCCACTTTTTGATGGGGTTGTTTGTTTTTTCTTGTAAATTTGTTTGAGTTCATTGTAGATTCTGGATATTAGCCCTTTGTCAGATGAGTAGGTTGCGAAAATTTTCTCCCATTTTATAGGTTGCCTGTTCACTCTGATGGTAGTTTCTTTTGCTGTGCAGAAGCTCTTTAGTTTAATTAGATTCCATTTGTCAATTTTGGCTTTTGTTGCCATTGCTTTTGGTGTTTTAGACATGAAGTCCTTGCCCATGCCTATGTCCTGAATGGTAATGCCTAGGTTTTCTTCTAGGGTTTTTATGGTTTTAGGTCTAACATTTAAGTCTTTAATCCATCTTGAATTGATTTTTGTATAAGGTGTAAGGAAGGGATCCAGTTTCAGCTTTCTACAAATGGCTAGCCAGTTTTCCCAGCACCATTTATTAAATAGGGAATCCTTTCCCCATTGCTTGTTTTTCTCAGATTTATCAAAGATCAGATAGTTGTAGATATGGGGCGTTATTTCTGAGGGCTCTGTTCTGTTCCATTGATCTATATCTCTGTTTTGGTACCAGTACCATGCTGTTTTGGTGACTGTAGCCTTGTAGTATAGTTTGAAGTCAGGTAGTGTGATGCCTCCAGCTTTGTTCTTTTGGCTCAGGATTGTCTTGGCAATGCGGGCTCTTTTTTGGTTCCATATGAACTTTAAAGTAGTTTTTTCCAATTCTGTGAAGAAAGTCATTGGTAGCTTGATGGGGATGAAGAATTGCCCTTTACATTGGAATTATTCTTAGGTACTTCATAGTTTGCACAGTATTATTTATTTATTTTTGTTTCAACTTTTATTTTAGATTTATGGTGTACAGGTGTAGGTTTGTTACCTGGGTATATTGCATGGTGCTGAGGTTTGGGGTATGACTGATCCCATCACCTAGGTATTGAGCATAGTACCCAGTGGTTTTTCAACCCTTGCCCCCCTCCCTCCCTCCCCCATCTAGTAGTCCCCAGTTTCTATTGTTGCCATCTTTATGTACATAAATACCCAATGTTTAGCTCCCACTTATAAGTAAGAACATGCAGTATTTGGTTTTCTGTTCCTGCATTAATTAACTTAGAATAATGGACCCTAGCTGTGTCATGTTGCTGCAAAGGACATAACTCTGTTCTCTTTTATATCTGCATAGTATTCCACGGTGTATATATACCACATTTTCTTTATCCAGTCCACCGTTGATGGGCACATAGGTTGATTCCATGTCTTTGCTATCGTGAATAGTGCTGCAGTGAACACATGAGTGCATGTGTCTTTTCAGTAGAATGATTTATTTTCTTTTGGATATATACCCAGTAATGGGATCACTTGGTCGAATGGTAGTTCCGTTTTAAGTTCTTTAAAAAATCTCCAAACTGCTTTCCACAGTGGCTGAACTAATTTACATTCCCACCAACAATTGTTGAGGTATCTCCACAACCTCAACAGCATCTGTTATTTCATGACTTTTTAATAATAGCCATAGTGACTGGTGTGAGATGATGTCTCATTATCATTTTGATTTGCATTTTCTGATGATTAGTGATGTGGAACATTTTAAAATATTTGTTGGCTGCTTGTATGTGTTCTTTTAAGAAGTGTCTAGGCTGGGCATGGTGGCTCACGCCTGTAATCCCAGCACTTTGGGAGGCCGAGGTGGGCGGATCACGAGGTCAGGAGATCGAGACCATCCTGGCTAACACGGTGAAACCCCCTCTCTACTAAAAATGCAAAAAAATTAGCCCAGTGTGGTGGCAGGCACCTATAGTCCCAGCTACTCGGGAGGCTGAGGCAGGAGAATGGCAGGAACCAGGAGGCGGAGCTTGCAGTGAGCCGAGATCGTGCACTGCAGCCTGGGAGACAGAGCGAGACCCCGTCTCAAAAAAAAAAAAAAAAAAGAAATGTCTATTCATGTATTTTGCCCACTTTTTAATGACTTTTTTTTTTAATTGGATTGCTTAAGTTCCTTTTAGATTCTGGATATTAGACCTTTGTTGGATGCATAGTTTGTGAATATTTTCTCCCATTGTGGAGGTTGTCTGTTCACTCTGTTGATAGTTTCTTTTGCTATACAGAAGCTCTTTAGTTTAATTAGGTCCCACCGGTTAATTTTTGTTTTTGTTGCAATTGCTTTTGAGGAATTAGTCATAAGTTCCTTCCCAAGGTCAATGTTTAGGATGGTGTTTCCTAGATTTTCTTCTAGGGTTCTTATAGTTTGAAGTCTTATATTTAAATCTGTAATCTATCTTGAGTTACTTTTTGTGTATGGTAAAAGGTAGGGGTCCAGTTTTATTCTTCTGCATATGGCTAGCCAGTTATCCCAGCTTTATATATTGAATAGGTAGTCCTTTCCCCATTGCTTATTTTTGTCAACTTTGTCAAAGATCAGATGGCTGCAGGTGTGCAACTTTATTTCTGGGTTCTCTATTTTGTTCCATTGGTCTATGTGTCTGTTTTTGTACCAGTACCATGCTGTTTTGATTACTGTAGCCTTGTAGTATAGTTGGAAGTTGGGTAGTATGATGCCTTTGGCTTTGTTCTTTTTACTTAGGATTGCTTTGGCTACTTGGGCTTTTTTGTTATTGTTGCTCCATATGAATTTTACAATAGTTTTTTTCTAGTTCTACAAAAAATGACATTGGTAGTTTGATAGGAATAGCATTGAATCTATAGATTGCTTTGGCCAGTATGGCCATTTTAATGATATTGATTCTTCCAATCCATGAGGATGGAATGTTTTTCCATTTGTTTGTGTCATCCACGATTTCTTTCAGTGGTGTTTTGTAGTTCTTCCTGTAGAGATATTTCACCTCCTTGGTTAGGTGCATTCCTAGGTATTTTATTTTTTTTTTGCAGCTATTGTAAATGGGATTGCATTCTTGATTTGGCTTTCAGCTAGAATGTTATGGTGTGGAGAGGTGTTACTGAGTTTTGTGCATTGATTTTGTATCCTGAAACTTTGCTGAAGTTGCTTATCAGTCTAGGAGCCTTTCAGTGAGTCTTTAGGGTTTTCTAGGTATAGAATCATATCATTTGTGAAGAATGATAGTTTGACTTCTTCTTTTTTAATTTGGATACCTTTCATTTCTTTCTCTTGTCTGATTGCTCTGGCTAGCACTTCCAGTTCTGTTGAATAAGAGTGATGAGAGGGGCATCCTTGTCTTGTTCCAGTTCTCATGGGGAATGCTTCCAGCTTTTGCCCAATCAGTACGATGTTGGCTGTTGGTTTGTCATAGATGGCTCTTATTATTTTGAGATATGTTCCTTTGATGCCTAGTTTACTGAGAGTTTTTATGATGAAGAGATATTGGATTTTATCAAAAGTTTTTCTGCATCTATTGAGATGATCATATGGTTTTCATTTTTTATATACTTTGCATAGTATTTAAAATGGTATCTTAAAATTACATTTTCTAATTTGTTTGCTGGTAACAGAATTGCAATTAGATTTTTGCATATTGATTTTGTATCCAGTAAACTTGTTAAATTCTATTAATTTTAATAAATTATTTGTGCATCCTTTTAGTTTTTATGAAGACAATCATATCATCTGTAAATAGAGTTTTGTTTTTCATTTCTACTTCTTATACCATTTTTTCTTTTCCAGCTTTACTGTACCACCCTTAATATAATCTTAAATAAAATCTTAAATCTTAAATAATGGTTACCTAAGCTTGTTTATGACCTTACAGTCAGGTGATCTGCCCGCCTTGGCCTCCCAAACTGCTGGGATTACAGGCATGAGCCACCGCGCCCGGCCTTCAGTGTTTTTAACACAAAATAATCAATATTTGGGAGGCCAAGGCAGGTGGATCATGAGGTCAGGAGTTCGAGACAAGCCTGGCCAAAAGGGTGAAACCCCATCTCTACTAAAGATTCAAAAATATTAGCCAGGCGTGGTGGTGCGCGCCTGTAATCCCAGCTACTCAGCAGGCTGAGGCAGGAGAATTGCTTGAACCCGGGAGGCGGAGGTTGCTTTGAGCTGAGATCGTGCCATTGTACTCCAGCCTGGGCGACGGGGCGAGACTGCATCTCAAAATAATAATAATAATGTACCAGTCTGGTATATTTGGGGGTGGCACATCTTTCACTTCTTCGAGGGGCATGTAAGTTTTCACACCTCTACTATTAAGTGTATACACATGAAACTTATCAATGTCATTTAAGTAGACATTCATCTCTAATAGTATAGATGTCAAAGAACAAAGTCATCAGACACACCTTCTCTTCCAGAGTGGCCTGCCAGGTCAGATGATCCTACTTGGACCAGCTTCTCTTCAAACACTATGAGATGTTTTCTGTTACTTGTTACTTGATTCAGTGACAAACATCATTATCAGCCAAGCAACAGAATGAGGTAGGATGTGATTTCCATGAAATTGTCCCATTTATTTAGACAAATCCTTCACCTAGTAACCTCTAATGGTAGCTAGCAAGGCACTAAATGCTGGGTATCACAGAATTCTTTCTGGCACAATAAACCACAGGTAAGCATTTATCCTCCAGTAGGACCAAGTAATTCCTCAGGTCTAACCTCAGTTTATTCTTAGACAAATCCCAGGCTTTTCTGGAGGTAGCTCACTGACTTGTTTTCCCCAGACTGTGACCTAAGCCCCAACATGTCCATTGAGCACAGTCTTCCAAGAAACATCTTAAACAGTGCTCTCTGCCCTTCCCTTCCCTTTCTGGGCCCCCAAGAGAAGTCCTAGGCACAAGAAAAGTATCCCAAAGTAAAGATGATGGGAATAGCCTACTGCCCAGACGCTACCTTGACCTAACATCAAATCATACCTAGAGGGAATCTAGAGCTGCAAGGAGTGGCAGTGAAAGGGTAGGTAGCTCTAAATCCAGATAGAGAATATGTGAGATTGAGAGACATGGAGAAGACAGGGGAGTTTGACCAGAGTAAGATAAACGGCAGGCAACCAACACCACAAATGAGAAAAGGAGAGGGAGAAGAATGAGGATTGGAAGTAGACTGAAAAACGAAAAAAGACTAACAGAGGGTAGTGTGAGAGTGTGTAGAAAAGAGAGTAGGAGAGGAGAAAATAAAGAGAAATGGTTGGCAGAACTGAAAGTTAAGCAGGAATATACTTATCATCTATAAGCATCTGAAGATGAGGATGGGTGCAGTAGCTCACATCTGTAATCCCAGCACTTTGGGAGGCCAAGGCAGGAGAATCACTTAAAGCCAGAAGTTCAAGACCAGCACAGGTGACATAGTGAGTACCTGTCTCTATAAATTCTTAAAAAAAAAAAAAAAAGTATAAGCATCTGAAGGTGGAAGGGATCTGATACATCTTAGCTCC
Organism: Homo sapiens; assembly: GCF_000001405.40. NCBI lineage: Eukaryota > Metazoa > Chordata > Mammalia > Primates > Hominidae > Homo > Homo sapiens. The sequence continues at coordinate 48,204,358 of NC_000012.12, read as the reverse complement.
AAAACAACATGAAAAGTATAAGACAGACTTAATATGAACATAACAACTTCCTAAAAGTTACAATAGAGAGATAAGAGCATAAGAATTGTGACCGCTCATTCTTTGAAAATGGAAAAAGAACAAGATTTGTTGCCAGAGACAAAGAGACAGTTGAAAGTTCTCTGAAGGTCCATTCTAGAAAGGTTAGATATATGCCCTGCTCATAGCTTCCCTTTTCACACAGGGATGGTTGGATCCTTTCCACCCAATTGTGTGTAACCGTAAATTCCAGCCCCAGGAGGAAAACCATCTCCTATTAGGAAGGCATGCATGAGCCCCCACCCAGCCCTCAGCTCCAGCATGCACAGCATGGGTGGCTGCGGTAGCAGCAGCAACTGCTGGGCGAGTGAGTCTGGGAAGAGGTGGGTGACTGGGAAGAGCTTGACATGACTGTCTCCAAAAAGGTGCAAATCACTGTTAGCTGAGGGACAATTGTGAGGATTAGAATGTTTTTATTTTCCCTGAAACTTCAACCCATTCATCATTTTAAATTAGGTACACAGAGGTTGAGCATTTTTGCTTCTAGAAAAATACACCTTCAAATATCTCAAGTGCTTCCTAAATACAATCTTCTATAACCTGATAGCCACCAGCCCTTTCCCTCACACACTCCATTCTTCAATTCCTAAAACTTTTCCTCAGTTGGCATGGTCCCAGACCCAATTATCTTATTTTTTCACCTCTGAATACATCCTGGTTAATGGCTAATCCTTCAATATTGAGGGCTCTGGAGCAGATGCAATACTTCACTTGATGCCTGATGAAACCAGAGTAAAGAACATTACAACCAGCACTTTCTTCATCTGTTGATATTATGATTCTATGTATGCAGCCTGTGATGACCCTGGCATTTTCACCACCCCGTAACACTGCCAAATTACTAGTTTACTAAGTTCCAAAAGGTTGACCACCATTCATCCATCCTGTTTTATAATTGGGCTTCTGGGACCAAGTGGGTACCTTCTATTACCCCACAGCTATACCCTTGTGCTTTTCCCATCATCTTTCCTCCTCAAACAGGCCCCAGATGCTAAGGAATGGCAGCATAGTGACGGAATTTATCCTCGTGGGCTTTCAGCAGAGCTCCACTTCCACACGAGCATTGCTCTTTGCCCTCTTCTTGGCCCTCTACAGCCTCACCATGGCCATGAATGGCCTCATCATCTTTATCACCTCCTGGACAGACCCCAAGCTCAACAGCCCCATGTACTTCTTCCTCGGCCATCTGTCTCTCCTGGATGTCTGCTTCATCACCACTACCATCCCACAGATGTTGATCCACCTCGTGGTCAGGGACCACATTGTCTCCTTTGTATGTTGCATGACCCAGATGTACTTTGTCTTCTGTGTTGGTGTGGCCGAGTGCATCCTCTTGGCTTTCATGGCCTATGACCGTTATGTTGCTATCTGCTACCCACTTAACTATGTCCCGATCATAAGCCAGAAGGTCTGTGTCAGGCTTGTGGGAACTGCCTGGTTCTTTGGGCTGATCAATGGCATCTTTCTCGAGTATATTTCATTCCGAGAGCCCTTCCGCAGAGACAACCACATAGAAAGCTTCTTCTGTGAGGCCCCCATAGTGATTGGCCTCTCTTGTGGGGACCCTCAGTTTAGTCTGTGGGCAATCTTTGCCGATGCCATCGTGGTAATTCTCAGCCCCATGGTGCTCACTGTCACTTCCTATGTGCACATCCTGGCCACCATCCTCAGCAAAGCCTCCTCCTCAGGTCGGGGGAAGACTTTCTCTACTTGTGCCTCTCACCTGACTGTGGTCATCTTTCTCTACACTTCAGCTATGTTCTCTTACATGAACCCCCACAGCACACATGGGCCTGACAAAGACAAACCTTTCTCCCTCCTGTACACCATCATTACCCCCATGTGCAACCCCATCATTTATAGTTTCCGCAACAAGGAAATTAAGGAGGCCATGGTGAGGGCACTTGGAAGAACCAGGCTGGCCCAGCCACAGTCTGTCTAGCAGGAAGGCCCTGAAAGGAAAGCTCCTTCACCTGGGGAATGGGAGAGTTACCCCATCCCCAGCCCTGGCAGATGAGTAACTCTCCTATGCTGAAAGGCTCCAGGAAAGAGCGTTCATGGCTTCCTTGGCACTAGAATCAGACCTGAAAGTTCCTCCTGATGTCCAATGTCCTGATGTTATCTCTCTGACTTCACTTCCACATTGTTTTTTCTTGGACCTTCCTCGGGAGAATTTCGGATTTTCCTTAGTTTTTTTCCTCAGTTTCTTTTCCTCTTAAGTTCTCACAACAGGATTCAATAAATAAGTGCACTTAACTCCATTTTATTTGTATATACCTTTACATGCTAGTCCCCCAACCTGAGTTTCGTACATACATTTAGAAATAAACTCTTTTATTTTTCAGCTCTTCATTTTACTGTTTTTCTTTCTCAAATTCCACTCTCACTTCCTGGGTCTACCCTCATCTACCCAATTCCTGTGAAAAGTAGGTAAAGAAGCAAGAAAAAAAGGGCTGGGCGCAGTGGCTCATGACTGTAATCTCAGCACTTTGGGAGGCTGAGGATGGAGTTTGAGACCTGCCTGGGCAACATAGGGAGACCCATCTCTACAAAAAATTTAAAAAATGAACTGGGTGTGGTGGCACATGCCTGTAGTCCCAGCTACTGAGGAGGCTGAGGTGGGAGGATTGCTTGAGCCTGGGAGGTTAAGGCTGCACGAGCAATGATAGCACTGCTGCACTCCAGCCTGAGCAACGCAGCAAGACCTTGTCTCATTAAAAAAAAAAAAAATGAAGAAGAAGAAGGAAGGAAGGAAGGGAGGGAAGGAGGGAGGGAGGGAAGGGAAGGGAAGAAAGAGGGAACTAGGGGTAAGTACTCACATAAGAAAAGTCAGTTAAAGAAAAAAAAAAGATCAGCACCCTGAACTTCATCTTCTTAGCTTCCACCAGTCATGGGGGGAGAATGATACTAAATGTCAACAGTGCACTCAATTTGTCTGTGTTGTGTGTTGTCGGGGACGGATGGGTGATAGAGGCCAGTGTGCCAAACCCCTTCTCCTAAATCCTCTAGCTTCCTTTAGCAACAGGACCGTCTGCATGATATTTCCCTTCCCATGCAAGTGGCAAGTGCCTCTACCAAGCTTCTCAGGTTACCTATTTCCTTCCCTGTTATCCATACCCCAAATTAACTCCCCTCTCCCCCTACTGCCTTCCTTTTTCTCTTCCATCTTTCATTTCATTCCACCTCAATCCTACTCCACCTTACCTCCTCATCTTACATGGATCCCTGTATTTTAAGGAACCCTTCTGCATACTACCTCTACCATTGCAGAAGTCTTTCAATTTGTAACCCTGCCCTCTGTGGCTTCCTCTAGCTTCTCACCTTAACCAAACACAGCTTTCTTTGAGAAGGTACTACATCCTCAGCAGTTCTCTTTCTTTGAAAATTGCATTTTTCTCATACCCCTTCATAATAAAACAAGGGGGTAGGCCTGTTCTTTATTTCGCAGTGCACTTCCATAATATGAATGGACCTCATTTGGGATGCTCTCAAATAGATGTACTGCCCTTTCCACTCCTGCGCATCACACACTACCCTTTGCAATGATGACTTAAAACAGTAGCTTCTGGCAGCACGTGGTGGCTCACACCTGTGATTCCAGCACTGTGGGAGGCCAAGGTGGGCAGATTACTTGAGGCCAGGAGCTCAAGACCAGCTTGGTCAACATGGTGAAACCCCGTCTCTAATAAAAATACAAAAATTAGCTGGGCGTGGTAGCGCATGCTTGTAATTCTAGCTACTTGAGAGGCTGAGGCAGGAGGATCACTTGAACCCAGGAGGCAGAGGCTGCAGTGAGCCATAATTACACCACTGCACTCCAGCCTGGGTGACAGAGTGAGACTCTATCTCAGGCAAAACAAAACAAAACAAAACAAAACAAAAACAGTAGCTTCACTCCACAAAACTCCAATCTTTTGAGTCCAAATTGATTTCTCCAGAAATCAGAGGATGTGAGAAGCTCTTCTTAACAAGGAGAAAGGAGAAACCACTGTAATTGGGAAGAAACGATAAATGCAGAACCTAAAATTTCCATTGTCAAAATTTGCATCAAAGTTAAACAGGCAAGAAAGACCTTAAGACTATTGCAATACGAGATTAAACTCAACACTACTCAAACAAGGGTCTGGGAAGTTTTTAAGAGCTGCTGTACGGGAAATCACATGACATCTGTGTTTGCTAACTGCAAAGGAAAAGGACACTTTCTTGTATCTTCAAAACAAGCTGTAGTTTTACAATTCCAAACAAGGCACCCACAGGAGGTTAGGCTCCCACCCTCCCACAGAGACTGAGAGATAGGGGTGCTATCTTCCTTGATGATTACATTTCAAAGGGATGGCTCACAGGTCCTTGAGAAAGACATTCCCTAGGTCGTAAAACTGGCATAAGCTTCTAAGGAGATTTATACACATTTCAAAGGAGCAGAGAAGAATTTTGCAATCACAAGTTTTCTAAAGTAAACACTCAAAGAAAGGGGAGGTCAGGGCCCTAACATCCAGAAGAAACCTGTCTAAAGTTGTCAGGCTGAGGTGAATGTTAAGGCTCTTTTGGTCACCACTGAGAACAACAACAAAAAGGTCCCAATCTTTCCCCCTAGGGTCTCAGCTTCTTCTCTAGGTTTGAAAATTCCTATCTCAAAGAGGAAAAAGTGAAGGAAAGGAAGAAAGGGAAAGGAGAAGAAAGACTGCTTTTAAAAAGTTTTCTAAGAAATCATTTCTTAGCTTTACATTTGCCCAGCACTGACAGACGCTGAGATTATAAACAAGACAGTTCCAGCTTTTGAGAATCTCAGTCTAGTAGGGCAGGCAAGAACAAATAATGGTAATAGAAAGGGCAAGCGTTATAAAAGGCCTACACAAAGTACTTTGGAAGCACATATGATAACATACTTATTAAGCACTTATATTGTAAGAGCTTTCCATTTAATCGTCACATAACCTTATGAGGTACTAGTATTATCTCAATGTTGAGATGCAAAAACTGAGGCTCATAGAGGTCAAATACTCAAAATCCACAGCATTTACAATGGCATAGAGGCCTGCGCCTATAATCCCATACACTCAGGAGGCTGAGGCGGGAGGATTGCTTGACCCCAGCCTGCAGTAAGCTATGATCCCGCCACTGCACTCTAGCCTGGGCGACACAGCGAGATCCCATCTCTAAAAAAAAAAAATTAAACTAAAGAAAAATAATAGAACAGCATAGCTCCTGTTCCTAAGCCTGCACTCCTAAGAAGGTCCAGGACAGCGCAGGCTTTATACCAAGGAGGTGATACTGGCTGCGCCGTTAAAAATACGCTGGAGTTGTAACGTAGAAAATTGGGGCGGGGGTTCGATACCGGGGACGAGTGAAATTCCAGGCAAGAGGAATCGCCCGCTTCGTCGTAGAACTGGTGTTGTCAACATGGATGGCGGAAGGTGAGCTGGGGCCCGGAATGCTGGCAAAGCAGGCCGAGTGACCTAGAACTGCTTTTTCAAGGACGAGCACTGTCTCATTCAAGGCCCTGGGCTCCCGGAGGCCCGGGCGCCAGACGGGAACGGACGCGAACCGAGCTCGCACTAGAAGCCACGGCCCTGGCCGCGTCTCCCCTGCCGTAGCTTCGGCCCTGGTCCCTGGTCTCTGGAGGACACAAATTGCCCCCAGACTCTGCGAAAACCCATGAAAATGTAATTAACCAGAAACCACCCTGAAACTGCACGGCACTTCCCAGTCCCCTTTCATGTCCCAATGAAAGACACTTGTCGCTGGTGAGCACGCAACCAGGCTCTGAGGTTACCACGGCGCAGCCCAAAGACCGAAAATATGGGAAGGGTACCCAGGAATTGCCTCCCGCAGGGTTTGGCTGGGCCCTCGGCTCCCTCACACTGAAAGCTGAAGCTGTCGCCATATTTCCGAGGCCGGCTCCGCGACGCACTTGCAAACTACCCAAGAGGCTGTAGGGCCCCTGACCTAATTAGAACCTGGAGAGGAAATAGGCGTGGCCCGCGCTGACGGCCTGTGACGAATCAGCCTTCTTCGGCCTCTCGGACCGGGGCTGTGGCAGCCAATGAGCGCCCTCTCTTTGGCCGCCTCGCCCGCGCCGAATTGCGGGAACCTGACAACCTCTGGGGAACACGATCTATTCTGGGACACCAGTGCGGCTGCTCAGTCCCTCCAGCGGGAGATGCGGACCTTGAGGCTTAGGATCCCCTCCTAGCCGAGTGGAATGGTTGGGATACTGCGCCCTATTGGCGCAGAATGGGATGGGAGCGAAGCAAGGTTTGACGCAGACCTGAGCAGAGGTCTTTGCCAATCACATCCACCTCCATAGCTCCCAGCCTTGATCACGGATCCGAAGCCAAGTTCTTTCGCAGTGAAAGCCCCGACTCAGCGAATTGTATAATTGTTGAATCCGCTTCCCTCCGTTGAACAACAGTGTCCTTTGAGCTGCCTTACCTCCCCTTTCCAGGTATCCACTCCGTGAAACCTCCCATAAGCCCTACCCCTTTCTGGGCTTACTAGACTTTCTTTGAGTTCCCTTAATAATCTGTGCGTTTTTCTGTCACTGTACTCCTTTATTGTTTTAGAGTGTATTTACTTTCCTATCTTCTCCACTCGTCTGTGATTTATTTTGTAATTCTTTGCACAGTATCTGGCCAGAGGAGGTGCTGTAGTGCTATTTCCTCAATGAACTCTTAGGCAGAATCCTGATGTATTAACCAAATAAAAACAGAGCTGTTCTGATAGGAGTGGAGTGGGAATGTCCAGAGCCCTGAACCTTCACGGAAGCCCCCGAGACACCTATTATTAGTGACTTCCTCTGAAATATTCAGTTTAACATATAGAAATATGGTTTATCTAGGAGATGAAAAATATATTTAGATCCTCAAGGAGCACTTGGTTTGGGTCAGCCTTGAAGACCCAGCTGCATTCTCACTCTTGGGTTCTGTGAAATAACCTTACGCCCATATAACAAATGTTTTTGTTGTTGTTGTTTGGCTTAAAGCTGTCTGAAATGGGTTTCTGTTTCTTGCAACTGAAGAGTCTTAGCTGAAGAGGCTTAACTAGGGCAACGATGCTTCAGTGTGGTTATGAGGATTAAATAACATAAAGTATTTCAAGCACTTCAGTTAGCACCTCCAGAAATGTTTCTCCCCTCTTCCAACTGTTAACAGTATCGCATGTACCGAGACCATCAGACTTACCTGTGTTTTGTACATGCTCAAAATAAGAGCCCATTTTGCGGTCAGTTTTCTTTTCTTTTTATTTATTTATGTATTTATGTATTTATTTATTTTTTGAGTCGGAGACGGAGTTTCGCTCTTGTTGCCCAGGCTGGAGTGCAATGGTAAGATCTCGGCTCACCACAACCTCCGCGTCCCTGGTTCAAGAGATTCTCCTGCCTCAGCCTCCCAAGTAGCTGGGATTACAGGCATGCGTCACCACTCCCGGCTAATTTTGTATTTTTAGTAGAGACGGGGTTTCTCCATGTTGGTCAGGGTGGTCTCGAACTCCCGACCTCAGATTATCCGCCCCCCCCCCAACCCCGGCCTCCCAAAGTGCTGGGATTACAGGCGTGAGCCACCTCGCCCAGCCAGTTTTCTTTTTTGCAAGTTTTTCCTCATTCCATCTTTCAGGTGGTGTTATGATTTATGTTTTTTTTTTTGCTATGTTTTAAAGTTTTGTTTGTTCCTGAAAGGATTGAGTTAGTCATACTCCTCAGTTCATGGCATACTATCATCAGACCATGACAGTGAGGCCCTCTTGTTTTATTTATTTATTTATTTATTTATACCCTTCAAGTCCCATTTTCTCACTACAATAGGCAATTTTCTAATGTGCTTAATGTGGATATTTCCATTTATGTGTTTTCTAAACATAGTTATTATTTCGTGAGCATGCATTATTAAATGTACTTCAAACCTACTGAGATATTTGTCTCATTACTTATATTTGTTTAACCTAAGCACTGTTTTTTGGCTCCATCCACGTTGCCAGATGTTAATATTTAATCTGTTACTTCACATTGATGCCTAATAGTCCGCGGTATGCATCTGTCCACTCTTCCATTGATGAGCTCCCATGCTGCTTCCAACTCCATGCTACTACAAATAACCCTGCATTGAATCCCCTTGTGAACTTGTAAATAATTTGTTTTATGTTACTTAGGGGAGGAATTGCTGCTGGGCTACTGGGTATAAATCTGTTTAATGTGTCCGAGTAATGCCATATCGCTTTCCAAAAGTGGTGGAACCAATCTTGCAGCAGTGCAAGATTCTGTATTTCCACGTCTGACAACACTTGCAATTTTTCTTTTTCTTTTCTTTTCTTTTTTTTTTTTCTTTTTGAGGCAGAGTCTCACTCTGCTGTCTAGGCTGGGGTGCAGTGGTGTAATTATGGCTCACTGCAGCCTCCCAGGCTCAACCGATCCTCCTGCTTCAACCTCCTGAGTAGCTGGGACTATAGGCACATGCCACCATGCCCAACTAATTTTTTAATTTTTTTGTAGAAATAGGATCCCACTGTGTTGCCCAGGCTGGTCTCAAACTCCTGGGGTCAAGTAGTTCTCCTGCTTTGGCCTCCCAAAGTGCTGGGATTACAAGCATGAGCCACTGCACCCAGCCAACATGTGCTATTTTCTAGATTTCTAATCACTGGTTTGATAGGAATAAAGTGATATCTCATTATTTGTTTAATTTGCATTTGATTACTAATGTAAATTTCCATATATTTATTAGCTTTCTCCTCTGCAATTAATTGCCTGTTCATATTCTTTGCTTCTTTTTTTTAAATTGGGTTGCTTTTTCCTGTTCATTTGCAGGCGTTCCTTACATATTTTAGGGTGATATTACACTGTTGTCAGTTTTAGACAAAGCAAATATATTCTCCATTCTGCCATCTGCCCGTTAACTTCGTTAATGATGCCCTTTATGGAACAGAAATCCTTAATTTTTTAATAATGAAGCTCCCCAGCTTTTGCTTTATGACTTGCGCTTTTAAAACGTTGAAATATGGGTACCACTTTCTTAGTTGTGCTTATTCTCTGCCAGATATCTCCAAATCTGAATTCACTGGTGAGGTCTCTAGGCATTCCATTCACTCCTCTTCACTGAATTCCAAAGTCACTGTTCTGACTGAATTTAACCCTCTTTGAACCTTTTCCCTCATACAGTCTCAAGCTATGAAAATCATAGCCTTTAACTGTTTGAAGTCAAGTTTTTCATAACCCTGGACACATATTTCACCTTATCTCCTTGGCTACCAGAAACTCAGTGACGTGGTTACTTTCTCTCAAAGATTTTTCTTCACTTCCATTTCACTAATCAGTTCCATCTTTGTGGGTCAGAATTAGATCCAGAATAGCAATCTGTACTATGTCACCTCTTCCTTCTGAGGAATGACATTCACATTAAACAACATATCCTCTGATTCTGGAACTTGGTTTTGTGCCAGTTTCATTATTTGCTCCTGGGATCTATAATCCAGTTTATGTATCTGTTTTGTTAGCCCTTGGCACATTTTAAAAATGACATGACTTATTTCCTCTCCTTTATCTTTACCTAAATGATTCCTTTCTTGTTTCCATGCTCAAGAATATAAAAAGCCCACACAAGACTCTACCTTCGTGATTAAAGGGCTACTCTGACTTTCCTTCTATGATTTTCTTTTGTTTTTACATTCCTTGCACTTATTTTCTTTTGTCTCTTTCTTTCCTTCCTTCATCCCTTACCTGCCCCTTTTTTCCCTCTTTCCTTCCTGAATTTTACAAATGCCAGGGACAAGGGCTAACTTTCTGTAGATCACAGCAAAGAAGCTGCTTCTGACCCAGAAACAGGTTTCCCACAAACACATGGTGTGTGTCCCATAACCAGCAACCCTTTCCCAGCTGCGCATCAGAACTTAGTTCTGTTTCTATGGAACAACGTATTGTACCTTTTTTCACTGCCAGGTTCCAGGTGTCAATCCCATCCTACCATGTTTCTTTATGAGATTTTATTTTCCTCATTGAATAAAATCTAAAATTCTATATTACCTGTATTTTGTGCATTGGTGTGGAGGCCATAAGTAGGTTTTTTGTTTTGTTTTGCCAACTCCATTGTACTTACTTTTTCCAGAAAATTACTAGGATACTGCCTCTGCTATGGCTCTTTCTCCAGTATCATACTTGATGTCCTCTGTAGCATAAAATGTTATGGCTTTCCTGGCATTTTTAAACTTCCCTTTAAAAAAAAAAAATTTTTACAAGCCCACAGCTAACATCACACATTTTTTTAACTTCTCCATTTCACCTTGTCCCTCCTGCATACACACCTGCCCCTCCCACACACACACCATTCCCATTTTAAAATTGAAGTGCTTTCAATTTAGTGGGCAATGCTCATAGAAAACAGATTTTCCCTTTGATCTTCCGAGAAGCACTCTGTCCCGATTCAAGAACACTCAGTCCCAATTCAATTATTCCCTCATAATTAGACTGTGAGCTCCTTAAAGGTAGGGACCATGACTTCCTGGAGTCTGCAGCAGTGCCTGCAGCCTTCAATGACACATAGCAGGCAGTTGGTAAACACTTGCTGACAAATTCACTCAATCATGGTTCTCTTTTTGTATGTATTTTTCCATCATGCTGATATAATTATTCACCTGCTATACAAAAGTTTTTTGACTCTTTATTCTCAAAGCTGGATTCAAGTCACAATAAGCTTTCCTTAGCATATTGTAACCATTTATAGCAGATTAAGGTGTAGTACCATTTAATGGGAAAAAATTGTTCTATAGTTCAGGTGAACAGGCTTCTGTTCCTAACACTGTCATTATCTGTGTAACCTTGGGCATATCACCCATTTCCTTAGTTATGTACAATGGCATAATTAATATTTGCTCACCAGCAATTCTTTTAGAAGGAAGCTGTACTTTTTAATGAAGTACTTGGGGTAAAAATAAGATAAATTTCCCCTACCCAGAGGGCTACATGTGAAATAAACTATTTTTCTCAAAATATGAGAGTGTGCTGGTAATGCTGAGCAAGCAGGTAGGAGCAGAAAGAAAGGAAGGAAGGATGGGGTGGAGGAGCCTGTTAAAGGCATAAACTTCTTCATGGGACTTTCCCTGGGATCCCTACCCCACCCACCCCCATTTTCCTATTCAATCTACAGTAAAATATTTTAAATGCCTAGCAGGATTATGTAATAGTTCCTCTTGAAACCAATGAAAGGGTGTTTTATGAGTCCTTCTTACAGTTGATAAGGAATGAAACTGAGGCGGCCTGCATGGACTCAGGGGTTGGATGCAAGGGATTGGGGATGGGCTGATTCCCTCTTTTTGGAATCCAGGATCTGGTATAAAAATGAGACCCTTAATTTCTGGAAATCTGTTTTTCCTTCCATCTGTGTCTGCTTATTAAGCCATTAAAAACTGCCTGCTTTAAAGAGAAACTTAACTGGCAAATGAAAAGCCTTACAACTACAGGATCTTCTATCTGTGTATTTGTATGTATTGTGTGTGTAATGTTTACATAAAAGAGCTCTAATTAATTGGCTTAAAGAAAAGCACTTAAATATTTTCTCAGAAAAATTAAAACTAATGCCTTTTAGTTCATGTGACTATGGTAAACTTTCAAAAATAAAGACAGTTTTAAAGACTATTGATACAATAAAAATGTCTTCAAAATTTAGACATTTGGTCTAAATTAGGTCAGATATTAGGTTTGCTAAATGCTTTAAGGTCATAAACTGCTTCTTTGACTTTTGGAAATTGTTCAATTTACTTACCTTGAAGCCATTAAATTCTAGATAAGGCCTGGGGACATGTGGAATTAGCCATGCCCCCTAGCTATGCAAAGAAGGTTATAAAGAAAAGAGATTTTATATAAGGAATGATCTTGTATGGTAAATTATTATCCTAAAGCAAAATGACTGGTTGTTTAAAAAGAGGGATGTTTAGGGCAAGTAAGATAGTCCAAGCATGTGATAGGTGGTTTGTGTAAGTCATGAAAAGATTTGTGAAAGGGAATTTATGCAAGAAAAGTTGTACAATTCAAAGGTTGTTAGACTTCCTAAATCCTTCATAAAATGCCACTATGACTCTTACTGTACAACTTGGCTGGCTTTACAGTTAGTTAAGGCCTGAGATATGTGGAGAATCAAGAGGAAAACAAACTATGGGACACTGCAGAAATTGTATGGCATGCTGTGGACTTCCCAGGTTTGAAATTGAAATTTGGGTCAAATTTAATCAGATTCTTAATGACATGGGCACTCCCTTCAGACATCTGAGTTACATACAAAATGGCTGTATGAGGCCGGGCACAGTGGCTCACGCTTATAATCCCAGCACTTTGGGAGGCCAAAGTGGGCAGATTGCTTGACTTCAGGAGTTTGAGACCAGCCTGTTCAACATAGCGAAACCCCATCTCTACTAAAAATACAAAAATTAGCTGGGTGTGGTGACACATGCCTGTAATCCAAGCTATTCGGGTAGCTGAGGCAGGAGAATTGCTTGAACCCAGGAGGCAGAGGTGCAGTGAGCTGAGATTGTGCCACTACACTCCCGCCTGGGCAATAGAGTAAGACTGTATCCAAAATAAATAAATAAATAAAAATAAAATGGCTGTATGATCATCACTAAAGTTTATTTCACCAATAACATTTTCTAAGATTCTAAGGGATGGTAACATGTGTTTTTTTATTCCTGGCTCTAAAATCTTATAATTCTTTAGATGTTATATACTTAAGATTCAATTACACACATTTTCTGCCTATTATAAGACAGGTCCCTTACTACTAATTCCAGACAGACTTTCCCCCACCCCACACTGTAACATCTCTGAAATGGAATGTGTCTTATAATTGATGGCAGCCTTCAATTACTGTTGGCCACACAGCAGTCATGACATAGTTGTCATTGCCTACACATGCCTGATCTATAATCCCTTGATGTTTCAGTTAATCAACCATTTAATGACCCTTGAAGGAATATTAGTCCTAGTTGTTGTCTGAACACCTTCCCTGAACATGTTCTAGCAAGATCAAAAAATGTGCCAGCATTAAAACTTGCATACTAGGTATTGTAGCCTGGAAGAATTTCCCATAGACAATACTAGAGGACTTTTTTTTCTTTATAAGAAATGCCACTTCACTAATACTCAAAATGGCCCAGAGAATAGAAATGCATGGGAAAATACATCAAATATTCTGAGTCAAAAAGTGATTCAAGTGTCAGACTCAGTGTGAAAAAAATTAAATAATACCATAATGACTCAGTTATTTCAGTGCATAGTAGTGATTTTTTTAAGTTCTATTTCTAAGCAACTCTAAAAGAGTTCTTTAAGAATGAAACTTTAAAATATAAATATAAGAAAGCATAGCGATAATTTGACAGTGTTTTTTCCTTTCTTAATGGTACCTAAAATAGGATGCCATACAGTCAATTGTGCCTTAAAGTCAATAAAATAGATACTTCAGAGACTATAAAAATGAGAAAGCAGTTCCAGCTCTCAAGATAACTGATAATCCAGAAGGGAGAATATAAAAGCACATGAGGAATAATAGAAGTAAGGCAAAATACAGTTACCATGCTCCAAATAGGTACAAAGAAAAAGATTTGGACATTTTAAGGAGGAAGAGATCACATCAGGAAAGGCTCCATGATGGAGGTAGCATTAGAGAAAGGCTTTAGAGAACCGGTAGAGTTCTAACTAACAGAGACATGATGGAGCAGGAAAGTAAAGAGAATGACCAGAAAACCAGATGCAGGAAAATGAGGGGCATTTCTGGGAAATGGTGAGTAGCATGCACATTTTAACTAGAGTTAGTTACCCTTTCTGACTTTACAGGCTTCATTAATAATTTGATGAAAATTATGAACCCTATTCCTTGAAATAAAAGCACAAATTCATAGTCAAAAAGTTTTACATGCTATTTCTGGGGATTTCCCATTCACAGCGTGAGAGAGGGAAAAGGGGCAAGGGGAGGTGGGGAACACCTCTGAGAGGCTGGTGCAGGTGGCCCAGGCTGCAGAAGTCCTTTTTCTGGAGGAGATGTGCATCTGACTGCACTTGGGAAGCATGACTGAGAGATACGGAATTGAGGCCAGAGGGCGCTCATTTAGATGGCTCACTCAGGGATTAAAGAAACTGGGATACCCCTGGGAATCATTTCCAGCTTTGACTGGGATGATATGGGCTTCTTACCTGGTGGGATGGTGTCTAGAAGATGTAGTTGAGAAATGAAATATATAGGTTAAAAAATATTCCGGGCCTAATTAGGGAGGACCTTGACTCCCCACGCCCACTGGATTTTAAACTTAGTTTAAGAAGCACTAGGGACACACAGATTTCGAGAAGAATGAATGTTCAGAGCTCTGGTTTAGGAAGATTAACCTTCGGATGAAAGGTATGTGAGCAAGGCCAGGGGAGACAAGTCAGGAGTATATTGCAGTTGTTTTTTACATTCTTCATATACATTCTATTTATTTACTTTCTCTTCTCTCCTTGCCACCCACCATTTGACAGAGAGCCAGGACTTTAGCAGGCATCTGATAGTGCTTGTTGAAGTGAAAGCCATAAATTCCCTGAGGCTCCCCTTGTAATGTCCCTATTTCCCGACAGGTGGCACCATTACAGCATTATTTACAGAGCAGGGTTGCTTCTATAAGCACAGTGCTTCCAAGCAGAAAGAGAATTCACTTTCTGGGGACAGTCTAAATGTGAGGGGAAATGGTAGCTAGAGTAAAAGATTCAAAAACATGTCTTTTGTTCAAAAATATTTCTTACCATACCAAGGTATCCTGGCTGAATTTCTTCTTCAAGGCATACAAACGAGGAAGATGCTTCTGAAAACCTGCCTTTTCAAAGATGCAAGCAATTTTATGTCTTGCAAGAAGTATACACCTAAATATATTTGGGTAAGGACTATTCCTTAGTTCTGGGAAAACTACTAGGTGAGCCATTTCATCATACATATCAAACAGAGACTATCATTTATGGTGATCCTGAGATCATGTAAAACTGAGTGTTCATGTTGGAGGCCAGCTTACATCTCTTAGGGAAATAACAATTTCTCTAAGAGCAGATTTTAGCCATACCAGGATAAAATTGTAGCTTACTTCTATGAAGCTATACATGTTTTCATCTTGAGAATAGGAGCTAAATCCTGAGAGAGGCCCCTTAAACTAGTGTGAGACGGGAGTGCCAGAAACTGAAAGAGTTGTGATGAGTTACACGCAGCACAGCGTGTGTTGGCCCCAGACATAAAATGGTATAAAGCCATGGCAGGGGCTATTTCCTCACCTCCACAACATCAGCAATGCTCCAGCAAACTCCAAGTACTAGCAGACTCGGAAGTATTGGGAGACAGGATTTTTAGAACATCATGAGTGTCAACAGAATTTGAATGTGTTGAATAGGTGATGAGTAATCAGATTTATGTAAAAAAATTCAATTCAGTGTGGAAAACTCTGGAGGAAAGGATGCCAAGAGTACCAGGTTAGGGAAAAGTCATTTCCCCTTGGGTATTTCTCAAGTTAAAAAGTCTCATTGCCCTTTATCTCAGTGATTCTTACCTTTTTTTTAACTT
This sequence comes from Homo sapiens, assembly GCF_000001405.40. Taxonomy (NCBI): domain Eukaryota; kingdom Metazoa; phylum Chordata; class Mammalia; order Primates; family Hominidae; genus Homo; species Homo sapiens. Next base: position 48,188,732 of record NC_000012.12, on the reverse strand, counting down.
AATTCTTACTTTTTAAGAATAAAGTTGAAACAATGTACATTTCTCTAGAGAATGTACATACGTAATGACTTTGCATTCAATTTCAAGGGGTTGTGGCCCTCTGAAGTTCAGTTGTGACCCTTGCCCATGAGTCTGCGCTTAGGAATCCCAGCTGAAACTCACTCATCAGAGAAGAGAAGAGGTCGGGAGGCATTACAAATGAGAAATGCAAGAGGAGAGTGGGGAATAGGGAGAAACAAGGACCTCCTATCTGTGCTGGATCGTTGTGAGATGCTGGGCGCAGGTGACTGAATAAGGTTGAAGCATTGCTTTTTCTGGAGAGATTTTTATCTATCTGGGACTTGAGGGGGCAATGGTTAAAGAACTTCAAAGAGGCCCTAAGGGACTGAGGACAGTGGGCATAAGAAGGGGAACTGGAGTCAAAGGCTAAAAGACTCTGCCAGAACGTTCTACAGAGGCTAAAGAGCTAAACTGCCCTTGGCTTTTTTTGAGACATGGTCTCACTCTGTTGCCCAGGCTGGAGTGCAGTGACACAATCATGGCTCACTGCAACCTCAATCTCCTAGGCCCAAGTGATCCTCCTACGTCAGTCCCCCAAGTAGCTGGGATGACAAGTGTGAGCCACCGCGCCCACCCTAAGGTGCCCTTGGGATTCATGTCAGACTCTGGAGAATCTGAGATATAGGGAACAGGAAAGAGGCACAAGAATGGAGCTGTGTGAGAGAACACCTGGGAGCATCGGCTTCTTCCTCTTAAGGAACAGGTTCAGGAGGCCATCTTCTTGGTGCTGTTATTATATTACCACCCACTGGACTCTGGGAAGGGTCACTAACCAAAATCTGAACTGCAATTTCTTGTTCCAACTAAGAAGATGAAAAGTAACCAAAACTAAGGTTATTTCCTTTTCAGGATTGGATTAGGCTTCGATACCCTTATTTCTCCAAACTGAAGATCGCTCTCTGAAGATCCAAATAAGAGAGCAGTTAGCAAAGTGGTTTCCATCTAGGGCTTTTTAAGTCAGACAGATCTGGGTTTAAGTCCTGGCTCTGCCAAGTACTAGCCTGTGACCCTGAGCATCTTAGAGTCTGTTATATGAAAATAATAATAGTGCCTAGTTCATAGGGCTGTTGGGAGATAAAATTAGGTACAGTGTCTGGCACATAGTAGATGCTCAATCAATGATAGTTACTGTTTTTCTTAGTGCCTACTGCTGGAACTATAATAGGAACCTATCTCCCAGTCCTCAGGGACACTTTCCCACTTATATACTTTAGCAGCTCTCTCTAGGGCCCCCAGCACACATTCCCCAATCACTGCATAACTCAAGATTCCTCTGGCCAGCCTATGTGTTCAGGTCTGGCTGTCCCCCAAGACCTTTTTGGCCCATAGTTACATGACATTCATGATGACCCTTTCATTTATGATGAAAAGGTCCATGCTAGCTTAGGAATCTCACCATTCCCCTTTCCTTAGTCCCGTCTAATTCTAAATAACTAGAATTCTGTAGATAGAATCAGATAAGTAGAATTAGATAGAACAACTAATATCTAATTCTAAAGAAGAATAAGGGTTTTTTTTTTTGAAACAAAGTTTCGCTCTTGATGCCCAGGCTGGAGTTCAATGGCACAATCTTGGCTCACCACAACCTCCACCTCCCGGGTTCAAGTGATTCTCCTGCCTCAGCCTCCCGAGTAGCTGGGATTACAGGCATGTGCCACCACGCCTGGCTAATTTTGTATTTTTAGTAGAGATGGGGTTCCTCCATGTTGGTCAGGCTGGGCTCGAACTCCCAACCACAGGTGATCAGCCTGCCTTGGCCTCCCAAAGTGCTGGGATTACAGGTGTGAGCCACTGCGCCCGGCCTCAAGGATTCTTCAGATAGGAAAAGATTATATAAAAAGAAAGTTTCTAGAACCTTCCCTGGGTAGCTTTGTTTTCCCAGAGGAGCCAGTCACCACCACCCCCTACTCCAATAAAACTATAAGGAAACTAACATTTGCACAAGACTTCCTAGGAGTCCTATATATTTTTCTCCCCAACAACTTCTTGTCCCCATTTTACATATCCAGAAACTAAGCCTCAAGCACTCAACTGTTAGAACTGAGATTTAAGTCTTTAGTGCTCTCTCTTTCCACCACTCTGCAGCTACCAGCAGCTAGCGCACACACACACACACACACACACACACACACGCACATATACACACACACATGCACATATACACACGGCACCCTAGCTCATTCTGCTCTCAAATTTTGTTCAGGGGCAGCCTCAAGAAATCTCCATTGCCCAAGGGAGTAGACTAGAGCTGTCAGTCAAGCCCTCTGGGGAACACCTTACCCGGGTTCTCCACTAGAGGCCTGAGGCAGTTATTGTGGTTTCCCTTTGTGATGTGTCACTATTTCCAGAGATCCCAGGCAATCCCTCCAGAACAATACCCCCACCCCACTCCCTCCATGGAACAGGTGCAGTATCTGCCATTCCAGGACCCAGATTTGGAAATCATTTCCCAGGGCTTCACTGGGATGCTTCACTGAAAAAGAAGTCTCCTGCACATTTGGAGTTCTGGCTACTAAAAACTCATGTTAGCATGGGAGTCTCAACACTTACCACCTCCTTCCCCAGGGCAGCTTGAGGTCAAGGTCCAGGACAGAAGGGAAAGCAGGGAGAGTTGGCAATGCCTGTCCCAACCAGGGCAGGGACAGTCAACTCCTTGAACTGGAGGCAAGGAGAGAGGAGGGAAGGCATGGCCCCTGCAGTTCCCACTAAGACCCACCCTGATATCCCCTTAGTACCAGTCAGCAAGGAGGGGAGATGACGCCTTTTTATTAAGGTTAACACCAAGGAAAGCATTGAGAAGGAATACACAAAGGAGGGGGAGGGCACACAAAGTCACCACTTGAGGAGGTGGAAGGGCGGCACATCAGTAAAAGAACCTCAGGACAGCCACATGCTCCATGCCCTGGTTGGGGGAAGAGGGAGAGAAAAGCGCCATTGATAGCTTGGAGCTCGTAGAAGGGTCTGAAGCCCCTGAACCTAACACCAGAGCCACAAGCCCTGCCCCTGAGGGCTCACACACTACTACACAAGTAGACACACATAACACACACAAGACATTATGAAGGCAACACCGAGAGGCAGTGGGCAAGGACATATTGACAGAAAAAGGAACTGAAGTTAAGCAGGTGTAGCCAGGAGAGACAGTTTTTGGCTGCGGCCCCAAGAGTCCCTCAAATGTCCCCTAAATCTGGGCTGCTGCTGAGCACCCCCGAGTCTCTGCCTGTGAACCGGGCTCTTTGTTCTCTAAGCCCCAGGGAGTGGAAAAGCAATCCCAGATGAAGTCAGTGACAAGGCAGGATCCGCTCTGCATGCAAAATCCTAGAGGTTGAGCTATTATGTCTTCATGCACATTCATAGCCAGCTCCTCCCAGCCCAGGGGCCCTTGGAACCCCATTCACCCAGATTCCTAGGGCTGCAGTTCCCTCCTCAAGCTTCCTTTACCAATCAGCAGCCGCAGAGATCTGTGAGGGGGAGAGGCTTCTGCAGAGCACTGAATATCTTGGATTTCAGCAGAAGGGTAAATTTCCTGTTGCCAGAACAAAATACCCCCAATTCCTTAATTTCCAGGTAAATTGTTAGAGATTATTTGCCATGGTCCTAGGTAAGTCCTTTTTCAGAATAGAAAAAGCAGAATTTTATTTACACAATTCACGGGTTCTCCTGTTGTCTGGGAAGGGGGAAAGGACAGGATAGGGATGGATGGGAGTCCAGAGATGGGCGCTTCCTCTCCCGGAGCCTCACCTTTCCGCAGTTCGCTATAATTCGCTTAGTTGGGCAGAAAGAATTCTCGATGCTCCCAAAGTCCTTCACCCTACAAATCCTTCCTCGAGGGAGTCTCTCTCTGCCTGACCCACAAGAGCAGCTGTCCAAGTGAAGCATGCCGCACCGCGCCGTTCAGTCCCCCTCGCGTCATGCACTCGGAAACCCAAAGACAGCCCGGGAAGGTAGTGCCCCACGGAGTCCCCTCACAGGGAGGCCTCGCCCTCCAGTTGCAGCAGGGTAATGTCGGGCATGTCGAGGGGCTCCACAAGTGGCCCGTCCCCCCCAAGGAGACCAGCACAGGGGCTTTCGGGGCGCTCACAGTGACTGGAGGGTGTGGCGGGGCTGGGCATCTCCTTCTCTTCTTCCTCTTCCTCCTCGTCCTCGGGATCGCGACCCAGCAAGCCGCTGTCCCCGATCCCAGGCGAAGGAGTCTCCGGCTCTTGGGGGTCGCTCTGGAAGCTCCCCTTGCCGCCGACCACGCCCAAGCCGCCCTGGCGGGGCGCAGTGGTCATAATCTGGCACATGGAGACGATGGCTCGCTGGTTGGCGCACACGTCGTCCGAGAGCACCTGGATGTGCGAGGCCTGCTCGTCCAGGGCCCCCCTCATGGCCCTCACGTCCTCAAACAGGGCTTGCAGCTGGGCTTTCAGGTGCTCCATCAGTTCCTTCATGCCGCCGTTGTACTCCCCGGAGATCACGTCCCCCACTGCCGGCACGGTGGACACCTCCAGGGGCGCCGGCATGTCGCCGCCGTCCTTGGTCATGATCTCCAGCAGACCGTCCTCCATTGAGTGGCAGAAGCGGGTGGCGGAGGCTCTGGGTCGCGTCCAGCCCGGCCTCCGGGGTGGGGGAGGGGGTGGAGGGGGAGAGGTCCCGGGAGGGGCTAGCGGGAGCCGAGGGAAGCGGAGGCTCCCGAGACTGGCGGGGAGCCGACGTGAGAGACGAGTCCTGGGCAGAGGGCGCAGGCAGGATCGCGGGAGGCCGAGAAGAGGCTGCGGGACGAGGACCCGGCGAGGGTCCCAGAGCCGGCGTCTCTTGGGATCGCCCCGGGACGAAAGTGCCCTGCCCTGCCTCGCCTCCCGGATCGCGCCCGTGTCAGCGCCGCCCTCTGGGCGCCACAAGCAGAGAGCGCCTGCCGGTTCCGTGGGTCACAGACGCGCTCGCGGAGGGGTCCGCGTCCAGGCTGAGGCCAGCGGCGCGTCGGACTCGGGACTCCCCCAGGCCATTACCGGGCAGCGCCCGCGAGTGTGGCAGCAGCAGCTGGGGTGGGTCTCCCGGGGGTGTCGCGGATGCTCCTCTGTTTCCAAGGCGACGCACGGCACGTAAATGACGTGTGTCTCCATGGTAACCAGGAAGTGGCGAAGAAAAAGGGAGGATGGCTGGAAGCTGCAGTGGGGCTCTGGAGTCTGGACTAGCGGGGTGGGGGGAGGAGAGGGGACGCTACAGTGGCTTCGGCCAAGGCTGGAAAGAGCGTGTGGTCGCAATGTTTAATAGGGAAGTATGAGAGAGCCGTCTGCTGCAGAAACCTCCAAGTCCGGGAGAGATCGTCCCTCCCCTAGCCGGGGTATGAGACCCAGCGAGACTGCCCTGGAAAGATTTTTCCAGCCCGCATTCCTTTCTCAGAGGATGGCGCTAAAGTCGAGTCCTGCCTCCCTGTCCTCCAGCGATGCGCAGGAAAGCGGAGAGGGTAGAGAGGCTGTTGCTAATGATCCCAGAGTTGAGCTGGGGCACGGTGGCGCTCTGGAGCCGGACCCACCGGGCCTGACGGTGCAGAGGCAGGAGGAGGGCGCTACGGAGGTTTCTGCAGTAAATCAGCCCTCTAGCTATAGAAATCACCGGAGCGGGGGAAGGATGGGACTCCCTCCTTTATGAGACCCTACCGCTCCTACGCAGGTCTCTGGGAGTTTGTCCCAGATGGGGAGGCCAAGTGCTTAAGTTTTGAGAATGAAAGCTCCATAAGGGGAGAGATTTTTGTCTCCCCTGCACCCTCCATCACGGAATCCCCAGCTCCTAAAATAGTGCCTGGCACCTAGTATGTAGATGCTTAATATAGTTATTGAATGAATAACAAAAACCACCAAGTCCCACGCTCTCATCCAGAACTCCCCAAGCCAAACGTAGTGGGTTTTAGGAGACCTGAATTCAGTTTCGTTTCTGCCACTTATTCATTCAGCGACCTTGGCCACATCATTTTCCTCATCTGTTAGGGAATTGGACTGGATAATCTATAATACTATTTCTAATTCTGAATAACAGTCTGCATCATCTCACAGGTGAAAAGGTAAACTGTTGACCGTTGTGTGGAGGGTATGGATGGGGGGACTGTGTGTTAGAGTAATTCCCGCTCTCTCTTTCAGTGCCCAAGTTCAGACATACACTGAGTATCCCCAACCTTTGTGACAAGCCCTTTCCCTATTTAAGGGGTGGAGCAGGAAGGGTGGAGGAAGAAGAAAAATTGTCTTTAATATACGTAGATGATTGCAGATTGAGAAGGAATCAGCACCTGGGCAGAGCACAATAATTAATAATGACCCTAGGAAATTAGGGAAGCCAAGTGATCGGAAGCCAAAAATGAAGTTCATAAGAATAAATCTGGGAAAGAGAAACAAACTATATCACTTCAAGATAGAGAAGAACTACGTAAAGGTGAGTGTTTTGTAGACTGGCGGTTCAGTGACAGCAAATGTGTTACCTTTGGGTTTCCCTGGTTATGTGCTTGGTGATGAAGAGTGAGGCTGGCCCAGGGAAAGTTTTGTGACACTAGAGGACTGCTTGACCTATACCAATCTTACTGCTTTTAAAATAGAAACAAGTGGGGACTATCCTAAATGACCAGCAGCAGAATGTTTAAATAAACTAAGGCAAAATTGCTGATACATAAAGTATTATGCAGCCATTAAAAATTTGATTTCCCAAAACAAATATATGAACAAATTTTAAAAACACAGTATTGTATTTTCTGAAACTAATGATTCAATTCTATTTGCTTGCTCATTTCTTCCTTCATTCTACAGATTTCCAGCACTCTCACCTTGCTTAGGACTCCTACCTCTGCTCTGTACCCCACACGTGGTAATAACACCTTAGATTACTCCTGAAACTCTGGCTCAAGAGAGGACAGAAATGCTTTTCCTTGGTTTCCATAAGCACAGCTGAAGTGGGCTGGTGTTTACAAAGAGACTTTATTAAAAACTATAGGAAAACTAGAAATAGAAACAGAACACATGAAAACAGCTGAGCTTACACAGCATAAGTTTCTGATTATACTACAGCAAGCATGTTCTCAGGGCTTATAGGTCCAACCCTGCTTTCATCCTTCCGAGGAGAGCTCTGCTATAGCCAGAAAAGACTGGCATGGCTTTCAGACTTTCTGTCTAGGTCTGTTACTTTACATCTCTTGACAAGCACTTCACATGGAAGATTTCATCTTGCCAATTCACCCTTCAGGTATATCCCTACCTTCTACCTACAAAGAGTGACTCTGTCCCAGTGGGGGACCTCTCATTGTTGAAATCCCATAAGCTTACACTAAGCATAGCCCCCATACAGGAGGAGCTATGGTATGTCATCATACAAGGCCTTTTGCCACTATTCTTGAGGATGTGAAGGCTTTCAGCATAAGATTACATCATGCTGTCCAGAGGTGCTGGCCATGAAGTCCACTGAGAGTACAAGGGATCTGAGCCCAGAGGGAGGGGAAATTATTGGAGAAGCACAAAAGGCCATGGGAAACATGTGCAGAGATCAAGCAGTTTGGCTGGTCCAGTCAAGTTCCAGGTCAAACATTTGAGAGCCAAGGGTAGGTGGGAACTGGGGGAGTGGACCAGTAGCAGGATTTGAAAATATAGGAAGGTGGCTGGGTGCGGTGGCTCATGCCTGTAATCCCAGCATTGTGGGAGGCTGAGGTGGGTGGATCACTTAAGATCAGTAGTTTGAGATCAGCCTGGTCAACATGGTGAAGCCCTGTCTGTACTAAAAACACAAAAATTAGCTGGGCATGGTGGTGGGCACCTGTAATCCCAGCTACTCCAGAGGCTGAGGCAGGACAGTCGCTCAAACCCAGGAGGCAGAGGTTGCAGTGAGCCAAGATTGTGCCACTGCACTCCAGCCTGGGTGACAGAGCAAGACTTAGTCGAAAGAAAGAAAGAGAGAGAGAGAGAGAGAGAAAAGAAAGAAAGAAAAAGAAAGAAAGAAAAAGAAAGAAAAGAAAGAAAGAAAGAAAGAAAAGAAAGAAGGAAAGAAAGAAAGAGAAAGAAAGGGAAAGGGAAGGGGAAGGGGAAGGAAAAGAAAAGAAAAGAGAAAAGAAAAGAAAAAGAAAATATAGGAAGGAGACATTGGTGCATCTGATAGAAAACCAGATCATTTCAGGAACTCTGTGTGAAAATGAGATGAGGTAGAAAAGTCTAGTCTCAGGAAAATAAGGAGAATAAGGAGAACAGAGGCAGAGCCTCAGTCAGCTAGATGGGTTACAGGCCTGGGCCCTCTGGATCCCAATGCCCTATAGTTAGTTGCATGGGTCCATTTCCAAGCAAAAGGTGGCCAGATGTATACCCCAGCCATCCTACTAGAATATTCAGAGGAACTGCCACATAATAAGAGAATATAACCCCCGCACAGCTTCTGCTTCCTGCTTTTCTATTATCCTCTGGGAATCCCCTTAGCTATTCTCTTCATCCCACTCTTATCAATCTGTGATAGGGAGAGACCCTCATGCTATCTACATATAGGTTTCCATCAGGTACACCTAGTTTCAAACCTCATATTCTCACTAAAATTGGGATTTGGAAGAGGCTCTGCCATTTTCCTCTGTCTGGTGTCTCGTGTATCTCTAGTTTCTATTTTCTATAGCTGGTGTATTTTTTGCACTATAAATCCGATGATGCTGGCTAGACTCAGGTCTAGAGCAATGATTTAAAACAAGATATAGCTGACTGCTGTACCTTAGGCGCCAAATCCCAGACAGTATCCCCCAAATATAACTTTCATGAAGCTGACCTGTTTTGTGGCCCATCACAGCTTGATATCACACTCAAACATATCCAATAGCCAAAAGAATTAAAAAGAAATTTAGATTTTTATTACAGTCTCTGGGCAAACTTTAAAGGGGTTTACATTCTTAGTGCACAGCGAAACATCTGAAACTTGTCTTCCTTCCTTCTCTATTTGTTCCACACATTATGGCATAGCTGTTGCTGCTGGTCTCTCTCTCCCCAAACACTCCCACACTTTCTCTCAAGCCTGGCCCTTGCTTTCTCACTCCCTGGCTCTCTTCACTTCTTGGATGTATTCTTTTTCTCTCCTCCAAGAAGCTTCCTGTCCTCACATAAATCAGGCCAAGCTTATTTTAGCTCTTTTGATTCTGTTCCTCATTCCCCCAATCTGCATAAGTACTGGGAATCCCAGCTATCAATTACAGGGGTCTTCTCAGAGGATAAAAAAGATGGAGAGGCTGAGAATATTCGCATTGTTGTGGGTTTTGCCTGTCACATAGGCTAGTTTTTCTCAGCACCAGAGAGTGGTTTACCTGGCATTACAGCCAATCTGCTTTGTTCATCTCCCCGACGTTTGCACAGAGAAATGGACATGGTGGTTTGCAAAGACCCTGGGCCCTTATGAGCCTCTAACTGGAGAGGGGATCCAACTGTCCACACCCTCAAGATTATTTAGTGTCATAGACATGGCCGTGTGGTGAGCCACCTACCCACACCTCACGTAAGGCCTGAACTACACTTCCAGTTGCTTGCTCTGTGACTTCAAACTATTTTTAGGAGTCTTTAAGGCTACCCCTAACCTCTTATTTCTCTTCCATATTAATTTAACTCAGAGCAAGAATTCTAGGGGACCTTCCAACTTCTCATGCAATATGAATCTCCACTGACAATAACCCCCCATTCCAATTAAACCTGTTTTGCCAGTGTCATCCCATCTCCCCTTTCTGCACTGCCCCCTGCAGCAGCTTCTCTTAGATCAACACTTGCAGAGCCTTTTCCCCCTCTCAGTGCATATTCAAACATGTATTCAGTATCACTGTGATGTCACCAGTTCCAACCCAAGTCTCTAGGTAGCTGGCCATGGACACAGAAGCATTCAGAACTCCAGAACCACCAATGATCCCTGGTGCATGGTCTCAAGCACCTTCCATCTTTTCCATAAATTATTTTGCCCCCAGAAAGTTGCCATTTTTGCAACAGCTTAGAGCCTGGTTTGGCCCCAAGTCAGGCACTGACAGTGCTGCACCACCTGAAAAACCAATTTCTAGTTCAATGGAGGCAATTTTGTTTGACCAATTGCCTCTCCCACAGTATCAGTCCAATTTGAAGGAAATCATGTCCAAATATCTATGGTAGGATAGGGACTATGATATGTGTGCCATAAACTTCCCTTCTATTAAAGGTATTTTTAGGAATTTAATGTCCCTCATAGCTGACTTATGCAAACTTCCAGGACCTTCCTTGCCTGTCATATCTTGAGGAAGTCTGTGCTATTCTATCCTACGCAATTCTACAAAACTTTGTAGGTCTCCCTGTTACTAATACATCTAGTTATACTAAGTCCATCCCTCTCAGAGGCCCCCCCAAATAATGTCAAAAGTTATTTCTACCACATTCTCAAGGGCCAGCGAGGCACTATCAGTTACAGTTTAGCAGCCACTGTGAGGGTGCATTCTGTTTCCATTGCCCAAACACAGATGGAGACTATACTAGTATTTGTGATGATACCATGGACAGGGGCCCCAAAATGTAATCCATGTCTTCAAAGTACTGTAGAAGTGCTGGATCTTAGGCAAAAGTGAGGAGAAGGACCCTTTCCCCCAACTTTTCCACCTAGAACCCCGAGGCCCCTATTTTAAGAAGTCTTGCATAAAAATAGCTCCATCTTCTACGGTTGACCACTCGTTCACAGTTCATAGGCACAATGCCTGCTCTTTTGTTTGTTTTAAAGCACCAGGATCACTTTCATGCTGGAACTCTAATCCTTTTGCTTTGCTTTATTCTTCTCCACACCAGTTATCAATATCTGTTATCCTGTATTTTTGTTTATTTATTTTATGTCTTATTTATTTATCTTTTACTCCCAACTAGGGTGTAAGATCCATTAGAGCAGGGGGTTTGTTTTCTTCACTGCCTTATCTGTAGCACCTAGAATAGTGCCTGGCACATGGCAGATGCTCAATAAATATGTGTTGAATAGATGAATGAATGAAGTCTAAATCCATACCTAGAAAAAGAAACAACTCCCTTAAGGACATGTAGTCTGCAAAGCTCCAACTCTGCCTTTTCTTCGAGAACATTTTAGCTTTTTCAGTTTCAACCATCTACTTCGGTAATCTATGGCTTATGGTCACACTATTAAGTGGCCCTGTTGGTGGCCTTTCTTGAACAAAGGAATACTTACTTCAGAGACAAATGGAAGTCTCTATTTCTTACAAAATAGAAAAGTGCTTGCAGCTTTGAAATGAGAGCTGTCACCACCCCTCTAACCTCCCTTGGGATATTCCACCACTATCCCCATCGAAGTCTCAAAGATACCAGGGCCAAGTTTTGTCAGAACTCAGGGTCAAAGAAATGCACGCTCTCTGCTCCCCTCAGCATTACCCGGGAATGGGATGATATCAAGCCTGTATCTTCATACTGCATGCTAAGGAGAACTCCTGATTTATATTCTTATTCTGGTGGAGACAGCCTCAGAAAAAGTACCCTGTTTCTGGTTGTAAGATTAGTAGCTAACTGAGAAAGGGACATTATGAACATAGAGATTACTATGCTTTAAAGCTTGTGTATGTCTTCTCTTTGTGTTCCTAAACTGGTAGACTAGGGTGATTTAGGGTAGTGCTATCACCGAGTTACATGTTTTACTGTAATAAAATTGAGTCCTTCTTGTCCCTTGCTGCCTCCTTTCCTTGCTTCTGTTCTAAAACCAAACCAGACAAAAACTCCCCATATTGATCAAATATATAACAAAAAATACATAAAGGTCAGCCTTCCCAGGATAGTAAAACTAAATTAAAACCAAACAGCAAACATGGATCAGAAAAATAATATTCCAGAAATTGAGGTTAGTCTCTAAACAACCTAAGTGAGACATTTTTGGTAAGGTCTTGTTATTCTCCACAGTGTTGTCTGTGTCTCTAAGACGCAGAAGGGAACAGTATGTCAGGTTTACTGGTAATTGCCTGGATCAAATGAGTTAAACTGGGATAGATTCTCCTCAGAGGATGATCCTGAGTCACATATCCAATCTCTCATTCATCCCAGTTCATCCATCACCATAGCACACATGGGCTTCCAGCTGCTTCTTATACTATTAAAAACCAATTCCCTCTTACCAAAGGCATTAGTAGTTTTGCTGCTCATTAGAACAATGAGTATCATCCAAGACACCTCCAGGTATATTAAATGATAAACTGCTCACAATTTCACATTATTCACACTGAAATCACTGAGTTTAAACTGCAGGGAGGTCTGTGGGACATAAGCTCCTCTGCTTCATACTTGTGGACTTAAACTAGTGTGTTAGGGGAGAGTCTCTTCCTAGAAAGGAGAGATGGTGGAGAAAGATTCTAAGAGATGGAGATGATGTAATTTGAAACTTACTGCTGTAATTTGAGACCTAAGACCTAATGGAAGAAAGCAAATAGTCAACAGATGTGAGAGAAGGAAAAGCTAGAAAGAATTTCTCAAAGGATTTGTAACTCTGAGACAAACTAGCATTATTCCTACTTCCACTGTGAGGTCAAGATGCAGGATAAAGCATTTAGGTTAGATTTCTTAAAGAACTTGAGAGTGATGGATGTGTGAGAGAGGAACGAGCCTGCATTTCCTCTCCAGGAAGCCTTGAAAACCAGAAGACAGTCTTACTTGTCTGAGTTTAGCTTGGGAAAAAACAGCTTTACATATCCCTGAGACCAGCTCTGTGCTATTTCAGCAATTCTACCTCCCACATTTTAACTCCAAACCAAAAGTTGAATGAATTCTGAAATGATTGCATGTTTTTCACAATAGAAAGATTACCACAGTCTCTTAATACCCTCAGATGCTTCTCTAATCCATTTTCTTCTCCCTATTTCCCCAAGCAATGCCATACTCAGGCCCTTGCGATCTCCTGCCTGGAAGACTATTCCTCTGCTACATGTGACTAGAGGCTAGCAGATTGGACAGTGCAGCTCTAGGATTTACAATATACACCTGTAACATATCATAGTCTACTTTTAGATAGTGTAAAAATCTTATAACAATTTACTTTCAGTTTCTCCCTTATGTTTTTTATTGTTTTTGTCATACATATTGCTTCTACGTATGCTAACACCCAACCGGATTTTTATTATTTCTACTTTAAATAGTCATTTATTTTTTTTTCAAGAGATTAAAAAGTGAGAGGTTGAGTGCAGTGGCTTACATCTACAATCCCAGCCCTTTGGAAGGCCAAGGTGGGAGGATCATTGGAGCCCAGGAGTTCAAGACCAGCCTGGACAACATGGTGAAACCCCGTAAATACAAAAATTAGCCGGGCATGGTGGCACACACTTGTAGTGCCAGCTACCAAGGAGGCTGAGGGAGTAGGATTGTTTGAGCCTGGGAGGTCGAGGCTACAGTGAGCCGTGATCGCACCATTGTATGCCAGTCTGGGTGACAGAGCAAGACTCTGTTTTAAATAAATAAATAGAAAATGTTTTAACTATTTTACTTATATTTATTACTTTTCACACTCTATCTTTTTATATTGATCAAATTTTTGTTATTATTTTTCTTTTGCCTGAAGAACTTTTCATTTCACCTTTGTTGGTATAAAAAAAATCTTTATTTCACCTTTATTTTTGAAAGACATTTTTGCGAGGTAGAAAAAATTCTGGCTCAATCTTGTCTTTCACTTTACATAGCTTTTATAAGAAATCTGTTGGCATTTTTTATTTATTCCTCTACATCAGGGATGGCAAACCTTTCATAAACATCCATATAGTAAATCTTTTAGGCTTTGGAAGCCATACGGTCTCTGTTGCAACTACCAACTCTGCCACTGTAACACAGAAACAGCCATAGCAAATACATAAATGAGTGTGTATGGCTGTGTTCCACTAAAACTTTTTTTTGCAGAAATAAGAAGTGATCTAGATTTGACCCAGGGGTCATAGTTTACCAATCCCTGCTGTATATATAATGTGTCTTTTTCTTTCTTTTTTTTTTTTTTTTTTTGAGACGGAGTTTCGCTCTTGTTGCCCAGGCTGGTGTGCAATGGCACGATCTCGGCTCATCGCAACCTCTGCCTCCTGAGTTCAAGCGATTCTCCTGCCTCAGTCTCCTGAGTAGCTGGAATTATAGGCATGCGCCACCATGCCCAGCTAATTTTATATTTTTAGTAGAGATGGGGTTTCTCCATGTGGGTCAGGCTGGTCTCAAACTCCCGACCTCAGGTGATCTGCCTGCCTCGGCCTCCCAAAGTGCTGGGATTACAGGCATGAGCAACTGCTCCTGGCCTATGTATCTTTTTCATCTGGCTGCTTTTAGAATTTTTGTCTTTATCCTTGGTTTGTAGCAACTTGGTTATGATGTGCATGGGAATGGTTTTCTTTGTTTATTCTGCCTGGATTTTATTGAGCTTTCAAATTTGGAAAAATGTTAGCTTTTATTATTATTATTATTATTATTATTATTATTTTTTGAGATGAAGCCTCACTCTCTCTCCCTGGCTGGAGTGCAGTGGCACAATCTTGGCTCACCGCAATCTCCACCTCCAGGTTCAAGCAATTCTCCTGTCTCAGCCTCCCGAGTAGCTAAGGTTACAGGCACCCACAACCATGGCCAGCTAATTTTTGTATTTTTAGTAGAGACTGGGTTTCATCATGTTGGCCAGGCCGGTCTCCAACTCCTGACCTCAAATGATCCACCCGTCTCAGCCTCCCAAAGTGCTGGGGTTACAGGCATGAGCCACCGTGCCCAGCCTTAGCCATTATTTAAAAATATACCTTCATTTTTTTTGGAGACGGAGTTTTGGTCTTGTCACCCAGGTTGGAGTGCAGTGGCGCCATCTCAGCTCACTGCAACCTCCGCCTCCCAGGTTCAAGTCATTCTCCTGCCTCAGCCTCCCAAGTAGCTGGGATTACAGACACCCACCACCATGCCTGGCTAATTTTTGTATTTTTAGTAGAGACATGGTTTCGCCAGGTTGGCCAGGATGGTCTCAAGCTCCTGACCTCAGGTGATCCACCCACCTCGGCCTCCCAAACTGCTGGGATTACAGGCATAAGCCACCACGCCCGGCCATATTTTTAAATATACATTCTTAGCCCATGGCTCTTCTGAAATGTCAATTGCATTATGTTAAAATATTTGATATACCACACAGAGCACTTTTGCATTGGTCCTTTCTTTTTCAATCTTTTCTTTTCTCTCTGTGCTTCATTTTGAATAGCTTCTATGTCTTCAAGTTCCCTGATTCTTGTCTTCCATAGTCTATAATTTGCTATACATTTTCTGTGAATACTTCAAATGTTATTCATTTAAAAATTTGATAATCCTGGCCTTCATTGTCTAGAAACAGGCATATTTCAAATCATATTTAAATTAATAATTTGCAACAAGTTCCTGATGTTTTACAATCCTTTCACACTTGTGGAAATTCTTCCAAATGCATTAAGCAATACTATTTTTTGTCTGGTTAGATGGGATTCCTAACCGGGCCCACTTTCTGGCACATTTGCTATCAATTTCTCTGAAAACAAGATCTTGAGAGCAGTGCCAAATCCTGAGCCTGAAGCTTTCCCCACAGTTGACATTTAAACCAACCAACGCAATCCCTATTTTTTGAAACACTTCTATAATGCAGCCTAAAATCTGTCTTTAGTTACTTTGCTGTTTCTTCCATCTCAAGCCAAAAAAATTTAAATAAGAATTCCATTGGCCGGGTGCGGTGGCTCACACCTGTAATCCCAGCACTTTGGGAGGCTGAGGCGGGCGGATCACGAGGTCAGGAGATCGAGACCATCCTGGCTAACATGGTGAAACCCCGTCTGTACTAAAAAATAAAAAAAAATTAGCGGACGTGGTGGCAGGCGCCTGTATAGTCCCAGCTACTCGGGAAGCTGAGGCAGGAGAATGGCGTGAACCCAGCAGGCAGAGCGTGCAGTGAGCCAAGATCGCGCCACTGCACTCCAGCCTGGGCGACAGAGCGAGACTTCGTCTCAAAAAAAAAAAAAAAAAAAAAAAAAAGAAAGAAAGAAAAAAGAAAAAAAGAAAAAGAAAAAAAAAAAGAATTCCATCAAAATACAAAAGAAATGATTTGACTTCCTAAAATATTTCCAGAAGCAACTTTTTGTTTTCTGAACCTTGAACTTAATTTCCAATGAATAGTTGAAAATCTGGATGCTCAGAGAGTGGTTGCATTTTAGATTAAGGCCTTAATTTTATTAAGCAGAGAAAATACAAGTTCTTGAGCCTTCTTGGAGCTTCCCCTTCAGTCAAAATGCCATCAAACCTCTGATGGAATTCTGTAATGTGTGTCCCCATTTCTTTTCCAAATAAGTATGTTGATGTTTTTGTTGTTGGGTTTTTGTTTTGTTTTGTTTTGTTTTGTTTTGTTTTGTTTTTGAGATGGAGTCTCATTCTGTTGCCCAGGCTGGAGTGCAGTGGCATGATCTCAGCTCACTGCAACCTCTGCCACCCAGGTTCATGTGATTTTCCTGCCTCAGCCTCTGAGTAGGTGGGACTGCAGGCACGCCATGCCCGGTTAATTATTTGTATTTTAGTAGAGATGGGGTTTCACCATGTTGGCCAGGCTGGTCTTGAACTCCTGACCTCAGGTTACCTGCTTGCCTTGGCCTCCCAAAGTGCTGGGATTACCAGCGTGAAACACTGCGCCAGGCCAAGTACCTTATAAATGCTATCTTGCACTCAAATGCACATTCTTGCTCACATGTAGTCCAGATATAAGTCTGTAGAATGCTCTTTTTATATACAGAGTCCTTTTGTCCAACTGTGAAAAATGTTCTGCTCACATTTCCCTTGATAGAAGTGCCAAAATATTTAAAGGTCTTTTGTCTGTAATTTGAAAGTCTTCCTCATAGATCATGATATCCCGTATCTTCCAAGCATCTGGCACCTGTAATTCTCAGGATTAAGGTACGATCTATATATTCAGCATCAGGGTGCCGTATGACATCAGCTTCACAGACGTTGTCTGAGGAGTCATCTTGCTTGGTCCACTGAAGAACAGTCTTTTGTGTTTTCCCGCTCAGAGATTCATCCACAGATCCAAGTTGTTCAGCTTGTCCATAGTCTTCAGTGAGATTACTGGCATCTTCAGAACACTTGTAGCTGGCAGATTTTATGTAAACACTAGATGTTTAACTTATTTGATTTCACATTTTTATTGCTTCTTACACTAAACTTGCTTTATCTTATAAAATACATAAAATAGTTTTATAATACCACTATTAGAAGTAACAATAAAATTACAGAATGAAGCTTAAGAGTTCTTCGTAGTTTGTTTTGTTCCTAGAATATATTTCACTAGGGAAAGAAAATCTTGTGTTTAAAAGTCATTTGAAATAAATCTTTCTTTTTGGTTATGTTACCAACCTCATAAACACTTAGCTTTATTTATTTCACTTGTTTCAATTTTAGGGATTGTTCTTTTTTCTCTTTTTGGTTTAACTTAATTTTTGAATATATTAAATGATTACATGATTCTAAAGTCGAAACTACATAAAAAGGTATACTCAGCCATATCTCCCTTCCATTTCTTTCTTTTTTTTTTTTTTTCTGTGACAGAGTCTCACTTTGTTGCCCAGGCTAGAGTGCAGTGGTGTGATCTCAGCTCACTGCAACCTCTGCCTCCCAGGTTCAAGTGATTCTCCCGCCTCAGCCTCCCAAGTAGCTGGGATTACAGGCATGCAACAACATGTTCGGCTAATTTTGTATTTTTAGTAAAAATGGGATTTCACCATGTTGGCCAGGCTGGTCTTGAACTCCTGACTTCAGGTGATCCACCCACCTCAGCCTCCCAAAGTGCTGTGATTACAGGCGTGAGCCATCGTGCTGGCCTCTCCCATTTCCATCCATTTCCTTCCCTACTCTTGTGTAGATAACCATTTTTATTACTTTTATATTTACTAGTCTTTTATTGCTTTTGTCTTTCCAATGCTTCATTTTGCACGAAAGTAGCTTCTCATAAAATATTGTGGCTATCATTCTAGAGCAACACATACATATATTCCTCATGTTTATGGGTTCATAGTACTCCACTATATACTACAGTTTATTTAACCACTCAACTGCTCCCCTATTGATGGATATTTGGGGATTTTCTAGACTTGTGTCATTCAAAATACCACAATGAATACTAGCCTTGTGTATATATTATTTCTTTTTTTTTTTTTTTTTTTTTTTGAGATGGAGTCTCGCTCTGTCACCCAGGCTGGAGTGCAGTGGCGCGATCTCGGCTCACTGCAAGCTCCTCCTCCCGGGTTCACGCCATTCTCCTGCCTCGGCCTCTCCGAGTAGCTGGGACTTAAAGGCGCCTGCCACCACGCCCAGCTAATTTTTTGTATTTTTAGTAGAGATGGGGTTTCACCGTGGTCCCGATCTCCTGACCTCGTGATCCACCCGCCTTGGCCTCCTGAAGTGCTGGGATTACAAGGGTGAGCCACCGCACCAGGCCGTGTATATATTATTTCAAATTTGTACAGAAGTACTTTTAGTGTAGAGTCCCCAAAAATATCATTGCTGGGTTAAAGGACAGATTAATCCATTTGTAATTTTGCTAGATTGTACTAAATTCCCTTCCTTAAGGACTATATCACTCTATACTTCTACCAGTAGCATATCACTGTGTCTCTTTTCCCTAGAGTTTTAGCAACAAAGTGTACTCTCAAACTTTTGAATTTTTGCCAACATAATAAGAAATGCTGTTTCAATGTAATGTAATTTGCCTTTCTTTTTTCAGTGAGTTGTGCATGTTTTACTATTTTAAGGGCCACTTGCATGAATTGTTTCTATCTGTTCATGTCTTGTGCTCATTTTTCTACTGGATCTGTGTCTTTTTATTTCTCAGAGCTCCTGTAAATTAGGGAGATTACTTTTTATTCTGTTGTAAAAATTGCGATTGTTTTGTCCAGTGACTCATTTGTCTTTGGCTTTGCTTATGGTATTTGGGCTATACATTTTTAAAAAAACAATATATAATAGAATTGGGTGGCTGGGGAATTCATGTGTAGATCAGAGTGGAAGCAGGTGTGAGAGGGTCCAGCAGAAGAAAACATGGCAGCCAAAGTGTTTGAGTCCATCGGCAAGTTTGGCCCGGCCTTTGCTGTTGCAGGAGGCGTGGTGAACTCCGCCTTATATAATGTGTATGCTGGGCGGCAGAGCTGTCATCTTTGACCGATTCCGTGGAGTACAGGACATTGTGGTGGGGGAAGGGACTCACTTTCTCATCCCATGGGTACAGAAACCAATTATCTTTGACTGCCATTCTCCACCTCGTAATGTACCAGTCATCACTGGTAGCAAAGATTTACAGAATGTCAACATCACACTGCGCATCATCTTCCGGCCCATCGTTAGCCAGCTTCCTCGCATCTTCAGCATCGGAGACGACTATGATGAGCGTGTGCTGACGTCCACCACGACCAAGGTCCTCAAGTCAGTGGTGGCTAGCTTCGATGCTGGAGAAGTAATCACCCAGAGAGAGTTGGTCTCCAGGCAGGTGAACAACGACCTTACGGAGCGAGCAGCCACCTTAGGGCTCATCCTGGACGACGTGTCCTTGACACATCTGACCTTCGGGAAGGAATTCACAGAAGCGTTATAAGCCAAACAGGTGGCTCAGCAGGAAGCAGAGAGGGCCAGATCTGTGGTGGAAACGGCTGAGCAGCAGAAAAAGGCAGCCATCATCTCTGCTGAGGGCGACTCCAAAGCAGCCGAGCTGATTGCCAACTCACTGGCCACTGCAGGAGACGGCCTGAGTTGCCCAAGCTGGAAGCTGCGGAGGACATCGCGTAACAGCTCTCATGCTCTCGGAGCATGATCTACCTGCTGGCGGGGCAGACCGTGCTCCTCCGGCTGCTCCAGTGAGGGCCTGCCCACTCTGCCTGCACCTCCGCGGGCCAATTGAGCCACAGCCCCGATGATTCTTAACACCGCCGCCCACCCCCTCCACCCCAAAAATCACTGTGAAATTTCATGATTGGCTTAAAGTGAAGGAAATAAAGGTAAAATAACATATATATATACATATATATGTAATAGAATTGACTAGTCTTTTATTGATTCTGGGTTTTGAGACATAGGAATGCTTTGCCCGCTATTCCCAGGGATGCATGGGTAGTTTACACAGAAATCTACACGTGCCTTCTTCTAGACTTGAAGAGTTTCCATGTAGTCATGTTTAGCTAACGAAGCCACGTGGAGTTTTTCTTGGATGTGCAGTATAAGCTATGGATCCAATGTTACCTTCTTCCACATGGTACCCAGTTGTCTCAACAGCATATATTTTTAAAGTCCATTTTTCACATTGTTTTATAATGTCTAACATACATTAAATTTTTATATGTACTTAGATTGATGCCTAGACTTTCTACTATGTTCCATTAGTGTGTCTGTCTATATGCACCAATTTTATACTAGTTTGATTATGAAGGTTTTGTAATATCTTAAATGTCCGATAAGACTGGCCCCTCCTCATTGCTCTTCTTTTCAGGACTTTCTTGGATATTCTTGTTATTTCTTCCATATGAACTTAAGAATCAATTTGTATAACTAAAAAACAAAGTGAAACAAAAAAACCCTTGGCTTTTTTATTGGAATAATGTTAAATTTACAAATTCACTTAGAATGTCTTTCATTTTTTTCAGGTCTGTTTTATGTCTCTGAAGCTATTATATTAATAGTTTTCCTCATAGGCT
This sequence comes from Homo sapiens, assembly GCF_000001405.40. Lineage (NCBI taxonomy): Eukaryota > Metazoa > Chordata > Mammalia > Primates > Hominidae > Homo > Homo sapiens. The sequence continues at coordinate 48,168,016 of NC_000012.12, read as the reverse complement.
TTACATATTTCTTTTACCTTTATACCTAGGAGTTTTGTAATTGTGGTCACTATTACCAATTGGCTCTTGATTCCATATTATTTTCTAACTGGTTCATCCTTGTATCTTACGTGTGAAGCCTGTTGACTTCTGTATATAGCTTTTATATTCTGCTACCATATAGATTCATCTTTTTGTTTGTGTAGTTTATTCATTGATTTGCTTTTGTTATCTAGGTATACCTATATCATCAACAGTTTTCACACATCCAATAGGTTTCTTTTGTAAAAATGCATTGGCAAATACCTCCAACATCGTGTTAATGTTACAGTAATGGTGGGTATCCTTGTCTTGTTTCAGACATTAACAGGAATGCCTCCAGTGTTTTCCTATGAAAATAGTAAGATGATGATAAACAAGATGCTGTATGATGTTAAGAAAATTATCTCCCATTCTTCTTTTGTAACTTACTTTTATAGGAAATTCAACTTTAATTTTTTCAAATGCTTTTTCAGCACCTAGGAAGATAATTACAGGACTTTCCTTCTTAGATATAATTATATTAATTATATTAATGAATTTCCTAACATTGGACCATCTTTACCTTCCCAAAACAGTTTCTACTTTGTCATGACATACTGTGCTGTCTAATTCAATTTGCTAATTTTTTTAAGCATTTCTGCCTATGATATTCATAAATGATATTGGTTTGTAATTATCTCTTTTGTATAATCTTTATTAGGTTTTGGTTTCAATGCTATATTTATGTCATTAAAAATTTTTGAATTGGGATAAGGGGTCTTCAAAGAATATCATTTTAAACCATCTTGGACACTTTTAGAAAGAGATATATATATAGGCCAGGCATGGTGGCTCATGCCTGTAATCCTAGCACTTTGGGAGGCTGAGGTGGATAGATCACCTGAGGTCAGGAGTTTGAGACCAGCCTGGCCAACATGGCAAAACCCTGTCTCTACTAAAAATACAAATATTAGCTGGGCGAGGTGGCATGCCCCTGTAATCCCAGCTACTAGGGAGACAGAGGCAGGAGAATCACTTGAACCTGGGAGGCGGAGTTTGCAGTGAACTGAGATGGCGCCACTGCACTCTAGCCTGGGCAGCAGAGCAAGACTCCATCTCAAAAAAAAAAAAAAAGAAAGAAAGATATATACACAGAGTCTCTCTCTCTCTGTTGCCCAGGCTGAAGTGCAGTGGCACCATCTCAGCTCACTACAACCTCCGCCTCCTGGGTACAAGCGATTCTCCTGCCTCAGCCTCCTGAGTAGCTGGGATTACAGGCACTCATCACCACGCCCGGCTAATTTTTGTATTTTCAGTAGAGGCAGAGTTTCACCATGTTGGCCAGGCTGGTCTCGAACTCCTGACCTCAAATGATCCACCCACCTGGGCCTCACAATGTGGTGGGATTACAGGTGTGAGCCACTGCGCCCAGCCTAGGAGTCATTCTTGACCACAATACCCTTCTCCAACTTGTAACCAATCACCAAGTTCTATCAGTCCTAACACTAAAATATTTCAAATTCACCCCCTTCTCTCCCTTTCTATGGCCACCACTCAAATCTAAGCCTGCTTGACTTTTTGTCCAGATCACTTAGGCTGCTGTTTTCTCTATTTTAATCCTTGCCTTGGCTCCACTATAATCCATTCTTCTTTAAAAAGTCAAAGTGGTCCTTTAAAAACACACATGTGGTCATGTCACTTGAATAAAACCTGTTGATAGGCTTCTTGTTCTTTTGGGATACAGTTCAGAATCCTTAACATGTCCCCCAAGACCGCACCTGATCTGGAGCCTCCCTACCTTTCCAGCTTCTTGTCTTCTCATTCTGGCCTCTTCCTTGTCTTCCAGGTTCCTAAGCTCTTTCCTCCTTAGGGTCTTTGAATACCCTGACCCTGCTCCATTGGCTGGGAGGCCCCCTCCCCACACCTCCACACCTTTGACCTGGTTGTTTCCACCCATCTTCCAGGTCTATGCTCAGGGAAGCTTTTCTTGACCTCCCAGCCTGAATTAGGTCCTCTACTGAATCATCCTATTACCCTCTCTACTATTTCTCTTTGTTTATTTGGGCACTATAACAAAAGTACTGTAAACTGGGTGTCTTGTAAACAACAGAAATTTATTTCTCACAGCTCTGGAGGCTGGGAAGTCCAAGAAATCCCAGATGTTGGTGTCTGGTGAGGCCCCACTTGCTCATAGATAGAACTTTCTCACTGTGTCCTCATATGGTGGAAGGGGCAAAGTTCCCTCTTTTAGAAGGGCACTAGTCTCATCACGAGGACTGTGCTCCTATGACCTAATAACCTCCTTCATGAAGGCCCCACCTCTTAATACTGTCACCTTGGGGGGTGGTTAGGATTTCAACATATGAACTTTGAGATGACATAAATAGTCAGTCCATTGCACTTTTCCTTTACAGAAGTCATCACTATTGTGACTATTTAGGCATACAGGTGACTATCTAATATTTGTTTCTCACATCAAACTGTAATTTTCCTAGTGATCAGGACCATATTTCTCTTGATCTTAGCTGGCTGGATCTTTAGTGTCTATCACAACAAACAGCACAGTGACAGAACTTAATAAGTATTTGTTGAATTAATGGGTGAATTAATCAATCAACCAATTAATGATATAATCAAAGACTCAATGAATGAACCAAGAACGAATCATTCAACTTTGGGCAAGAAGCAAGAAGGAGCAAATGCTCTACTTGCCCTCCAGGGGGAGACACACTCCCATTAGAAATAGCATAGACCCAGGTGAGCAGAAAATTCTGACATTGATTGTAATTTGCTTCTCAAATGGATTCAGAGAACCAGATCTTTTTTCTTTTCCTTTCTTTTCTCTTTGTCTTGCTCATAGAACTCTCCAGATTAATCTGGACCACCCAATTGTACCAAGCAAGTAGTCATTTCCTCTGTAATTTCCCTCCCCTGGACGACATTAACTCTCCTACCAGTTTGTCCCCTTCAGTCTTGATTTGCTAGGTAATTTAGCTATAAATGCCTACATTCTTGGAAAAATAGTATCATATATATATATAATTTCAGTATTATCATTAAAATTGTTATTTGTATTTTTACTGTACTTTTTTTTTCAAAATCCTTCAGGCAATTTTTCTCTATGAAGACTGAAAATGTTTTATAATTGCTCTGATAGTGGAAAATATTGGTAGACTATATGACCAAAAATAATAACAAAATATTGATTAAAAGCCAATTTTTAAAAAATAGATAATTCATAAAATTTCCCAAGCCCTGGGGAAAGTTAAAAGGAAAAAAAAAAAAGAGTAGAGTTTGGCTATTGAGCGCATGTCTGCCTCTGAGCAGTTTCTGAAAGAAGTCCTTGTTTAATCCTGATGGCATGTCTTGGGAGAGTATCCCTGCTGCACATTAATACTGTTCTTTTCTTTGCTGAATTACTTTCTCTAGTACAAGGTTTAAGCATATGAAAGGTTTCATGAGACTTACATTATGTTTCCTCTGAACTTTCTTTTTCTTTGCTCTAGTTCCAAAGCTTCCTTTTCAATTTTTCTACGTCAGGGACTAGGACATAGAGGCACTCCACTATTCCCATTTTTGGGAGATCTGTTCATTTTAGTTCAATTCCATTGTATTTATTAAATAACTATTGTGTGTTTAGAACTGTGCAATGACAAAAGAGATGAGTATAGAAATCTAAATCTCTGCTCTTTTAAAGGCGCCACAATGTAACTGGGAGGATGAGATATTTGGTAACCTCCTTGAACAAATATAAAATCATATAAAGATGACATGTCAACATTTATGTAGTTTACAAAACCACTTTTCACAAATGTGGTCTAGGTTTTATGAAATTAACTTTTGGAGTAGGTGTTAATACTCTCATCCCATTGTACAACTGAGACTCAGGTAAAGTATTACTTACTTTAGTAAGTAATTTTACTTTTACTTATAAAAGTACTTACTTTTACAAGTAAAGTAACTAGAGCTACTATCAGAACTGGAATCTTGGTCTTTATGAAGTTTGCATAATATTACATTATTTCTAAATATGAGGAATGTGCTATAAGTGATAGTCCTAAAAATTGAACAAATTCAAAGTAAAGTAAAATATTCCATTATTGAAAGAAAGCTATTTTTTCCCAACTAGCCAACTAGTCTGACACTTGGATCTTATTTTTTTACCCTATTTTGTAAACATTGACTGATTCCCTCTCTTTCCTTCACTCTTAGGGTATCTCAAACTCCCTTTTGGTTTGTTTCTTTTTCTTTGTTGATGGAGAACTTATTTGAAAGGGGTCCCTTTTTACTTAACTTGCTTTTTTCTAGGAAGGGTGTCAGGGAAACGTTGCCATCAACATTAGCCAGGCAACCCCTGATAGAGAAGGATGGGGCCTTTAAGACAGGGGAGTATTTGATAATTTCTGGCCAGAGATTTTAAAAGCTGTTGTGAAATGCTTCATGTTACCACTTAGAAGCTTGCAATGCAGAATTCCTCTCCCCCAGCACACTGTCACTCTGAAAGATCCACTCAAAATCAGGAAAGGGTATGGAGCCAGCCAAGTGAATAAAGGTTTTTTACTCCAATTAGGAGTTGCTCAAAAGCCTGTGGCCATTCAGTACTGGCAAGACTCAAAGGGCAAGACACCCAGGTCTGTAAACTGGGATACCCCGTACCCGCAGAGTCTGGATACTAATACTGCTGAACAGTGATAGCAGCAATCATTACAGGCAAAACATCATTATCAAATTTCCAGATCAAGTTTATGCCAAGGTCTGAAAATAGGAACATTCGTCATACTGTTGATCAACATCATCTAATGAGCACTTCTTGAGAGCGGAACTGGAATCAGGAGGGAAGGGAAGAAAAAAAACAGTGGCCTAAAAGTCTTATGGGAGACACAGCACACTAAAACACAAAATTCATGGAATCACTTGTAATCAAAACATCAAGAACAGAAATAACCAACTAAAATATGCAGAGATGGAATCTGAATAGTGAATGCAAGATACATGGGCTGTGATCAAAATACAAGTTTATTTTTTGTCTTTTTCCACTTTAAAAATATTTTTTTTCTTGCCGGGCATGGTGGCTCATGCCTGTAACCTTAGCGCTTTGGGAGGCCAAGGCATGGATCACTTGAGGTCAAGAGTTCAAGACCAGCCTGGCCAACATGGTGAAACCCTGTCTCTACTAAAAATACAAAAAATTAGCTGGGCATGGTGGCAGGCACCTGTAATCCCAGCTTCTCAGGAGGCAGAGGCTCGAGAATTGCTTGAACCTGAGAGGCAGAGGTTGCAGTGAGCCAAGATGGTACCACTGCACTCCAGCCTAGACGACAGAGCCAGACTCCATCTCAAAAAAACAAACAAACATTTTTTATTGGAGGATAATAATCTCCTGCTCCTGAATAGAAAATTGGGAAGATCCCCTGACTTTTTGGTCACTCTTTGATAATTGGCAATCCTTTAAGTAACAGTCACTTTAAACCAAAAAGTCTCGGCCGGCCATGGTGGCTCACGCCTGTAATCCCAGCACTTTAGGAGGCCAAGGTGGGCGGATCATGAGGTCAAGAGATTGAGACCATCCTGGCCAACATGGTGAAACCTCTTCTCTACTAAAAGTACAAAAATTAGGCAGTCATGGTGGTGCCTGCCTGTAATCCCAGCTACTCAGGAGGCTTAGGCAGGGGAATCACTTGAACCTGGGAAGCGAAGTTTGCAGTGAGCTGAGATCGTGCCACTGCACTCTAGCCTGGCAACAGAGCCAGACTTTGTCTCAAAAAACAAAAAACAAAAACAAAAAAACCAAATAGTCTCTATTTAGTAATTAGAATATTTCCAGTTCAAAACTGTAATCCAATACTTTAGTCTTCATTCTAAGGTACTAATCTAAGACTGCTTTTCCTCCTCCTCCATGTAAGGCATATGGCTGGTGGCTGCCTGCAGCTTTCTCCTCAACTTTCTTCCTCCCCCACTAGATAACTGCTATTGAACCTGCTTGTGTAAAAGTGGGAGGAGGTAGGAAAGCTAAGGAGATAGGGCAGGTTTTTCTTTCTTGGTAGGGTAGGTCTGTACTACCTGGGTCTTGCACATGGTTAAAGCTGACTCTTTTTCTTAAAGCTTGCTTTAAAAGGTTCTTTGCAGATTCCCATCATCAGAGATCTCTTACTTGAGTTCCTTTGGCCAAAACCAATGCAAGTGGTTGACTGTGACAAACTGTGGATTGTAGCATCCCTGTGTTCATTTCTGGCTTCTAGCCACCGGGTCCCCCTATACCTCTAGACAGCCCATTTGGATAGACCGAAGGCAACCCCACGTTGGCTGTCTTCCATGTGGCCCACATCTGGTCCAGGAAAACATTTATACATTCGTCATCCCTCCTGAATCTGGGTGTCCAGACAGATACCAATGTAGCCACCTCTACTTTGTGGCTACAGCCCTCTTTAATTTATAAGTAAGCACTGGTGCAGTTTTTGTTTTACAACTATGGGGAACAATCTTCAAGTTCTCTGGTCCCACAGAAGCCCCTCTTTAGGCAACATCAGTACTTCCTTTCCCTCTGGGTAGGAGGAGAGTAGGGACTCAGCACATACAAATTTCTCCCCAAGAAGTCTCTTCACAGACCCTTCCTTCCTTCACTCTCTTGATCTCACCATGAGGTAGAACTGTTTGTCAACACTGACTTTGGACATAACAATGTTGTTGAAATAATCATCATTAATTGCAGTTGAGGATGTTCATATCTGTCTCCCAACCCTTGATAATAAGAGACTGTCTGTCTTCATTTCTGTCTTCCCTGGAGAGTTGAGCACAAAGCCTGGAATAAAGTAGGTGCTCAGTAAATGTTTGATGAAAGGATGATTGAATGTATCCGAAACCAACTTTTGTTGCGCACTGAATTCTCTGAGGCACTTCAAAGTAATCAGTATGGGCCAACTTTGGTGTCTCTTGCCTGGCTGACATGAGCTTTGGGGCCCAGCCAAGTAGACTGTGAGAGTGTTGCCAAGGCAATTCTGCATGCAAGAGGAAGTGTGGCAGGACTGGGGGTTTGCTGATAGCTGCCTGGGAAGCTGGCCCCTCAGGCAGTGATACCACCAACCACCCTTGAGGTGGTCAGGGCCTGAGCAGAAGGACTGCAGAGACTGCACATGCCCCTTGAAGCCCAGGCCTATTTCTTGGAAGTCTTTAGCATTCACATTTGCTATCTGAGGAGGTTTACTGCCTGGAGTGAAGTATTCAAAATAGAAAAGACAGAGAAGCTAGAGAAGGAACAGCAGTGAAGCATCAACAAGCCTTTACTGGGGGACCATTTTCCCTCACAACACATTTGGAGAGCCTGAAACTGACAAAGACTACCTGGGTCAGTGGCTGTTGATTTATTCTGGTTTCAGTCATTACTGATATCTGTCCAGAAGAACTAGAAAAAAATAATTCAAGTTGTGGGTGAGATAGTGTTCCAACTCTGCCAAATTTAACTTTTCATCACCATTGACCCAGAGAGGGACATAAAAAAGGCCATTGCAAATTATGTGAAAGAATTTTCTCCCAAACTGGTTGGCCTGATTGGCACGAAAGAAGAGATCAATCACGTGGCCAGAGCATACAGAGTATATTACAGCTCTAGCCCCAAGGATGAAGATGAAGACCATGTTAGTGAATCATACAATAACAATGTCTTTGATTGGGCCAGATGGTGAGTTTCCAGATTATTTTGGCCAGACCAGGAAGAATGCAGAAATTGTTAGCCAGTTCAATTGCTGCACACATGAGGGCACACAGGAAAAAAGAGCTAGCCAAAGCAGTGATGCTGGGTGCAATATTCTCTTGTTAAAGAGGAAGGAAGCAGCCAGGCGCGGTGGCTCACGCCTGTAATCCCAACACTTTTGGAGACCGAAGTGGGTGGAACACCTGAGGTCAGGAGTTCGACACCAGCCTGGCCATCATGGTGATACCCTGTCTCTACTAAAAATACAAAAATTAGCCAGGTGTGATGGTGCCCGCCTGTAACCCCAGCTACTCAGGAGGCCAAGGCAGGAGAATTGCTTGAACCCGGGAGGTGGGTGGAGGTTGCAGTGAGCTGAGATCGTGCCACTGCACTCCAGCCTGGGTGACAGAGTGAGACTTCATCTCAAAAAAAAAAAAAAAAGGAAGCTTTGTCTTCCATAGAAATATATATATTGTGTATATATATGTAATATATATAGTATATCTGTAATATATAGTACATATGTAATATATATATTGTGTGTATATATATATGTTATATATATGCAACCTACAGAATGACCTTTGCACCATTGTACCATGAGAATGTTTCTATTTTGGATTGGCATGTTACTCCTGGGTTCAGTCAAAATAGACTCTTGAAACTGTAAGATTACAACTCAAAGTCTCCCAGGTAGCTGTGGTGAGACCAGAGGACCAAGTCTAAATGAAGTCAGTGAAGAGTGGAGGACGCTCATGGAAGGACACAGCAAGGGAGGCACAGCCAGTGCATCTCCCATTATGAATGGGCCCTCCCAGCAGCTTTATTGGCTCTCCAGTGTTTTGGACCCTTGCTCATACAGGCTGTGGAACTGAATTTCACAGAAAAGAATAATTTTTATAGCACTTTGGCTTCTCTCTTCTTGAGTTATTTGCTCTTCTGTGTTCTTGGTGGCTGATGATAGTCAGATTAGGCTCTCTGCCATTCAAAGTTTATCTTTGTACTTGAAAGCATAAGTTTTGTCTTCTTTGTTAATGAATATCACTGTCAGGCTTGCTCCACTGCCCTATCAGCAGGTACTGATTTGACTAATAAAGATGAGATCTATTGTTTGGGGGGAAAAAAAGTTAGTTTGATTTCTCTAGGGGTCTCTTATGTGATTTTTAGCTAAGTGATGGGCTAGGTTTTCAATGACATGCCAAATGGAAATAAGAAGATATTGATCATGAGTGTGACATAGAGTAGTTTTCTGCATATACTGAGTTGCAGGCCAAGTAAAATAAAAGTGTACTCAGTTTTTCAATAAATAAGTAAAATAACCTGTATTGAGAGCCTATTTTATCACTCCCTGGGAGACTCCGCTCATTCTTACATTTGTAAGATGCTGATGGTTTCCCAGAATTTATATACTTCAGCATTTCCCAACCAAGAAATTTGAGAGATGTGGTCCAGTGTGGTGACTCATGCCTGTAATCCCAGCACTTTGGGAGGCCGAGGAGGGTGGATCACCTGAGGTCAGGAGTTTGAGACCAGCCTGGCCAACATGGTGAAACCCCATCTCTAATAAAAATACAAAAAAAAAATTAGCCAGGTGTGGTGGCAGGTGACTGTAGTCTCAGTTACTCAGGAGGCTGAGGCAGGAGAATCACTTGAACCCGGAAGGCTGAGGTTGCAGCCAGCCGAGATCACGCCATTGCACTCCAGCCTGGGTGAGAAGAGCGAAACTACATCTCAAAAATAAATAATGATGATGATAATAATAATAATAATAATAATAATAATAAAAACATTGCCAACATTTGCAACTTGGAAAAATTCACTTTTTAAAAAAAATCTGTATTTCAGCTTCTTTTGAAAAATGGACGATCTCACCATGGTGCAGTGGCAGGAAGTGGAGGGCATATTCCTACCTGGCAAAATTCCTTTGAGTCTGGAGCTCAAAGGAGGCCCACTCCTCAGACCAGGTCATGAACTTTCAGTTTACCATCCTCTTACTGATGTACATGATCTGTCTGGGCCTGCTTTAAATCTCTAATTGGTTAGATTTGGTTGCTTAGAACAAGCTCTGGGGAGTAGGTGTGGGGCACTCTGGTTAAACAGGCTACCGGGCAGACCACAACTCTTGCAGTCTGCCTAAATGGGCTGCTGCTTCACTCCTTCCATGCACCACCACCATGTGCTGCTGACTTCAAAATGTTTATGCTTTGCACAGAAAGTCTGTCACTCAGAGGTGTCATCATGTTTTTGTGCGGGAAGTTTCATTAACCCTAATAAGAGTTATAAAGGTCATTTATTCCTCTACATTTAGAATACTACACCTCTTGGGTGGTTGAGTTTGTCTTTGATATGGTTTACTTGAAGGAGGGTGGACATGTACAGGAGGGTTCTAAGGAGCATAGATTCGTTCCACCATTATGAATAATGCTGTAAGTATTTTTGTCAAAGACACTTCCTACTAAGAGTTTAGTCTCCTAAGCAACTGAACCATTGTGGATGGACCCCTGCTGGCCTGGTCCACGCAGGTGCAACCATATAGAATCGGCCCAACACTCAGGGTTCCTGAGCTTTTTTATCCCCGCTGCAGGACCAAGACCCGAACCCTGCGGCTGTGGCCGAGAACGCTGCACTGAGCCTGCGCGCAAAGCCTCTGAGTAAAAGGAGAAAGTAACCCCCTAACTAGGCCTCTGGAGGGCGAAAGCTGCTGCACAAGTCTGCGCAGGCGCGCCCCGCTGACGAACACTCATCAGTGCGCAGGCGCCCATCTTAGTTGGTCTTCTAGTCCGGTAAACAGAGGGCCTGCCCCCGACAGCTTCTGCTTCCGGGTCACGCCTTGACAGCGGCTTTCAACCCCCACCTCAGCCCAGCAATTCGGTGAGTGCGGTCCTTGGAGTGGGTCTACAGCCAGGTTTCCTAACCCAGGGTACCACGCCCAATAACGCTTCCTCTACTCCCTGGTCGAAGTGCTCTAGTTCTCGAGGCTGAGACTTATTTCCGGGCCTTAGAAGGCAGATCGAAGAGGGGGTTGGTCCGCGTCTGAGGCCCCCCAGCGCAAATTGCGTGATTCTCTTTCAGTACCGGACCTACCGGGATTGCTGCGATCTGTTTAGAGCCCGTGCAGAAAGTGACACCGCACGTCCTTGCGTTTCGTGCCCTTGCCCCCCGCCCCCTAGCCTCAGCGAGACAGCTGCCGCGGGCCCTCCCGCAGCAGGTGCGGTGGGGATTACGGGCGCTGCAGGCTCGGCCAAGGTTCTCCCGGGGCGGGAGGGGGCGGGGCCGAGGCCTCCCTCGCATCAGAGCTGTTGTGTCTTCTCTTTTCCAGTTTGCTTTTTTTTTTTTTTTTTTTCAGCTTCTCAGTAAGTGCCCTTTGGTGTTTTCTCTGGATCCCGTAGCAAAAGAAAACGAGGGAGACAGGGCTTTCAGCTCTAGCAGAGGAAAGGGCCTTCCAAGGGGATCAAACCTTACACGGGCTGCTGTCTAGTGAGATCGAATTTAGCTTTCCTTGACCATTCCTGAAGTGAATGCTGTCTGCCCTGAAGTTTCATTCCTTTACCGGGAGCTTCCAGGCAGCAGCAGACCACTGACCATACTCTCAGGAGTTCTTAGCCCAGAGCCCAAGAGCGCCCGGGAAATTAGTTCAGGATTTAGTTTCATCCGATTATCATGGCCCAGAAATGGTTAACAAAACGACTTTATTTATTTATTTTAATTTTTGAATTTTTTTGTAGAGACGATTGGGTTTTGGGGTCGTCTCGCCATGTTGCTCAGGCTGGTCTTGAACTTCCAGGTTCAAGAGTTCCTCCTGCCTTGGCCTCCCAAAGTGCTGGGATTACAGGCAACAGAACCACTTTGGTCCAAGCCTCCTGCTTTAGATGCTCTGTCTTCTGCTGCCATTCTTGGAATTACCAACTCAAATGCACTTGTCTTTTTTTTTCCTTGAAACAAAAAAATTATAAGATACAGATACTTGTCTCAGAGCAGTTTAGTGGCTACTGGAGAGATTAAAACACATGCCAAATCTAAACTATCTAGAAAATGTCATAGAGACATATAAACAAGTGTGTCAGCTTATCCGTGCATGATAACGGGAGAAAAATACCTAATTTGAATTATCGATACATATGAATATTTTTACTTGCATTCTTTTAATGGAATTTACATCTACTATAAATGGCTACTGATTCACAAAATAGAAACTATCAGAATTTATAGTATATAATATATAAAGGGATACACAATCACAAAAAGCAAAAATAGGCCGGGCATGGTGGCTCATGTCTGTAATCCCAGCACTCTGGGAGGCCAAAGCAGGTGGATGACCTGAGGTCAGGAGTTTGAGACCAGTTTGGCCAACATGGTGAAACCCTGTCTCTACTAAACATACAAAAATTAGCTGGGCGTGATGGTGCACACCTGTAAATCCCAGCTACTCAGGAGGCTGAGGAACGTGAATTGCTTGAGCCTGGGAGGCTGAGGTTGCAGTGAGCTGAGATCGCACCACTGCACTCCAGCCTAGATGACAGAGTGAGACTCCGCCTCAAAAAAAAAAAAATAAAGCAAAAGACTATATATACATATATATATATATATTTTTTTTTTTTTTGAGATGGAGTCTCACTCTGTCATCTAGGCTGGAGTGCAGTGGCGCGATCTCAGCTCACTGCAACCGCCACCTCCCAGGTTCAAGCGATTCTCCTGCCTCAGCCTCCCAAGTGGCTGGGACTACCAGGGGTGGTGCATGCCACCATGCCTGGCTAATTTTTTTGTATTTTCAGTAGAGACGGGGTTTCACCATGTTGGCCAGGCTAGTCTCGAACTGCTGACCTCAAGTGATCCGCCCATCTCGGCCTCCCAAAGTGCTGGGATTACAGGCGTGAGCCATCGCGCCCCGCCAAAACATTATATATTATTAAATGACCAAAACAATTTCATATGGGTAATGTGCTTATTTATTTCAAGTCTTGAATTTCTTAGGATCTAAAGTAATAAACTTTACATTGGTTCAACAGATGTTAAGAACCTACCATGTGTTCAGGTACTATTGAAAAAATCAGTATCGTTATTCCCAAAGAGCTTATAATAAGAACACAGATTTCTAAGCAGTTGCACCTAGAGAGCTGATACTGTGTATTATATTTTCCCTATTGTTTTTGATATGTACTGTTTCATAGAAGTGTTCTACCTTATTGGCTGTAATTTTAAATGGTCCCTAACTCTTGTCTCTTATACAGCCAAGCCTTTTAAGTTGAATTGAAGTATATTGCATTATTTTCTTCTTCCATCCTAGAACTCTGTCCTATTGTGGTTTCAACATATATTTCACCAAATCTATTTCTCAGTTGCCATGAATAGCCAATTATTAAAAATTTTCACTCATTTTATTTATTTTTTTGAGATGGAGTCTCACTCTGTTGCCAAGATTGGAGTACAGTAGTGCAGCCTCAGCTCACTGCAACCTCTGCCTCCTGGGTTCAAGCTATTTTCCTGCCTCAGCCTCCCGAGTAGCTGGAATTACAGGCGTGCGCCACCATGCCCAGCTAATTTTTTTTGTATTTTTAGTACAGATGGGCTTTCACCATGTTGGTAAGGCTGGTCTCGAACTCCTGACCTCAGGTGATCCACCCACCTCAGCCTTCCAAAGTGCTGGGATTACAGGTGTGAGCCACCACGCCCCACCTTTAACTCATTTTAAAATCTGCAAATTTTCCTAAAACTGAAAGTACATTTTATTATTCTGAATTTTAATTTTTTCCTAGTTTTATATAAATGACTCCAGGGTAGTTATACTTTTGCTTTCCTTACCTATTTTAGAATACTACCTCAAATATTTCCTTTTTTTTTTTTTTTTTTTTGAGATAGAGTCTCACTCTGTTGCCCAGGCTGGAGTGCGGTGGCCCGATCTCGGCTCACTGCAAGCTCTGCCTCCCAGGTTCACGCCATTCTCCTGCCCCAGCCTCCCAAGTAGTTGGGACTACAGGCGCCCACCACCACGTCCAGCTAATTTTTTTGTATTTTTTGTAGAGACGGGGTTTCACTGTGTTAGCCAAGATGGTCTGGATCTCCTGACCTTGTGATCCACCCATCTCGGCCTCCCAAAGTGCTGGGATTACAGGCATGAGCCACCACGCCCTGCCAAATATTTCCTTTTTTTCCTCTTCTGAACACATTTGAAAATGTTTCAGATAACTTTTCATTATTAAGATATATTTGCTCCATAGCCTTCTTCCTCTCTTTTCACACATAACAATCACTTCTATACTGTTTAGTCAGTCGACCAACCAATATTTGTTAAATACCTACCTTTTGTGAGATTCTGTGGCTGGCCTTACATGGGTGAAAAAGTAGAAGACAAAGTCCTTGCCTTCCAGTTGATTACAGTTTCGATGGAGAAACAATATGTACATAACTATATTGCAAGGCCCAGTGTTATAAATAACTTAATGGTGGTGCTGATCATAAAAACCACAAAAATTCAAAGAAGGAAAATAATGTTTTTTGACCTCTTCAGCCTTTTAAAAATCCTATTCCTTGCCTAGTCGTTTGTAAACCACACAGAGCTCCACGGGGGTCTTAGTACCTCTTGGGGAAATCTCGTGCTAGACTAGGTTAGAGTAGAACATTTGTGTCCAGGTTTATCCAACTCCCTAGGCAACTATTATAATCCAATTCCTTATGATTATGGAAATAGTATTAATCACTCCTTGAAATCTGCTTTTAGCATTGGGAAGGCCTCAGAGAAGACCTAACCCTAAAGACAGGTGTGCTCAGTGATATTGTATATGCCGAAAACTTCTTTGTTTCAGGCAGTTTGGAGCATGTGAACACCTTGAGCCTTGATGAGTTCCAGTATGTGGTATATTATGCAGAGCATTCAGAGCAAATACTCTCTCTCCGAGCGCTTAATCCGAACAATTGCTGCCATCCGTTCCTTCCCACATGATAATGTAGAGGACCTCATCAGAGGGGTGAGTGTGCTGGTATTGACAGGAGAGTCCTTGCGATATGAAGTGGGCAAAATCCTCATGGATCACAGATTTGCAGCTTTGACTCAACCCAAGATCACAGGGAGTTTTTACATTTTGCTAACTGCATTAACTTGATCATTAAAATGTATTTCCCCTATGTTTGCTTCGCTTCCCTTCTCCCTTTCACTTTGTGTATCTGATATTTTTCTTCATGGAATATGTTCTCAATAACCCTAGTCTCATGTTCTTTGTAAAATATCTGAGTACGATGCATATGTAATCCATTGAGCTCAAAGTCTTCTATACATGTTTTATTAAGGGAGGAGGTGAGCAAAGCAGAGGTGGTTTTTATTTTTATTTGTTGAGACAGGGCTTCACTTTTGTCACCCAGGCTGGAGTGCAGTGGCACAAACATGGCTTACTGCAGCCTTGACCTCCTGGGCTCAAGCGATCCTCCCACCTCAGCCCCCTCAAGTAGCTGGGACTACAGGCACATGCCACCCATGTCCAGCTAATTTTTTTTTTTTTAATTTTTTGTAGAGATGGTGTTTCACCATGTTTCCCAGGCTGGTCTTGAATTCTCATGCTCAAGCAACCCACCTGCCTTGGGTTCCCAAAGTCGTGGGATTAGAGGTGTAAGCCACTGTGCCTGGCTACAGAGGTGGTTTTTAAATCCTTGTGAGCCTTTCTTCATACCTGGGTTACAATAATTACATGGAGAGATTTTTTACTTACATTCTATGTTAAAAGCAGCTACCACTTCTAGCTCTGTAGAGGATATCAACCTCTAAAATGCATGGTAATTATAGTTTAAGAAAACACCTTAACCATCGGATGTTTAATCATGGCCCTTCAATAATTGTTATGTGACTAGTATCCTAGAAGGTCTTTACTATCCTCTTCTATTTATTTTTCTTGTTGAAGAGAAGTTACACAGTTTTTGATCACCAGAAAATGCATCCAGATGGTTACTTGTGTATATTCTAAGACTTCAGGCTCGTCATTTACAGCCTAGATCTCTGTAGCTGCTTCAGAGTTATTGGACACAACTGAAGAAGGAAAAGTCATGCAGTGTTAGCTTATTGTCAGCAAAAGTAGTGTCAGGAGACTCCGCGGTAGAAACCTTGTAACATTCTAATTCTAGCTCTGCTGCTGAGTCATTCAGTGACTTTGGTCTGACTGGTATCTCCATCTCCCTTGATTTTTTTTTTTTTTTTGAGACGGAGTTTCGCTCGTCGCCCAGGCTGGAGTGCAATGGCGCGATCTTGGCTCACTGCAACCTCCGCCTCCCAGGTTCAAGCGATTCTCCTGCCTCAGCCTCCCGAGTAGCGGGGATTACAGATGCCCGCCACCACACCCAGCTAGTTTTTGTATTTTCAGTAGAGACCGGGTTTCACCATGTCGGCCAGGATGGTCTCAAACTTCTGACCTCAGGTGATCTGCCCACCTCAGCCTCCCAAAGTGCTGGGATTACAGGTGTGAGCCACTGTACTCGGCCTCTCCTTTGATTTTGAATAGAAGCACCAGCAAAGGCTAGATGGTAAAGAATACTGATACTAAGAGGCTACTTTGAAGATGTTTATAAAAAAGGAAAAACCGTGTTAAGATGATGCCACTATTAATGATGGTCATTTGTTGAATGGACAAAAGAGCATGCCATTTCTGGCCTCAGTCTGACAGACTCACTTTCCTACTTTTCCAGAGCATGGTGGCCATAGAAAGTGGATTGCTGGTCCAGCTTTCCTGCCTGATGATAAGGTTTCCAGTGCTTTGATACATAAGATTGTCTTCAGTGATGTCCAGGTGACCATCTGGCAGCCTCCCTTGTGGAGAAACTTAGTAACTTGATCTAAGGAATTAACAGTTCCTTTCCTTCATCTTCAGTGTACTCCTTTGGTTTGGACATTGACATAATATTAATAGAAAAGGAAACAGGAACTAGCACTGTATCTATAAAATAGTGAGAGTTAGAACTCTCTGTCCCCTGGACTCAGTTCTGAATTCTGTCCTGCTGGGCAAGCCAGAGCTGAACACACTGACTGAAGTTGTCTTCTGCCCACAGGGAGCAGATGTGAACTGCACTCATGGCACACTGAAGCCCTTGCACTGTGCCTGTATGGTGTCAGATGCTGACTGTGTGGAGTTACTTCTGGAAAAAGGAGCCGAGGTAATGTTTTTAACACATTCACATTAATGACTCACTAAAACTTGAGCTTCATGTTTTCTTAGAATTTCTCCCCATCACTCCTCCATCTCTTCCCTCCTCCAGTCTGAACTTCTAACTCAAGGTAATGTTGGCATAGCCAATATTAAGGAAAATGTAATGGTAAATATATAAAATGATCTAAGGATTTCATTCTTTTACCTTTCTGTCCCCACCCTGCTTGCCCCCATTGTATGGTGCTGATACTCTGCCTTTCTTTCTTCTCCTTAACTTAAGCTGTCACTGGCCATCACTTCAGGAAGCTTACCTTGTAGGGGCTGTTTATATTTCCGTTTAATCTTCTCATTGCTTATTGTCTATCCAGGAGATATAAATGCAGAGATCCCTCAACTCTGATTAAATCTAAAGTACCCTTAAAAGTACTTAAAGTACTTAAGAAGTGGTACTTAAGATAGGTTTTAGCCAAATAAAAGGTTGAATTTACTTAAATGTTTCAGGGTTTTTTTTTGTTTTTGTCTTTCATTAATGAGGGTATATGCTATTTGGAAATTTGAAGAAAAAAACTACAGGTGATGCTGACTGTCAGCAAGCCAGCTGCTTTTCCAGCACTGGGAGATTTGTGCTCTTCCTATCACATGCTTTCATTTGGGTTCTCTTGTGAACCCACAGCATATTTTTGCAAAGGTCTGACTTATATTCTAACATTTTGAATTTCTCTGTATGGTTAAAGAACTTAGCAAAAGCTATGTTTTTCAGTTTGGTTGCTACATTAGCCACAGGGTACAGAAAGGGTCAGGGTAAGTAAAATAATCCAAAACTCTGTATAGTCAAGCAGCTTTCCAGTAATGTTTCAGAGCAGTTACGGGGACTTAGACTTCCTCTATTCCTGCCTTACCCCTTACTCTGTGGTAGAGATTCTAATGAATAGATAAAAGAACATTGCAGCAAAAACCAAAATAATGCAGACCAGCTAGTCAGTGCACATAATAGTGTTGACTGTTTGAGGACAGTTCTTTTCCTTTTTGCTCCTAAGCTCCTGTCATATCTTCATCTTTATCACCAGGACTCCCTGGGAGTTGCTTGCTGACCCTCCTGTTCAGAGCACTGCATAGCAAAGGTAGTGGGTAACCATGCAAGCTTCTTTGCTGCTGTCCTGTCTTCCTCTCAGTAGTCTGTCTACTGTAATAGTTCCTCCCTTTTTACAGGTGAATGCCCTGGATGGGTATAACCGAACAGCCCTCCACTATGCAGCAGAGAAAGATGAGGCTTGTGTGGAGGTCCTATTGGAGTATGGTGCAAACCCCAATGCTTTGGATGGCAACAGAGATACCCCACTTCACTGGGCAGCCTTTAAGAACAATGCTGAGTGTGTGCGGGCTCTCCTAGAGAGCGGGGCCTCTGTCAATGCCCTGGATTACAACAATGATACACCGCTCAGCTGGGCTGCCATGAAGGGAAATCTTGAGAGTGTCAGCATCCTTCTGGATTATGGCGCAGAGGTCAGAGTCATCAACCTAATAGGCCAGACACCCATCTCCCGCCTGGTGGCTCTGCTAGTCAGGGGACTTGGAACAGAGAAAGAGGACTCTTGCTTTGAGCTCCTCCACAGAGCTGTTGGACACTTTGAATTGAGGAAAAATGGCACCATGCCACGAGAGGTGGCCAGAGACCCGCAGCTATGTGAAAAACTGACTGTTCTGTGCTCAGCTCCAGGAACTCTAAAAACACTCGCTCGCTATGCCGTGCGCCGTAGCCTGGGACTCCAGTATCTCCCCGATGCAGTGAAGGGCCTTCCACTGCCAGCTTCTTTGAAGGAATACCTGTTACTTTTAGAATAGCCGGAGAAGATGTTTGCACCATCGTGCAGGCAGCTCTGGGTGAGGTTGTCCCTGCAGTACTCCTTGTCACAGAAAACAGAAAAACAGTTGTTCCTGTTGTGTGGTTTATAGATTTCGAAGCAACATGTCACAACAATAACCTCCATAGCACCTCCCCTTCCCAAACCAAACAACCCAACAAAAAAAATCCCTCACTTTTGTTTTCTGTTTATTGCTTACCTGGCTTTTTATATTGCATTTTGCAAAAGAAGAGGTCTCCCTCAATCCTCCCCTTTAGGGAAGGAGTCAACAGTGTAACTAAATTTCTCTAGGAAGATGGAAAGTACTTAAATAATGTGTGTGTGGTTTTCCTTTGGGGACGTGGTTAACGGTCCAGAAGAATCCCTTCTAGAAAGCATTTTAGGCCAGCCATGGTGGCTCACGTCTGTAATCCCAGGACTTTGGGAGGCTGAGGCAGGTGGATCACCTGAGGTCAGGAGTTCGAGCCCAGCCTGACCAATATGATGAAACCCCGTCTCTACTAAAAATACAAAAATTAGCTGGGCATGGTGGCATGCGCCTGTAATCCCAGCTACTCAGGAGGCTGAGACAGAAGAATCGCTTGAACCTGTGAGGCAGAGGTTGCAGTGAGCCAAGATCGCGCCATTGCACTCCAGCCTGGACAACAAGAGCAAAACTGTCTCAAAAAAAAAAAAAAAAAAAAAAAACCATTTTAATTGATCTGTGAAAAAACTTAAGAAAATCACAATTTCAGCTAACAGCAATTGTGTCCCAAAGATGAAGATACTATAACCTCAAATGGTGCAGATCCAGAACTGGGCTGGATGACATCCCTACTGTGCCATGTCCTGGGGCATTTGGAAGGGACTGGACCTCTTTCCCCTCATCAAAGGAAACAGCAGTCTTTGCCTCTTTCTGTTGGTTGTGCCCAAGGGCTACAGTAGCTCTGAAATAACAAGAGCTCTGTAATAACAGTAATAAATAGCTCTGAAATAACAGTCCTAAGAACTCCTAAAGTCCTGAGAACTTTTCTTGTAATGCAGCTTTTTCTCTTCCTGAGAAACAGTGTGTTCTAATGGGATTCCCAGGCAGTTCCTACACCTACGGTGTGTGTTCCAGCAGGGAGGAGTTATGGGCTGGGCTGCCTTTTCCCATGGGTCTTCATTCCCAATGGAAAGTTCACTCTGCTTAGTTTGGAATTATTTTTCTTTCAGTTGTTCTGGAACCTTTGCTTTTTATTGATTTATACAATACAATTGGTGGGAGGGTGGACTTGGGATGGGAGTGGGAAAAGCATGTAAGAGCTCCTTTTGTGATGGTCCATCTACCCAAAAGAGATCTGCTTTAGTGAACGATACTCTTTCATTTTTCTAAATTAGATCAAGTTGTTATTGATTTTAGATGACTTGTATGCAAATTTGAAAAACTTTTTTTTTTAAAGCTGATTGGGAACTACAAACAATGAATGGAATCTACTGACACAGCTAATTGGAAAACAGATGTCTTCTTCTGTCCTATTGATGCTGGTGTTTAAAAAACATCACTTAAAAAAAAAGAATAAATAGTTCTAAAAGCAAGTTTGGCAATTTCTACTTTTCCTACTTTTCTCCAACCCCCCTTAGAAAAAGTTCTTCGTTTACTGCCTGGCTGTTCTATGTAACTTTCCATCCCAACCTTTCTCCCATTAGCAGCAGTGATTCTGGGCATTGCTGGAGTGAACAGGAGGGCTTGGGCAGAGTATCTGAAGAGCTTCCCCTTCCTTTATACCTTCTCCCACCCCAAATTTGGAATTACTGCTTTTATGTTCTCAACTCCAGCTGCACATAAAATCACTAAGGAAGCTTTTTAAAAACACTGGTGCCAAGATTTCACCTCATACCAATTCTTTGGAATTTTCTGGGGTAGGACTGGGGGCTTCAGTGCTTCAAATATAGCCAGGAATGAGATTCCACTGTGTTAGTCAGTGGTTCTCAATCCTAGTTATTAATTAGAACCACCTAGGAAAATTTTTAAAAATACTAAAGCCCAGGCTCCACCCCCAGAGATTGATTTAATTGGTCCAAAGCAGACCTAGTAGGGCTGGCCACAGTGGCTCACGCCTGTAATCCTCACACTTTAGGAGGCCGAGGTGGGAGGATCATTTGAGACCAGGAGTTGAAGTCCCCATCTCTACAAAAAAATAAATGAATAAAGTAGACCTGGGCATGAGTACGTTCAAAGGTCCCAGGTGATTCTAATATTCTGGTAGATTTATAAACTGCTTGAGATGCTACTTCATTTCTCATCATAGATACTTAATATTCTAGAAAGAGAAAGTTTTGTCCATGTGGGAAAAAATGTTACCTGTTTCTCAGTTACTTCATAATCACTTATGTGGTTGGTGGCTAATAAATTCTGCTTCACCTCCACTTAAGAGTTCAAACACAATTTCACTTATCTTTTTAGCTCTGGGGAAATAGCATGCACCTTCATAGGTTTTTTTTGTTTGTTTTTAAGTGGTCTTCACTATGCCTTTTTTTCCCAGATCGTATCATCATCCTAAATTTTTTACTCTTTACAGAGTGACATTTTCCCTCTGATTAACTTTCCCTGAGCCATCCTTCCCTCTTCATTTTCTTGAGGAAACAGCTCTAAGATTAAAGACAGGAAAGAGACAGAGAACCTATAAATCAATGGCAATTAGCATTTAAAATGTTCTGAATGAATGCCTGAACCTTCCCTTTCACTTTGTTTTCATAGGCCTTATGGCTCTGGGGATTTGATATGGCATGATAAGGAAGCAGGAATGGGGAATGAGGATGAGGTTTGAAGTCAGAACTGAGTTTGAGTTCTACTTGAATAATATTGAAGGAGACATTATGTAATCAATCACCTTGAGCTCCAGTGTCCTCCTTTCTGAAGTCAGGCTGTCACCATTGCCCTCCAAAAGCTACTATGAGGATTCAATGATGAAATGCCTACCACAGTGCTTGATATTTATTGTTAATTTCTCTTCCCACTAAAGAACTGTGCAAAGAGTATTTGGCTGCCTTATTCCCTGACTCCAGCAACAAACCTTCTCAGTCACTATTTAGAACTGTTTTTAGAGTTTGGCAGTGACAATTTTTCAGACAGCCAGCAAGTAGTGTACTAGAGATAATCCCTTCCTCCACCCCCTGTGATACCCTTAACGTCTTTACTGCTTCATCAGACAAGTGTCTGATACATGGGGCTGACAGTATTACATTCCACTTAGGAAGATGATAACAGGAGAAGCAAAAGCACAGTGACCAGTTGGCATTTATTAGTGTAGTTACAATTTGTCACTGTAGTAAAAGTAGTAGAGGAACCAAGACTCTTTGTTATCACAAAGAAATAAATAAAGCTTATTTTTAGGAAAATTCTAACTGAGTAAGTGATATCTAGCAGTAGCACTAGAGGTGCCCAGCCTTGTGTGACAGATAAAGCTGGGGCAGAAGTCATGTTAAATTCTACCTAAAAGGAGCTCCCACCCACTGCCTGCTCCTCCAGCTCCTGGCCAGAACTGGTCATGGCTGCAAGGTACAGAATAAAAGGAAACCTAATGAAAAAAACAGCTAAAACACTGAGAAGATGTGGACTTATTAGGGTGTGAGCTGACCATGATCAGGTAATCTATTCCCCTCACTCCAGAGAGGTTTAGACGGCAGCTTCCCCGGACCGCTTCCGGGTGATGTGCTCCAGGTGGGCATGGTCTGAAGTGTCCAAGTCAATCTCGTACTTGGCTAGGATTTTGAGGATGGGCCTCAGTTTCAGCCACCACTGTTCCTTGGGGATTCGATGCCTACAGAGGAATGAGGTAGATGATGATATAATCTTTTAGCACCCCAATCAACTTCTACCAAAGGTTTATAGGAAGAAGTTAGACAGAAGAGGTTAGATTTAGGACATGTGCATCACATCTGAAATGGGTAAGAATACAGGTGTTACTCCTTAAAAAAAAAAAAGAATTAAAGACAGTGAACAGGTTGAGGACAGTAGAGCTTGAAACTACCAGGGAAAAGAACCACTCCAGGAAGCAGATGTACTCACTCAAAATCTGTCTGGTCCTTCAGCTCAGCCACTGGTTGGAAGACCAGAGCCCTCTTACGCATCCCCAGAACACAGCCCGAATCTGGAGTATTGGCAAAGATCCGCCCTGCAATGAGGGATGGGCAGTCAGCTTCTATACTGGGGAACCAGCCTCTATAGAGGGCACTCGCTCTCACCCCACCTACCATTACGGTAACTCTCTTTGATTTTCCCAGACATCCAGTTCATAGCCTTGGCGCCCATCTTAGTGGCAAAATTCCTATCAAATGGGGTTGGGCTCCCACCCTGGAGAAAGAAACATAAAAATTACAGAGGGAAGGACTCTAATGAAGTGGCAGAGATATCTAGACACACAGAGAAAAAAAGAAAGATGGGCCCCAGGCTTACAGCCCAAAACAGGAATCCAGAAGTCAAACTATGAAAGGGTGCCCTGAGGCAGTGCCAGGATCCAAGGCAAGCTGGCCCAGCAAATTTGGCCATGTATCAGATATAATAACAACTAATTAAAGATGATTGGCCCCACAATCCCCTCTTTTAGCTCCACAGCTGCCAGATCCTGTTTTAGTTTTATTGGCCAATGGGTCAGCTGCCTGCCCCTCTTCAGCCCAGCAGCTTTTGTTGATCACTGTCAATGATGACATAAAAGTGTTTTTTTTGTGGCCCAATCTGGCTGCCCTTGGTAGCACCTCAGAATTAATATAAAACATCATACAGATTTCCTTTGAATTAAGAGGAAGCAGGTGGGAAAGTGGGAATGTTTGGAGACATTTTTGTTACAATTGGGAGTGAGAGGGAGGTGCTACTGGCATCTAGTGGGTAGAGACCAGGGATGCTGTGCAACTGTCCTACAGTGCATAGAACAGCCACCCATGACAAATTATCATCCAGCCCCAAAAGGCAAAGCTGCCAAGGTTGAAAAGCCCTCCCATGAGGGCTTTTGAAAAGGATAGACCATATAATCTCTAAAGTCATTTCCAGGATAAAGATGTTTTGATTCTATGACTGTAAGAGACTGCAGGCCCATGCTCTATGATGGCACTGACAGGCTCCTCCAGAAGACTGGAAAAGGCCAGTGGAAGCCTCAGTGGCTGTTGGCAGGTATGGCTGTTGGCAGGTATGGCTGTCTGATGAAGGGCATGACTACGGTGTCTTCCCTACCTGCTGCATGTGACCAAGCACATTCTTCCTGCTGTCGAAGATGCCCTTCCCCTCCTCAGAGTACAGGTTGAAAATGAAGTCAGTGGTATAGTTCTCATTGCACTTTTCATTCCTGCCAGGTGGAGACCAAAAGCCTGTGACTCTGTGGTTGGCTTCCCATCCCCCATTTCTGCCTTTGTTCTTTCCTTTCAATTTTTATCTCCTCCAAGGATTCAAGGGATAGGCTGGCCCCCTCCCTTTATATCTACAGATTCCTCAGGGTGTCCCAACAATGGCCATTCTATGGGTTTGAGCCAAAGCTTATTTTTCTTCTTCATTTAGGAACAAACCATGGATGAGGTACCTTAACACCAAGCCCCTTTTCACAGTTGTTTTCATCTTTTGCACCAGATGTTCAACATTTGCCTGAAAATGAAAGAGTAAATCCTAAGCCTAACTGGGAATGGATAAGGTTGGGTATAAATCATCTTCCACACCACACCTCTCCAGGAAGGAAGAGACACATGGAAGAGAGTTGTTTACAATCCTGGGCCTGAACTGTGCCTAATTCCTGTAAGAAGCTCAGTGTGGACTGAAATTTAAACAATGACTCCAAATGAGACAGAACTGGAAGAGGGAGCACTACAGACAGCTGCAGTAACTGTCAGTGTTCAGCCCCTCACCCTCTCCAATCTCCCTTTCCAAGCCTTTCTGGTTCCCCTTGCCTCAGAGGGCTGACTTGTGGTCACAGTGTCAGTGTTGACACTTTATATCTCTGTTTTGAGAGAGTATCTCTCTCAAAAGCAGAATGACAGCAAGGGAAATCTGAAGGGGAGACATGATGTAGTAAAAAGATCACTGACTTTCTCAACCACTTAAACCATCTGCTCACTTAGGAGTTTAGAAAAGTTTTTTAACCTCTCTAAACTTTCTATGTTATATGGAGATAGTATCTTCTTTGCATGTCTATTGTGAAGATAAAATGCAAAAATGCCCATAAAGGGCTTAGCACCAGGTCGCCTGACTCAAAATCAGCATTCCAACAACAGTAGCTGCGGTCATGCATATGAGGTGACACCAGAGAATGCCTGCATAGTGCTCTTTCTGGTCTTCACAGGATTCTACAGACCAATCAGCTCGGTCCTCAACTTGAGCTCTCATAGTTCAGATCACTGTGGAAACAGTCTGGAGACAGGGGAGAGCTATCTAGCAGGCTCTGGGTGGCCAGCTACCTGCAGGTCTCGAATGGTGAAGGGCTCCTCAAAAATGTAGGCAGCATCGGCCCCAGCTGCCAGTCCAGCCATGGTAGCCAGGTAGCCACAGTAGCCACCCATAGTCTCAATGATAAACACCCGACGCTTGGTGCCAGCTGCTGACTGCTTGATGCG
This sequence comes from Homo sapiens, assembly GCF_000001405.40. Lineage (NCBI taxonomy): Eukaryota > Metazoa > Chordata > Mammalia > Primates > Hominidae > Homo > Homo sapiens. The sequence goes on along the minus strand of NC_000012.12, from coordinate 48,142,790 downwards.
GTCACAGGTCTGCAAGGACAATGGGTTATAGTTAGAAAGACATGATCAGGGGCCTGATTCTTATCACTCTTTAATCTTTGCCATTAATTAAACCCTGGAACTATATTCTCCATAGGCTAGCAGGGCCCTTAGAGCTCATCAAGTTCTTGCATTTAGGGTAACAGGCATATTTGCCAACCTCACTGCAGAACGTCTCTCCTGGGAAGAAAGCTGTACCTATCCTTTCTACTGCTCAGAAAATTAGACTGCATGATCTCAGAAAGAAAAAAAAAAACAAACAAAACATTTGGTATTCAGGGTACTGGTGCATTTCTAGGTGAGGAAACTGAACACTTTGTCACCCAGGCTGGAGTAAAGTGGCACGATCTCTGCTCACTGCAACCTCCGCCTCCCAGGTTCAAGCAATTTTCCTGCCTCAGCCTCCCAAGTAGCTGGGATTACAGGCGCCTACCACCACACCCAGCTAGTTTTTGTATTTTTAGTAGAGATGGGGTTTCACCATGTTGGCCAGGCTGCTCTTGAACTCCTGACCCCAAGTGATCTGCCTGCCTTGGCCTCCCAAAGTGCTGGGATTAGAAGTGTGAGCCACCATGCCCAGCTGAAGAATCATTTTCAAACATTCCCATTTGCTTGATATAAAGAGTAGCTCACTGTTTGGGACCACACTCAGTTTAAGGATTATAATCCTGGCCAAAAGGGATGGGAAGTGGTGATAGGCTCTCACTGTGCAGATAGTATTGAGTGCTGTGTCAGCCCCAACGCTGAAGTCTGAGCCAGGGACATTGTTGGAGACTGTAGCAGGAATGACCACAAATGGGATGCAGAGCTCATCAAACTGCTTCCTGCCCTCCATCAGTTCCAGGCCCCCTGTGTAAGCCTAAGAAGAAGAGAGCACAAGGGCAGGATTGGGGAGAGGGAGAGGAGGTAGGAGGGAGAGAGGAAGAAATGGTGGCAGGCACTCACCTCAAAGCCCCCAATGATGACAAGGCCCTGAATGTTAAACTTAGTTATATTGGCACTGATCTGTTCAAAGCTCTTCTTGGGTAGAGTCCTAGTTGATCAGTGATGGCGGGGAGGGGAAGGGGAATTGGAATTTGGGGAAGAGACAGGAAAATTGAGGGGGAGAAAAGCTAGAGTTAGAGGCACTTTATTTTTAATTTCTTGACCTGTGCCGCCCTCCCTAGCCCACCCTCTCAGTCCTATCCAAGGATACATACTGGAGCTCTAAGTTGCCAGAGCTGCTAAAGATGTTGAGATGGGCATGTCTGCCCTCATGGCAGCAACTGTGAGGTTGAGGGTGGAGGACCCAGACAACAGGGTGGTTGAAGCAGACCATGGCATAATGAACCCACATCCAAGGGCAACTTTAAGAGGTGACTGGGAGGAGGTGCCTCTGCAGTGCTACTTACCTTTTAGTCCCAAGTTTAGAGCCACCTTGGCCAGTCCAGCCCCCAACATAGCTCCAGCCAGCTTCCTCTATCTGTGGGGATAAGCCACAGAGCTCTGCACAAGGCTAAAGCACTAGGAGGCCTGTGTGGGACTGGTGCCACTGCTTGAGTTCTAACCCTACCCCTGGATCCCCCTTGGTTGGAAAAGGTACACCAGGTATTAGCTTTTCCCCACGCACTCAACTTCTTCTACCCTTACTGCTCATTCACAAATATTAAGCATCTACCTATGCCAGGCACTGTGCTGAGCTTTGGGACAGAGAATTAAATAAGACATGTTGTTTGCAATGGTTCACTGCAGTAATTCCTGCTGTTCCTACTGCCCTAGTATTAAATATCTACTTCTGCCTGGACCCTGAGAGAGGAGAGAGAGGTAGTGAGGAACAGAGGAAGCCAAGAGAATGGACAGGTCATTCTTGCTACACTTATCTTCCCCATGACTGCTCCTAGGTCCCAGAATAGTCCCCATACCTGCCCCTTGGCCAGGCCCTCGAAACCATCATGGACAACGAGCACTCGGTTGCCCTGGATAAGGCCAATCCTCACAGTGGAGCGAACAGCAGCATTCATGCCTGCAGCCGGAGCCCCCACGTTCATCACAGCCACTGTGTGCGAACCACTCTATACAGGAGGAAGCAGGGAAAAATGAGGACAGAAACCCAGCAGGGGAACAGGGAGGAGGTTAGTAAAGGAGGGCAAGGGCTCTAAGCCCTTGTCATCCAGGGATCAGGATATCTGCCTAAGACAACACAACACACACCCCTCTCCCAAGGAATGCCAGCACAGCTGGCTACCACATACATGGAAGCAAAATTCTTGATCACAGATCAATAAATAAAGCTGCTGTCCCCCATCTCAGATATCATTATTATACAATGAATGAGAGACCTTCCAGAGCAGCACTTCCCAAGTGTGTTCCTTGGATCACCTGCATCAGAATCCACTGGGGGAGCCTGTTAAACCTGCATATTCCTGGCCTCTACCCAGATATGAATCTCCTCTGAGAGAGGGGCCCAGGAGTTTGCATGTTTAATAAGCAACCCAAACAATTCTGATATATACTTAATATTGAGAACCACTACTCCAGTGGAAGAAGTGGCTTAGATACACTTAGATGTGATTATTCCCATATTTTCCCAGAGAAAAAGTACATAAGCCCTCTTTCCCATTCTTTGCATGCTATCTTGCCAGTCCTGAAGTGGGCATGGGTCTTGTGTTAGAGATATCCAGGGTACACTAAGAAGGGGGCTCTGGTATCTGGGGTGGTTAAGAGGAAATCATTATAATAGGGCCAGGGACCCAGCACTGAAGATCAGAGTGGGGCAGAGAAGTTGGCAAGGCTTATGTTGTATGGACTGTGGTAGCATTTATGAAGAGAGACTGGGGGAGGGAGAAGGAAAAGGGGAGAGGGCAAGTCAACTTGCCAGTACCTTAGATACCGGGGGTCTGACATGAGCTAGAAGCTTGTACACCTCCCAGTTGTTCATGAAGCTCCTGTAGGAAGTACAAATAGAGAGAGGTGTCTTCAGGCCATTCCCCACAGCCAGCAGCCATGGAGATCCTGGTCTGAAGTGTTGCTCCCAGAGGGAAGTTCCATAGGGCAAACCTCTGAGGACAGAACTGGGGCAGAGCAGGGACAGGGCAGGGGCTGCAAAAGGGCCACTAGTTCATCAAACACTCCCTCAGTACTCTTCTTCAGGCACTATGCTCAGCACAAGAGACTGTCCCTTGCCTAGAGGAACTTATCATCTTGCTGGGGCTCACATATAGAAATAACAGATTATAAAAGGTTGATGCCAGGGACCACACCCCTGAGATGAACTGAGCCTCCCAGTCACCTCACAACTAATTTTCTTGGGCAGGAACTTGCTGCAGAGAGAATCAGAAAAGGAAGCAGCAGAAGCTCATGTTTTGGGCCTGGAGCCATGGAGATCTTTGGCTTCGTTCACGCCTCTGATTTCTGTAGCTAGTGAGCTTCCCGTCATCTCCTCACCGGCCTCTCAGCTTCAGGGCTTCGTCAAATTTCTTCTCATCCATGGCCTTGGTCACATCTTTGGTCTGAGGGGGGAGCACAGCGACAGTTTCAACTCCAGGGTCAGGATTCTGCACAGCTGGAACTCCATCCCACAGTCGAACTCTGCCCATCTCTGGGATTGTGACTAGATCCTGTCCATTCTACACCCCACCTTTCCTATGCCCCCAAACTTTCATGGAAGTATTTTTGTTTTTCCTGAGTTGTCTAAGTAATGAGCAGCAAAAGAAAAGAACTGATTCTATGCTCTGTTTATTTTATTTTTTTTTTGAGACGGAGTCTCGCTCTGTCGCCCAGGCTGGAGTGCAGTGGCGTGATCTTGGCTCACTGCAACCCCCTGCCTCCCGGGTTCAAGCAATTCTTCTGCCTCAGCCTCCCAAGTAGCTGGGATTATAGGCGTGTGCAACCACACCCGGCTAATTTTTTTGGTATTTTTCACCATGTTAGCCAGGATGGTCTCAATCTCCTGACCTTGTGATCTGCCTGCCTCGGCCTCCCAAAGTGCTGGGATTATAGGCGTGAGCCACCGTGCCTGGCACTATGCTCTGTTTATTAGAAGTATGGGCAGAGTGGAAGAATGCTCACAGATAAATAGTATCTTCCATTCCACACCCAGGTCCCCGGCCTTAAAGCAGCCTCTAAAGTCATGAGTAAATGAAGATCCTACAGGTAACCCAGTTAGGAAGGACTGATTCCTGCTGTGTGCTTCTCAACTACTGATTTCAGCTCTGTGGGGCAGTGCCTTCACTTTGGAGCTTTTACAGATACATTTCCAAGCAAGGCTGCAGGTAACTGGGACTCCTGAGTCTCAGAGAGAAGGAGGCCGGGAGATGGGGAGTATTTAGACCAGCCCTCAGAACCAGGCCACACAGCCTAGTTCTCGCTCTCAGCCGCCACGTTCGCTCTGTGGTATCAAAGGAGTGATTCCTTCATAATAAAGGCCACCATTTCCTGAGCACTCAACATTTGCTAGGTACTGTATCACATGCTAATATAGCTTATCTCCAATCCTTACAATAACCCTCAACGTTAGCATTAGTAACCTCGTGTTGGTTCAGAGAAACATGTTCAAGATAGAAATCATAGAGACAAAAGCTACCCAGCTAGAATTTAATAATATTCTCCTGTTCTTAATAAAGTTAGGAGGAATATAGCATTATTCTTCCAATAAAGACAAGATAAAAAGGTTTGAGGTTGTATATTATGAGATACTGGGTTTCATTACTAAGGAGGATGTAGAATCTCCCACCTTCCTTAGGAACATTTTACAGATGGGAACACTGAAGCTTAGTTAAGAGCTCCTATGCAAAGCCCACTGTGTTCTTTCCCCACATGTCTCTTACTATACCATCTTGCCTTTCCACCTGCTCCTATACCAGTGGCCTTAGACATAGTCTCATGCCCCTTGAGCTCCAAGGCAGGGGCTTGAGAGTGTTAAGAAAGGGGTTTAGGATCAGTACTTACCACCTGGACACATTCCATGAGGGGCAGGCGCACAGCCTGGTTACCAGAGAGGCTCACTACACAGGCTGGGGTATCTGGGGTCCCCTCCAAAAGTGCCATCACTGCTTCCACACCCATCCTGCTGCCCTGCAGGAGCCCAGAGAACAAAGACAGTCTGGCTCAGGCTGCCCCATCTTGGCTCAGCCTAGAGAGTCAGGATACTCGAGCCCTTTTCCAAATCACAAGACTGAGTCTCACAATTAAGAACTGCAGCAAAGAACTTACTGGGCTTTACCTCCCCAAACAGATTTCATCTAAAGCTTGATGACTCTGTATTCTTGCCATCGGAACCCCAAAGATTCTACTTACTTCTAGAGAAACATGCCCACTATGGTAATCAACAGGATTACTGGGGCTTAATAATATTCCCTTCTTATTGACAAAACAAGGTAGGAGATTGCTTTGCTCTTCCAGTGAAGATAGGATAAGAGGGTTTAAACTGAGTGTCTAAGGTTGGAATTACATGCCTGTAATTCCAGCATTTTTGGAGGCCAAGGCAGGCGGATCACCTGAGGTCAGGAGTTCAAGACCAGCCTGGCTAGCATGGTGGAACCCCGTCTCTACTAAAAATACAAAAAGTTAGCCAGGCACGGTGGCATGTGCCTGTAATCCTAGCTACTCAGGAGGCTGAGGTAGAAGAATCCCTTGAACCCAGGAGATGGAGACTGCAGTGAGCCGAGATTGCACCACTGCACTCTAGCCTGGGTGATAGAGCAAGACTCCATCTCTTAAAAAAAAAAAAGAAAAAAAAAAAGGCTGGGCCCAGTAGCTTACGCCAGTAATCCCAATGTTTTGGGAGGCCGAGGCAGGCAGATCACAAGGTCAGGAGTTCAAGACCTGCCTGGCCAACATGGTGAAAGCCCCATCTCTACTAAAAATTTAAAAAATTAGCTGGGCATGGTGGCAGGCACCTGCAATCCCAGCTACTCAGGAGGCTGAGGCCGGAGAATCCCTTGAACCCAGGGGGCAGAGGTTGCAGTGAGCTGAGACCATGCCACTGCACTCCAGCCTGGGCAACAGAGAGAGACTCCATCTCAAAAAAAAAGAAAGAAAGAAAAAAGAAATACCACTATATACCTATCAGAATAGTAAAAAAAAAAAAAAAAAAAAAAAAAGTGACGACCCCCAAATGCTGGTAAGGATGCAAACAAAACAGGTGGTTCATAAATTGCTGATGGAATGGTACAGCTATTCTGGAAACAGTTGGGCAGTATCTTTGAAAAAAAATTTTTTTAAGAAACAAAAAACTACCATACAACCCAATTGAACTCCTGGGCAATTACTCTGCAGAAATGAAAATTTAAGTTCACACAAAAAGCTGTACACAAATGTTCATAGTCGCTTTATCCCTAATAGCCAAAAATTGAAAACTCAAATGTTTGAATGATTAAACAAGCTGTAATACGTCCACTCCATGGAGTACTGCTCTGCAAAAAACAGCAAACTATAGAAACAAACAACACCTTTGATAAACATCTAGAGAATTATGCTGAGTGGAAAAAAAAGCCAATCCTAAAGGGTTGCATATTATGCAATTCCATTTATATAATATACATAAGATTAAAAATTACAGACAAAGAGACAGATTAGTGGTTGCCAGAGGTTAAGAATGAGGAGGGAGGGCCAGGCGCAGTGGCTCACGCCTGTAATCCCGGCATTTTGGGAGGCCGAGGCGGGTGGATCACAAGGTCAGGAGATCAAGACCATCCTGGCTAACACGGTGAAACCCTGTCTCTACTAAAAATACAAAATATTAGCCGGGCGTGGTCCAGGCGCCTGTAGTCCCAGCTACTTGGGAGGCTGAGGCAGGAGAATGGTGTGAACCCGGGAGGCAGAGCGTGCAGTGAGCCAAGGTCGCACCATTGCACTCCAGCCTGGGAGCGAGTGCAATGGTGCGTCTCAAAAAATAATAATAATAATAATAATGAGGAGGGATGGGTGGGGGTAAAGTACACGTGGCTATAAAAGGACAACATGAGATATCCTGTGGTAACAGAAATGTTCTGTAGCTTGACTATATCAATGTCAATATCCTGGTGATGATATTGTACTATAGTTAAGCAAGATGTTACCATTGAAAGAAACTGGGCAAAGGGTATGTGGGACTACCTCTGTATTATTCTGTACAACTGCATGTGAATCTACAATTATCTCAAAATTCGTATTAAAAATATATGAAACAAAACAAAACAAAAAGATATTGTTCCTCACCATTAGGAAGGCGTAGTCTCTCACCATTTTTGTAACAGAAGAGAACCCTCAAGTGTATGGGAATGGGTCAGTGGCCACTGCAGCCCAAAGGCTGGTGGAGAGGCAATGCGACCAGTGATGTAAGTCCCTGTCTGGTGAAGTGCAGCCCTGAGGGGGCAGGACTACAAGGTTGAGGGTTTCAAGGCATGAGGGCCACACAGCCCAGTGACTTACCAGAATTCTGTCAAAGGCTGATGGCGTCCCACCCCTCTGCACATGCCCCAAGACAGTAACCCGGGTGTCATATCCCAGACGCTTAACCACCAGCTGAAGGGACCAACAGAGGGACAGAGAGAGGGTTACGCAGAGTCAAAGGAAGAAAACAAGCAGAGACTTGGGTAAACCATGGACAGCTCAGCCTCTTGTCTTGTAATGGTTCTTTGTGGGAGGCAATCAGGGGCAGGGAACCAGGGAGAGATGTGCAGAAGGACCAAGGGGAGAAGCAATGTCAGGAGACTCAGAAGCCAGAAGGGAATGGGCTATGGATTCTAAGGCCTCTCTGGCTTCATTCATACGAACATTCTTGATGTCTTCTGAGGTGATTGGTTTTCCATTCTTGTCAATTGCACCCTCAGCCACAATGATGATGTTGAGACGAGAACCACGGGTCCTTGTCTGGTTGAGAACAAAGGGTAAAATGGTCCATGGAATGAAGCTGATGGGTGGGAAAGAGATCATCAGTGGAACAGGGTGAGGGATTTCTTAAGGGCAAAATAAAGTGCAAGTACCTCGCTGAGTCGGCGACAAAGGTGTTCCTCCCAGTCGTCATCTGGTGGACATTCAGGAATAAAAACCCAGTCGGCCCCACAGGACAGAGAGGTGACAAGGGCCAGGTATCTGAGATGAGAGTCAGAAGCATCCTGCTAGAAGTTGTACTCTACAAATAGCCTCACCCATACCCAACAAGTTCTCCTAGTCCTCATAGTTGATAAAAGGTCTGGAGAGCCTCCATTTTATTCGTGGGGCAAGGGTAAGAGCACCGGGGCCCCTCAATGAGATTCTGTCTCTAACGGATACCTTCCATTTATGTTCACCTGCCACAGTGGCTTCCAGCCTCAGAGCACTACCCACTCTTTACACCAAGCACGTGCCTGAGCACGTACACACATGCATGTGTGGGGATGTAACAGAGGGGATGGAGGCCGGAAAGGGAACCACACCACAAGGAGCATGTGCACCTCCAGATCTGCTGCTACTGAGAGACCTCACTGGACTCTCTGGGGAAAAGGAAAGGGCTATCGCTAGGTCCACGGAATAAATGGGTCAGAATGAGGATCTTACCCACAGTGGCGGCCCATTACTTCTAACACAAATGTCCTCTGGTGGCTGCAAGAGATAGACATATGACACAGTCCAAGTGACCCTATGGCCAAGATCAAGCCACCACCCACATCTAGGCCAATTACCCTCTCTGGGAGATACATGTATGCTGCCAGGCCTTCTAGCAGGCTTCCTGAGACCAGGAAGACCTAGGGGAAATACTTTAGCCACAAGGTATCCTTCCTAGGCCTGAGAAAACACAGCAGTAAAAAGTGTCTAAACAGAGGCTCTGTTCCAGGGAGGAACCGGGTCAGGGAAGGGAAGGAAAGGAAAGGATAAGAAGTGAAGGGAGAATTGGACTAACTGGAATCCTTTAGGATTACCCTGGGGTAAACTGTTACCCTTCTATCCTCCCATCCTACATTGCCTCCCCCCAGGTCCCCTTATCTCTGAGCTGTCGTGGTCATAGCAGCACCTATACTTTCTATGATATGGTTGGAAAGCGTAGCTCATGTCTGGGCTCCCTAGATTTGCCCAGTCTGAAGAATAACCATTTACCCCAATGATATGAAAGACCTCAGAGCTGCATATTTGGACAGTGGGCCAGACAGTGGCAAAAGACAAATCATATATCATTAAGGGAACAGTGCAATTTCAGTGCTCTAGATAATTTTTCGTTAAAAATAGTGTTCTAGCCCCAGAAAACTGGCCATTATAGTCACCATAGCTCAAACGCTTTAGTCTTCAGGAGCTTCTAGCCCTTTAGCCTGTCCTAGCTGCCATCTTCTTACACTGCCTACCTCCCAAGTCCCCTTACCTCTGGGCAGTGGTAGTGATGGCATCTACAATTTCCATGATCCGATGCAGGGCAGAGTCAGTGCCAATGGTCATATCGGTGCCACAGAAGTCATTGTCAATTGACCCAACCAGGCCCACAATGTTCAGGTAGCTGGACTTCGTAGCCTCCTCATCTGTGATCTTACCTGACAATGAGAAGCAAACCAGGAGCCACTGGGTGAGGCACCTGGCATGCCTAAAGAGGAGATATCTAGAGAGAGAGAAACTCTAGCCAAAAGGAATTGTAGACAATACCAGAAAAAGGAGGGCAAAGACTGCCTATTTGTGTCTGGGTAACATTTTTCTCCAATGGGAGGTAAAAGCAGGGCGGGGGCGATGTGTGTGTGTACACGCGTGCACGTACCGACACAAATAAGCAATACTGATGTGAAAACTCTCTTACCTGCTTTCTGGAGGTCACTCAACAAGTCACTCCACTCAGAACGGAAGGTGTCAGCCCCAGTGAGGCTGCCATCACCCCCAATGACACAGAGATTGGTGATCCCACGCTTCACCAGGTTGTAGGCAGCTCGGAGTCGTCCTTCTCGTTCCCGAAAGTCCTTGCACCGGGCACTTCCAATCACCGTGCCTCCCTTTGGAAGAGGTAGAAGTCAGCTCCCCAGAGACAGGGCTCAACATGCTGAGATATCCCCTATTCCAATGCTGTGATGGCCTAACATAACTGTGTGACTCCCTAGAAAGTTCCTTGACATCCTTAAGAGTGATCTGTCCCTTCCAAAGGAAAGGGAAATGATGCTGGCTGAGGCATCATAGGGTCATTCCCATATTTTGCTACACATCTGAGAAGACTGCTAAGAACTCCTTTCATTGAAGGCTTTGTCATCCATGACTATCCTAAAGAGAACAAGTGAATACATACATGTATGTTGGCTTCTCAAATAATCTCCAACTTTCACATCTTAGAAGCAGTGACTTCAGTCTTTAGAAATTCTCCCTAATGGCCTGACATTACTGGATTGTGTCCAAATTATTATTAGGAGTTCATCCCAATGTGTTTTGTAGTATTTTTCCTCTCTCTGCACTGAGATTTCTAACTGTACCCAGGTACTGCCAATCCTTTCCCCTTAGCTCCTTGCAATCCATGGTGCTAGCAGCAGAAGCTGCAATATCCAGGTATTCACAGGAAAAATAGCTCTAGGTAAAGAAAGCCTTATAGATACCCCAAGAGAGGTATCTATAAGTCCCTGGGAAATTAAGGCTTTCTATCCCTGAGAGAAAGTATACTTACCTGAGAGAGGTAAGTATACTTAGGTTTTCATATCATATGTACTCCTGGGCAGCCATGACTTTGGGATACTGGTGGAGAATTCTGGCTCATTCTCAGACCACTTTATGGCAGGCACCATTACTTAGCACCTAGGTAGAGCCTTCACTAGACACTGCATATTAAATTTTTGCCCATGGATTTTTAGGGAACTGAGCTGAAAAAAGGGGGATACAAATGTAATTTACAAATTTTCAGTAAACCAGCAAATGATTGTATTTCTCTCACTCACTGTGGGCTAGCCCACAGTGGATACACATGAGAAGCCTAAAACAACATGGAGCAAGTAGCATAAAGGACTGTGGAAATCCTCAGGATACTCTTAGGATTTTTTTGAGACTCCGAAAGGCTGTCTCAGTTCCTTCGTCCTTTAAGTGGTCTGGTTTCAGGTCACCTCATCTCCATCACATGAGGACTGGCAGATTTCAGCTCCACTTCTGGCTCTGGCTCCAGTCCTCTGGTAAGGTTATTTTCAGGGCCAGACCTTCCCTGTGACCCTAGAGTAAGATCTGCTTATGTGTCAGTCCCCATAGTCTTGTTTATGACCTTTCCATAAAGAGCAAAGCATCCTGTGATCACTCCTCCACCCTCTCCCTGCCCCAGGAAACCAGGGTGGTATTTTCAAATGCTAAGAGTAAAGGGCAAATAGGGTCCCTCTCTTGTCACTGAATTCCTTCCCATGAAACCACATGACAGGGAATTTAGGAGACCATGAGCCCAAAACAGAGTGGGATGAAACAAGGACAGAGCAAATATGGGACAGGGAGTTCTCTGGAACATACCAGCTGAAGCATCATCGAAACGCTCTCCCAGGTGGCTTCCTTGATGTGATCTCCACCATCCACCAGGCCTTGATAACCCTGTGTGACACATTATACCTGTTCAGCCCGTTAGGCTTCTCTATAAATTCCCAAGATTAAGACAGGATCCCTGGGAAGAGATTCTCTGAGAGTCAAGCCACCTCCTCCCATTAGTGAGTCCTGGATGCTCGTGAGACTATCATATTTAACACAGTCCAAAGAAGGAGGCATCAACTTTTGCAATACTCTCTTCTACTTTCTCCCATTTTTGAAATACTGGGATGTGGATATCCTTCCTAATAGTTAATCTTAATTCTTATTTTTGGCTCATCCTATCTCCTCCAACCTGCTTCCTAGGGGGCCAATGATAACAGATGGTCTTGATAACCATGGAGAAAAGGAGAAGGGGAAGTTGGTGGGAGGGAAGGAAAGAAACGCGACTTGCTCTAAAAGATTATAAAATCTGATACAAGAAAGCAGGTGGACCTTATAAAAAGAAGAGTGGGTGAAGCATGAGAGGGTACTGGGAGAAGGGTGCAAAAGAAGATTTGAGAACCTCAGAAAGTTATGCAAACTACAGAAATGCAGCAAGTCTCTTTTCTCCTGGGGCTCTTCCTCTGGATATACTAAATTTGCTGTAAATACTACCCATTTCCATTTCTTTCTCTGTTTTGAGGGAGATAAAAGGAGGACTGAGAGTTACTTTTTCCTTTAAATTGAACAGGCAACATGAAGACCCAGTTTGTAGATGCTCAGGTCCCACCATCACTATTGGAGTCAAGTAGGAAAGAGTGACTCATGAAGCTACGGAGTCAAGGAAAATCAAACACAGCAATGTAACTAACTGGGAGGTAAGGACACAGAATGTGGGAAGGGGATAGAAGGCAGATTTAGAAGAAGACAGAGAAAGAATGATGAAGAACAAAGTACAGAACCAACCTCATGGACAAAGAAGACACGGGCACCGGTGAAGATACCAACTCGAACCACAGCCCTGACAGCAGCATTCATACCTGAAAGGAGGGACAAAAGAAGTCACGGAGAGGTTGCTCCTAAGAAAAGGCGCCCTGGAATCCAGAGATATTACATTTGGCTAAAGATAACGAATCAGTACTTTATTTAGTCTTTTCTCTGAATCTAGAATAATCCTCTCATCAAAGTCTTCTGGCCTCCCCACTCCCAATTACTGCAGTCAATGTTACTGGAGCTTCAGATAATCTGCATTCATTGCTCCTCAAGCCCCCCCAAAATCCTGCCTTTCCCAAGACCTTTCCTTGATAGGACCATCTGGGAAACAATAACAACAAGAATAACACATTTTCTTGAATGTGTATTGTGGGCTAGACACTGCCAAGAGCTTGTCAAACATCATCTTATTTAATGCTGTTAACAATCCTGGAATTGTCTCCATTTTAAAGATTTGGAAACTGAAACTCAAAAAGGTCAAGGGGCACAAAGCTAGTACTTTTAGAAAGTTCAGATTAGAATTCAAGTTCTCAGATGCCTAAGTTAACATTATTAGCCTCTATGGCTTGTCCTACTAATGTCAATGGCTGTACTAGGTTTTTCCTTGCTTTCTGCACTGAATCGAGACATCAGCTTTTAGTTGGCATTTCAGGACAAAGACATGACTCTATATGGTTCAGTAACCTGGCAAGTCACAGTTTATTCACAAGTTCACAGTATATCTGTTACCAGACAGCTGATTCTCTCAGTCTACACACACACACCCCCCTTTTTTGTGTCACTTGAGTTGGTCTATGTTCCAATGTGTGCCACACAGTTGTGATTTACTAGTTATCACACTGCCAGAAGAGGCTGTGACCAAGTGTGCAGGAAGAATTGGTGGGGACTCTATTCTCTCACTGCGTTCTCCTGGCATTTCCTCAATTAGTCAACAAATATTTGCTAGTCTCTTCCTGTGGCCCTGTATATAAGATGTTTATGGGGAACTCAAAAAGTATACTGTAAATCATTCTCTCTCTGCTTCTACTGGAAGAAAAACTTAGAACTAGGGCTGGACACGGTAGCTCATGCCTGTAATCTCAGTACTTTGGGAGGTCAAGCTGGGAAGACTGCTTGAGCCTAGGAGTTTGAGACCAGCCTGGGCAACATAGCAAGACTCCATCTGTAAAAAAAAAAAAAAAAAAAAAAAAAAAAAAAAAGAAAGAAAATTAAAACAAAACAGAACAAAAACTTAGGACTAAAATAGAGAGGCAATCCTTTTCCCTTTTTCACAGATGATATTATCCCTCTCCTAGTAGCTGCTCAGTGAAAAGAACTCTCTTCCAGGAGCACTGTGAAAAAGCCAACCCGTCCCAACATAAAACACACAGCAGGTGTCCCATATGTGTGTTTCATATTAGGAACAATGCACTGATCCTCTGCTAAGCATGGCCTTATTGGTGAGAGATGGGAGACATTCCTTTCCTACCATGTAATGTGACAAGGAGCACATGGTGATGCACAGGGAATCTTAAGAGCCATGAAGGGTCAACTTCTTGTAAACCATTTTAGCCAGTCTCTCTTAGACATTCTAGTACATATTTTTGTTTTAATCTAAAATCTGTTCATGTTGTCCTTAACCCTGCCTGGAGAAATGTAATATACCAACAAGCACTAAGAGAGCTAGTAATCGGAAAAATCTGCAGCACCAAACTAAAAAACCATCACAAACTTTTGAATAATCCAAGGCTATCAGGAATAGAATGGAATAAAAAAAATCAAAATGTTTCTTTTTTTTGCAGGTTGGTATTACATGGCTATTAGCTCCAAATTGAATTGAAGGTCCATTTGTTCACTGAACAAATACTAACTGAACACCTATCATGTTTCAGGCACTATGCTAGGCACTGGGGGTACAGCAATGACCACCACAGAGTCTGGGAATACCAAGATAAAGGACTTGGTAATGGTCTTCAAGACATGTGGAGAATTACAATATGGTCTATTGGTCCCTATAAAAGACATGAGCCAAGTACAATGGTGCATCCCTATAGTCCCAGCTACTTGGGAGGCTGAGACAGGAGGATCACTTGAGCCCAGGAGTTAAGTGTAGTCTGGGCAACACAGTGAGACCCCATCTCTCGAAAAAAAGAGAGAGAGAGAGAGAGAGACAAAGTACAGTCGAAACAGGGACAAAGAGTATCTAAGCCTGCCAGAAGGAAGTCAGAGAAGGTTATACAGAAAAGACAGCATTTGTCATGGGACCTAAAGGACAATTTCCTTTAAAATTTTTCTGTCAGGTGGATAATTTGAGGGAGAGTATTCTTGGCAGAGGGAATAGCACAAATAAAGGTGAGGGTCAAAAAATAACCTTAAGTAATTTAGTATTATAAAGAATAAAATATAAACTAGGAAATGGTGAGAGATGAAGCTCTACAGGTGGGCAGGCACCTATGTGCCATGAGAAGTTTGACTTGTCTTCTACAGGCCAGGGTTTAATCAGGGATCCATGGGTGATGGGTTTCAGGGAATCCAGGAACCCCACAAAACTGTATGAAAAGTTCTGCAGGCATGGACATTTCTTTCGGGAGAAGGTCCACAGCTTTCATTTGATTCTTAAAGGGGTCTGTGGCCCCTCCAAAAAGAAAAGTTGCATACAACAAAGAATCCCTGAAGAATTTAGAGAGCAGAGGGACATGATGCGATCTGTATCTCAGAAAGATAACTCTGGCAGCAGTGTGAAAGACAGCTTGAGAGAGGGATTTCTAGGGTTAGGAGGCTACCTGGCATCCTAGAAAAGAAATGTGGAAGGCCTGAACTGGAAGAGTAGCATTTGGGACAAAACAAAATACTGGACAGAAGACATCTAGGAAACAGAAGCAACAGGACTTATATCCAGTTGGCAATGTGATTACATTTCAAGGGTCAGAGAAGGAGAAAATGTCCCGTGATTGATTTAGACAAAGGGTAAAAGCGTGGTCCACTGACTCAGCAGAGGCAGGTTTTGGTTTGGGCAGGTGGCAGTGGGGGTGATACATTCATATTTGGATATGCTGTTTGAAGTTCTTGTGGAGTATCCATGTGAACACAGAAGAGACTATCTCAAGAGAATATGCAGAATTATAAGGGAAAGGGGCAAGGAATGCAACCCTGAGGAAAACCAACATTGAAGGAACAGGAAGGGGAAGGGGGGTTCCATGATAAAAACTAATAAGGGGCAGCAAGAAATACAAAAGAACCAGGATTTAGCAATGTCTTAGAAGCCAAAAGTGGACAGTTTCAAGAAGTTGGAACAGTGCCAAATGCTTCTGATAACTGATCTAAGGTAAGGCCTGAAAGTTTGGGCTTGTCAACAAGAAGCCATTGGTGAGCACTGATGTCAAAGCTTACTTATGACATCACTAAGGCAAAGCCCCATGAAGTCTAGAAGCCTAAGTTCACAACCTTAAGTTGAAGGCATCAAAACCAAAAAATCTGTGAAGAGAGGGGCTTCTCAGTAGCTTGAGGAATAGCCTATGTGTGTGAAAGGAACAAGGTCAAAAGTCAACACAAAGCCTTCAATGCTTTAGGAAAGATGAATAAAGTTAGCTCAATAAGATCAGAATAGATATGAAACTAAAGTTTGTTTTCCAGTCTTTCACAAGGCCTATGGGATTCTCTTCTGGATACCTGGAGTTCTGGAGTATGAATTTGTAATTTCAGGAAATAAGGGAAAAAATTGTTCTGAAATGTATAGGTTGGAACATTGTTTCCTGTTCCCAAGCTGAGTAAATGGTCCTGTAAAAACTCTAACTTAATGCAATCCTGTTGGTATACCCAGGGTTAAGAGAGACAAGTGACTCCGAACGTTTTCAGTACAAAAGCAAACAACAGATGGTGGGCAGGGACTATCCAAATCTGTTGGGCATACAAAAAAAATCTCACAATAAGGAAATTCTCTTCTCCCTCTGCCTTCTTCTTACCTCAACTCTACCAACTTCCAGAAGTCATTCATCCTGTCTCCAACTTGAATATCTGAGTGTTTTCCTAGAAACCAAACTTTAGGATGCTCTTCATGTACCTGGTACCTATGCCTCAAACCCCTAGTTCCCTAAAAATCACAAACTTTGGGGTATACAAATAGTTTATATTAAGGAGCCCCGGTAATTCTTTGAGCTCTCCTAGCCAACCTGACTAGCTTAGTCTGGCCCCAAGCCAGTCCTGGCCAGAGTCTCCTTGGCTGTTCCATGTTGCCCTAAATAACCCTCCATGGCAGTTGTCTGACTTATTAGAAGCAAGACGAAGGATAAGATTACAGGCACCATCCAGTAGGTATTCTGGGTGTAGTCAGGAGGGGTTCTGGAGAACATCATAAGCACGTAGTTTGGAGTCTCCAATTACGGCATATTGGGAAGAGGTTTTAGAAAGAAGAACTGTGGGTAATGGGTCTCTATGAGACTAGACAGAAAAAAAATCTAATAAATGACTTGAGCATGACTTTAAAGCTGATACTAAATAATTTATTTCTGCCTTAACTTTCATAAGATTTTTAAAAATATATGAGGAATAAACATTTGTTAGAGATGAATTGCACTTCCTAATGGATATCATAAGTAAAAATTATAAACCTTAGAATAGCAAGCCAGAGAGGTAAAAGGATCTCTGTTCGTGCGAACCTTTAAAAATAGAAAAGGCCAGGTGTGGTGGCACATGGCCTGTGGTCTCAGCTACTTGAGAGGCTGAGGCAAGAGGATTGCTTGAGCCAGGAGTTCAAGACCAGCCTGGGCAACATAAAAAGATCCCTTCCCATCTTTTTTTTTTTTTTTTTTTGAGACAGAGTTTCACTCTTGTTGCCCAGGCTGGAGTGCAATGGTGTGATCTCGACTCACCGCAACCTCTGCCTCCCGGGTTCAAGCGATTCTCCTGCCTCAGCCTCCCAAGTGGCTGGGATTACAGGCATGCACCACCACGCCCAGCTAATTTTGTATTTTTAGTAGAGACGGGGTTTCTCCATGTTGGTCAGGCTGGTCTCGAACTCCCAACCTCGGGTGATCTGCCCGCCTCGGCCTCCCAAAGTCCTGGGATTACAGGTGTGAGCCACTGCACCTGGCCGATCCCGTCCCATCTCTTAAAAAAAAAAATCAAAAAGATAAACATACATTTGTAATGGCTGGCTATCTGGAGACAGAGGGCCAGAGCAGATGACTGACTGAGGTCCTTTCCAGGGGTAGAATATGCCGATGTCATAAGGCTAAAGGTAGCATAGTTTTGGCGGCTGAAGCCATTCCTAGGCTGGAAAGGGAATTAGGATTTGGTACGGCATCAGCCCAGCATCCCAGAGTTCTTTGTTTTTGAGCTCAGGATGTCTGATTCCTGGCCATTTTTCTACCTCAAGAGATGATTAGCTTTGCTGAATTTGGAGAATGACAAAGCTGTGACCTCTATGGATTTTACACAGCTCAATCTCACTTTCCCATGTGGCCCACAAGCCCTAAGGGAAAAAAAACAAAACAAAACATTTCTATGTTTTCTCCCCGGGAGAACTAGAGTCCATCAAACTCAGCTCTGGGCAGGCGACTTCTGAATTTGAGCTTCTCCTTCAGCTAGGACCTCTCAGCTCTATTTTGAGTTTTCTGTTTTGCCTCCTTGCCTCCATAGAATTTCAGTTTCTATCACTCTCAATCCCTAGTGACATGTGGCTGTGATGTTATGGGGATTTGCAGGTGGGCTATTTCCCTGGCTACACTGTGCCTATCAGCTGGGTCCTTCAGAAATCAGCTTATCTATAGTCCCTGCCTCCATAAAACAGGGTCTTTTTCTTACAGCAGTGAGTTATGGTCTTCACTAGAATAAGAGGGTCTCACTGCTCAGGATCAGAAGGTGGAAGGGCTCTGCTGCTCTGAGACCCAAGTTAAATCCTAGTCTGACCTTTCTTTCTCTCTTTCCCTCTCTAAAAAGCTCTTCTTCATTTTATAACTCTGTGCATCTCACTTGGTTTGTTTAGCAGGCTTTCTTCTTTCTTCCCCTAATCTGACAATCTGGGTCCACAGATCATTCTACCAAGGTTTCAGGATCAATGCTCAAGTACATGTTAAAGAATTCAGTATTGGCATGGTACTCTGCCAGCAGAGAAGACAGATGCAATAAAAGCCAGATCTGTGGTTTCTGCAAACTCAACTAGGGCTCTGCATTCCTAATCTGGTCACTATTCCTAAACTCAGACCTCCGTACCCTCCTTCCTCAGTTTCTTCATTCTAGCACTTTCTGATTCATAACCTATATCACAATTATAATAAATATTAGTTTAAAAAGTCTAGCTTTACTAATATACTAATAAGTATCATAAGAACAAAGATTGCGTCAGACTTTTTCACTGATGTATCACTGGTGAACCTCATCATCATCCTGATTGACACAGTAGATACTCACTAATTCATTTTTAATTAATGATCACATGTATTGAGTATTTACGATGTGCCTGCTACTGTTCTAAGCACCTTACTTAAATAAAGAGTTCAGTGTCTTGAAATCTACCTTCTCCATGAAGTTTTCACTGATTAATTCAATCAGAGGCTATCATTTCATTATGTAAGTAGATTCCACTTGGTTAATGCACACTTGCTTATTTTTATTTATGTGCCTTATGTAAGAATTCTAGTTTCCTCATTAAACTATAAATTCCTAAAGGAATTCAACTTCTTCAAAACATACAAGACAGGGCTCTATACAAAGTGGGTCCTTAGCGCAAAGTCTAAAAAAGCCTAGGAACAGTGGTGCAGAGGAGGGGAGCCTAGCTGAAATCGCTTTCCTTCTCTCTTTCTAATTGTCTCCATGTCATGTATCCTTTTCAAAGAAATTCTACCTCTTTTCAATGTATCAGAATATATCAGAAGATCAAAGGAGAAAAAGTTTTTTTTAAAAAAATCAATACCCTCTTACTCCCACTCCGTGTTTCCTATATACCTAATTTTCGTGACTCCCAGGTTTCTTAAATTCAACCTAGAAAAGGGTTTTTGCTGGCTCTGTTTTCTGCCCCTCCACCTCATACCGGATCTGTATTGATTAACTGCTGCTGTTCCTATTTGTTCAAGGGGTGATGAAAGGGAAGAGGAGGAAAGGCCAGAGAAAACCGAGTGCCTGACTGACCTTGGTCAGTGCAGGAACTCTCCAGACATCAGAGTTAATACCTGAAGACCTAGTTGGGACCCACCATATACTAATTCTGGGTCTCCTCCCATCCCCACCATTACCAAAGTACATGAAGTTAATCCACTTACTGCCTTCTCAATAACTTTATCTCTTTAGTTTCTTTCCAATGCTGCTTGAGAAAACACCACTCTTTTAGGTTCCCAAAGACCAAAAGAGCCCCCTGTCTTCAAAGAAACTTGGAAATAAGTTTTATGAAGATGTGGGTAAATAAACGCATGGCAAATAAAATTCAAATGCACTTGAGGACTTAGGCCTCACAGAAATTTTTAGCAAAGCCCAAAATTCCCGTGAACCTACAGAAGAATAATTCTATTGTATAGGCTAAGGGAGTCAGTAAATTCCAAAAGTCCCACCAGCCATGTTTTTTGTCCCCTCCTCCTTACCTTGGGCATCTCCACCAGAGGTTAAGACAGCAATGGCTTTGCCAATCCCCAGGGTTTTGGCTGCATGGTGCTCTTCATGGGTCATGATCCACTCTAGAATTTAAGACAATGGTCAGTTAAGACACAGCAGGAATCAAGATGCCACTAGCTAAAGGAACGGCAATTAGACTGGCTAGAGCCACCTCAGTCAGGCTCTCCCACTATACCAAGTCTGAGCTTTGCAGCCTGAGAGCTTTGGACTTCTTCCAGAGGAAAGCCACACCCTTGTAGACTGACAAGCTGAAATGTCATGTAATCAAGCCCAAGACTACTAAGGTCCTAATTCCTCCCTGATCCCTCCCACCCCAATTGGAACCTATTTGGGGAATAAACTAAGGTCAGGGAAAAGAGAAGTTGACTGAATAGAAATGAGAAAGGGAGGAGAAAAAGTTGAGTTAGCCTCAACGATCCCTCCCTTTTCAATGAAGGGATAGGTTATTGCAGAGGGCTGGAATCAGATGAGGTTTAGGGCACTGATGACAATCAGCAAAGTAGAAGTAGAAGAGCAAGGGTAGGTTGGATTATAATTAAGATTAGGGTTGGGTGTTATGGAATTGTGCTATTGGAATGGGGTTAGGTGATATGGAGTTGAAACTGGAGTCTGAGGCTATAAAGGCACATCAGAGTTAGGCAAATTAATGGTGTCAGTCTCAAGAATGGTCAGGGGCTTTCTATGGCTCTTCCCTCTCAGGATGTCAGCCTCCTGAGCATCTCTTGATCCTTGGTCTTTGGGTCTTGCCCCTCACATTACTACATGCTATGAAATGAGAAAATTAACACAAAGTCACTGCCGTATATACACAGATGTGTACATACGACATGGGAACACCTTCATATTTTATTCTTTAGGGATCACCTCTCTCAAAGGAACACACAAGAGGACGTATTTTTGTATCCATAAAATGCCAGTAGAATTATCACTCTCCCAGTTTTTCAGGCTAAAACCTGTTATTTTAAATTTATCTCCTCCCTTCCTCTCAGATTCAAAACAGTAACTAAATCCTATTATTCTCCCTTCTTATTATCTTCCTTTATCCATCCCCTCCTTTCTATCCTCATTGCCATTTTCCACCTGAACTGCTTACTACAATAGCTGGTTTCCCTGTGCTTGTGTTCCTTTCTTCACTCTATTAGACACACAAAATAAACCTTCATAGGAAGGTCATAGGTCCCTAGGCTTCAGTGGAGATGTGTATTCATTCACAGGAACCCAAGTTTTACGGGCAGCTTGTGCTTGCTTCTACCCTGCATTTGGAGAACTCAGGGTAGCTGCCTATAGAGACATAAGTCACATAAACACCCAAATCCACACAAATAATAAAATAATGCAATGAGACATATATGAAGACATACATTCACAAACATGCATTGTGTTAACAGACAGAGATTAATGAACGTACTACATATAATCAGTACTAACAAATAAGGTCCCAACTTGTTGGGTTGGCATTCGAAGCTTCTACAATTTAGCCCTTGCATATAGCTTCAACTGTTGGTCCTATAGATTCTCTGCTCCATTGTCACCTGAACATTACTTTGCTCTTCCCACTTTAGTGCCTGGGCACACTGCATCCCTTGTCCAGGTGGCTACCCTGGCCCTTTCCACAGATTCACATCCCATTCCATCATTTAAGACCAGTGATAGTTGTACCCTTATTAAACCTTCACTGATTACCACAGGTCAAGGAAACCTTCTTTTGGACTTCCTCTAACCACATGTTGTCTAAACTGGATCACTGCCTCCCAGGTTCAAGTGATTCTCCTGCCTCAGCCTCCCGAGTAGCTGGGATTACAGACATGCACCACCACACCCGGCTAATTTTTGTATTTTTAATTGAGACGGGTTTTCACCATGTCGGTCAAGCTGGTCTTGAACTCCTGACTTCAGGTGATCCGCCCACCTTGCCTCCCAAAGTGCTGGGATAACAGGCATAAACCACCATGCTCGGCCTGCTTTATGTGGCATTTTAATAGTTTCGTACGCACTGATAAGAGGGTTGGACTAGATCAGGGGTCAGCATACAACAGCCTGTAGGCCAAATCCAGCCCTTCTCACATTTTTGTATGGCAGTAAGCTGTGAAAGGTTTTTATATTTTTTAGTGGTTGCAAAAAGTACTTCATGACATGTGAAAAATGTTAAGTTCAAATTTCAGTATGTGCACTACCTTCGTTCATTCACGTATTATCATGGATGTTTTTGTGCTACAACAGCAGAATGGATATTGTGACAGAGACTCATAAGCCTGCAGTTTAAAATATTTACTATCTGGTCTTTTACAGACGAAGTTTGCCAACCACTGGACTGGATGGCTGCTAAAGTCATTTTTCCTAACTAGACTGAGAACTCCTCCAGGGCAGGGATCATGATCATTTTTAAAAACTCTCCCACAGCTCACTAAAGACTTGCAAAGTCTATGCACATTACAGGACCCCAATAAATACTTGTTGAAAACGTTAATGAACTGATGAACTACATGAAATACAAATATATGAAAAATGTAAAATCGGCTTAGATACAGATATACCTCCATATTCTACTTTAAAACACACTTTTAACTTGGACTTGAGAAATCATATAGTGACAAACAGTGAAAGGAACATAGAGACACGCGTGACTAGAGACGCTCTTATTTAACTGGAATGTTCATGTCCAAATTTCTGCTGTTTTCCAAAAAGAAAGATTAAGTGACTAGGGCAAATAGGAAGGCAAAAAGGTGGAAAGGAAAAAACAAGACATCTGGGTATGCTGATCCCTTTCCTCCCGTTTTTTCTTCTCATTCACTCTTGGAGCTCATGACGGGGGCAGAATCCCACACAGAGCTCTTCCACCCCTGGAAGCGTCAGTGAGGGAGAAAATTCGCCATAACAAGAGGAGTTTAAGAGTGCTGACCTGTAAAAACCGCTCATATTCTTCTCCTGAAATCTCTAAGACAGTTATAGAGGCACAGGACACAGAAATTCATGCAGACTCATGTATAAGCATCCCTTACAGACCCACAATGACACGCACGTAGACAAAAACAGACAGATATTAAAACATATCTCTAAAATCACGTGCGTATATAAGCACGCGGCAGGGAGGAACAGAAAAGCAGCATCATAGGAGCACTGATTTGAATTGGGTGAGTGCCAGGGTAGGGTCAGGCAGCCAAGGGCAACCCGTCCGAGCCCCACCCACCCATCCCAGATTCCTGGGGAATGCAGCTGAGCCTGCAAGCGGAGGGGACTGGCCAAGGGGCTAGGATCCTTCACGACTGCCCTGCCCATCCCCCTCTCGGCTCCAGCTTAGGATGCCGTATCTCTTCTTTTCCTTTCTGCTCCTTTCAGTTCTCCCTACCGCCTGCTCCCGGCCCATACCTTCCCACCTCACTCCCAGCTCTCCCCCTTGCTCTTCACTCAATGGCCCCTCTTGCCTTTTAGTCTTAGCTCTCCTCCGCCGCTGCTTTCTTGCAGATTGTCCTTGGGAAAGGGGGGAGGGGTGATGGACGAACATGGGGAGGAGCCAGGTGGAGGCAAAGAGGGAGGGGGAAGGAGGAGAGGCTTCCCAACCTCCACTAACAGATGCTGACAAGAAGGCTCCGCCTCCTCCTGCTTGCCTTTCTCCTCCTCTTCCTCCTCCCCCTAAGTACTCAGCTCAGATATGGCAGCGGCTTAGTTCCTTCACTCCCCAGAGTCCTGGGGTCCTCATATCTATCTCGAGAGCCATCAGCATCTTTATTTAATGGGAATAATAAATTATTTCGTTGCTTCTCTTGTTTTCAACACAGAACTTTTTCCTAGTCCAGACTGCCTGAGACACCTTGCATTCCAACATCTTCAGCAACTGCTAATAAAACCTGCCCCTGTGGCCCTCTATCCGTCTTTAAGCAAACATTTCTTGGGAGTCTGTGTGCTAGATTTTGCATTAGGTGCCGAGAGGTTTAAAAAAAATAAATATAGTCCCTGCCTTTGAGGAACATTGAATTATGACATCTTCTATAGAATAGCCTCAAAAACTTCTTTTACATTTACATTACCTTTCTCAGAGAAAGTACAGAAAAGCTAGCTATTTGGAATGAAAGTGTCAAGAGGGAAGGGCGTGTCTGTGAGGCCACTTCTCAAGCCTGCAGTGGGGAGGGATGGGGGCGGGATTCTGGCAGTGAAGCAAACATATAAATTGGGCTTCACAGCAAACAGGATCCACTCTGGAAAAAGGGTCAGATGCTCCCAGAGCAAGAGGTGCATCCATTACTCAAGTCTCACCTTCCCTTTGCTTCATTGTCTCCACAGTCGGGTCTCCTCTTGCTTTTACCACTGCCCTCTTCCTCTTGCTTACTTGTATCTCTACCTCTGCACATTCTGGCACAAACAATACAAATGCAAGTGACTAGGAGATAAAACCCCATTTGACTACACAAAATAAAAGCATTTGTTCTCCAAATTATACCATCAAGAAAGTGGAAAGACAACCCACAGAATGGGAGAAAATATTTGCAAATCATGTATCTGATAAGGGGCTGGCATCCAGAATAAATAAAGAACTCATTTGCAACTCATTAAGAATGTAAACCAAAAATAAAATTATAAGCCCCTCAACCATCTGAATAGACCCCTCCTCTCAGTCAAGGGTATTCCAAAGTTAATCTGAAAAACTAGTTCAGACGTTGATGGAAAGGGGAAGCCAGACACACTTCATTATATGCTCCTCCCTTTTGGAATTACTGATAGAACAGACTCTTTAAGTCTGATAAGAAACATTTACAATCTATTCTCTGAAACCTGCTACCTGGAAGCTTTGTCCACCTGATAAAACCTTGGTCCTCACAGATTGCTTTTCTATTAAGTCTTTGGACAATAACTTAACTCTTTTCACCAATTTCCAATCAGAAAATCTTTGAATCTACCTATGACCTGGAAGCCCCGCTCCCCCCTCCCTGCTTCCAGTTATCCCGCCTTTCTGGACTAAATGAATGTACATCTTACATATATTCATTGATACCTTATATCTCCCTAAAATTTATAAAACCAACTTGTGGCCCGACCATCTTGAACACATGTTCTCAGGATCTCCTGAGGGCTGTGTCATGGGGGAGCTATTGGTCACTCGTATTTGGCTCAGGATAAATCTCTTCAAATGTTTTACAGTTTGACTCTTTTCAGTGACAATAAAAAGAAAATACCTCAATTTAAAAATGGGCAAAAGAGTTGACCAAAGAAGATATACAGGTGGCAAATAAACATGAAAAGATGTCAACATCATATGTCATTAGCGAACTGCAAATTAAAACAGTGAGACACCACTACACACCTATTAGAATGATTAAATGATTAAAATTCAAAAATCCAAATGCTAATGAGAATGTGGAACCACTGGAACTCTCATTAATTGCTGGTGGGAATGCACAATGGTACAGTCACTGTAGAAGACAGTTTGACAGTTTTTTACAAAGCTAAATATTGTCTTACCACATGATCCAGCAATAGCACTCCTAAGTATTTAGCTGAATGAGCTGAAAATTATGTCTGCACAAAAAACCTGCACATGAATGTTTATAAAAGCTTTATTCATAATTGCCAAAAGCTGGAGGCAACCAAGATGTCCCTCAAAAGGTGAATAAACAAACTGTGATACAGCTATACAATGGAATATTTTCCATCAATAAAAAATTATCAAGCCAGGAAAAGACATAGTGAAACGGGCCAGTGTGAAAAGGCTGCATACTGTATGATTCCAACTGTATGACAGTCTGGAAAAGGTAAAACTACGGAGACAATAAAAATATCAGTTGTTACTGGGGCTTGGGATAGAGAAGGAGAGATTAATAGGTGGAGCACAGGGGATTTTAGGGGCACTAAAATGATTCGGTATGATGCTATAACAGATACATGACATACATTTGTCATGACATTATGCATTTGTCAAATTCATAGAACTATACAATCCAAAGAGTAAACCCTAATGTAAACTATGGAACTTAGCTAATAATAATGTATAAATATTGGGTTATCAATTATCACAAGTGTACCACACTAATGCAAGATGTTAATAAGTAGGGAAAACTGGCCAGGCACAATGGCTCACACCTGTAATCCCAGCACTTTGGGAGGCCAAGGCAGGTGGATTGTTTGAGCTCCGGAATTTAAGACCAGACTGGGCAACATGGTGAAACCCCGTCTCTACAAAAATACAAAAAATTAGCCAGGTGTGGTGGCACATGCCTGTAGTCCCAGCTACTCAGGAGGTTGAGGCACAAGAATGACTTGAGCCTGGGAGGCAGAGCTTGCAGTGAGCCGAGATTGCGCCACCACACTCCACCCTGGGCGACAGAGTGAGATCCTGTCTCAAACATAAAAAATTTAAAAATGAGCAAAGGCTTGAATAGACAGTTCTCTAAAAATGATATATAATGGCTAAAAAGTACAAGAAAAGATGCTCAACATCAATAGCCATTAGGGCAATGCAAATCAAAACTACTTCATTTGAAGTGAAAATACTACTTCATATCCATTAGGATGGCTATTATCAAAAAAGAAAAAAAGAAAGGAAGGAAGATGGAAGGAAGGAGGTAGGGAGGGGTGGAGAGAGAGAAAGGAGGGAGAGGGGGAGGGAAGGAAGGAAGGAAGGAGAAAAGAAGGAAGGAGGGAAGGAGAGAGGGAGAGGAAGAAAGGAAGGAGGCAGGGAGTGAGGGAGAGAGAGAGGAAGGAAGGAAGGAAGGGAGGGAAGGGGGGAAAGGAAAAAGAAAGAAAAGTATTACAGCGGATGTGAACAAATTGGAACCCTTCTGCATTGCTGGTAGGAATGTAAAGTGGTGCAGCTGCAGTGGAAATTTGGCAGTTCCTCAAATGTTAAACATAGAGTCATCATATTAATTAGCAATTCCACTCCTAGGTATATACCTACGAAAAATGAAAACATATGTACACACAAAATCTGTATACCAATGTTCATAGCAACATTATTCACAATGTTGGCAAAATGTGGAAAGAGCCCAAAGTCCATCAACTAAAGAATGGATAAATAAAATGTGTCATATAAATATGACAAAAAGTGTCAAAATTTGTAAAATATTTGAAGATATTTATTCTGAGCCAAATATGAGTGACCAATGGCCTGTGATACAGCCCTCAGGAGATCCTGAGAACATGTGCCCAAGATGGTCAGGCTGTCAGGCCTCTGAGCCCAAGCTAAGCCATCATATCCCCAGTGACCTGCACGTATACATCCAGATGGCCTGAAGCAACTGAAGATCTACAAAAGTGAAAATAGCCTTAACTGACGACATTCCACCATTGTGATTTGTTTCTGCCCCACCTTAACTGATCAATGTACTTTGTAATCTCCCCCACCTTTAAGAAGGTTCTTTGTAATTCTCCCCATCCTTGAGAACGTACTTTGTGAGATCCACCCCCTTCCCTCAAAACATTGCTCTTAACTCCACCGCCTATCCTAAAACCTATAAGAACTAATGATAATCCACCACCCTTTGCAGACTCCTTTTTCGGACTCAGCCCACCTGCACCTAGGTGAAATAAACAGCCTCGTTGCTCACACAAAGCCTGTTTGGTGATCTCTTCACATGGACACGTGAAACATTTGGTGCCGAAGACCCGGGTCAGCAGCCTTCCCTTGGTGTTTAATTATCGTGGGGATGCCTCTCTGATTATTCACCCATGTTCCATTGGTGTCTGATCTCCACAGGGACGCCTGCCTTGATCATTCACCCGTGTTCCCTTGGTGGCAAGTCAATTGCAGGGATGCCTGCTTTGGCTGCTCACCCACATTGCAGCCCAGAGCTGCTCCCCATCCCCCTTCTCCATGACTCTACTCTTCTCTTTAAACTTGCCTCCTTTACTATGGGCAACCTTCCACCCTCCATTCCTCCTTCTTCTGCCTTAGCCTGTGTTCTCAAGAACTTAAAACCTCTTCAACTCTCACCTGACCTAAAATCTAGGCATCTCATTTTCTTCTGCAACACCGCTTTGCACCAATACAAACTCGACAATGGTTCTAAATGGCCAGAAAACGGCACTTTTGATTTCTCCATCCTACGAGACCTAGATAATTTTTGTTGAAAAAATGGGCAAATGGTCTGAGGTGCCTTACATCCAGGCATTTTTCACACTTTGTTCCCTCCCTAGTCTGTGTTCCCAATGCAACTCGTCCCAAATCCTCCTTCTTTCCCTCTGGCCTGTCCCTTCAGTCCCAACCCCAAGCGTTGCTGAGTCTTCTGAATCTTCCTTTTCTACTGAACCATCTGACCTCTCACCTCCTCCCCAGACTGCTCCTCCTCAGGTCGCTCCCCGCCAGGCTGAATCAGGCTCCAACTCTTCTTCAGCCTTTGCTCCCCAACCCTATAACCCTTCTATTACCTCCCCTCCCCACACCCGGTCCGGTTTACAGTTTCGTCCTAGGACTAGCTCTCCCCCACCTGCCCAAAAATTTCCTCTTAGAGAGGTGGCTGGAGCTGAAGGCATAGTCAGGGTACATGTGCCTTTTTCTCTATCAGACCTTTCCCGAATCAGCCAGCGTTTAGGCTCTTTCTCATCAGACCCCACTAAATATATACAGGAATTCCGACATCGAGCTCTGTCCTACAATTTAATCTGGAGTGACCTAAATGTCATCCTAACTTCTACCCTCTCCCCAGATGAATGGGAAAGTTTTTTCTCTAGCCCAATCGCATGCTGATAACTGCTGGCTTCATGAACCACACCTCCAGGAAGGCATTAGAGCAGTTCCCTGAGGCGATCCCCAATGGAACTATCCGGCCGATTCCCCAGATATAGCTAGGCGAGACTACATGGTTTCCTGCCAAGTTGAAGGGCTTAAAAAGGCAGCTTACAAAGCTGTTAATTATGACAAACTTAAAGAAACTACCCGAGGTAAAGAACCCAGCCCAGTTCATGGCCGGCTTAGCAGCAACCCTTAGACGCTTTACCACCCTAGACCCAGAGAGGCCAGAAGGCCACCTTATTCCTAATAAGCATTTTACCACCCAGTCAGCTCCTGACATTAGAAAAATCTTCAAAAATTAGATTCCGGTCCTCAAACCCCACAAAAGGACTCAATTAACCTTGCCTTCAAGGTGTACAATAATAGAGTAGAGGCAACGTATTTCTGAGTTGCAATTACTTGCCTCCACTGTGAGAGAAACCCCAGCCACATCTCCAGCACACAAGAACTTCACAATGCCTGAACCCCAGCGGCCAGGTGTTCCTCCAGGACCGCCTCCCCCAGGATCTTGCTTCAAGTGTCGGAAATCTGGCCACTTGGGCCAACCAATGCCTGCAGCCCGGGATTCCTCCTAAGCCATGTCCCATCTGTGCGGGACCCCACTGGAAATCGGACTGTCCAACTCACCTGGCAGCCACTCCCAGATCCCCTGGAACTCTGGCCCAAGGCTCTCTGACTGACTCCTTCCCAGATCTTCTCAGCTTAGCGGCTGAAGACTGACGCTGCCCAGTCGCCTCGGAAGCCTCCTGGACCATCACAGACGCTTTAGGTAACTCTTACAGTGGAGGGTAAGTCCGTCCCCTTCTTAATCAATACGGAGGCTACCCACTCCACATTACCTTCTTTTCAAAGGCCAGCTTCCCTTGTCTCCATAACTGTTGTGGGTATTGACAGCCAGGCTTCTAGACCCCTTAAAACTCCCCAACTCTCGTGACAACTTGGACAATACTCTTTTAAGCACTCCTTTTTAGTTATCCCCACCTGCCCAGTTCCCTTGTTAGGTCAAGGCATTTTAACTAAATTATCTGCTTCCCTGACTGTTCCTGGGCTACAGCCACACCTCATTGCTGCCTTTTTTCCCAGTTCAAAGTCTCCTTCATATCCTCTCCTTGTATCTCCTCACCTTAAACCACAGGTATAGGATGCCTCTACTCCCTCCTTGGCGACTGATCATGCACCCCTTACCCTCCCATTAAAACCTAATCACCTTTACCCCACTCAATGCCAATATCCCATCCCGCAGCACACTTTAAAAGGATTAAAGCCTGTTATCACTCACCTGTTACAGCATGGCCTTTTAAAACCTATAAACTCTCCTTACAATTCCCCCATTTTACCTATCCAAAAACCAGACAAGCCTTACAGGTTAGTTCAGGATCTGCGCCTTATCAACCAAATTGTCTTGCTTATCCACCCCGTGGTGCCAAAGGCATATACTCTCCTAACCTCAATACCTCCCTCCACAACCCCTCCATAACCCATTATTCTGTAGTGGATCTCAAACATGCTTTCTTTACTATTCCTTTGCACCCTTCATCCCAGCCTCACTTCACTTTCACTTGGACTGACCCTGACACCCATCAGGCTCAGCAAATTACCTGGGCTGTACTGCCACAAGGCTTCACGGACAGCCCCCATTACTTCAGTCAGGCCCAAATTTCTTCCTTATCCATTACCTATCTCAACATAATTCTTCATGAAAACACACGTGTTCTGCTGATCGTGTCTGGCAAATCTCCTAAACCCCAATCCCTTCTACAAAACAACAACTCCTTTCCTTCCTAGGCATGGTTAGGTACTTCCACCTTTGGATACCTAGTTTTACCATCCTGACTAAACCATTATATAAACTCACAAAAGCAAACCTAGCTGACCCCACAGATCCTAAATCCTTTCGCCGCTCCTTTCTGTTCCTTAAAGACAGCCCTAGAAGCTGCCCCCACACTAGCTCTCCCTAACTCATCCCAACCCTTTTCATTACACACAGCCAAAGTGCAGGGCCGTGCAGTCGGAGTTCTTACATAAGCCAGGACCGCGCCCTGTAGCCTTTTTATCCAAATGACTTGACCTTACTGTTTTAGCCTAGCCATCATGCCTCTGTGCAGCGGCTGCCGCTGCCCTAATACTTTTAGAGGCCCTCAAAATCACAAACTATGCTCAACTCACTCTCTACAGCTCTCATAACTTCTAAAATCTATTTTCTTCCTTACACCTGATGCATATACTTTCTGCTCCCTGGCTCCTTCAGCTATACTCACTCTTTGTTGAGTATCCCACAATTACCATTGTTCCTGGCCCAGACTTCCATCCGGCCTCCCACATTATTCTGGATACCACACCTGACCCCCATGACTGTCTCTCTTTGATCCACCCGATATTCACTCCATTTGCCCATGTTTCCTTCTTTCCTGTTCCTCACCCTGATCACACTTGGTTTACTGATGGCAGTTCCACCAGGCCTAATCGCCACTCACCAGCAAAGGCAGGCTATGCTATAGTATCTTCCACATCTATCATTGAGGCTACTGATCTTCCCCGCTCCACTACCTCTCAGCAAGCTGAACTCATTGTCTTAACTTGAGCTCTCACTCTTGCAAAGGGACTACGCATCAATATTTATACTGACTCTAAATATGCCTTCCATATCCTGCACCACCATGCTGTTACATAGGCAGAAAGGTTTCCTCGCTACGCAAAGGTCCTCCATCATTAATGCCTCTTTAATAAAAACTCTTCTCAAGGCTGCTTTACTTCCAAAGGAAGGTACAGAGGATCAGAAGGGCAGCAGGGGGCATGGGCAATGCTGGTGATAGATGGCCTAGATGAAGTGAAAAATATGATAGAAAGCTCTTATCTTCCAGGGAGAAGCTGTGACACAAGGAGCAAATGGGTGAAGCAGCACTCCTTTGGAATGCTTCCCACATTTTCAGGTCACTAGAAGTAGTCTTGAGAGTCACTAGTTACCTAGGCAGGTTGCCCATCATCGAAGTCTTTATACACAGGAGAGGCTTTATGTCTAGTGGGCAGTTGGATCTGCTGGATCAGAGCCTGGACCACAAAGGTGCCTGCTACCCCTGAGCTTTTTTCCTGGAAGTAGTTGTCCCACACTCTTACCTATCTTGAAATGCTAACCACCTTTCTTTGAAAAGCCTAGGGGTCAGGACATAGGGGTAAAGTGTACAGCCTAGATGACTCACACCCTTGCTATGCCCCAGTGTAGGATCAAGTGGCTTTCTTATGCCAGGAGCTGATCCTCTATGGGCCACACACACACACAGCCTGCCTCATTATAGTACAGGCAGAGCTGCTTATACTGATAGGCAAGATGTTGGAAAAAACAGCAGCTGCTTCCCTGCCAGGTAAGAGACAAGAAAGAAATATATTCCATTTTTCTTAAGGACTAGAGCACAGAATCTCCATATACAACTGCACTTAGAACAAGGAGCAGAACACCCTGGAGGGAGTCCCTGTGAATTTCTTGGGCTGGCAGAAGCAGAAAGACATCAGGCCAGGGGTTTTTTATGTTTGGGCACCAGTAGCTCTGTGCTCATCTCTGTTGTTTGACGACATGAGTTCCTCACCATTTCACTGGTGCCCTATAGTGATGCATTGCCTAGAGGTGAGAAATGGAGCAAGGCAGTGGCATCCATCTCATTAGAGCAGATAACTACCCTCGTACCTCTCCAATCCATCCTCCACCCAGGAGCCAGAAAGATGTTTTAAAACGCAATATGATCCTATCATTCTTCAGTGATTTCCCAGAGCTCAAAAGTGTCCATAAGACCTAGAAGGCACTGCACAATCTGGCTCTTACACCACCTGTACAGTTCACTCTCCCGCTATTCCTCCCATCATCAAGTCACATTGGCCCATTCTGCTCTTTCCCGTTTCACAGCCTATTGTCCCCTTTTCTGGAAAGCTCTTCTCTCTTTGCCTGGCTAATGCATACTCATCCCTCAGGTCTTCCTGAGAAAGGTTTTTCTGACTTCTCAGGCCATATTACACCCCCTGTTTTATCCTCTGATTACATGGAGTTATTTTCCTTCATTGCACTAACACCATTCTAGTTATATAACCATGTGTGTGATTGTGTGATTACTGTCTTAGTCCCACAAGACTATAAACTTCATGAGAGCAGACAATGTACCTGTTTTGTTTACTACTTTATTCCCAGTGCCAAGTACAGTACTTGACATAGTATGTGCTCAACACATTCTCTTGGAAGGAAGTCAAAGAAGGAGGAAGAGTAGGAGGGAAGGAGGAAGGGAAGAGGAAAGGATGAGGAAGGAAGCAGGGAGGTAGGCAGAAGAGGAGGAATGGAGGCCTTATTGGTGCTGGGAAAATATTAGATTTCCTTTCTCTAGTAGGAAAGCTGAAAGGGTTAAGAGTGGCCACTTAACTGAGCCACACAGACCCCAGGATTTAAAGGCAGAAGTTGAACATCAGAATTTTGTCCATGAGACAATGCTGAGTTCAAACCACAGAAGCAGGTCCAAATGAGTCATCAGAGCAAAGGGAGTCTGAGGTGAGTTTTAGGTACACCAGAGCAAAAGGAGAATGAAAAAAGCAGGAAAGATGAGGGCAAATAAGAAATAATCTGTACAAATTCAATAAACAATAGGAAAAAACCATCAGCTGGGTTTATTTCTTGCTGCTTTCTATGCAGGGGCAAAGGAAGTCTGATTAAAGGGATGTAGACCACAAACAGTTGCAAAAGGAAGAAAAGAAAAAAGGAAAGAAAAGAAAAAGAAAGGAAGGAAGAAAGAAGGAAGGGAGGGAGGGAGGAAGGAAGGAAGGAAGGAAAAGAAAAGCTGGCTCTGAGCAGTCAGCTGGCTGTTCTCTTCCCTACATCTCTATGGCATCTTATTTTGAACCAAAGTTATTTTGAACCCTACATTTCTATGGCATCTTATTTTGAACCAATTCAACATTTTGAACCAAAATTATTAAGTTCTTAACTTACACATTGTTCCATATTATCTCCCGTCCTTAATCATAAGCTCCTAGGGAACAGGGAAAGTGTCTATTTCATTTTCTCATTTCCTACAGAGTCTAGCCCAATGATTTCAAATAGTGAGTGCTCAAAAATATGGCTAAATACTGATATATATTTCATAAGTGCTAGGAGTTGTTACTTTAATGAAATTATCAACTTTCTGAGGAAAACCTTTTAGTCCTGAGTTCCTTCTGAAAATATAAGAGAGTTGGGGTAAATAATCGCTAAGGCATTTCCAAAGTGTAAGCTATTGGGGCAATGGCAAGGATATGCCTTATACATATGTTTTATAATCTATCATTTCCAGTATATTATTGGGCAAATAGCGGGAACTCAATAAAGGTTTCCAGTGAATTGACTCCAATATAGATGTATTTAAGTTAAGACGAAATACATAGATGTGTTTCTGAAGCTTCATATAAATTGCCTGTGAATTGAACATTTAAAAATACATGAGAAATCTATTATTAAATGGTTTCCTAAGATGAAAATTTTTTACAATATTTAGAATCATTTTGTAAAATAATAACTCATTTAGTCAACTTTCTTAAGTTTCACATATTTATATATCAAGGATGCTGACAATAGGATAAACCAGATTAGTAGTTTACAGTTATGAGCCAATTGATTTAATATTGACCAAATTAAGTTATTCTGCATAGAGATGTGTCTGTTTCCCTACAATTTCCCAGATGATCCATCCCCACCTCTCTCCCTTCTTCCTTTCCCTCCCCATCCCTCTTTCTCTTTCTCTCTCTCTTTCTCTCTCTCTCTGTTTCACACACACACAGACTTTCCCCCTTGGGTCTTATATTTCAGCTTTAGTAGGTCTACGCTGATTTATAATACTATGCATACAACTTTCACTTTCCCATATTCCTTTGAACATTTCTCACTGTTGACCCACATGCCTCACCAGTTTTGAAAACAGGTATGCTTCCCACGGTGTCTGGATCATCCATAGTATCTAGACTCTTCAAGATGTCTGTCTTTGGTGGTGGCTTTGGTATGAGCATGCTGGAAGTAGAAGCTTCCCCAGCTGAGAAACAATAGCTTTAGGTCACCCTCAAGGTGGGATTCTGGGAAGGGAGTGTTCCTTACTCCCTTTCATTTTCCCTATGACTCTGAGCTGTCCAGGGCTTTCTTTCCAAAAATCCAGTGAAAAATTAGAGACGCGATGTACCTCAAAAAGATTCTATTCCCTTGACATACATGGGGGAAAGCAGAACATATAACTAGATACTTTGAGGTGGGGTGGATGAGAAGGCCATTTTTCCTTAGGGCTTGATTTATCTGATAGTTTTGGAGTGTCAGTTATAATGACAATAAAGATTCCCACAGATGAGCCCAGACTGGTCGAAGTAATTCACATAACAACACAATAATGACAAGCTCATGGGATAAATTTTGTTCCCCCCTCAACTCTCAAGTCCTCCTTATCTGCCTGGCATCTATCACAACAAACCAGGTCAAAATCTTACCTGGAAAATACACGACTCAGTGATCAATATTTTATCAAAGTGAGAATGTGATAAACAAGGTCAGTTGACCCCTAAAATCCGTATTTACACTAGAAAGCCTCACATCCTGTATTTAGACTTCTTGTGAGAGAACCCATTCTCTGTCACTGGAGTATGATCAGGAGACAAGGGTACCTGTTCTCTGAGGAGTCCTGACTAACTGGCGAGACTGAATCACACACATGAAAAATTTCAGATGAAACTCGTCTTTATGCATGGCTGCCTCCTAGAAATAGAGACAGAGTTTAATCCAAACGAACAGAGCTGTGAAATAAGATGTCAGTGACTGACATGGACCAGCTACACTCATGACTACTTGGCCTTAGGACTTGACAATATAATATAAAAGTATCAGCACATGAGGCAATACAAATAATCTACTTTGATGTATTTGACAGGGGAGGAAACCCTGAACTCAGCAAGCTGCTGAGAGTATCAGAAAGGCTGGGGGCCTCCAGAAACTGCCCTTCTTTAAGTCTGAGCTCAGACTGTGCCTGTGGCTGTGATCTGGGTGTAAAGGACCTATTAAGGGGGCATTTCTCTAAGACTTCTACAGGGCCTGGGTCCAGAGGCCTGCCAAGCTGAGGTGCTTGACAAAAAGCCTGAATGAACAAACATATTTCTTCCCATTATGTTCTCTTAGAAAGTATGGCAGATTCCAGGTTAATCAATGTGTCCCAGGAACAACAAAGCCCTTCAAAGGTCACAGGTGATTCCTGGGTCCTTCTCTATCTCTACCCAGAAAAGCAGATCTCTAGTGGGCTCCCAAAAGCTTTCCTCACAGCTCTGCCTGTTTCAAATTCCTCCAGAGTTCTGGAAGGTTCTACATCTTGCCAGAGTCTAGCCTAATCCGTCCTCAAGTTGCTTGTTTGTTTGTTTGTTTGCTTGCTGAATGGTCAATCAAGTATGAGGTGGTGCAGAGTACAGGATTGCAAGTTAAGAAACTTGTTTCCTAGTCCTAGATGGGCCGTGCACTTAAAACCTTTGGGAAATCACTTCACTTCTCTGAACCTGGTAAGACTAAAGTATCTCCAATAACCTCTACAAGCACTAACGTTCTGTGATTCTCAATAAAACACGAGATAGCCTGAGATCGATTTAGATCTCAGGTCCCTATCTGTCGGGGGAAGCCACAGGTTTCCGCAGATTTAGGGCCACCGCGAAAAGCTGCCATGGAAACTGGAACGCAAGCAAGCAAAACTCGCCGGGCGGAACCAGAAGGCGGCGGGTAAGGGAGCAGAGGGAACAGAGAAAAGCATAGGACGAAGGGCTCACTAACAGTATTCCGAGTACGAGAAAGCGAAAAAGCCCAGACTGAAAAGGGTACTGAGAAATTACGACTAGTCTTAAATGCTCCCTTCGCTTCTCGGGCCTCGCCACACCGCGCAGGCGCCCCACTGGTCCTTAACTCTGTTCTTTGACCTCCTGCCCCAGCCCCCTCCTCTTCAGCCACCTAGCGACTCTTCCGGTGCTGTGAAGGCGGTTCCGGTTCGCGGCGGTTCCCGGGTTTTGCGTTCCGCGCCCGGCCGGAAACCCCTTCGCATGGCAGCCGGTTCCGGTTCGGTGAGTGGCGGCGGGAAGCTGGGGGAGGGGTGAGGATGGAGGGAGCCTGGTCCAGGAGACTGTGTCGGACCCGGTCAGCCGGCCCGGGCTGGACTGGGCGGAAGCGGGGAGCACTGTGGGGCCGGCGCCTTTTCCTCTGCCCCGCCCCCTGGGACCACCTCCCCTCCCCCCTGCTGTCCGGTGGCCGCGCTGTGGCCGCCGGTGGCCGTTAGGCTACCTGAGGCCGTTCCTTCTGGTCTCTCTCTCCTGGGCCGCGGAGAGACCGTCTCCCTGCCGTTACAGCAGGCCCCATCCCAGCGCCCAGCCGTACTTGGGGAAAGGCCGGTTGCGATTCCGGGGCTTTCCCGCCAGAGCTGGGTCTTCTCTGGGGAGAGCTGTTTTCACCGGGAAGCTCGGCTTTCTGTGGTACCGGCTTCATCTCCCGCCTTCCTTGAGACCCGAGTGATATTTCTTGACTACTTCTGCGTCTCACGTAAACATTTCTCCAACTCTCCTACTCTGTGGTATCTCCCTGAGATGTGATATCGCTAGTGCCACCATCAGAAAGAAACGTCTGGACCCTCCTGCTCAGGTTATGAAAATCCCCTTAACTGCCACAATTTGCTTACCTGGCTCATCGCCTCCTGGTAATTCCCTTGAACCGTCTCTTTCTTGGTGTACCCTAACGTGATCTCTGGATCTATGCCTCGTTTCTCTTTCCTTGAGCTTGGTGATTTCTGTTTATCGGTGCCTGTGCAGTATTTCCACTATCTTGTTAGCAGTAACTTGCTTCTTTATCACTTTCAAGTCAGCCTTGTTAAAGTCATTTTACTTCATATTTGGTACACTTATTATATTTGGAGTGGTGGTGATTCTTGTAATATTCATATAAAGCCTTTTATCTACTACCAACTATTTGACTGAGGGTCTTTGTTATAATTGGTTATTCTGGATGTATTAGATCTCATCATCTCCTAAATCTTTATTCTTCATAAAAATAATTTGTGTTAAGGACTCATGTTGAAATACAGATTACCCTGACTTTGAAATTACAGTTAAAGCGCAACTTTAAGCATCTCTATAAGCATGATCCCTTAACCTACTTCCAGTTTACACTCTACCACCCTTTATTTTTCCTCTCTAGTCCCTTTTAGGAAGGCTTATTCATTTTTAACTGACTTCAATTAATTATCCCAACTGCAAAGATGGTCTTCATGTCACTCATCTAATGAGTTGTCTAGAGGGAGTGGATGGGTACAAAAACAGGTTCTGCTACTTCTGGCTAAGGGAATGCAGTTGTTGACTTGCATTGCGGCTTTGGAACTCTTGTCCTTTTCTTCCCAACTTCTACATCTTCTATCAGTTGTACCAGCTCTACTGTCTTGCGGTACCTGTTTATGGATCTGGCTTTCCCTACTGGACAGTGAGCTGCTCAGTGGCAGGGACCCTTTCTTAATGCACGTAGTCGGTGCACAGTAAATGAATGTGTATGAAAGAATTTGAACACTTAGGGTTTACGGCGTTAGAGTGTTAAGGTATTTAAGGTGTTAGAGTGATTGGGAGAGATTACATGTAAAAATAGAAGGAAAGAACCTCAAACACATGACGATATAGTACAAACTATTGTACACATAATTGTTTTTCAGAACTTGGAAAAGGGTGATTTCACATGGTTGCTTTCACACCCTTCTTATATCATAAATTGTTCTAACCACATCTTGGTCCTGGATAAAGCTAACATTGCGTCTCTCTCTCTCTCTCTCTCCCTCCCTCCGCCCCCCCCCCCCCCCCCGTCTCTCTCTCTCTCTCTCTCTATATATATTTTTTTCTTCTTTTTTTAGACAGAGTCTCGCTCTGTCACCCAGGCTGGAGTGCAATGGCTTGGTCTTGTCTCACTGCAACCTCCGCCTCCCGGGTTCAAGCGATTCTCCTGCCTCAGCCTCCCGAGTAGCTGGGATTATGGGTGCCTGCCACCATACCTGGCTAATTTTTGTATTTTTCGTAGAGACAGGGTTTCACCATGTTAGCCAGGCCGGTCTTGAACTGCTGACCTCGTGATCTGCCCACCTCGGCCTCCCAAAGTTCTGGGATTACAGGTGTGAGCCACCGTGCCCAGCCTCAATATATATTTTCTAGTAACTTCCTTGCAGCCCTAGACATTGTCTTTCATAATCCCCTTTTTGCATATATGTAAGGTTATAAGTGTTTCACCGCAGTTGTCAAGACTGTGATCTTTTTTGTTCTTTCAGGTTTCCCATTATCTTGTGTTCCACTACTAACCTGACTTCATCTGAATGTCTGTAACAGCTTATGTTCTTTCAGTAAATTACATGACCAGTGTATACTAGGAAATGAATTATTAGAATCATTTTTTTTAAAAAGAAAACATTTTTACAGTTGCTTGAATTTGGTGGCATCAGAGGTTCCAGATCCAACATTTTCATGGAGAATCTTGGGGTAAAATATTCCTTCTCCCAATGTAACTGCAAGTGGCTAAAAGAATGTACCATAAGCACACTGAAGTAGCTGGATGTATTTGTAGTAAAATATAAATGTGGGGTTTTAATTATTTAAAATTATAAATCAGTGTGGATTCCCCAGGGTTAGTGAGGGATTACTTTTAAATTGCCAGTGTGTATTAATCTTTGAGGTTGTGTTAAAGGATTTGAAGTTGTATAATGTTTGAAATGTGCATTTGCCCTGGAGTCAGGATACATGGATTCTTGTCTTCTTTTTGCCCCATCTGTGTGATTTCAGGGAAGTCACTTAACCTCTCTGGATATAATCGGTAAAATTCTTTGAATTTCTAGCTTCCTTTTCTCTTCACATCTATCCCAACAAAATGCAAGGAAATTGACATGGGATTATTCTGTTGGGCACCAAGCTTTTAAGTTGGCATTCTTCTTAATAATAATTTTAAAAAGGCTAGTAATGACAATTATGAAGCAACTTTAAAATGTCAAAAAAGTGTTGCTAATATATTAGTTGATAAGATTTTTTCCCCCTTAATCTGGAACCCAAGGGAGTCTACTCTATTAAAGAAGAAAGAAGGGGAAAGAATAACCTGAAGAATTTTTAGTAAAGAAGCCTTTTAAGTTGAGCATTTGGAAATATATTTGAAGCATAAATCTAAGGCTTAAATTCTTTAGGGATCCTTCCTGGCAAGACTAGGTAATCAGATAATTACTCTGCTTAGTCTATAGCTATGCCAAGAAAACTTTTTTTTTTTTTTTTTTTTGAGACGGAGTCTCGCCCTGTCGCCCAGGCTGGAGTGCAGTGGCCAGTGGCGTGGTCTCGTACGCCAAGAAAACTTTAAGCTGCCTTCCTTTGTGTGACTTTCATTATTGTGACCACAAAGAATGCCTATTATCATCATCCAGCCTCATGAATACATTGAAGCCCTAGTATTGCTATGTGGTTGATGAAGTGCTTAATATTTTTTAAAAATATGGTTATAAGATTATAAATATATATAGGTGTGACTATTACCATCCCTAGTAGCCTCCTCCTCTTGGAAATCTACCAAGACCATATGTGCCGAGGATATGTTTATTAACCTAGTTCCAAGCAGTTTGGTTGTGTTTTTGTGTTTGGTTTTTTTTTTTTTTTTTTTTTTTGAGACAGAGTCTTGCTCTGTCGCCCAGGCTGGAGTGCAGTGGCATGATCTCGGCTTACTGCAACCTCTGCTTCCTGGGTTCAAGCAATTCTTCTGTCTCAGCCTCCTGAATAGCTGGGATTACAGGCACGTATCACCACACCTGGCTAATTGTTGTATTTTTAGTAGAGATGGGTTTTCACCATGTTGGCCAGGCTGGCCTCCAAGTCTTGACCTCCTTGGCCAAGTGATCTGCCCTCCTCGGCCTCCCAAAGTGTTGGGATTACAGGCGTGAGCCACTGCACCCGGCCAGCAGTTTGGTTTTTAACATCTTTATTTTGTGGAAAAAGTGGATACATCAGAGGAGACAGTAATTTTTATATAGGCAAAGGGGCTTTGGTTTGTAGCAGTTTGATTGATG
This sequence comes from Homo sapiens, assembly GCF_000001405.40. Classification (NCBI taxonomy): domain Eukaryota; kingdom Metazoa; phylum Chordata; class Mammalia; order Primates; family Hominidae; genus Homo; species Homo sapiens. The sequence goes on along the minus strand of NC_000012.12, from coordinate 48,102,032 downwards.
ATGTTGGGGGAAGTACTTTGTATTACTCCAGAGTAGTTCTTGATTGTCATTAGAGTATCAGGCTACTGAGTAAGACATGGAAGAAAAGTCTTAATAGGACCATCACAAAGTCTGTCACTTGTTTATGAAGTGATTTAGCATGAGGTAATAGAACAATGGATTGGGAAGAATTTCTAGGTTATAATTTCGGTGTAGTTGCTAACATTATGACTTTATGCAAACCACTCAGTCTCTTAAGGGTTGGCGCTCCCAATTTGCTTCTTGCTTTAATATTCTGTGATTCTGTGCGTAGTCTGTAATTGCTGTTTAATGTAGTACAGGTTGCAGAAATGTTTGGAAGTACCTCAAGCTAGTTTTAGTTTTTACTCTTTTCCCATCAAGTCAACTCTTTACCACCTTAGATTTTTCTCCACTAAGAACACAAACAAATGTCACTTCTAGTGGCTGCACCTTCTAAAATTAAGTGAAGTAGGTGTTTCAGTATGTAATTTTTCTGTTTTGTGTCTTCTTTTATAGGACTTTGTATCTTTGCTAAAGTCAGTGATGTGAAAAGACTTGAAATGGGTAAGACTAACTAGCTGTTGAATCCTTTTAGCTACTTTCATTGGTTAAGCTGTAGTGAAAGAATGGGTTTTCCTAACATTTTCAGTATTTGTATCTTTGTGCTTAATAATAATTTTAAGAGAAATTTTAATCCTAATTATGTAATACTATATACCAAACAAAATTATTATTATTGCTATTTTTGAAACGTAGTCTTGCTCTGTCACCCAGGCTGGAGTGCAGTAGCACAATCTCAGCTCACTGCAACCTCTGTCTCCTGGGTTCAAGCAATTCTCCTGCCTCAGCCTCCCAAGTAGCTGGGATTACAGGCATGTGCCACCACGTCCGGCTGATTTTCGTATTTTTAGTAGAGACGGGGTTTCGCCATGTTGGCCAGGCTGGTCTCAAACCCCTGACCTCAGGTGATCGGCCCACCTCAGCCTCTCAAAGTGCTGGGATTACAGGCATGAGCCACCGCACCCAGCCCACATAATTATCTTTTGGTTAGAACATTGTTTATATGCTCATTTAGGAGTATTATCTCATTGATTGTATTGAAAAAGTTAAGTATACCCTAGCAAACATTTACTGTGTACTAGACCCTGTTCTAAGTATTTAAAATATATTGGTTCATTTAATCCTTATAACCATCTTACAAGGGTACCTAATAGTACCTACCAAGTAGGTTACTGTTGTTATCCCTATTATATCACAAGGAAACTGAGACACAGAAGTTAAGAAGCTCGCCTAGAGTCATGTACTATAACTGGCTGAGCCAGGATTTAAACCTAGGCACTCTGGTTCTAGAGTTTTCTAGAGTTCTCGTTCTTTTTTTTTTTTTCTCTTTTTTCTTTTGAGACGGAGTCTCGCTCTGTCACCCAGGCTGGAGTGTAGTGGTATGATCTCAGCTCACTGCAACCTCTGCCTCCTGGGTTCAAGCAATCCCCCTGTCTCAGCCTCCCAGGTAGCTGGGATTACAAACATGCGTGCGCCGCCAAGTCCGGCTAATTTTTGTATTTTCGGTAGAGATGGGGTTTCGCCATGTTGGCCAGGCTGGTCTTGAACTCCTGACCTCACGTGATCCGCCTGCCTTGGCCTCCCACAGTGCTGAGATTACAGGGGTGAGCCACTGCGCCCAGCCAAGAGTTCTTGTTCCTTAGTACTATGTTATACTACTTCTAAATGATAAATAATTTGATTAATGTAAATATTCTATTTCATTTAGCTAGTGTTACTGAGAATTGTGGTTAGGACATTTTTCACTATTTCATTTGTAGTACTTTATGTCTGTTAAGGGGATCAATATAAGGTCAGGACTAGTAGCTAATTTAGGAATAAGTTGAAAAATCTATACACTTAGGTCTTATAACATCCCATATGTTCCTTTTACATTCACATTAGCTTTCTCTCTATTCTGTGTTTTCCTTTTCCTTAGTCTGCCTTCTCCTTCCCTGTTCATTTGTTTCCATTTTCTCTCATTGCTGATAGCAGTGTAAGTCGTTGAATTCTGTTACGTTTATTGCTTCTATTCTAGCTCTTCTATAGTAACAAAGGTATCAAAAATGGTTCTGAAGTAAAATTCTGCCATAATATTATAGTTATTGAGCTGATACCTGTTAAGAGCAATATGAATAAAATTATGCTTTTAAAAAAATGTTCAGGCAGATTATTATTATTATTAGAGACAGGGTCTCACTCTCTTGCCTAGGCTGGAGTGCAGTGGTGTTATCTTGGCTCACTCCATCCTCTGCCTTGGGTTCAAGCGATTCTCATGCTTCAGCCTCCAAGTAGCTAGGATTACAGGCATGTGCCACTATGCCTGGTGTATTTTTAGTAGAGATGGGGTTTTGCCATGTTAGCCAGGCTGGTCTCAAACTCCTGGCCTCAAGTAAGTGATCCGCCCACCTCAGCCTCCCAGAGTGCTGGGATTACAGGTGTGAGCCACCACACCTGGCAGGTGGATTACTTCTTAAAGCACTTCTTTGTGTTAAAACAGGAAATGAACCAGTGTTAACAGTGTGTGTTACTGAATGGTGAATTTTTTCCCCCAATTTTTTTATATTTAAAATTTTTTCTATAGTTAAAATATTTAAAAAGTTTCTTTTGGGAGCATTTTTGTTTTTTGTTTGTGTTTTTCTTTGTTGTTGTTGTTGTTGTTTTCTGAGACAGGGTCTCACTCTGTCACCCAGGCTGGAGTGCAGTGACTCTGTCATGGCTCACTGCAGCCTTGACCTCCCCGGGCTCAGAGTATCCTTCCAGGTCGGCCTCCTGAGTAGCTGGGACTACAGGCATGCACCACCATGTCTGGCTAATGTTTTGTTTTGTTTTTTAATAGAGACAAGATTTTGCCTTATTTCCCAGGCTGGTCTCGAACTCCTGGGCTCAAGCCATTCGTCTGCCTCAGCCTCCCAAAGTGCTAGTATTACAGGTGTGAGCCACCTTGCCTGGTCTCGTTATTTTTAAAGCTTTAAATTAAGCTGTTTTTATATGTGTACAAGTTTTGAACTGTTTGGTAGATGGCCTCAATTAATTCCAAATGAGCCAATTTCTGCACATGGACCTCTTTTGACAATGACAATATGAGATTTTTGCCATTGGTTAGCTATGAAAGAGGGATTTTATTTTATTGCAGAGTTGTTCTTCAAGTTCTTTTTTGTCTTTTTTTATTATTATTGTTAGACATAGGGTCTCCCTCTGTCCCCCAGGCTGGAGTGCAGTGGTGTGATGATAGCTCACTGTAAATTTGAACTCATGGGCTCAAAACAGTCCTCCTGCCTCAGCTTCCCAAGTGGTTGAGGCTACAGACACGTGCCACATTGGCTGGCTAACTTTTTTTTTTTTTTTTTGAGATGGAGTTTTGCTCTTGTTGCCCAGGCTGGAGTGCAGTGGCACGATCTTGGCCCACTGCAACCTCTGCCTCCCAGGGTCAAGCAATTCTCCTGCCTCAGCCTCCCGAGTAGCTGGGATTACAGGTACCCGCCACCATGCCTGGCTAATTTTTGTATTTCTGGTAGAGACAGGGTTTCACCATGTTGGCCAGGCTGGTCTTGAACTCCTGACCCCGTGATCCACCCGCCTCAACCTCCCAAAGTGCTGGGATTACAGGTGTGAGCCACCACACCTGACCTGCTGGCTAATTTTTAAATTTTTTTGTAGAGACAGGGTCTTACTATGTTGCCTAGATAGATCTTGAACTTTTGGCCTCAAAAAAATCCTCCTGCCTCAGCCTCTCAGAGTGCTGGGATTACAGGCATGAGACACCATGCCTGGGTGGGAATTGTTTTTATTAGGTGAAAAGATTGGTTCATAGGAAAAACGTTATTGAAGAATTATGTGACTTGAACTAATCCAGACTGTCTCCCCAGATGATATTGCTGATAGGATGAGGATGGATGCTGGAGAAGTGACTTTAGTGAACCACAACTCCGTATTCAAAACCCACCTCCTGCCACAAACAGGTTTTCCAGAGGACCAGCTTTCGCTTTCTGACCAGCAGGTTAGGAGCAATTTTCTTCCTTTAATTAATTAATTATTTGGGCTCATCATAAGTTTTCATCTTATGTAGTTTAAATGCCACACTCAAAAATACAAGCATAGCTATAAACTTTTTAGAATCAGTAATTTTAGTGTTTGGAATTCTGCTCTATATATTAAAATTAAGACAAGGACGTTAAGACAAAATAGGCTATGTATGAGTTCTTTGAGAACAGTACGTTTTAGAAAACTCATTGTTCCTCTGAATTTTAAAATTACTTATATGCAGATCAGTGTTCTTTTAAACTAGCACCTAAAATTGCTGAGCATTAAATGGGGGAGAAATGTGAAAATATACAGCAGCTCTAAGATGTCTGTGCTATAATGCCTGATTTCTCAAGGTCTAGTTCGGGACCAGCAGCATCAACATTACTTGGGAGCTTGATAGAAATGCAGACTCTCAGGCTTTACCTCATATCACTGAATCAGAATTTATATTTTAAAAACATCCTCATTTGATTTATATGCACATGAAAGTGTGGGGAGCACTATTAAGCAGTCTTTTTCAATAGGAAAGCCATTAGTAATTTGGATGAGATCATTCTTTGATGTGTGAATCTTTCCTAATTATAGTAGGATGTTTAGCATCCATGAGCCCTAGGCACTAAATTCCTGTAACATCCACCTCCCCCCATAATCATTTTAATAGTTAATATATATCCACACATTTCCAGATATGTACTCAGGGTATAGCACCACCTCTGATTAAGAGCTATCTCTGTAAAGTTATCAAAAGAACCAAAACCAGATTGATTTTTCTCAACCTTTTTAATATGTGTTATAAATGGCTTTCAGACAGGATGTACTAAATACATATTTACCTTCTAGTGAACATTCTTTGAATTAAATTGTATAACAAATATTTTGCCTGTTTTTTTCCTTGAAGCCTGAATTATTTCATTAGATTGTCTATGTGTTTTCCTTTCTTGTTAGTATGTAGTATTAATACGTATAATATATAAATATAATTATATTGAGTTCTGAAATAGTCTTAGTTCTGCTATAGTCTTTATTTAGAGACGGGGTCTCTCCATGTTGTCCATTGCTAGTCTTGAAGTCCTGGGTTCAAGTGATTCTTCTGCCTCGGCTTTGCAAAGTGCTGAGATTATAGGCATGAGCCACTGCACCTGGCTTATAGTCTTGTTTAATTATATATTTTTCCTAGTATATGTTTTTATTTTATTGTTAAAAAAGTGACATGGCCGGGCGCGGTGGCTCACGCCTGTAATCCCAGCATTTTGGGAGGCCGAGGTGGGCGGATCACCTGAGGTCAGGAGTTCAAGACCAGCCTGGCCAACATGGTGAAACCCCGTCTCTACTAAAAATACAAAAATTAGCCAGGTGTGATGGCGCGTGCCTGTAATCCCAGCTACTCAGGAGGCTGAGGCAGGAGAATCACTTGAACTCAGGAGGCGGAGGTTGCAGTGAGCAGAGATTGTGCCGGTGTACTCCAGCCTGGGCAACAAGAGTGAGACTGTCTCAAAAAAAAAAAAAATGTGACTTAAGAAAAATCTTCTGCTTTGTTTAGATTTTATCTTCCAGGCAAGGACATTTGGACCGATCTTTTACATGTTCCACAAGAAGTGCAGCTTATAATCCAAGCTATTACTCAGGTATGACACATTACTTGGAGTCAAGGGACTTTATACCTTTTGGATTTCTTGATAGCATATCGTTTATGTTTATCATCTCCAAAAGTAAAAACATTGTCAAAAACAAGATGGTATTTTCTTCACTAAAACATCATTTGAATGGCTTTTCCTGTGTATGTGGTTGCTATGATACTTTACTGATTTTGTCTCATCCAAATACTGGTTTTCTAGTGGGAAAGTGTTTTGAGAATCTAACTGTCCATTATGCCATTGTAAAAAGCAATACAACTTTGTTTTTGACCTTTTTTTGGGAATATGTGTATGTGATGTGTGTAAAGGGTGTTTGTTTTGCGTTAATTTAAATCACAGAGCAAGTTTATTTCTGTTCTGCTTGAAACCATGAAACCTGAAAATTTATTTCTTCCTGAGCTTGTCCTTCTTTCAGGGCAGGAAATGTTAACTACATGTTTCTGTCTAGCACCTGCCACAGCCATATGCTTGCATATTCAAGGGCTTTTCTATTTAACTTGTGATCCATGACAGAAGTCAGCATTCTCTAGGCTGTTCTTATCCTGTGACCTGCCTGACTTATCTATCATCTGCCCTCTTACTAGGGTTTGGACTTCCAAGGGTCTTCTGCCCCTGCCTTGAGAAACTAAGAGTTTTGTTGGTTAGCCTCTTGGCTGTAGGACTCAGAAAGATTACAGTAGTCTTCCCAGGTCTTTTTACTCCTCATGCTTCAGTCTCCTTGCCTTACCACAATATGGGAATACCAGTTATACCATTGAAACTGCCTCAACAGGAATTTTTTTTTTTTTTTTTTTTTTTGACACAGAGTCTCCCTGTGTTGCCCAGGCTGAAGTGCAGTGGTGTGATCTCAGCTCACTGCAACCTCTGCCTCCTAGGTTCAAGCAATTCTCCTGCCTTAACCTCCCTAGTAGCTGGGATTGCAGACACCCACCACCACGCCCGGCTAAATTTTGTAATTTTAGTAGAGACGGGGTTTCACCATGTTGGCCAGGCTGGTCCGAACTCTTAACCTCAAGTGATCCGCCTGGCTCCCCCTCCCAAAGTGCTGGGATTACAGGTGTAAGCCGCTGCACCTGGCTGGATTTTTATAAGGATAAATTGGGATGATAAATATGGAATGCAGATAATAATTATTCTTGTTATTTGGCTTCCTTAGGATTCTTTGTCAGCAAGATGAGATCTCCTCCCTAAAAAGACGTTAGTAGGATGCTCTTTTAGATTCATACTATATTTAAATGTGATTTAGGTGGGTGATACTTTATCTGCCCTGGGCACTGGACTTCCATAGTATGTGCATAATTTGTATAGAAAAATCAATCAATTTTCTCAAAACGTAACTCTACTACCATTATTATTGAGAAGGCTTTTTGATGAACAGAGTCTGAAATCTGGTTTGATAGGTCAATATTAATGGTGGAGGAACAGTTGAATGGTTAATGAAATTAGATCATCAGTATTTCCATTTGAACTCAGGCTATGTTTGCTTATAATTTCATATGCCAATTTACCATTGGATAGAATCTCTGCTTTAAGTTAAAAACAATTACTTAATAATAAAGTTATATAGAAAATTCTACTCAAAGTTCCCTTCTCATAACCCAATTCTAATGTTTTATTTCTAATTTATTTTTAATTATTATTATTATTATTTTTTGAGATGGAGTCTCGCTCTGTCACCCAGGCTAGAGTGTAATGGCGCGATCTTGACTCACTGCAACCTCCGCCTCCTGGGTTCAAGCAATTCACCTGCCTCAGCCTCCCGAGTAGCTAGGATTACAGCTGCCTGCCACCATGCCCGGCTAATTTTTGTACTTTTAGTAGAGATGGGGTTTCGCCATGTTGGCCAGGTTGTTCTCGAACTCCTGACCTTAGGTGATTCACCTGCCTCGGCCTCCCAGAGTGCTGGGATTACAGGCATGAGCCACTGTGCCTGGCCTATTTTTAATTTTTTTTTGAGACAGAGTTTCACTCTGTCACCCAGGTTGGAGTGTGGTGACATGTTCATGGCTCACTGCAACCTTGACCTCCTAGGCTCATGCGATTCTCCTGCTTCAGTCTCCCGAGTAGTTGGGACTACAGGTACATGCCACCATGCCTGGCTAATGTTTTGAAAAATTATTTATAGAGGTGAGGGTCTTGCTGTATTGCACAGACTGGTCTCAAACTCCTGGGCTCAAGTGATTCTTCTGCCTAGGCCTCCCAAGGTGCTGAGATTACAGGTGTGAGCCACTGCACCCCATCTCATTCAACTCTTATTTAACTCAAGTCTCTGTGATCTCTTCCGATTATCTGTGTGTACATACCTCATACACATTGCATGATTTGACACATGTAATCTTTTTTAACTCAGTATTTTTATTTTAATTTTTTTTGAGACAGGGTCTCACTCTGTTGCCCAGGCTGGAGTGCAGTGGCACAATGACAGCTCACTGCAACCTGCACCTCCTGGCTGTGATCCTCCCACCTCAGCCCCCTGAGTAGCTGGGACTACCAGTGCATGCCAGCATGCCTAGCTAATTTTTGCATTTTTTGGTAGAGACGGAGTTTCGCCATGTTGTCCAGGCTAATAGTTATAGTTTTTCATGTGTCAACATGTTCTTTTTTTTTTTTTTTTATCATTTTCTGCTCATTTCTAATTCATGGAATTGATACGCACATCCACAGTCCCTTATGTGCAATTCCAAAATCCAAAAACCTCTGAAAACCAAAATTTTTTTTCACATCTCATTTGGCTTCAAAACCTGACCTGAGGCTGGGTGCGATGGCTCAGGCCTGTAATCTCAACACTTTGGGAGGCCAAGGCGGGTGGATCACCGGAGGTCAGGCATTCGAGACCAGCCTGGCCAACATGGTAAAACCCTGTCTCTACTAAAAACACAAAAATTAGCAGGGTGTGTTGGAGGACACCTGTAATCCCAGCTACTTGGGAAGCTGAGGCAGAAGAATCGCTTGAACCCAGGAGGTGGAGGTTGCAGTGAGCGGAGATCGCGCCACTGCACTCCATCCTGGGCGACACAGTGAGACTCCATTTCCAAAAAAAAAAAAAAAAAAAACCTCACCTGAATTCATTCCTTGGCAAAACCTACTTGAACTGACATGAAGCTGTTTATATTTTTTCTTTTTTAAAATCTCTGTAAAAATGAGTATTTTCACATTTTGCTGTAGATAACATGTTTGATTACAGAGTGCTCTTACAGATTATACTTGAAAGTGTTACCTAATATGTCAGGTTATCTTTCTAAAATTCCAAAAATTTAAAATTTGGATATAGAACTGGACTCAAGCATTTGATTTGGGATAATGGGTGTGTGCCTTCATTTGCTTCATTATTTTCCCTATGGTTTAGGTGCACATTTACCCTTACCATTTTCAGCTATTGTTAATAACATGACTTAAAAGCATTGGTATATAGAGCTTTTTTTCTCCTAAGTTTTAGTAAACCCTTGATATTCACAAAGAATATATCTAAGATTATCTTAAGTCCTAATGTAATATTTGGCCAGATTCCTTGGCTTTCTACTCAGTTACGTAATTGTTGAGAATTACATTTTTCTTATGTTTATCCTCATACCACAAGTTGATTCCCATATCAACAGTCTTACACTAAAAGCTTCATCTCTCACTTGAGTACCTTTTTTTTGGAGAAGAAAATAATTATAACAGTTACTATATATATGGTGATGATTAGAGAATAACAATAGTAAATAATAAAGTCATACTGAAATGGGATGCTAAATTACAGCTTGAAGCAGAGGACTCAAATTTGTGCCTTTAACAAATCTCATCTAGTCCCTGATCAAACAAGCTTATGGCATGTCACAGACATCAAAGGTCCCTTTCTAAAAATCAGGAATTTAAATCTGTGAACGTCAGTGGTCTATATATATTTTTTTCTTATAATGAAGTCTTTAATTAAAACCTACTTTTTACTATGGACTTTAAAAAAACTTCTTCCTCTTTCCACACTCATTCCAATTATGCTCTCTCCTTTGGATATATTCTTTTCTGATAATCCCCACATCGATTGCAGTGGTCATCACTTTGTGCCTTACCTCTTGATTGGGCTAGACACGGACCCTCAGTTTACCTGCCTTTATCTGCTGATCCTGACTTTATTGGTATTTGTCTTCTCTCTCACCCTGCTGTCCCCTCCTTCACCAGGATGAAAATGAGCAGCAAGGCCCAAACTTTAGGATCTAGGATCTGGAACTTCTCCTTTATTACTTTATTGGATTGACTTCTCTAGATCAAGCTTTTTAAAAATCTGCCTCTCAATCCACTTAAGATTAGAGTATTTAAAACATTGATTTTTTTAAAAAATAAAATTTTAAAAACTTTTTTACAGTTTACTTTGTTACAGCAAAACTTTACACGCCTGTAATCCTAGCACTTTGGGAGGCCAAGGCGGGAGTGTCACCTGAGCCCAAGAGTTTGAGACCAGCCCAGGCAACGTACTGAGACCCTGTCTCTACAAAAAATAAAAATAAATTACCTGGACATGGTAACGTGTACATGTAGTCCCAGCTACTGAGGAAGCTGAGGTGGGAGCATCTCTTGAGCCTGGGAGGTCAAGGCTGCAGTGAGCCATGATGGTGCCACTGTACTCCAGCATGGGGACAGAGGGAGACCCTGTCTCAAGAAAAAAAAATGTTTAACCCTAAACAGAGAAAAGTGGGATGAAAAGAAGTGATTTTGCTTGTGCTTAGAATCATTATCAATGTCTTCTCTTTGGAAAATATGTTACATTAGGTTACCAGAATGATACTTGGTAGGTAATATTATTTAAACATCCTGCTATTATTTTAACTAAAGTTAACAGGAACAACTGGTAGTACTTACTTTCATAGTAAGTAGTTAGCTGACACATTCTTTTTTTTTTTTTTGGAGACAGAATCTCGCTCTGTCGCCCAGGCTGGAGTGCAGTGGCACGATCTTGGCTCACAGCAACCTCTGCCTCCCGGGTTCAAGTGATTCTTATGCCTCAGCCTCCCTAGTAACTGGGACGACAGACGTGTGCCACCACGCCTGGCTAATTTTTTGTATTTTTAGTAGAGACGGGTTTCACCATACTGGCTAGGCTGGTGTTGAACTCCTGGCCTGAGGTGATCCACCTGCCTCCGCCTCCCAAAGTGTTGGGATTACAGGCGTGAGCTACCACACCCAGTCTTGACACATTCTTTTTTAATATGAAGTTTATTATATTCATAAAAGTATTGCTTGTCCCTGCAGAAAATTTGTGTAGAAAAGTAGAAAAATACCCATCACTCTATCATTAGAACATAACCACAATTAAATTTTTGGTGTATTTTCTCCTAGTTTTGTGTGTATGTATGTACACATAATAGGTAATCTTTTTTGTGGTGTTCGTAACTCTGATTTCTCACAGAAATCAGTGGTGACAGACTATCATGTTAAACTCTCACTATATGTGGCCAGGCACAGTGGCTCACTTGTATTATCTCAGTACTTTGCCGTTGGGAGACCCAGGTGGAAGTATCACCTAAGGCCAGGAGTTCGATTCCAGCCTGGGCAACACAGTGAAACCCTCCCTCTCCAAAACAATAGAAAAATTAGGCATGTATGATGGTATGCACCTGTGATCCCAGCTACTTGGGAGACTGAGGCAAGGAGATTGCTTGAGCTTAGGAGTTCGAGGCTGCAGTGAGCTATCATTGTGCCACTACACTCCAGCCTGGGCAACAGAGTGAGACCCTGCCTCAAAAACAAACAAACAAAAACAGTATCTGTAGTTTCCTCTTGGTCTGTCTCTAGCTTTGTTTGATCCCATCAGCAATAGAACACCATTCAGCAATTTCATTGGGATTGGAACCACCTTTTTCTGTTTAAACAGACTGCCTGATCTTCTGCTTTTCCCCTTGCATTTTAAAGCTGCAGTCTCTGTCACATGCCGTTGAGAATGCTACTCTGACTTATCCTTGGTCTCAAATTTCACACCTGTTAGGGTAATTTGCATTTTTGACAGACCGATGCCTCAGATAGATATCTGTATTTAGATCATGCCCTAATCAAATTTTAGCCAAAATGTGTGAGAGACAAATATTTCTACTGTTACAACTTTAAACTTAAGTATAATAATTTTCTAGTTCTTTACTAAGACTCATTTTCATTAGCATCATGTTTCTATCCTCAAAATTATAGTAATAGATGCTAAGCATAGATACTGATTACAAAGGAACAAAGTTACAATTCATTTTGAAAGTAAATTAGCTTATTTTAATTATCAGACTAAGGTCACCAACTGTTGAATTAACAAGTGCTAATACCAGCCATGACTTCTTCTTTTTTCCTATTTACCCTAAATCCTGACATCTTGATTAGCTTACAGAAGCACAAAATTATATTTTGGAAGGCTGCCTATTTGGATAGAGCATGAAAAGATACATTAAATACTTTTAATAGCATAAATTTACAATATTGCGAAAAGTTCTATAGTAATATGTTTTAAAAGAATATCTTCAAAATAATGTCAGCATTAGAAAAAAATTCCAGAAATAGAGAATTATTATTCTTGTGTTTTCACTGGAGCTCCTTAGAGTTCCATAACTTAATGTCTGAAGTTATTTTGAGGGAGCTGTTTTAAATTGTCCAATTCTGCAGATAGGGAGAGGAGGTTATAGAAATTATTCTACCACTCCTAGCTGAAACTTCAGGAGGTTTTTGATATGCCAGATTGTAATCCACAAGTTAGAAAATTCAAATAATAAGTAATTCTCAGTTAATCTGATTGTAGTAGCAAACATTGGAGTAATAATATGTTTGATTATGGCATTAGATGACTGAAGATTATTATACCAGAACCAGATATATATGATGGGTCATTCCTTGCCATAAGCCAACCAGAATAAGCAGCAATTAGGTTATCTCTGCTCTTTGAGAGAGTACCTGAGTCTTGAACATGGTAACTAAAACGAAGAAAGTGACACTAGCTGCTTAGTAATCAATAACTGTTGTTCATTTGAATTACAATTCTCACTGGCCCCCCACCTGCTTTCTTACTGGTCTGGCCTACCTTCTTTCAGGCCCAGGCCTGGGAGTGCTTGCAAGATATAGTTGGGGTAAAATGTTGACTTTTGGTGGACACCACGGAGTCACATTGATGCAGATAAGGCACATGGCTGTGGCAGGATTCAGCTCCTTCATCAATTTTCAGGTTAGTATGGCTGAATCAATTATAGTTTGTAGAAGTTCCCCTACTGCAGACTTTACTGGCAGTTGAGACTGGGATCTTTCTTCCATGAGAGAAATGGTGACATGCCACATTACTTTGGAATACAATGGTTGGTCATGGTTGCAGTCATAAGGAGAACCACCTGTAGAATTTGTTTAATTTATTCAAACTTTTATTTTTTTAGATAATCCTTCCTCAGACAGTTTTCTTGGCTCAGGCGATTTAAGAACCTTTGGCCAGAGTGCAAATGGCCAATGGAGAAATTCTACCCCATCGTCAAGCTCATCTTTACAAAAATCAAGAAACAGCCGAAGTCTTTACCTCGAAACCCGAAAGACCTCAAGGTTCGTATTTTGTCATCTTAGTTCTCAAGCCCTTCCTCAGACATAAGAGAAAGTGACTAAAAGGTAGATAGTTATTACATTGGGATTTTAAAAGAGTAACACCATTTTTGGACTTTAAACCTTAAGGATATGAACAAATCCATTTTACATTTTCAACTTCTCATTTACTTAGTGCTGAATTTTGATGATAGCCAGATCTTACTAGAAGAGAGAATTTTAAGTAAATCTTGGTGGATATGAGAATATTGGGAGCCTTCAAGATCAATATGGCTCTTGCAAATCTTAAAGTGAAAATCAGTCAATCTCCACAATTTGAGCAGGAAAGAAACATATTTTACAGCTATCAAGTGAGCAGAGACCTGACTTAAACTAAAGCAGTTCTCTACCTCATGGCATTAGTCAAGTAGACCAAGCTACTTCTATATATTAGAAAATAAAGAGTCACAGACCGGGCACGGTGACTCGTGCCTGTAATCTTAGCAATTTGGGAGGCTGAAGCAGGTGGATCACCTGAGGTCAGGAGTTCCAGACTAGCCTGGCCAACATGGTGAAACCCTGTCTCCACTAAAAATACAAAAAAATTAGCCAGGCATGGTGGTGTGTGCCTGTAGTCCCAGCTACTTGAGAGGCTGAGGCAGGAGAATCACTTGAACCTGGGAGGCAGAGGTTGCAGTGAGCTGAGATCATGCTGCTATAGCTCCAGCCTGGGTGACAGAGTGACCTCGTCTCAGAAAAAAAAAAAAAGATAGTCACAGAGAACTTTATGCTAGTTATTCCAACTTTATAAGCTCTATCTAACAAAACTTACATGGATTATTAAAGGCAGATGAAATCTGGCTTAGAAACTTTTCCCTCAGATATTTTGTTATATTAGTATTTATTATATTAGTAAACATTTCTTTTTTAAAATAGTATTTATGACTACTTAAATTCTGCCCTGGTATATTTTAGGAATGTGGGATTATTTAGTGTACTGTTTAGTCAAGTTTGAGCTTTATGGTGTTGATAGAAGCCAACAAGATGGCTTTTATTATTTTATGCACATGGACTCCAGGAATGTGTCAATACTCCCTGGGATCATGTTCCTCACTTAACTTTTAAAAAATTATACAGTAATTCACTCATACACTCACATTGTAGAAATCAACACATTACCAGCAAAGCTGAAGATCCCTTGACCACTACCCACAATCCCAATCCCTTTTCCTTGGTGTGTTTCCTTCCAAACCTTTTCCTATACCTATTTCTCTCTTACTCTTTCTTACTCATATATAGTATGATATATATGTTGTGTATACTATTAAATGTATGATATTATTTTGTCTTCATTAAAGATTTTCTATATGCATCATTTAGCAGGTGGCTTTTTTAATGCAATAAAGCCATGCTGTTATTTTAAAAAAATGTTATTACAGAAGTAGTACAAATACTTTGGGAAAGTTTAGAAAATATAGTTAAGAAAAATAAAAAATAAAAACATCACATTGCCACCAGCCTGAGATCAACTCTGTAATATCTTAGTACATATCCTTCTACATACTTTTCTCTACTTTTTTTCCAAAATGAGTTTATAGTATACATATTCTTTTGTAAATTTTGTTTTATACCCTAAGTCATATTTAAATTTTCTCAGTTGACCCAAAAGTATCTTTTATAGTTAGTTTAGTTTTGCATCTGGAAGTTATTGGCTTTGTCACTTATAACTAGAACAGCCTTTTTTTGTTTTGTTTTGTTTTGTTTTGTTTTGTTTTTTTGTTTTGTTGAGACGGAGCCTTGCTCTGTCGGCCAGGCTGGAATGCAGTGGTGTGATCTCGGCTCACTGCAACCTCCGCCTCCCAGGTTCAAGCAATTCTCCTGCCTCAGCCTTCCGAGTAGCTGGGACTACAGGTGCCCGCCACCATGTCCTGCTAATTTTTGTATTTTTAGTAGAGACGGCATTTCGCCATATTAGCAAGGCTAGTCTCGAACTCCAGACCTTGTGATCTGCCTTCCTTGGCCTCCCGATCCCTTCCTGGGATTATAGGCATGAGCCACCATGCCCAGCCTCAGCCTCCTTTTTTTAAATGACATGACTTTTCTGTATAATGTTCTACTTTTTGGATTTGGCAGGTTGCTTCCTCGTGGTATCATTATTTTGTCAAAAAATCACCTGTATTTTTTATAAGCTAGGTTTTAGATGTGACTAAAAGGTGTGCTGCATTTATCACATTTGAAAAACAAACAGTATCTTGTTTTGGTTCTCCTATTATTCATGATGCTAGACTGACCTCTGGATTGAGGAACTGACAGTCTGGTGGTTAATTGTACAGTTAGGTTTTTTCCCGTGTGACTTGAATGTAATCTAAATAATGTTACTTTGGCGTTATATGAATGATGAATTTCACATCAGCCATCACCTAATAATTAATATCATTTGCTAATACCTGATAATAGTTTTATTAGAGTTAATGAAATAATATTTTTCTAATTTTATCACTTTTACACTTCTTAATTGGCATTCTGATTGCATTTTTCCTTAGCTGGGGCTATTAGAGTCCCTGAAATGTGTTTCCTATGGGAAAGGCCTGATACATGATTAGATTTTTCTTTTTCATTACCAGTTTTCAAAGCAAGGTTTTTGTAAAATAGACACTTCATATGTTTCAAATGAATTTGTCTGTTCCTTTTTTAGTGTCATTATGGATTCAGTATTTTGTAATCCACTATAATTGTTATACTTTTAATGCTCACATTCTCAGAAATTTGGCTAGTGGAAGCCCTTTAAGCTTGCTTCTGTCTGTTTGACCTTAACTCATGAATTTTGGGTAACACCCTTGCTTTCTGTCATTGCAGGATGCCCTTGTACTGTTTCTTTAGAAGAGTAATCTTTTATGTTAAAAAAAACATGCATAGGCGCACGCATACTCTGGGAAACACAAATACAGAAGACATTGTGGAGAATCCATCATGTCTTTACCAAACAATTGCACTGCCCTTGCCATCTTTTCCTAGCTGCATCCACTCATCCTAAGAAAATAAGCCTGTTCCTAAAATTCTAAGTCCTTGCTCATTTCCCCATTCTTTTTTTTTTTTTTTTTTTTTTTTTGAGAGAAGCAAGAATATGACTGTAATTTAACATCAACAATGACACTGTGTAACAGCACAGGGAAGAGGTAGTGGAGAGAGATGGTCAGGCTTCCTGTTCCTTAACCAGCCTTGATTTTAACAGCAGAGCCCCAGCAACCTAGAAGCGCCTCACCTAGCCTCTTAATGGAGTGGGAAGGGGCAGGGACTTGGAAATTAGAGGCTCAAAATGTAAAGAAGGCTGATGGCAAGCCTGGGGAGAGGCCTGAGAATGAGGGAAGGGCTGAGGGCTGTGAGGAGTCCTCACACAAAGACCCTAGCACAGGTCTTCGGCAGTGAACATGCCCCTGGCCCTCCGCAGGGTGGAGTCCTTGGCGTCCTCATATGGGTGCTCCTTGGAGGGGATCTCCAGGACAGTAGGGATAGAGTGCTGGTGGGTGTCCAGGGCATGCTGCACCATCTCTGCGATGTACTGGTTGATGAGGATGATGCCAGTGTCATCCCGGTTTAGAAATTGCCGGAAAGTGTCTTCGATCTCATTGATGGTCGTATCCTTCTCCACCACCAGGAAATTGGGGTGGCAGTTCTTGTTAAGCTCCCCTATGCTGCCCAGCAGGAAACCAGTCACCGTGTCCTTGTCTCTGATCACTGCGATGAGCTTCCTTCTCCCCGCCATCCCTGCAGCCAGGCAGAGCTCACCCCAGAGCACCAGAAGCCACTCTCATTTCCCCATTCTTAACACACGTACAAACCCAAGAAGACTTAAAGAGAATTATGCACTGTTTGATTTTCTTTAGATCTTGTCTGATTTGGATTCAGACCACATGTAATGATTTTAAAGAGTTGATTTCATTGAATTTAGAATATTCAGCTGTGTTTCTCTAGTCTGAGTCTTGAAGAAAAAAGAAAATGTATTATGCTAAGAATAAGTACCTCAAACTTTCCAGGTAATGATAAATGAGAAAGAGCACATAGAAAAAACTCAAAATTGGCTGGGTGCTGTGGCTCACATGTGTAATCCCAGCACTTTGGGAAGCTGAGGCCGGCGGATTACCTGAGGTCAGGAGTTCAAGATCAGCCTAGCTAACATGGTGAAACCCTGTCTCTACAAAAATACAAAAATCACCTGGGTGTGGCGGCGGGTGCCTGTAATCCCAGCTATTCGGGAGGCTGAGGCGGGAGAATCACTTGAACCTGGGAGGTGGAGGTTGCTGTGAGCCAAGGTCGTGCCACTGCCTCCAGTCTGAGTGACAGAGCAAGATTCCATCTCAAAAAAAAAAAAAAAAAAAACTCAAAATTAGTAAGCCTTAGATATAAGACAGGGTTTTTGAGTTCACAATATTCTTCTTGCCAATTTGCCAATTTTTCCCATTAGATAGTATAAAGAGACAAAAAATTCTTCAGAGGAAGTAAATAGGCCAGAAGGAGAATTTAATGACGCAGCCTAATAGTTGTTTTTAATGAAGGATGGGAGCCCTCTGTTGGTCTTTAAGGAAATTTAAAAATTCAGTTTAAAAGCTTAGTTGAGAGGCTTCAGCCTTTATGCATTTTTACATATTTAATCTTAATTTCCTCCAACAGGCTGGGTACAAGGGGTACAGGGAATAATAGAAAATGTATGTGTTGTTAGCATACCTGGAACCCAGGTTTTTTGAAGACATCTAATCTGTTATGCTTTGTCATACCACAAAACTATATGGTTTCTGACCAAAATAAATTCTAGATTGTGGATCTAAAAATGCAGTTTTAAGTGTTTGATAATTTTGACAATGTAAGATCTTTTAAGTGGCAGAACCTGATGCAGCATCCTTATATATCATTTATTCATTTATTGTATCTTTCCCTCAAATGGGAAACCTATTATTTTACCTGTTTTGTTTGGTTGGTTTTATATTTTGAAAGTGAAAATAATCTCTAGGTTGGATTTATTTTACTTATTATCTGTTCTTATCTTTCTTACAAACTCTTTTTTTAGTGGATTATCAAACAGTTTTGCGGGAAAGTCAAACCATCACTGCCATGTATCTGCATATGAAAAATCTTTTCCTATTAAACCTGTTCCAAGTCCATCTTGGAGTGGTTCATGTCGTCGAAGTCTTTTGAGCCCCAAGAAAACTCAGAGGCGACATGTTAGTACAGCAGAAGAGGTAAGGAAAACGTGTGACAAAAGCTACTAAAAGTTAGGATCTTTCCCTACATTGAGCCATTTGCTCCCTATTAATAATTAGTTGTTTAAGAACCATTCTATTTTATCCTTCCTGTGCTTTTTCTGTCTGAATTACTCTTTTTGAGTGTTATCATCTATTCTAAAGAGATTAAAGAGGTGTTTTAGCAGGACTTCATTATTTGTCTTACTATTATATCTTCTATGCCTGCTGGACAGCTGACTTTACTTAATCTTTAATGTTGCCTGAATGGTTTCTCATACATCAAAGTATCTCTCTTTGATCTTTGCTAGACCCTTCCTAAACCGTTGTCTCCTATGGAAAAATTGTTACTCTTCCTCCGTAGTTTTTGATAAAATTTTATTTCAGTCCACGTGACGTGGCTCATGCCTATGATCCCAGCACAGTGGGAGGCCAAGACAGGTGGATCACTTGAGCCCAGGAGTTCGAGACGAGCCTGGGCAACATGGAGAAACCCTGTCTCTACAAAAAATATAAAAATTAGACGGGCTTGGTGGCTCATATCTGTACTCCTAGCTACTGGCGAGGCTGAGGTGGGAGGATTGCTTGAGCCCAGGAGGTCGAGGCTGCACTCGACTTGCTTTGTGTCACTGCACTGCAGCCTGGGCATCAGAGTGAGACCCATCTCAAAAAAAAATTGTTTTTTTAATTTGATGAAATACCTATTCTTCTTACCAGGAACAATTTTTCTTCAATATAAGAGAAAAATCAAAAAGCTAGTTAAACAATATACATCCTTTCATTATGAGTAAGACCTTTTTTGAAGTTACAGACTCCTGAAAAGAAAGATGTTCTGTTGACACTTGGGTTGTTATATTAATTCAGTAAACCTAAAAGAAAAAGCCAATTTTGTGAATGTAATGTAGCATATAATTTGCATGATAGGATGTGTGCACATATCTGTTAGATTACATATTTAATGTACGTCTAATGCTGTGGTTGCTTGGAGATACAAATGAATAATAATTACCTTGCATTTAAATAGCATTAGAGCTTCCAGTGTACTTTCCACGTGTATTATTGTTTTTAATCCTTTTAACTCAGCAAAATAGGTAGAGATGAGGTAATAGTCATGTTTTACAGATTAGGAAAATAAGGGTCATAGGTCACATGACTAGTAAATGGCAGGCCTAGAACCCAGAACTTCTGAAGAGGTTTGGTCAAGTATGCTTTCTGTTATACAACACAGCAATATGGTTCCTGCCCAATGAAGCTTACTGAGCATGGAGTCAAGAATACAGCATTACCTGCTAAATAATTACATAATTTGGTAATCAGTGATCTCTTAGGTGGCAAAACTTGATTATTTGTGATATGGTTACTAAAAATGCTGTGCATATTTTTGGTTTAAAGTTTGTATTGAGGCCGGGCATGGTGGCTCATGCCTGTAATCCCAGCACTTTGGGAGGCTGAGACGGGCGGATCACGAGGTCAGGAGATGAAGACCATCCTGGCTAATACAGTGAAACCCTGTCTCTACTAAAAATACAAAAAATTAGCCAGGCGTGGTGGCGGGCGCCTGTAAGTCCTAGCTACTCGGGAGGCTGAGGCAGGAGAATGGCGTGAACCCAGGAGGCAGAGCTTGCAGTGAGCCGAAATCGCGCCACTGCACTCCAGCCTGGGTGACAGAGTGAGAAGCCGTCTCAACAACAACAACAAAAAAAGTTTGTATTGAATCTAAAACATTTGGCTGGGCATGGTGGCTCATGTACAATCCCAGCACTTTGGGAAGCAAAAGCAGGAGGATTGCTTGAGGCCAGGAGTTTGAGACCAGCCTAGGCAACATAGTGAGATCCTGTCTCTACAAAAAAAAATTAGCTGGGTGTGGTGGCAGGTGGCTGTAGTTCCACCTACTCAGGAGGCTGAAGCAGGAAGATCGTTTGAGCCCAGGATTTCAAGGCTACGGTCAGCTGTGATTGTGCCACTGCACTGCAGCCTGGGTGACAGAGCAAGACACTGTCTCAAAAAAAAAAAAAAAAAACGAAAAAACACCAACATTCAAGTGGAGGGTGGCAGAACTAGTAAGTCATTTAGCAGGGCAAGGGATAGACAAGAAACTGGCAACATTTGCCTTTGATGACAAAGCTGGACAACAATGATGAAAAGGAGATTTTTTTTAACAAAAAAATTTTTTTTGACATTACACAAATTTTCATGTCATCGTTGTACAGGGGCCATGCTAATCTTCTCTATATAGTTCCAGTCTTAGTATATGTGCTCCTAAAGTGAGCCCAAGATTTATTTTTCATTATACCTTTTATGCTATTGAATTTTATATTATATTTACATTATTTTATGCATAAATAATTACTGGAGTTGTGGGGTTTATGATTATGCTGGATTCTAGACAGCCTAAGGGGTGCAGAGAGACTTTGTGGAGGAGACAACAGCAGCATGACAGCTGGGTACAGGGCTCCTAACCCTCGCCTGCCCCATGTTTCTGTTGCTCAGGCTCACCAGGATCCTTTAATTCTGTGTTCATTGTAAGTTTGCCATTCACCCACCAGCTCTGTGGACCACTCAGCCTTCCTTCTTTTGCCTCCTCTGCCAGCCTGAGGACTGGGGGTTGCTTGGGCAATTTTACCCTTCCAAACAGCCCTCCAGGCCACAGGTTGGGTCAGTGGAGAACATGAAGGTGGAGTTCTCCTTCCTCCTGTAGTGCAAAGAAGATGCTAAGAATCTATTCTATGAAATGAGCGATGCGGGAAATTTTGCCTGTTTTTAGTTCTATATTCTCCTAATATGAAAGTCAAGCTACCTGTACTACTATATGGCTTACAGAATAAGCCATATAACATGAATAATACAAAATATTGGGCCAAACTTTATTATCAGACTTTCAACAAATTTATTTAGATGTTTATTTTTGGATATTACAAATAATTCGGATATAATACTTTTTAACCCTGGGACTAAATTTACTGATGGGAACTTACAAACTGGATGAAAAGTCACTTTCCGTGAAACGTTGGGATCCTCAGCAGAGGTACATTTGGTTATGTTAAAGGAAGATGTATTAACCTTAATGCCGGATTTGTCCATCAACTTCAGGAATATGAAGTCTTCTACAAAATTAACAATTAAGATGATGTCACCACTGCACTGCTCAGTCTTACAACAGAGGTTTGAAGAGAACACATGAAGAAGAATTTAGAAATATGCAAGTAGTGGCTGTGCAGAATGGCTGATGCTCAAGAGGCAACATCAAAAAGCTGTGCTATTCAGTAGGGTAACGGCTAGCCACAAGCACTGTTTAAATTAATTCAAATTCAAATTGAAAATTTAGTTACTCAGTGACACTAGCCACATTTTAAGTATTCATTAGCCACATGTGGCTAGTGGCTACCATATTGGACAGGGCAAATATAGAACATTTCTATTACTACAGAAATTTCTGTTAGATAATGCTGTTATAGAGGATATAAAGTTCTGTTTGGAAAAGAGAAAATACTTGTGACAATAAAAATGTAAAATGGCAAAAACACAGGTAGTTTCTTTTCAGTTACATGTTGCTTCTAGACACGCTTCTTTGCAAATTATTGAGCAACATTTTAAGATACTGGACTTTTGTAATAGGTGACAGTGATGGTTTTATACTTTTCTTAGAACTGCTTTACAGTGTTGTCATAAGTCAAGCATTTGGGACTCAGAAAATTATTGAAATTTGCACTTTGCATATTTTATATGGTATAAAGTTATTACTTTAAACAAAATGAAAATTAGGAGTATTATTTATAAAGTTATTGGTGGTAATTTATAAAAAAACAGTTTACTAGTGTCCTAAAAATTATTTTGTGCTCTCTATTAAAGTTTTATAATTTTATAGTTCTTTTATGATGGAGCCTTTTATAGAAACATCACCTAACTACAGGACTCTGTCCCTTTTAAAAAATATAATTCAGCACCTTAATTAATTATTTTTATACTTCAAAACACTCGTCTTAGGGTTTTTTCAGGTTTTAAAACGTAACATTAGCTAGCTTCTTTAACTTTATCATGCTATGCAATTATTGCTTCCTTTACTCTTAAGATCCTAATTTTCTTTTTTTATTTGAGACGGAGTCTTGTTCTCTTGCCCCAGCTGGAGTGCAGTGGCGCGATCTCGGCTCACTGCAACCTCCGTCTCCCGGGTTCAAGCAATTCTCCTGCCTCAGCCTCCTGAGTAGCTGGGACTACAGGCGGGCAGCACCGTGCCGGGCTAATTTTTTGTATTTTCAGTAGAGACGGAGTTTCACCATGTTAGCCAGGATGGTCTCGATCTACTGACTTCATGATCCACCTGCCTCGGCCTCCCAAAGTGCTGGTATTACAGGCTTGAGCCACCGTGCCCAGCCCCTAATTTTCTTATTCAGTAAAGAACAGTTAGGGCTTTCTTTAATTTTAATTTTTTTTTTAATTTTATGAAATAGAGTCTCAGTGTGTCACCCAGGCTGGAATGCAGTGGCGCAATCACAGCTCACTGCCGCCTCAACTTCCTGGCTCAAGTGATACTCCCTCTTTTGCCTTCTGAGTAGCTGCAACTACAGGCACATGCTAATATGCAGCTAATTTTTAAACATTTTTTGTGTAGAGACAGGGTCTCACTTTGTTGCCCAGGCTGGTCTCAAACTCCTAGGCTCAAGTGATCCTCTGCCTTGGCTTCCCAAAGAGTTGGAATTATAGGAGTGAGCCACTGTGTTTAACAACAACAACAACAAAAACAGTTTAACAAGTAATTTACAGAGAAAGATGTTTTCTTTTACTGATAGTACCAGATGGTCCAAAAAAGAATTTTGTTTAAAGTTTTATTTAGGTAACTTTCATTTTGGCAAAGCCAAAAAAGTTACATGTGTTCTTTTGGGAAAGGAAGAAATAAGATTGTCAGTTAGCTGGGCGTGGTGGCGGGTGCCTGTAATCCCAGCTACTCAGGAGGCTGAGGCAGGAGAATTGCTTGAACCCGGGAGGCGGAGGTTGCAGTGAGCCAAGATCGCGCCACTGCACTCCAGTCTGGGCGACAGAGCAAGACTCTGTCTCAAAAAAAAAAGAAATAAGATTGTCACTTTTACTGACAACATGATCTTATATATAGAAAACCCTACAGACTCCACCAAAGAACTGTTCAAACTATTAAATGAATACAGTGTATGTGTATGTGTGAATATATATGTGTATATATGTGTGTGTATATGTATAAGTATATATGTGTATGTGTGTGTGTGTATATATATATGTGTGTGTATATATATATATATATAAAATCCTACAGACTCCACCAAAAAACTATTAAATGAATACAGTATAGTTGTAGGATACAAAATCAACACACAGAAATTAGTAGTATTTCTATGCACTGTTAACAATGAACTATGCAAAAAAGAAGCCAAGAGAACAATCCCATTTACAATAGCTACAAAAAACCAATCAAATTTAACCAAGGAAGTAAAAGACCTACATACTGAAAAACATACAATGTTGAAAGAAATTGAAGATACAATTAAATGGAAAGCTATTCTGTGCTCATGGATTGGAAGAATTAATATTGTTTAAATGGCCATACTACTCAAAGCAATCTCCAGATTCAGTGCAATCCCTATCAAAATTCCAATGTTATTTTTCATAGAAAAAAATACTAAAATTCATATGACCACATAAATCCCTGAATAGCCAAGGCAATTATGAGCAGAAAGAACAAAAAAGAAGCTACCACACTAGCTTATTTCAAACTATACTACCAAGCTATAGTAATTAAAACAGCATGGTATTGGAAATAGACATCAGCCAATGAAACGGAATAGAGAACTTAGAAATGAACCCGTTATGCCTGTCGTGGGGTGGGGGGAGTGGGGAGGAATAGCATTAGGAGATATACCTAATGTAAATGATGAGTTAATGGGTGCAGCATACCAACGTGGCACATGTATACATATGTAACAAACCTGCATGTTGTGTACATGTACCCTAGAACTTAAAGTATGACGAAAAAAAAAGTGAACCCGTTATATAGCTAGTTGACTGATTTTTGACAAAGGTGCTAGGACTACAGAAAGGGAAAGGACAGTCTCTTCACTAAATGGTGTTGGGAAAATTATATTTCCATATGTAGAAGAATGAAATTAGGTCCTTATCTCATACCATATGCAAAAATCAACTAAAAATGGAATAAAGACTTTAAGACTAGAAACTCTAAAACTGCTAGAAGAAAACAGGAAAAACTACACGACAGTGGTCTTGGCACTGATTTTTTTGGATTTGCACGCAAAGTCATAGGCAACAAAAGCAGAAGTAGGCACATGGGAGTACATCAAACTAAAAAGCAAAGGAAACAATTAACAGTGTGCAGAGACAACCTACAGATTGGGAGAAAATATTTGCATCCATTCTATAAGGGGTTGATATTCAAAATATATAAGGAGCTCAACTCAATACCAAGAAAACAAAACTGTTAAAACATAGGCAAGACATTATCCTAGGCAAACTGATGCAGAAACAAAACCAAATGCTGCATGTTCTCACTTATAAGTGGGAGCTAAACATTGGGTACAAATGGACATAAAGATGGGAATAGTGGACACTGGGGACTACAAGATGGGAGGGTGGAAGGAGACCAAGTGTTAAACTACAAATTGGTGGCTGGGCGCCGTGGCTCACGCCTTTAATCCCAGCACTTTGGGAGGCCGAGGCAGGCAGATCACGAGGTCAGGAGATCGAGACCATTGTGGCCAACATGGTGAAACCCCGTCTCTACTAAAAATAATAAAAAAAAATGGCTGGGCGTGGTGGCGCACACCTGTAGTTCCAGCTACTAGGGAGGCTGAAGCAGGAGAATTGCTTGAACCAGGGAGGTGGAAGTTGCAGTGAGTAGAGATCGTGCCACTGCGCTCCAGCCTGGTGACAGAGTGAGACTCCGTCTCAAAAAAGAAAAAAAAAAAGCAAAAACTACATATTGGGTGCTGTGGCTCATGCCTGTAATCCCAGCACTTTGGGAGGCCAAGGTGGGCGCATCACTTGAGGTTAGGAGTTCGAGACCAGCCTGGCCAACATGGTGAAACCCTGTCTGTACTAAAAATTAAAAAAAAAAAAATTAGCTCTGTGTGGTGGCGTGCACCTGTAGTCCCAGCTAGTCCAGAGGCTGAGGCAGGAGAATCACTTGAACCTAGGAGGTGGAGGTTGCAGTGAGCCGATATGGCGCACCTGCACTCCAGCCTGGGCTGGTCAGGAGATCGAGACTATCCTGGCTAACATGGTGAAACCCCATCTCTACTAAAAACACAAAAAATTAGCTGGGCGTGGTGGCGGGCGCCTGTAGTCCCAGCACATATCGAAATATCACAGTACGAGATGGTGCTAACACTGACATAATGTTTAAAATTATGTTTTGAGGATTGGTGGTTGTATTAAACTGTATATAAGATTAAAAATAAATTGCCAGGGCATATTACTAAGTGCTAGTGAACATAGCCCATTGAGTCAGGGGACCTGTATAGAACTGATGCTTTACCAGAGTTGTAAGTCCTTATGTAATCTGGTTCTGTGTCAGGTGATCTCATTTCTTCCTACTCTTCTGATTCACATGGACCTTACTATTTTTGGAACGCATTAAGCACCTTCCTCTCTCAGGGCTTTGCATGTGTTGTTCCTCTATTTGGAATATTCTTTTATATATTTCTAGGACTGACTTCTTCCCTTGGCTTTAGGTTTCTGCTGAAATATCACTTTTTTTTAGAGAAATCTTACCTGTTCCTGCTGCTCTCCTTCCATCACTTTCCATTCTCTTACCCTTTAATTTTCTGCATACTACCTGACTGGTTTTTTGTTTGATTCCTTTCACTGCAATATAATCTCCACAAGGGCAGGAACTTTATTTTATTTGATGCATTCATTATCTTTAGTGACTGGAGCATAGTAGGTGTTCATGTCAATGAATGAATGTTAGGAAGTATATGGTTTTCACTAAATGTAGTATTGGGTCTTACAGGAAAAATAAATACATGTTGGAGATGAATATTGTCTCTGGAAAGTACCTGCACTTAAATAAAATAGGAAACTGTTGGCAAGATACTCCACTCTGATTTTGACTAGTCTGGTTACTTCCTTGTGATTTTTCTAACAGGTTTCAGGAGTCAAGGGATTTGTTGGAATCCTAATTTAGAGGCCCTTTTTTTCTGGGACTCTTTTTTGACTCAGAAGTGATTACCTGCTGGCTTTCTGGTTTTATAGCCTATAGTTCCTCTGCACTATTATTTAAATATATGTTCCATAATTTTTCAAAGTATATTATCTGGTATTTACTCAACCTGTCTTTTACACACTTGATAATTTTTGTTTTGTTTTGTTTTGTTTTGTTTTGTTTTGTTTTTTGAGACAGAGTCTTGCTCTGCCCCCAGGCTGGAGTGTAGTGGCACCATCTTGGCTCACTGCAACCTTCGCCTTCCAGGTTCAAGTGATTATCCTGCCTCAGTCTCCCCAGTAGCTGGGACCACAGGCATGTGCCACTACAGCCAGTTGGTTTTTTTTTTTAAGTTTTCTTTTGTAGAGTTGGGGTCTCACTATGTTGACTGGGCTGGTTTTGAACTTCTAGCCTCAAATGATCCTCCCCGCTTGTCCTCCCAAAGTGCTGGAATTACAGGCATGAGCCACTGTGTTAGGCCCATAATTCTTAATTATCTTAAGGATTCTGCCTGAGCTTTGGCAGAGCTAGGATTCTGTTTACATGCTAGTTTGAGAAATACTTGCCTTATTGGATGTGTTTAAACTGTTTTTTTTTTTTGTTTTCTTATAGACAGTTCAAGAAGAAGAAAGAGAGATTTACAGACAGCTGCTACAGATGGTCACAGGGAAACAGTTTACTATAGCCAAACCCACCACACATTTTCCTTTACACCTGTGAGTCACAGAAGCATATTTCAGATGAATTTAATTCTACAATTTATTACTTGATATTGAAACAATATTCTTCTCTTGCTAGGTCTCGATGTCTTAGTTCCAGTAAAAATACTTTGAAAGACTCACTGTTTAAAAATGGAAACTCTTGTGCATCTCAGATCATTGGCTCTGATACTTCATCATCTGGATCTGCCAGCATTTTAACTAACCAGGAACAGCTGTCCCACAGTGTATATTCCCTATCTTCTTATACCCCAGATGTTGCATTTGGATCCAAAGATTCTGGTACTCTTCATCATCCCCATCATCACCACTCTGTTCCACATCAGCCAGATAACTTAGCAGCTTCAAATACACAATCTGAAGGTAAACATGGTATCATATAACTACATTTTTAGTCCTAATAGCCAATTAACTGTTCATTAGCTCATTACAGGCAACATTGTAATATACATATAAATAAATGAGCATACCGAATCTGAAAATATGAAGTCCGAAATGTTCCAAAATCTGAAACTTTTTGAATACCAACATGATACTCAGGAAATGCTCAGTGGAGCATTTGGGATTTTGGATGTTTGGATTTGGGATGCTCAAATTGTATAATGCAAATATTCAAAAGTCCAAAAAATCCAAAATTTGAAACTCCTGGTCCCAACCATTTTGGATAAGGGATACTGAACTTGTAAGACATGTACTTACATACTTTAAATACATATGATTCAGTTAACCATGCTGTGAGTAAACTAAATCCACAAATAGGATATTCTTTTTTTCTTACCTCAAGATGCAAATGATTTGATACATTTTATTTAAACAACTTCCTAAGTACAGGCTAGAGTCAAAGTATATATACTCAGCCCAATTGCTTCAGCACTTTCTCTGTTTCTATGACTTTACAGTGGTAAGTAAGAATTCTGAAGTTGTAGGAGTTTTGAAACATCAGATAAATACTGAAGCTTAAGTACTTAGGTTTGTGCGTTTTAGAATGATTGTCAGCATTGGAAGCAAAAAGTTTTCTACGTAACTTTCAACTAACTGAAATATTCACTCTCTTTGCATTCCAGTTAATTAAGGTTTTGTCGTGATAGGTTTGTTTCCTTAATTTCCCCCTTCTTTAGGTATGTATTATGTATCAATTTATGGTATGTACTTAGGTATGCAACTTAAAACAAGTTATAGGTTAAATGGTTAAACATCAGGGATTTTTTGATAGATGGAGCACTAGTCTTTCCCCTCCTTTCTCAGGTTGTTTGAGGTTTTTTTTTTAATCTATTTGTACTTTGTGAAAATTCTCACTCAGGATTAAACTTTTTGGTAGCATCATTGTATAGCTACACATATCCATGAAGACTCTTGTTATATTTTGTGAGGTGATGTACTGAGAACTGTAAAGGAAAAAAAAAAGCCAAAAAACCCAAACTCCTTTAACCTCAGAAACATACATTGTGTTGCAGATACTTAGATACAACTAAGTTGAAACAAATATACTACATTGCACTGTTTAATTACTTTCCTTGTACCATGTAATAAATACTCTGAGGTTCTAATGACAGCACTTTAGAAGAACATGATTCCTGCCTTTGAGTAGTATTCAACAGAGAAAATACATAATAGAATGATAAAATTTGTACTTTTTAGACACCTCCTGGGGTGCTATTTCCTTCCCTGTCCCCCTTCCCTCCTTCTTCCAGTTTCTTTCCCTCTTCCATTCCCCCACCCCTTCTTTCACCTAATTCAGTCGCATTGTAGATCATGAACTACAGTAGTTCCCCCTTATCTGTGGGGGGAGGATATGTTCCAAGACCCGCCCCCCACCAGTGGATGCTTGAAACCATGGAGAGTATACTATATATACCATACCCTATATACATCATGTTTTTTCCTATACATACATACTAATGATTATAAATTAGGTGCAGTAAGAGATCAACAATAATAACTAATAACAAAAATTATAACAATATACTGTAATGAAGATGTTACTTTTTTCTTATTAAATCAAAAACTTTAACCTTTTCACTTAAAGGAAGTAGTGTTTTTTGTTTTTGTTTTTGTTTTTGTTTGTTTTTGAGACTGAGTGTCACTCTGTTGCTCAGGCTGGAGTACAGTGGGACCATCTTGGTTCACTGCAACCTCGCATGTCCTGGGTTCAAGCGATTCTGCTGCCTCAGCCTCCTGAGTAGCTGGGATTACAGGTGTGAGCCATTATGCCCAGCTAATTTTTGTATTCTTAGCAGAGACAGGTTTCACCATGTTGGCCAGGCTGGGGAAGCACTTTTTACGGCTTCTCTTTGGCATACCTGAATTGCCAACATCATTACTTTTGCCTTTTGGGGACATTATTAAGTAAGGGTTACTGAACACAAGCACTGCTATACTGAGACAGTCAATTGGATGACTGAGGTGACTACTAAATGACAGGTGGTGCATACAACATGGATATGCTGGACAAAGGGATGATTTCATGCCTGAAATAGAGCTGGATAGAGATTTTTATCACATTACTTGGAATGGCATGCAATTTAAAATTTACTAATTATTTCTGGAATTTTCCATTTAATATATTTGGACCGCAGTTAACTATGCGTAACTGAAACCATAGAAACCAAAATTGCAGATAGAGGACTACCATGAAGACTTTTAAGGAATCCTGCCATGTTCTTGTTCTCCTGAAACAGACAGGAAGCACAGGGAGCAAGTGCAGCCTAGGAGGAAATTCTGAAGGGCAAATATGTTTGTTATTTCCCAGGGATTTTCTTATTTGTGAAGCAAATTCTTCACTAAGACCTATTTCTGTTCTCAGTGACAATGGACTTGCCTCTCTCTCTCTCCCATCTAACCTTTGTTCTTATGTTATTTTTGTGGAAATAAAATATAGCAAAGTATGGGAACTTAAACTAAGATATCTAGAAAGTATAACTTTGTGGAGTTTTATTACTAATGAAATGCTCTTGTGTTTCTTTAGGATCAGACTCTGTGATTTTACTGAAAGTGAAAGATTCCCAGACTCCAACTCCCAGGTAAACTTTGGAAAAAGCTTGTTCTTTATTAATTAATTAATATATCTTTTTGAGACGGAGTCTCGCTCTGTTGCCCAGGCTGGAGTGTAGTGGCGCGATCTTGGTTCACTGCAACCTCCACCTCCCTGGTTCAAGCAATTCTTCTGCCTCAGCCTCCCGAGTAGCTAGGATTACAGGCGCCCGCCACCACGCCCAGCTAATTTTTGTATTTTTAGTAGAGATGGGGTTTTGCTGTGTTGGCCAGGCTGGTCTCGAACTCCTGACCTCAAGTGATCCACCTGCCTCGGCCTCCCAAAGTGCTGGGATTACAGGCGTGAGCCACCATGCCTGGCCTAAAAGTTTCTTCTTAACATATTGTTTTCCCTTTCTTTAATCACAGCTTTTTCACTAAAAGTTACATAATGTAAAACTACCTCAATTCAGACCTTTCTCACGTATTACTTGAATTATTTTAGTGGCTTTATAATTGTTCTTCCTTCAGCCTCTATTTTGTTCTTCATTCCGTCTTCCACCATACCATGTTCTTGAAACAATTTTTCTGCCTTGCTCTTTTTTCATTTGTTTTTGTTTTTGTTTTTGTTTTGAGACAGGGTCTTGCTCTGTCACCCAGGCAAGAGTGCAGTGGCACAATCATGGCTCACTGGAGCTTTGAACTCCTGGGCTCAAGTGATCCTCTTGCCTCAGCTGGGACCACATATGCATGCCACCATACTTGGCTAACTTTTAAATTTTTCTTTTGTAGAGACGGGATCTTGCTATGTTGACCAGGCTGGTTTTGTACTCCTAGCCTCAAGCGATCCTCCTAACTTGGCCTTCCAAAGTGCTGGGATCGTAGGTGTGAGCCACTGCACCCGGCCTGCTGTGTTCTTTAGTCCATCTTCCATGCTGCAATCAGAGTGATCTTTCAGAATTCATGTCTGATCATTCATTAAAGGGGTTTAATGATTATTTGTTAACCTCCTTCAAGGGTGGTTTATCAGACATTGAATTAAGCTCAGGCTCCTTACTATGGTATACAAAGCACTTCTTTCACAAGCCTCACTTTCTCACTTTTAACAAATATTTACTGAGAGCCTACTGTGTGCCAGGTACTAGTATAAATATTGAGGATAATAGGGAACAATGTGAAGTCCCTATTCTCAAGGAGCTTGCATTCTACTTGAGGGGAAGGATGAAGGACAATGTGAAGTCCCTATGCTCAAGGAGCTTGCATTCTACTTGAGGGGAAGGATAAACAAATGTATATGCCTTGTGATAAGTGCTATGAAGAAAATTGAAGCAGGGTAATATATAGAGTAGGATTGGGAGGATACTATTTGTATAGGGTGGTCATGGAAAGTCTCTGATAAAGTGACTTGAGCAGAGACATG
This sequence comes from Homo sapiens, assembly GCF_000001405.40. Classification (NCBI taxonomy): domain Eukaryota; kingdom Metazoa; phylum Chordata; class Mammalia; order Primates; family Hominidae; genus Homo; species Homo sapiens. The sequence continues at coordinate 48,070,296 of NC_000012.12, read as the reverse complement.
ATGGAGGTAAGAGGGAGCCATATGGAAATATGGGACTCTTTCATGTGTTTTTATAAGCTGGACTATTTTCAGTTTGCAAATACAATAAGCATTTCTTACCTTCACATTCAGTGTTCTTTTTGCCTGGAATGTCCTCCGTACCTCAACTTTGTCTGTCAGTAGTGTTTTATCTTTTAGGTCTCAACTCACATGTGAACTTCTGCATGAAACTTTACTTATCTGGAGGTATCAAATACTTCTTCCTCTGTAATACAGTAATAGTAATCCATAGTAACCATTACTATGATTGCTATGCCTTTGCCATATATGGCTTTGGGAATTCAATTGCTAGGATGAGAATAATATCAGTTTTCCGTTGAGAAGATTAAGAGTAATGAAATATTCTTTCTCATCTCAGTTCCCCTACTTCTTTGCAGCTCCCCATATGTTCTAAGCTTTAAATATTTCTTAAAATTCTCTATTTGTTAAGTCTTTTGGGGAGACTTCATAGTTTGGATTCTTTATTTCTTACATCTTTTTTGGAGTCAGATCTGCCTTCTGATCTTGGGTTGGAAAAGGCTTCATGTAGCTTTGGACAAGTTACTCTTATGAACCTCAGTTTCCTTATCAATAAAATGCCAGTATTGATACCTTACACTTAATTGTGAAGATTAACTTACAGATAAAACACTTATTTTTATAAGTGCTTCACATGAAATGCCACAAGATGCATGCAACTTTCTTGGGAAGAAGTTGATCTCTCAGGTAAAGAGTTGATCTCAGTTCCTTAATGGTTCTTTACTAAGACTGCCTTTCCTTTACGGAGGATTTCCCCTAGTGATGACTAAAGAATGAGATGGCAGGAGAAATGGTCTGTTGGGTAAGGCTGTTTGAGCAATGCTCTTTGTCAAAGTTGGTGCCTACTCTGCTGAGGCTTGGTTTATTGGCTCTCTACTCTTAATTCTCCACTACTGCCTCTCAGTTAAGTTCCAGTAATGAAGATCTGCTTTTATTTCCCAGAATATGCTATGCTGTGTCATACCTCTTTGCCTTTATACATTCTGATCCTTCTGTCTGGATGTCCCTTTCTCTCTCTGTCTACTTGGTAAGCTCTTATTTTGCTTCCTTTTCTTTCTTTCTTTTTTTTTTTTTTTTTTTTTTTTTTGTGACAGAGTCTTGCTCTATCATCCAGGCTGGAGTGCAGTGGCACAATCTCTGCTCACTGCAACCTCCGCCTCCCGGGTTCAAGTGATTCTCGTGCCTTACCCTCCAGGGTAGCTGGGATTACAGGCATATGCCACCACACCCAGCTAATTTTTGTATTTTTAGTGGAGATTGGGTTTCACCATGTTGGCCAAGCTGGTCTCGAACTCCTGACCTCCGGTGTTCCACCCACCTCAGCCTCCCAAAGTGCTGGGATTACAGGCATGAGCCACTGTGCCTGGCCTTAATTTTGCTTTTCAAAATCTCATCCAGGTGTTATTTTTTTTTTCTCAGAAGATTTCTTTGACTTTGCCAGATAATGTTAGTTTTTCCCTCCATCCTTCTACCTTGTTTGTTACTAATACTTTTGTATCTGTCACCCATTGCTGGTCATAGTGCTTGGCATATGATGGGTGCTCAGTAAATAAATCTTTGTTAAACAAATGAATTTCCTAGATAGCCTGAAGTGCTCTCTTGAGTAGCCCAAGTACTTATTCCTCCCCCGCTTTTTTTTAATGCTTTCATCTATTGAAAGGCACAGTCGAAAGAACACAGTCTTTGGAATTGGACAGATAAGATTTCTAATCCTAGCCTTTCAAGAGAAATTATCTTTTTGAACCTCCTTTTTCATTTCTGTACAGTATGAGTAATAATTCTTTTTTATATATTATGTTGAGGTTTAAATAGTATAGGGATTTTCATTAGGCTTAACTAATACATAAAACATCTAGAGCAGAGTTTTACATGTAGAGCACTAAGTATGTGCTCAAAAACATTTGCAGTTATTATTACTATATGCCTCAATTATATGAGAAATAATGCATCTCTTTGGAAAAGCAGATTTTCCCTGCATTTTGTTTTCCGGAGCCAGTGGATACCTTGATCCATTGAAGAAAACTGCTTGTCCCTACATTACTTGTTTATTCAAGAAATACTATATGGCTGGGCATGGTGGCTCATGCCTGTAATCCTAGCACTTTGGGAAGGCCAAGGTGGATGGATCACCGGAGGTCATGAGTTCGAGACCAGCCTGGCCAACATGGTGAAACCTCGTCTCTACTAAAATAAAAATAAAAAAAAGAAAAAATTAGCCAGGTGTGGTGGCGGGTGCCTGTAATCCCAGCTACTCAGGAGGCTGAGGCAGGAGAATCTCTTGAACCCGAGAGGTGGAGGTTGCAGTGAGCCGAGATTGTGCCACTGTACTCCAGCCTGGGCAACAGAGTGAGAGTCAAAAAACAAACAAACAACACTAAATGCCTACTCTGTGCCAAGCACTATTCTAGTTGCAGATCATTTTTTTTTTTTTAAGAGACAGAATCTCACTATGTTGCCCAGGCTGGTCTTGAACTCTTGGCTCAAGCGATTCTCCCACCTCAGCGTCCTAAAGCACTGGGATTACAGGAATGAGCCACCATGCCTGGCCTCTGATCCAGGTCTCTTAACTCCCAATTTGATGCTCTGTTTACTTGTTCTCTATATTTAATAGTTTTCTTTGGAAAAGTGTTCACTCTTCTTCTTTGTGTTTCTGTGATAGATCCTGCCTAGTTAGGAGTTTGGAGATAAGGAAGTTTGAGAAAAACAAGAGGCTCTAGGACAATTAATCATGTCTGTGGCTCTGCTCAGCATATCACTTGGGTTGTCAGCAGAGCCACATGGACCTAGAATTGGCCTGTCATCTTTGGAAGGAAGTTGTGTTGCTGATTCTCTGCTTTGGCTCATTGGCTTGTTAGCCATTTGATGTAGATTATTTTGTGTGTGGGGATTTTTAATAAATCTTTCAATCTGAGTCATTTGGGAAGAGCAATGTTCTAGCTTAATGTATTATTTTGAGAAGTGATGTCCTCTTTCACGTAATGTTGGTCTCATGCAAGTAGGGAGCTATGCCAAATGTAGTATCTCTGCTGAACTTTGGGTCACCTTTTTAACTAATATGTATCCATATGATTTTAACTAATATGTATGCATAAGGATTGTGTCTCCTTAATTCCTAGTTACAATTATTTTATGTCATTTAGATTCCTTTTACTTATTCCATACTTGTAAAGCACTCATATAAACAATTTAAATGATTGTTTTTATTGATGAAAATATTTTAATTTTCTCATAAGCCTCCTGCTCATTTGTCAAATTTTTCTTTTCCTACCCATAGTTCTACTTTCTTCCAGGCAGAGCTGTGGATCAAAGAATTGTAAGTTATTTTTGGTATCATTTTTCCTTCTCAATCAGTTCATTTTTAGTTAGAAGAAATCAAACAATTAGCTAATCATCCTGCTTATTTTTTGCCAATAAGAAGTACCTGTTTAGGCTGGGCGCGGTGGCTCACGCCTGTAATTCCAGCATTTTGGGAGGCTGAGGCAGGTGGATCATCTGAGGTCAGGAGTTCAAGACCAGCCTGGCCTTCATGGTGAAACCTCATCTCTACTAAAAATACAAAAATTGGCTGGGCATGGTGGCACGCGCCTGTAATCCTAGCTACTTGGAAGGCTGAGGCGGGAGGATTGCTTGAACCTGGGAGGTGGAGGTTGCAGTGAGCCGAGATCACGCCACTGCACTCCAGCCTGGGCAACAGAGTAAGACTCCATCTCAAAAAAAAAAAAAAAGAAGTGCCTGTTTATACTTTTAAGTTGTTGGGTTTTCAAAATATTGTTGGAGTTGGAACATTTCTATACTTATGTTTATTAAATCTATAACAATTGTTGAAGCTAAATTAAATTGGAAAAATAGAGTTAGCTATTATATAATAGGGAAAATAAATGATCCTATTTTGGCATTTGTAAAACTAATTTATTGAATAATTCATATTTCTGGACTTTGCAAAATCACTGAAAGCATTTAGTCTCACTTAAGGAACTTAAGTTATCCAAACCCCTCGGTCTCGGTAATTTTTTAAAAATCTATCAAAAATGAAGTATTTGAATTAAACTTCAGTGATATCTTGTATTCGTTTCTCCTTTAGGGTTCAATCCCATTTTTGGATTTCCAGACTGAAGTTTCGCTTTCACTATAATCTTAAAAGCATGTTAAGAAAAGAACTGTGTGTTTACAAATGTTAACAAGTCATCTGTTCACATTTAGCAGCACACTAATATTTTTAGTAATTTCAGTAAAAATAGGTCGGGTGCAATGGCTCACATCTGTAATCCTAGCACTTTGAGAGGCCAAGGTAGGGGGGTCGCTTGAGCCCAGGAGTTTGAGACTAGCCCGGGCACTGTAGTGAGACCCTATCTCTATAAAAAATAATAAGTAAAAATGGTAGAGTAATTTCAGTAACATTATGTGGTTTCACTCTATGTCTTAAAATAAGGATGATAAGTTAGTGTAAGGATTTTAGACTTTCTTTGTGAGGGTCCTGTATTTAATATTCAGTGTACATCAACAATATGTTTCATAATGAGAGTGGTCTACATTTGGTCACGTTCCTTTTCATTTTCTAGAACTAGTGTTTATGATTCTCGAGCACGAGAAAGATTGCGCCAGATTGAAGAACAGAAGGCATTGGCCTTACAGCTTCAAAACCAGGTAAAAAAGAAAATTGGAATAATATTACAAATAAATAGTACATCAAAGTAGAAACTATTTTGGAAAGTTACCCAGATTTGGGTAATTGCTGTTGTAATTCCAAGATCGTATGGTAGCATAGCATGTTATGATATGTCGTAAATGTTCTTGGTCTGTCCAGTCAGTGCTACTCATTGTACATAAGACAAATATAGATAGTCCCCTACTTGTGATGGTTCGACTAATGATTTTTTGACTTTACAAAAAAGCGAAAGCAATGGGCATTTAAGCACGCTCTTTGACTTATGACAGGTTTATTGGGACATAACCCTATCATAAATCAAGGAACATCCACAGATTTCTTTATCCCACTTACTCTGAAGTTTTATCTTTCAGAGATTGCAGGAGCGGGAACATTCAGTACATGATTCAGTAGAACTACATCTTCGTGTACCTCTTGAAAAGGAGATTCCTGTTACTGTTGTCCAAGAAACACAAAAAAAAGGTCATAAATTAACTGATAGTGAAGATGAATTTCCTGAAATTACAGAGGTAAGTTACATACACTTAATTTCTACACTACTAAGTATCATGTTTAGAAAGAATCCCTCGGATGAGTTTCAAACATAAAAGCAATAGTGGTCAGGCACGGTGGCTCACGCCTGTAATCCCATCACTTTGGGAGACTGAAGCGGGTGGATCACTTGAGGTTAGGAGTTCGAGACCAGCCTGGCCAACATGGTAAAACCCCATCTCTACCAAAAATACAAAAATTAGCTGGGTGTGGTGGCATGCACCTGTAATCCCAGCTACACAGGAGGCTGAGGCAGGAGAATTGCTTGAACCCGGGAGGCAGAGGTTGCAGTGAGCCGAGATCATGCCACCGTACTTCAGCCTGGGTGACAGAGCAAGACTCCATCTCACATACACACACACACAAAAAGCCATAGAACACGTGTTATTTAAATTTTCTTGTATATTTCAGCTTTCGCTTATTTTATATACCAATCTGGGCTTTATTTTTAAAATATTGAAAATTTATGAAAGAACTATGGGTGGCTTTTAACAGTTTCAGTGAAGAAGCATTTAATACATTTGTCTTTCATGTCATGTGCATTTTTACTTAATGCACACATACAATAGTTTGACCTCAAATTGTAAGCTGAGATTTGCTCTTTTTTTAAGTAATAAAACCCATTATAGAAAATTTGGAAAATACATGGAGGTCTGTGTACATTTTTAGATAATCCGTTTCTTTATCCATACTTCTCTTTGAAACACTACCATGTAGCTGGTGAGCATAACACACTTATTATAGTTGTACTGAATTCCATACTTTACATTTAAAAAAAAAGATCTCTAAGAAAGTAATTTCTAAAAGATACTGCCTTTACTCTCTTACTACCTTTTATGAAAAATTCTGTTTCTCAGGAAGTCATTTGGACCAGAGATATAAAATACAGTTAATTTTTCTCATGTGCTTAGAAAATTTGATAGCGGAAGGTTGTTCCAGACTTTAGGAATTAATATGGAAACAAGGATCTGAATGTTGTGCTGAAAAAGAGAAGGGAGGACTAGATGAAGTGGAAAGAAGTAATCGGGGATTACTGGGAAGGAATAGAAACCAAAATGTTAGAAGTAAACTGATTAACAGTAAATTTATAAACAATCGAATGGTGATAAATATAGTCTGAGGATTATATGGGGTTTGGTGAGAAATACGGTTTTTCTGAAGCCACGCGTGTTTGATGTCTTGACACCTTTTGTTTTCTTAGGAAATGGAGAAAGAAATAAAGAATGTATTTCGTAATGGGAATCAGGATGAAGTTCTCAGTGAAGCATTTCGCCTGACCATTACACGCAAAGATATTCAAACTCTAAACCATCTGAATTGGCTCAATGATGAGGTAATGTTGCATCTATTTTTACATACAAATAGTAAACATTAAGTGGCAGTTAAATTAAGGCATTATCTCACTTTTTCTCAAAATGTGGTCCATGGATGACCTGCATTGGAATCATCTCTCATAGGCCTCTTCATTCTTGTAACTATGAGGGAGTGTGGTGGAGACAGGCATTTTTAACAAACATCTCAGGTGTATTTTAAAGTCTGAGAACCACTGAATTTACCTTTTCTTGTTGAAGATTTGAACATTGAAGAAGACATTCACTCATTGGTATTCTCACTCTTTAAGGCTCCTATTCTGCAGTTCATCTCTTCTGAACAAATAAGTATTAGCCGACCATGTTGCAGCATGAGGGAATACTGTGGGATTTCTTTATAGGAATCCAGTTTTACTTCCCTTTCTACCTAAGTTCTACTCATTTTAGATCACTTATATTACGAATGACAAGCTTTCCAAAATCGCCTCCATTTATGTATGATATTTTTTAAATGGACATTGAAAAAGTTATATTATTATTAAATATTTGAGGTATTGGGGGAGAAGTTACGGTCTTCACCTCCTAACTCCAATTTATTTTAAGTATATTAATTACACTACAGTTTTTAAACTGATCTGTTCCTAAGCCTAAACCTGTAGGTACCTGTTTTATTTTAGAAGGTTATTTTTACAGCAAAAGAAAACTGGGTTGGGTATCTTTTCCTAAGTACCTTCTTTGCATAAGCATCCCTGGCTAATCTGGGTATACTCAAGCTTCACAGCTGTGGAGGATTTTTAGTTTCTCAGTGTAGTAATCATTAAATATTTTAGATATCCATATCCTGTTTTTGTATGATCAAGACCTTCCAAATAATATTTGCCAATAACTATTGATCATTTACCTCATTAGTACGATTCATGTTTTATGTGTTTTATTCTTGTAATAGTCATCATATCTTTGGAAGTAGATATGATAGTTCACCATTCTGCAGATAAAGAAACAAGGCATAGAAAGATTTAAAAACTTGCAAGGTTATACAGCTAGTAAACAGCAGAGCCAAGATTAAGACCCAAGCATTGGGTCTTATCTACTATATCTTAACTACCTCAGAATCTTAAATTGGATACTGGTCTTAGGATCAGATATATAGAACTTAGGAGCCATATATCATGTCCAGGATGCTTTTTTTCTCTGGGGCCAGCCCCATTCTTTTTGCCACTGGTTGGTTTATAAGATAAAAATTTCAGAAGCTCATCACTCCCTGAATAATATCTGTGACCAAGAATAATAAGGAAGGCATGGTTTGTTACTGTCTTTCTTTAGAAGAAACCCTCTTTGCCTCTTTTGGCTCAGATATTAGAACATTGGTTCAAATAATGGAAAAAAAGAGCTCACCAAATCAAAGGAGGAAATTAAATCAAGGATAGTTATAAGTATCCACTGATAAGTTATTTTTGATCTGTGGTCCTTTGCCATTTATTTCCTGCCATTGCTGGTGGTGCGAGGTCAGTTACTCTAAAGGGATAGTAGGCTTTAGTTTGTTGTAAATCATGGAAAACCTCCTAGAGGGCAGCAATCAGTAGGATATGAGCTGAGTTCTTGCTATTTACTGTGGCATTTACCTCAGTGAGATTCCTTACAGAGACAGCATTCATCAGGACATATTTTCCATTCCCTGGGCCCATCAGAGGCTGGATTTTTAGCAAGCTAAGTTAATGGAAATTACATTATTTTAGAGGAGATGAGAAGAAGGAAAGATTCTTTGTCTACTTTATCCCTACCACCCCTAGCCATAACTTTTGTAGAAGGAGTGCATTTCTTCTCAGTTCAGAATGATGTTATCCTTGAAAATGAGTGCCAGTTCACATGTCCATAATAATGATGGGAGCTATCTTAAAAAGCACCATTTTCAAAGTACCATACTTCGTAGGCTTTCAAAGTTACTGCCCTTGAGAAGCTAACATCCTGATGGAGTATTATTAGGTATCCTTAAGTATTGATACTCATTGAAGAATACTTAATTTTGGCCAGACACAGTGGGTCATGCCTATAATCCCAGTGCCTTGGATGGCTAAGGTGAGAGGATCACCTGAGGCCAGGAGTTCAAGAGCAGCCTGGGCAACATAGCAAGACCCGATCTCTACAAAAAAATTAAAAATTAGCCAGCCATGGTGGCATATGCCTGTAGTCCCAGCTGTTCAGGAGGCTGAAGCAGGAGGATTGCTTGAGTTTAGGAGTTTGAGTTTATAGTGAGCTATGACTGAGCCACTGTACTCTAGACTGGGTGACAGAGCAAGACTCTGTGTCTTCAAAAGAATACAAAACTTAATTCTGTTTCTCAGTTGTGAACTATCAGTCTTTTGCAAATGATTTGTCCTCTGTTCAATCCTCTTCTTCCCTCAAGTAGATATTTTCATTAATAATAATTTCTCTTCTTTTTCTGTTTCCTGCTTTATAAGATGTATTAAAACTTTCTCCAAAATAGGTGACTGATACATTGTTCTTATCATTTTATAAACAAAGTACCATACTTTGTAGGCTTTCAGAGTTAAAAAGTAATATAAGAGCAAGGAAGTAAAAGGAATCAGATTCAGTTTATAAGGAAAATAAAATCCAGAAATCCTATGTTTGGGATATGTATGGAAAGCCATTAGGATACCCTGTTCCTAAAAGAAGAGTGACCACAGTACCTATTCATACAGTAGGTTTTAAGATTTTTTTCATAAATGGATTTCTCTATAGGTCAGTTTGGTTAAATTCTGTACAACTTCAAAGGACTAATGATTGACAGGATTAATATAATAAAACGTCTCAAAAATGGAATGTGGGAACTGGCTGCCATATAAAGAATACAAAAGGAGGCAAGAAGACTGTTACAATCAAGACACCGTAGATGGGGATTTCTATACTGGGTCAGGAGATTAGTTACTAATAGAAATATCTAATTAAGGGAAGGGAGGATAGAGTTAAAGAGAGGAGAAATTACACTGGGAGCAGTGGCTCATGCCTGTAATCCGAACACTGAGAGGCTGAGGTGTAAGGATTGCTTGAGCCCAGGTTGTCAAGGCTGCAGTGAGTTATGATTGTGCAACTGCACTCTACTACAGGGTGAGTGACAGAACAAGACTCTGAGATCCTGTCTGTTTTTTAGAAAAAGGGAGAGAGGAAAAATTAGTTGCAAAAGTAGAAGTAGATTGAAGCAGTCAAGAAACAGAAGGAAATATTTTCAAATGGGTGTCATTATTAGAAACTATGTATTAATTCCTGGAGATTGAATTGGATGACTTCTGGAATCCCTTCCAACTTTAAGATTCTAGGTGTATTATCCTGAGTACTGCTTTAGGCTTTGTGTTTCTCTTTATGGCCAAATGGTTCTCCTTTGAGGGACTAAGGATTGTTTTAAAAGGCATCAGATAAATTTAGAAATACATGGATATAATTTAGGTATACAAGTAAATAAAACTTACTTTTGCTTCTGGTCATGATAAAGGAAACAAGATTTACCCTTTCAACTTAACTAGAAAATTAGACAAAAGATGAAACAACAATTTTCAGACATTGGATAACAGGTAGTACCAGGCAGTGATCCCTGAGGAAGGGAAATAAAAGGTATGTATGCTATAATATCCCCAGCTTTCTAGGGTGGGGTGTGTGTGTTGTGAAGGAGGGACTGGTAGAGTCTGTGCAGAGGGGCTTCCCTCCAGTCTTTGGCTGAGTACCAATTTGTGCATGTATGAAAAGAAGCTACCAGAGGCTGGGGAAAGAACCACCAGAAAGAAGGAATCAGCAGTCTTAGAGCCAGCACAGGTGTCAATAGTTTATGTTCCAACCAGTTAAGAGTAGAAAAACCTCCTAAGTCACAGGGCATTGAATAGAATCTTCAGAGGGGTATTGCCTCAGAAATAGGGCAAAACTGACCCTAGAATAAAGGCTGCTCTGGACCCACCATCACAAAGCCTAAAAACAAACCTCAAAAGCCTGAAACTGATCCAAATAACCTATATCCCAGAGAAAAGCCAACAATGTTTAAAGGAATACAACGAATTCCATCAACAACAAGGCCCAGCATAAAATTTGCAATATCCAGCATCCAACTAGAAATGACCAGACATACATGAGGCGGGAAAGTACAATTTATGATGAGGGAGAAAAGAAACACTCAGAAATGACCAAAATAATAGAATTAGCAGACAAGGATTTTTAAAAAGTTACTATAAATATCTTCCACATATTCAAGAAGATAGAAGAAAATGGACATCATGAGGAGAGAAATGGAAGATATTTTTTAAACAAGACCGACCTTGAACTTCTAGAAATGAAAAATATATCTGAAATAAAAATATATAAGGTAGTATTAATAGATTAGACACTTCATAAGAAAAAATTCGTAAACTTGAATAGCAATAGAAACTTGAATATGAGACACACAAAAAAAGCCAAAGAAAGATATCAAGAGCATCAGTGAGCTGTGGGATTATACCAGACAGGTTAAGCATATAATTGGAGTCCCAGAAGGAAAGGTGGGGGCATAGGTGGTGTTAGAAAAAGTATTTGAAGAAATAATGATGGAAGATTTTCCAAATTTGAAAACTGAACTGACAAGTTTGAGAAGTTATCCATACCCCAAGTAGAAGAAACACCATGCTAAAATGTATAGTAATCAAGTTGTTGAAAACTGGTGATAAAAATATTAAGTGCAACGAGAAGGAAAAAGGCACATTAAGTACAGAAGAACAAAGATAGGAATAACTGTCGGAAACGATGCAGGCCAGAAGACAATGTAGCTACATCTTTGAAGTACTGCAGAAGAAACAAATTTGTCAGTAGAAATTCTATACCCAGCAAATATATCTTTCAAAAAGTAAGGCTGTACTTTTCCAGACAAACAAATGCATCACCAACAGACCTGTACCAGAAGAAATATTACGTGTTCTTCAGGCGGAAGAAGAATATCAAATGGAAATGTCAGTCTACACAAAGGAATGAAGAGTGGAATTGCTCTCATTTTTTCATACCTCTAGAAGACAGGTGACTAAGGCAGAACTAAAACAACATACTGTGGGATTTATAACATACAGAAGTAAAATATAATCACAGCACAAAGAAGGAGACAAAATGGACAAATATACTGTTGGAAGATCCTTCTACTCTACATAAAGTGGTAAAATGTTATATGAAGGAAGACTGTACGTTAAAGCCATAGTAAATCATAGAGTAACCACAAAAAATAAAAATTAAAAGCAAGATATATTTACTAAGCCAATAATGGAGGCAAAATGGAGCTTTAAAAATACAAAAGAGTTGGAAAGAAGAAAAAAGATAAAAAGAACAAATAGAACAAATAGGAAGAAAGAGCAAGATGGTAGATTTAAACTCAACCACATTGATATTAAATGTAAATTATCTACGTCAACATTGTCCAATAGAAATATAATGTGAGCCACATATTTTAAATTGTCTAATAGTTACTTTTAAAAAAGTAAAATGGGCCGAGTGCAGTGGCTCATGCCTGTAATCCCAGCATTTTGGGAGGCCGAGGCGGGTGGATCACTTGGGGTCAGGAGTTTGAGACCAGCCTGGCCAACATGGTGAAACCCCGTCTCTACAAAAAATACAAAAATTAGCCAGGCATGGTGGTGCATGCCTGTAATCTCAGCTACCTGGAAGGCTGAGGCAGGAGAATCGCTTGAACCTGGGAGGTGGAGGTTACAGTGACTGAGATCACGCCACTGCACTCCAGCCTGGGCAATGGAGCGAGACTTTATCTCAAAAAAAAAAAAAAAAAAAAAAAGAGGAAATAAAATGAAACAGGTGAAATTAATTTTAACATATTTAAGGCTAGGCACAGTGGCTCACGTCTATAATCCCAGCACTTTGCGAGGCCAAGGTGGGTGCATCACTTGAGGTCAGGAGTTCAAGACCAGCCTGGCCAACATGGCAAAACTCTGTCTACTAAAAATAAAAAAAATTAGCCCGTCATCGTGTGTGCCTGTAATTGGGAGGCTGAGGCAGGAGATTCACTTGAATCCAGGAAGCAGAGGTTGCAGTGAGCTGAGATCGCGCCACTGTACTCCAGCCTGGATGACAGAGCAAGACTGTTTCAATTAAAAAATATATACATATATAAAATATATAAAATAATATATAGGTAATATATGTTATATATAAATAATATATTTTTACATAAAAATATATATAATACAGGTCGGGCGCAGTGGCTCACACCTGTAATCCCAGCACTTTGGGAGGCAGAGGCAGGTGGATCACCTGAGGTCAGGAACTTGAGACCGGCCTGACCAACATGCTGAAACCCTGTCTCTACTAAAAATACAAAAATTAGCCAGGTGTGGTGGCAGGCGCCTGTAATCCCAGCTACCCAGGAGGCTGAGGCACGAGAATCGCTTGAACTTGGGAGGTGGAGGTTGCAGTGAGCCAAGATCACACCACTGCACTCCAACCTGGGTGACAGAGTGAGACTTTGTCTCAAAAAAATATATATATAATGTATTTTTTATATATAATAAATAATATATATGTAATGTGTAATATATTAAATAATATATTTATATATGTAATATATAATATATTAAATAATATATTTATATATGTAATATATAATATATTAAATAATATATTTATATATGTAATATATAATATATTAAATAATATATTTATATATGTAATATATAATATATTAAATAATATATTTATATATGTAATATGTAATATATTAAATAATATATTTATATATGTAATATGTAATATATTAAATAATATATTATATATGTAATATGTAATATATTAAATAATATATTATATATGTAATATGTAATATATTAAATAATATATTATATATGTAATATGTAATATATTAAATAATATATATGTAATATGTAATATGTTAAATATATTTATATATGTAATATGTAATATATTAAATAATATATATGTAATATGTAATATGTTAAATATATTTATATATGTAATATGTAATATATTAAATAATATATTTATATATGTAATATGTAATATATTAAATAATATATTTATATATGTAATATGTAATATATTAAATAATATATTTATATATGTAATATATTAAATAATATATTTATATATGTAATATATTAAATAATATATTTATATATGTAATATATTAAATAATATATTTATATATGTAATATATTAAATAATATATTTATATATGTAATATATTAAATAATATATTTATATATGTAATATGTAATATATTAAATAATATATTTATATATGTAATATGTAATATATTAAATAATTATATATGTAATATGTACTATATTAAATAATTATATATGTAATATGTACTATATTAAATATATATGTAATATATTAAATAATATATTATATGTAATATATTAAATAATATTTATATATGTGATATGTAATATATTAAATAATATTTTATATATGTAATATATAATACATTAAGTAATATATAAAATATATATTATATGTAAAATATATACTACATTTTAAATATATATTAAATAATATATACTATATATTAAATAATATATATAAAATAATATATACTATATATTAAATAATATATATAAAATAATATATACTATATTTTAAATATATATTAAATAATATATACTGTATGGTAAATATATAATATATACTGTATATTAAGTATACAGTATATATTTATACTATATTAAGTATATTAAGTTATATATTAAAATATATATTAAATAATATATATCATGTATTAAATTATATATTGATATATTACATATATTATTAATATATGTTATATATAGTAATGTATAATATATAAATATATTAATATTTTTATATATTGCATAATATGTAATATATTAATATATTATACCTTATACATTAATATATATAAATATATAAAATATATATTAATATGATATATTTTATTTATATATTAAATAATATATATTATATATTCAATAACGTTATTTAACAAAATATGTCATTTTAGCATGTAGTCAAAATACTATTGAGATATTTTACCTTCTCTTTGAAATGTGCTGTGGATTTTACACTTATAGCACATCTCCGGTTGGATTAGTCACATTTCAAGTGCTCAATGGTCACATTTGGCTAGTGGCTGCCTTACTAAACAGTATAGGGTAAACATCCAATTAAAAGGCAGATATTGGCTATCCTTGGGGAGGCCAGCAAATTTCCGGATAAGGGAAGCTGGTGGGCAGGAAAAAGGCATGCAATGGCCCTCATGAGCCAGAAGAATAGCTGCTGACTGATGCCTGGGGGACCAAGCCCATAATTGTGGAGCTGGAGCCGCACTGTGTCCCTTGCTTCAGTCTGATCTTTGGGGAGCCTGCACAGTTCTGACCTCAGTTAAGAGCTAAGGGAAGAGATTTGGGAATGTTTGGCCCTGTGTAACAGCAAAAGGATTCATTGGTGAGGGTGTCTGGCAGGTATCCGTAAAGATAATAAGATGAAGGGAACATCGCCGTTTGGAAAGTGTCGTGATATGATACACAAGTTGTGCTGCCTCTGTGGCTCTAAGGCATACCACCTTCAGAAGTCAACCTGTGGCAAATGTGGCTCCCCTGCCAAGCGCAAGAGAAAGTGTAACTGGACTGCCACGGCTAAAAGAAAATACCACGGCGACTGGTTGAATGAAGCACCTAAACATTGTATACTGCAGATTTAGGCATGGATTCTTTGCAGGAACAACACCTACACCCAAGAGGGCAGCAGTTGTGTCATCCAGTTCATCTTAAGAATTTCAATGATTAGTCACACAATAAATATTCCGGTTTTTAAAAATGTATATATTTTAAACATATATATGTTTATATGTATATGTTATATCTGTATTACATATATGTGAAAAGAGGCAGAGATTGTCAGATTGGATTAAAAAGCTGTCTGTAAGAAACTATTTATTATTTATTTTTGAGACGGAGTTTTGGTCTTGTTGCCCAGGCTGGAGTACAATGGCATGATCTTGGCTCACTGCAACCTCAGCCTCCCAGGTTCAAGCGATTCTCCTGCCCCAGCCCCCCGAGTAGCTGGGATTACAAGCACCTGCCACCACACCCAGCTAATTTGTCTATTTTTAGTAGAGATGGGGTTTCACCATGTTGGCCAGCCTGGTCTTGAACTCCTGACCTCAGGTGACCCACCTGCCTTGGCCTCCCAAAGTGCTGGGATTACAGATGTGAGCCACTGCGCCTGGCCAAGGAACCATTTTAAATGTAAAGACATAGGTTTACAAAAGTTAAGGGACAGAAAAAATATACCCTGCAAACATGACTCAAAAAAGTGACTTATTAACATTATACAAATTAGATTTCAGAACAAGGAATATTATCAGTAATAGAGACATTTCTTAATGATAAAGGGGTCAGTTCATCAAGAAGGCTTAGCAACCTAAATATGTACACACCTAATAACAGAACTTCGAAATACGTGAAGCATAATCTGATAGAACTGAAAGGAGAAATAGACAAATCTATTACTGTTGGAGGTTTCACTGCCTCTGAGTAATGGATAGAATAAGTAGAAAATCAGTAAGGATATAGAAGACTG
Source organism: Homo sapiens (assembly GCF_000001405.40). NCBI lineage: Eukaryota > Metazoa > Chordata > Mammalia > Primates > Hominidae > Homo > Homo sapiens. The sequence continues at coordinate 48,054,156 of NC_000012.12, read as the reverse complement.
GAACAGGTAGATCGATCCTATGCACCCAAATGTTTGTACACCAGGAACACTTCCTCTACTCAGCCCTCTATGCCCTATCCTACGTGAAGCAGGATAACTGGAGCATTTCCTGTCTCTCTATTATTTTCCCCCCAAGACCCTATTCTCCCTCTCATTCCTTGCTGTCAATTTACGTGGATGAATTGGAAAAATAGCAAGCTGACATGTCTCTTTTTTGGGGGATGGGTTCTACTCTATAAACCCATATTAGTTATTACCAGTTGTTTCCAATTGGAAAAGCATTGGACTGTTGGAATACAGTATTTCTAACTTCACCAGCTAGTGAAAGGCCAATGAGGAACAAACTCATAGGAAATATGGGGGACAGGACGATGGTGAAAGAGGAATTTAGAATCTACATAGCAGACTGTAATTACACTGAAACTACAGCTAACCAGGCAGACTAATTACCTACTTGGTAAGCTTCATCTCTGAAAAGAAAGAGATATCTCTCAGCTATTCAGCATCACAATAGCCTGGTGTGTAGAGAGCATATTCTTACTTGATTGGTGGCATAAAATAAGAAGCAAAACTTTATGGGGAAGTACTAAAGTCACCCGATTTTTATTGCAGAGTCAGAATCTGGAACCAGAGCACTTGCATTTTGATGAACATTCTTTTTTTTTTTTTTTTTTTTCCTGAGACAGGGTCTCACTCTGTAATCCAGGCTAGAGTGCAGTGGTGTGATCATAGCTCACTGCAGCCTCAAACTCCCGAGCTAAAGTGATCCTCCTGCCTCAGCCTCCCAAGGAGCTGGGACCACAGGAATGTGCCACCATGCCTGGCTTTTTTGTTGGTTTTTAGTTTTTAGAGAGAAAGTCTCACTATATTGCCCAGCCTGGTCTCGAATTCCTGGCCTCAAGTGATCCTACCACCTTAGCCTCCTAAAGTGCTAGGATTACAGGCAGGAGCCCACACCCAGCTTTGTCTAGCATTCTAACTTTCAGAATATATATTTTTGATGGGAACGGGGGGAATTGGTAGTGGTCATAGTTTGATAATTTTTCCAAGGAGTAGTTAAATCTGAGTGATGCTCAGTAAAGAGAGGAAACAACCTGCAAAACATTAAGTTCAACCAGACAAACCTAGCCTTAGGAATAGGTTTTCCTTAGAGAATAAAAGCTGATTGCATAAGAAGGAAAAAAACTAGGCAAAATGAAATAAATTAGTTAAGTGACTATGATGAATCCACCATTGCTGTACACTTACGTGTAGAATAAAACGATCAGAACTAAAGTTTTCTAACGTGACTCTTTGGCTTCCACATTATTATGGTTTATCTCTTTGAAGTGTTTCTAAATAGAACTAGCCCTGATTAACCAGGGATTTATGCAAGGTCACATGGAGAATAGTAGTTATTCTCCATAAATGACTCCATAAACATGTTGCTTGCCTGTCTTTCTCTAAAAGTTTAGCTTTAATTCTGATAATTTGTTCCTTGAATTGGCATGTAAGAAAAATTCTGTGTGCATGTTTGCAGTGAGGGAAACCTGCCTTCCTGGTTTCTATAATATTACTAGGTTAGCTCCTGTGAGTGAATGACCTGAACCATACTATTCAAATGCTGCTGTTAGTCTCTTGGACTTTGTGGTTGATAAGGGTAAATTTAATTTGAAAATCAGAATGGGGAGGTCAAGGTGAAAATCTAGAGAGGTAAAATTGGAAAAATGGCTTTTGTCCCCCCAAAAGTTGTCTTGATCTCTGCTCAGAAGTATTGTCATGCCCAGGCCTTTTAGAACATTTTTTCTCAAGCTAATTAGAAGAGTTCAAACTATAAGCATGAGAATGGCTAAAAATCAAGACTTTACTGGTAGTGAAATGTTTTATTTCTAAAAACATGAGAAAACAATAGTTTGGCTGGTTTACTGGGGAAGAAGGAAGATACAAATAGCATTGGTCGTTTATGTCATTGTGGTAATGTACAGGAAAAAGATTGAATCCTTAGTTTGAAAACATTGTAGGCTTTTCTCTGAAAGAAAAGCTTTTTTCAGCTTCAGCCTGGCAGCTCTTCAAATAAAATCTCAAAGGAACAAGGCACTATAAACAACCCACCCATCCCTAAACATGACTGCATAGACAAGTAGATGCTTATGGCCAAGGCTGCAAAGGCAGCAGGAAGGGTAGCTCCTTAAGCACCAAGAGCCACAGTGAGCAAATAGAGGCAAGTGTGGGTCCCAGAAAAGGTGACAGGTGGACTAATGTTGACAGTTAGTCCTCAGATTGTGGTATATTGGTGAGACAAATAGCAAGCACAGGACTCATCTACTTTTAGCTCATTTCAAAGGGAATTTAGGATCTGCTGGTGCTAAGAGAGTCTTGTTTGAGGAAAGGGCTGTTGCCAACTTGGCGTCGGGGACAGTTGTCTTCACAAAAGTCAAGCAAATGCTGTGACCATCACTGCTCCTCTTTCATCTTGAACACTGTGATCCCTTCTCTCATTTCTTTTTCCTTCATCTTCAGCCCTCCTCTGTGAGATGACATGTAGGACTTTTTTGTTCTCTCTTAGCTCATTTTTTTGGTTTAATTGTGTCTTGGCTGAACTATGGCAATTTTCCTCATTTGGATGGTGTAATAGCTAAAAAAATTGAGGAGAAAGACTTGAATCCAGATTCTGCCTTGGATGTCAGATTTACATTCTCAGCTAATGTGGGGAGCATTGAGGTCACCAAACTCCCTTCTACTGGGATCTAGGGGAAATGAAAAAGAACCCAGATCATTCCTTAGAGCTAATTAACTAGTTGACTTTGGAGGCCATTTTCCTCTCAGTTGAGAAACTTTGGTTGGGTGCAGCAATGGAAGAGGAATTCTCAAAGGGAACAGATACCATGGTGTCTGATGACTGGGGTTCTCTGTTCTTGTTCAGCTGTGTTGGTCTTTAGCTTTCTAGTGAACCCTCTGAAGGTGAAAAAACAAGCAAAACTCAGGCTGTGTAAGTCCAGCTAAGCTTCCTTGGTTTCTGGAACTCTTTCCTCTTGAAAAATAGAATAGTGATGTATAGCATGACACTCATTTATGTCATTCTTTTTTTTTTTTTTCACTTCAGACTTACGATTCCAGAGGTAATCTCTGATAGGCACCTAGGGGAGATGTATTTCCATGGCTGTCATGTGCTTCACCGTCCTTATCTCTCTGCCTGATTCCTTTCACCTCCTGCTTCAGTCCTTATTTCTTGTTGGAATATATAAGCTGTCTGCCCCTATGGAAGGTTTCGCTTACAGTAACTGGCAGATCATCTGCTTATGTCTTGGATTGAAGGGTTTACCCTATAACATGGCCAACATTATAAGATGGGTAGAAGGCCAGAGGAATCAGTGAATTCCTTCTTGCCAATTTTTCCTCATTAGAGAACATAGTTTACAGCCTAGAAATCTGTACTTGCTGGGAAGATCCTACTGCATTTATGGCTGCCTTCGGAAACCTAGAGGCAGTCTTTAGCACCATTATCCTGAGGGGCAGAGTTAGACTGAAAACTTATAGTTAAGAAATACCTGATTCTAATTGTGTCTTGATTAATTATTATCTGTAACAACTGATCTCCAGTTATCTATTGGGCATCACACTAGGCAGAGAATAAGCCACAACCTGAGTCCTTTGGGCTGACTGGGCCTGTTGCTCAGTCATCAGCTGCAGAGAAAACAGTGTCTTTCTTCAGTCCTAGCCTTCCCCTACCTCAGAGCTCTGCCTCATGGCGAGTGTGGTTTTCCCGCAGCTGCCTAGGCATCCTCATCTATAGGCCCTTTCTCTGGTCTAGACCGTGCTCCGGTGTGTTCCTGGCAGTGTTCCCCTGCTGCCTACCCAGTATGTCGTTGCTTACTGTTGGGCAGTAGCTCACTGTTCTGGCATCCTGGTGTGTAAATATTTGTCAAAGAACAGGGGCATTTTCCCATTCCCCAAAAAGCATTCTGAAAAATGTGCCTGTTTTCTTAGTCATATTTCCAAGCCGTGGATCAGTTAGCCCATTCATTCCTTGCAGTTGACAGACACTGGCCTGACCTCAGCTGGCCACATAAAGTAAGTATGCAGTAACTTCCGGCACGATAACTTTCAAGTTTTAGTACCAAAGAGTCCTGGACCTAATGGAACCATACACAACATAGTCACTATTAGAGAAGATGTCGTTTCATTAACAAAGAATCACACATCTCCCCACTCAGCCATTGTAATTTCTTTCCACACTTAATATTGAAGGCATAAATGGAATCAACAAAGATGAGAAAGCTAACCATATAGATTCTGGGGTAGAACGTTATTCTTCATGTTTGTGACTTGACTTTAGGTCTCATATAAGGTAGGTTTTTATACTTCCATGTGTGCCTTTATATAAAGGTGACATTGCTGAGCTACTATCAGTTTACAGGTGTTTTTCCAGTATAATTAATGGCTTCTCCTGTCACTTAGTTCTACTTGAGACCAAAAGAGTTTGCCTCTGCAGGATGGGTTATTAAGTTGAAAAGGCAGTCTTTAACCATGGAGCAGAGTTTTCCATCTTTGTGTAAAACCATGTGGCTGTCATATAAAATTTGAGTTCTTGATTTTAACTTGACTAACACTAGGCGCTAACTGAGCTCAGTATCTACTTAAATTGCTCACACAGTTCCAGTAGATAAAGGTAACTGCTAATGTGCATTATTAAACTGCTTGCATGCCTTCCTCTCCTTTTCTGTAAGCCTCACCTTAACACCCCTGTCTTCCTGCAGTCTTTTGACCTAACCTTCAGTCTTCTACAAGCCTGGCCAGCGTCTGCCCATTTGTACTCCCAACCCCATAATATATATGTCAGCTTTTTCTCTTTTCACCATTTATAGCACTTCAGCCTTCCCCCTTCTAGTCAGAATTTGATTTAGAGAAATGAATCTGTTGGATGTTGAAGACTTAATTCAGTTTATTAGGAAACAATTACATATGCTATTCAACACAGCAACTGCAACTATTTTGAAAGGCTAGGCCTGAGTGTCTATTCTAATAGGTGTAATTTCTTCCCACAGATCATCAATTTCTACATGAATATGCTGATGGAGCGAAGTAAAGAGAAGGGCTTGCCAAGTGTGCATGCATTTAATACCTTTTTCTTCACTAAATTAAAAACGGCTGGTTATCAGGCAGTGAAACGTTGGACAAAGAAAGTAGATGTATTTTCTGTTGACATTCTTTTGGTGCCCATTCACCTGGGAGTACACTGGTGTCTAGCTGTGAGTACCCCTTTCATTTTTGATAAAATGTAAAAGCTATGTACTTATAGAACACACAGAGGGTAGTGAGTAGTAGTTCTACATGTTCCCTTGATTATTGAGAGAAAGAGTGTTTAGTAGTAGGTTGACTAAAATCAGATAGATCTATGAACTTCCTATCAAGATTGGGATGTAGATTTTGAAGAAAGCTGTGGAATTTCCCTTTCTAGAAATATTTAAAAGAGAGTTATAGGGTGTCTAAGCAGCCTTAAAGGAAGGCATGGGGGAAAAAAAGTGACTTATTAATGATGCTGCCACTCAGATTCTGTGACTGTTATTTTCAGCCTAATCATAACTTACCTTGCATACTTGGTAATTTAATATTTTTATGACTCTGTGAGCATTAGCTTAATGTGTTAATAAAACTATTTCACAGTCTGTTTTGGATTACATTTCAAAAGCATAAAGCCAAAAGGAACTTCTCAATATAAAGAAATAAAACCCAGAATCTGCTCACCATCTTTCTGAAACTTTGTGGAAGTGATTTTGAGATACTCACCTTATATTCCCTGAAAATCATGTAGTTTCTTCACTGTTGCCCACTTTGCAGAGGGAGAGAATGAACATTAGAAAAAGGCTTCACAGCAATAATGGGGCCACCTGTTGATGAGTGCCATCATAGTTTTATGTAAATAACCCTTCATTTTTTTTCTCTACAGATTAAGCATAATATAATGCAAAATATCAGTCAAACTTGTCATGATTTTGTAGGAAGTCTGGCAAAAGGTTCCAAAGGGCAGGGAAGGGAAAAACTGATAAACCGATTTTCTTCATCTCATAAACACAGAGACTTTTTTTCTTATTCTCAGGTTGTGGACTTTAGAAAGAAGAATATTACCTATTACGACTCCATGGGTGGGATAAACAATGAAGCCTGCAGAATACTCTTGTAAGTAGGGAGTTGAGGACAGAAGAGTTTGATATCGGGTATAGGTGGTGTTTTTCCAGTAATTGAACTCAGTTGTTTGATACCTTCAATGGAGTGATTGATAAAATCTTCATATTAAGTAAAAATGCATATTTTGTATCTAAGTAAGTTTAGTTTAAAAACAATACCAAAGTATGCCCTAATGGGAGCAATTACTATCCTAATGCACTAAAATGTAGACTAGATATAAAGATATAGATGCTACTTAGAAATCATTTAATCCAACCTCCTAATTTTTCAGATGAAGAGACCAAGGCCCACAGAGGTGCCTTTGATTTGCCCAGGTCCTATTAGTTAGTGGCTCAGGTGGACCAGAATGCAAATCTCTTTATGCTCCACCTGTTTCATTTTCCAAAATACCTATTCCTCACTGTACCACTCTGATGGCCAGGAGGAAGTACATTCCACAATGGTGAACAGTTTGCACTTAAAAGAGAGCTCTATTGAAGGTATGCACTCAATACATTGTTGATTTGGATTTAATTTTTAGATAGGAGAGCCAAGCCTAACAGTAGTAAATAAATACCTCAATAGTACCAGAAAAACACTTTTCTTCCATTAGATTGAGTTCTAAAGGACCATATAAACCAAGGAAAAGAATAAAAAGAATTGTTCCTCAGAAGGAATGGTAGGTAGAAGGAGCTTAACTGTTAGAGGCAGAGGTCATGTTCCTTTTGAGTTGACAGAGTGGACATTAGAAGAGACAAGCTAGAAGAGGCATGCTCAGCTCTGGAGAAAACTTAACAATCCAGGGATTCCCTGCCCAGTATTATATACTCTTTTCCTCAGAAGAGCAGATGAAACAAATTTGTTCCTAGGTATTGTCAGCCCCATTCTTAGTGTGGCAGCTGTCATCGATGTTCCCCACTGCTTATCTCATTCTCTCCTGATACCTTTAGGCAATACCTAAAGCAAGAAAGCATTGACAAGAAAAGGAAAGAGTTTGACACCAATGGCTGGCAGCTTTTCAGCAAGAAAAGCCAGGTACCTTTCATCTTGATGAAATAAAAGTCCTAAAAGTAGGGTATTTGGGGAGGAAAGAATTTTACTGCTTAATTCCCAGGGACCACCTGTGTTCGTGTCTAGCCTGACTTCAGCTTGGTTGGTTGGTTTCTGGGGGAGGATAAATTAAGCTATCCGTAGGAAAAGTGATAGTGTGTTTCTTATGTAGAACTAGGTTTTCTAAATGCCCAGATATTTTACTAAGCTTTTCACTCCTAAGGGGAATGTTTGCTGATTATTTGGCCTCTGGGGGAGGGAGCAGTTTTTATACCCTTAGGTGCCATGGGAGTCGGAGATATTCTCCTGTTTGATTAATACAGAGTACACAGACCTGACTGGAATGTTGTATTTTGTTTCTTTGAGCCTCTGTTGTCCTGACTGGGGGGCCAGAGTCATCTGTTTGTAATTTAGAGAAACCTGTACAATTTATATCTTTTGGTTCTTATTTTTAATCTAAGAAGGAAAGAAGCTTGGAAAGATGTCATTTTTTTTGTTGTTGGTCTTCCAGGAGATTCCTCAGCAGATGAATGGAAGTGACTGTGGGATGTTTGCCTGCAAATATGCTGACTGTATTACCAAAGACAGACCAATCAACTTCACACAGGTGAGCTGAGCCTTCCATAGGGAGCTCTAGGATTACTTTGTCTCCAAGCTGCCCTGTAGATGTTTTTCTCTCCAGTTGTTCTCTTTAGGGGCCTCTACCCTAACCTTTAGCATGCTTCAGCCCATGATTCATAACACTGATGGTTACTACCTGAATCACATCACAAAAGAAAGAAAATTAGTGATAAGCCACGTCCTGGGTTACCACACCTCAGTTATTGTAGTAAAGGTTTCAAGAGCAGAACCTTCTCTGCCTGTCTCCTCTACCTACTGTAACTTCTAGAGAGAACTGGGACCAGAGCAGGTTTCTTTAGTTCCCTTGCATTTCGTTAGTAGTCAGGTTTGGGAATAGGCCATACCTCAATCTCCTAGTGTAATTTGTTATGCTGCCCCCTCCCCTGACCCCTCACTTGATGAATCTGGTCAGTCTTCTCTTAGAGAGTGATTGGTCATTTCTGTCCATGTGGTCTCTCAGACCAAAGTGGATTGAGATTAGAGATTATGGTTTATTCTGATGTGTTCTCCACTTTTACTTCTGTTTGAATCAGTGACTTTACCAGATTTTTCTACCATAGCCCTTTGTCTAGACCAGCCTGAGCTGACTCTTCAAGTTCCCTTAATTCTTCTAAAAGGTGAATTTTTTATTTTTAGGCCTAGGCTCATATCCTCTTAAAAGTTCAACATAGAAGACTTATTAGACACCATTCTCAAAATTCTTAGAGACGTGGGCATAGCCTGGGGATTCCTGGAAATACCCAGTGTAACTTCTAAGGCTATAATGGTGAAAAATAACAATAGAAAAAGCAATGAAAAGAAAAAAACTACATGTAACCAAGAATGAATAATTTAAAAGACCAGAAATACAACTGAGACTGTTTGTTGAAAACCTTGCAAAAGAAAGAAGTATGGGGAAAGGCGTATCAGGTCTAGACAAAAGCATTGAAAATTAAGGGTGTCTCTGTGTCCCTACAGCAACACATGCCATACTTCCGGAAGCGGATGGTCTGGGAGATCCTCCACCGAAAACTCTTGTGAAGACTGTCTCACTTAGCAGACCTTGACCATGTGGGGGACCAGCTCTTTGTTGTCTACAGCCAGAGACCTTGGAAACAGCTGCTCCCAGCCCTCTGCTGTTGTAACACCCTTGATCCTGGACCAGGCCCTGGCGAGATGCATTCACAAGCACATCTGCCTTTCCTTTTGTATCTCAGATACTATTTTTGCAAAGAAACTTTGGTGCTGTGAAAGGGGTGAGGGACATCCCTAAGCTGAAGAGAGAGACTGCTTTTCACTTCTTCAGTTCTGCCATCTTGTTTTCAAAGGGCTCCAGCCTCACTCAGTCCCTAATTATGGGACTGAGAAAAGCTTGGAAAGAATCTTGGTTTCATATAAATTCTTGTTGTTAGGCCTTACTAAGAAGTAGGAAAGGGCATGGGCAAAAGGTAGGGATAAAAACCACCAGCATATACATGGACATACACACACACCCACACACACAAACACACACACACACACAATTTTCACGATGTATGGTCAGGAATGTGACTGTAAACTGGACTTTGGGGCCCAGGCATAAGTCCCTTCCTCCAGGACCTTTCCTATTTATATGTCCCTATACAAAATCCATCTGCTTTTATACGTAGCTGTTTTATCATCTGTAGCTTCATCCTATCCGGAGGCACAGCACATGAGCCCTGGACAGGTCCCAAAGTTCCAAGCAGTCCTTTCCGTGAAAGCAGGGGTTTGCATGTGCTACCAACACATGATACGGGGAAGACCCACCCAGGGAGCGGTTTCAGTGGCGCAACAAAGCACCACTTTTACTGTTGCCTACTTCTGACCAAGAAGAAAAAGGACCTTAGTATTTAGCATAAAATTCCAGCGCTGGATGAATGCAGATCTAGTTTGGTCTGTGGCTAGTTTAAATATGTTTCTAACCACAGAGAATTTCATATATATATACATATATATATACACATACATATATATATATATATATGTATGTATAAAATTTCACAGGGATATGCTTTTTTTTTTAAAGACTGAATGTGTTCACCATTTAGCCTGTAGATTTATTTCCATTTTCCAAATTCCAGCACACAGAGATCCCAGCCCCTATGAGTAGGGTGTTTGTGGACTACCTAATGGAATATTTTTGAGGCCTGGATGAACTTTGCCATATGGGTAGAGGTTACAGAGGGAGGTGATATTTTCAGCTAAAAAAAAAAACGGGTGGAGTTTGGACTGATCAACTTGAGATTTAAAAACTGCTATTCCTTTTGTTCTTTCTAGCATCTCTCCCCACCCTCTGAGAGCTCCTCAGGCTTAGATAGTGAAGTGATCAAATGCCAGTGTCATTTTGTACTTAAGTTCCAAAGTAGGAACATTTTATACTTTTTTCTGTATTGTAATAGGTAGTTTTGTATGAAATCTTTTCTCCTCTCCCGTTGTACCGCATTCTTTCCAGCATTGTGCTTTTTCCCTGGGCTTATTTGAAAATTTTACTGTTTTATACAAGCTCGTTTAGTACATTTTTCTATGTTTTACCACAAGTTACAATTTGAAAAGAAAACTATTTTTTTTAAATATTCCATTGTTAACTGAATGTTACTGTTTCCACTCCAGCAACTACATGTCCTCCCTTCAACTGCCTGCCTTTTGGGGAAAGACCACCTTTTGTGTGTTTGTTTTTTCTCTCTCTTTCTTTCCCTTTCTCTTTCTATCTCTCTTTATTTTTCTTTCTTTTTCTTTGTTTTTGAGTTTTCTATAGGAAATAAATAGCTTTCTATATATGAGTTGCTGGGGACCTTCACATTCTCTTTTAGAAAGCTGTGGCATGCAGTCTCATTGCAGGACTCCTGGAATATTGTCTGGTTCTTGGTATTTACTGTATGTAAGCAACAACTTGAAAGGTGGCAATATGGTGTCGATTTGGACTATGAATCAAAAGACCTTTTTCAGGTTCTTTCACTATTGTCTGGGGGACTCAGAACAAGATTGTTCTCTGTATTTATTGTTTGTCCATTTAGGTAACATCTGTCTTACCTTCCTCACAGACTTTGTACAGACCAAAGCAACAAATATTTATTGCCATGTATAGCAGAAAATGAAACATGCAACAAAAGCACTTTGAAAAATATATAAGGAATTGTTGAGCCTGTCTGAATTTGGGCCCCCTTTCTGACTAATGCAGTTTTGCACAAGGTAGAAGTTAGTGACCCTGAGACCATCTTACCACCCTGGACCTGGTCCAAATACAGACTTACACAGTGGACCATTCTTTCCTGAGCTAGCCAACAAGAGCAGGAGTAGTATCTGGAAACTTTCCCCTTTGTTTAGGGGTAGGCTTTGATGACCAGGAAAAAAAAAAAGGTATTTCTGCATTTTATGGCCCAAAGGCATGTTATTAATATCTTATGTAATTTACTTTAAACTAAATAAGACTTTTTTCTCCTGTGTTCCCCTTTCTCCTGTGTCCACTGCTCATATTCACCTGCCTTCCCTAAAAAAGGAATATTTGAGGGATGATAAGCACTAGATGCCAGCTATAGAGACCTCAACAGAAACCATAATCCCAAGAATCACTCCGAGACCCTGAACAGAGAATATCAGACAGACCTTTCTTACCCATTTGAGAAACACATGGTCTGAGGCACAGAGGCTAGTTACATCCCATTTGTCACCTGGGACCCACCATTGCTCCCAGGAGTCCTATTTAGGGTTGAATATAAGAGTACTTTTCCCTCATCCAGTCTGGGGAATTTGTGTCAATTGACTCCTCTGTATGAGATGCTTCATACTTCTATGTGGAATTAATTTCTGTATTCTTTAGCCACTGTAATCATGCTAGCATCTTCTATCCACTGCCCCCAGCAATGTTAGCACCAAGATCCTGAGGTAGAAACAGAGATAACCTGGAAAAGCACTTCCACCAACCCCATCTCATAGCCTGTCCATTACTGCCTGGTTTTACATGGCCCTTAAGTGGCTCTAGTGGGTAAAGGGGGAAGAGTTCACTTGAGAGCCCCAATGTTTTTAATGTTTCAGTTTCTGGTCCTGTGCCATCCCTCCAGCTTTTAAATATGTCTTGCTGGAGTAAGAGAGAGGACTGACACCTGGGGTTTCTTTTTGTTTGGTCCACCTGGATGGACTAGCATGAGGTGGAATATGATGCTTTCACCCTGGGAGTTCACATACCCAAGAGAGTCAGAAAAAGAGGTGTTAGGCTATTAGGCCCTATTGTTAAACAGGCCACGTGCTGAACTACTGGGAAGGGTACCTTATTTTCCCGCCCAGGAGCAATGCATCTACAGCTTGGAATTCCATGGGAAGGGACAAGGCTCATCCCAGCATCCTTTATTATAAGTCTAGGGCCTTGTTTTACCTGTACTGACTCCTAACATCTGTCTACTAAGAACACACACTACCATTCCCAGCTTTGAAGGTGGAAAAGGAAACGTGGGACAGAGGGTTATGCTGGTCACCTGTTAAAATAAAGGATACCTTACACATACTTCCTTTGTGGGAGAGAAAAGAGTGGCTAGGAGGCTTTGAGCTGGGACCTCGAGGAAATGTTATTGTGAGCTGTCTCTTTGGCCTGTCAGGGAGATGGTAGGGATAATTCCAATTATGTGAATGGTTGGACCACGTGTCCAGGGGTCTTATCAAACTCTAAGATTCTGGAATGGTATTAAGTGCCACAATGTTGCTGGGAAGAGGAAGTCAAGGCAGAGATTCAAAGTTAAATTTTTAAGGCCACTGGCTTAGCACTGGCTTGGTTTTAGAGTTAAGGCGACAAGACCTTAGCTGCAGAATTTTCTCCATTCCAATCTAAGGAGTAGCCATCAATTCCTTACTTCTGGAGATTGCCTTATCCTTTGCAGAACACAAGTGCTAGGAAAGGAAAAAGTGTGGGAGAGTGGCACACAAGAAGTCCAGAGTCCAGTCCACTGGAGACCCCTCATTCAATTTACTTTTATTCTTTTCACAAATACCTACTGAGTAATCGTACGCAAATCCTATCTCTTTGATGCCTTCCCTGATCACATGATCTTAATATCTCTCATCTGGACATCTGCAGCCCTTATAATCAGAAAATAATATAAGTCCACATGGTATTTGTATTGTAATTCACCTTTTGCATCATGAATGGACTGAGACATGTAGCCACCAAGGGCAGGTAAATGATTTGGTGCTTTTTTTTCAAACCAGGAATAAAAGCTGTTTCTTTCTGGCCTGCCAGTGATGAGGTAGAGGTAATTATTCAACATTTATTTAGAAAGACAACATTGTGGGCCAGGCATAGTGGCTCACACCTGTAATCCCAGCACATTGGGAGGCTGAGGTGGGAGGATCCCTTGAGCCCAAGAGTTCGAGATCAGCCTGGGCAACACAAAAATTTAAAAAAAATATATTGTGAAGAAAGGAGGACTGCTCATGGCAGCCTGCAACCTCCTTTGTGGTCCCAAATCGTTCATCTCTGGCCTCAAACCTAACGCTCCACTCTACCCTTAACAAAAACACCTTCCTCAGCATTTAGCATGCTCTTTGGGGTGGGTGGGGGTTCTCAGTCTCTACCAGGGGCCTTGTGGAAGTATTTTCTCTACACAGCTTTCTGTTAAATAGTTTCCTCCATCCTTTTTATTTCCGGTGATATTGTGCATCCCTCATAGACTGAGACTCTGAGGAAGCCCCTCAGGCTAGGTGTTTTACAAGCACGTGTTTAAGCACTGGCCTTAGTCGCCCTGAAGGGTGGAGTGAAAAGATGGTTTGACTATGGAAATAAAAGCCACCTTGTTCTCAGGTTTTTATAGCCTGCTGACCTTGTCCTCAGGATCTTAGAGTCTGTATTAGAGTCTGTAGACCTTATAGTTAACTAATTTAGGAAGCTAAGCAAACACCAAGCAATATACCTTATCAAGAAGGCAGACTCATAGGCATGTAGTTCCATACAGAACTAGAAGTAGAGGATGAAGGGGCAAAGGTGGAGGTAAGTCAGGGATAATGTTGCCTTTATCTGCCTATCTATATGATTCTTCCTAATTTTTAAAAAGTTGACTTATTTAAAATAAACTGTGGATCTTGCTTTCTTGCTTTGACTGGAAACTCCCTGGTAAAAAGGACTTGATGGTGTTTGTCTCTCTGTCCCCCTGTCTCTGTGGCTGTTTGCTCTGTCTCTGTCTGTGCCTGTGTCTCCCGATCCAAGCTGGACCAGTGATTGGATCCTCGGTGTGGTCTGGATTTCTGAGTCCACCCCTTACCCAGGAGTCTGAATACTGTTCATTCATTTATTTCATCCCATATACCTGGAAGTGAAGCCTGGAACGCAAATAACATGCAAATTTGTGGCTCTTTGGCACTTTAAAAAACCAAACCTGTCTGTGGAGGCTGCCAAAGAACTTTCCTGAGGCCAAACACACCAATCAGGACTTCCAACCCACCCTGCTAACTGTGGCCTTCTGTTCTTGCTCCTCTCCTGCACCCCTTTCTTCTCACAATATAACTTCGAAGTGAAGTGCTTGCCACTTTTCTACCTGTAAAACTCACACTCATGACAGTAAAACATAAGAAAGCACCAACTTCTCAAAAATCTATTATTTTGGGGGAACAGTTTTCTCTATGTTGGGTTAGAAGATCCTCTTCTTGTCCCCAGGATGTTCTCAAATTCTAAGGTTTTCTTTTAGTCATGGTTAAGACTTTGAAGCCAATTGAATATGGAGTGACTAGGGAAATCTTCAAGCCACGTTCGCTCTCCTGATTCCTGAATGTGGTTAAAAATAGCTGACGAATGCCTGGGTCTGCACCAGGTATCACCAGTCAGGCAATAGACTGTCCCTGCGAATGGGGACCTGGACCTAACCATGGGTCAGAGTCAGCCTTTATCCCAAACCACTCCCTGGGTATCTGGTCTAGTCTTGGGCTCTGCAGAAAGTTACAAAGGGAAGGGGGTGGGGTGCCTGTTCCTTGAACCCCAGGAAAAATATTTTACTTCCTTACCTTCCTGTGCCTCATTTTTCCATTGTCCCATCACCAGCCAATCATCTCTGCCTGTAAGAGTCAACCCATCACTTTTCCAGTAGCATCCCCCACCACTCTCCCCTGCCCACTCTGCCTCAGCCACAATGGCCTCTTTGGTGTTTGTCTAAGAAGCCAAGCTTGCTTTTACTTCAGGGCCATTCTACTCAATGCTTCCTCTGGGCTCTGGTGGAATGTTACCCTATACCCCAATTCTCACACCCCATAGCTTTCTTACCCTCAGTTTTTCCCCACAGTACTTAACAGCATCTAACTATATTACAAGTTGACTCCCCCTTATCTGAAATGCTTGGGACCAGAAGTGTCTCAGATTTTGGAATATTTGCATTATACTTACCAGTTGAGCATTCCAAATCTGAAACCCAAAATGCTCCAATGAGCGTTTCCTTTGAGTGTCATGTCAGCATACAAAAAAATTCAATTTTGGAGCATTTCAGATTTGGGATGCCCAACCTGTATTAAATGATTTGTTTTATCCATCACTAAAATATCTGTATTCCAGGTGCTAGAATTATGTATTCCAGGTGCCTAGAATAGTTGAAGGAGAGAATAGTTGAAGGGACGAATGAATTCCTGTTATTTAGCATCTTTGACCTGTGCTTCCATCATGAAGCCTCCACCCTATTCCAGGTTCTCACATCTTTGTGTCTAGTTTATACTTCCTACCTCAGAGTCTCTGGCTTCAAGTTCATTGTCCATTTGGCAGTTAGAGTTGTTGTCTTCAAATAGTGTTAATGATAATATAAACATTTATCGAGACCTTGGCCTGAGACTTACATGTCAAATACTTTATATGTATTACTTCATTTAATCTTCACAAATCTATGATGTAGGTACATTATTATCCCCATTTCTCAGATGAGAAAATGAGGAGGATAGGGATTAAATAATTTGCCCAGAGTCTCTCAGATTTTCAGTGACAGAAACAGGGAGCATATGACTCCAAGACCCCTAAAAGTGCTAGAATCTGCTGCTTCCACGTGGCCACACGACTTCATCTCAACAGGAAAAACGCCTGACCTAGACTCCAAGGGGACTCGACCAAAGTGAAACCAAATAAGAGAACCTTTGACAAAGTTCTCAAAGTCATCTTCTGCTTTTCTCTCGTGAGCAACATTGAGGTCCTTATTTGTCTTTTCATCATAGTTTGGAAGTCAAGGGGAATGAGGAGGTCCCTCTGTCATTGGTTCACTTTCTCTTGGCTTCTCCAGACAGGGATAACAAGGAATTCTCCTCACCTCTCCCATGACAACCCTTTCCTGTCTGTCCTTTTTCTTTTTGGCTCCTCCTTTCATCCTCTGCTCTTGGCTGTGCACATTAGCAAACCTCTTTTCCCTCAAGGTCTCTAGTCTGAATCCAGAAAGGGGAAGGCTAGGGATTGAAGGTGGTGAGGTAGGGAGACATCAAGTGGATTCAGCCTGTCCCCACCGACGGCCTCAGGAATCCAGTGTGCCAGGCGGTGGCCCTCTCTGGGGATGACCTGGGGACCTATACTTGTAGGAATTTGGAAACATTTCTAGTGCTCCATTTTATCTTTTTGCCTCGGTCTGTGTCTCCCGCTCTGTCTCTTCAGCATGGAGTTTCCTCGGCCATTCCTACTGGTTTGAGAATGTCAGGAATGCAGAGCCTTGTGCCCTCCCTCTCCTCCACCTCCCACCCCCATACACTGAGCCCCTCTGCCCTGTAGAGGCGGAAGTTAGTTCAGCTACAGACTGAGGGGGAGGGGTGCCGCCCTGTTACTGGAGAAGGAAGACAGCACACATTCTGGCTCAACCCCTCCTCCTGCCCTCTCTCCTATTTCATCCCCAAAATCAGTCTGCCACTTTCATCTTCCTCTTCAACAGACAGCCTTTCCCACCCTCACCCCTCACTGGAGGCCTCTCTTGATGGTAATTACTCCTAATTGTTTTCCCTTGGCTCACGAAGCCTTTCCTTGCCTGCCCTGAGCCAACAGCTCTCCTGTGTCTGCTCAGAAAATGGGCTCAACTCTCATGGAAAGAGAGGCTAGCCTCTTTGGGCTTCAAAACCCTGGCTTTCTAGATCTAAGTCAGAGGGGAGGCACCCACTTGGGCTCTCTCAAGGCAAATTGCAACAGAGAATAGTGACCAAACCCTAGCAGCAAGGTCTCCTGAGGAGCTCTGAGCATTTCTCTGAAGATCTCAGCACCAGAGAAGGTCCTTTGGGTCTGGCTAGGAAAGGGAACTACAGGACTCTTGAATGGAGTCTCCAAGCCCCACAGCTCTGGCCCTGGTAGTGTGGAGATGCCTATCTCTCGTCAGCCATTCCCCTTCTCACCAGAGGACCATCCTCCACCTCCCACGCCCCTCAGTTCCATGTACCATCCTACACCCCAGCCAATAAGGTGAGGAGGCCTTTCGCCAGAGCTTGAGACCATCTCACATCCCCTCACTCACTTGGACAGGCACACACAGGCTGGCTTTATGTTGTCCCCTCCTGGTAGCCCCTGCTTCCATATCGACACCACAGTAACTGGTGGTAGGGGTGAGGAAGGAGGGTGAAGATCATGGTTAGTGTGGTGGTGAGGAGGTATACACACTGTCCCTTTCTCTTTCAGCAGGGCTACTGATCCTGATTCATTCTACCCTCAAAAGAAGGTCCCTAGTGGTCTAGGGCTCTTGAAAATCCTGTCTACCCCCAGAAAAGGATTGTGTGGTATCACTGAGAGAGCAGAGGACATAGAAATATTTTATTTATTCATTCATTCATTCAACAAATACTTAGTGAATGCCTACTATGGTGCTGGAAACTTTCGGCATCTCTTGGCCCAGGCACGTAACACTTTGCTCTAGCCCCAGCCTAAAATATCCTGTCCCAGGGCTCAGTTCCATGGCACCTGGCAGCCTGAGCCACATCGCCTCCCACCCACCTCCACCCCAACTCATTGCTGCTTTGTGCAGCTGTAAAGCCTCTTCTAGTGGGCAAAACAGGCTCTGCAAGAAGAGGCCTGAGAAGTAGACATAAGAATGGAGGAAAAGCCAGTTTTACCAAATCCTAGACCTCTAAGGAGTCTCAAAGACACACCATAAAGGGCCTGAGCTGAGAGATTTCCCTTAGACTCAAAGATTGCATGGTTGGACCTTCTGAAGCTAGGTCTCTTTTTCCTTCTTTCCTATATCGGGGCCAGGGAATCAAATTCTATTTTTAACAGAATGTTTACATGAATCTAAGAGTCTTCATTTATTTATTTGCCCATCTCTCCATTCATCCTTCTATTCATTCAACTGCTTACTCAGTATTCTAGGAGCTACTCTGTGCCAGGCATGGGGATAGAGGGAGGAATGTAGCATGGTCGCTGGTCTATGGGCCTGTCCTTTGGTCCCCAAGTTCTCTCTCTCAGCTTTGGCTACTTCAGATCTTCCTTCTCTCCTTGTGTAGGGGACCAGACTCCAACCCAGGAAGTCTCTCAATGGATAACTGGAATTCCTACATCAGAGGCCACTGGTAGTCAGGGCCAGCCAGGGGAATAGAGGCCTGGCTAGTGATAGGAGGAATGAGGAAGGTGCCACCAGGCCACTGAGCCCATCACTGTGGTTTGGCTCCTCTGGTGAAAAAATAGCAAGCCTGGACAACTATCTCCCTGTGTCCTGAGCTCTGGGTTGCTCCCAGATGGGAGTTGCTCCATTAAACAAACCACAGCCAAAGGCAATAGGGGCCCAGGCCCACAGAGCACTAGAAGGCGGAGTGGGAACATTGGGCCCAGGACAGAATGTGAGCCAAGCCCGTCCATCACAGGCACAGTGGTGTGAGTGAGGCCCAATGGCTGGATGGAGGGATGAGCCCACGTAGCAGGAGCTGCAGGTGAGTCAGGGAATGAGTTGCCACTCCCAGACTCAGGCACAGGACAAATCTGAGACAGCCACAAAGCAAATAAAGTCAGCTTTCTAGAGTCTGATTTAGGAATTAGCTGAAGATTCTTCCCCCAAAAGTGCCCAGCTGGGTAATAGGTTGAGAATAGGGTTGAGAAGAGAAGGTTATGACCAGACACCAGTGGGGTGGGGAGCATGTATGCATATGTGCGTGTGCTATTTTGAGTTTGGGTCTGTGTAATTTCTTTCTCCTGTGTCTTCTACTTCAGTCTAAAACCAGAAAAACTCTGAGTGGTTTGGGCTTCCCCAGGCCTCTCCTCCCCTTTCCACATGTGGCTGAGGGTGAGTTAATGGGACCTGCACACACAGAGGCTCACACAGCTTTGCAGACAGAGGCCCATTCATACCAGGAGTGTGCAGCACCTCTCTCCTGGGCTGGCCTGCAGTGCTGCTCCTGTACCACCAGCATGTGCGAATGAGGGACGTGCACCCTTGCACATGCAGCCTTGCTCTTCAGCACACACACACGCAGCCACGCTCAACTCTTTTAACCCTCTACCACCATGTGCAGGGTGGCTCTTGGTTCTTGGCTTGGGCTCTGGCTTTGCCTTTTTTAGTTTCTTTTACCCAATGTGGGACCCACCTGAGTTAACCCTTAAACAACCTCCTCAGAACCCCAGGCAGTCCACCTTGGTGGCACTTGCTCGGGTAGGGGAGTGCCCGGGTAGGGGAGTGCTCGGTAGGGGAGTGAACACAATCTCAGCCAAAGAACAGCATGGAGATGCCACCTTCCAGTGGAGGGAAAGAGAGGACTGTTAAAATCTGGATGCAAGCCACAGCCATGCCACTAGCAAGCTGTGGGACCTCAGGCAAGTTATTTGACCCCTCTGGACTTCAGTCTCTGAACTGCGAGGTGAGAGAAGAGCTTGAGGAGGGGTAAACCTGAGGGCCACAGATAACCCCCTGAAATGATACACAAAACATGTAGAATTCTACATTTTGCTGGAAAGAGGTTTCATGAGTTTAGCCAGCTTCTTCTGGGACCCTTGAACCCCCTCAAAACCTGAGAACCAGTGAACTCAAACATTCCAAGACCCTGTATGAGTCAGTTTCTTTGTAAGTGATGCGGATATGGCCATTAGAGTCCACTCAGTCATCTAAGGTCAGTGTCAACATCACCTTGCCCCTAGTGCCTGAAGTTAGTTCCCCTACATGACCCCAATCCTATACCCCTAGGTTGTGGAACCACAGGCCCCTATCACATCCAGGAAGAGCTCAGCTCTGGGTCAGACTGATGCTTTCTCATTGGATGGACCCCTTTCTTGAATGGGGTCCAGTCTAGCAGGAGCCATGGGGCAAGATGGAATGGAGGATGGGTGAATATCAGGAATAATAACCATGATACTGGTGTCTACTGAGTGCTTACTATGTGCCAGGCATTGTGTAACAAATCAATAAAGTACATAATACCATTATTTCCATTTCACATATGAGGAAACTGAGGCTCATGGAGATCGTCAGTTGCTCGGGATCACTCAACCAGCAAATAGAAGACACTAGCACTGACAGAAGATCTGTCTGACTCCAAAGTCTCTACTCTTAGAAAAGAGAAGGAATGAGAGGACATTTTTGGGGGGATGACCCCATCTCTGGTGACATTTCAGATGCATTGGGCACTGCGGTGCAGCATTTGGGGCACAAAGCTGCATAAGGGATCTCTCTGGGGAGAAGAGGCCAGAGCCAGCAGTCTACCTCAGCCAGTCCTTGGGGGTATGAGGGCAGCTGGGAGGCTGGCTGAAGCCACTGGCTCTCCAGAGCTTTTGCTGAGGACTTGCTCAAAAGCCTCTTTGTTCACTGTTCCAGCTTCCACAAGAAGCTCTCCACCCCTGGGTCCTCAGGGACCTTGGGCTGCCCCACCAACATACAGGGGTCTCCAGCCCCTCCCACCATCAGCCAGAAAACAGCCAGCCCTCATCACTCTACAGGATTTTTAAAAGGATGGGTGGCTCAGGGACAAGGGACAGGACTGCTAGGGAGATGGGGTGGGCAGGAGGGACTGTGTTAGGAAGAATCAGTGGAAGTCCTGTAAGCCGGCTGCTCCCCAAACAAACATTTTACTTCTTTTGGAGGCCAGGAATGAAAGACTTATTAGCTGTTTATATTACTTAAAAGAGTTTTGCAGATGCTTATTAATTTGTAGTTATTAATATTAATTATTATTGATTATTAAAGGACTCAGAATCCACTTGCTAACACTGTTTTCTCTGTCTTCTTCCTGTAATCCCTTCCATTGCCCCCTTCCAGCCTCTATGCTATCAGAAAGAGTGAGGAAGACTGGAAAATATGCCAGTGGGATACTTGACAGGTTCCCTTGAACTGAACTCCAGCCTTCTTCATCCCCAGACTGGCATCTAGAAGGAACCAGAGAATGCAGGAAGGAGTCCCAGCCTGAAGGTTCTGGAGGGTAGAGTCAGCTCCACTGGGAGCAGGGAATCAGGGCATCTCTAGTGCCTTTTCTACTTCTCTTACTGGACACTCCTAAGACTGGTTTTCTTCCACTTTTTTGCTATGGCCCTTCTGGATCTGAGGTCTGTCTCCTCCTGAGGGTAGGAATGGCAGTCACTGTTGCATTTCCTAAGCTCAGGAAGAATATGATTCACAGCTCTGTGGGAGCCTAACTTTCTCTGGCTCCTCCTGCTTGCCTGGGCCCCACTCCCAAAACCTCTCCTGCTCCCTGCTCCTGCTCAACAGTCACCTCCTGCTCCGCTCTGGTACAGCCTGTCTTTCTGCTCTGGGGCTTGTGGTGTTAGGAAGTCCTCAGGACTAGGTGGGCCAAGGACAGACTAGAAACTACTTAAGGCACAGGAAGGCAGGGGTACTATATAAAAAATTAAGATTTAATTTCTGATATTTCATATTTTTAAAGCATCAAAGTAATCCTCATGGCAAAAGTTAGAACTTCGTCAGACTTCTTTATACTTAATCGTTAGAATTGCTTTCATTTTGAATACCAATCGTTTCAAAACTTGGTATTTGTAAAGGTTTTAATCCAGCTCCAATAGTTTTGCACTGTCCCTAAACAAGAGAAAAAGCAGCCTGGAAAAATCAGCCCTGCATGGCCCCAAAATGGGGGCAGAGGGATGGCAGAGTGCTATGAAGAGCACAGCATTTGGGGCCAAGAGGCTTAGGTTCAAGCCTCAAAGCCATCATTTGCTAACTGAGGGCCCTTAGAATTACCCTCTCTGATCCTCCATTTTCTCCTAAGATGGGCATAATCTTATCTATTTACTACCTACATAATATTAGCCAGTTACTTCGCATATTGTAGTGAAGGCCAAATGGGGTTGCAGGTGTCTAAGCACATTAAAATAGTCACTGCATCAACATTAATCGTCATTAGAGCAAAGAGTGGAAGGAACGTCCCATAGCGATCACTAGAAGCTTTACAACAGCATCTTGTCCACTTCCCAGCCTCTAGTCTAACTCAAACATATCCAGGGAGTAGACCCCAGCCCGCCTCACTCTAATTCTGGGCTCAAAACTTAGGAAGGTCTTTCTGTTGCTGAAATAAACACTTCTTGGTCTCATGAACAACAATCGTTTAATTCAAGGCAAATTTCTAAAAGGGTTCCCTTTGCTTTACAAACACCACCTGACCAGGCCTGCAAGGGAAGGGGAACCATTTTAAGGGGCCCCCACCATGCAGGGCCGCTTGGTCACTGTGCTATCGATGAGGACATCATCTGCAAGATCACTGTTTTCCCTCTGGCCGTGGTTGGATGAAGCCCAGTGTGCTGTTCTCATTGTTTGGGCGCAGCATCACAGGCTATGAGTTGAAAATTGGCTCTCCTTGGACAGTCCTCAAGCACTACATTTTTTTCAGTGACTCTCACCAGACCCACAGATGAATTTACCTTCTCTGCGTATGCCTTTTGACTGGTTCTGTTTCAGGGAACCGCAAGCTCAATAAGCTCCACTGTTCTACCAAGCTGGACAAACAGCCACGTCTCTGTTCTCTTGGCCAGACCCTGAGGCCTGGAGTCCTGCCTTCAGGAATTCCAGAATTCTAGAAAGTTAGAGCTAGACAAGACCTCAGCCTTCATCTAGTCTTGCTCCAACCACTGTGCGGATGGGGAAACAAGGCATGGGCTGGGGATGACTTAAGGGGTATAAAATGTTGGGCTTTCTTTTGTCAAGCCCAGCATGTGCCTCCTATAGGCACCAGTGGTCTCTGCAAGTCCTGGCCTGCTGGCCTCGCAGCCACAGAGAGCTCGGACTCTCTCAGGCAGCTCACTTCATTGCTGGAACAATAGCAATGTTCTTCCTAATGCTGGGCAAAAATTGGCCTCCCGCCTTCCTTTAATGCTCACCTGCTTGTGCAGTCTCCAAGGAGAGATAGGTCTGGCCTGCATAGAACAATTGGAAATTAATTCATCCTTAAAGGAAGTGGAGCAGACTGTCCCAGGTCATTCTTGGGCAGCCTCTGCCATTAGATTGGAGAGAAGGCCCAGCACTCTGGGTCTACACAGACTCTGAATATAGAGACCTGGATTCATGTTCTGTTGCCTAAGAGCTATTAATACACGATGGTGAGCATGTTACTAACCTGTTTAAGCCTCAGTTTCCTCTACTGTGAAAACAGAGGTAATAGGAGTTTCCTATGTTGGTTCATTCTCCGTATGGCTCACCCATGATCCTAAGATGGCTACCTAGAGAAATATGGCTAAAGGAATGGGTCATTCCCTCTTGTCTTGCTGGCACCATACAACTTGGAGAACCTGTTCAGATATGCTTCCATAGATCTGCTCAACAGCCCCGGGAGGTAGACAGGGAGGTTTACTATTTATGGTTTACAGATAAGAGAACCAGGCTGGGAAATTCTAAGTGGTTTGTACAAGATCACCCAGCTAAAAAGCAGGAGAACTGGGACTTGAATCCAGGCCTCCTGAATTTGGTGACAGTGCAGACTTGCTCCGTGCCATCAGGCCTGGCTCCTGGGAAGGAACACTTTGAGAAGCCTTAGTGGGGCTTGGTCTCATGCCTCACCCAGGGCCTGGCCATAGTGGGTGCTCGGGGGACCTTTGTCTTTTCTGCCACAGCCTGAGCCAGAGTGGAAGCTGGGCTGTGCAGCAGAGCAGGAACCCAGCAGGTGGCAGGGACAGCCTGGCTGTGCCTGCTTTCTCCCTTGGTGGTGGGGACCACATGCTAAGCTACGTCTGTAAACATGGCCACAGCCTCTTTCTGATCCCTTGAGCTCTGTGTCTCTGCATACACGTCTCTTGGTTTTCTTTCTCCTTTGACTTCACTCTCCTCCCCACTCTCCCCATGCCCCTCCTCTGTCCTGGATTTGATCTTCTGTCTCCTGGCCTCCTTGTCTCTCTCAACATCCAGTGTTTTTTTCTCTTGTTGACTTCCTCTTTCCCTCTCTCTCCCTCAGTTCCTCCTTTGGATCTTCCTGGGTCGAGCAGACAAGTGAGAGGCTTCTGCCGTGCTCAGGGCAAGAGGCTGCTGAGCTGCCCTTCCGTCCCCTCCTCCCTCCCCACACATCCCTCTCCCTTGCCCTGGCCCCTCATCACCTTGGCTGGCTCCTCCTTGATGCATGGGCTGAGGCGAAGGTACAGGGAGGCAGTTAGAGCAGCTTCCCTGGATACAAAAGCTTCTTTCTACCCCTTGGAGATGAGGTTTCCAGGCAGGTTATTTTTATAGCAGGGCTCAGGCAGGATTCTTCAGAGAAAATAAACAAAGTCATACACACCAGTCCTTCACACCCTTCAGCCCCTTCCCTGGAGAGGGGCCCAGCCTAGCTGTGCCGACACAGGGACGCCCACCACCCCAGAGGGGCTGTGGGGGCTGCTGCCGGGATATCAAGAGGCCAGGGGTCTGGGATGGGGGAGGGGGCGCCAAGGAGGGAGACTGACACAGGTCCCCTGCAGCCCCAGTCAGGCCAGGAGGAGATGGCTGGAACCTTGGGGTCCCTGCCTCACCACTGGGGCCAGAGTCTTGGGTCCGGCATCTGTAGGGGAGAGTCAGATTCAAATGCAGGCGTAACCCAAATTTTCTAAATGCTTACCAAGTGCCAGGCACTGTGCTTGCAATTTACAAACACATTTTACTTATTCCTCATCACTGAATTCACTGAATTCAGTAGAAGTCATTTCTACAAGTTGCCACTTAGTATTGGCCTCTATGTGCCTGGCACTCTGTTAGGTGCTAGGGAGACAAGATTAAATGACACATGGAGAGAGAGAGAGCTCAGAGAGCTTTCCAGCTGGTGAGACATTGATTGAATCCCTTACTATGAAGATTTCAAGGTGGATATTTTTATGCTCATTTTGCAGATGAGAAAAGAGACTTAGTGAGGTCAAGTGACTTGTCCAGGGAAGCTTGGACCTTTGATGTCAAGGGCATAAGGGATCAGGGACTCAGAGATCTCTTGGGGCAGGTTTCTTGGGGGTAGAAATGTCAGCTAAGAGGGTGTAGAGGGCAAGAAGCCTGAGATGGGATAGGAGAACAAGGTACAAATCCACGTGCAGTTTTCCTGGGGTCTTGGGCCATTCCAGACCTAGGGTGGAGCACACGTGGTCCCTCATTCTTGAGGGCAGGCAGTCAACAATATCTTGTCTAACAGATCCCAGAAAGGAAGGCCTTTCATAACCAGATTGGCTGCAGTCTTCTCAAAGCTCTTTTATGAGGAAGCCTCAGGTTAAAAAAAACTTCATAAATCATGTGCATTCCCCGTCAGGCATGACAAAAATACATGACCCTTGTGGGTCCCTGCCCAGTGAAGGCAAACAGCTCACTGAGGCAACGCTGGGAGTGCACACAGGCCTGCCACTGTCCTCCACCTCCCTCAGCCGAGCATGTTCCCCAGCTCAGGGCAGCCCCCATCATCCTTGACAGGCCAGGGAATTCCAGATACCAGACAATCATTCTAATGACCCTTCAGGAGTGAGTTTCAGTGTGCTGCCTTAGCCTCCACAGGCATTCGGCCTTTTTTTTTTTTCTTTTGAGGTGGAGTCTCGCTCTGTCACCAGGCTGGAGTGCAGTGGCGCGATCTCGGCTCACCGCAACCTCTGCCTCCCGGGTTCAAGCAATTCTCCTGCCTCAG
The DNA here is from genome assembly GCF_000001405.40 of Homo sapiens. Lineage (NCBI taxonomy): Eukaryota > Metazoa > Chordata > Mammalia > Primates > Hominidae > Homo > Homo sapiens. Next base: position 48,028,386 of record NC_000012.12, on the reverse strand, counting down.
CCTCCTGAGTACCTGGGACTACAGGCACACGTCACCACGCCCAGCTAATTTTTGTATTTTTAGTAGAGACGGGGTTTCACCATGTTGCCCAGGATGGTCTCCATCTCTTGACCTCATGATCTGCTTGCCTCAGCTTCCCAAAGTGCTGGGATTACAGGCGTGAGCCACCACGCCCGGCCTCATTCAGCCTTTTTATGACTAATTCTGGAATGAAGGAATGTGTCTGTTTCAGAAGTTCCAAGTATCAATAGGTAGAGTTCTAGTGAATTCCCAGAGTCTGGGGAGCCCCAAAATAACATATTCTAGTGTCTACGTTTGCTTGTCTTTAAAAGGGAGCTAATAATACTCACGTCTTGGGGTACGAAGAGTTTGCAGACAGGCAGTGCCGAGCCCAGCATCTAATGCATGGCAAGCACTCCAGCCTCCTCCTGTGCGCCAGGCTCAATCTCCACTCATTCATCAGGCGCGTGCCCAGTGCCTGTGGTGTGCTGAGCGTGCGCTGGGCGCGGGGTTCAGAGTCTCCTGGGGCCCAGTCCCTGCCTCCAGGAGTTTACACAGAACAGCCTCTGAGACTCCCAGCATCAGGCAAGACAAGCTGGTGTCCCTTCCAGGACCCAAGGCCTTCCCTCCCCAGCCTGAGGCAGGGGTACCCTCCCTCAATTCCCCAGTTACCTTCCCACCACTCTCCAAGGTCTCAGTTTATTGTTTTTTCATTCTACCGGGGGCTGACCTTAGTTGTGGTTTAATGGCCTTTTCCTCCTGCGGCCCCTCTTAACTGACACCTGGAATGCCTCTCTGAGCTGCCTCTCGCCTTTCTGTCTCTGCTAATGAGGTTTCTAACAAAGCCATGTGTCACTGGAAGTCTGCTCACAGAGGGACTGCTGGACTGTAGCCTGGGGGACCCGGGCTCTGTGGGAGGAAGGGGATGTGGCAAGGGGGGAGGGCCGAGGGAACACAACATTTCTTTCAGAAAAGGCTGAGGCCTGGGGCGAGGGAAGGCAGGAGGCTGGAGCCCGCTCCCTCTGAGCATGCTCCAGGGTGGCCACAGGCTGACGGCTGGAGAACTCACCCCAACCCCCAGGCTCTGGAGAACTCGCCCCAATCCCCAGGCTCTGGAGCTGTCATTGTAGCCACCTGAGCAACGGCTGAAGGACCAGGGCCTGGACCTTGTAGGGTGCACCTAACTTAGTGTCTGGCACAAGGAGACACTGGGTGTGTGCTAGTGGCTTCTCTCTAGTCTGTCCACGTGGGTGGGCTTCAGAGAAGATGGCCTTGAGTGTCCCCAGGCACTGTCCTTTCTGTGCCGGGGAAGGTCTATGTGCATCCCCAGCCAGGCCTGCTCCTGGAGGATTCCGTCTCCTAGGCCAAACTTGACAGAGGAAGATGAGCTCCACGAAGAGCCCTGGAGACCAGACCTTCCAGAGAAGAGACGGCTGTGCGATAGCCCAGGAATAAGTGCTCTCCAACTTTCCACAGGGCTGTTAGATCCAGGAAAGAAACTCAGCTCTCAGGCTCAGGGATCAAGAGATTGTATGTAGAAAACACCTCATGGTACATCCATAATCAGCCAACAGATCAAGCACCTACTCCCTGGAAAATGAGTGCTGAAAGGCTGCTCTTGGCAAGAACTAAACTCCAATGAAGGCACAGCCATGCAGTGTACTTGCTGTTACTGTGAATCTGGTACTGTCTGTTCATTCAGTTCTCCCAACAAACCTGGGAGGAGGAAGATGTTGCTGCCATTGCCCCCCATAACAGATGAGGCAACTGAGTAACAGAGAGGTTAAGCAATTGGCTCAAGCACACAGAGCTGGCAAGCAGTAGTTATAAGATTAGAACTCGAGCCTGAACTCGAGCATGATGCTGTACTATCTGCCCCACTTGCAGGGAGGGGGAGGTTTGGGAGCCTGGGAGAAGGTGGGGGAGCAGGAACAAGTCAGGCCAGTGGGCAAATCGTGTCAGCAGAGCAGTCTAAGCAGAGGGGAAACCAAAGAGAGGAGCCACGCCGTCCTGGCCCTGAGTACACTGGGCCTGGTGGAGAAGCCAACCAGGGACAGAGACAGGAAAGCTGGATGAGAAGGGCCTTGGGTGCTGATCTGAGGAGCTGCCCTGTGCCTGTAGACAGTGTCTCAGTAGAAAAGTCTGGCCAAGTGCAGACTGGAGGGGACAGGCAGAACCATGACCCAGGGAGCCGGGACAAGTCACTAGAACTCTCTGGATAAGGAGCAGGCCCCCTCTCTGACCAGCCCGGGGCAGGACCTCCCTGTGTAGAACAAAATTGTGTCCATCAGACTGCTGTGTCCAGACAGCTCTAGGTGAGGGCTGAGATCACATGCAGTGTTCCCAGATCGATTTGCTAGATCTGAGGGTCACCTAGACTATGATTGTTTTTATGGTTTCCTTAAGTCAACTTTCTCATTCTCTTTTACTTTACTCAAGTTTACTTGAAATGAAAACTCTGTAACATGGGATTGATATTCTACCTTTTCCTCCAATACTTATTAAAATAAATCTGTTTTACAGGTTTGGTCCCTGCCAAAATACATACACATGTACATTAAAATATAGATACTATATATAACACTATTAGAATGCAAAACTTTCATCCAAGTTCTACCTAAAATCACCCAGGGACCTTTGCACTTAGGAAACATTGTCTTGTGGCCTATCCCTTGCTCTCCAGTTGAAGTGACCTCATTCAAAGATTTCACATTTGGAAAAGGCAAATCAGAAAATCACTCAGACCCAAGGGAGGGAAGGAGGCCAGGCTTGGGCTGGGGGCGGGGGCTGGGAGGCACCCTGGTGGGCTTGAGACCCAGGGGCTGGGGGCAGGCAAGTGAGCTGCCTAGGGCCGTGAATGAGGCCTTGTTGAGAGCCGTGGCAGCTCGGCAGTGTGCAGAGACCATGCTGCAAATGTAAAGTTTCCAATAACTTTTATGGGTGGTTTCTTAATAAACATCTGAGCAGCCTGTCTGGACCGAGAGCTGTGTTGTCCCAGGCGCCCAGAGATGGAGCTGGGTGAGGGGCTGCTGTCTGCAGTGTCAGCCTCTGCACCCCACCCACAGCCTCCCACGGCATCCCCTCCCCATCTCCCCTTTGTCTTCCTCTGTCTTCCTTTTTACTTCCTTTTCGCTGTTTAATGAGAACGACTTCCATTTGCTATTTGTTGACTGAGTCCGGCACTGCATTAAGCTCTGTCTACATTTTGTCTTAGTGCTTGCAGGCACTTTATAAGGTAGACGCAAGTATTGTGCCACTTTTACACATCAGGGAACGTATGAACACATCAGGTTGCTCAGCAATGAAGTGGAAGAGCATTGATAGCCCTTTGGGCACAGATCTGTGTGCCTCCAAAACCCATGCTCTGAGCGCTGGTAACCTCTACTCCTCCTCTTCCTCACCTTGTCAGCATCAGCACTCCACCTTCCCTTTCCTCCTCCGCTTCGAATCTCAGAGCCAACTTCAGCTAGTGCCTCTCCCTTCGGAAACACCTCCGGGAAATACCTCCTCCCAGATCACCCCTGCCAGAACCAGCAACGACTATGAGTACAGCACGTGGGTCTGCAGGTTAGTTGACTTGTCTGTGATGGGACTGATTAATCGAATGCTGAGACACTTTTGTAGCCATTTGAAAGCCATTTGGGTTATTGGCCCTGGCTTCAGATAAACAAGATAAATAAACCTCAGCAAGAAGGAAATGGCTTCTGGGGTCTTTCTCAGAATTTGGTACATCAAAGTGAAGTCCTAGATGGAAGGGTACACTTCCCACAAGCACCTTCCAGTGGGGTCCCTTGCTTTGTTTAGTTGACTTATCACTAAACATATGGGCTATAAGATTGATAATATGTTTTGTAAAAAGGGTAGATGCTCAATGGCCTCGTTGGGCCTATCCAAAGATAGAATGCTATGGGAAAGGAAAACACCTTAAGAAGAAAAGTTCTTGGGTGAGGCGCGGTGGCTCACGCCTGTAATCCCAGCACTTTGGGAGGCTAAGGTGGGTGGATCACTTGAGACCAGGAGTTCGAGACCAGCCTGGCCAACACGGCGAAACTAAAAATACAAAATTTGCCAGGTCTGGCGGGGGGTGCCTATAATCCCAGCTACTCAGGAGGCTGAGGCAAGAGAATCGCTTGAACCTGGGAAGCAGAGGTTACAGTGAGCCGAGATCATGCCACTGCACTCCAGCCTGGATGACACGGCAAGACTCTGTCTCAAAAAAAAAAGAAGAAGAAGAAAGGTTCTCAGATGTCAGGAGACAGAAACAGTGACCTTGAAGTGTAAACACTGAACCCTTAGCTCACAACAAATCAGTTAGAATGTATTAGCTGCATTAGAACTGTCCACACTGACTTCAACCCTGTATTTCTTGGGTCTGGAGCCTTTTGTAGGGCTCCGTGTGTGTACATATTCTGCAAACTCCTAACCTGGAAGCAGTCATTTGGTGGCTATAAGCTGTGAGCAAGAAATGCTCCAATTATCTGTGCATTAAGATTAATCAGAACTCTGGTCACCGATGCATATATGTGTGATGCTGAAGCACTGCCTTCCAGCCTCTCTGTGGTTGTGTTTGTCTGATAATTATAAGATCCGTGAGGACAGAGGCCACAGATCAGGGATGTCCTTCTTCCGAGATGGAGACAAGGGCAGAGCAGGTGGCAAACTGTGGCCTTGTGTTCCAGGGGGGCGTGTCCACACTTCACACTCTGATTGTGCTGGCTTGCAGTGTGGCTGGGCCTCTCGGGTTGCAGCACCCTCATTTGTTCTACCCTAACACAATCAAGAAAGATAAAAAAGAACACTGTAGCCAGGGAATCTCAGCTGCTGTGCCAGTCACCGGCCATTCATTGTGTGGGGCTGAAGATCTAGCTGGGAGTCAGGTCTAAGAACTGGTTCAGCTCCTCCCCTTGCCTCATCTGTGAAGGCTACTCAGAGGAAAGAAACATGCACCTAGGCTCTCGAAGCCTTCACTGAAGGACAGAGAGTGCTTGTTACAGGCAGTTCCTTCAGGGTTGAAATTCCATTTCAGGTCTCAGCACCTAAAGTCATTTTTCTTTCTTATTTATGTTTCCTGTGGAAAGTCTGAAGAAAAACTGGTGGAGCATCTTTTGAGTTTGCATTTGGAAGGGAGAAAATATGCTCCTTCTCTGCTGGGCAAACATTGCAAACATTGGTGCTTTCACAAACCAAACACAAGCTGGTTTTCAAAGCCTCCGGCTTGGCGACCCAGGGAACTGGGGGGAGGGGAGGAGAAGGATGCAGCCACCTGGGCTGGGGAGGTTTGCTTTGGGAGCAGAGGTTGGAATTTGTGAATTTTCTACTCCAAGAAGATCCAAATAGTGCAGCTCCAGCCCCATCCTGCGCAAGCTTGCTCAGGCAATAGGGGCTCTACCTGGCTGGGGTCTCGATGGAGAGCCAGGGCCTTGGATGATCACCTCCCCGCCCCAATGCAGCCTGGAGTGAAGTGGAGAGGGGAGGGGTGAAGAGGTGTAGGAGAGACGGTGCAGATGAACCAAGATGGCCTCAGGGATTCTGGTCCCTCTCTCTGGGTGATGCTGAGGATAGAGAGCGGGGGTGAGAGTGAGAAGAACATGCCTCTGCACCCACAAATTTGCCAGGCTTTCAAACACTGACCAGGCAATCCACTGGGCAGTTGTTCCTATAAAGCTAGGACTATGAGAATAGCAGATGTATACTATGGTCTGTCTGGTTCTTTCAGCGTAGTCTGTAGCAAAAGGTTTCCTCACTCCCTCCTTTTCTTCTTCCTTCCTTCCACTTCTTTCTTGACAGAATAATATAATAAATTTCCAAGCACTCATCACTAGCTTTAATAAGTATCAACTAATGGCCAATCTTGTTTAATCCATAACTGCACCTACTTCACCCACTCTTTGTCCTCCAACTGAAATGTTTTGAAACAAAATCTAGACATCATATCCTTTTATCCATAGATACCTAGATTTAAAAAAAATTTTTGATATTGAACTCTGATGATACAGGGAATCTCCTTCCCGGTATCTTAGGGAAAAAATGCCCTTCATAAGTCTACATATAAATTTTGCAAATCATTGTAGGGGTTCAGGGAACCTCCGAAGCTCATCTAAAGACCTTAAATTTAAACCCTTGGTATATAGGGTAATCGCTAGCTCCCATAGAACACATTGTTTTTGGTAGCCTGGAGCTATTAGCTGTTCCTTTGAAGGAGATTTACTTTCTTGTTTTATTTGCAATAGGTATGCACTGAGTGCATTGTGACCATGCTGGGTTATTGTGGGTAAAGGTGAGAGAAGGCAGGGCACGCAGGGCAGATGATTACATTCCTGCCGGGAGGGCTGGAGAGCCCTTGGAAAGCAGCCTGCAGGCTGAGGAAGGAGGGACTCCGGGATCTGCCCTCAGGGGCTGCAGGAAGGAGGAACCTTTTCTGAGTAAGCTTTCCTGGGGGTTTGTTTATTGGCCAGCGTTAGGTCTCTGAGTGGTTGTTAATGTGTTTGTTTAGGGTCCATTGTGATGTCTTTAAGATAAAGACCTGCTCAGTTTACAGGCAACTGTCAAGTACTGGGCTTGGAGCCCAGGGAGCCAGTGAGGGAAGCATTTCCAATATGGCGATCAAAGCCACACTTAGGGCCTTCCTAGGCTCCTGAAATAATCTTGGAAGGCACTCTGGGAGAGGATCAGCAGCATGCACAGGGTTAGACTAGAGGGGCTCTTTCAGGCTGGACAAATAGCTGTTGAATAAGGAAACAGACTTCTTTGTTCTCTTTTTTTTTTTTTTTTTTTTTTTGTTTTGAGAGGAGGTATAGGAGCAAAGCCATTTTAGATGCTAGGGGTTCTTTGGAGAGAGCCCAGAAGCTTTCTGATCTTAATATCCAACTCTTTTGCTATTTCCCCTACCTCCTCATCCCACCTCAGGGTCAGCAAATCTCCATGTCTGCAGACCCAGGGACCTGTAGTTAAGCTGCATGGAGCCTAAAAAAAGGCACTGTGGTGCTGGTGCTTGGATACACATGGCAGGGGACACAGAAGTACTGAGATGGGCACAAAGAAACTCTGGAATTTATAGTAGAGCAAGGATGGCATTTCAACCAGTTAGGATAGACTTTTCTTGCTGTCACCCAGGCTGGAATGCAGTGGAATGATCTCGGCTCACCACGACCTCTGCCGCCTGGGTTCAAGCAATTCTTGTGCCTCAGCCTCCCAAGTAGCTGGGATTACAGGTGTGTGCCTCCACGCCTGGCTAATTTTTGTATTTTTAGTAGAGACAGGGTTTTGCCATGTTGGCCAGGCTGGTCTTGAACACCTGACCTCAAGAGATCTGCCTGCCTTGGGCTTCCAAAGTGCTGGGATTACACGTGTGAGCCACTGCACCCAGCCAAGATAGAATTTTCAATAAATGTCCCAGCACAACTGGGCAGACATTTGGGAGAAAAAACAGTAAGTTCAGATGTATATCTCATACCTTAAAATGAGATCAATTGTATGTGGATCAAAAATTTAAATGTAAAAATTTAACCCTAAAAGAACTTAAAGGAGCCAGGAGAAAAAAATTTAAAATCTATGAATGAAACCAGAAACCATAAAATAAAATAACAATAAATTTGACCATATAAAAATAAAAAGTGTTTGCATGGCAAACAAAAAGAATAATCATAAACAAAGTCAAAAGCCAAAATGAGGCCAGGCACAGTGTCTCATGCCTGTAATCCCAGCACTTTGGGAGGCCGAGGCAGGCGGATCACTTGAGGTCAGGAGTTCAAGACAATCCTGGCCAACAAGGTAAAACCCCATCTCTACTAAAAATACAAAAATTAGTCGGGCATGGTGGTGCATGCCTGTAGTCCCAGCTACTTGGGAGACAGAGGCAGGAGATTTCGCTTGATCCCGGGAGGCAGAGGTTGCAGTGAGCCGAGATTGTGCCACTGCACTCCAGCCTGGGCAACAAGAGCGAAACTCTGTGTCAAAAAAAAAAAAAAAAAAAAAAAAGTCAAAATGAAAAATCATGAAGAATTACCTGCAACTCTTATTATAGGCAAGAGGTAATGTTCTATATAAAGATCTCATGTAAATCAAATAAGAAAGAGAACAACAGTTGAATAGAAAAGCAAAGCATATGAACCGACAGTTCCCAGAAAATGAAGCAAAACCAATACAAAAAAAAAAAAAAAAGGAAAGAAAGAAAATACAAATTAAAACCACCCTGAGACAGCATTTTTCACTTTTCAGATTGGCAAGGACCAAAAGAACTGATTACTATACAAGGAGTGGCTATGGTGGTGAGATTTGTCCTCTGCAAACCATGACGGTGGTAGCTGGCAAAGGTTTGGTGAAATAGGCTTTGGCATACATTGTTGATGGGAATGGTGCATGCAGTGTTAAAGGGAATTTATCTGTCAAATTTTTTTAATGCACTTCAATTTTGACCCAGCAATTCTGCTTCTAGGAAATTATCCAACAGATAAATGTGCAAGTGCAAAATGGCATATACACAAATATTTACTGCAGCATTATCTCAGCAAAAGGCTAGAGATAACCCGAATGTCCATCAGAAGGGGACTGCTTAAATAAATTATGGTATATCTGTATAATGGAATATTAAGCAATATTAAAATAGTGAGAATTTCAGAAACGTGTGGGTGTGGAATCTTTCCAGGACACAGAAAGTGAAAAAGTCCTGTGTAGACCAGTGTGTGGAGTATATTACCATTTGTGCCAAGAGAGGAGAGGGGTGATTTTTACCATTTGAGATGGGAGTGAGGGATGATTTTTAAACACAGTTGCTTGCATATGCTTGGAATCTCTCTGGAAGGAGACCTGAGAACTAATAATATTGGTCCTCTATGGGGAGGGGAATGAGTGGAAGCGGAGGAGACGTCACCTTTTGTACCTTTGGAATTTTTTTTTTGTTTTTGACAGGGTCTCACTTTGTTGCCCAGGCTGGAGTGCAGGGATGTGATCACAGCTTGCTGCAGCCTCAATCTCCTGGGCTCAATTGATTCTGCCACCTCAGCCTCCTAAGTAGCTGGGACTACAGATGTGCGTCACCACGCTTGGCTAATTTAAAAAAATTTTCTGTAGAGATGGGGTCTGCACTATGCTACCCAGGCTTGTCTTGAACTCCTGGCTTCAAGCGACCCTCCTGCCTCAGCCTCCCAAAGTGCCGGGATTACAAGCATGAGCCACTGTGTCTGGCCAACTACTGGAATTTTGAATTGTGTGAATGTATTGTCTATTTTTAAAATAATATTAAAATTATGATTTTCTTGTTTTAAAAAAGAGAAGAGTAAAGGAAAGAACATGACACAATAAAGGAAGAGGAGACAGGCCAAATGTCCGTTCCTTCCTTTGCAGCAGATGCAAAGTGGACCCCACTTTGTTCGTGGTGGCGGCTGAGCCTTGCTTCACTCACTTCCCACCTTTCTCCCTCTTTATGGGATTCTTAACAGCACACTCATGGAGATTTTTAAGGAGTGTGTTCCCTGCAAAATCTCAATACCAAGTGATGATTTCCGTAAGTTTCCATAAGTTGGTAAGTTCCAAGCCTTTCCTCCAAGGGGGCATGGTCATCCCTATAGATACAGGACATTAATGGCAAGCAACGCTGATGCTGGGCAGGGAATATGTACTCGCTCTGAGAAAACTGTGAGGGAATTACACGACTCTGCAGTGGAGAACACTGGAGAAAAAGGGGGCCAAAAAGATAAGAAAAGAGAGAACAAGAGAGAGAGAGAGAACAAAAAGAAGCAACTGAAAGTCTATCAATAGGCAGCTTGTACATCGATACAGGAGAAGACCATGTCATGCAGCTATTACAAAGAAAAAGGAGCAGGATCCTTGGTGCCCAGTTGTTGAAGATTGTTCACTCTCTGTGTACCTGGGGCTGTGTTCTATGCCCTGAGAACCAGATGAGTGGGAGAAACACAAGTGCAGCGAAGCCCGATCAGAAACACAAAACTCTTTGGAAAGATGTCAGCTGGGTTTGGAAGGAAAGGAAGGGGTTTCTGAAGCAGTGCAGGTGAGAGAGGATTGGGCTGGGCCAACGGTCCACATTCTGGCATGTGTTCCTAGGTCTCTTATCTCATTGCAGTATCAATATTTTGATACTATTTCAACAACAGTGCCTTATTTAAGGAATAAATCTGCAATTTCTTGAATTTTCAAATGGTTGCTTCTTTGGCTGGGCAATAACCATGTGAAAGTGTTATTATTCCACAAGTTCACCACCCTGCCTGCTGGAGCTCTCTACTTATTTGGAAAAACAGGACTTTGCACTTGAAGCTGACAGAGAAGAAGGAAGTGGACAAGTTGGAAGACCCAAGCTCTCTTTTAACCTCTTGATCAAAACTAGTGTCACCTTGGGCAACTCCCTATTGTCCCTGTCAGGGCCAGGCTCAGGGTGCACACTTTAAGAGGCACCAAAAATACTCAGTCATCAAGATACAGACTATTTTAATGTAACATTTTAAAAATAAAAATTAATGCAAAAATCTATAATGAACAAAATACCAGACATTTAAATAAATATAGGATCAATATTACTGATTCTTCCTTTTGCTGTGGGCTCCATTATGGCTGGACACAGCATTGTCCCCAAGGCCTCATTTTCCGCATCTCTAAGTCAAGAGGGTTGGACCATTTGACTGCCCAGGAACCTGCTGGGCCCCGTTGTTTTATGGCTCAGTAATGAAGTGCCACTGAAGAATGAGAGAACATTTAACAAAGTGCTAATTGTACAGCCCAGACAATAGTGCGGGTGAGATGACAGGGAGTCTTCATGGGGACAAGGGATGGCAATAGAATCCAGGCAGCTGGGGGAGATAACAACATTTGGCCAGCTTTCTCTTTGTTTCCACTGGACACAAGCTCACCTACCAGCGACAGGAGGGGGACAATGCTCCCGCGCCTCCTCCCTCTTTCTCCCCTGGAACTGTGCTCAGACCTAGTCAGGGGACAGGGAGAGCCTCATTCACATGTGGCTTATGGCCCAGCGACCTGCTGGCTAACAAAGCTTTCTAAGGATATCTGAGAGAAGCTTGGTACCCCATAGGAGGAAGGGACAGCAACAGAGGTGCCCTGCCCGGTATCCTGGGACCCAACCAGTGCTGCCCTCTCACCTCATCCCAAGATGGGCAAAGCAGCACAGCTTGCTCTCTCGTAACCTTCCTGAGGGCACCATTGTCTTGACCGAGTCCTCTAAGGCCGGCATGGAATGAATGCATGAGAACAGCTGTGAATACAAAGCTTAGGACATTCTGTGGACATGTTGAGACAAATTAGTTAATAATCATCTAGTTAGGGAATCCCATTTCCAGAGTGAATGACTTGCACCTCCCCATCACCCAAGTCCAGGATAACATTTCTCAGTGAGACTTCAAACCCATGTTCCACATGGGGGCTGCAGCTCCACCCCTTGGGACGGCCTGGCTGCTCATGCAACCCATTTCCCGAGAGGCTGGTTTCAGAATGCTCTTCCCAAATCCTCACCAGCTCAGAGATGAAGCTTCATCTCTGCAAATGTCATTCATCACTAGAAAGTGGCTGGGGCCTCTGAGGTCCTGTTCAGATCAACAGGATGAGAGAATCCCGCTCTTCAGGAAAACCCACCTCTTCTCATTGGCCCCAGTGCCCCTCGCATTCTTGCCGAGCTGCAGGAGGGCAGCTAAAGACAAGTGACATTGGAAAAAACAGTGGCCTCCACCCTGGACAGGAAGAATGGCTCCCTTCATCGGGACTGCTCTGGGATGCCAGGGTTATCCAGGTCCCAGAGTGAGGAAGTGAATCAACTCTTCCCAGCCTTCAGTCATGCAGGCTGCTTCTGTACCCTTCAGTGGTGTGGTATTTAGACACGTTTTGTGAAAACCTGATGAACATCTCACTTAGATGTTGGAAACAAACATAAGCCCCAGCCAATTCTTACACTTGCTGAGGATGAATAAGTCCCTTTGGCTTCCCAGTTAGCTGGGTCCAACAAGCGAATTTAGAGGCTAAGAAGTGAGTTGTTGGCCCTCACATGGACTTACCATCTGAGTGTGCCCTTGGCTGGCTGCATAGCTTGAGAGCAGCGGTTCTCAACCTTAGGCACAGATTGGAATCACATGGGGGGCTTAAAAAACACTGACCAGGGTCCCCCCACCAAAAAAAATTCTGATTTAATTGTTCTGGGGTGCAGTCACAACATTGGGATCTTCAAAAGCTCCCCAAGTGATCCCAATATGCAGTCAGGACTGGGAACTACTGCCCCACCCAGACCAGTGCTGAAACCTTAACATGTAAACAAATGACCTCAGGATCTTATTAAATGAAGATTCTGATTCAGCAGGTCTGGGGTGGGACCTGAACTTCTGTACTTCTTTTTTTTTTTTTTAGACGGAGTCTCGCACTGTCACCCAAGCTGGAGTGCAGTGGCGCAATCTCGGCTCACTGCTGCAACCTCCGCCTCCCGGGTTCAAGTGATTCTCCTGCCTCAGCCTCCTGAGTAGCTGGGATTATAGGTGCATGCCACCACACCCAGTTAATTTTTGTGTTTTTAGTAGAGACAGGGTTTCACCATGTTGGTCAGGCTGGTCTCGAACTCCTGACCTGGTCGTCTGCCCACCTCAGCCTCCCAAAGTGCTGGGATTACAGGCATGAGCCACTGCGCCCGGCCGAACTACTGTACTTCTAACAAGCTCCCAGGTGATGAGATGCTGCTGGTCTGCAGACCCCACTTCAAGTAGCAAGAGCACACTGCATTGTCTAACATGGTAGCTAACAGCCACACAGGCTGCTGCTTAATTAAACCTTAAAACAACTTAAACTTTAGAAATTCAGTTCCTTCACTGTGTTAGCCACATTTTATGTGCTCAGTCACCACACGTGGCTAGTAGCTACCATATTGGATGGCACAGAGAGACTCTCCTTCATCACAGAAAGTTCTTTGGGGCAGTGCTGTCTTAGAACATCTCCTTGTCTCTCAACTCCTATTCAAGTTGCCATCTCTTGAAATGTGGATTGAAGCTACTTTGGTGGCAGGGACTATGAAACAGTACCTTATACTCCCCACATTGTGTCTGTGAACTAGAAATGTAATAGGTGCTCAGTTAATGCTTGCTTCAGTTAGGGTACTTGTGCCTTTGTCCAAAGACGATCACCATATAAACACTGACTGATTAATGTCTACTTGGGCATCAATGAGCAGTCTTATGGAGTTGTATCCAGTGGTTCAGTGGGCATGTCAGCTTGGAAGAGGTCAATGATCAGGTTGCAATAGGAATGCTTCCTCTATCCCTGGCTGGCCCATAGTTCAGGACCAAAGGAAAAAAAAAAAAAAAAGGCAGGGCTCCAGGTGGCCTCCTCTGTCAGAGCATCTGCCCATCATTAGTCATTTAGCCTGGGAGATGGGTTGAGACGCCCAGGTTTACCTAATGGGACCCTTCATCTTTCAAGCCCAATTCAGAGGAGACAAATCTGGATATGTTCTCTCTCTAGGCATTTTTCCTGGGCCTTGGGGAAAGGGAAGTTCCTGAGATGGCCTGCTTCCTATTCCTGCATAGCTGCTCTGTCTTTCCTTGGGCAGCTGTCACAGACACAGGAGGCAGAGCTGGGACTGGGGTGCTGGGTCCCAGAAGCAGAGGGAGGCTCCATCTGCCTTAGCCACACTGGGTGGGTAAGTTAAACCTTCAGCTAGGTGTGCTCTTGTTTTAGCTTCACAGCGATTGATTTTCAGAGTTAATTGATAAGTCATTGTTCTGCTAGGATAAAGTGGTAGTGGAAAAGAAACTGGAACTGGACCCATCACAGAGCCACGTGTGGCCACCTCATTTTACTGCTGAAACAGCTGAAGCCCACAGAGTAAAGCAATTTGATTGAAATCACACAACATGTTAGACACATGGTTAGGTATAAAATTTAGGTTTCCCGACTGCCAGACCAGTGTTCTTTCCACTGCTTCATGTCCATGAGGTTTGCAAGAATGTGTAAGCCACTCGAATAGAAATAGAATATTACATAAATATGTATCTCTAGTACAATATACAAGGTAGGTGTTCTTTAGTTCTTTTCTGGAAAGGATGATAATAAAATTGCTTTTTTCCTACTTTCTCACTTACACTCACCACATCCTACTACAGGATACACATTACATACTCCTTTGGGGAAGGCTAAACCTTCCCACCACCCCCTGCACATATCTCAGCAATAAAGCAACATCTTTGATGAGTAACTCACCATGAGTAAAGAAAGATGAAGCGGCTGGGCATGGTGGCTCACGCCTGTAATCCCAGCACTTTGGAAGGCCAAGGTAGGTGGATCGCAGGAGCCCAGCAGTTTGAGGCCAGTCTAGACAACATAGTGAGACCACATCTCTTAAAAAAAAAAAAAAAAAAAAAGAAAGAAAGAAAGGGGAAGCTGTAAGCACTATAATCATAGGAAATATTTCCAAGCTGGTAAAGAAGAGAACGGTAGCTTCTTTTGCAGGTCTACAGACACATCACACTGGAAATGTACAAGCCATGCAGCCCAAGACACCAACGTGGTCATCAGTTGGCTCTTAACAAATGCATGAACTTACTTCAGCCGACATTTCTCAAAATCTTCTTACTGCTTCTCTACCCCAGTACTGATCACATTACTTACTAGTTCTCAGTCTAGAGAACCATGCCAGTGTTACCACTGAGTGTTATCTCCATTCATAATCTGTGCTACACGAAGGTACTCGCTGCTCTTTAATGCCAAAGACCAACACACAGAAGTGGACAGATGAAAGGCATTAATATTGGGGAAATCTAACATTTCCTAAATGCTCGCATTTAGTAAATATCAGTAGTTATTACCTCATCAAGAGCAAAATATATTCAGTATGTTCACAAGTACATGTAAGATATTTACAATACTTGTGGAAAAGGAGAATGGTGTGATGTTTGCAGTTAGGTTGCATTTGCCAAGTCAGCACTCCTGGGCACTTTGCCTGCAATTGTGACCCTCTGTCACAGGTGAACTCTGTTTTATCTGAGGACTGAGTCTGAATGACCTGGCACGTGTACTTTTCTTTTTTCTTTTTCTTTTTTTTTTTTTTTCAATTAAGATTTCTTTCTTTTTTTCTAAGACAGGGTCTTGCTCTGTCACCTAGGCTGGAGTACAGTGGTACAATCATGGCTCATTGCAGCCTCAACCTCCCGTGCTAAAGTGATCCTCCTGCCTCAGCCTCTCCAGTATCTAGGGCAACAGACATGAATGCCACACGCAGCTAAATTTTTAAATGTTTTTGTAGAGCTAGGGTCTTGCTATATTACCCAGTCTGGTCTCGAACTCCTGGGCTCAAGCGATCCTCCCACCTCAGCCTCCCAAAGTGCTGGGATTACAGGCATGAACCACCACACCCAGCCTCACTTTTCTATTTAAATACATCTTCCCTACAAACTAGAAACTTTTATTAATACAACTAAGTACAAAGATCATGGAGAATCAGGATAGGTAATTTAGAATTAAAGTTACAAAACTCCAAGCAAGATTTAAAGAAACAGAAACACCTATATACAATCAGGTATCTTTTTCACTCACTTTAAACTGTTTCTGACTACAAAATATAGTATTGGCACTATCCAGACATGAGAAGGACCAGCTTTTCCCTCTTATTTTTTTGAGTTAGATCCTTTAGAGCTTCTTATCAAACCAAATTTAAAAGGCCTTGCAGACAGTTTTTTCCCAAATAGTAATCTTCCCACAGTTATATCATACTTATCTTTTTGTTTAAGCTGGTAACTAATGAGAAGGCCAATACCTATCCAAGCCTTCCGAGCCTTTATGATCAATTTAGAAGTTCCTGTTCTTCTTAGGGAAAACTTGTGCTGAAGAATTGGGGCCACTTATCCCCAGTGCCAAGTTTTTTTTTTTTCCAGGTAATATTGAAAGTTTCTTAATCTAGTTTTTATTCCTAACAGATTTTAAAACAATTAAGATGTTTTCAGCGCTATACCTTAAATTCCAGGATATTCATCAATCAACCTAGATCGTATCAGCTATAATCCAAACTCATGCAAACATAACTTAAGACAAAAATTTTTATGAGACCCAAATTAAAAACAGATAAATGATATTGTCTATTTGTGGTACGGCAGGTGTGTGCAGGAAGGGTAAATAAATCAGATGCAGACCAAGAAGAGTAGTACTTGCAATAATAAACATTTACTCTAAGCCTCCCGTGTAAAGCATTCTCCCGAGGCTTTATGTTTGTTACTTCATTTACTGCTCACAACAAGCCCATGAGTAAATTACTATTATCCCTGTTTTACCGATTACTTCTCTGATGCTCAGAGAAGCGAATTCACTTGCTCAAGAGGACGGAGCCAGGAAGTGCAGTTGCAGCATCTAATCTGGGGAAATTAAAAGGCAGCCAACCCTCACTTCTTTGTATTTTTACCCAGGAAAGCATTAAGAATGTGGTAAGTTTCTAGGCACTTTTTTTTTTTCTTGAGACGGAGTTTCGCTCTTGTTTCCCAGGCTGGAGTGCAATGACACAATCTCGGCTCACTGCAACCTCCACCTCCCAGGTTCAAGCGATTCTCCTGCCTCAGCCTCCCAAGTAGCTGGGATTACAAGTGCCCGCCACCATGCCCGGCTAATTTTTTTGTATTTTTAGTAGTTTCTCCATGTTGGTCAGGCTGGTCTCGAACTCCTGACCTCAGGTGATCCGCCCGCCTCGGCCTCCCAAAGTGTTGGGATTACAGGCGTGAGCCACCGCGCCCAGCCTCTAGGCACTTTTAGGATAAAGATGGGCCTCTTGACAGGCTTGCATGGGAGGAAACTGGGGCACATGCAGGATTCTTTCCTCCTATCCCCCATGAGAAAGAAGCTCATATACCACTGGCTAAGGATTCCAGAGTCGGGTCTCCGCGAGGCAAGGAGCAAAAGCCATTATGAGGACCTCGCTGGTAGCCCAGTTAAGCTGCCAGACGAAACTCACGATTGGAGGTACAGTTACAATTGCAGAGGAAGGCAGGTCTCTGCAGATCCTAAAGATTAGTTACACCATGGGACAGATGTGACCAAGCTGCTTTCACTACCCAAGCCTGTGTCAGGAAGAGCTATTTTCAGTGAAAGGGCAGAACAGAGCGCTTCTGTCCATGACATTGTATTGTGCTACAGCACATCATAGAATGCCACATGACATCACAATATATTATAACTTGTTTACCTTACAGTTTGGCTTTTTGTGTATCCCCCGAGAGGTAGTCATCTCCTTGCATGTAGGATTCATGTCTAATAGAGCTTTCTTTTGTCCCTCCATACCACCTAGCAAGTGCCTGGCGCATAGCTTGTGCTCAACACAGGGGATGAAGAAATGCTGGCCGAGGAATGAGAGGGGGAATGGGACAGGAGGGAGGATAGAGTAAGGGGAGACAGTCGAGCAGGACCCCAAGATTTTGCACCCAGGATTCTGGGAGGGAGAGTGTCAAGGGCAGTGGGTGGGTGATCAGCTAAGGAGCTGGCCTGGAGGCTGGAGTGGAGATCGGGGCGGTGCAGAACACAATGGGGCCCTGGCTGCCTCCGGATAGGTGCTGGGTGTGGGGACAGCTGAGGGGCCCTCATGGGGAAGGGCAGCATGCACTGTCCTGCTCCCTCTCAAGGTTGTTTTTGGCAAAGGAGCTCACTAGAAACTTACCACATGTATGTTCCCTGGGGCTTTTCAGGGACTTCCTAGAGGGCAGGCCCACTGCCCCCCGCCCCCCGCACTGGAGCAGGATAAACTTGGTTTGCAGGGGCCTGGCTTTCTCTGAGGTGGCATCTACCCTACTAGTCCTAGGGACATCATAGTTAGCTCCTTGCTTTCCTTGGTATGTCCCACCTAGGAGGAGTTCATCAGTCAGGAGTCCCTGGGGGGCAGGGCTAAGGGGCCACCACGGGAAGGAGGCTCAGGTGGCTGACTCCGCTCCCCTGCTGGCTCTGCCCTGACACTGTCTCCATGGAATCCAGGGCTCCAGTTCTAATCATGGGTCAGTCTCTTCCTTGCACTGAGCCCAATTCCTACTGGAAAAAAGGGACATAGGAAAAGTGACCCACCACCTGCTTTAAAAAAAGACCGCAGGAGGCTTTACAAAGTCATGCATCCATCATCTCCTTTAGGGTCCTCCATCCATTCCTCTCCTTAAAACTCACTTCTCCTTTCTGCCACCTTTAACTCAGGCTCCTCCTTGCCTTGTCTGCCTCCAGTGCAGGCCTGAGCCCAGTCATGTGTGACTGCAGACCATGCAGACCACACCCCTCTGTTAGCCAGGGTCGTATGGAACTTTCCGTGGACCAAGATTTAGACCAGCACATCTCCAGCCTTCATGGGCATATGAGTTATCTGGAGAGTTTAGTAAAAGCCAACTCTGATTTGGTAGGTTCGGCTTTTCCAACAAGATCCCAGGGTAGGTTGATGCCGCTGGTCCATGGACCACATTTACTATGTGACCGCACTGTGCCAAGCAGGCTTTGCAGGGGAAAAGTTAAGTGTATTAAGTTATGGCCCCTGCTCTCAAGGAGGCATGTGAATAGACTCACATGGGATTTCTTCACATGTTTGAGGGAGGAAGGGATGGATGGATGGACAGATGGATGGATGATGATCTAAAGGCATAACTCCATAGAACTGGCCATACCCAAATGCAATAGGAGTTCAAGGAAGGGAGAGAGATGGGGAGAGAGAGTTCCACCTGTCTCGTGGGTTGTTGACCTCTCAAAGGGTATCCCTTGGAACCCCCATGTTGTGTTATTGCTTGAGAAGTGCCTGGAACAGATGCTCTGTGGCTGTTGGGAATGGTTGTGGTTTACTGTAGAACCATTTGCTTCACATGGAACTTCTGCTGGGAGTGCTCAAACATCTCTGCATTTAAGCATTTGTGTTCTTCCTAGAGCTCAGAACCATCAAGAGCTGATGAGAGAGACAAATGCTCCTTAAAGGCAGAAAGCTACCCACCTTAAGAAAATGCAATATTTCGCACGACTTTTGTTGTCTTTGTTTTTAAAGTGAAATGGGAAGATCATTTCTGTATAAAAATACAGACATTTCTTCAAAATGTAAGCCTTTAAAAAGCCCAGACACCTTTATCTTTTCCCGCAAAGGTCTAGCTAGTAGGAGGTAAGAAGAAGAGGGGAAAGTGAGAAGAAACGTAGATCTGAGCCTGACTCGGTGGCATTCAAGGAGTCCTCCATGTCTGGCCTTGCCTTCACCCCTTACTGCCATGTCTTATTCCCAGGGCCCTGCAGATGGCTCCACATTGTCCTGGGGCCACTGCCATGTCTTCTGGTGCATCTGCCCTTCGTTGCTTCCATTTGGGAGCCATCCTGCCCTCTCACTGTACCTCTGCATTTCAAACCCCCACCCATGCTTGGAGACATGCTTCTCTTAGGAAACCTCCCCCCAGCTTACTCCATGGCTTCCAGAATGCCATTCTTTCTTTCCTTTCTTTCTGTTTCTTTCTTCTTCTTTTTTTTTAGGGGGTTGGGGAGAGTGGGATACCTTTTTTGCAGCATTTTGTACAATCATTTTTTTCCTATTTCCCCTACAGATGCAGAGGTGGTATCTAAATCCTCTCTGTATCCCCATCTCATACAGAAGTAGGTGCTCAGTACGAGTCCTAAGCTGAATTTGTATGGCACTAGGACAGGATGGAGGAGACTGGGTGGGATTCTTGGTGCTATTTGCATTTGAGAATACATAGTAACACATTTATGCTCCTATGGAATGGAATGTACACCATAAATCTGGAAAACCCTATCCTGGACAGTCTTGATTCTGTTACTCTGCCCCCAAAATGCCAAAGGAAAACATAAACACATCTTGAAAGACTGTCTGAACGGAGCCCAACCAACAGAAGCTGAGTGTCACTGAGTAAGCTGGGCTCACCACCCCCAGGCACGGCTGCTGTGTGAAGTCTGTGCATTCACCACCTGCCATATTTGGGGTGGGCTTACCTCTTTGGAATGTGAATCCTTCTTCACTTTATCACTATTTTTAAATGGGATTTGTGTAGAGGAAGAGAAAGATATCTTTTCTTTACAGCCTGTCTACAAATATCTTTCCCAATAAGGCTGTGTCAACCTGAGTCTAAATTTAATGCCTCCATAAAAGAGAGAAAAATAGTGAAATGGTTATTTTGTCTACACGACACAATATTGCTGATTTAATCCATCTGTTTCTCTGAATTGGGCTGACTTGGGGTAGATACACTGATTGTGACTGTTTAATTTCTTTCTTTCTTTCTTTCTTTCTTTCTTTCTTTCTTTCTTTCTTTCTTTCTTCCTTTCTTTCTTTCTCTCTCTCTCTCTCTCTCTTTCTTTCTTTTGTTTGAGATGAAGTCTCGCTCTGTTGCCCAGGCTGGAGTGCAATGGCGCAATCTCAACTCACTGCAACCTCTGCCTCCCGGGTCCAAGAGATTCTCCTGCCTCAGCCTCCTAAGGGACTACAGGTGCACACCGCCACACCCAGCTAATTTTCATATTTTTGTAGAGATGGGGTTTCACCATATTGGCCATGCTGGTCTCAAACTCCTGACCTCAAGTGATCCTCTGGCCTTGGCCTCCCAAAGTGCTGGGATTATAGGTGTGAGGCACAGCACCCTATTGTACCTGTTTAATTTCTAACTGTTCTACCTACAGTTACCCATGCTGTACTTAAAGGTGTAAGTGAGGCTGGCCATGTGGGACACTCATCTCGGCCATCGATGCTCTTCTTCTACCAACTGGGGAAAACAGAAGCTCTTTGTTTTCAGTTCAGTGGCTCCAGAAATTGCAGCATTTCCTTATTAGTCTGACACTGCTATGATAGAATATTTTTCACATTAAGTGAATGAACATTTATT
This sequence comes from Homo sapiens, assembly GCF_000001405.40. Classification (NCBI taxonomy): domain Eukaryota; kingdom Metazoa; phylum Chordata; class Mammalia; order Primates; family Hominidae; genus Homo; species Homo sapiens. The sequence goes on along the minus strand of NC_000012.12, from coordinate 48,007,576 downwards.
TACAACCTTTCTCAAATATGGAATACATATTTCCTGTCTCCTCAAAGAGACCACATTAAACTTAAATTAGCATTTTATTGGACATTTCAGTTTATCATTATGAATCGCAGGGACTACAGCAGATGCTGTAGATCGGGATATTCCCTGGAAGCATTGATGACTGTAAGGGCATTGACCCTACCCCACTGACCTTCGGCTACCATGTTTTGTATTTGTTGTGTCAACTTCACATTGCTTTTCTGTGTCCTCTCTTACTCTCCCTTTTTCCTGTTCTCATTGTGCTTCATCAACAACTGCTGCTTTCCTATCTCACCTCTAGTTTTCTGCATCTAATTGGTGAGGTCAGATGCCATTACGTGTTAATACAATATCTAAACTATGAATTAGCAGACATGGAGTAAGAAGGACTCTACAGTGCACAAAATGCATAGCTTTATATAACATCAATTCTGGCTATTTAGTGGTTTAGTTCCCCTTCTTTTCAGTTTCTTGGGTATGGTATGGATAGTGAGATTGTTGGACGATCAATTTCCAAATCAGTGATTTGCATATGTGTGCCACATATAGGTCTAATTCCAGTTTGAGTCACAAATTAGAGGTTTTTAATTAGTTGTTTGGAGTCACAGATGGGTAAAATATTAATGTTGGTGTTCAATTGGCTTTAGAATTTTAATAATTTCCATAGTTTATTTTGGCTTTGTCAATTTAAATTTTAAATTTTATTTTTCTTATGTCAATTCCCGTTGCTGGTGAAAAGAAATTTTCCCACAGTGGGTGGAGAGCTTAACTTGTACTCATAGATGGACCATGATTGCTGGAAGGAATCCAAAGCTCTTATATGTAGACACAGTCTATTGGCAAAGATGAATCACAGAGCTAGAGGATGAAATTAAGAACAAATTTGCAACGAGTCTGTACCACTTTGCTACTCACTAAACTGGATCATTTTGAACTAGGCTTCGATTTTTTCCACATACTTTAGTGTGTTCTCCCAAATTCTTTTTTTTTCTGTTGAATTTTTATGACAACTTGTATTTGAAGTCAGTTGTATAAATGCCTTTATAGTTGTATCTAAATTATTAGTCCACAGGGGCTTTCCTAACTCCTATGTGTTAGAATTGTGCTAGGCACAGTTCTTGTCCCCAAGCATCTTCCAAGCTCATTGATGAGATAAAGACCAATGGATATAAGGGGAAAAAATTAAAACTACACAAAAACATATGTAGCTTAGGCTATAAATGCCAGGGGGATTCAGAAAGCCAGGGAGACGTTGTGTTCTAGAGATATCAGAGAAGGCTTCTCAGAGGGGCTTTAACCTAGGAGGTCTTGATAAATGTGTGGAATTTGGTCATTCTATCTTCCAGGTAGAGAATATAGGACCTTCTGAGCCCCAAAGAGGACATGGGGCACTGATGGCAAGAGACCAGCTTTCTTCTAGCAGAGATTGGGCCTGAGGAAGAGCCCAGAGCTTAATGCAAGCCCCTGAATGGGAGCATGGAGACTCAGACAAGGCCCGTGGAAGGTAGGGGAGATGCTGGAAACTGGTTGAATTCTTCCCCATCTCCATCCAGACTGGACAAAGCCTAGAAGCATTTCCTTCAACAATGAGTTCTTTCCCTTTCCAACCAGAGCACTTGGAACTCCAGCCTCTACCAGGACAAGTGTCAAAGCATGATAGGCTAGGGATGGGGTCCCAGGACCCCTGGTGGAAGCCTAAGGCCCAGAAGTAGCTTCTTTCAAGTGCTCTCAGCTTCTAGGGGGAAAGCTCCAGAGAAACAAAACTGCCCAGGAGGGCAGAAGTTCTGGTTAAGTCAGACCCCAAATTCTGAGTTTCATTTTGCCTATAGTTCTTTGGGGGACCATATCGCTCAAAAGGAAGGTCTGTTTGGGGACGTTTCCTCCCTGGTATGAAAGGAGGCACCGGAGACCAAGAGAAGAGACCAGCTAAGCCCTGGGAAGAAGGCAGTTTGGCTAAGGTGAGAGAGGGCGCTCACCGGGGAAGGTGAGGTGAGGCGGCAAGCGGAGGGCTAGGGGGCCGACTGGGAAATTCTGGCGCTTCTCCCCGGCTCACAGAACTCGCCAGCTGGATCGGCCTCCCCGATCCCTGGCCAGGGCCGCAGCAGTGACCAACCGTCCCTGGCCAAAGCTGCTCTACGACGGCCGGCAGTGCCCACTCCCCGGGGGACTCCCGGACCCCAGCCAGGAAGAGCAGACACCACGTCTGAGCCTGGAGCTAGACAGTCCCCCCACAGCAGGCAGCTTGCACCGTTTAGTCTCGGCTCCCTCCGTCCTCTGTGGCTCTTTCAGTCCCCTTCCCAGGGCCTGCCCCTGCCCCCCACACCTTCACACAGGTCTCCTTCTGTGCAGTAACACACCAGCTCTTTTCCTGGCTGTCGGCTCAGGCCAACTTCGGCCTGTGCTCCAGAGGAAGCCTTCAACGCAGAGCTGGATGGGGGAGGGGTGGAGGGCAGTCGCTGTGAACGTCCAGGTGGGAGTCTGGGGACCAGGTACTGCAGGGAAGGGCTAAAAGATAGGTCGGGGTAACCCTTCAGATCTGGCTCAGCTAGCCTGTCTCCAAGATTTAGGACTCTGAATCTCTGTGGGCTCCTCCCTGTCCCCACTCCCAAACGCCTGACGCGGTGCCCCCTCGCCCTCCGCTGCTCCTTTCTACCGCTTTCCCTCCTCCCTCCCATGTCTTTTCCGTCCTTGGTCTAGGGCTCTCGGCCTGCGCCTCTGCAAACACCCCCTCCCCTCCAACTCCGGCAGAACTCCGAGGGGAGGGGCCGGAGGCCACCCTTCCCGCCTGTGGTCAGAGGGGGGCAGCGCCGCAGCCCCGGGTTTGGGGGGCAGGGGCCATCTCTGCGCCCCGCCCGATCAGGCCACTCGGCGCACTAGGGGTGGAGGGCGGGAAGCGTGACTCCCAGAGAGGGGGGTCCGGCTTGGGCAGGTGCGGGCACTGGCAGGGCCCAGGCGGGCTCCGGGGGCGGGCGGTTCAGGTTACAGCCCAGCGGGGGGCAGGGGGCGGCCCGCGGTTTGGGCGAGTTCGCCAGCCTCGAAAGGGGCCGGGCGCATATAACGGGCGCCGCGGCGGGGAGAAGACGCAGAGCGCTGCTGGGCTGCCGGGTCTCCCGCTTCCCCCTCCTGCTCCAAGGGCCTCCTGCATGAGGGCGCGGTAGAGACCCGGACCCGCGCCGTGCTCCTGCCGTTTCGCTGCGCTCCGCCCGGGCCCGGCTCAGCCAGGCCCCGCGGTGAGCCATGATTCGCCTCGGGGCTCCCCAGACGCTGGTGCTGCTGACGCTGCTCGTCGCCGCTGTCCTTCGGTGTCAGGGCCAGGATGTCCGTAAGTCTTCCCCCGCCCCTGCCTGCCTGCCTGCTTTCCATGCGTCCCTCAGCATCCTTCTCCCCGGCCCGCTCCAGCTCTGGAGCCCGCGGCTCCGGGCTAAAACGGCTCCCGGGGTCGTAGCGCGCCGACTTAGGCACAGGACACGCAGAAGTTCACCAAGAAGAGTTCTGCCAATCAAGGACTCTGTCCCAGGGTCCTCGGTGCCCATCGCAGTTGCAAGTATTTGCAGGTCCCTACGTTGCGCTAGAATACTGAACTTGCAAAGTGTTGGCTCGGAGAAGTTTGCGCACAGATATAAATGGGCTCTTTTCCACCAGCTTTGATAATTAGGCGCACATGCACACAGCTCGCCTCTTCGAAGCACTTCGAGTTCAGCAAAAACAGATCTCAACTCATCGAACTTAGGTGAAGTAGGAAAGAGAGAGCGCGAGCGAGGGAGCAAGCAAACGCCAAAGGGTTGACTTCACAGCCTGTCCAAGGCTTGGTGGCTGGTGGGCTCAAAGCAGAGTTAGACAAAGGGGACTAACACTCTGACACTGGTGGGCTGAAATCCCAGGCCACAAAGAACGGCTTCCGATAGGCCCTCTGAGACCTCAGCGCCTCTTTAGGGTACCCTCCCCCTCCCAGCTGGCCCTGGAGCAAGGTGCAGCCCTAGCGCTCATCTCGACTTCCCTCCGTCCGCCTGCGCCTCTCTTCTGATAAAGGGTACAGAAACTTCCAGTAGGAGAGGCCATCTGAAAGACGATAACATTCCAACCAGACCGTGCTTTTCAAATGCCCCCGAAAATAGCGCCCCCTTCCCCGCGGTCTTACCCCATTCCCCGCCGCCCCGAGGTACTACAATGAGTTACTTTTCTAAATTCTGGAACTCACCGAGCCAGGCTGCGTGGTGTGTGTGTGTGTGCGTGTGTGTGTGTGTATGTGTGTGTCAGGGAAGGGGAGCAGGCTGGTCGATTGCTACGGTTGCTACAACTATTTCAACCGGTATAGTTAGAGATGGCTCTTGTAGTCGGGTCCAAATGCTGTTCGGACTGCACCTTTCTACCCCTCCTTTGGTAAGGTCCACTGTCTGGGATTATATTCAGGACAAACGAAGCCTGGAAAGTGTATTAGGTAGAGAGGATTTTTTTTTCCACGTGTTTGGGCACGTTTCCGACGGCTGGGATTCCAGCCCTGTCTTTGTATGTTACAGATTGTAAATCAATCGCAGAGGGAAACTCTTCGGCGGGGGGAATAAAAGTTCTCTGCCTTCGAGGCTCTGTGGGCCCTCTCCTGCCACCAGGCTGTTTCCAGGGATAGCGTGGAAGGCGGCGGGCTCAGGCGGGCTTTCCGGTCATTAGCGCAGCGGGGGCAGGGCTGGAGCCTGCGGCGCAGCTGCGAGGAGCCGGGAGCAGGAGACTCTGGCCGGGTCACCCGGTAGTGCGCTAAGCTGGAGGCGCGCTCCTGGGCATTTGAGGAATACAGCGTGACTATACGTGGCCTGGACTCAGACTGACTATATTTTTGTACTACATTTACAAGCACACGCCCACAAAGCTGTCTTCTTGACTGACCCCTGCCTTAGTGCGCAATGGAATTAGCTGGGTGGCTTTAAAATAATTCTCAAATTCTCCATCCGGTATTAGGGTCGCTTGCTTAATTAGGCGGTAGAGCTCTCTCATCGCCGCATCTTTCCTGGGAGGGAGTGATTCCACAGCTTCTCCGGCCCAAACCTTCCAGTCGCTCCTCCTCCCAGAGGGAGTGTGATTCTGCATCCGAGAGGCTGATTTTGCGCCCTGGAGCATCCCACCTTTTATAACTTCCCCCGCCTGGGGTCAGCGGACCCAAAGGTGTGACGTGGGGAAATGCGCAGTCTGCGTGGACGTCAGGAATGTCAGACACCTAGAGCTCGGCCACACCCCTCCTCTCCATCTTTCCACGAGTTTGAGAAACTTACTGGCGGCGGCGTCTTTGACCCTCATCTGCATTTCAGAGCCCTCGCCTCCGAAAGTGCCCCTGGCTCAGGGGAGAGATCTCAATCCTCCTTTGTGAGGCTTGTTTGCATTGGGAGATTGGCAGCGATGGCTTCCAGATGGGGCTGAAACGCTGCCCGTATTTATTTAAACTGGTTCCTCGCGGAGACCTGTGAATCGGGCTCTGTGTGCGCTCGAGAAAAGCCCCATTCATGAGAGACGAGGTCCAGTGGGTTCTCTCGTACTCCCAGACCCCCTCTCCCACAATGCCCCCCTGTGCCCGCCCGCCGCCACCTCTCGGCTCCAGCCCTGCGCAGAGCGGCGGTGAAGCAAAACAGTTCCCCGAAAGAGGTAGCTTTTTAATTGGCTTGCCACAAAGAATCACTTATACGGCCCTGCGGTAATGAGGGGAACCGGATCAGGCGCGCCGGGATGCTATCGGCAGCCGTTTTGGAGCAGCAATTATGGTGGTGCTGGGCTCCTCCGTCCACACCTAGGGGATCCGGTTACGGCGCTGGCTCCTTTCTGGGGCAGTCATTTAATCCCACTTTTCACTCTCCCGGTGTCTGTGAGCGAGCCGTGTCCAGAGCCGCAGCCACAGAGTCACTCAGCGGCTCTTACACCCAGCGCAGCCTGGCCCCGCCCCTGCGCCGGCGCTTCCCGGGCCGCCCTTCCCCGGGAAATCTGATCCGCACGGGGAGTGGCCCCTCTCCTAGCATTTCCCCCTCTCCTCCCTGGGTCCTCATGGGCGAGGGTGGGCTCTCCTGTAGTCTGGGCTGGAGCGCATTAACCGATGCCCCCTCTCCCACACCTTCCTCACCGCCTGCATTCCACTGCTCCAGCTATTTTAACGGCGGGTGTGTCCCCGCAACTTCTGTATTTTCCCTGGAATCCCTCACCCTCCTGTGATTATCTTGCCCAAAGGCTAGGCGGATTTCTTCTAGTGGGAAAGTAAAAAGGAAAGTTTATCTTTGGATTTTCACTCTCTTTAAAGAGCAGTGGGCAGGCTCGTTTCTTTCTCGCCCTCTGGGTTTGTGGCTCTTTCCTATTATTCATCCCCTGCTGCTGCTATTGCCTTGGGGATTTTGATGAGAAAAACAGCGCTGGGCGCTCCCTAGCACGTGGTGCGGGCTCTACAGCCCTTGGCTGCTAAGGAGCGCTCTTGTCAGCACAGGTTTCATTTGCAGCATGAATTCCAGACGGCAGGGCGCTGGTGGAGGAGACTAGTCCCTGCTATTCTTCCTCTGCAGTCTTGGAGGAGGCCAGGCCTGGACTGGCCAATCTTAGCCCTAGCCAGGTATTCAACGACCCCTGCTCCCCAAACTGGGGTGCTGTTTTCAGATGGAGGCAGGGCCTCTCCAGGCAGGGCTACAGGTGGAGGTCAGCACTGGGGGCGCTTTGGCTCCACTGGCCTCCTAAGCAGTTTATTAGCCTGCCCAAGCCCCAAGTGTATTGTTTGAATGGGTCTATCCCCCTCCCCAAATTGGTCCTAATTCTAATATGGTTCAAAGAATGAGACAAGATCCTAATTCTAATAGCTCGTCTTTTCACCCCCCTTTCTTATATACCTATTTTTGGAGCCTCACTGCTTATAGATTCCAATTTTTGTAGGTAGAATTTTCTACATTCCCTCTGAATGTTAGTTGTCAGTTGTATTTAGCTAATCCCATAATTCCCAGAGGAAGGCAGAAGAAAGAAGACTTCTCTGCTCCTGGGCTGGTGGAAGGGAGGTCTCGCCATTTTTCTGTCTCCTTTCTTTTTATAGTCCCAGAATTCCTATTCAGAATATCTTGTCTCCTCCCTTCCGCTCACCCTCCAACTCCCTCCACCCACTCCATCACCTGGTCTCCCCCGTATTAGGTGGGTAAAGAGAATATAGTATAGTAACCCCCCACCTTCATTGCTGGGTCAAGATTTTCACTGGTGAATAGACAACATGGTGCAAGGTGCATAATAAATATTTGTTGAATACATGGAAAAATCAATGATGTTTTAGGAAAATAATTTTTAAGTTCTATATGTCCAGGTGGCCCCAGCCTACATTCTTCAGCATTTGAATTCTGTCAAGTTGACTGCAACCTCTCTCTTTTTCTCTCTGGCTCCCCACCCCCTCCTTCCCTTGGCTCTCTGCTTCTCCCTCCCCACCCTTGGTGCAGAGGAGGCTGGCAGCTGTGTGCAGGATGGGCAGAGGTATAATGATAAGGATGTGTGGAAGCCGGAGCCCTGCCGGATCTGTGTCTGTGACACTGGGACTGTCCTCTGCGACGACATAATCTGTGAAGACGTGAAAGACTGCCTCAGCCCTGAGATCCCCTTCGGAGAGTGCTGCCCCATCTGCCCAACTGACCTCGCCACTGCCAGTGGTTGTAATTTATTTATTTCCTGTTCAACATAAATAAATTACTTGCAAGCACTGCAAACACGCTCCCATAGATGCTGGTCGTCTCTGCAAAGCAGAGGGGCTAGTTATCCATGGGACCTGGTAGCTGGGGTAGAAAGGAAAGGCCACTTCTCACTTGCAGGTTGAAACTGAGTGAACGAGCCTGAGACACTAGAGGGGTCCTTCTTTGCCCAACATCTCCAAAAACATTTGCTTCCAAGACACATGAAGGACAGATGTGATTCTACAAAAAAAAAAAAAAAAAAATCCTCTCTGAAATCATCTCTGCAAATTACTAGAGCCACTATGGAGATCAAATGCTCTGTCTGGCCAATCCACGAATTAATTCCTCCTCTGCCACCGACACCTTGTCTTCTCCTTAGAAGACTTCTATGTATGTGGTCTTCAGTGTGGAGAAAGCTCTGCCAGCTAGTGGGGAGACTGCAGGGGCAGAGGCTCCCTCTTTGAGTTATGGAACATTGGTGGTAGTTTCCTCTCTGCTATTACCTCTCTTGGAGTTGACCATTAATTCAGAAGCAAAATAATAGGAGAGGGAAGGGCTAGGCTTTGGGAGTTCTCGTGGGGACGGGTGGAGACAGAGCCCCATGTATCTGCACTGTAGTGGGTGGTTATAAACTCCCAGTTAGATCCAGTGCTGGTGGATGATATATGTGCAGGTGACCCCTTCCCAGCATTCATACAGATGTCCTATCTCCCTGCAGAGTGAGTGGGGACGCTTGTGTAGGTTTTTTGGGTAGCTCTTGCTGTCCGCTTCCTGCTGAAGTAGAGAAGGCCGTGGCAAGGGAAGTGAGAAGCTGCCTTTCCTTAACACTTCACCAACACTGGCTCCCTAATGTGCAGATTCCCAGATCCTTTCTGAGGGGCCCGTGTGAGTGAAGTGTTGATTGCCTTTACTATTTTGCTGCTACTGTGAAGGAGAGGTTATTGACTGGGGATGGCACAGGCTATGATGCTCCGATGCTCTTCATAACTCATATGCCTTGCTGTTTTTGTGTTTTTATTTGTGCTTGCTTCAAGGAGACCCAGCTCTAATGTAAGACCTTTCTAAGTACCTAACTCTTCCTCTGGGAGGGCTTGGGGTTCGGGAACGGCTCCCTACCCTGTGGGGGGAAGAGAGACTGAATCTGTGCTTTCCTTCTTGTGGCTGATTAGATCTTGAGCTCTTCATTGCCTTTTTGTGCTGCCCTTGCTCCTTTCTTTTGCATGCTGCCTGCTTTTTGAATAACAAAGTCTGGGTCACCTCCATTCCTCATGGGACCTCAGCAACCCCAGGGCCACAGTGGCCCTAACACCCCAACAGAGGGGTTCAGTGGAGTCACAGGAAGCTGCCGCCTTCCTTGATTGTGTCCTTTTACTTGTTTGATCTAATGAGTGTTTGAGTGACAAGAATAGGTATTTTTCCATCTCAAGATTCTTACCTTCTTCTTCTCTATATTTTTTCCCTTGCAGGGCAACCAGGACCAAAGGTAAGGGCTTTCTTCTTTTTCTTTTTTCATATTTTTTTGGCTTTATATTTTCTGCTTCAAAAGCAATGCTATGTTAATCCAGTCTGTGATTTTTTAGACATCAGAAGATATCTGTTTCAGAGGGTACCTCAACACAGGGGCTGCTGGCAGGGTTTTAGACTAGGGGCTTAGTGGGCTTACTCGGCTTAATCCTGTGAATGTTTCATGTTTCAGGGACAGAAAGGAGAACCTGGAGACATCAAGGATGTAAGTGCAAATTATTCTCACCCGGTATTGCAGCTGCTGCTCTAAATGGGTCATTTCCTTGTGCTCTCCTCTAACTTACCATCCTGTGGGGCTCTCTCTCACAGATTGTAGGACCCAAAGGACCTCCTGGGCCTCAGGTAAGAGAGGGAGAAATCTCTTTCTCCGTCCCTTCCTCGCTGCGCGCAAGTTACTGATCTGCAGGCTCCTGGCCTTGCTGTCATCTTACCATGTTCTTCACCTTCAGGGACCTGCAGGGGAACAAGGACCCAGAGGGGATCGTGGTGACAAAGGTGAAAAAGTGAGTAAAAAGCAATGCTGCTTGACCCTGGTGGACTTCCCAGGTCCCCCAAGGCCCCACCATGTGTTTAAGGGCCTGGTCACCTCTTAAAGAGCAGCCAAGGGACAGATGGCTCTTGGAGAAACACTGCTTCCCATTGATGCCTTTTTCTCTTTATGCCAAGGGTGCCCCTGGACCTCGTGGCAGAGATGGAGAACCTGGGACCCCTGGAAATCCTGGCCCCCCTGGTCCTCCCGGCCCCCCTGGTCCCCCTGGTCTTGGTGGAGTAAGTATCCTTACTTCCCATTCCTTCAGGCTGTCCCTCCAGAAATGTGGCTTTTAAATTGCTGCTTGCACTTACCTGGCTGGCTCCCAGGGCTGCCAGCAGTGTGTACATAGCCTGTCCATGGGCTTTGCCCTCAGGCCTGTAATTTAGAAGAGTCACATATTAGGCATGAGACTGTGGTGCTAAGGGCTGGCTTTTTTCACTAACTGGGATTCTATAAAGAAAGTCCTCAGTTACCTGGCTTCCTGGCATCTGTACCACGTAGTTGATGCTGGGGGGTGGGTGTAAGGGATAGGAGGAAGGATGACTGGGCACTTGTATTTCCCTGGAAGACGAGTGACCACTGTCCTTGGAAGACATTTATCCTTGGTTCTTGCCAAGTACATTCCAAGCAACTATTCACTCTCATGAAAGAGCTCCACTGAGTGAAGGTGTGTGGCTAAAGTCAATTCTGGAATCAAACCAATCAACAAATTATATGATTGCCTAGTTTTTGCAGGTTTGCTATTTTGATGTTTGCTGTATTTTAAATTCTTAAACTCAAATGGGATCACAGATGCCTACTACATCTCTTGCTGAAATATTCCAAGACTGTTGATTTTAGTCTTTTGCTGGGCACTAAAGTCTTAAAGAATAAAGAACACCCTTAGAAGGTTTGGTTATGTTTCTCCATATACGTTAAATAACATCTGTCATATTTTAGAGCATAAAAATAATTTTATAAAATGAAATGCAAGGAACTGATACTTCCTCAAATAACACTTTCCCTTCCAGTGAAATGATTTTGCCACTGTCATCTAATAATCCATTCCCAAAATTACTTTCCAGGCATCAGTGGTAATTCTGATCAATGATAGGTTAGTCTCCAACAATCAGAGTTTATCTCAGTAGAGTTCTTTGTATCCATATAGAGCTTACCTAGCCAAGTAGGGAAGACCTAGTGCCTTTCAACCTCCTAACGTTGTTGGGTTTCTTTGCAGAACTTTGCTGCCCAGATGGCTGGAGGATTTGATGAAAAGGCTGGTGGCGCCCAGTTGGGAGTAATGCAAGGACCAATGGTAAGAAAAGACACTAGTTCTTTGCAGCCAAAATGGCAGGAGGTGGCCCTTAGCAGAGCCAGAGAGTCTGACAACCTCTGCTTTACAGATAATTGCTTAGAGTGGCTCTCCTCCGTAGTTATGTAACCTCCCATTCAGCTAGCCCAAAGCATTTGGTTTTTAATGGCAATGGATGCCACTTTTAATGATGCGCTGGAGTGACTAAGAAGAATGAAGATGGGGAGATGCATATAGGCTGATCTGTTAGAAGACCAGTTGCTATTGCTCTTGGAATGAGAACTGAAGAATGCAGACAGCAGCTACTGTTCTCCAGCATCCACAGACTTCCAGCAGGAAATCTCAGCCCGCAGCTCTGACTTGGCACATGCTAAATGAAACTCAGCCTTTAGTAAACATGGCTGCTGTCCAGGAGAAAGCAAGGCCAGCTTTTCTGTCCAAATGGTGCCTATAAATAAAAATAGAGTGTTGCGTGGGGAGTGGGAAATGAGAGGGAGCAGCCACTCTAGGCCCCTTGCCCACAGAGTAACTTCTTGTCCTTTGCCCGGGCTGTTGGCTGGGAGAAGATGGCACACTGGAGGCCACTGAGGAAGCATGTGTAGTAAACCCCTCATTTTCTGTTCCGATGCAGGGCCCCATGGGACCTCGAGGACCTCCAGGCCCTGCAGGTGCTCCTGTAAGTATCTGCAATTCTTTTTGCCTCCATCGTGTCGCAGATGATTCCCAAGCACTATGATGTTTTAGCAGTTTATAGGGATTGACCTGGTATCCTCATTTTACTTTTTAGGGGCCTCAAGGATTTCAAGGCAATCCTGGTGAACCTGGTGAACCTGGTGTCTCTGTGAGTACCAGCACGGCCCTGTCCCTTCTCTGGGGGAGCCTCTAATGATAGACCACTAGGACCGCAGCTGCTGTCCCTCCCAGGCTCTGCCCAGCTCTTTCCCACAGTCGGTGGCCCCAAGGAAATTCGGATGTCACTTCCTAGCTGTGGAGGAACTCTGACAGACAGCCCAATGTGGCAAGGACCACCAGGGACTCTGTCCTAACAGCCCCCTTTCCGGGTCACCCCAGCCTGTGCTATCTGCTGCGTCCCACTATGATCTCTGCACCTTTGCTCTGACCTTCCCATCTTTCTTCTTCATAGAAGAACTGGCTTCCAAAACTACAATGTCAAAGTTTTGTCCATTGCTTAGGTGTCTTCCCACTATAACCATCTCTTAAACTATCTTCCTTTGTTTGTAGGGTCCCATGGGTCCCCGTGGTCCTCCTGGTCCCCCTGGAAAGCCTGGTGATGATGTGAGTATACACGAGTAGACAAATGAGGAGCTGCCTCCTTTGAAAGGGCCTGGAGAGGGTGTGTGCTTGGGGAGTGACAGGGAGGCACCCAGGGTGGAGGTATCTTGAGGAGCAAGACTGGGCAGTCCCAAACCCTGACGCCATCTCCTATCTATATGGCCACTGTGACTGTGCTGGCAAGTTCCCTGGGGACCGCTTTGGATCCAAGGGGAAGACAAATAATTAAAACATCATTAGCCCCAGGAAGGGAAATTGAGAAATGAGAGAAGGGAGAGAAAAAATACAAGGCAGAAAGATGTAGAGAAGGAAAAACAAAGAAAGAAGCGTTCAACAACCCAGCATTATCTTAATTGTAAATGAGTTAGAAAAAGCACAGCCTGAGTCAGGATGTCTACAAAGGATGCAAACGAAATGAAGAGACAAGAATTGGCACTCTTGTGCTATTTTTATGAATTGCATTAGACAGTAAAAGTCTCTTGAGGTTAGAGAGAGCACATACAGTCAGCAGAACCTAGGAGAGGAGAGAAAAAGCCTCTCAGGGGAAGTTGGAGGCTGGTGAGGACAGAGGAGCTTGCCCATGGGCTATGCATGTGTCCAAAAGAATAAATGGTGACCCATGAAAGGCATCCAGGCACGTGGAGTCTGAAGGAGGTGAGGGAGATGAGTGAGCCGGTAGGCAAAGGCATGGAGGGCTGGAAGGAGGGAAGCCCTCTGGGGTGCCCCCACTATGCTACTGCGTCTCTGAGGAAGCTGGGATATCTCTCTCTCTCCCTTCAGGGTGAAGCTGGAAAACCTGGAAAAGCTGGTGAAAGGGGTCCGCCTGGTCCTCAGGTAAACGCCACCGTTCCCAGCCTCAGGCATCTTTCCTAGCGTCTCCCTCCCTGTGGCCTTAAACACAGTGCATCCAGTTCAATGAGGTCACTTCTGAGATGAAACGCCAGTAGCCCCTATATTTATCACGACCATGTTTGTAATTTCCACTCAGGCTCTCATGAGGGAGGCTGGGCAGTTGTTATTTATACCACTTTGCATAAAATGGGGGGTACGGGGAGGGGTGGTCTGGGTTTTACAGAAAGAGCTGTCCAAGTGTGGGGATTCGAGACAACGCCCTGGTGGCCCAAGGGAACTGGAGGCCCTCCTGCAGCCCAGGGCAGCTTTCCACTGTTATTTTACTCTGTGCTCTGAACACCTCCACTTTGGATTGCAGGGTGCTCGTGGTTTCCCAGGAACCCCAGGCCTTCCTGGTGTCAAAGGTCACAGAGTAAGTATCACGGGTGAGAAGGTTGGAAGGAAGAGATGCCTGGTGGGAGAGAAAAGCACTTTGGGGTGCGTGCATTTCTTCCAACTTGGGTTTCCCAGAAGTCTGATTGAACATTTTCTCTTGTTCCCTAGGGTTATCCAGGCCTGGACGGTGCTAAGGGAGAGGCGGGTGCTCCTGGTGTGAAGGTGAGAGGCCAGAAAGTACAATGGGATGGGGAGGAGGGAGACAATGAGGAGCCCCTCTTCCTAGCCAGGGAGACACTGTGGAGCTCAGTGGAACTAGCTCCTCAGAACAGCCTTGGCTGGGAACACCAGCCCTACATCCTGATGGGCCAACAGCAGGCCTGGAGAGCTCAGGGCATTGTCCCTCACAGGACTGAAGTTTGTGTCAGTGCGAGCTGAGATGACCAGGGCTTTTGGCGTCTTCCCTAGGAGTTTGCTGGCGGCCAAGAATGGGGTCCCAGACACTGACCTTGTGCATCATTTTTCCAGGGTGAGAGTGGTTCCCCGGGTGAGAACGGATCTCCGGGCCCAATGGTAAGTATGGACACCCTCCAGGAAGGTTTATCAAAGACTCTTCAGACTATCAGATGGCTGCAAAGAGCTCCCTTTGTGCAAAGTTCATATTCTGTGTTGTAGATTTCATCTGATTGTGAGCAAAAAGCAAAATGTATTAGACAGATGATTTGTTCAAGATTTCACCAACATTTCCTTAAGATACCCATTTTATCACACTAAAGATGCTCCCATTTAAAAAAATTCTGTTGAGTCTCAACATTTTGTCAAGCTCATCTACTGCAAGGAGCAAGGTGTGCTTGTAACAAAGGTTCCCAATAGGTAGCAACAGGAACATTCGTGTGTTCCGCCTGTGGAGAAAACTGTTGGGTGTGATCTGAGGCATCCTGGCTAGTCAAGGAGCCAGCACCATCAGGAGGTCCTTGTTTTCCTGGGTGTGGGCATCCTCCCTCTCCTCTGGTATCCGCAAAGGGCCTGCAGGTAGAAATGGTCACCCTGAGCACCGTAAAGCCAACTCATGCTTAGGCTGTCCTGGTGTGTGTTCCAGGGTCCTCGTGGCCTGCCTGGTGAAAGAGGACGGACTGGCCCTGCTGGCGCTGCGGTGAGTAATTGACAAAGCCAAACACCACCATTTGCCGAGCACTTTAGAGTTTACAGGTTTGTTTCTCTTGACCCTCGAAACAACCCTGTGAGGCATAGGGAGTATTGTTATCCCTTAAGAATTCACCCCCAGTGTGCCCATCAAAACTTCCCAGGCTGAGTCTGCACAGTTGAAGGAGGAAGGATAGGAATGGGAGGGTCGATGGGTGAAAGCATGATTCTCTTAACCAGTCCAGATTATCAGGTAATCCCTTCAACAACCACCACCCACTCCCTGGGCAATCCAGCTGGAGTTTACAGACAGACTTAGCTGGCTATAGCACCACCGTGCTACTCTCTGTTCTTCCTGGTTGCTCAAATGCCCTAGAAAAGTGGAACAGGTGAGCATCAACTCACAGGGCTCTATGCTGGCTGCTGCTGTGAGGGATGTTATGCTATAGTACCAGGGGCCACCATTCCATAGGCACTTCCTGTGTTTAATACCCTATATGCTTTACTTCATCTCATCTTCCTCCATATCCTGAGAGGTGGTTCTATTCTTCTCCCCATTTTACGGATGAAAAAACCGAGACACAGAAAGGTGAAATAGCTTAAGATAAATAGTGCCTTGCAGCCTTAGACTCTGGTGGCCTCTAGTTAATGTGGGAAATTAAGGGTGAGGGGATTGGCAGCTGATGGAGGGTGCAGGGTGCCAGACAGAGGCGTTTAGCTCTGATTCCTTAGCAATAGAGAGTCCTTGTAGGCACTTGGTCAGGCGAGTGATGCGATGAAAGCTGTGTTTAAGAAAGATTATGCTTTCTGCTGATTTCATACCCCCAACACCCAAGCTCTGAGGCCCCTCCTCACAGGTCCTTGCAGGGCTGGCCAAAATAAAGCAGCTTCACTCCGTTGTGCTGCTTTCCAGCTAATGTGTCTGTTTGGCAGAAGTTTCCCTCAAAGGCAGATCAGTGAAATAAGCAGAAGCCTCGACCCCCCTTTGTCAGCCAGAGCTGCTGAAGTGCCTTGCCCCAGGGTCACTTTGTGTGAGGGGATTAGAGAGCACTGGGGCTGCCAAGAAACACTGCCGTTTCTACAGATTAGCAGGATGCTGGCTTGTGGCCTTTTAGCGAGGCTCAGAGCTGCGGTGGCCCTAGTCTGCATGGGCTAAAGACAAGCTCCATCTCCTGTCCTTGTTCCCTCCTTCCTGGGCACAGCCGCCCTGCTTCTTGGTTCTCTCTGTTGGTTCCTGTCCGCACGGTAGTTAGGCTGGCAGCGTGTGTAGGATTTGGCTTAGAAGATTGACAACATTGCCTTTGAGCCCTTCTTTGCTACTCCTCCCTCTCCCCTCCCATCAGACTCCTCTCTGGAGTCTGCTCTGCGAGGCCTCTGCTCTGTGGTATCCCAGCAGCCTTCTCAGCCTTGACTTCCAGAAGGGGGCTGTGCAGTGTCCGGGGTGTGCAGGCCCCAGACACGGGGTAGGCTCATGGAGATCCAAGTGCTGATCTAGTGTCAAGGCTGGCCTGGAGACTGGGCTGGGTTGGTGTCTGCCTGCTGTGGTCATGTGCCCTCCCTTGGGCCTGTATCCTCTCTCCAGACTTGCTGCAGGGAGAGGTGGCAGATGTCAGCCTAGTTCTGGCCTCTCAGAGCAGCATGGCAGCTCCCTTTCACTCAGGCCCAGGCTGGGCCCTCCTGCTGGCTGACCCCTGGGGAGAGGGTGCTCCAGAGCTCCCCAAGGAACTGCTTCCCGAAGCAGCCAGGCCAGCCCAGAGGGGCTGTGGCCAATCCTGAAGCTTTATGTTCCTGCTGACATTTTTTCTAAGTTTTCTCTTGCTTTCCTCTTAAATGCCAATCTGGAGAGTCTCCGTTAGGAGAAATGGACCCCAGCCAGGAAGAAGAGTTGAGTTGTATTTAAAACACGAGCTCCCCCTAAAGCATCCTTCTTTAGCTTCTAAGGAGAGGCAGAGACTGACAGGCAGGACTCAGCAGGAAAAGGTACCCCCCTGACCTGCTCAGTCAGGCCCTAGGCCCAGCTCCACCCAGCCTGTGGCCCCCAGAGTTTCGGTAAAGAGTTCCCTGGGCCTTAAGGAACCTTGAGAGAGCATTTGAGGGGTGCCACCACAAACTTGGCAGAAAAAACCCTCCCCCTCCAAGTCCAGTCCTAGAGAAGGAGCTGGCAACCTTGCCTTGCTTTGTAAGCAAAAGCCTCTTAGGGCTTGAGCTCAGATGTAGTGTTTGAGCTGTGGCTGGTGCCCTGCCCCATCAGGGAGCCAATGGTAGACATCCTATGGGCATCTTTGTTTTCCGTAAGAGCAGGCTGTCTGGGGATGGGCCAGAGGAAGAGGCAACCTGGAGTCAACCAAGAGGAGGCCTTAACCAAGCCTTAACCACAGAGGTTAACCAAGCCTTGAAAGCGCTTCCCCCTGAGCAGGCAGGAAGCACTGAGTCCACATGGTTGCCTCGCTGTTTCATTTCCTTACACTCAATTCTCTCAGTCTTTAAATGATCACTTGGCCTTGAAGTTACGGATATTTGGGGTCTGAACTGAAGTTGAAGAAAAGAGAAAATGATTTAAGCTTTGTTTAAGATTAGGGGCCAGGTGCGGTGGCTCACGCCTGTAATCCCAGCACCTTGGGAGCCTGAGGCGGGTGGATCACCTGAGGTCAGGAGTTCCAGACCAGCCTGGCCAACATAGCAAAACCCAGTCTCTACTAAAAATAACAATAAAAAAAATAGCCAGGTGTGGTGACACATGCCTGTAATCCCAGTTACTCAGGAGGCTGAGGCAGAATTGCTTGAACTTGAGAGGTGGAGGTTGTAGTGAGCCAAGACCGCACCACTGCACTCCAGCCTGGCGACAGAGCCAGACTCCGTCTCAAAAACAACAACAAAAAAAGATTAGAAGAAGCCCATTACTGCCTTCTGGCCACCCACTCGCACAGACACCAAAACTGCAGCCCACACCTCGCCATCCTCGTGCTCTGCCCTGGGACACCCCAGGCACAGTGTGTCCTTCGTTTTCTGTAAGGGTGGGCTGGGAGCAGGGACGGACAGGGCCTGTGGGCACCTCTCATGGTCACTTCCTTCTTGCTCACAGGGTGCCCGAGGCAACGATGGTCAGCCAGGCCCCGCAGGGCCTCCGGTAAGTTCATTTCATCCTCAGCAGGTCATTGTTGCTGTGCTTTAAGTCCCGTTAAGCAGCCCAAGGCAGTCTGCAGGGTGTATTGGGTGCAACCACAGCAGCACTCTGATGTCTACTGGAAAGGGGGAGGAAAGAGAAGAAGTTTGTAAATATCAATTGAGCATATCGATAACAAGCTTTGAAGCATGGGCTCATTTTCCTCAGCCATCCTTTCAGCAGTCTTTTTAGAGGAGGGAGGTCAAAGGAGTTTCTGCTTCTCACCACAGATGTAGTCAGAAACTTGCTTTGCCTTCTGAAGCCAGGCAAAGTTTCCTGGGGACGCTGGCAATGGGGACAATTTTCATCCAAGGCCTTTTAGCCACAATGGATATGGAGTGAAATCAGTACAGAGGAGGGAAGGAGTGTGAGGTGTCGGGGTGGCTCGCTTTGGAGGCCAGAACTGGCATTCACCTCTCTTCTCATCCGCCTACTCTCTCCAGGGTCCTGTCGGTCCTGCTGGTGGTCCTGGCTTCCCTGGTGCTCCTGGAGCCAAGGTACGTGCCCTGTTGTCCAGTCAGGAACTTCTGGGTGCCGAGAAGCTGTCCTTTCCCCGTAACCCTTGCTCATTGCTCCCTCAACAACCACCTGCTCCCTTCTGAGAAGTAGCTCCCCACCACCCCACCCACTGGCCCCTCCATCCAGGCAGGGCAAAAAGCCAGACACTCGCAGTCTCACCTGGAGGGAAAGTAAGACAGAAGATAAAATGTGGGAGATCCAGTTACAACTTTGGAGTGGGGAAAGGTGGACAGAGAAGAAGACGGGGATACACCATAGGCCTGGCAGGGGCAGAAGGCCAGGAGTGGCAGCACAGGGAAGCAAACCTAGGGGAGACCCAACAGCTGAGCAAGCTCGGGGCCCTGACGGGCACTGGAGGGAACTGGGCAGGGAAAAGGGCACAGGCAGGGAGCCCCTGCTCCCCTCTGGGTTTCTGCTTTATTTGGGGTGCCTGGCTCTTCCAAACCATGTTAACGGAGTTCTCTGGAGGATTACTAGAGGCCAGTGGGAGGCCAGCCAGTTCAGGGACAGGCCTCGCAGCCCAGGAAGGATTCCAGTGTGAACGTCCCTGGGAATGAATAAGGAGCCTCCATGTGTCACTGGCATCAGGTTGCTTTTCCCCTCCTGGGGGTTTCCATGGCAACCAGACAGTGTCTGAGGTCCCGGAGCCGGGTGAAGGAGACCCATTGTGAAGAGGGACAGCGGAAGGTGAGGGGGGCTGACCTTTTGAAAATAATAATTACCACAGTGAAGCAGGAATGTTCTGAGAAGAAACCTGAGGAGGCTCTGCCCTCTCTCCAGGTCAGCAGCCCTCCCCAGGGACTCTGCCATCTAGAGTGGGTTGTAATTTTCAGGAAAAAATGAAAGTAAAAGCACAAGCCATTTTGTGGGGAGGGGGCTTGCCAGAGGCGCCCGCTAAGGGGAATTGGGCTGTATTGAGAGCAGGGAGGGGCAGAGTCCCCATGTGCTTTTGCCTTGGCTTTCTGGCTTACTGAGAACAGACTGGGGCCGGAGCCAGGGTGTCACTGTTCACCCGTCAGCCAGATGGGAGTGAGGTGGTGCTCTGAGCTGGGATGTTCAGAGACTTAGAAGGGACCTCAGCTCCTCAATAAAATAGAAAAACAGGAGGTGGGGGAGAGAGCGGTGTCCGTCCATCATCCCACGGTGCCAGGATGGCAGGGTCCCCAGCCCACGCTTTTCTGATGGTGTCGATGGAACAGCAGGTTGCCCATTGCTGTAGTATGTAGCTGTGCCGTGGCATGTGGAGGCTCACTGTGTAGAGATGAGGTAAGCAGTAGAGGAGGCAGGCGTGGGAAGTCATCAAGTCATCAGCTCGGTCAGGCAGGGAGAAAAACGGCAGCGTGAACTGTGTGTGAACGCACATGTTCATGTGCAGGGTTGGGTGCATGTGCATAATTTAGTGCTGTGCTTGCAGCTGGCCCTGAGCTATTGCCCACCCACTAGAGGTCTGTGTCCCCTCTCTTCTTCTTCATTTCATCCTCCCTGTCTCTTCCCAGGGTGAAGCCGGCCCCACTGGTGCCCGTGGTCCTGAAGGTGCTCAAGGTCCTCGCGGTGAACCTGGTACTCCTGGGTCCCCTGGGCCTGCTGGTGCCTCCGTAAGTGCAGCTTCTCTTTGGCCTGGGGGGGTCTGGGGTCTGTGGCTTTGGAACTCTTGACTCTGTACTTTGCTCTGACAGTTGTGGGCTCCAACCACCAAACCTTCATTCTGGCCCAATGCCTGTCCCCACCTCTAGATGTATTCCCTTCTATCCCATCTTCCCCTTGAAACACATAGTGGGAATGTCCCTGAAATGGACAGCACCTATGCCAGGTCCCTGGATCTGGATCCTGGAGGGCTGGAGGTGGTTGGGGTTCATTCTTTGCTGCTTATTTGACAATGTCTCCCTTTTCAGGGTAACCCTGGAACAGATGGAATTCCTGGAGCCAAAGGATCTGCTGTGAGTGTTGCCCGTGGACTTTGCTACCCCAGGAGAGCCCAGTCCTGCCTCTCCCCTCTCCTGACACCCCTCCCTTCTTCTCATGCCCACAGGGTGCTCCTGGCATTGCTGGTGCTCCTGGCTTCCCTGGGCCACGGGGCCCTCCTGGCCCTCAAGGTGCAACTGGTCCTCTGGGCCCGAAAGGTCAGACGGTAAGAGCCCAAAGTGACCCCCAAGTTCCACTGACATCTCTGGAGTCAAACCCCATCACCCCTCTTTCCCATGCTCTCCTGCCCTGGCCTCACAGCGGCCTCCATCCGAGGGCATCTTGAACAGGGGTTCTGGGGAGGGGCAGGCTCCCTGGAGAGAATCTGGTGTGAGGACCTGCCTCTCTTTTCAAGGGTGAACCTGGTATTGCTGGCTTCAAAGGTGAACAAGGCCCCAAGGGAGAACCTGTGAGTATCTGCCCCCAAGCCCTTGTCTTCTCTGCTGCTGTTCTATGAGGCACAGGCCTCAGCCCCACTGACCCACCACCTCCCTCCTCCAGGGCTCTATCCCCCAATCTGGGTCCTTTCAGATTATGCCTGGAGGAGACTTAACAGGGCTGAGAAGGCCCAGATACAGCTTCAGCTCCCATCCTTGGTTTGGCTAGTGTGAACAGTTGGATCTTTAGCCCCTCTCACTTCCCTCTGCCCTGCCATGGCTCGTCCTTTATGGCCTCTCGTCCTCAAGCCCCCCCCCAGCCCTGAAACAGTTGCCAAGGCTACTTCCTTCATACTCTGAGTCGAGGCTTGCTCCAAGGCCAGGTGAAGGCTCACTCTGTTTCTCTTTTTTGCTGGTCCTCAGGGCCCTGCTGGCCCCCAGGGAGCCCCTGGACCCGCTGGTGAAGAAGGCAAGAGAGGTGCCCGTGGAGAGCCTGGTGGCGTTGGGCCCATCGGTCCCCCTGGAGAAAGAGTTAAGTGAATGTGGAGGCTCCATCCCATGGGGCCTGTGACCTCGAGAGGGAAGTGGAGTCCTTGTGGTCCGTGTTCTGGTCAAGTCTCGTGACTTTTCCGCATGTCATCCTCCTCTTTCTCCATCCACACCGCGGGGAGAGGGAGTCTGATCCTGATTTGTGCCGCCAACCACCAGACTGACATGAAATAGTCTGAGCTCCTTCCCAGGAAGCGGGGCAGGCTCCAGAAGTTAACCTCTGAGAATCCTGCAGGCCACAGCTACTGCTCCCCAGAAATTGGGGTTGGTGGGTTAGTGGGATGGACCCACTGGAGCCTGGCTGGGTTGGGGCTGTTCTCACTCACTGCCTCTCCTCCCTGTGGCTCCTTAGGGTGCTCCCGGCAACCGCGGTTTCCCAGGTCAAGATGGTCTGGCAGGTCCCAAGGTGAGTGGGAGAAGAGGGGCTGGGGTCCCTCCCTGCATCGCTGAGGTCACATGGTATCCCACTGACTCCCTGTGTACCCTTGTAGGGAGCCCCTGGAGAGCGAGGGCCCAGTGGTCTTGCTGGCCCCAAGGGAGCCAACGGTGACCCTGGCCGTCCTGGAGAACCTGGCCTTCCTGGAGCCCGGGTAAGTAGCAGAGCTGCTGTTGCCCTTGGCTTCAGACCCTCAGGCCCTTCCTGGCTGGCTCCTTCCAGCCCTGCACTGCCAGGATTGGGAGGTCCTGGGGCCGGCTCCTGACCCCACCCTCTTCTCTCTCCTGAACAAAGGGTCTCACTGGCCGCCCTGGTGATGCTGGTCCTCAAGGCAAAGTTGGCCCTTCTGTAAGTCTATCCTCTGAGGGCTGCTAGGAGGGTGGGGGGATCTCCCTGGGGAAGCAAGGGAAAAGAGAGATGGAGTTTGGGTTAGGGAGGCCTGAAGTACTGTGAATTTTGAGAATTGTGACAGGGGGTAGATGGTAGGCACTGGGGCCAGATGTAACCTGTGCAGTAGCTGTGAGCACTGAAAATGCCACCCCAGTATGCATTCGGGGCTTATCCTTGGGGGAATGATGACATCGTGTGTGCACTTTCTGGGGCAGCTTTCTAAGCTCAGCGGTGTCTTGTTGTAGATGGGCCCATGGGTGTGATGTGGTCAATCCTAGATGCTGAGCATGTGTGGCTGGTGCCTAGTCCTGGGCCTGCCATGTAGGCCCTTAGTGGATGTTGGGTGGATGGATGTGGTCAGAGTGTCTATGTTCTGAGAATGGTGTTCTGTCTTTCAGGGAGCCCCTGGTGAAGATGGTCGTCCTGGACCTCCAGGTCCTCAGGGGGCTCGTGGGCAGCCTGGTGTCATGGGTTTCCCTGGCCCCAAAGGTGCCAACGTAAGTAATAATTTGCTCTTCTATTTCCTTCCATGTGGTGCTACCTACCTCCCTGCCCTCTTGGGGAAAGGGCTGGGTCCTGAGTAGAGTTTAACCAGGGACAGTGATGAGTGGGGCTCCTGTGCCATGGGTGGCAGTGGGGGTCTGTATGTGATTTGGGGAAAATCCATGGCCCCACAGAGCCTCGGGGCATTGCGGCCATAATTGTTCCATGTGGCAGTGCCCAGCAGGCTGGTTGCCATTATGGCCCCTGAACAGAAGAGAAGGGCTGATACTTTGCTTTATCTTGGCTGTCCATCAGGATGTGGCCCCAGGCCTCAGTCCCTGCAGCCCGCTCTGCCCCCAACTCCCTCCCAAACCATCCGCCTCATGGCCCTGCCCTCTCTTTCCTTCAGGGTGAGCCTGGCAAAGCTGGTGAGAAGGGACTGCCTGGTGCTCCTGGTCTGAGGGTAAGTATCCTTCCCCGCTGCCCATGACTTGGTGTTGGCCGGGCATCTGCAGGGAGGACAGGGGAACGGCCTCCCCATGGCATGGTCCCGGGACCCCTCAGTATTGAGTGTTGATCTCTGTGGCTGAGCCCCATGCTGGCTGGGCCCTTTGGGTGTCTACACAGGGAGACTTCTGTTTGCCATTGGTCAGCAGGCCGGGGAGCTGGGGAAGGCTTCCATGCTGAGAACAGCTAAGAAAAGACGGGGCCTGGGAAGGAAGGGAGGGGAAGGTGTGGAAATGGAGCTCAGCTGGGGTACCGTGGAGGTCTGGAAACTCTGGGCCAGAAGTACCTTTGCCCAATCCTAGGGGGACTGCAAGTGGGAAGAAAAGCGTGTCATTGACTTTTCTTTTTCTCTTCTGTCTAGGGTCTTCCTGGCAAAGATGGTGAGACAGGTGCTGCAGGACCCCCTGGCCCTGCTGTAAGTACCTGCCCAGCCTCCCCAGGTGGCCCTGGGGGCAGGGGCTGGGAGGGGTGGGGGTGGGAGAGCCCATCCATTAATGGAGCTGACAGATGTGAATGTGGGCTGAGCTGATACACCAGACTCACTCTGAGCTGAGGCAGGGTGTCCCAGGAGGCTGTGTGGACCCACATTGGTGGAGAGGAGTGTGGGTGGCTGATGGGAGTGCAGGGAGGCATGCATGCACTGTCTGAGTGGTGCAGGAAGACGCCTGTGCTGCCCACCCTGCTGACCTCCCCTGGGCCCTACTAGCTGTGGCTCTCAGGGTCTCTGGAACACTGGCTCAGCTCACCTTTTCTTTTCCACTGCAGGGACCTGCTGGTGAACGAGGCGAGCAGGGTGCTCCTGGGCCATCTGGGTTCCAGGTAGGTGGCTGGACCAGGCTCTCTGTGCAGTCCTTTGCCATACCCAGGGCTCCCTGGGACAGCAGCAGGCACTATCGGTGGAGGGCCCACACCTCTTGCAGGGTGCCAGGCATCGAGCCTTCCCTGCACCCCTGGCTGTCACTGCTGCTGCTTCCTTTCTTTGGGTCTGCCCTATACTGTGCCTCCCTGGGGGCCAGGGCAGCAAACTCACTCCTTTGCTAACGCTTGTCACTTCGGCTTCTAGGGACTTCCTGGCCCTCCTGGTCCCCCAGGTGAAGGTGGAAAACCAGGTGACCAGGTGAGTATGGGGCTCTTTGGACCTGCAACCTGTTTAGATGGGAAGGTCTTTTCTGATGCCTAGGAGGCAAGGGCAAGAGGGCATGAGGAGCCCTGTGAGGCCTGGGAATGTCCTGGACCCATGTCCCAGCCTCCACAGATGACACAATCCCCCATGGGAGGAGTGATATTCAGCCCTGCTGTGGAGAATTGTTCAGGGGTCTGTGATATGAAGCCTTCACTCTCACACATCTTTCTTTGTTCTCCAGGGTGTTCCCGGTGAAGCTGGAGCCCCTGGCCTCGTGGGTCCCAGGGTGAGTATCCTGTTGGCCAATGCGGGCTGCCTCCTTGGGCCTGCCCTGGGTCCTATGCTCCTGCTCCTTTCCCCACCTCCCTGCTTCTCCCTGGACCTTCTCCCCCACTGCTGTTGGTTGATCACTTCTTGGTGTCTCTGCCGCAGGGTGAACGAGGTTTCCCAGGTGAACGTGGCTCTCCCGGTGCCCAGGGCCTCCAGGGTCCCCGTGGCCTCCCCGGCACTCCTGGCACTGATGGTCCCAAAGTAAGTGAGGCTGCATCCTGTAGGGGTCTTCGTGGTAGCCTGGGAGTCCCACTGAGCAGGGAGAAGAGGAGCGGGCTCAGGAGGAATGAAGAACAGAAGTGGGGGGAGCTGGAAAGGAGGTCTACATGGGAGGAAGGGAAGGAAGAGGGGTTTGGGGCCCTGGTTACCCAGGCTCCATGAACATGGGTTCAGGGAGAGGTGCTGTCCACTACAGACTCCCTCTTACCTCCCTCCCCAGGGTGCATCTGGCCCAGCAGGCCCCCCTGGGGCTCAGGGCCCTCCAGGTCTTCAGGGAATGCCTGGCGAGAGGGGAGCAGCTGGTATCGCTGGGCCCAAAGGCGACAGGGTAAGTACTGAGGTTACAGCCTCTCACCAAAGCTGTGGCTTTGCCACATTCCTGCCCCTTGTGATCGCTTCCGTTCCCTTATGGCACCTGGTGATGAAGGTTTCTGTTAGCCCTTTTTGAGGAGCTTAAAGACTCCTTTCCAAAGCTCCCTGCCTTTTAGTGACATCCTTTCCCCTGTTCCTTCATCTCACCCCTGCTGCTCCTCACCCACCCTGAGACCACAGCAAATTCCTCTTGGGCAGGGACTGGGCTTTCCCTAGCACCCCAGCCTGGGTGGGACTGAGCAAACCATGGGGGTCCTGGGGTGCCTGGCTGAGGCGGCTGGTTTTCTCTTCCCTCAGGGTGACGTTGGTGAGAAAGGCCCTGAGGGAGCCCCTGGAAAGGATGGTGGACGAGTAAGTGAATGCGGGCTGCTGGACTGCTGGGCATTAGGATCCTAGCCCTGCACCCAGGAGAGCAGGAGAGAGGGCTGGGCAGTCTGCCACTGGGGTCCCTGGTCCTGTCTCTGTCGGGGCTGGGCAACTGCAGGGACTTCTCTGTTAAAATGGGGCCAGAGGGTAAGTGGGAGCTCTGGAGGCGGTGGGAGCACGCACCAAGGTTGGCTTGGTGCCGGGCCGCACGTGCTCGGCTGGCTCAGCCTGCCTCCCTCACCTCTACCTGCTCTCCCCGCAGGGCCTGACAGGTCCCATTGGCCCCCCTGGCCCAGCTGGTGCTAATGGCGAGAAGGTGAGTCCCGGCTCCTTTCCTCTCCACACCTTGCCTCCCTGTCACACCTCCTTCTTATCTCCTGCCAAAGGCGGTTCTGTCTTGTCCTCCCTCACCACTGTCACCCTCGGCCAAGGCCGTAGGAGTGAAGAGGGGGCCCTCTCAGAAGTGAAGCCGCTGGCAGTGTTCCCTGTTGGGTGGGGCAACTGGGCTGGGGTAAACACACATTCAGCAGAGGCCCTCGAGAGGGTGCGGGTATGGGCTGCACAGTAACACAGGCTGTGCCAGGGGGACCTGGAGCCCCCTTCCCACGAGCAAGGCCCCCCAAATGCACTTTGCCCTCTCCCACTCTGCCTCCCCACCTTCTTACCCCAGCTCTTCCTCCCTTCCCCACCCTCAGGGAGAAGTTGGACCTCCTGGTCCTGCAGGAAGTGCTGGTGCTCGTGGCGCTCCGGTGAGTGTCTGCCCCTCTGAGCCTGGCTCTGCCCGAGGCCCCTGGGAACCAGAGAGCCAGGGAGTCAGTGCAGGCCCTCATGCTGCCTGGTGGCCCTGTGTGCTGCCAGGCACTGGCTCCCTCCCTACCCGCTGGGTCTAGGGTGGGAGGAGAGATGGGAAGGGAAGGGGGAAGGCACGTCACTCCCATCATGTGTTCAGGGTGAGGGCTTTTGGGTTAACAGAGCCTCTGCCTGCGTTCAGGACTAAGGCTGCTTTCAGATCCCCGTCTCTGGGGAACAGGAGGCTGGGCAGGGCCCAAGGGGCTCTTGGAGGGGAGCAGAAGCAGGTCAGGCAGCGGGGCCTGACCTCTCGCCATGCCCCCTTCTCTCACAGGGTGAACGTGGAGAGACTGGGCCCCCCGGACCAGCGGGATTTGCTGGGCCTCCTGTGAGTATCTCTGTCCATCCTCCTGGGTCCCTCCACTCAGGCCAGTTCCACATCCAGCACCCTCGGGCATCGGAGCTTGTCAGGGAGGGAAATGGATGCTCCTCTCCTCTCCTTTCCCGCCTCCATACTAATAGAACCATCATGTCCAGACCAGGACACACACGCAGATACTCACAGAGTCTCCTGCTCTTCTGGAAGAGCTCCAGGGTTTTAGCCTGCCCCTCATTCACCTGCTTCCTCCTTCCCATTATAGGGTGCTGATGGCCAGCCTGGGGCCAAGGGTGAGCAAGGAGAGGCCGGCCAGAAAGGCGATGCTGGTGCCCCTGGTCCTCAGGGCCCCTCTGGAGCACCTGGGCCTCAGGTGGGTAACGCTGCACTCCAAGAATTGTTCCCTCAAGGAAGGGCTCCTGGCGTGCAGATGGGAAGGCCCCAGCAGGCTGCGCAGAGGATGGTTCGCAGGCCTGGGAACACCCCCATGTTGGTAGAAGGAGCTTCCATGTGGCATGTGGGCTGTGTGGGTGGGGTGTAGGGACTGACAGAGTACAGGCTGGCCACAGCCAGCCAGAACCAAGCTGCTGATCTCCTGGGGAGGAGGGGGCGGTGGCAGGAAGAGCTTCCCGGGAGGCCAGACCCCAGACCGGTTCTGTGGTTGCCTGACAGGCTTCTCCTAGAACACAAGTCTCCTGTGGCAGAGGGGACAGAGCTGCCTGTGGCAGCCTCTTCAGGCTGGGTTTTTAGTGCCAAGAAAGCTGCATCTTCGAAAACCTCAGGGGTCCATTGTTGGGGCTCAGACAGAAGCCCACCGTCTTCCTTGGGCCACTGGGCCTCACTGTCTCCCTCTTTCCTTTCCAGGGTCCTACTGGAGTGACTGGTCCTAAAGGAGCCCGAGGTGCCCAAGGCCCCCCGGTGAGTGAGGCCTCTGACACCCCACCCTGCACCTCACAAAGAGGCCTGGCCCCAGAGGCTCCCATGGCGGGGGTGTTCTGGGATGCCCCCGACTGTTTTCCCAGCCCTGCGTTGGTCCCCAGCCTAAGCCCACCCACAGCCAGGTGGGAGAGAGGGCGCCTGTGGGCTGGGTGCACTGTGGTCCCGGATTCCCCAGCCCGAGGCTTGTCCCTCGTTCAGCTCCCTGAAGTGCTGACTGTGGAAACCGGAGGCAGGGAAACAGCCTGTGCCTGCTTCTATGACCAGACCCGGGGGCCCTTTCTCCCTCCCTGGATCCCCCTTGCTGCTTTGCAGTCCCTCGCCCTTTCCATACCAGGCTCTGAGACCACCCCCGCCCCCCGCCCATTTTAATCTCAAACCTCCTGAGGGCTTGAGGTTCTCAGGGGCTCTCCTCTCCCCACACAGGGAGCCACTGGATTCCCTGGAGCTGCTGGCCGCGTTGGACCCCCAGGCTCCAATGTAAGTGATGCTCCTGGCATGAGAGGCACAGGCAGGCATGGAATAGCCTGGCCCAGCACCCAACAGGGTCTGGAGAGCTCCAGGCTGGCCTTCACTCCTCTGAGTCCGTTCCTGCCCCCTGGAGGAGTAGCTAACTGATCATGGGGACCTATCCCCTGAGGGTGGCTGGGGGCAGGGTTGTGGCCCTGCTGTCAGCAATGGGTGGCTGCCCTGCTGGCTTGGTGGGCAGGACAGGGCTGCCATGATTACCTTCATCCTGGACAGATGTTTCTTGAGCATGTTCTGTGCACTTGTCTGTGTGCTTTAAAGCAAGTCCGCATGTCCTGGGTCGCTCTCAGGGAGTTTGCATGGAGGGAGCAGTGGTGATGAACTCACTGGGTTCACCAGCGCCATAGGCAGAGGGAGAGAGTGCTGGGGGCAAGCTCAGGGGTCAGAGGGGCAGGGCTGGAGCGGCTCCTGAGGAAGGGGGATTGAGGACAAAGGGAGGAGGGAGGAGAGATTCCAGGTAGATGGGAGAAAGCAAAGCAAGCAGGAGCTGGAGAAGTTGGGGCTGTCTGCCCAGAGCTGTCTCACATGGTGAGAAGGTTGCAGCGGTAGATTGGGGTTGGGGGGGTTAAGCTGCCTGCCCTTAGTGTGGGGAGGTAGAGAAGCCCCCAGAGAGGAAACTGCTGTCACTGAGGCCACAGTGACTTTGGCAGCCTGGATGAGGAAGGGTGAGATGAGTCCTCACTTCCCGCATTTTCTCCTTCTAGGGCAACCCTGGACCCCCTGGTCCCCCTGGTCCTTCTGGAAAAGATGGTCCCAAAGGTGCTCGAGGAGACAGCGGCCCCCCTGGCCGAGCTGGTGAACCCGGCCTCCAAGGTCCTGCTGGACCCCCTGGCGAGAAGGGAGAGCCTGGAGATGACGGTCCCTCTGTAAGTCCCTCACCAGGCCCATGCCAAGGTCCCTGGGAGCAGGGTCGTGAGTGGCTTCTGAGCTCACAGAGCATGGGGTAGGAGGGAGCAGGGGCCGTGGGGATGCCAGGGAGCGGGGCTGCACAGACAGAGCTGTGCTGAGAGGACAGAAGAGGCTGGGCCACTGTCAGTTCTCATCTCCTGCCTCTCCTCTCTCAGGGTGCCGAAGGTCCACCAGGTCCCCAGGGTCTGGCTGGTCAGAGAGGCATCGTCGGTCTGCCTGGGCAACGTGGTGAGAGAGGATTCCCTGGCTTGCCTGGCCCGTCGGTGAGTGTGGGGTATCCCTCCCTCCATCCAAGCTGGGCCCTGCCTGCCAAGGCTTCTACCTCCCTCAGCACCCTCAGGACTGTCCCTTGTCTGCCCTCTCCCTGAAGGGTCAGTGGGCCCTGGGCAGGGGTGCTTACCACTTGCACTCATCATCCTTGTCTCTGTCCCTCCAGGGTGAGCCCGGCAAGCAGGGTGCTCCTGGAGCATCTGGAGACAGAGGTCCTCCTGGCCCCGTGGGTCCTCCTGGCCTGACGGGTCCTGCAGGTGAACCTGGACGAGAGGTGAGCAGTGAGACCCCCTGGGGTGGCCCTGATTGGGGAGAGGGGCCCTGTGAGTCTCTGTGCTGGGTCAGCAAGGACAAGTCCCAGTCAGGGCCCTGGAGAAGGGGGTGGCAGTGTCGGCCGACAGGCCTGAAAGCCTAGGTACAATGGGAAGGTTGTCGGGGAGAGAGACGGGCATAGAGACCAAGGGCTGCTTCCGGAAGGAGGAGGGAAACTTGGTGAGGAAACTTTGGCTTCAAAGTGTGAGTGAGTTGGGCAGAAGAGGAGAGGCCTGGGCTTCTGAGAGGGGCTGGGGGAGCAGAGGGGGAGATGGGCAGGAAGCAGCTCTAAGTGCATTCTTGTTTCACTTTGTCCAGGGAAGCCCCGGTGCTGATGGCCCCCCTGGCAGAGATGGCGCTGCTGGAGTCAAGGTGAGTGTCTGGTGTCTGTGTGTGCAGTGGGTTGGGGAGGACATTGCCTCGGGCCTGACAGGTCAGCTGGGGGTGGCAGGTTGGAACAAGTCTCATCTCAGCCTAGAAGGACCTTCTGTTCCTGTCTCTTCTGGAACATTCTTCTCTGAGCCTGAGACCTCTCTCCTGACAGGGTGATCGTGGTGAGACTGGTGCTGTGGGAGCTCCTGGAGCCCCTGGGCCCCCTGGCTCCCCTGGCCCCGCTGGTCCAACTGGCAAGCAAGGAGACAGAGGAGAAGCTGTAAGTATCCTGAATTCAGTAAAAGCCGCCTTCCCCTGCGCGGTGGGGCTGAGGCAGTCCCTGGGTTTCCGCAGTCTCTGGACTAAGGAGCAGTGGCCTCAGATGCAGAGGAGGCCCCCACCTGTCCTGGCTTTTCTCTGACGCTGCGCTCACTCTCTCCTCAGGGTGCACAAGGCCCCATGGGACCCTCAGGACCAGCTGGAGCCCGGGGAATCCAGGTGAGTATCCAAGTGTCCTGCACTGAGTCCCCACCAGGGATAGGCTGGGAGGGCAGCCAGCCTCCAGGTGGTTCCTGGGCCTCCAGCCCTGTGTTTCCGGGGATTCCTCAGCTTGGGTGGGACAGGAGGGGGCTCCTGTCCTGGCCCTGACCTGACTCAATCGGTGTCTGTCTTGTTCCCAGGGTCCTCAAGGCCCCAGAGGTGACAAAGGAGAGGCTGGAGAGCCTGGCGAGAGAGGCCTGAAGGGACACCGTGGCTTCACTGGTCTGCAGGGTCTGCCCGGCCCTCCTGTGAGTGTCACTGCCTGCGTGGGACTTCCCGAGGCCTCCTGCCACACAGAGCCCACTTGAGCTCCCTGTGCTGCCAGGACAGCTTGGGATCACCCTAAGCAGTTTCTAGGATTTCCTCAGGGCTGGAGGGAGGAGGAAGTGGAAAGGGAATGGGGCTGGGACATAAAGCTGTTCCCCCAGCTCCCAGAATATAGATAGATATGTCTGTGCTGACCGTGGCCTTTTGCCTCTTCCTTCTACACAGGGTCCTTCTGGAGACCAAGGTGCTTCTGGTCCTGCTGGTCCTTCTGGCCCTAGAGTAAGTGACATGGAGTTGGAAGATGGAGGGGGCCCTTCAGAGAGTGTGGGCCTGTGTTCCCATGGGGAGGGAAATGCTGCTGCTTCTGGGGAAGCTGTGGGCTCAGGGGTCCTCACTCAGTAATGGGGGCAGGACTGGCTCATGTGCCTATGGCCAGAAAAGCGCCTGAGGCCACAATGGCTGTAAGACAAACATGAATCAGCCTCTCGCTGTCAGACAGAACAGCATTTTACAAAGAGGAGCTTAGGAGGGTAGGCAAGCCATGGAGCTATCCTGCTGGTTCTTGGCCAAATAGAGACCAACTTAGGGTTCCATGACTGAGCATGTGAAGAACTGGGGGCGGAGTGGCTGGTGCTATCAGGACAGCCACCTACCCAGCCCCAGCGACTCCCCAGCCTTCCCTGTGGTGACCACTCTTTCCTCACGACCTCTCTCTCTTGCAGGGTCCTCCTGGCCCCGTCGGTCCCTCTGGCAAAGATGGTGCTAATGGAATCCCTGGCCCCATTGGGCCTCCTGGTCCCCGTGGACGATCAGGCGAAACCGGCCCTGCTGTAAGTGTCCTGACTCCTTCCCTGCTGTCGAGGTGTCCCTACCATCCGGGAGGCTTGAGCTCTTTTTTGCTCAGGGCCTCTTTTAGGGCATCAGCCTGCAGCTAACAGTGATGGCATCCTTTATCCTGAGGTCTCCTCAGAGGTCACAGGGCCCATGATCAGTGCTGGGAAACTGAAGAGAAGGGCTAAGGAAGAAATAGACATGGTGCTGTGGTTTCCTTGGTCCTCGCCTGCTACACCTCCGCCCCACCCATGGGGCTGGGAAGAGGGACACTCTAGTACATTCTAGCAAATGGGGATGGACATGGAGGGGCACTTTCACACAATCCTGGCTGATCTCTCTGTTTCCTGCTGCAGGGTCCTCCTGGAAATCCTGGACCCCCTGGTCCTCCAGGTCCCCCTGGCCCTGGCATCGACATGTCCGCCTTTGCTGGCTTAGGCCCGAGAGAGAAGGGCCCCGACCCCCTGCAGTACATGCGGGCCGACCAGGCAGCCGGTGGCCTGAGACAGCATGACGCCGAGGTGGATGCCACACTCAAGTCCCTCAACAACCAGATTGAGAGCATCCGCAGCCCCGAGGGCTCCCGCAAGAACCCTGCTCGCACCTGCAGAGACCTGAAACTCTGCCACCCTGAGTGGAAGAGTGGTAAGCTTGGAGAACAGGATCCCCTGCCCCGGGAAGCAGGGAGTCATCCCTTAGGCCTAGCAGCAAGGGAGGAGATGCCCCCTAGTACAGGGCAGAGCTGGGCCTGGAAGTTTCCGCCAGAGGGTTCCTCTCTTATTTCACAGCAGAGAAGCTGCAGCCCTGGCCCCTGTCCTGCCATGGCTACCTGGCCGAGGTGACCTCAGGGTGGACTCCATCCACCAGCTGGGCACTGCTTCTGCTCTCTTTGCATGTGTTCTTCCTTAGGGCTGGACTTAGCTCATGCAGATCTCCCTGCCCCTGCATCCTCCCAGGTCCCCCTCCTTTCAGGCCACATGTGAACCTCATCCCTTGTCCCTGTAGGCCTCTCTGTCTCTTTCAGTCAGGCCTGGGTCTCTCAAGCTTTTGTGTCTGTGCCTGTCTGAGCCCCCATGGGTGCTGCCTCTTCCCCCTGCAGGAGACTACTGGATTGACCCCAACCAAGGCTGCACCTTGGACGCCATGAAGGTTTTCTGCAACATGGAGACTGGCGAGACTTGCGTCTACCCCAATCCAGCAAACGTTCCCAAGAAGAACTGGTGGAGCAGCAAGAGCAAGGAGAAGAAACACATCTGGTTTGGAGAAACCATCAATGGTGGCTTCCATGTGAGTACCTGGGTGCCCTAGATGATGAGCAGAGATGGCTCCTCAAACTCTTTCTTTTCTTTCTCCCTGGAAGCTTTTAGCACCTTCCCCATATTTTCCTCCAGTTTTCTGTTGGGCTTGAGAGGAGGGAAAGAGGAGGAAAAGTATTTTTTCCCCACGTGGAGGTGGGAAAAGAGGTCCTCTGAGCTTGCTCCACTCCTGGAAGCAAAAATGTCCAACTAGCTCCCTGCTGCCCCAGTACCCTTGAGGTCCTTGAACCATGAACTCTTGGCAGCCCCTACAGCCCCTGGTCCCATTGAATGCCAGCTCCCAGGCCTCACACTGCCGCTCTCTGCCCCAACAGTTCAGCTATGGAGATGACAATCTGGCTCCCAACACTGCCAACGTCCAGATGACCTTCCTACGCCTGCTGTCCACGGAAGGCTCCCAGAACATCACCTACCACTGCAAGAACAGCATTGCCTATCTGGACGAAGCAGCTGGCAACCTCAAGAAGGCCCTGCTCATCCAGGGCTCCAATGACGTGGAGATCCGGGCAGAGGGCAATAGCAGGTTCACGTACACTGCCCTGAAGGATGGCTGCACGGTGAGTGGGGCTGCCAGAGAGAAGAGCTGCCTGTGCCCAAACCGCCTGGAGCAGGGCTGAGGGTTGGCCCGCGGCAGCTGTCAGGTCCTAAAGTGACAGGATCATCAGAGGCATGAGTTTGAGGGTCATGTAGAGAAGATAGGCTGAGTGACAGGTGAGAGAGAGGCACATATCATTCCATCTTCTCCATTCCCCTGGCTCAGGGGAACAAAACCCTACCTGGAACCCAGTGACTACTGTAGAAGTGTTCTCGCAATGTGTACAGGGTGAAGAAGCGGTCACAGGTTGGGAGCTCACTGTGGGGAGTGGGGAAGGAGGGGAAGGGCAGGGTGGAGAAGGGCCCTGCCGCTAAGGATAGGAGTTGAAGTGGAGAGGCCTTTGGCAAGCCAAGAAGAGGTCTCAGGAGCCCCCTCAGTGTGGTTCAACCTTGTGGGCTCTGATGCTCGCCAGTTTGTTCAGTTTTGGGCTTCTGGGCAGCTGGAACTGGGTAGCAAGGCATCTACTGAACAGAGCCTCCTCCTTTTTTCTCCCCTAGAAACATACCGGTAAGTGGGGCAAGACTGTTATCGAGTACCGGTCACAGAAGACCTCACGCCTCCCCATCATTGACATTGCACCCATGGACATAGGAGGGCCCGAGCAGGAATTCGGTGTGGACATAGGGCCGGTCTGCTTCTTGTAAAAACCTGAACCCAGAAACAACACAATCCGTTGCAAACCCAAAGGACCCAAGTACTTTCCAATCTCAGTCACTCTAGGACTCTGCACTGAATGGCTGACCTGACCTGATGTCCATTCATCCCACCCTCTCACAGTTCGGACTTTTCTCCCCTCTCTTTCTAAGAGACCTGAACTGGGCAGACTGCAAAATAAAATCTCGGTGTTCTATTTATTTATTGTCTTCCTGTAAGACCTTCGGGTCAAGGCAGAGGCAGGAAACTAACTGGTGTGAGTCAAATGCCCCCTGAGTGACTGCCCCCAGCCCAGGCCAGAAGACCTCCCTTCAGGTGCCGGGCGCAGGAACTGTGTGTGTCCTACACAATGGTGCTATTCTGTGTCAAACACCTCTGTATTTTTTAAAACATCAATTGATATTAAAAATGAAAAGATTATTGGAAAGTACATATTGACTTGTGGTTTGTTCTTTAGTTTGTTTTCCATTAATCCTCCGTTCTGTAGGCATGCCCAAATAGCAGTCCTAAGGACTTCTTCTGTTGATTTTTCAACCGAGAGTAAGGACACTGAAGCCACACCGCCAGGGTTAGCAGCCTCACACAAACATGAACTTGCCTCTCTGGTAAACCTTGGCACTATGTGGAACCCACTGTTGAACAGGACCAGAAACCAAAACTTGAGAAGGGAGGTATGCTAGAGGGAGGGCATTGCTCTTGAAGGTAAACACTGAACACAGCTCTATGACACCTTAGTGCCCTGCCAGCTTACGGTGTAAGACCACATGTGGGCTGCATCCTGCTGGATCGGAGACGTGGGAGATACTCCCTCGAGAAAGGAAGAAGACAGGGGAGCAAATCCTGCAGGGGCCCGTGGTTAAGTGCACACGATCAATCTGAGTGATCTATTTGTGTCCCTCTGTAAGACTTTTGGTTGTAGGTCAAGGAGAGGTGGAAATGTGACCTGGCCCACCCATATTCCTCCTGCCCCCGCCACTGTGGCCCCCATTCTTCACTCCCTGGGCCTGCACTTAAAATTTCCACGGACTCTGAACACCAGGCTTAAGAATGGACTGCTTCCCATTTCTTCCTACTCTTGGGTGTCCCTTGCCTTTCAATGACCTGGACAGGTGGCAACAATGAGCAAGTTGTCCCCTTCTCCACGGTGACGGGAACGCGGGAAGTGGGCGGGAGACTCCAAATCAATCAGAGGGCAGTAGCATTCTGTGAAGTAAATTTCCAAATATTTGGCACAACTGATAAAACAGAGAGCTACCCCTTTCTCTATCCCTCTCTCCCATCCCTGCCCCTGCTTCCTCCAGGTTAAGGTTGACAGCTTTTCTATTAAATAGTAAAAATAAATGAGACACTTGTGTTGGATTTGTATATATTAATACTCAATTTATGATATAAATTATCACCAGATAATAATATATGCCTATATATTATTATACAATATAGATAATATATACCTATATATTATTATACAATATAGATAATATATACCTATATATTATTATACAATATAGATAATATATACCTATATATTATTATACAATATAATAATATATACATATATTATTATACAATATAATAATATATACATATATTATTATACAATATAATAATATATACATATATTATTATACAATATAATAAT
This sequence comes from Homo sapiens, assembly GCF_000001405.40. Taxonomy (NCBI): domain Eukaryota; kingdom Metazoa; phylum Chordata; class Mammalia; order Primates; family Hominidae; genus Homo; species Homo sapiens. The sequence continues at coordinate 47,971,757 of NC_000012.12, read as the reverse complement.
ATATACATATATTATTATACAATATAATAATATATACATATATTATACAAATATATACATATATTATTATACAAATAATATATACCTATATATTATTAATGTATACCTATATATTATTAAATAATATATACCTATATATAATATATACCTATATATATACACCTATATATACCTATATATACCTATATATTATTTAATAATATATATAATATATACCTAGGTTTATATATGTATGTATGTATATACACATACATACATATACACCTACAATAATACTATATACCCCACCAGAGCTAGTTCATGACAAAGGAGTAAAATGAAAACATGATCACTGAAAACACATAATTAGAATAGCTATCTCATAAGTTAAACAACCCTTCCACCTACCAAGAGCGCTAATTAGGGTCGGAGGAGAGCAGGTGACGTATATGGGTTCCTAGCTGGAGCTAGAGAGTTGAGCTCTGCTCCAACCTGTCCAACTCCAGAGCCTACTTACTCTTAATGAAGTAGTTCAGTAGATTGTGACCATCAGCTTAGACCTCTGCAAGAGAAGTCCCAGGATCAAGGTGATTCCTTGCAGTTCACCCGCTTCTTGAGTCCCTAGTCAAACTCAGAAATAATAGCAGCTGCTCCCTAGGTAACTGCGGCATGAAGTAGAAGGGAGAGCCCAGGGCAGTGCACGGAAAGCTCTGCCTCTGCCTGCACTAGGGTCAGGTGGAAATCGCCACCCTGGCTGGCAGGTCTGTGCTCCCTGTGCCGCTTCCTTGTCTTCCTTTGGCCCGGAGGGGAAGGTGAGAATAACCAGGATCGTTACTAACTTCTGTGATCCCTGATGCCCCCAGAAAGGAGACAGTCTCACTGGTCAGAACAACTTGTCAGATAAATTCCCAACCCCAGCAGGACTCTGGATAAATTCCACTCAGCAGGACTGAGTGGAAAGACCCAGCTTGCTGATTTTAAGGGGCTGGGCCAGGCTTTCCCTCTCTTGAGCCTCCTCATCTCCATGGAAGTGTCCGGCATCACAGGCTTTGGACGAGGAGTCGGCAGTCTCAGCTCCAGCTAAGACTTACTCTCAAGTCCCTTGGATCCTGTGCAAATCACAGAACTTCTGAAACGGGTTCCCTTCTAAACAACTGAAAGAACACAGAATCTTAAAGGAGTGCTAACCAGGTAATAAAGAATTTTACTTATCAAGGCAAAGAATAAGGATTATTTTGCCCAGAGAAAAGACCTGGGACCCTATTGATTCATGTAGTGCTTTAAACAAATAGGCTGATTCTTTTAATAATTTCTTTCACACTTTGGGCTAGAATCCCTGAGAGATGACCCAGAGATCGTGGAGGTCCTGCACTGAGGTACCTAGGGTTGCAGAATAGTTGGTGGAGATACACTATGGCCTATATAAGGCCTGGTGAGCATAAAAGATTTGTGATAGTGTTTTAAACTCCAGCTATGACTCTAGACAAAATGCATTAGAAATTGCAATCCTAGGCATACAGCAGGTACTCAATAAATACTTTCTAGAATGAGTAAATAAATGAATGGAGATTTCTGTATGCAACAACTCTTCAACCAGGTGATCCGGTATAAGTAGTTTGAGATAAGAAACAGGTCACAGTATAGGCCAAGCCAGAAACTACAGAGAAGAGATAGCTAGCAAAGCCTCTCTCCAAGAAACACACTCTGAAAACTTCAATCCATCGGGAACACAATGGTGATGACAATGACACCAAAGCTAGCCACTTTCTCTTTCTATTCTGGGGTGCTGAGAGAATACTCCAGGCATTTGTTCAAGAATTGACAGACACTACAATAAAGCCCTGTAGAACAACCCAAAGTGCAGTTTGGGATGCTAATAATGTAAACAGATATGGAAATTGATAGTATTATAACGTCAGATTTATTGCTATATGTTTTAAAAATGTAAGTGCTCTCATTCTAATATCATAACTGGATTTTAAGATAATATCAAAAGCAAGAAATGTTACTAAGGCACATGGTCACAAAAAAAAATGTTTCAAAACTGAAGTACCAGTATGAGTATCTTTTTCAAACTTCCATGAAAAATCTGTTACACAGGCTATTTGGAAAACAGGAAAACTAAAGAGCAAATGTAGCAACGTGAACATCTTCATGTGTTTAGGGCATGTTCTGATTAGGGCAGCATGCTCAGAAACGGTGCACATTTGCTTCCGTGTAAGTGGTGATGTCCTATCATCAATCCACATCAGTCATCACTGTCATGTACCTGTGTCACTACATGATCCAGGACAACACCAAAACTTAAGCCTCAGCTTCTGGGTTCCTCCGTTATGGTCGAAGTCAGCCCAACAGTCATGAAATTTAGCTTTAGTTTGAAGATTCAAGACTATACAGATCATTAAGCAAATATTGAAAACCAAGCTATGGGAATGGAGACAAAAACTAATATACAACCCCAGCCACCACCTGTTGTTGTTAGGGTTTCCTGAGGTCCCAGTGCTATGGGAAGAGCTGACTTCTAACACCTGACTACTCAAGCTTCTTAACTAGATTCTCTGCCATCCTGGGGCTGTAGCCTAACCTCTGGTGGCAGAGCAGGTGGAGATGACCCAAGAAACTTACAACCTCAAACCAGGATGTCTTATTCAAGACTGAATTCCAACCTCCATGGGGCACTGAGTGCTCTGTCCTGGAAGGGAACAGGGTAGCCCCCTGCCGCAAGAGGCAGATGGAAGAAAATGAGGCTGCTTGCTGTGACAGGAACTCATGGGAACGGGAGTACAATCAGGGTGCAGTCTCTTTCCTCCTATTCCATCCTGACCCACTTGGAAGGGAACTATTCTACGGTTCCCCCAGAGATCCCTACAAAACACCCAGGCAATCAGAGGAGACACAGATGAATCAAAAGCAGGGTTTATTTTTCTATCAAATCCCCAATCCATGTTCCAGCCAATGGATGAAGGGTGAATCAAGCCCCACATAGACTCTTGGTAAAAACAATTCTAACTTTCTAAAAAAAAAAAAAGCCAACACACTTTTTTCTTTCTTTTCAAAAAGCTCCCAGGCCTTTGGGAACAGCTGAAACAAATTCATATCCTGACTAGGTCTGTTTTCTCTTAGGTATTTGGATGGTCCCTCTCTGCTGCCACTTCTGCACAGATGAGGCACTGATAATGGCCTGCAGGTCACTCACAATCCTAGCTCCACATCACTCCATGGTTTGATAACCTAGAACCACGTTATGATTTCCATTTATAATGCCCTAAGAACAGCTGAAAAGATCTGTATTAAATTCTGCAAATCTTTATTGAGTGCCAACTATTTGCTGGGCACAGGCTAGGCACTGATTCTGCTGGTTCTGAGAAACATAAATGGTACCATAGGGAGGTGTTTCCTCCTAAGTGGCAGGAGGATGTTTGCTGGGAGTTAAGTGAACCAATTCCTCCTCTGCTTACACCACGTGGGGGTAGGTCCAGAACTCAGGCCTTGGGAACATATGCTGTGCTCTCTTCTACAGGCGCTGTGTGGAAGAACCAATAGCAGTTGTTAAATAGCTGTGGAATTTCCTCCACAATCCACATAGTGATGTGTCTCCAAGGAGCTCTGGGTCATGAGGCCAATGTATGAAATCTTCACTGAAGTTCTAGGGAAAAGAAAACCAAGAAGAATTAATTATGTTTGGGGGATGAAATAAGCCAGAAAAATGTCCCAGGAAATTTTTTGCAAGTTCAGAGAACAATACCCACGGGCCCCAGGCACATATCCTCATGGTTATGTAACCAGGAGGCCAGAAGATCTTTCCACTTTCACAGAGATACTGTGCCAGGAGGTGGCCTTCCAAACAAGGCTTCTCAATCGAGAATGATTTTACCCCACAGGAGACTTCTGGCAATGCCTGAAGACATTCTGGGTTGTCACAACTAAGGGATGGAGGGTTTACTACTGGGATCTAGTGGGCAGATGCCAGGAATACTGTTAAACATCCTATAATGCACAGAACAGCCCCCTACAACAAAGGTCTGGCCCAAAATGTTCGTAGTGCCAAGGCTGAGAAACTCTGCTCTAACCCCTCATATTTCATGTCTGCAGCAGAGTCTTGTCACTTGCAAATTTAACAGCCATGCTTCCAGAAAACAACCCTAAAGGTCCATGACATGTGGTAATTTGTGTGGCTAGAGAGGAAGTCTGGTCAAATGCCCAGTACTTAACATCTTGAGAAAGCTTTTCTGTTCATGACTGTCTCATTAGGATTCTGAGGGGATCAAGTGTTTAGTTAAACTAGACCCATTTTATGGAGAAAATGTTTGACTGCTCAGGGTGACTGGTGATTTGTGAAGGGCATGTGGACACTGTGTTTAGAGAACACCAAGGGTCTACTGTATCTGTGCCTGTGAGGCACAGGGTGTCCCCTCGGGCTAGGTGCCTCTGCCCTGTGGTCACACAGGGGCCTCCTGAGCAAAGGTGGTAGGCTCACATGGCCGGACAGGCCATCGGGATAGGGAAGAGAGACGCACCGCATGAAGATCACTATGTTGTGCACCAGGATCTCAGGTACCGTGCAGAAGAAGCTACCAAACAGCAAATATGGAAATAGTCAGTTTTTTTTTTTTTAAAGCCTCAGTAGAAGAGTGCAGAGTTACACTGTCCTGTTTGGGGTGCCCCCCTCCCCCTTCCGACCTAAGTGCTGCCAAGGCTTGTCAGCTCTCAGTCCCTGCCACTGTCATTTTCATCCTCCCACAGCGTCATACCACTTTCTGTTTTTTCAAACCCATCACATAAGTGCTGGAGCTTGGTAACGTTTTTAGTGGCTTAATGTTCTCTTTTAGAAATTCCAGCACTTCTGTCACATATCAAATAATACATTCTTCAAATACACACATAATAATAATACATTCTTCAAATAAATCTCAAGACATCCAAAGCCAGGGAACCTATAAGTCAAAAGCTGAGATCTAAGGCAGGACCAGGCCCCAATCAATGGAGTATGACTTTGAATCCCTTTCCTCCAGTAGAGAGCACACACAGAGAGAACAGTGTCCTTACTACACATAGGAAAACGGTCCTCCCATCTCGGCCTTCCCGGTAAAATTCACCTGAAAATAAGATACCAGAGTTGGTCTGTGGCCAAGCAGGCTTGACACAGAACAGTATTATTATTAGCAATCCAAAGACCTTGGGTCATTCTTCCATCACATGCAAAATACTTCCCTGAGATTGTCCCTAATATAGTCTATGAGCCTCTAATTGATACTGCCAACCTCTTCCCTTTTGAGAGGCCAATGGACCTCAGGCTGTAACACTGCTGCTTCTTATTTTGTAGCAAATCTTTGTCTCTTACAAATTATTCTGCTCCCCAAATGCTTAAATGATAGCTGTTTTTTCTCACAATTATTTATAATTACAGGGCCCAACAGGTCTTCCTCATCACCAGTTCCTACAAGTAGAAATGAGGAGACAAAAAGGAAAGTGACACAGCTATGGCATTCCTACAGCCCCCTACTCTTCTCTTAGGCCTGTGGGGCAAGATTCCTAAAAGAACAGCATACCAGTTGCTCACTCCGAGGTGGAATAAGGGAGACGTTAGTAGTCACATATGTACTGACCACTGTGTTCATGTACTGAATCTGGCTGGACAGGCTGGTCACTGCCACCGTGTAGAAGTTGGAGTTCCTGATTTTCAGGGTGGCCTACATCAGGGCAAGTCAGGAAACAAGTGTAAGTGTCCTGGGTCCCAGCCTGGCAGGTGCACAACCCAGGGAATGAAACCCTAAGGCTTACCATGATGGTGAGAATTACAAGGGAGTCTTGCTTATTAAATGTGACTTTCACCACTTTGATGCCGTCATCATCCACAAGGACTGAATGCGGAAACAGGAAGAAAACCACCAAACCAGATGCCAGGAGACAAAGCAGGATGGACAGGAGGACATATTGCTTACTGCAAATGACACAGCACATGACCGACCCAGGCAGTCAGATATCAAGGTTCAATGTGTCAAGATTAAACACAAAACCAGGAAAGAGAAGGGAGCTGAAAGGGAAGTTCCAAGAGCCAGGAACCATAAACCAGTTAAGAAGCAGTGAAGCAGGAGAAACCTTTTAAAACTCCTTTAAACACTGTTTGCACTCTGGGAAGAAAAGCTGAAGAAAGGAGCTATGTGGACAGAGACAGTCCCACACCTCCCAGAACACTCCACTTTCCCAGTTTCTTCTGATTCCATTCCTTGACCTTCAAAGCATTTCCAGCTTCAAGTTTCTTTCCCCAGATTGTGATGGGGGCAGAGATATCTTGCTTGGGCAAACAGTTATAAGGAAAATGGGGAACTTATAAGAACATGTGTAGTTTTCAAAGAATTAACTGGCATTCATACATACAGAAAGAGATTAGGGACAGAAGTAGGTATTAACAGGTGAGAAGCAGGTAACTCACGTTCGCTGAGGGCGCAATCTCTGATCACTGTGTGGGATCAAAGCCACCAACTCATTTACTTGCTCTAGAAAAGAGCCAAACAATTATTTTGTAAATCCCATGTGTTGGCAGTACTTCCTTCACGTCTCACTTGAGCCTGCCACAACAAATATTCTTCTGGAATGAGACATTTTAAAAAATACTAGTGAAATTCACATGTTGGGTCTAATGAACAAGAAACAAGAGAGTGCCACAAATTATAAAACATCTATCAGTGCTGCCAGGGTAGTGATGTGGAAGTTGAAAAACCTGGGATCCTGTTCTGGCTTTACTGCATGGGCTTGGCAGAGTCGTCGAATCTCTCAAGGCCATGGTTTCCTTGCCTTTCATATGGAAGCTTTGGAGTAAATGATTTTGAAGGTCCTAACCAGCTCTAAATTTCTGTGACTCTCCAGCTAAACTGTTAAAGACTTTCTGAGGGCCAATTTGTTAATAGTAATAGATGATCCTGTACCAAGGCTAAGTATTTGTCTCTCTCTCTTGACCTGATATATTTTTCTGACCTTAGGCTGTTAAGGATTAGCTACCCATTTCCTTGAAAAGCAGCTTCCAAGATGGTTCCCCCGCAAAGCTGTCCCAATCCTTGTGACAGCGATAAAGAAATGTGCCTGTCAACAAATCCCACAACACAGAGCGAACTGAATGTTCCAAACCTCAGGAAAAGAACAAGAGTGGCGGTAAAGAAAAGAAAGGGTTGGAAAAATAAGGAGAGGAAGAGAAGTTGCAGAACTGCCCAAGTGTATTAAGTCAGTTGAGCTGGCTCCTGTCCAGGGCACTGTCTCTATTATGGTATTACTGCCTAGAAGAAAAGTTGTCTGGGCAGACAGGAGAACTCCGAGGGTACCTTGGGATTCTCATCAGGGAATCATCCCTCCATGATCACCTGTTGGAATGTAGCCTGTCCCCTGGCACGTGAGACAGGTGATGCTATCTCTCCCGGTGAATTCCACATATGGGAACTGAGCAATGGCTTCTTCCTGCTCTCGTTCAGCCAGCAAACCGTCCCTGTCATCTTCTTGCTTTCGCCTGCAGGAGGAGGGGCGAGCAGCAGCGGAATGCTGAGACCCCATGGCCGTGATATGCCACTGGTGTCATGTCCTAAGATGAAAAGAGGGAGTGCACGTTAGCGGCCCCAGTGAATCACGACAGAAATCGCTTGTTTCTATAAGAAAATTAAAAACGCAAAAATGACAAGTTGCCGCCCTGAGTGTGGTCCCAACACCTGTACGATTTCTATCGGGACCCTCATTTTGTAGTAGTGCTACCCACTCTCCTCTTACCCGCCACACACAGCCGGCGGGGGTGGGGAGGGGGAACGGGGCCTGCCTTTCACGCACCTGCCTCGATCCTCACCGCCCTGGGACTTGGGGCACCCCCGCTCCCACCTGGTCCAGCCTCGCCCCTTCCTCTTCACTATTTGTAAGCTCTATGCCCCTCCTCGAGCAACAAACAGGCACCAAATTGATAACCGGCCTTAACGATTCCCATTCCTCTCCACCCCCCAGCCCCAGGAGGCGGGCTCAGGTCACGCCCCTTGGCAAAAAGCGATGCTCTGAGCCCACCAAAGTGGCCCAGGCAGGAGCGAACGCCAGCGTCGCAGACCTGCAGGGCACGAACTCCCGGCAGCTCCTCTCCGGCCGCTCCCCCGACCACCTGCCAGCTTGAGGACTTACCAGCCTCTTCGGTCGGCGGAGCGGCACGCACTCAGCGCGCAGGCGCCAAATACCAAGCCCGCCAGGAGAACGCGGGCGCGCGCTCGCGCGTGCGCTCTTCGCGGCTCCGGAGGCCTTCCCAATATCGCAGCTGTCTGGCTCCCTCGGTTCCGGTAGAGGGCGGCAGAGAGCGCCGGGGAGCCGCGACCCTTGCTGTTGGGCCGCGGTAGTCCGCGGAGTCGGGATGATGCTCTGCTGTTCGCTAGATAGGCTGGGAAAGGCTCCAGTCAAGTTTCCAGAGCAAAACACTTCTCTGCTGCGAGAGGAGGAAGGTGCTGCCGGCTACCGAAGCCATTCTGAAATATTCTTTATAGTACAGGAGCTGTGTAGTCGCTGAGGGTACACACATGCGGAGCATTCGGATAAACTGCCTTTGCAAAAATTGTAAGTGAGAAAATTATGACAGTGAAAGAGATCTGACTTACCCAGTTCCGTCTTGCTTCTAACCTCCGAACTGCCCTTGTTCATTCCTGGGTATAGGCCAAACTAACTTTGGGAGGAATTTAGTTTATAGTTGAACTTCGAAGCAAAGATAACAGCCCTTCCCCAAAACAAACCCCCTTCTTGCCTGGGGACCAGACTGCCTTTGTAAGACTAACAAATTAGCCACAAGATTAGAAATTATGGTTTAGGAGTCATCCAGACAGAGGTCACAAGATTCCAAACCTTCCCTATTGCTCCAAGGGATAACATCACTATTGTAAAATCTAAGATCGGTGCTGGGGATATTTTTCAGACCCTGCATTCTGAGGCACCAGCTGGCAGTACCTAGACCAGTTATCTGGCTCAGCCAGTTCTGCAATCCCACCCAGGAACAGAAAACAGCAAGAAGAACCCACTTAGACCCCCCTATGATTTCATCTCCAACCTGACCAATCAGCACTCCCCACTGCCTGATACCTACCAGCCGAATTATCCTTAAAAAACCCCAGTCTCTGAATTATCGGGGAGACTTATTTGAGTGATAAAACTCTGGTATCTCATTCAGCCGGCTCTGCATGAATTAAAATCTCCATTGCAATTCCCCTGTCTTGATGAATCAGCTCTGGGCAACGGGCAAGGAGAACCCGTCCGGCAATTATATCAGAACCTGTCTTCAGTCCAGGAGGGGAACCCAGAGGCTTCATCAGACCCCTCCAATACTGTAGATAAAAGTGCTGCTGGAAGTCTCACAAGTCAGAGGGGCCCAGCCTGGGGGAAACCTTCCATGGGGAGTCCTGCTGGCTTCTCGCAGGAACGGACCCCACAGCTGAGCTTTGCAAGCCAATTAGGTGCCAAGAGGCACCAAGGAGTAGATTCATTCGGTAGTAGGGCCCCCCCTTCCCCAGACCTCCACAAAAAAGGCACGTACGTAAGAGGTTAGAAAGCACTTTTCGTTCGTTTGTTTGTTTGTTCGTTTGTTTTGAGATGGAGTCTTGCTCTGTCGACCAGGCTGGAGTACAGTGGCACAGTCTCAGCTCACTGCAACCTCCGCCTCCCGGGTTCAAGCGATTCTCCTGCCTCAGCCTCACAAGTAGCTGGGATTACAGGCGCACACCTCCACACCTGGCTAATTTTTGTATTTTTAGTGGAGACCGGGTCTCACCATGTTGACCAGGCTGGCCTCAAACCCCTGACCTCAGGTGATCTGCCCACCTTGGCCTCTCAAAGTGCTGGGATTACAGGCGTGAGCCACTGTGCCCGGCCTAGAGGGTACTTTTTAATGGGTGGGTTTCTTTGTTCATACTGCCAGGTTGAGCTTAGCCTGCAGCAGCAGGAGTTGAGTACAGACATTAACCAGGTGAAATTATTAAAGATGATGCTAGGGGAGAGGAGATATTCTGAAATGGGATGAATAAGGGGCCCACTTGGCAATAGAGAGTGAGGCTGAGGCTGGTGACCCCTCAGGTTTCTGCCACCTCTGTATTTTCCTCTTTCTCCTGTGGGGAATGCCAATGTACCTGCTGTTGTCTAGCCATCTGCCTGACCACTGGCCACAATCAGCCCACTGAGTCTTTAGTAAGAGGCAACAAGGACCCTCTACTTCCCCTCTCACATCTCTGATCCACCTCTTCTCCTTCTTGAAATGTTTTTTTTTTTTTCATCTGTTGGGTCACAGAAAACGATTCCCCAAAATATGGTGTTTGAGCATACGGAGTGCTTTTGAGAATTAAAAGAAAACAAGCCTCAGAATCAAGGTACCTCTAACCTTGTCTTGTTCCTCCGCTCAACCCCAAGCATAGGGGAAGACTCTCTCTGGAATTTCCTTGTCTCACCAAGAAAGCTTTTTTTTTTTTTTTTTGAGACAGGGTTTTGCTCTGTCGTCCAGGATCAAGTACAGTGGTGCCATCACAGCTCACTGAAGCCTCAAATTCTGGGGCTCAAGCAGTCCTCTGTGAAACAAAAATAAAGCTAAGTCTTCTCTACCCCCAGCCATCTGCATGGACCCCTCCTCTCAGCCAAGGGCATTCCAAAGTTAACCTGAAAAACTAGTTCAGGCCATGATGGGAAGGGGGAGTCAGACATGCCTCACTACCGTTGTGAAAGAAAAATAAATTTCAGGACCCCCAAATCATGAAGTCAAGGGAAAAGTCAAGCTGGAGACTATGTCAGGCAATTCTGCCTCCCATTTTATTTCTAAATAAGGTAGCTACAAAGATCAAAATTACATATCCCCCTCACAATTTGCCCACAAGGAATTTCCTTGTGGACAAAGGACAGACATGACTCAAAGTCATCTTTCTGAGGCTCACCTGAGACAAATGTGTATTCGATTGCCTCCTCTGCCCTACGGTGTATGTAAAAATGCAGGTGTACTGAGCCAGACTAAATTGTGTATTCAATGGAAGGCGGATGTAGGACTCAAAAGAATGCAACCTTTTTTCTCTTATCTATTTCTGACCTGAAAGACCCCCACCTCGGCACCCTTCGAGTTGTCCCGCCTTACTGGACCCAACCAATGCACATCTTACACATAATTATTGATGTCTCATGTTTCCCTAAAATGTTTAAAAGCAAGCTGTACCTGACTACCTTGGGCACATGTCGTTAGGACCTCCTGAGGCTGTGTCACAGGAATGTCCTTAACCTTGTCAAAATAAACTCCTAAATTAATTGAGACTTATCTCTGATACTTTTTTGGATGATACCTCCCACGTCAACCTCCCAAGTAGTTGGGACCATAGGTGTGCACCACCACGCCGGGCTAATTTTTAAATTTTTACTGGCGATGGGGTCTCCCCCTGTTGCCCAGGCTAGTCTCAAACTCCTGGGCTCAAGCAGTCCTCCTGCCTCAGCTTCCCAATGTGCTAGGATTACAGGCATGAGCCACTGTGCCTGGCCAAGAAAACTTCTTACCAAGAGTTTGTATCCCATCCCTGAAATATCATGATCTATGGCAGAGAAGAAGACTGAAGAATGCAATCATGCTTGGATGGAATTTTTCACAAGATAATGCCTGCCTTTCCTGCTCATTCAAATTGCAAAGAGAATCATTTACAAGTTAATGTGTCTGCCTTGTCTATTCATTCTCCCTAATCATTTACTGCCCCTCAAAAGAATTGCTTACATTCCCCATCTTCTCTCTCCCCTGTAAAGAAGGGTTGTATCCATTCTCAGACTGCTATAAAGAACTACCTGAGACTGGGTAATTATGAAGAAAAGAGGTTTAATTGAATCACAGTTCCACAGGCTGTACAGGAAGCATGGGTGGGAGGCCTCAGGAAACTTACAATCATGGCAGAAGGTAAATGGAAAGCAAACACATCTTACCATGGCAGAGCAGCAGAGAGTGAAGGGAAAAGTGCCACACACTTTTAAACCATCAGATCTTGTGAGAACTCACTCACTATCACGAGAACAGCCCCCATGATCCAATCACCTCCCATGAGGCCCCTCCTCCAATTCAACATGAGATTTGGGTGGGGGTACAAATCCAAACTGTGTCATTCCACCCCGGCCCTCCCAAGTCTCATGTCTTTCTCACATTGCAAAATACAATTATCCCTTCTCAGCAATCCCCCAAAGTCTTAACTCATCCCAGCATTTACTCAAAAGTCCAAGTCCAAAGTTGTTACAGGAAAGGGGTCCCGATCCAGATCCCAAGAGAGGGTTCTTGGATCTCGCTCAAGAAAGAATTCAGGGCGAGTGTGCAGTGCAAAGTGAAAGCAAGTTTATTAAGAAAGTACACTTTGGGAGGCTGAGGCAGGTGGATCATGAGGTCAGGAGATCGAGACCATCCTGGCTAACATGGTGAAACCCTGTCTCTACTAAAAATACAAAAAATTAGCCGGGCATGGTGGCGGGTACCTGTAGTCCCAGCTACTCAGGAGGCTGAGGCAGAAGAATGGCGTGAACCTGGGAGGCAGAGCTTGCAGTAAGCCGAGATCGTGCCCGTGCACTCCAGCCTGGGTGACGGAGCAAGACTCCGTCTCAAAAAAAAAAAAAAAAAAAAAGAAAGTAAAAGAATAAAAGAATGGCTACTTCATAGACAGGGCAGCCACAGGGCTGCTGGTTGCCTGTTTTTATGGTTATTTCTTGATGATATGCTGAACAAGGGGTGGATTATGGATTATTCATGCCTCCCCTTTGTAGGCCATATAGGGTAACTTCCTGACGTTGCCATGGCATTTGTAAACTGTCATGGCACTGGTGGGAATGTAGCAGTGAGGACGACCAGAGGTCACTCTCATGGCCATTTTGGTTTTGGTAGGATTTAGCTGGCTTCTTTCCTGCAGGCTGTTATATCAGCAAGGTCTTCATGACTTGTATCTTTTGCCGACCTCCTATCTCATCCTGTGACTTAGAATGCCTTAATGGTCTGGGAATTCAGCCCAGTAGGTTTCAGCCTCATTGTACCCAGCTCCTATTCAAGATGGAGTTGTTCTGGTTCACATGCCTCTGACAAAGTCTCATTTGAGACAAGGCAAGTCCCTTCTGCCTATGAGCCTGTGAATTCAAAAACAATTTAGTTACTTCCAAGATACAATGGAGGTACTGGCATTGAGTAAATGCTTCCATTCCAAATGGGAGAGATTGGCCAAAACAAAGGGGCTACAGGCCCCATGCAAGTTTGAAACACAATAGGGCAGTCATTGAATCTTTTTATTTTTTTGAGATGGGGTCTGGCTCCATTGCCCAGGCTGGAGTGCAGGGGTATGATCTCAGCTCACTGCATCCTCCGCCTCCTGGCTCAAACCACCCTCCCTCCTCAGCCTCCCAAGTAGCTGGGACCACAGGAATGTACCACCATGCCCAGCTAATTTGTGTGTGTGTATTTTTTTCTTTTTTGGTAGAGATGGGGTTTTGCCATGTTACCCAGGCTGGTCTCAAACTCCTGGCCTCAAGCAATCCTCTTGTCGCAGTCTCCCAAAGTGCTAGGATTACAGGTGTGAGCTACCACACCCAGCCAAATCTTAAAGCTCCAAAATAATCTCCTTTGACTCCACGTCTCACATTCAGAGCATGCTGATACAAGCAGTGGGCTCCTAAGGCTTTGGACAGCTCTGCCCCTGTGGCTCTGCAGGGTACAGCCCCTTTGGCTGCTTTCATGGGCTGGTGTTGAGTGCCTACTACTTTTCCAGGTGCACAGTGCAAGCTGTCAGTGGATCTACTATTCTAGGGTCTGGAGAATGGTGGCCTTCTTCTCACAGCTCCACTAGGCAGCTCCCCAGTGGGGACTCTGTTGGGGCTCCAACCCCATATTTCCCCTCCACAATGCCCTAGTAGAGGTTTTTCATGAGGGCTCTGCCCATGCAGCAGACTTCTGCCTGGACATCCAGGCATTTCCATACATCCTCTAAAATCTAGGTGAAGGCTTCCAAGCCTCAGCTCTTGCCTTCTGCACACCTGCAGACCCAACACCGCATGGAAGCCACCAACACTTGGGGCTTGAACCCTCTGAAGCAACAGCCTGAGCTGTACCTTGGCTCCTTTTAGCCACAGCTGGAGCTGGAGCGGCTGGGAGGCAGGGTGCCATGTCCTGATGCTGCCCAGAGCAGCAGAGGCCCTGGGCCTGGCCCATGAAACCATTTTCCCTCCAAGGCCTCCATGCCTATGATGGGAGGGGCTGCCACAAAGATCTCTGACATGTCCTGGAGACATTTTCCCCATTGTCTTGGTTATTAACATTCAAATCCGCTTTACTTATGTAAATTTCTGCAGCTGGCTTGAATTTCAACCTGCCCCCACCAAGTTGGAGTCTCACTCTTGTTGCCCAGGCTGGGGTGTAGTGGTGCAATCATGGCTCACTGCAACTTCTGCCTCCCAGGTTCAAGAAATTCTCCTGTCTCAGTCTCCTGAGTAGCTGGGATTACAGGTGCCCGCCACCAAGCCTAGCTAATTTTTATATTATTAGTAGAGACAGAGTTTCACCATGTTGGCCAGGCTGGTCTTGAACTCTTGATCTCAGGTGATCCACCCTCCTCAGCCTCCCAAAGTGCTGGGATTATAGGCATGAGCCACCGTGCCTGGCATCCAGCTTGAATTTCTTCCCAGAAAATAGGTTTTTCTTTTCTACCACATGGTCAGGCTGCAAATTTTCCAAACTTTTATGTTCTGCTTCCCTTTTAAACATAAGTTCTGATTTCAGATAATCACTTTGTGAACACATGCAACTGTACACTGTTAGGAGCAGCCAGGTCAGGTCACCTCTTGAATGCTTTGCTGCTTACAAATATCTTCCACCAGATAACCTAAATCATCTCTCTCAAGTTCAAAGTGCCACAGATCTCTAGGGCTGGGGCAAAATGCTGTCAGTCTCTTTGCTAAAGCATAGCAAGAATGACTTTTACTCCAGTTCCCAATAAGTTCCTCATCTCCATCTGAGACCACCTCAGCCTGGACTTCATTGTCCATGTCACTATCAGCATCTTGGTCAAAACCATTCAGGGGGAAGTTCCAAACTTTCCCACACCTTCCTGTCTTCTTCTGAGCCCTCCAAACTGTTCCAACCTCTGCCCATTACCCAGTTCCAAAATTGCTTCCACATTTTCAGGTATCTTTATAGCAATGCCCCACTTCTGGTATCAGTTTTCTGTATTAATCCATTCTCACACTGCTATGAAGAACTACCTGAAACTGGTAATTATGAAGAATAGAGGTGTAATTGACTTACAGTTTTGCAGGCTGTGCAGGAAGCATGGGTGGGAGGCCTCAGGAGCTTAGAATCATGGCAGAAGGTGAAGGGAAAGCAAGCACAGCTTACCATGGCGGAGCAGGAGAGAGAGAGTGAAGGGAAAGTGCCACATGCTTTTAAACCATCAGATCTTGTGAGAACTCACTCACTATCATGAGAACAACCCCCATGATCCAATCATTCCTGCCAGGCCCCTCCACCAATTCAACATGAGATTTGGGCAGGGACACAAATCCAAATCATATCGAGGGTATATAAACTTTTGTATCCCATTTCAGGGCTGGGCTAATCACTCTATGATTCCCTCTTCCCCCACTCCCCTTCCATGCATATTAATAAAATTTGTATGCCTTTTCTTCTATTAATCTGCCTTTTTTCAGTTAATTTTCAGCAAACTTCCCCTACCGTTTTGGCACTGTGAGCAGCACATCAATGCCGCTCTGCTCCTCTGGAAGCTGCCATGAAAAGAACTCAGGACCTCACAAGTCAGAAGAAGGGTAAGAAATTTTTACCAGCCAGGCTCTCAATCTCTCTTTCTGTGGAATCTGGTTGAGCAAATGGTAAAAAAAAAAAACACTGCCTTTTTCTCTCCCAAATCTTGATTAATGGGAGAAAAGTATTTGTGTGACTAGTCCTGGGTATGGCAACTCTGGTGTACTTTTTGAACGAATATTCATGTTGTCTGGTCCTTTTTCCTCCCAGAAATCCTGTTTTCCTTTGTCTTTGTCTTTCTGTGTTCTCATGCCATAAAGTGGGTACCATAGCGTAGAATATATGCCTAAAACCCCTAAAGCCTGCTGTTCAATTCAGCCTTGCAGACTGGTCAGTTTTGTGGTACTGATCAGTCTGGTGTCTATTTAGAAAAACCACTGAGTACCCAAAATAAAAACTGGATGAAGTCCCCCTCTCGTCTTGTCTTATGTCGTTGAGAGCCTGACTTGTGACCAAGTGGGAGCCCCTTCAGAGGAAAAGGGGGCAGCTTTCCCTTTGCTCCTACACATCTCTCTCCTTGCAAGTTCTATACCAGTTTTTATTCCTCAGTTAACCAAATCCAATGTTGTTGGTGGCAGCAAATGATCAACTAAAAATACATTTCTCAGCCTCTCTTGCAGATAGAGGTGGCTGTGTGACACAGTTCTGGCCGATGGGGT
Source organism: Homo sapiens (assembly GCF_000001405.40). Lineage (NCBI taxonomy): Eukaryota > Metazoa > Chordata > Mammalia > Primates > Hominidae > Homo > Homo sapiens. The sequence continues at coordinate 47,955,329 of NC_000012.12, read as the reverse complement.
GTAAGAACTTGTGTGGAACTTCCAGGAAAGCTCCTTAAAAGGGATGGAGACTGGACTGGTCCTTTGACCTTCCTCTTCCTGCTTGGAATTTGAACTTGATGTTGGAGATGGGACAGCTGTCTTGTGACAATAAGAAGTATATGCTAAGGGAGGCTGGGTAGAAGGGTAAAAGGAGCCTGAACCCCTGATGGCGTTGTAGCCATGGTGAGGCCCTGACTGCCTCACCTCTGAGCGATCATTAAATGAGACAAATAGCCCCTCAAAATCATGTAAGCCTGGTCTTTTGGGTGTCTCTTTTTCCTGGTGGGATGCAATCCTAACATGCAGATACAGAGCTAGTAAAGATAAAAGACTGGATCTTATAACAAGAAGAATAACTGCTTTGACCACATACCATGTAGGCCACACTGAGATTTCTAACCTCTTCCAACTTCAGCCCTCGGGGCACATGCCCTTTGAGAGGGAGGCCCCTTGCCTGACTGAGGCCTGTCTTCCAAGTTAGGCTTTCCTGCCTGAGGACCTGCCTCTATAGGTAATTCACGTGGAGAGCACCTCTAGTGAGAGCCCATCCTCTAGGCACTTGGGTGTTGCCTCACTTTATGGCCTCTCTTGGACACCCTGCCAAGGACAGGAAGCAATAAACCTAGTATCTGCAAGTGGATGGACAGCGGGTGGTTTAGACTGTCCTAGAAACAGGAAAATGAGGAGGCAGCAGCCTGATTCATACAGCTTAAGACGAAGAGGAGCCTAGAAGGAGATTGAGAACTGTGGATGCCTTGAAAAGGGAGGGAAACAAGTTAAGGGCTTACAGCTGTGGTCAGGAAGTGGGAGGGCTTTGGGTTGATGGAGATCTGGGAGCTTCACCTGTAGAGCTCTTGAGGCTCTCTGACAATCTGTCTCCAAAAGTGAGTCTGGGACAGATAGACTGTACTCTCCAGTTAGGCTTTTATTCCTCCCTGTTATGCCCGATGCATAGTAGGCCCTCAATAAATGCTCACAGAATGACTCAGCCTGGTGGCTGGCCAGCACCGCCCTGGCGGAGTAGTCCTAGCCTCCGCAGGAGCCATCTGGGAGGCAGTGTTAATTGGGCAGCACATTCCTGAGGAGACAGCCATCACTTCTCACCTGGGCTTGGCTTCCCAGGCGTGTCTCACCGTCGCAGTTATGAGAAGTGAGGTTACTGCAGACGTGAGCTCACTGGGGCTCTCTGGGTGGGCCTGGGCAGAGGGGGCCAGCTGTGTACTCCTGTATTCCCAGCCTCCTCAATCTCTCCACGTGCATGTACTCTTGGCCCCATAGGCCCAGGGCAGTGCAGGCCGGAAAGGGCTGCTGGTCTGAAAAGGCCCTGTGGGGCCAGGGGCAGGTCAGCAACTAGCTCTGCCCAGCTCTGCATCCCTCCCTGGACTCATATGCAGGAACGGGATGAGGCAGGAGGATCTTCAGGGCTGTCTTGACCTCCCTTTGCACTGGTGGGGAGACTGAGGAATTCGAGTTGGAGGTGCTCTTCATGGTCTTCATTCTGTCCCTGCTTTCTTGATTCCACACTTGAGAAAGCTTGCTTGAGGTTAAATGACACCTAGTGAGTGAAAGAATCAGGACTAGAACCAAGTCCGTTGTTTGCTTATTGGGTGCACTGTCCCAAGAGATCGGGACTTGCTGAAGCTTGGAGAGTTGAAGGCTGAGCCAGGTCATAACCCCGTTGCTGTAGCCACTGTAGTACCTGAGTGGACTTAAGAGGCACACAAACCTTATTTAATGGATTCTGTGTTTATTCTTATGTGAATCAGAGATCTCAGAGCCCAAAGCTCTGGCTCATATGTCTAGAGTGAGGAAATAGTCTCACCCTCTGAAGTTCCGGGTTCAGTTCTCTAAATGGAGAATAAGGTCCCTTGCATTTAAAAACTCCTTACAACCTTAGAGCATTTTGCCACTTACATGGCACTTCCTTTGATGTGAGGCAGCTGTTATTCCCATTTTACGGGTGGAAAAACAGACGGAAGCTGATTTGTCTTAACTATTGTGGTAGGGTCCAAACTGGATCATTGGGATTTCTGCTCCCAAGTCGTCTCTTTTTTCCTTACTGTGCTAATTTGTGTGAAGAATGGACAAAGGAAGAGAGTTTACAGACTTTTTCTTGGAGGAGTAGCACACAGGGTGTCTGTATAGAGAAGGTCTCAGGCAGGGGTCTGCACCTGTGGGTGCAGTTGGAGGCAGACAGCTCTGCTCAGACAGGTTAGACACAGTGAGGGTGCAGGGGGCTTATGTGTTCAAGTGTATGGTAGACACACCTGAGAGTGATAACTCAAGCACAGCCTGAGAGTGACCCTGTACAGCAGATGCACCTGAAAGCAGTTCAGAAGTCTGAGCTAAAGATTCTGGGAGTGGCCAACCCGGAGATTAATTTCTTATCTATGAGAACATCCGAGTTTCCCTGCTGTCCAGTGGGACACGGCCGTACAGGGGATTGAGGCCCTTTCTTTTGGATTAAATGAAGGCTGCCAGGTGGAGGCTGTTAGGGGAAGGGTGCGAAGTGAAAATGCTGTAAACTGCACGTTTTTCACAAGTGGCTGTTGTTCTCCTGCCCAGCGTGCCACCACAGGAGCATCCCCACGTGTAAGTTTCCCACTAATAAAGCCCCTGGTCTCGTATGCTGGCCCTGCGTCTCTTCTTCGGTCTCTTGAACCTGGTGCCCTCCCTACTGAAGTGAATAGGGGTCCGGCACAACATCAAGGAACTGACAATTCACCACGACCTTGTGAAGGGGACCCAGAAGCCAGTCAACCAAGGTGGTCCAAAAAGCCACATCCTCAGCTCCTCCTTTGAGGGACCTGACGAGGCTGCCTGTGGGACCAGGGAAGGAGGGTCTCGCTTGCATTGTGCCCATGTTCACCTGGCTCACAGGTGCACCTGGAACAGCCAATAAGTGTCCTGGCTGCAGTTGGAGGGATGAATCTTCCTCCATAAATCCTGAAGAGCAAAAGAGGTCCTATTTTTTAAAAATTTAAACCAACCTAAATCTAACTCAGAGCCCCATCCTGACTGGCCCCAGGGGATTTAATCTCCTCCATTACTGAGGCTACCTCCCCCTCCCCAGGGTCGCTCAGGAGTCCTGGAGAATTACTTCTTGGAGCCCAGGAGGCAGGGTATGCAAGGGCCTCTCACCATGTCATGCTGATCTCCCCCTTGTCCCTTTTCCCACAGGCCTCTGTGTTGGGTCATGTTACTGCTCCTTGTGACCTGGGAACCTTGGCCCAGGCTGGTAGAGCTGGTGTGCAGGGTCCAAAGTGCCCATGCAGCCATGCCCCTTGGAGACCCTGCCCCTTCTCCACAGTGATGCTGGGGCAGGAGTTCAGCTTCCTCTCCCCTCACCCTGCTCACTCCTTGCTTTCCTCTCTCAACAGCATCTTGAACACCTGATATCATCTCTTGAATAAGCCCAGGAATTCATGAGAGACAGTTCAAGAGGTTGTCTTTGAATTATTATTTTTTTTAATTTCTACCCCAAAGAAATCTAAAGGGCTGAGTTATCCCTTTGGAACAGGGGACAGATACTGGGGAAAAACACAAAACACAAACTAACATCTTAAAATGAACATAATCAAACTAGCTTGGAGGGGAACCTGCAGACCACGGAGACTAATAGCTGCTTCTGACACTATTAACAATTGCCCCAGGCTCAGTACGGCCTGGAGAGGGTGGCAACACCATGAGATGGCTTTGGGGGTCTTAGCCCTTAATAATTGCCACAACTCTCTCTGCCGCTGGCAACCTTGGATGAACACACTCTAAGTAGGTTAAATGGTGATCGAGCTACACACACACAAACTGCTTGCCCCTTTTTGCCCTTCTAGAGGGGCTGGAGCACCCCCCGAATGGTACCTGTGGTACCTGTGTTAAGAGCTGGCACCCTGGAGGCAGGTGTGGGAGGAAGGCTGACTGGCCAGGGAACTGGGGGAGCTGTGCCTGAGGGGTAGGCTGGAGATGGGCTTGCTGGATTTCCACTCTGCAATGAGTGTTTGATGAAACCCAGGCGCCAGCCAGCCAATCTCCGTGGTCAACTTTCCCAGCACTTCCTTTCTCAACCTTAGCTTCAGGGATGAACGTGGTGGCTGGACAGATCCTCATCTGATTGTCATCCAAAACCTCCATGAATCTGTCCACTGCTGCCCGAGACATACCTACCTAGAGGCTCAGCCAGCAGGGCCTTTGCCTGAACTCCAGGCATCCTGTGCCTGAGCCAGACAAACTGCAAATGGACAAGCCTTGAACAAGCGTATGTACACCTAATACAAAGCAGGCAGTGAAAAAATGCAGGAAGATGATGAGGAATGCAGGAGTCACGGATTAGTGCCTGAGGACAAAAGGCTGAGATGAACTCTGGGATGTTTTTAGAAAGACAAGATCCATATCCAACCCATTCCCAAAGGGCAACTGTCTGAAACAGCTCTTGACATCCCCTTCTTCTCACCTTCCGCAATGATTGAATTCAGGTTCTCTGCATCTCTTGCCTAGGCAATTGAAATAGCCTTCTTGGTAGGCTCTCTGACGTTTCATATATATATATGTATATGCATATGTATATAATTTACTATGTGTCTATTATGTGTCAGGTACCACAGTAGGCACTTCTGTATATTATCTCATTTACTCCTCTTAACAAGTCTATAGGCTGAGTTTCATCACCCCCATTTGACAGATGCACCCCCATTTAACAGATGAGGCCTCTGTGGCTCAGAGAAGTGATGTGGCTTGCCTGATGTCACACAGCTGGGGTACAAGCACCATGCCATCTCCGACCACTTGCCTTCCCAGCCCCCCTCCACATTCCACTGGTCTAGCGGTCTTTTTCTGAAAGCAGAAGTATTCGTATCATTCCGTCTCTTGAAGCCTTCAGTGGCTCCTCACAGGCTCCAGGATCAGACCCAAGCCCCTTATACAACTTGCGAGGCCTCTTCCACCCTCCTGCTGCCTCCTTGCCACTGACCACACACTTGTACCACAGCAAACTATTTGTAGCTTCCTAAACATGCCGGGACTTTGTGCCCTTGCTCCCTCTGTCCTCTTGGTGTGGGATGTTCTTTCCGCCCTGCCCCACCCCATACCCCGTTTCCTGCGCCTGGAGGGATCCTACACAGCTGCTCGAGCCCAGCCCTGACGTGGCTCTGCCATCTCTGCAAATCCGTCTCCCACCATCCCCCAGCATGCACACACACGTACACGCGTGCGCACCCACACCCTCCTCTGCCCCTCCGGCCCCCTGCTCGGCGTGAGGGCCGCTGTTGGCGCATCTGGCGTGTCTCCTCTTGGCCTCTCCTCTGGCACCTGTGGCTCATCTACTGTATGATGATTGTCTGTTTACCAGGCCATAGGTCCTGTTAGACTAAACTCTGCGAGGGCAGGATGGTGTCCTTGGGGCCTTGAGAAGAGCCTGGCAGAGAGCAGAAGCTCCGTAAATATTTATTGAATGAATTGAACAGAGTTGAGTGAACAGAGAGCACCTTGGGACAGGGACAATTTCAGTCACTTCCACGCCCCATCTCGTGGCATGCGCCTGGCACCCAGTGCATGTGCAGTTAAGAGTGAATGAATAAGGTCAGAGGAAAAGACAGGACGGGTGGGAGGAGAGTGGTGGGAAGGTTGGCCACAGATTCCAGTGCAGGTCTGGACACAGCTCTGTTCCTTCCGCCAGGGGGCGTGGGAGGCCTGGGCCGGGCCTCCAGACTCCAGTAATTCCTTCCTTTCTTAAAACCCACAAGAGGATCCAGGCGCGCCTGTCGTCCCAGCTACTTGGCAGGCTGGGGCAGGAGGATGGCTTGAGCCCAGGAGTTCGAGGCTGCAGTGCACTATGATCGTACCCATGCATAGCCACTGCGTTTTCTGGCCTGGGCAACACAGCAAAACTCTATCTCTGAAAAACAAAACAAAACAAAACAAAACAAAACAAAAAACAAATCCACAAGAGGCTGGAGGTTGCTTCCCTCCACTGAAGGGATCAGGAGGCAGCCAGGAGCAAAGGGAAGGAGTCCACCCAAGGCTGGATTACCCAAAACAGTGGGCTGGGGTTTGGCCTGACCTGCTCTTGCCTGATGGGACAGGAAGGGATTGGGATGCACCTTGGAACAGGTAGATGCTTGCAGTTGGAGGCTATGACTGGAGCTGTCGGTCTAGAGCCGGGAAAGGGCTCATATTTCTTCATCGTCACTTCTGAGAGAACTGAGGCCCAGAGATGTCAAATGACCTGGCATCTCAGCCAAGTACAGGCCTGACAGGGAGAGGCGGGACCTGCCCACACACCCACCAGCCTATCTCCTGAGGCTTCAGGCCACATGGCTCTGTGGCCACTCTACTGGGCCCAACTGTCCAAACAAGACAGCTGGGTGATTTTTGTCTAAATTAGATGCCACCAAATATTTGTATTATAAAGAGTTTTTCAAGTGTTGTAGTTTTGTCTTTCACTCTCCCCATGAACAGATTTGCAAGGGGACCCGGATTAGCAGTGAGAGTGAGAGAATGGAGCAGGTAGGAGGTGCGGGGAGATGATACAGGCCAACGGTGCTGGAGAGCTGGAGCATGAATCTGAATTGCTGTTCCACTGTGGCTGAGCCTGGCCTGCCTGGACATCTTCCTCTGGCCAGTGTCCCTTCTAGGCACTGGGCTGCCATGAGGACAGGCTTTTGGGTGGTGCTGTACAACAGCAGCTGACCTCTTGGGTGCTGTCTCTGCTACTGCTTTAGCGATCTCTGCTGTAGAGCTTCCGTCCCTGCCCCTGAGTATAGGCTCAGAAGCCCCACTATCCTTCCAGAGGCTGCTCTATGTTACTTCCTCCAGGGAGCACTCCTTGATTCTGACCCTCTGCCGGGGACAATCTCTCCCTTCTTTGAGTTCTCATATTAATTTGTTTATGCTTCTTTCATGGGATTTGCCTCTCCCCTTGCATGACTGTACAAAAGTGGCATAGCATAGCCGCTAAGATGGATTCAGACTCCCTGGGCCCAGATCCTGACTCCGCTGCTTACTAGTTGTACTGTGGTGTGAGAGTCTCTTGGCTGGGTGCGGTGGCTCACGCCTATAATCCCAGCACTTTGGGAGGCTGATGTGGGCAGATCACTTGAACCCAGTGTTCGAGACCAGCCTCAACAACATGGTTAAACCCTGCCTGTACAAAATTAAAACATAAGTAAAAATTAGCCAGGCGTGGTGATGTGCGCCTGTAGTCCCAGCTACTTGGGAGGCTGAGGTGGGAGGATCACCTGAGCCCAGGAGGTTGAGGCTGCAATAAGCCATGATTACGCCACTGCACTTCAACCTGGGCAACAGAGTGCAACTCTTGTCTTTTTTTCTTTTTTTTTTTAAAAAAGAATATCTTACTTTCTGTGTGCCTCAGTTTCCTCCTCTATAAGATGGGAATAATAAGAGTACCTTTCTTACAGGGCTGATGAGGGTTTTTAATGAATTACTACATGTAAAGTGCTTAGGTCAGGACCTTGTACATGGCAAACACCCTTTAAGTGCATGCTATGATTGCCACTGGAGTGTTTGTGTCTGTGCCTTACCTCCTTATTAAGCCTGTTACTTCTTGAGAATGGGGTCAGCCCCTTTTACTTAAGGCAATTTGTGTCCCTCACTGTCCTGGCGCAGGGCCTGGTTCATAGCCGGTTCTCGCTGACGGTTTGGGGAATGATGATGAGGTCCGATGCCTTCTCCCTGCGTCTGTGTCCCTGCTGCAAGCCCCTGCAGAGCGAGCCTGTCTCCGCGGCTCAGGCCCTTCCTCCCACAGCCTGAGCCCCAGCAATTTTCCCTGGCAGCTCCCACGTTCCGGACTAACTTTAGGGTTGGTTTCCAGCTGTGGTTGGATTTTTCTGTTTGAAAAATATTTTAAGCAGCTGGTGGGGAAGGGGTGGAGAGGTGGGAAAAGAATAATAAATAAACTTGTGAAAGGAAGATTGTCTAAACAGCTAGGAGCTGCCACTGCCAACAGCTTGGTCTCCGGGCCATGCCAAGGACTGGGGAGCTATCAGGTGGTTGGTGGTGGGGACGGGACACTGTGCTGGCTTCCCAGGCCAAGGAGAAAGACTCTCTGCCCCTCACAAGCACTTCTCGCGCTTCCTTTCACATTATGCCCTGCGTGAGTTTCCAGGATGCAAGAACTACACGTGGAGAAAGCTAGTTCTGCCGCAGGCGGGATTGAAGTTAGACACTGAAAAGAACTTCTTAGTATCAGAGCCCATCCCTGTAATCCACCTTTATTTCCCCTAAGACCTTGTTTTTCTCCAGAACTCAACTCCTTTTCAGCTCTGGTTATGTAACGCCTCGGCCACTCCCACCTGCCTCCAATGCACCCCATTCACCTAACAGCACACTTCCCTTTCGCCCTTCCACGGCCCCGTCCTCCAGCGCCCTGGTTTCATCAGCTTCTTCTTTCCTTTCAGCCCGGCTCTGCCACCGAGGCCCTCGGGCTTCTTTCTTCACCTCAGCCACCTCCCTCGGTGGGGGTGGGGAGACCTCCTTCCTGGACAGAGTGGGCCGTGGCACAGGTGGACAGCCAGGCCCAGAGGCCCAGGGTCACCCTACACACAGTCGGAGGAAAGGCTCATGCTGCCCTTGTGCAGTCTGGGGACTGTGAAGACAGAGACCCACAGAAAATCAAGGATGGGAGAGAAACTAAATCCGAGTCAAACAGAAGCTGAGTCAGAGGGACAGGGAGCGAGTCAGATGTGGAAGGAGGGCGTTGATGACCACCGGGCAGCTCCCTGGCCAGGCCCTCATGGACATTCCTGTGGCCTCCGATGGCAGGGTGGGCTCAGCCCTGAGGGCTGCCCGATGCCCGGGGTCCAGGGCTTGGGTGGGCAGGAGGCCCCGCCTCTGTCCTGGCTTCTGAGAGCTCCCTCCACCTTCACCTTGGGAGACTGCCAAGTCAGCAGGCTGATGAAAGGGGGTGATGCCTGTGCTCAGTGGCAGAGTGTTCCTCAAAGTCTAGGGGAACCCATAGCAGGGGAGAAAGGGCTGGGGATGTTGGGGGTTTGGGGGGCTGGGGAAGGCAGGGGTCCTTGTCTGGGGCCAGCAAGTTGGGGTGCCCAGGCCCAAGGAAGGGGCTGTGTTGAAGAGTAGGGGCGGTGGGTAGGTGTGGAAAGGGGCCTGTCTGGGGTCTAGGGAGCTTTGCAGGGGTCAGAACCACCCCGGGCAGGAATTCAAGAGTGGGGAGATGTGCCCTCTGTCCTCAGCAGTCTGCGGGGGAGAGAGACCACGGGAGGGAGGGCTGTTTGGAGTGGACTGACAGCCTCCCAGAAAGTCATCTGCTCTTCTGGGCACCCCCCAGCAAGGAAAACGACATTGGTCTGAATTTATAACTGGAATCTGTACTCATTAGCTGGTCCTTGCCATCCAGCAAACTCAGCCACAGCCCTACCACTCTCTACCTGCTTTCAATTCCCTGGGAAACCAGGCGAAATTTAGAGTCCCAGAGGTTCCTCTGAGGGTGTGAAGATGGGAATTTGCACTTCCTAGTACTACTTTTACATTTATACTGAGCAGGAAAATGTCCAAAGTATTTACTTTTTCTTTTCTCATTGTGAAACATAACATATGTATATTAAATATATATGTACAGATTAATAAATAATTATAAATCAAACACCTAGGTTTCCACTGCCTAGGTCAAGACATAGAATACTGCTAGTACTCTAGAAGCCCTGTGTTCTTCCCTGATCACAACCCCTGCCCCACCCTGAGGGAACTGGGATCCTGATGTTTGTGTCATCATTTCCTCGTTTGTCTTCCAAAGACTGTAGAGTTTCTTAGATATTATCATCTTTGAGTTTCACAATCACCTTATTATTCCCATTTTACTGATGAGGAAACTGAGGCTCAGGAAGGTTAAATAACTAGTCCAACACTAGAGAAGAAATAAGTGGCAGAACCAGGATCATGTTTTGGATTGGCTGGGTGTTTCCCAGGGTGTTCCTTGGTTAAACTAGAATCCACAGGAAACTCTGGGACAGCCCAGCATTGCGAATAGCACCCCAGTGCCCTAGAGAAGAGGGAGGGCATCTTCATAGCCAGGAGGGGTGCTGCTCACCAGGAATTGTTGACTCTCCTGGCTTTATCAGTAGGATCCTGGTTTCTGAGTACCTGGCAAGAAATGGCAAGGCTCCCAGGGAGATGAGTTGGAGGCTGGGGAAGCAAGAGGAGCTGAGCTGACCTGAGATAGGATCAGTGACTGGAGAGAGCCTTGGGCCCTTCCTGATACATGCCAAGGGAACCCAGGATTGTGGGTATGTGCCTGAGCCAAGTGCTACCCAAGTTTTGCCAGATTCACCAGGTGTGCCCTCCTTGGTGGGCCAGGTGTGCTCGGGGTGTGTGTGTGTGCGCCTGTGTGGGTGTGCATGTGTGTGTGGATGTGGGAGGTGTGCGTGTGTGTGCATGTGTGCTTGTGTGTGTACATGTGTGCATATGTGCGTGTGTGTGCATGTGGGTGTGAATGTGTGTGTGCGTGTGTGTGCATGTGTGTGTGTGCATGTGTACCTGGCATGTCCACATCTATCCACAGACTTGGATTGTTCTGAACCCTTTTCTCTGCCCTCACCTTTTTCTTTATTATAAGATTGTACATGCTTATTATAAAAATTCATATACAAATGTCTAAGTCTAAATTATCTTAGATATAATTTCTTTTAACTATTCCATATTTATCCTTTTATACTTCTTTCAAGTACATTCAAATATATAGTTATTTACATGATTTAGATACACATATCCAAATGTAGTAGTATTAGGTTTATTTTTAACAAAATGGTATCAGAATCTATATATCATTTTTCACCTTTTTTCCCCACTTAATAAGCCTTGGTCATTTTCTCTGCCAGTATCAATGGGTTTATGTCACTTTCAACAGCTGAAGAGTACTCCATTAAACAGATGTATCATCATCTGTTTACCTGGGTGGACTCTTCACTCTGTGCCTAGCTCCCCCAGAAGCTGCGAGAGTAGGGTGCCAGAGGGATGGGGTGAGGACGAGGAGACTAGTCAATGTCGGCCATACCCTGGGAAGCAGCCCAGGCTCAGCGGCCCTTTGACATCTTGCAAATGGATTCCAGAACTCTGCTCCTTCACCACCTCTACAACCCCACCCACTCCCAAGTCCATATCTCCTTCTCCAGTCCTCTGTCTGCTGTCCCCCTGCCCTTCTCCCTCTGACCCTTGACCTCTGTATAGTGCTGCGGGTTTGGGGGTCTCCCGGGTGGGCTCCCTGCTTCCCAGCTCCTGGCCTCTGAGGCTGGCTGATCTCCCAGAACTGTGAGGAACTGGGGCTTGAGGGACCCTGAGTTCAGGAGGCTCTGCCGAGACAGCCTGGCCTGGCCAAGACAGCCACCCAGGCCGACCCAGGGGAGGCACCATGCTAATGGAGAGGCTAGCACTGCCCATGCCCAGATGGCAGCTTCCTGCTTCCCAGAGGGCATGGGGAATGGGGACTGTGCCAGGTAGGCGTGGTGCCCCCGCCCCTGCACCAATGTCATGGAAAATGTGAAGCCTTGATCTTTGTTCTTGATTGTTCCTCCGATTTTTACAACTGGAAACTGGCGGTGTCTTTGTTCCCATCGGCTTAGGAAGGAGATGTTGAGGGCTGGGGACAGGAGGCAGCTGAGTCAGCAGCTGGAGGTGTTGAACTGGTTGCTTCCTCAGACCAACCATGACCCCTTCTCTCTCACTCACACGCACTCAGTTTACCCATCAACGAACCGTACTTTAACAGCACCAGTGGGAGTGGGGATGGGAACAGCCTTCACCGTCCTCCCTGGGCAAGCCATCTCCCCTTGCCCAGGATGGACGGCCAGGCTGTCCACAGCCCTGAACCCCCTGCTTCAGATACCTCTGGTTCCTCTAATGCCCATGGTGGCAAGCAGTTCGCAGCCCGCCTCCTTCCTCAGGGCAGGTCCGGTGTGTCTGTTTACCTCAGGATCCAATTAGAAATTGATGGTAGGGAAACCACTTTGCCAGGTGGCTCCCTCCTGCTGTGTGGGGCCCAGCCTTCTGGTGCCCCCCTGCTCCCTCATGGCCAGAGTTCATGGAAACTTCTCAGGTCACTGACTCTCACCTTCCTTTCCTCCTCAGGAGGGTGGGCCCAGCCCCGCTCCCTGCAGCCTGGCCCCTCCGTTCCCTGAAGGTCCTGCTGTCCTGGCGCAGTGGGGAGGAGGGCAGGCCTGGGGGCTGGACAGCAGCAGGGCCAGGGTGGTGTAAGCAAGGGGAGATGCGCCTCTGCTTCCTGCGACCTTGGCGGTGAGCCTGGGGACAGGGGTGAGGCCAGAGACGGACGGACGCAGGGGCCCGGCCCAAGGCGAGGGAGAACAGCGGCACTGAGGCAGAAAGGAAGAGGGCGGTGTGTTCACCCGCAGCCCAATCCATCACTCAGCAACTCCTAGACGCTGGTAGAAAGTTCCTCCGAGGAGCCTGCCATCCAGTCGTGCGTGCAGGTGTGTGGAGGTGAACAAGTGTCGGGTATGCGCAGGTGTGAGGGGGTGAGCAGGTGTGTGGGGTGCGCAGGTGCGTGTGGGTGAGCAGGTGTATGGGGGTGCGCAGGTGTGAGGGGGTGCGTAGGCGTGTAGGGGTGCACAGGTGTATGGGGGTGCGCAGGTGTGTAGGGGTGAACAAGGGTATGGGGTGCGCGGGTGTGAGGGGTGCGCGGGTGTGTGGGGGTGCGCAGGTGTGTGGGGTGCACAGATGTGTGGGTTGCTCAGGTACGCAGGTGTGTAGCCCGCGCTTTGGGGCCGCAGGAGAGGGAGGTCTGAGAGAGGCTGGCAGTCAAGGCTGCCCCCTGCAGGCGGGAGGGGTGTGGGAGGGGAGCTGGGACCCGCAGCTGGCGCGGTCAGAGAAGGGTGGGCGGTGGGCGGAGGGAGGCAGGGCAGCGGCCTTGCTGGCTCCCGCGCGCAGGACTTCTCTGCTGGCCGGGGCTGCGAGGCCCGCCTCTGTCTGTGTGTCTGTCCGTCTGTCTGTCCGTCCGGGTGGTGCGCCAGGCTGCAGTCGGAGCAGGCAGTGGCGGTGGGTAGAGGAAATGGGACTTTGCCGGCCTGGGGCTGAGCACCTGACCTTTTCTTGGCGATGCTCTGCCTCCCAGGGACCATCGCTCCTGGCTGTGGCCAAGCAGGACTGGGAAGAGCCCCCGTGGCCCCTGCAGGTCAGGCCGCTGCACCCCCTACATCCGATCCACCTCGCTGCCCAAGCGGGACAGGTTATTTTTGTTCCTTCAGATTTTGCCAGTGCCTTTGCACCCCTCTCCGGGAGTTACTCAGTTACCAATGTTGGTTTTCTATTTCCAGAGCAAAGGCAGGTCCTCCCCTCCGCGGCTTTCTCCACCCGAGCGGGGGCTGGGCCTCTGCCTTCCATCCAAGCCTGGGTCCAGGTCCCACAGCCGCGGCTCCCTCGCCTTTGTGGAGGAAGACGGGGGCACCTGAGGGAGAGGGTGCCTCAGCTGTCTTTCATATCTTCCCCTGACCCCTAACCCCACCCTGCTTTCTCCTGGACCATTCCCATCAGCATGCTCTACCTCTCATCTCTAAAAGTATCCCTCTCCAGGATCCGTCTTTGCCAGTACATCGCGCTGACCCTTCCACAGCCGCCTCCTCACAAGAGCAGGGCCCCTTGCTGCCTCCACTTCCTCCCCCAGCCCCAGCCACTGCTTCACTGCAGCTGTTCATATGCAACTCGGCCTGAGGAGAGCTTCTGTGCCTCCCATGTCCTCTCCCAGCAGCCCGGCCTCAGCTGACTACCCTCCGGAGGCCCTCTCTTCTCCCTTCTGCTTCCCCATGCGGCGTTGTCCTTCTGGTTCCTTCTTGCCTTGTCTGTGATTCCTTCTTGCCTTGTCTGTGATTCCTTCTCAGGCCTCTTGGCAGGTTTCTCTTCAAAGTGACTGGAAAGCTAGTGCCACGTGGACTTGGTCCTGCCATCCCCTCTGCTGTGTTTCTGTGGTTTAGACACCATCTGTATGGTGGCAAACCCCATTCTTCCTCTGAGTTCTGACCCCCAGAAGCAGTTCCCTTGAACACTTCTGTTGGAGGCCTCGCGGACATTTCGACTTAATGCATCCAGATGACAACCCTTGATTCCCCCCTGTCACCCCCAATCTAGCCTGCCTCACCTTCATCTTTCTAGTTGCTGAAGACTGCAGTCCTTGGTGCTGCCTTACCTTTCACATCCAATATATCGTCCAGTCCACCAGATCCCACAAAAAATGCACTTGCTTTGCCACCATTCTTCTCAATGGCCACCATGGCCCTGGTTTTTCTAAGCCACCAAAGTGACTGGAAAGCTAGTGCCACGTGGACTTGGTCCTGCCGTACCCTCTGCTGTGTTTCTGTGGTTTAGACACCATCTGTATGGTGGCAAACCCCATTCTTCCTCTGAGTTCTGACCCCCAGAAGCAGTTCCCTTGGAGACTTCTGTTGGAGGCCTCGCGGACATTTCGACTTAATGCATCCATGAAATCCTCTCTTACCTGGACTCCACAGTGGCCTCATGACTGGCCTGCCTGCTGCCAACCCTCACCTCCTCCATTTCAATCTCCAGGAAGTATGAAGAATTGTCTTTTTGGGAGGATCACTTGAGGCCAGGACTTTGAGACCAGCCTGGGTAACATAGCTTGACCTCATCTATTAAAAAAAAAAAAATCAGCCAGGTGTGGTGGCATGCACCTGTCATCTCAGCTACTCGGGAGGCTGAGGTGGGTGGATCACTTAAGCCTGGGAGGTCCAGGCTGCAGTGAGCTGAGACTGCACCACTGCACTCCAGCCTGGGTGACAGAGTAAGACCCTGTCTCAAACAAACAAACAAACAACCAGAACTGTCTTTTAATAGCATTCGGTTCATGATATCTTTTCTCCAGAAGCTTTCAGTGTGCCCATGCGTGTGTGCTGTGTGTGTGCATATGTGCACATGCATGTGTGTGTGTGTTTGGAATGTTACCATAGCCTGTGAGGCCCTGAGTAATTCCACACTTTTCCCATTTTCCCAGCCTTATCTCATACCCCTTATCCTTGGCCAGGTGCTTGAGTCTTTCAGCTCCCACTAGTCAAACTTCTTTTCCTACCATAGGGCCTAGAATCCCATCCTCTCCCAGCATGTGCATGCGTGCGCACACACACACACACACACACACTGAGCTGGCCCCATTTTCATTCTTCACATCCACCTGAGTGTCATCTCTGCAGAGAAGTTTTCCTCACTGCCCTGTCCAAACCAGCCCTCCTCTTCTAATTTCTATTTCAGTCCTCTATTTGATTTCTTTTCATAATAGCATGGATTGTACTTTGTAATAATTTTATTTATTTGTTTCTTCACCTTCACCTTTGCTGTTCACTCCAGAATGTAAACTCTACAGGGCAGGGGCTATGTCTGATATTTCCATCATTGTAACCCCAATGCTTAGCAGACGGCTTGGCACTTGGTAGATGTGCAATAAAAATGTGTCGGATGAGTCAGTGAATAAAAGAATGAATGGTCCCAGTTGCTAAGGTCATTTAGGTTCTGGTGGGACTGGAAGACAGGTATGGAGGAAGGGAAGACCATGGTTGGTAGAAAGGCACTGCCTAGGTAGGCTTTCCAGACTTCACAAATAAAACTACAAGATGCCCAGTTAAATTTGAATTTCAGATAAACAATGGTTTCTTTTAGTATAGGTACATCTGACATTCAAATTCAATTGGGTATCCTATATTTTATCTGGACTAGGTGAGTGAGGAGGGTGTGGTGGGAGGGGGTCCAGGCCTGATGGAGTAATGGGACCCAGGGAGTGTGCAGAGCCCTGGGTTCAGGTGGAGCAGTTATGGAACCTAATCTTAGGCAAGAGCAGGGCACGTCATCACAGCGCACCCGTATGGGACACTCCCAGGGTGATCCTTGGCCCAAGAAAGAAACGAGGCGAAGAGGAAGTGCTGAGAGACACTGAGAGCTGGGTGGGGCTTGGGGGAGGTGGGTCCTGGGGTGGGGATGGGGACTGAGATCCTTGCCCTTTGAAGGTGACAGACAGAACCTGTCAGATGCTTCCTTCTCCATGACCTTCTGACTTGCCAACTTTAGCTCAACACATGCTTATTGGATACCATAGAATGAGCTGGGCACTGTGCCAGGTACTGAGGGCACAGAGATAAGTGAGACTTGTCCCTGCCCTCAAGTGCTCAGTGCTTGAGCACTGGACAACATGATGTGGCCCTGGAGGAAGCCAGACCAGTTCCACTGTCCCCCAGACCAAAGTCGGGTACCCTCCATTTCATCCTAAAACAACCCCACAAAGTAGTCATTATTACTGCCATTCCCTAAACAAGGAAATGGGTGCTCAGGTGATTCTGCAACTTAGCAAAGGTTACACAGGAAGTCAGGGATGGAGCTGGGATGCAGTCTCCATTTCTCGTTCCTTGAAGAACTCATCCCAGTTGGAGGGGCATGGCTGTTCAAGCCAGGTCAGAATCTAGTGGGGCTGGAGGAGGTAAGTAGAGAGAGGATTCTCCTGGGCTTGGCAGTGCTGCCCTGCAACAAGGGCAGAGCACAGACTTCAGGGGCCTCTTTATGCCAGGGCCCAGTGGGGCTGCCTGGACACACAATAGGGAAGGCCATTAGCACTCGTCCACTGGCGTCCTGGTCTTGCCTGCGTCTCCCTGTGACATGTGTGACATTGAACACATTGTCTACAGCCCTCACTCCTCTGGAGGCTCTAAACCCTGGAGAACATAAGCAGTGTGAGAGAAGGAGCTGGTGAAATGCTAACCCCAGCAGGTACAGTGGCTTGCACTTGTAATCCCAGCATTTTGAGAGGCCGAGGCAGGAGAATCATTTAATCCCAGGAGTTTGAGACCAGCCTGGGCAATGGAAGGAGACCCTGTCTCAACAAAACATAAAAAAAAAAATAGCCAGGCATGTTGGGGAGTGCTGCCTGTAGTCCCAGTTATTTGGAAGGGTAAGGCAGGAGGATTTCTTGAGCCCAGCTGGTTGAGACTGCAGTGAGTCATAATTGTGCCACTCCACTCCTGCCTGGGTGACAGAGCAAGAATCTGTCTCTAAATAAATAAATAAATAAATAAGAAATCCTAACCACATCCTGTTCCCCCAACCCTCAAGAAGCCATTCCTTCTAACTCTGGGGATGCAGCTGGGCTCATGTTCCTTTGCTTGGAAATCTCTTAAACTAGGTTTCGCTTTTAGAGCTCATCCTTGCCCTCCTTCTCCCTCCAGGAAGGCCAGGACCTGGCTCCATTTTTACAGGTGGGCTATGTTGGGCCTCAGAGATCTCTGGGGATGGGGAGGCTATATAGCTCATCTTGCTCCCCCTCCCCACGGTCTTTCATGCCCAAGAAGTAGAAACTCCTACCTAACTTTGTCCCTCCCAGTGGCATGTATGGCAAATCACTGTAGCCCAGGTCTCTGAGAATCAAGATGACCTTGGAACTTGCTGTTCAATGGATTCTTTTTCTGTCTTTCCAGTTCCCCATGGCTCTATCTCTTTATTTTCCTTTGCATCATCTCTATGTCATTTCACAATTAATTAATTAATTTTCAAGCAGATGCAGTCTGGGTATAGGGAATCCCCTCCTTGGGGCCCTCATAAGACTGACATGTGGGATTTCCTAGCTCTAGATCCAACACCTAACGAGTGAGTCTAAACATCTACTTTGTGCCTTTTCCCAATAACATTTGATCTAATTCTTAGGGCTGTCCCTGCATGTGCACACACACAGTCACACATACACATACTTGTACATACATATGCTCTCACCCATACTTGCACACACATTCACATGTACACACTAGCACAAGGACTGCTGTCTGTAACACAAGGTGTTGGTGTGTTAGGAAAGGGGCCTCTGTCACTGACAGGGAAAATTCTTCCTCAAGCACTTTGTTGAACGAACACCATGATGGGCCACTTGGGTTGTGGAAGGCAGTCCTTGCATGGAGTGGGCTTTGACTGAGACAGACATAACCAACATAGGAATTTGTGGGTGAGTGTTGGTTAGTTTAGAAGGAGATTGGACGAGGAAGGAGCCACAACATGGTAGGAGGCTTGAGTCCAAGTAGAAGACAATTCCCCATGGTGGGAATATGGGGAAAGGAAAGAACTGAAAGACTTTTAAGGACAAAGATTCTAATGATCAACATTACGACTGATTCTGTTATGCAGCAAAGAACTGCCCCTCAGTTACTTTCAGCTCTACAGTAGTCCACATACAGTAGACACCGCCTGGCCTTTGTGGTAACATCTTAGAGAAATTAAGAAATATGGGCTGAATTACATGTTTGAACCAATGGAGGCGGAGGTGGAAATGTCCACAAGAGGCAAGACATTAAAAAAAGAGATAAAATTCCATAGAAGCAGGAACTTAGAGCCAGAAGTGACTGAAAGAAACATAAGCCCAACTCCATTCCCACCTCAAACATTCCTAGACATACTAGGATTAGATACCTGGATTTCCCACCATTTGTGGGATGAATGTCTGAGTACATACCATTTCAACAAAGCTGAGTTACATGTAAATACACATATTAAATCACATGTGTGTTCACACTCACATGAGCATTACTTTTCTCTTCATAGAGCATGAATGAAGCAGTGATTTGGCAAGTATCAGGTTAATTTTACAAATGAAAACAGCCAAACCAGAATATTTAGGTTCAAAAATCACCACTGGCCTGAATGATCTGGTTTGGCCACGTATATTTAGCAAGTTAACTAGAAAAGTGCCAAAGTCCTGCACTTGTGCTTGCCAGGTGCACTTTTAATAGGGTGGCCTAAATCCTTGCAGATATACAGATACCTCTCCACACATTATTATTAAGTAGATCTCTCCACATATTATTACATCTAATGTATATTTGTAAGCAACTCCATGATTGTCCTAGATTATCTAGGACTGATCTTTCATACTAGGCTGGTTTTCTGCAGCTACCTGTCATGTGACTGACCCTAAAAAGGAGGTCATGCTAGAAAAGGCCATTGTTGCTTCTCTTCTTGTTGTTGTTTCATTCTCTATTAATGCGTGCTCAGAAAATGCAATGAAATTTACTATTAGCCTAAATTGTACGTAACTGGTCTGCCAGTTACAGAAAAAAAAAAAAAGCAACACAATCCCAAATATAAAGCACCAAATATGAAAATAAAGACGTAAAGAAATAGGAAGAGGACAGTTACAATGGAAGAGTTTTGAGTCAAAAGAGAGATTTTGGGTTTTACCTTTGTTCTGCTAGGGACTTGCTTTGCAAATGTGTCAGTGTCATTATTTGTCCTACGACAGGGTGGGCCTAAGAGCTTTTGAGAATTGCCTTCCAGCTCTAAAATGCTAAGATGCCCTAAGAGTGTATGACTCAGGGAGATCATCCGGTGCTTATGAGGAGTGGTCTGATGTGGTAGAAATAATGCTTCTCAAGCTTTAATGTGTATGTAAAATGTGAATCGCCAGGGGATCTTGTTGAAATGTAGACTCTGATTCACGGGGTCCAGGTTTGCAATTCCATATTTCTAACAAGCTCCTAGGGTGAGCCAATGCTGCTGGTCTGTGGACTACACATTGAAAAGCAAAGGCATGAAACATATTAGGTCTGGAGTTAGAAGTCCCAGGCCTGTCCCTAGTTTCTTATCTTTGCTGAGCCTCAGTTTCCTCTTTTGCAAAATAAACAAAACAAAACAGTCTTAAATACATACTTTCTGGAGGATGTTGTGAGACTCAAGGGAGATAACGCATTTGAAAGACCTCTACATCGTAAAGTGCCTTACAAACGTTTGTTAGGATTGTTCTGAGGTTGCTGGGCTTTGCCTTCAAAGCCTTCTGGTAGCTGGGCGTTGCTGACATGGCGAGTGGGGCTGATGGACTGATAGCAGCTCACAACCTTGCATCCGTTCCATGGTGCACTCACGTGAAGCTGTTTCTCTGGAAGCTGTTATTTACTGAGCCAGATGCTATGTGTCTCTCCCTCCGCCGTCTGATTGCTAGTCTGCTTGTGCTCCTGGCCCTGACCCAGAGAGGCCACATGGCTTTCAGCTGTGCTGGGGCATCCAGAATGCATTCCTGTCTCTCCCGGCTTGTGGGCTCTCCCTTCAGCTGACCACACGCTCAGGGCTGGCCCTGGGTGGGACTCTGCATTAGGCAGTTTTCCCTGCCAGTTTTTCCCCTCAGGCAGCCAGTGCCCTCATGCCCTCCTGCCCCCGTGCCCTCAGCTCACTCCACCCAACCCGCCCCCATCAAATGCTCATGTCAGGAAATCATCTGATATATGAATTCACATCGAGTTGGCAATGCCTGATAAGGCTTGGGGTGACCTCTCCATAGGGGATGAAGTCAAGATGGCAGTCAGAACCACAAGGGAATGGCTCAGGGATAGGTGCCTGGAAAGGGTCACATTTTCGGAAATCCTAGTCTTCAGTGTCCTGGATCTGTATGCCTTACCATTTTCCATTCCCAGCCAGAAATGCTCAAACTTTGCTGTGTTCCTGATCTTGCTCCTGACTCGTATGAGTGTGTCTGTGAAAGCCAAGATTAACTCCTTTGATTTTGTAGACTGATGTGAGAATCTGGCAGGTCTGACTTTCTTAGCTGTGAAGATGCTTGGGCACAGCTACCAAGACTGATCGGCTTCCTGCGTGTGACAGTCATGGCAGCTGAAGCTCATGTGTGGGACGTGTGTGTCCTGGTGATGAACACCCTCCCTGGCAGCTATAACACTACCCCTTCCTTTCTTGTTCAAGCGAATGTCATCTAAGTAAATGAGAATATTATTATAAGGATAATATTGATTTGCTCTGATTATTATTTTTTAAGTTTTCTTAAACTTTGGTCCTTTTCTTTTTTTTGAGACAGAGTCTCAATCTGTCACCCAAGCTGGAATTCAGTGGTGAGACCTCGGCTTACTGCAACCTCTGCCTCCTGGGTTCAAGCCTCCTGGGTTCAAGTGATTCTCATGCCTCAGCCTCTCCAGTAGCTGGGATTACAGTCATGTGCCACCATGCCCAGCTAATTCTTTTCTTTGTATTGTTGGTAGAGATGGGGTTTTGCCATGTTGGCCAGGCTGGTCTGGAACTCCTGACCTCAGGTGATCCGCCCGCCTCAGCCTCTCAAAGTCCTGGGATTACAGGTGTGAGCCACCGTGCCCAGCCAACTTTTGTTCTTTTCTTAACGTCAGTGACAAATAGCAGCATTTAATTCTTGACTCTCTGTTCACTTCAATATTGGGGCCATAGACAACCTACTCAAGAAGGGGATTTGATTCTATACACCAAACCCACTGAATACCTATTATGTACCAGGCTGCCAACCTTTGAAGATACAAAGATAATTAAGACATGGGCACCACATCGCCAACAGAAAAGGGAGAGGGGGACTTGTCTCCTATGGACTTAATATCCTCTAGGCTTTCATCATATCAACAGTACCTCTAGGCCAGGCACAGTGGCTCATGCCTATAATCCCAGCACTTTGGGAGGCCAAGGCAGGAGGATTGCTTGAGCACAGGAATTTGAGACCAGCCTAGGCAGCATAGTGAGACCCTGTCTCTACAAAAAATTTAAAAATTAGCCAGATATGGTGGCCTGTGCCTGTGGTCCCAGCTCCTCGGGAGGCTGAGGCAGGATCATTGATTGAGCCTAGGAGGTTGAGGCTACAGCAAGCCATGATTACGCCACTGCACTCCAGACTGGGTGACAAAGCAAGATCCTGTCTCAAAAAACAAAACAGAAAAATAGTACCTCTACTTGCCTTTAAAGCTCTTTCTGCCCCTCTTTCATTCTTTTTCCTTCCTAGATAAATCTTGCTTTTCATTTTTTTTTTTTTAGTTTGTCAGGTTTATTAATTCTCTCAGCTTTCGAGTTTGTCATTATTGTTTCCTGATTCTTTAATTTTTGCTTTTTTGTTTCTTTCTACTTTCTTTGAACGTTCTTAGTTTTTGAATAGAATACGTAGCTCACTAACATTCAATCTTATTTTCTAATCATATTTAAAACCATACATTTTCCTATAAAAACTATTTTCAGCCAGGTGTGGTGGCTCATGCCTGTAATCCTAGCACTTTGGGAGGCCGAGGCGGGCGGATCATGCGGTCAGGAGATCCAGATCATCCTGGCTAACACAGTGAAACCTCGTTTCTACTAAAAATACAAAAAATTAGCTGGGCGTGGTGACGCACGCCTGTAGTCCCAGCTACTTGGGATGCTGAGGCAGGAGAATCACTTGAACCTGGGAGGCAGAGGTTGCAGTGAGCCGAGATTGCGCCACTGTACTCCAGCCTGGGTGACAGAGCGAGACTCCATCTCAGGAAAAAAAAAAAAAAACTATTTTCACTGCATCCACAAATTTTGATGTGTATTGTTTTCATTATTATTTGGTTGTAACAATTTCATAACCATAATTATATTTCTTTGGTTTAAGTCATTTAGGGGAGTACTAGAAGTTTTCCAAATAAATATTTTATTTATCTTCTTGAATTTGAATTTTTATTTCACTTTATTGTGGTCACAGAACATATAAACTTTTTGGGTGTTTTTTGAGAAGTGCTTTAGGATTTACTTTTATAAATATTTCGTCATGTGTTCTTAAAAAAGTGCGTCTTGTCGATTTTGGGGTGTAAGATTTTATATACATCTATCAACTCAGGACTTAATAAGTTTTGTTCAAATGATTTCTATTCTTATTCGATTTTTGGCTTCTTAAGCTTCATGTTTCTAAAAATGATGAATAGAAATCTCCTACTCTGTGTATTTGTTAATTTCTCCTTGTAATTGTCTCAATTTTTGCTTAGTGTATTTCAAGCCTATATTGCTAAATGCGTGCAGATTTAGTCTTATTATATCTTCCTGATATAATATCTTTAAGTAATGATCTTCTTTATCCTTATAATGCTTGTCAGATTTTTTTGTTTTGCTTTAGACTCTGTTTGTTCTGATATTAATATTGCTACAGCAAGCTTTTTTTAATATCATTTCCCCCAAAAACATTTTTGTGTTGTTACGGATTGTGAACAAAATAGATGAACTTTTGAAATCCAGTCTGAGAATCTCTATCCTTTAGCAGATACGTTATATCCAATAACATTATACACAGTGAATCTCTTAGTTTGCCCAGGTTTTAAGCCGGAAGTATCCAGAGGAACTGAAGATGTCATTGCCATTCCCAGGAAAATGAACATGAATTGTTCACTCATAGCTCTCCTGAGAGAATTGCCTGGGAATTGTCAAATTCCCTAGTCCTGGAGATGACCTCATCTTGTGCTTATTTTACCTTTCTCTTCCACTTCAAGTACAGTCATCCAGTCTGCCACCAGCATCTATTAGCCCTAGATGTGTCCCGTATACCTCTAGCCCCCACTGCTTGGCTCACACAATCCAAAGGAGGATTTTTTTTTTTTTTTTTTTGAGACAGAGTCTTGCTCCATTGCCCAGGCCGAAGTATAGTGGCATGATCTCGGCTCACTGCAACCTCCGCCTCCTAGGTTCAAGCGATTCTTGTACCTTAGCCTCCCGAGTTGCTGGGATTACAGGCACACACTGCCATGCCCGGCTAATTTTTATAATTTTAGTAGAGATGGGGTTTCACTGTGTTGACCAGGCTGGTCTTGAACTCCTGGCCTCAAGTGATCTGCCCACCTTGGCCTCCCAAAGTGTTGGGATTACAGGTGTGAGCCACTGCACACGGCTATGGGAGGATAATTTACTTGGGATGTCCATGTCCTTCAGCATGTGGGCGGGATGGACAAAGGAGTTGACTCAGTTCAGTAGTCAACACCCCACTGGTTACTGAACCCCACTTAGTTCAGTAAGCAAAAGTGAGCCCTCTTGGCATCTACAAGTCTGAGGCAACCCTTTGCTCTCCAGGCTTTGTCCACCTGAATCTTCCTCCGTCCTCTTCTCCCTGAGTTGCTGTGGTTTCTCCCATCCCATAGTTCCCTCCACAACCCTCCCTCCTTGCATGCACAGGCAAACATACACACACATATGCAGATTCCTATGCTGGCTTCAGTATAACTGGCTAGGGAGGAATTTGCTTTGAAGAGTCTCATTGGCAGGAATGTCTCTGCTTTTCTTTGAAGTCAGAAAAGCAGATATTTTTGTTTGGGGAGTAGAAGTGGGGAAAGGTGAAGTGTAGGTAGATACCTTGATCAGGTGAGCAAATGGCATGAGTGGGGGAGATTTAAGCAGCACCACAGGTACTCCGTAGTGAGCCCTATGTTTCCTGCCCATAGCAGGGTTGGGTTTAGAGTCTCCAGCTCTCTTCCCATCCAGCCTGAGCTTACACCTCAGAAGGGTAAGCTTGGGCTTGACTAGGGAGGTGGTATCCTTTCTCACATTCCTATCTTAGTGGCTTAGGAGCTTGAAACTGTGGAGGAGGCGTAAGAGTCTGTGGTCTGGGGAAGGTTGAGGCTGAAAGCCCTGAATGGTTAGGAGGCAAGGGCCCTGGTATTTGTGCAGCACCTGAGGAGTCTGCAGGGAGTACAATACAGGCACATCAACAGAGGCCCGAGAGACCTTGGGAACACAAGAGCACACACCTGTTGTCAATGCTGTACTACCTGTTGGCTCAGCAAGAGCTCTCTTAGGGCCTAATCGGATGCCAGGTGAAGTGCAGGGACCCAGGGAAACAGGAGTGACAGAGCGTGGGTGTGGGAGTGATTTGAAGGATATGATGAAGGGGACTTTTTAGTATCATTAGGGCCATCGCCATCACCCAATCTCCATTGAACTGGTAGACTCCAAAGACCAGCTCATCAGAGACTCTCCCTGGGACCACGGTTGGTTTCCATTCTTTGAAAGCCTTTCTGTTAGTGAAAAATGATAGAAAGGATCAGATTTACTTGATAACGAGAGGGTTCTCAGAAACTATAACCTGTGCTTAGGAACCAGACAACCCCATTAAAAATATATGTTCACAAATCATTGACTGAAAATGATACCCTGCCACAATTTCTAAACAATGCTCTGTGGCCAATAATCCTAGTTTTCAGTACTCAAGGATAGGGTAAAAGGCAGTACCGGTGTGGGTAGGCGCATCTGTACAGCACTTTCCACTGCTTAAGCTAAGAGACCAAAGCTTCCACATGTGCTGTTACCTGGAGCAGGAGCTCTTTAGCCTTCTCACCTAAAACAGGAACTGAGGCATCTTTTCACTTGGTAATGTCTTCCTTCACTTTGGTTCATCCCCAAGCATGCTGTGATATAACCAAGCCACCTAGTACTACCTGGCTAAGGCTGGCCAGGATGGACAGAACCAGATAAGGATAGCATTCTTGGCCCTGGGAGCAGGGCAACAAGAACTCCAGGCCAGGGGCAGCAGCCCACAGCACAGAGTGGCATGCGTTTTAATTCCAGGATCCTTTTATCCCCCCTGGATCTCAGGTTTTCCCCAGGCACCTAGAACACAAACCCAGATCTCCTGATGGACTCTGCACAGACATCACTCTTGTGTCACTCAGTTGCTTGGCTGAGAACAGACTCGAGGTTTGTCTGCAGCACCTTGGAGATGTGGAAGCGCTTTCTGTCCCCCTTGACTTGCCTCGGGCCCTATCTCCTCTGGTGGGGGTGGAAAGGCAAGTTGTCGGGAGCAGAAGGTACATTGAGTTCTCAGAGAGCACCTAGATATCAGTCCCACTCAGAGTAGGCAAACAGAGCTCTGGAAGAAAGCATCTCAGCAGCAGTGTGTGGGTGGGTCCTTTCATCCTCAGCACCCGGCGGTTAGAGTAATTGGCACAATTACTGATTACCACCATGGCAGGTGAGATTGTAATTGGGCTTGGGATGGGGGCGGGTGGGCACACCTGAACCTAATGAAGTGGGTTTAGGAAACTGAAAGCTGGCTTGTTGATAGGGAAAGCTCCTGCACCTGGCGCCTCCAGGAGGCAGAATCTGCTCCAGGGAACACCTTGGGGCTTGGAGTTGGGGGTTAGGGCAAGGATGGAGGGGCTGATGGTGGGCAGAGATCCTCAGCTTTGGGTCGCCTGTACACAGTGCTTTGTCTTGCTGACAATGATGCTAATAAACTCTAAGTCACATCTAGCCCTTGGTTTGTCTTTGGACATCAAACCTAGGAAGCTCTGATGATGGCTGCCCATCGTCATTCAGGCCCCAGGCCCCTACCCACCTCTCCTGCCTTTACTAACGGGTCCAGAAGTCTCACTGCAGGCTTTATGCCAAGCTCAGAGGTCTGAGAGCCCTGGGGAGCCATGGAGGAAGTGGATGGCCTGGGCAATGATGCCTATGTGTGCGTCTCGCCTGTGGTCTCAGGCAGGCTGCAGAGGCCACAGGGCAGCATTGTCTTGGGCTCAGCTCCCCCTCTCCCTACTGGCCACGCTGACCTGGGCCTCCCAATCCCATCTTGGTCTAGTATCCCTGTGTCTGGAGACCCAATGAAGAGGGTCTGATTATGAAAGTTTGGGGCCAGACTTCTATTGCAGAGGTTTCTTTGGGCTCAAGAGGGAATTTGGGCCACAGGGTAAACAAGCTGAGTTCCTGGGAAGAAGTGCCCCGAACCAGCTGTTTGAGGTTGAAGGAAAGCTCCCATTGTCCTGGGCCAGGCCACATAGAATCATCTGCAGGAAGCAGAGACTGCACTTTCGCCATAGGATATGTCCCCCTTTTGTGGCTAACACATCCTCTGGCTCTTTATTGAGGACTTCAGTCTGCTTCATCTCTGCCCCCAGTCATAGACCTGGTCCTTAATGTCCCACAGGGCTGGAGAAACTTCACCTCAGTGAGCCCAGTGGCTGGGTCTAGCTCTGGGGTTGAGCAAGAGATGAGAGATAATACGTAACCTTTTAGAGCCAAAAGGTTAAGAGGAGGCAGGGGGTTGTCCGAGTTGGACAAGGAAGCCTCATGGTGTCTGTAGCAGGATTTGGGTCACTGAAGGGCTCCATCTGCCCTAATAGCACTAACTGCAGCTCTTCACCAAAATTAATTTTTAAGTGTCCATGTATGGACTCAACCAAGACCACTTTTGATCTGGTGCCAGGGTCAAAGGTGGTCTTGGTTGAGTCCATATGTGGCCCAGGTTGTGGCACATCGTGGCAAGGCCAATGAGCCTCTTGGTTCCCTTACCTCAGGTTATTCTCTGTTCCTCACTCCCATCTCCCACTCGGATCCATTCTCACCTTTCTCTGTCCTGTTCTGTGTCCCAGGAGGCTGGCTCTCTGGACTACGTCTGGGTTGGTCAGAAACTTTCCTAGGATTCTTCTAAGCCTAAGGAAGATATTTTGGGAAAAGAATGTCCTTATTTAAAGCTGGAAAAAACCCAGTGTGATTCTTGCTGTTCTAGTAAATTTATCAATCCCCTATAATTTTCTTGACCCCAAAGATAACAAGCTGTGCTCTTAAAGAAGGGCGTAACCACATCCTTCCCTTTTGTGATCTCTTTGCTGCCCTTCTCTTTCCAAAACACAGCTTTACAGACCAGGCAGAAATGGTCAGTCCAGCCCACAATTCCAAGCATGGTTTCCCACCACTCTGAACATATACATCCTGAATAGTTCAGACTCCGATCTCTGGGAAGCCCCTAATGTCCCTTGGCCAGAAGCTCCCACAATGACATATGATACCCTCATTTATTCCTCCAAACCTTCTCCTGTCATGGGAGGTGGCTGTACTCATAGAGCATCCCTGAACTAAAGGGCCAAGATATGAGCTTCGCTGTCATGGGAGCCTTTCCTCTTTCAGATCATTCCTTTTTTGGGTGCCACTGGCAAGGGTATAGCCATAGCAACAGTGCCAGGGTCAAAAGTGGTCTTGTTTGAGTTCATACATGGCTCAGGTCATGGCAAAGTCAACATCATGGCAAAGCCAATGAACCTCTTGGTTCCCTTACCTCGGGTTATTCTCTGTTCCTCAATCCCACCTCCCACTCGGATCCATTCTCACCTTTCTCTGTCCTGTTCTGTGTCCCAGAAGGCTGGCTGTCTGGACTATGCCCCCATGGACTCCCTCACTGAAGGGCTTCAGACAGGGTCCAGCAGGGGAGGCACTTTCAGGGGATCTGAGGGCCAGAGGAGAGGGAGGCCAAGTATTTCTCCCTCCTTCTCCTTGCTCCAGGGCCAAGTCTCTGTGCAGTGACTGCAGTTCCTGCCAGGAGTCCCATTCTCCATGCTTCCAGCTCTCTCTGGGCTCTGGTTGCTATTTCTTTCCTTATCCCTTGGGCCATTGAGATCAAGGTGGTAATGATTTCCTAATATTCCTACAGTCCATTTTCATTCCCTTAACCTTGCCTACACCTCTATCAATTGACTTTTCTTCAAGGTCTCTTCATTTGACCCCTCTGGGGTGAATTGTATTTTCTGCTAGGGCCTTGTTGGATACGTCTCGCCTCCTTCACTTTCCAAACAGCACTTGCTGGGATCCTTGTGTCAGTGCTCAGAGTTTCACTACCATTGCTGTCTAAATGAGACATCCAGGCTCTGGTCCACTCCATTCCTCCCATTTGTAGACATTGATTCCACTCTCTCTCCTCATCAGCCAGTCCCTCTGTGGAGAGGAGAGCTGGTGGTGGATGCTGGTGGACTTGGGCAGGAGGACATTGCCTTTGCCATGACTGCACAGCTGTCTTCCCACCATAGCTATGTCTTGCCACATTGGCAGGCAGGGCTCCTGGGGATTCTCTTACCTCAAGGGGAACAGTGCAAAGAGTGAAGGGCAAGATGATACAGGTAGATATAAACAGAAAGGAAAAAAAGAAAAGAAAGACAGATGATATTTCCATGCCAGGCAGGAGGTGATGTAGCTTCCAAGAGGAAGGGGAGGTAGAACATGGTGCTCAAGGATAAAGCCCAACTCCCTAACACGCATGAAAATAAATGACTTCCCACTCTGGCTCAAACAGCTTTGCAGACTCTCCATGCCACTCCTTTCCCACTGATATATCTGAAGATACTGAGCCCCTTGCTCTCCCCTAAAGTCTCTGAGTGCTCCATATCATCATGCTCATGCTCTTCCCTCTGAATAGAAAACTGTTTGCATTAGTTTTCTAGTGCCGTATAATAAGTGCCACAGCCTAATGATAAATAGCATCCATGTATTAGTCACTGCTCTGTAGGCCAGAAGTCCAGGTGACCCCTGCTAGGTTATCTGTCTGGAGTCTCATAAGCCCAAAATTCATGTGTCGCCTGGGTAGCCTCTTTCTGGAGGCTCTGGGAAAGAATCTGCTTCCAAGTTCATTCAGGCTGTTGGCAGAATTCAGTTCCAGTGGCTGCAGGCCTGAGGTTCCTATTTCTCAGCTGGCTGTCACTGGGGTCTCTCTTGAGTCTGTAAAGCCATCTGCATTGCTTCTCCTGTGGTCCCTCCATCTTCAAGTCAGCAATGGCATATCAAGCCCTTCTCATGCCTCAAGTCTCTCACTTATTCTTCTATCACCAGCCAGATACAATGCCCTGGTTTTACAGGGCTCATGTGATTAGATCAGACCCACCTGGATTATCTCCATTTACCATATAATCATGGGAGTAAGACCAGGGGGTGAAGGTCATGGGGCCATCCTAAAATCTACTTATTTCACTTTCTCTCTTTAGTTCAAATGTTAACTTCTCCATGACACCATCTTGGTCTCTTCACTCAGAATCAACAGCTGTCCTAGAGCTTTACTGACTCTTGACTAGACCTCTTATGATGTATTAATGAGGTATTTGAGAGTAGGCACTGTATGTTACTCATCTTTGTATCTTCTATTGCACCAATGCCCATCACTTAGTAGGTATTCAGTAAACATCTATTGAAAGAAAGGAAGGAAAGAGGGAAGGAAGGAAGGAAGGAAGGAAGGAAGGAAGGAATCAAGGAAGGAATCAAGAAAGGAACAGAAGAGGAAGAGGAAGAGGCTACAAAGACATAATGATAAGGACCTGAAAGAGCATCTGGTTTGAAGGGTCACATTTCTGTAAAGATATTGAGGGTACTTTGGGTCAATCCATTTTCTTTTTCTTTCTTTCTTTCTTTTTTTTTTTTTTTTTTTTGAGACAGAGTCTCTCTCTGTCACTCAGGCTGGAGTGCAATGGTACAATCTCAGCTCACTGCAATCTCCACCTCCCGAGTTCAAGCAATTCTCCTGCCTCAGCCTCCTAAGCTGGGATTACAGGCACCCACCACCATGCCTGGCTAATTTTTTGTATTTAGTGGAGACAGGGTTTCACCATGTTGGCCAGGCTGGTCTCGAACTCCTCACCTCAGGTGATTACCCGCCTTGGCCTCCCAAAGTGCTGGGATTACAGGCATGAGCCACTGCGCCTGGCCTCAATCCATTTTCTTAAGCTGCTTCCTCCTCCTCCTCCTCCTCTTTCTTCCTCTTCAAACTTGATTTGAAAAAGTTTCAGACTCTGCACTTATTACTCACCACTCCCAGAGGTAGTACTACTCCCAAGAACTAATGTTTTATACCTTTGTTTCCCAGCAAAGTGCATGATTGATTCAAAAGAGCCAATTCAAGAGGTTTGTCCTCAGTAGGTAAGCCCAGTGGTCATTCCTTCTCTTGCAGGGCAGATGACAATAGGACAGGCCACGAAGGACAAATTCTGGAGGTGTGGGAATGTTTTCAGTTTCAGACAGATATGAACCAGGCAAGATCCCTGAGTTTAGCACCAAGGTTTTGATGGGGATGAGAAAATTCCAACTCTTTTCTTTTTGGAAAAATCATACATTTTGATAATAGGTTATTAGATTTCTTGCCTTTATGCCATCAACTGAGGAGTAGGGGCAATGATCCCATTAATACAATCCTTCTCTTTCTTTAGTAATAAGGCATGGCTAGACGCACTCCTTCAGATAAGGCAAGTAGCACCAACCCGTGGCCCAGCTGGGCCCCATGTGTAGCCCCTCTTGGTGGAGTTCCGAGCTGACCCTTGCTGGTTCTTTTCTCATGTTTCCAGTTTCTGCTTCTTCCTACCCTAGACCCAGGTACGAAAATGGAGATGGGTGACCTACATAGGGAAGTACATTCTTTTCATGCATTAACATTTTTAAAAAAGTAATATGTGTATATGGTAAAAAGCCAAATGAAACAGAAAGATAAGATGAAAAGTAAACATCTCCCTCAACACATCCCTCACCTGACCCAAGTTTCTCTCTCTAAAGCCTGTCATTGTTGATAGTTTCTTACATCTTTTTCTAAAAAAAAAAAAAATATGGTGCCTGCATTTTAAACTCAATCATAATACCTCCGCAGCTAGTACATGGTTTAATTGGAGACTTATTTCCGCAAAGATCATGTTCTCTCCTCTGAACTATTAAGCCAATTTAGAAGCATTTAGAAAAACTATTTTTCAAGCAAATTAAAGTATTGAACCTGTTTACAGTTCATCCAAGACAAAGATGAAATGTTATTTTAACTTCCCCAAGATAGCAGCTTCCTCTCCCTCCAGCCCACGAGCCTTTCTCAATTCCCAGTTCACCTTTCTCCTGCCCAGGTAAAAGCAGTTAAGACATTTAAAAAGACATATTTGCAAAGACATATCAGTAACTCCCCCACAGAAGGTAAAGTGGACACAACAACCTCCTTAGCACGTTCTCAGTCTGTCCTGATTTAAGCCCTTGTTGAGGGTGGTAACTTTTCTGTTTATAAATAAAACTTCAGCAGAAGCAAGTGGGTCTAATGCTAGGTACAACTGGACTGAGAAAGACCTTAAGTCAAAGACATATCCTTTTTGAGACAGGGTCTTGCTCTGTTGCCCAGGCTGGTGTACAGTGGTGTGAATACAGCTCACTGCAGCCTTTACCCCTTGGGCTCAAGTGATCCTCCCACCTCAGCCTCCTGGGTAGCTGGGACTACAGGTGTGCACCACCATGCCCGGCTAATTTCTGTATTTTTCGTAGAGATAGTGTCCCACTATATTGTCCAGGCTGGTCTCGAACTCCTGAGTTCAAGCAACCCACCTGCCTTGGCCTCCCAAAGTCCTGGGGTTACAGGTGTGAGCCACTGTGTCCAGCCTCAGAGACATAGCCTAAGAGAGATCTACTCATCTAGATATTGGGGCAATCTTAGGTAAAAGTCTCCATCTACTTATTACTACTTACTTATAGGATCTTTTCCATTCCCACTCTCATTATCTATATATCTTTGCTCTGTTTATAGCCTCCTGGGTCCTCCCGACTCTCTAATTCTCTAAACTAGCTTTCAGACAGAATCTAAAATTCATTTAGGTACAAAGTCATGCATAAAACCTAAAGCAGAGTCTCCAAAAGTATGAGCAATGGAAAAATTTCCCACTTGATGCTTCAAGGAATAGTTCCAATAGGTTTGGAAAACCCCACATACTATGTCTCTTGCTTGAAGGTTCCGATACAGATTTGCTCATGGAAGACCCTGAGAAGTCCTGTGTTGAAGAAATCTACTTGATATTGGTTCATCCATTCATTCAAATATTTATGGAGTTCCTACAGTGTGCCGGGGTTATTCTAGACACTAGACTGATGGCAATAAATGAGATCGACATGGTTTTTAATTTTAATTGGAAGAGCGGATAATGCACAATTAAAACTCACAGTTTCAAATAGTGATAAAGACTGCCATAAAGAGTGATGTGGTAAGGGTGTCTACCTTAGATGGAGTGGGGAGGAAAGACCCTCTCTGGGATGCGACATTTGACCAGAAACCTGAATGACGAGGAGGCCAGTTATGTGAAGATCTGGGAAGAGCATCCTGGGCGACGGGACTGGCATATGCAAAGGTGCTGAAGCTCAAATAAACTTTTGCATGTTTGGTGAGACCTGAGAGGTAGGAAGGGGCGAAATCAAACAGGACCTCGTGGGCTACCGCAAGGTATTTACTTTCTCTATAATAACATTTCCCAATGTTTTTGATCATATAACTTTTTTTCTGCTATAAAAATATTTATTAACATCCCATAGAGCTAGTATGCTGTGGAACACCATTTGCCAAACCAGGGTCAGCAGTATTATCCCTCTCCAAATGTTCGTATCCTCTTGAAGGAATTTCTGTTCTAACAGAGTAAAGCTCTGAAGCCAAATTGCAGACTTCTTCTAGCAGATGGGAGAGTATTGTCTTTTTTTTTCTTTTTGATTTTTTAAATTTTGAATCACAAAACATGCCTGGGTAGTCAAAGGTTATTTCAAAACTTTATAAAAGGCTATTTATGTAGATAACTGTTTTTGTAAGTTTTAAATATTTTAATGCCAATCTGCTTCTTGACTATTGGCTTTTTTATTACATAAGTTCCCTAGTCAGTATGGCTGAATGACAGAAAAAGAGGAAAGAGAACAAACAAATTAAGAGTCCTCTGTGGGGGTAAGAGAAGAGCAAGGGAGACTGAGAGTTTTCAGCCATTATCACGGAGTTAAAGATAAAGGCCAGTCATTCCTTATGCTCACTGAAGGACCTAAGTGAATGGGCATGGGCCTCCTAAAAGGAACTGAAATAAGCAATTGGGAAGACCCTCAGGACTAGCAGAAGAATGTGGGACTGTGAGGAATCACTGAAAAAGGGTATCGAATATTCTGACTGTTCAGCAGCCTTTCAGCACCTGGACGGGCTTCTCATCTGCCTCGGTAGATTTTAGGTTAACTTCCTGGACTCTCATTTTTTATTCAAACCAGTGGAAGTGACAGTATGAGGGTAAGAAATCTGGGTAAAGGACCATTTCATGCTAGGAAAGTTAACAAGAAATCATTTCACTATGAGGGAGAACTCAGCTCCTGAAGCAAATTCGTAATAATTAAGATTTTAAAAAGTAATAAGTAATGTATTGAGTGCTTTCTATGCTTCAGGCAAACTTCTAAGTGCTTTTTGTGCATTATTTAATTTAATCTTTATGACACCTCTATGAGGTAGAAAAAAATTATCTCTATTATACAGAGGTAAAGTTGGAGATTCAAGTGGCTTAATAACTAGCTCAAGTTCTATAGTTGTTAAATGGCAGGCCTAAGATTTAAACCTAGGTCAGTTTGAGTCCAGAATCATAGATCTTCATTATTACCTTATACTGCCAAAAATGTGGAGGCAAAACATTGATACTTAACTTGTTAAATTTGAAGGTAATGTAGGGAAAAGGAATCTTTTTATCCTAGGTCTGGAAGTAGGCTTCTGAACTGAATTTTTTTTCTTGTCTTGAGATGAAAAGAACACAAACAGCAGAGCAATAAGAAGACTCGGGTGCTTGTGAGTGGGCAAGATTCCCACGAGAGGAGGCCACCAGGAGTTCACATGAAACACGGATAGCTTCAGCCTTGGATGACAGGACAGATTTGAAAAGTAGAGCCCGAGGCCTGGGAACCCAGAGAGAGGTCCAGGCATCAGCAAATGCAGTCCGGGTGGGAACACAGCAGAGCAGATGTGATTGTGCAGCCTCTGGAGGAAGCATGAATCTAGGAATGGCCAGGAAGGCCAGAGCATGACAACACAGAGGCCCATGCGGACAATTACCTGGAATAACCAGATAAAAAGTGAAAAGACCTTTAAATAAAAACTTAAAACAATAAATTGGGTGGACTGGATAATCAAGTCAACCTTAGTGAGAAGACATGGGAAAGGGATACTGCATATTAATTGTTCCCAGTTCACACCTGCCATCAGATATCTGTCTATATGGCTGGCTCCTCAGTATAACATTTATTTAGCAAGTTTGTTATCATTGAATATTGAGGCACACACATGATACACAAACAGGTATACTATGATTGCACACACAGTTAAATATGAATACGATACTGCAATGAAAACCCATGTACCTAGATTAAGAAAGGGAGCACACCAGTACATCAGAAGCGCCCTGCATTTTCTCCTCCAACAGCTCACCATTATCCTAAGCTTTGTATTAATCATCCTCTTTATACTTTTGCCATCTGTGTGATTGAGTTTTAGACTAGTAAATTTCCTCAGTGTCTTTGAACTTGTACTTATCCAGCCCTAAAACTGTCTATGGTCTCTGGGGATGCATGTGAAGAATAGCAAAATCATGTTTGAGAATATTTGGAAATCATTACTTTCTTATAGCACTGAACACTATTTTGGCTCAGGAGATAATGATATATTTGTATCCCTAAATACTAGACTCTCTCATCTTTCCTGTTTTAAACATTAAATAAATGAAACCATTCTGTATATAGTCCATCACTTACCTCTTTTCTCAGTTTTATGTTTGTGAGACTCACCCATGTGGATGTGAGTTGTTGTAGTTATTTCATTTTCTACTGCTATATAGTATTCCATTTTGGAACATGCCACAATTTATCTATTCATTATTCCATTGACGAATATATTTTTAAGTTTTTTGGCTATTATAAACAATTTTTAAGTGAATGTTTTGTACCTGTCTCTTGGTGCATGTGAACAACAGTTTCTCTGGAGTACATAATTCGGAGTGAAATTGCTGGATTATAAGGTCTGAGCACATTAAACTTCCCTAGGTAGAGATCAGCTGTTCTTTATGGTGGGTCCAACTGACCCACCAGATGAGAGTTACAACTGCCCCACGTCTCTGGTAAAACTTGAGTTGACTGACCTTTCAACTTGGGAGATGTGAAATGATATCTTATTGTGGTTTTAATTTGCATTTCCCTGATTACTAATGAGGACTTTTTCCCCTCATATGTTTACGGATAATTTGTGTTTCCTTTACTGTGAAATGCCTACTCAAATCTTCTGCTCATCTTTCTATGTAATAGTTTACATTTTTATGATTGTCTCATAGCCATCCTTTATATATCTTTGATATTGATCTGTTGTTGGTTAACCATGCGGCAATTATCTTGTTCCACTCTTTGGCTTGTCTTTTCACTATTTTGTTGTCTTTTTTTTTTTTTTTTTTTTTTGAGACGAAGTCTCACTCACTCTGTCACCCAGGCTGGAGTGCAGTGTTGCGGTCACGATCTCAGCTCACTGAAACCTCTGCCTCCCGGTTCAAACGATTCTCCTGCCTCAGCCTTGTGAATATCTGGGATTTACAGGTGCCTGCTACCATGCCAGGCTTATTTTGGTATTTTTAATAAAGATGGGATTTCGCCGTGTTGGCAAGGCTGGTCTCAAACTCCTGACTTCAAGTGATCCACCTGCCCCGGCCTCCCAAACTGTTGGGATTATAGGCGTGAGCCACCGCACCTGGCCATTGTCTTTTTATAGCAGAGATTCTCCACTGTGACATAGTCAAATTGGTTAGTCATTTAGTTTACCCCTTTTCTTTCTCGCTTAAGAAATACCCCTTTTAAAACATTCAATAAATTTTCATTTTAGAGTAGTTTAAGATTTATAGAAAAGTTGAGGCCATGCCTCAACTGCTGGCTCATGCCTGGAATCCCAGCACTTTGGGAAGCCAAAGTAGGTGGACTGTGTGAGCCCAGGAGTTTGAGATCAGCCTGGGCAACATAGAAAGACACTGTTTTTTTTTAAAAAAAAAAAAGTTGCATGAGTATTAAAGAGAGTTCTTATATACACTTCACACCTAGTTTCCCCTGTTATTAACATCTTACATTATGATGGTGCATTTGTGACAACTAATGACCAAATATTGCTATATGATTATTTTCTGAGGTCCCTGGTTTATTTGCATTTCTTTGGCTTTCCTGTTTTAGGATCCCATCCAGGACACCACATTACATTAGCCATCATGTCTCCTTTGGCTCCTCTAGACTATGATGGTTTCTCAAACTTCCCAAGTTTTTGATGATCTTGACAGTTTTGAGGAGGACTGGTCAGGTATTTTTTAGAATGTCCTTCGACTTGGGTTTGTCTGATCTCTTTGTTTCATAGTTACACAGGAAGTATGTGTTTTAGGGAAGAAGACCATAGAGGTAGACTGTCATTTTCATCATATCCTATCAAAGGTATATGCTATTAATATTAACTTATCACCAATAATGTTCACCTTGACCACCTGGCTGAGGTAGTGTTTGCTAGTTCTCCTCACTGTAAAGTTACATTTCTCACCCTTTTCCATACTGTGCTTGTAAAAGGAAATAATAACATGCACACCACACTGAATGAGTAGGGAATGATGCTTCACCTCCTTGAGTGGGTGGTATCTATGTAAGCTATTTGGAATTCTCTTATAGAGGGGATTTATCTAACTAATCTCCCCTACTCATTTACTCATTCAGTCACTAACTGATATTTATTTATTTGTCATGAATATTGATTTATGAAACATGGGTGGCAGAAGCAAGTTTTCACTATTGGAGAGGGAGGTTACAGAAAAGCAAGAAAACAAGGCTAGAATGAACCTTGGAGTTCTGGATGACAGTTAAAAACATTAATATGAACTCATGAACTATGTTGCCCAGGTTGGTCTCGAAATCCTGAGTTCAAGTGATCTTTCCACTTTTGCCTCCCAAAGTGCTGGGATTACAGGTATGAGGCACCAAGCACAACCCTTTAACTTTTTCTTTTTTTCTGAGACAGAGTCTCACGCTGTTGTGCAAGCTGTAGTGCAGTGGCATGATTTTGGCTCACTGCAGCCTCAACCTCCCAAGCTCAAGTTATCCTCCCACCTCAGCTTCCCAAGTAGCTGGGACCACAGGCATGCACCACCACACCTGGCTAATTTTTGTATGTTTTGTAAAGGTGGAGTTTCACCATGTTGCCCAGGTTGGTCTCGAAATCCTGGGCTCAAGTGATCTGCCTGCCTCAGCCTCCCAAAGTGCTAGGTTTATAGGCATGAGCCACTGCACCTGGCCCTAACTTTTTAAATAGGATGCTTAGCACATTAATTTTGAGCTTTAAAAAAAATTAATGTAAACATTCGCAACTATAGCACATGGACTCTAAAGCCTGATTTCCTGAGTCCAATTCCTAGCTCTGCTACTTCTAGCTGTGTGACTTCAGTTAGTTTTTTTGTGTGTGTGCGCTTCAGTTTCCTCATTTGTACTTGCCTCAAGGGTTGTTATGAAAATTAAGGCTGGGTGCGGTGGCTCATGCCAGTGGTCCCAGCACTTTTGGAGGCTTAGGTGGGTGGATCACTTGAGCTCAGAAGCTGAAGACCAGCCTGGGCAACATGGCGAAACTCTGTCCCTACAAAAATACAAAAATTAGCCAGGTATGGTGGCACATGACTGTAGAGGCTGAGGTGGGAAGATTATTTGAGCCTGGAAGGTTGAGGTTGCTATGAGCTATGATCACTGCACTCCAGCCCAGGTAACAGAGCGAGACCCCATTTCAAAACAGAAAACTTAAATGAGTAACACATGTAGAGTACATAAAACAATGTCCACCACATAGTAAATGCTAAGCAAGTATTAGTATTATACACATCCCTCTAAGTACAATTTTAGTTGCATCCATAAATTTCAATATACAGCATTGTTATTATTATGTTCTGAATATTTTCTCTTTTAGTCTATGGTTTATTCTTCAGAAATACATTTAAAATTTCTGGTTGGAAAAGGTTTTTCCTGGACTCTTTATTATTGACTATTGTGATGTTCATCAGTATTTCCAGTTCTCCCTTCCTGGACCTATGAAAGGGTTACTCACTGACCCCTGAAGTTAGTTATGGCTAAGTGACTTACTCTGATCAATTAAATACATACAATTAAATGCTTTCACTGCAGCATGCGATCTTCCATGCTCTTTCCCTTTCCACAGGGATTGGGGAAATACATGTTGACATGCAAGTGCCAGCAGTTCAGACTAGGCTACAACACTGAGGCCCAGGTGGAGAGCAGCTGCCCTGGAGGGCTGTCTGCATGTTGAGCAACGTATAAACCTCCGTTGTGTCAATCAAGCTACTCAAGTTTTGATGTTATTACCACAGCATCATCTAGCCTATCCTGTTTGACATTATTTCTTTTTAGGTAAATTGGGGTCTAAGGATACAATCAGGATGAAAGCAATCCTTTAAATTTGTTGAGACTAGCTTTATGGTCGAACCTGTGGCCAATTTTCATAAACATTTATAAACATTCCGTGTAGGGTTTGAAAAGAATATTCTCTAATTGTTGTATGTTACGTTCCTTACATGAACATTAAATCAAGCTTGTTAATTGTCTTTTCTATCCTCATTCATTTTTTGTTCCCTTAATCTGTCACTTCTCTAGAGTTGTGTGTTAAAATCGCTCACTATAATATTGAATTTCTCCTCTTATCATACTGTCACTTTGCCCCATACTTTTAAGACGGTGTTATTAAATGTATACAAATTTGGAATTATTTTAGCTTCCTGGTTAATTGAGTTAATAACATGTAACTGAAATTTTAAAAACCCTATCTATCTCCATTCTTTAATAGAACATTTACTTAATTACAATTTATTGTATTTATTGACATATTTTGATTTATTGCTACCACCATCTTAAGTGCTGGGTCTCTATTTTTCTATTTTTCTTTAAATTTACTTTTATTGACCTCTTTTGTTCCCCTTTACTTGGTTTGAAATTATATAGTCTACATGTGTTTTGTTGTTGTTGTTGTTGTTGTTTTGAGACTGAGTCTTGCTCTGTCCCGCAGGCTGGAGTGCAGTGACACGATCTTGGCTCATTGCAACCTCCACCTCAGCCTCCCAAGTAGTTGGGATTACAGGTGTGCACCACCAAACCTGGCTAATTTTTGTATTTTTTAGTAGAGATGGGGCTTTGCCATATTGGCCAGGCTGGTCTCAAACTCCTGGCCTCAAGTAGTCCACCTGCCTCGGCCTCCCAAAGTGTTGGGATTATAGGCGTTAGCCATCATGTCTGGCACCTACATCTATTTGTGATGATTTTCCTAGCTATTTTTATATTCATTCTTACCCTAATAAAGTCTGTAGTTAATCAATACCTGCACCTGCCTCCTAAACAATACAAAAATTTTAGAATACTTTAACACCAATCTGTACAACCCAGATGATTTTAATATCTATTCTTTTAGTTCTAGCCTTTCCTCACCACACATAAATACTGGTTAGGTAAATGCTAACCAATATTAACTGTTTAAAACAGTAATTATTATTTTTAAGCAGAAGGAAGATGATCTTAGAATAAAGATATTCATCATTGCTTCTTGCATGTCAGATGGCCAATCTAAGATCATTTTCCTTCTGCTTAAATTATTTAAAATTTTCTTTAATAAAAATTCCAAAAATTCTTGAGAATTTTCTTTAATATCTGTTAGTTGTAAATGCTCTCAATTTTTATTAGAACATATTTTTGTTATGCTCTCATTATTGAAATATAGTCGCACTAGATACAAAATTCTAGGTTCACAGTCATTTTCTTTTAGCACCTTGAAGATACTGCTATATCCTTCTCTCATGTGGCCCCATTATTGCTGTTGAGAAGTCAGAAGTCAGCCATAGTCTATTCACCATTCCTTTGTAGGTGATCTTTCTCCTTAGTAGCTTTCCTTTTTTTTTTTTTTTTTTTTTTTTTTTTTTGAGACGGAGTCTCGCTCTCTCACCAGGCTGGAGTGCAGTGGCGTGATCTCGGCTCACTACAACCTCCGCCTCCCAGGTTCAAGCGATTCTCCTGCCTCAGTCTCCAGAGTAGCTGGGACTACAGGCGCACACCACCATGCCCAGCTAATTTTTGTATTTTTAGTAGAGACAGGGTTTCACCATGTTGGCCAGGATGGCCTCGATTCCTTGACCTCATGATCCACCTGCTTCAGTCTCCCAAAGTGCTGGGATTACAGGTGTGAGCCACCGCGCCTGGCTCTCCTTAGTAGCTTTCAGTCTTCTCTTTTTTCTTTGGTGTTTTGTTTCTTATGATGTTCCTAGATTTGAATTTCTCTTTATTCATTTTTTTGGATTCACTGTGCTTCCCGCAGCTCAAGATTCGTGTTTTCCACAGTTTTGGAAATATCTGAGTTATTGTTTTTTTGAATATTAGCTCTTCCCTATTTTTCCATATCCTTCTAGAACTCTATGAACAATTCAATTTTCTTACTTTCTCCTCTGTACTCCTTAACCTTTCATATTTCCTTGGCTTTGTCTTTTTGGTCTACATTCTAGACAATTTTTTCTGCTCTAGCTTCCAGCTTACTAATTTTTTCCTCAGCTATGTCTAATCTGCTGTTTAATCTACCCACTGAGTTTTTAGATTCAACCCTGGCCGGGCACAGTGGCTCACACCTGTAATCCTAGCACTTTGGGAGGCTGAGACAGGCGGATCACAAGGTCAGGAGATCGAGACCATCCCGGCTAAATGGTGAAACCCTGTCTCTACTAAAAATACCAAAAAATTAGCTGGGCATGGTGGTGGGAGCCTGTAGTCCCAGCTACTCGGGAGGCTGAGGCAGGAGAATGGCGTGAACCCGGGAGGTGGAGGTTGCGGTGAGCTGAGATCCCGCCACTGCACTCCAGCCTGGGCGACAGAGCGAGACTCCATTTCAAAAAAAAAAAAAGATTCAACCCTTATTACTTTTTATTTCTAGAAATCCCTTCTGGTTCTTTTCTGAGTCTTCTTGGTGATCTATATAGTCTCTTGTTACCTGCCCATTTTTGGAACTTCTCTTTAATTTCCTTAAACCTATTAAAATTAGTTACTTTATATTATATCTGAGAATTTAAATATCTGAATCCTTTGTGGGCTTGTTTCTGCTGACTCTTACTCATTATGCTTTATTTTCACGTGTTTTGTGACTTTGACTGTGAGCTGTAATTATCTGTGAAATTTCATCTGTGGCAAATCTTTGAATACTGGGGTGATGTCCTGCAGAGATTTATTTTTGTATTTATTTTTTAGAGATGGAGTCTCACGTTATTTCCCAGGCTGGTCTTGAACTCCTAGGCTCAAGCAATCCTCCCACCTCAGCCTCCTAAAGTGCTGGAACTACAGGCATGAGCTACTGTGCCTGGCCAGAGAAGATTTATATTTGATTCCACTAGTTATCTGAGTAGGAATAGCCTGGGATCATTTTAAATTAAATTTTATGTTTGAGAATTTTTTTTTCTTTAATCACATAGCATATAAATTTGGACTGCAAATCCAGATAGACACTAGCTTGTCGTTGTGAATTTTAAGGGGACATTTATTAGTTCTCCAACCATCCAGAATGGCCCAGGCCAGTTTCCCTGCTATCCTCTTCTTTGTGCAGGTTTATTTCTCATTCTCCTTACACAGAGAGTCCTGGAACCCAGCTTATGCAGATTGATCCCTTGGCTTTATCTCCCGACCCCATGCCCTGCGAAGCCATTAAAGTGAAAGAAAGCTCAAGGTTCCCAGGGTTCTACAGGAACTCTCCAAGTTAAGGTGAGCTTTGGTCCTGGCTTACCAACCTGTGTTCCTATTTTTGCTTCATTTTGAGTTCTGCAGATTTCTTTCTTTGGTGCCAGCCTGGTGATAAATTTAAGATTTTAGAAAATTATTGCTTCAATTGGGAGACTCATTCAGAGTGCCTAATCCACTCTACTATTAGAAATGAAACATCTTTCTCAAGGCTGAGTTTAAGATGAAGGTAATGCTATCTTGACACATCTTTGTCAGTTGTTCTGGTTCCAACACCACTTGACTCTAAATGCCCTCTACTTAAAGGGTGTATACTGTTTGGGAGAAAGAAACATGGCAATAAATCCTTAATTACTACAGATTAAATGTCAACGGATCATCTAATGCAGTAAGATAACAAGAGATTAGAGGGAGACTACTATTAACCACAAAGCAAGAATTGTGTCTCCCCACATTCAGAGCTTTGATAAGGAAGTAAACCAGCTGTAGGCATCAAATCAGCCTCTCTATTGGCCCAGATTGCACTGCTACAACCGAAAGTGTAGACCATATCAGTCCAAAGTTCTTCCGGGATATGGAACACAGTTGGCATGAAGCACAAAACATTATCTTAAGTGCTTTACTCTAAAAATTTCAGATGCTCCTGACTGAGTAGCCCTGGTGCAAACAGCTCCCATTGCTGGGTCCGACTCTGTGCCCCCACACAGTAATGGGCAGCCCACATCTCAGAGGGTTTGCAGACCTCCTGAGATACACAGTAGCTACACCCTTGGCTATTCTTTCCAGTTAATTATCTTCTAGTTCTTGTGAGATGGATTTGCCTCCCTTTTCCTACTTATCATGAAGAGGAAGTGGCCTGTTGGAGGCAATCGGTAAAGGCTTCATGATGCCAATATCTCATAAGACCCCAGGGTCTGGAGGCCACCAGTTCTCTCAGCTGATCAGAGCCGCTCACCTCAAGTCAAGGACCTCCAAGAAATTAGGCTACATCTAAAATATTTTGGGCCAAGGGCAAAAATAAATTGGCTTTGTGTATCAGAGGCAAAGCCATTTTAAGAATAGGTGACAGTATAGCTGATAGACCTACAGATATTTAAAAACATCACAGTCAGGCCAAGCACTCCCTTTCCTTTTACCTCTCATATCCCCTTCCTTTGCTCCCTCCTTCCACCCTAATCAGAGAGATGTGAAGTAATATCTTGTTGAAACTCCAGGGGCCATGAGAGTTTTAAGGGGCTTTGCTAATTACTACAATGAATACATATTAACTATTAAGTTAATATTTATTGAATACTTACTATGCGCCAGGCACAGTGCTAAAGGCTTTATGTAGGTTATTTTACTTAATCTCCTCAACAACCCTATGAAGTCAACAACTCTATGACTATTTTTATCCCCATTTTGCTGATGGCAAAACTGATGTTCAGAGAAATCAAATAATTTGCCCAAAGTCATTTGACTAATCAGAAGCAGTCCAAGCCCAAGCTCTTTACCACTACACTGTAAACTTGACTTGCTGCCCCCACCCTCCCTGTAGTTTAAATCCCTGGAGCCTTGTAGAAATGTGATAGGGAAGGCTGGATGTGGTGGCTCACACCTGTAATCACAGCACTTTGCGAGGCCGATGCAGGCGGATCATTTGAGGTCAGGAGTTTGAGACCAGCCTGGCCAACATGGTGAAACCCCATCTCTACTAAAAACACACACACAAAAAAAATTACCTGGGTGTGGTGGTGCATGCCTGTAATCCCAGCTACTAGGGGAGGCTGAGGCAGGAGAATCGCTTGAATCTGGAGACAGAAGCTGTAGTGAGCCGAGATCATGCCACTGCACTCCAGCCTGGTAAACAGAGTGAGACTCCGTCTCAAAAAAAAAAAAAAAAATGTGGACAGGGACATTGTCAGGTACATGGAGATTACCAATCCAATTCCTTTATATTTCAAAGGTAGGGGTATTTCAAACCCAAGTGTAGATAGGCCCAGCTAAAGACCAGGCCCCCAGCCAGACTATACTAAAT
The DNA here is from genome assembly GCF_000001405.40 of Homo sapiens. Taxonomy (NCBI): domain Eukaryota; kingdom Metazoa; phylum Chordata; class Mammalia; order Primates; family Hominidae; genus Homo; species Homo sapiens. The sequence continues at coordinate 47,911,243 of NC_000012.12, read as the reverse complement.
ACAGAAGCTACAACTCCTAGAGGGAGACTTTCCAGAGAGGAAGAGAATGGAATGTGGTGTCTCTGAGCCAGTCTGTCTAGTTCCTGTTCCTAAGATGAATGTTTCCATGAAATGGAAGCCACTCATTACTGTTGATGATGAATCTCACCCTGTGTAGTGTGGCTTCAAATAGTAACTAATGATAGTACTTTGAAAATAATATTCATATGTGGGATCACAATTATTTTTTTGCAATAGGGTTTTTAAATTAAAAACATTTAGAGACAACTTCTTGGCTGTTGGACACATGGATGATAACAAAGCAACACACCACCACCATCATGCAGTCCAGAACAAATCCAGCTGGAAGTGGAGGTGGACACCAGAAACAACAGTTTTAACAATGGCAACACTTTTAACGACATAGGACAATGAGGCAAACACAACCAAAAGGGCAGCCATGCTTGGTAGTAAGTTTGTCCCAGGCCAGAGGCCGAAAGCAAAGGAGAAGAGCTGTCAACAGCCACATCTTTCTGGAGTTGGGGCCCCAGGGGAGAGTTGTTTAATGCATTCCTGGGCTGCTTATGGAATGTCCTTCCTGTTCTTCTGGAGAAACAAGCAGGCATGCCCAAGATGAGGCTTGTGGGGCTTCTACTCATTGCTATGAAGGAGGTCATTGCCCAATCATCTTCCCTGAAAACTTTCCTATGGGGACGGGAAGCTTCTTTCAAAATAATCAGCTTTTCTCTACTGACCTCTTCAGCTGCAATGTGACACTAACTCCATTTTCACCTGCTCCCAAGATACTGACTCCCATGCCATGGAGCCCCTCCATTTATCTCCACCCCTGGGCTCCTCCACAAGACACTCTTCCCCAGAGGAGCAGAATAAGAATTCCCCAAAGGCATTGGGAATGAGGCTTGCTTCATCTCCCTACAAGAGTAATCATGGTGGTTGCAAAACCCACAGCCATAGTTAATCATAGATGGGAAAGGACCCTGAACCTCTAGTCTATTTTGCTGGTCTCAATGGTTGGGGTTGGGGCTTGGAGAAGAGTCATCATTGTTTGCTTGGATTTGGACAGGAGCCCAGCAAATACCTAGTAGCCTGGGAGAGTTCTGAGCTGCGTTTGCTTGGAGGTGCAGGTGGGAGTTTAAACCTTTCTCTGTTCGGCCTCTAGGCTCTACTTTACCATGCCAGCAGACGCTGTGTGCAGGCCAGCAGGCTGGCAGCCTGGGGCTTGAGGATGTGGGAGCAGGTGGGAAAGACAAATACCAAAAGCCCCGAGGAAGAAGACATGAGCTGGGCTACTGGGAATGGAGCCCTGGAGCCAGATGGATTTGGAGTGAATAACTGGTGGTGCCCTACTCTTTCTAGGGCAGGCTGAGTCTGTGTGCATTCACTTCTCATGGCATTGCACAGGACTCCTTGGAGCTGTTCTGTTCTGTTCTGGAGCAGTCAAGATTTCTGAGATGCCATAGGCATCATGAGGCTAAAAGAACCCCCCAAACCTGGAAAATACTTGTGAGTGGTAATATATCAGTTGAGTAAAGGCCACAAAAGCAAACATTGGGTGGATACATTCTGCCTCAGTGACCTAACCCTGACCATGCACCCTTGGAGGTAGAATCACCAAAACCATCATGTATCCCCTGCAGGGTTCTGAGGGGGCTACTTGTAAGCCATTGATGGTCTCGCAAATGTATTTCTGTGAATCTCATGTTCCAGATTCTAAATGAGGGGGTCCTATGGTGAGAGGGACTTGTTCTGTCATTCAGAAAGGCAAGATTCCATCAACTCCCTGGATGGAGTCTTCTGTCAGTTGGCTACTCAAACAATAAAGTCCGCCTAGCCCATGATCTAGGGCAGGATTTTTTTTTTTTTTTTTTTTTGAGACAGGGTCTCACTCTGCCTCCCAGGCCTCAAGCATAGTGGCATGATCATAGCTCACTGCAGCCTTGACCTCCTAGGCTCAAGCGATCCTCCCACTTCAGCCTCTCAAGCAGCTTGGACTACAAGCGCACACCACAATGCCTGGATAATTTTTAAATTTTTTGTAGAGATAGGGTCTCACTATGTTGTCCAGGCTGGTCTCAAACTCCTGGCCTCAAAGTAATCCTTCCACCTCAACTTCCTAAAGTACTGGGATTACAGGCCTGAGCCACTGTGTAGGGTAGGATTTTTAATACTGTATTTTGGGTCACAACCCATTAATGGGCTGTGAAATAAATTTGGTGGATCCCAAAAGGAAAGGAAGGAAGGAAAGAAGGAAGGAAAAGAAAGGAAAGGAAGGAAGGAAGGAAGGGAAAAGCAAGGAAAGAAAGAAAGGAAGGAAGGCAGGAAGGAAGGAAGAAAGAAAGAGAGAAAGGAAGAAAAAGGAATGAAAGAGGGAAGGAGGGAGGGAGGAAGGAAGGAAAAGAGGATAGAGAAAATAATAGAAAACATTGTAGAACATCTTTTGTATCAGGAACTTATATATATTCCTGAGTAAACTAGGTCACAGTAAAAACTTATTTCTTATTATGGGTTGCAGTTAAAATTTTGAAAAATACTGTCCTGGGAAGACCCCTTGGTTTGCTTTCATTGCTACAGCTTCTTACATTTATTCATTCTATTTTTACCATCTGGAACATAAATAAGGAGAGTCATCCCTGATCCTTTTTGTCTTAACTTGGGTTAGGAAATATAAATGAATTAATCTTTCTGAACTTAACGTGTGTTTTTTAAAAAATCTCTAAAACAAGGGAACAAACTGAAAAGATGGCCTGGTCCCTTCTGTCTTTCTAACTCCACGCTCATGTCTCTCAGAATGTTCTCTGGGTGTTTACTGAAGAGAGGCTTCTCTTCAGTCCTACCGTGCTCATAACCATAAAATATTTAAGGGGGGAAAATGGCCCTAAAAAAGGGAAAAACAAACAGTCAGATGGGAGTGTTCCAGAGAGAGCTCAAAGGGCACATTTTTACCTGCAGAGCAGCCTTTAGACAGCTCAAAAAACCTCTGTCCATGGGGACAGGGTCTCTGGGAGACTCACAGGGACAAAGTGACCCACTCTAGCTCTGACACCACAGCAAGAAGTGCAGAGAGCATCAGCCAGCCTCGAGGACAGTGGCCAGGCTGCAGAAAAAGGAAGCCCAGAGATGAGGACAGGCTGCAGTCCTGTGGCCTGACTGTAGCCACAACTGCCCAGGCCATCCCCAGGTGCCTGGAGCCTGGCAGAGAGGTCAAGAGACCAGGCCCTGCCTTTCTTTGGACTCTGTGGAATGAAATGCACAGGAATGAAATGAATGAAACGAAATCCTCAGCCTAGTACCTCTGGAATCTTTCCATCAAAGTCAGATGCACCGGGAAGGGCTCTTTTGTTTCTATATAGATTTTTGAGTCTATAGCACTATAGCAGAGTATCTAGCACACCACCAGACTTGGCTAATATTAACCAAGCAAGTGCTTACGAGATATTCCCTGATGTAATTTGGCAGAGATGAGTACTGACAAAAAACAATCTGTACATCCCAATAAAGACCACTACCCATCCCAGGGATAAGTGAGAATATGAGAAATGTTAACTTCAGGGAAAAGAAAAATTAATGTCTTCTGCAGAGGTTCTGGTACCTGGTTTATGGAGAAGTCAAGATAGGGGAATTTAAAACTATTAACTCTGTAGTGCAGGAATGGTGCTTGTCATCGAGGCATCAAGAGAACACGGTGTGGGACAGCAACCTCCCTTTCCAGTTGTGTACCTGGCTAGGGAGAAGTAGGGTCCAGAGACAATTAGGGATTACAACAGAACACAGGAGAAGTGAATCTCATATGATGTTGCTTTTCTACTTTCACAAAATAACCTTCCTTCTAAGAATAAAACAGGCAAAAAAAAATCTATCTTTGTTCAATGTAAATACAAGATGGTTCATTAGCAGGTGCCAAACCATGCAATATAGAAAATGCATGCGCTACAAAGACCAGAGAATTGACAGTTCCTTTCCTGGAGATGTTGGAAAAGCCTGATGGAATAGGCAGGACCTGAAAGAGGAGAGGGTCTGGAGAGGTGGATGAGAGAGAACAGTTCAGGTATTGGGGGAATATGGGAAGAACATGGTTACAGACAAGGTGACGGGGCTGATGACGGCATGTGCTGGGGACCGTGATGACATCTATAATCTTGCCCATCTGCCAAACGCAGAACCTCTGAGTTCTTCAACTCTGTGAAAAGTGCATGCATGGAAATTTTTTTTTTGTTTTTTAGAGGCAGCATGAAACAGTGGGATGTGCAGAGAGAAGATCTGGGTCCAGTAGCTCTGACACTCCTCAGCTGTAGAAACCTTGACAACTCTGCACATCAGTTGTACAATGGAACGGTATTTTTTACTCTTCATGTCTGAAAAGGCTATGATAAAGATCAAGTAAGATATTCCAAAGAATTTTTAAATTATAAAGCAGTTTACACATGTGAATTACAAGTACCTCTCCTCCAACAAAGGCTGTGAAAAAAGACTAACTCTCAGTTACTACGGAATACTTAGTACGCATCTTCCACCATCTTTTGATAAGGTTTATTTGCAAGATGTCAGGCCAGTCAAGCACCACAAAAGTGACTTCTGAGTGTTCAACCTCTTTCAGAGGCTCATGGGACTTGCAGAGAATGTCCCAAGGTATTGGTGGTTGGAAATTTCCTCTTATGCTTTTCTTCCCACAAGAATCACCGCTAGCTTTCCCACGATGCTTTGGGCAAGGGGATCCTTCCTATTACTTTCATTACAGGTAGAGAATCCATCCATCAGACTGGCAGGACCTCTAAAGGGGCACTTCATCTGTTTCTCAGAATAAATGGTCCATTCCCAAGTTCAATCAAACGCTATGCCTCTCTTCTGTCTTTTGTTTAAGTCTTCCCAGAAAGTTGCCATGATACCTCCATAATGAACTGTTGCAGTGCTTAACAAACTTCACTGTTGGAAGGTTCTTCCTTCTATTTAATCTCAGTCTATTTCTTTTAACCCTATTATTGAGTTGTGAGGGGCTGGTTATGATGTAGTCCAGCATAGCTGTCTCAGAAATGGTTCAGAGACCATTGCACCAGCAGATTTGCTGGGCTCTAGCACTAGTCCTTCATTGATTAGCTGAGTCATGTTGGGCATATCACTTAAACTTTCTATGCCTCAATTTCCCACCCTTTCACCTTGTCCCTCTGAGCCATGGTTTCCTCCTCTGTAAGAGGCGAATAGCAATATCTTCCCTGGCTAAAGGAGGTCATCGACTGCTGGATGATTTTGTGAGCATTTCTATTCCAGAAGATTATGTTGTAATTACTATTTATTTATACATTCTCCCACTGCACAGTGAGTTCTAAGAAGAGGGAACCCCATCTTTTTCACCTGTCCTCTAGCAGATAGAGCGGTGCCTATCACACAGTCAAGGGAAGCAGAGAATAACTTTAAGCCAAAATTTCCTGTGGTGAGTTTTCCGCAGCCATCCACAATTCCAGGTCTCAGGAGGTAGTCTTTATCTTTTCCCCTCACGCCGATGCCACGGGGCGGGGGGGGAAGGCGGAACTCGGGACCAGGGACCAGGGAAGCTGAGACTCAGCTCCCTTGGGTGAGATTCGCGACAGGCCGGGAACGTGGTCAGCCGCGGTCGCTGCCAAGGTGATATCGGGTGGGAGCAATGACGCAACTCCGGTTTCCACTTCGGCCCCCCGGGATATTTTACCCTAATCTGTGGGATCAGGCTGAGCTTCCTGGCGTTCTGCAGCAGTAACAGGTTGGCGAGCGGAGCCCGGGATTTCCCATTCGTGCGGAGCTAGCCGCCGGTGCCAGTCGGCAGGCGCCCCCCAGCGTCCCGCGGACGACGAAGTCCTGGCCTGGTCAGCCCAGGTGGGGGTGACGCACCTGGCTCAGGCGTCCGCAGCAGGCTGGGTAGAACCACGGCAGGAAGGGTGGGGGGCTGCATCCCCGATTAACACAGGCTGAAGCGGGTATCCGCACCTATAATCATCGACAACTCTGTCCCACAGAGGGCAGAAGCGTGCCTTGCCCTATGGACGACGGTCGATGAAAATTTCACGAGTTAGAGTATCTAAGGCTACAGCGTGGCCTATAGGGTGGTTGATTCCAAGTCAAGATGGTTGCAGCGCCAACGGAGCTCCTGGCAAGAGAGGACTGGACCTGTGGGCGGGGCGGAGGGGCGGGGCGGGGCCGGGGCGGGGCCTGACCGAGAGGCGGGGCCAGGTGCTGGGCTGTCTCTGCTTGTCAAAAGGCGGCAGCGGAGCCGTGTGCGCCGGGAGCGCGGAACAGCTTGTCCACCCGCCGGCCGGACCAGGTGCGAACCCGGGAGCAGCGGGAAAGGGGGTCTCAGGATAGGGACTCGGGGTCGGGGCGTCTGGGATACCGGGGCCTGAGCGCCCGGCTGCGAGCATTAGAGTCTAAGTCTCAGCGGTAAACTTGGCTACTGAGGTCCGGGCTGTCGTGCCATGAGGCTGGGACACTAAGGGGCACTGAGGTTTGAGAAAGCTGAAGTTCGTGCCAGGCTGGCGAGGGGAGCAGCGACATCCTCGGCGCTTAGGAGAAATGCTCCGCTAACACAGTGCTTAGCACTTGGGCAACAAGAAGTATTTGTTTCCTTCTTCTGTCGGGGCGCCTTGGCATGGAGTGGAGGAATAAGAAAAGGAGCGATTGGCTGTCGATGGTGCTCAGAACTGCTGGAGTGGAGGGTGTGTAACCTTATTTATTGTCTTACAGGGCCCAGGTATGGTCACCTGTGATGGTGGAGTTGGGTCTTTTAAGTAATTTTTTTTTTTTTTTTTTTTTTTTTACTTTTCTTTGAACTACCAATGAGTTTAGACCTAATTGGCCCTATTTTTTTTCAGGACAGCCTGTCAATAGATGTTCAGAGGAACTCAGGGGCAAGCATTTAAATGAGGAAGGGGCTCAAGGAGTAGTTTCTGTTTGAAAAGTGAGGTGCCCTGGATCTGTGGGTGGTGGTGAGGAAGATTCAGAAGTATCTAGGAGGGAACAGCCTGTGGTCTCCAGGGCCAGTGTACAACTGCCCCTCCTTCTCTTCACCCAGGGACCAGAGTCTGAGACCTAGCCTGGGCTGGGGGAGCCTTAGGTCTCCAAGCCCAGACCCTTCTCACAGTTCCTCCTCCTTCTCCTCCTCCTCCTCCTCCTCCTCTTGTTCCTCCTCCTCCTCTATGCGTGCGGTGAGTGAGTCAGCCTCCTGTCTGGGCTCAGTTGCAGCCAAAGGGGCCAGAGCCCAGGCAAGCAGTTGGGCAGGCATTTTCTGAGCATTGCAGAAGCTCTCCTGGGCAGAGTTCAGCTCTGCTCCAGCTCCCTGCTGGAAGGTGGTCTTCCTCATGGGCAGGGGCTCAGATACCCAACACAGCAGTGCTTATGGAATGGCTATGAGATGATTCTAGCAGGAGGTGACCGTGAAGGGATAGTGGCTTTATGATAAATCTACATCTCATCTTTCTCCTGGGATAAGGAGGTGCATCCCAGCACTGCAGGCTTTTCCAGCCCTTCCTTCCATTTCTGCCTAGTGGTCTCATTAGCAGCCCATCTCTGCTAGTGAAGGGGGTGAGCAAAAGAAATTAGGAAAGTCTGGGGCCAGAGAAGTCATGGTGTTGGCAAAGAAGGCTTTAACTCAGGCTAGGGAGTGAGGGTGATTTGCTGAGGTAGAAATGGGTTATCTGAACATTGGAGCCTCAATTCTATGGACTAAGAGTGTTGTGTGTTGAGAGACCTGCCGTCCCTTCCCTGTCCAAGTGCTGGAGGGAACTGTGAGTCTTTCTGAAACAGTCTCAGGGCTGGCATGCAGCCAGACCAGAAGGTAGTAAGACTGCACATTTCTCCCTGGCTTTTGTTTTGGGTGCTAGAGATCGTTGAACAGAAGTAGCCCTCCCTGCAGAGTCCGTGGCCCCCACTCAGCAGCCTCTCTGGACCTATTTGAGAAGAGTCCTGGGAGGCCAATCCAGCTGTGGGGCTGACTCAAACTGCAAAAAGCTGGGGAATTCACAGTCTATGCTCTGGCTGGGTCCCATGGCTTTGGGTTTGGCTGGTCTTGATCAGCTGTGACTTGGACCCTTACCAAGCTAAAGGAGGGACTAGAAAATGGGGTAAGAAAGGAGGGGAAAAAATGAGAGTTAGAAAGCCTTCCCAACCCTTTACTCCTCTTCGGCAGAGGCCATCAGACTTTGTTTGTATAAACATTATGGAAGGTCGGGTGCTGTTTGGGGTGCCCTGATAGTTTGTGTTTATGGTTTCTCAGTATTCTTCCCCTATTTGACCTCAAAACTGATCTCTTTTGTAACTAAGCCCCAGAGGAAGCTCCGAGAGGACCTCCTGAACCCCTACACTCTACCCCCAGAACAGATAGCAGGTGTCCAAAGCCCAGGCTGTGAATGGAGAAAGGCCTGGGACCGAGTGGGCTACATCAGGTGGCTACTACATCAGGTGGTTATCTAAGACACGAAAGGGAGTTCCCATTGTTTCATTCCTTACCCCACATCCTAAGGAGGCACCGCTGTCCTGGCTGGAATAGGCATCTGGAACCTCTGCTAGAAACTCGCTGTTGCCTGTGCAGCAGTCAGGTCCTAGGGGCCAGAGAGCCAGAGACGGGAGGACCACCTAGATGACATTTGGTGTGTTGCTGAATAAAGAATTACAGGGCTCCAGCTTCCATTTGTCCCTGCTGCAATTCTGTTTTGGATGCAGGTAGAGGGAAATAAGGAATTGACCAGATTTGATTAAGAGCCTCTTGTGTGCCCAGCATGACTCCAGGCCCTCTGAGGGATAGCAGGAAGCAGAACCCACCAGACCAGGCCCCTGACTCCAAGACAGTTTGAGCCCCAGGGTGGGCAGCAGTTCTCAGGCTCTCCCTCCACTATTGTCCAGTTCTGAGAGGATCCAGCTGGGCTGAAGCCAGCCTGGCTGCCACTCTGGGCCACCAAGGCCTTGCTTGTCATTTTGCTTCCCTCTGATTTGTCCCTAACCTTTTCCTGTGTCAGTGCCCTCCTAGATATGCTAGAAAGAGTGCCTGTGTAATGTATCTTGCAAACTGGGATACTTCTGAGAGTGAAAGGGGATGCCATGCATGGTTATACCAGGACAATGGACATAAACCCAAACTTTCCAGGGAAAAATGGAATATTAATCACCCTAGTGATCATCACTCCAAACTCAGCAGAGGTCACAGCAGTGATGAGGGGATGATAAGGTTGGGGGAGGCTTAATGCTCAAGGGAAAACAGGGGTAGCTTAATTCTGAGGACAGCCCCCGACACCCTAGCCTGCTCCCTGGTGTTATCAGCCAATTCTCGTCTTTTCCCTGGGGCGGCACTGCTCCCGGCCACCCTGTCCTGGGACCCAGCCCACCACTCGTGTGACTTCCCTTCACCCTTGACTTGTGACTGGCCTCACCTTTGGTTTTCCTGCCCCACCCCAACCTCAGACAGGGACAGGAAGGTCTGCCAACTCCTCTTCAGCTTCCCCTGGGGAAATTGGGGTTCATAGTGGAGCCAAGACTGGGCCTCACGTTTCCTCTTCCCTCTTCCTCCATATCTACAGCCTCCACATTTTGCTCATCCAGCTTCCCAGACCTCTGGGGACCACACTATCCCACAGAAAGTCTGGCTGTAAAGCAGGTAAGCAGCCAGGAAGGCAAGGGTAGGCAAACCTCGCCCACTCTGATAAAGGACATAGGTCACCTATAATCAGGTTCCGGGGAAATGAAAAGCAAAGTGGAGGCCAAAGCCAGGGAGAAGCTGCATTGCAGGAGACAGAGTCAGTTCCCAAAGACACTAGAGTTTGCCTCTTTGGTCTGGTCTGACTATTGGGGAAATGGTCCAGGGTGGGGAGAGGCTGTTCTTGCTCAATCCAAGTGACAGGCGTTGATGGCAGTGCCTGCATCCCGCTGTGGCGACATGTGGAAGAGAAACTGTCCTGCCTTCTGGGTCCTGGGTCCTCATGGTCCAGATGCAAAGGGTGGGATCCCCAGAGGTCCAGCCTGTGGGTGATCGGGCATAGGCGTGGAGGGAGCAGAGCCGCCACGATGACCATGTAGTGACTCTCAGTTACTCTGCCAGGAAGGAAGTCATTCTCACTGCCAACAAATGAAAAGTGCAAGTGAAGATCTCTTGGGAAGTCATGTCTTTGAAGTGACTTGTGGGCAAGGGGGGTAGGTGGTGAGACCGCCCCACCCCAAGGCTGGCTGGGAGAGGATGGGGGTGTCTGGTTGGTGAATAGCAGGAGTGGAAGGCAGAAGCAGTCAGTACTCTGTGAGTTGGAATGTGTGTCATGCTTTTGCAAACCTGCCCTGCAGGTCCTGTGCCAGGGAATAGACTAAGTGGTGTTCCCAGAACCAGATGCCATACAAAGTCCTCATTCTGCACAGGGGAGAGTCCTGGTCCTAAGCAGGGTGTGGGCAGCTGCACCGGCGGGAAAGCGGAGTCTGTGCAGACTCGGCAGTTGGTTCCTGAGAAGCTGCTGCCTCTCACTGGCCTTCTGATGACAACCTGGAGCTTGGAGGTGTTATGCAAGGTGGGACATTCCAGGCACTGTGGAATACCCATGAGGCCCGAGGCTTTGCTGGTGACACATCCAGTGTGTGCCACCTGCTGGTACTGGAGTTGTAGCTTCAGCTACTTACTGAGCACTCACTTGGTAACAGGTGCTGTGCTACGTGCCTCCCAGACCTATCACTAGGTCTTGTGAGGTAGGAACCAGTTATGTTCCCTTTACAAATGAGGAAATGGAGTCTCTGTGAGGTTAATCAACATGCCAAGCTGTCATAGCCTGTGAGGAGGAAACCCACGACTCCCTCTCAGGTTTGCAGAAGCCCATGCTCTTAACCTGCATGGAACTCTCCCACCTCTGCATTCATGGGATGGCCACAGGGCACTTAGTGCCCTGTCTTGTACATTATACACCCGCAGTAAATGTTTATGAGCTGAGAGGTTAGATGTACTAACTAGTTTGAACAAGTTGACCTGAGAACAGGCTTGGACTGCCCAAAGGTTACTCTGGGGACAGTGGCCTCTCAGAAGGAGGCTCCCTCTGCCAGCACTTTTAGATCTTCATGCCTCTCTGGCAGTCTTGGGCACCTTACTCTGGTTAAGAACAAGAACCCAACAGAGGTAGGATTGTGCAGAGAAATTGTGTGGAATCAAATATGACTCTAATAGTCTGGAAGGCAAATAGGAAACAATCTTTCAAACAGGCATCTTTATTGAAAACCTACTATGTGCTGATTGTCCCATTGGCCAATGGGGAGCTATTCTCACTTTGCCTACCTTTTCCCTCTCCTGGCTATCCCTTAAGGGCTCCTGAACCTAGCCCAGCTGGACGGAGAAATGGACTCTAGCCTCCTCTGATAGCCTCATGCCAGGCCCCGTGCACATTGCTTTGCTTGCCTCCCTCAATCCTCATAGCTTCTCTTTGGGGTAAGTACAGTTATGTTCTCTAGCAGGCATAGTGGGGAAACCAAGGTCTAAAGAGATGCAGCCACCTGCCCAAGGCTGCAGAGTCAGCCTGTAACCACTGCTTTACACGGCTTGCCAGCCCTGGGCCTGGCCATACAAACCGCTTTGTCAGAGCCTGGAGACAGAGGTCGCAGGAAGAGAAAATGCTCAGCCTGCCCCACCCCCTGTGGGTCTCAGGGTTCCTTGGTAGATGACTAAAATTTTAGGTAGTGCTGTTAGAAGCTAGTGGCCTGGCAGAACAGGAGAAACACAGGGTCTGAGTTAGACTCTTGGGTTCAAATCTTGGCGAGGTCGCTTTGTAGCTTGTGACCTTGGGCAAGTTATTTAATCTGTCCAAATCTCAGTGTCCTTACCTGTAAACTGGGTATAGTAATAGCTCCCTTGTAGGACTGTGTGAGGATTAGATGATGTAAGTCAAGTGCCTGGCACACAGTAGGCCCTTGAAAGGCATGTGTATTCAGTAGATATGGGCCAAGAGCCTACGGTGTGCCAGGTACTAGTCAAGACACTGGGAATTTAACAGTGGGGAAAAAAGAGACTCTTGCACTTCTTTTCAAAATTTCTAGCCCAGAAGCCTGTCCTTGTGAGAGGCCCGTTTAGAACTCAGGAATGGCTGTCCTGGCACCTGACTAAACTCAGATTTGGCAAATTGGTTTCTCTGTCATTTGTTAGCTGATGAGCTTGTGAAGGTTACTTAGCTTCTCTGCAACTTGGGTTCTTCAATTCTTTTTTGTTCATTTTTAAAAACCGCGATATATCACATACACAAGATTATATGTTTATGTATAGATTAAAGAATCCTATACCCTGTACCTACCACCTAAGTTAAGAGTGGAGCATTCACAGCACCTTAAAAGCCCCCTCTGCCTCTCCCCATTTGCATTCCCCTTCCTTACTCCCCACCCCAAAGTGAATTTTGGTTAATTGTTTCCTTGCTTTTCTTTGTAAGTTATCATCTATGTAGATTTTACAAAACACTATGTTGTTTCATTTCACATGGCTTTGAAGTTCGCATACCTGTGTGTTCTCTGTGATGCACTCTTCTTTGAGTCAATATGAGTTTTCTGAGGTTCATCCATGTCGATGCACACCACTGCAGTTCATGAGTTTGCACTGCTGTGTAGAATTCCATTGGAAAAATACACCACGATTTGTATATCCTCCTCTCACTGATGGACATTTGGGTTGTTTCCAGTTGAGCTATTACGATAGGACAGTACTGCTAGGGGTGTACATGTTATACTTGTCTTCTGGTTCATGAGAAACTCACAAGAATTTCTGTAGGGCACATACCTAGGGTTGGAATTGCTGCCTCCCATGGAATTCTATGTTCAGCATTGCTATAGGGTGCCAAACAGCTTTCCAAAGTGGTTGTCCCAAAAAACACTTCCAGCAGTGGATGAAAGTCTCCATTGTTCTCCATCCTTTTCAACACTTGATACAGGCTTCATTTCTAAAATGAAAAAGTTGCATTAGATGAGTTTCTACAGTTATAATGATTAGCTATAATAGTTGTATTATTCATGACCTAGGGACCCAATTTCTGGCTCATGTGTGTGCCTGTCTGCTGCACTCTGTACAGGTGACCACATACATGTCACAGCCTGAGACATGTCTCAGAGAGAGCTCTGTGCTGGGCCTCTAAGTACAGTTGAAGCCCTTCCTCTCTGGGCTTCCACCAGCAGTGCTTGAGGGATCCCACGGTTCTACATCCTCCCAAACACTTGGTGGTCTCCTCAGTTCAACCAAGAGCCTGGTGTCAGCAGTGAGCCCATACTATGTGCTCAATTAATACCTGGGGAGGAATATATATTTTCCTTGGGCATCAGTTTTGAGAAAAGGACATGGAAGTATAAGAACCATGAGTTTGCTGGCTAATCAAAGCACACAGGGCTGGGGCAGTGATGGATTCATGTCTGTCCTGGGCTTCTTGATCATTTAAGGGCTCCAGTGAGATGGGGTGAAGTTTAGTAGTCTCTACTGGCCATCTCTTCAGAGTCTGGCCTTGTTCTTTGGCCTTTTGACTTGTTTAACCTGAGAAGCAAGGGGTAGCTGGAGGATTGGAGTGGAGGGAACAGAGGCGATGCCATGGGGAAAGGAGCCAAATGCCTGTAGAGAATCCCTTTCCCTTTGAAGGTCGAATACCCTGCTAGGACTACTGGGGAAAAGAGGTGTTAACTACACTCACCATCCTGGTAGCCACATAAACAGCCAGATATTCACCACCCATCCACCCATGGGACAAAGGAATGTGGCTGGCTGGACAGTTGCATGGGCCACCTCAGCTCTCAACTTTGTAATTACCTATCCAGTCTGTGCCTGTCAGCTCCGGGCAGGCAGGTGCTTCTGCCCTGGGCCTCACTTTGGCTCCCAGGCCTGTGCTGGGATCAGGGACAGGGCTCTACCTTCTCCAGCCATCCCCTCACCCCAATTCCACCCAGTGTCTCTTTCTATACCAACCTTTGACCCTTGTGAGGTTACCATATTATGTAATAGCTGACAATCATAATAACCAATGGTTACTATAACTCACTATGTTCCAGGTACTATGTTCAGTGCTTTTCATGCATTTTCTCATTTATGCCTCTCAATAATCCTACGAGGCTGGTAAAATTATACCCATTTTATAGAAGAGGAAACCAAGGTTCATAGAGATTAAGAGGCTAAATTCCTTGCCCAAAGACATTGAGCTACTAAATCAGAACCAGAATTTAAATTCAGGCTTAAGTCCAGAGTGCATGTTCTCTTCCTCACTTGTGCATTGCCTTTCCTGCAGTGTCCTGGTCATTCAGCTCAGTCTTCCCTCCTCCCCTTCCTGTCTAGGAGGGCTGGAAAAAACGCAGCAGGTGGTACGAGGGTGAATGGGGCAGTTCCAATCTGGCCAGGGAGATGCTGGAAAACACCTTCGGGGCAGAGTTCTTTGTTCCAAACGGCTCTGAATTTCCGGACTTCTGCCAGGGGCAGGAAGTGACTTCTGCCCAGCCTCTTTGGCAAGCACACCCATATCTTGGGTGCCATGATGTTAAGAAGTGGGGGAGGGGCTGCCTCAGGTAAAATTCCATTATAATGAACTCCATTTGAGGTCTGACCGGCTTTGTTGAAACCACGTGCACAGCCTGGGAAACTGGAAATGGAGTGGAACTAATTCGAGGTTGGGTGTCTTTTAGCAAAGCCCCCCGAAGGTTTGGAGCCTAGAAGGAGAAGGAGAAAAGAGTCAGACCCACCCCCAGGTCCTCCTGAATGCCAAGCTCCTGCGTGGTCCTGGGCAGGGCTTGTGGGGAGAGCTCTGTGCGTAACTCCACCTGTCAGTGCTGTCATCGTCCATTCCCCCCACTCTACTCCGAGCCCCGAGAACAGATCTGAATCCTGTCTCTGAAGTGCCCCTGCTCCACACAATAACTAACATGTCACAGATATACTCACTAGATGGTTTTGTCTGTAGACCAGGTGCCTGAGCAAGAAAGGAGGGTTGAAGGGCAATTGCTTTGTGTCATTAAATCATCTTCAAAAACTGGGCTGCAACTCAGATGAATTCTCCTTAGTCATTGCAGTAATTGTGCGCAATAATAAGCACTAACGTTTACTGAGCAGGTACTACGTGCCAGGCACTATGCTGAGCACTTGACGTGATTATCTCATGGACTCCTCACAGACTATGCAGTAGGTGGTGTTATTTTTCTCATTTCACAGGTGAGGAAGCAGAAGCTTAGAGAGTGCATTTCATTGGTTCTTGTTGCACAGCTAGTGGTAGGGAGAATTCAGGGTTGGGCACACCCAGGCCAGCTGCCTCCAGAGCCTGCACTTCTAACCGTGAGCTCTGCTGTCAGTGTGTGCTGGTCAGGGGGCCAGGGCCAGGTGGGTCATGAGTGAGGCTGGAGGGATGCAGACCCGGTGAGATGGACTGGAGAGCACACGCTGGTTGATGGGAGCAGCCCCTCTCGGCCCAGCAGGCTTCCGGCAGGAGCTTCAGCCTGGTGTGGCCAGATTATCTGACTTTTTCATAGAAAGCTGGACATTCAGATTTTTTTTCAAAAATGTAAACTCTTGATTTCTAAAACATTGACAGCCAATTTAAAAAAAATGAAATGTGTAATCACTGTTGGTGTTGGGGAAGGACGGGTGGCAAACAGCAAACATCACAGTCAGGTCTGCCCTGCAGGCTCCACTGCATCCTCTGGTAGTTTTTTTTTAACAGGTAACTGTTATAGAGTGGGATAGGAAAAACCCTGTTCCTGTAGAATTCCTTACTAACGTACTAGAAGGTACCCCTCCCAGAATGTGATAATAGCTTTATAATACAGAGTGTTTCTTCCTTGTGAGTTAGAAAGAAAGCTTTCAGAGTAAGATATTCCAAGAATACCTTCCCCTCCTTTCCTTTCTCCCCTCCTCCTTCTCTCCCTCCCATACTCTGTCTTCTCAGGAAGGTATTTCCTCATAGGTATTAGAAGAAAAGTTGTGTGAGAAAAATCAAAAGGAAACTAACAGAGGATAGGGTCTTAAGGCACAAAAAAAAGGAGAAAGTTTGGGGATGGGCTTGGTAGACAACGAATGAATGGATCATGCTCCATGCAATCGTTCAAGGTGTTTTTTCACAGCCTTCCCCTTTTTACCTGAATTTATTCCTCCTCCTCTCCTATTCTTAAATGCCTGGAAAAATAATAGTAATGCAATAGCTAGTATTTTTATAGAGTGTAATTTTAGAGTGTAACAATTTTTATAACACATTTGAAATATTTATCTCAGCTGACACAACAGTCTTATAGAATCTCCTTTTGGAGGCTTGGTAAAGTCGCAGTGTTTTCTCCTTCTTCCTTGCATTCTGTAAGAGTTGTAGCCACGGAGGATGGAAACTCCTGGCTCCCGCGGGCCTTCCCTGTCCTGCCGCCCTCATGCCCCATGTGGATCCACAGGTGGAGGCAGGTGTGGCAGGCAGTTAGTCTGAGTCCTTGACTAGGGTCCCACCTCTATAAAATCTGGTGCCAGCAAGAGTAAGGGAGTGGACATGGGAAGGGCCCTAAATGGATAGTGACCCCAGTTAGTGGCCCAAGGCCAGCCTCCCCCGCCCCACCCTGCCTGTCACTCTGAGCTATTGTTCCAAAAGCTGGGCAGAAAATAACTCACTGGGGGAATTATTTTCATCTCTGTTAAACTTCAATCCTGGGCTACTGACCAGCCTAGCTGCAGAATTATTTTTCAGGTCAGGGGGAGTTCTGGAAAAAGTAAGGGCAGGGGAGTGAAGGGAAGCAGGAGGCATCTCACCCAGGGGCGGAGACGGACCACCGCTGCTGACATCCTCCCTAGGATGCTACCTGTCTGCAGCCCACCTGGCAGCAACTCCAGCTGAACAAGTGGGGCCCAGCCCAGTCAGAGGAAATGGGGTTTCACCCACAAGTCTTTTAATTGAATCTAGGTTCTGAGCTAGTCCATCAGATTCCTTCTTGAGGGATGTTTGCCTCTGCCAGAAAGAGTATTGAGTGCAGAGAGTGGAACTTCTGCCAGCTGGTTCAGACATCCGGTGGGCAGCAGGCCTGGCTCAGGGCAGCTGGGGGGCTGCAGACAGCTAACCACCAGGAGGGAAAGAAGTTGCTCCTCTAGGGACCCTGAGTTTAGCTCCTCCTCTGTCCTGGGGCAGCATTTATGGAAAGTACCCTGTGGTTTAAATCTGTTCTGTCTTTGCCCCCTGGCTACCAAAGAAAAACAAAGAAGAGGGAGATGACAAATGGGTAGGGCTGGGGAAGGGGAATCATAGCTTGGTGAGGGTTCAAGGCTTAGAACAGAGACAGCTGTTTCCTACCACTTTGTGGCCCTGGGGAAGAAAACTCCAGACAGATTCTGATATTTGGCCTGAAACGTTGAACCAAGAGGGTTATCTTCAATTATAGCTCTGAGGGTAAGGCAAGGCTTGTGTCATGTTGGCCAGCAGTGAGTTTGGACAGCCAGACTCAGGATATGGACTGGCATGTGCCTATCTGCATGTGAGGTGCTCCACACACGTCTGTGGTGAGTGTTGTTTGTGAGCATCGTGTATTTTGCCTGATGCCCTTCCTTAGACAATTCCTGGCAATGAGCAAGTGACCTTGTTGACCAGAACAGAGTAGGCTGAGTGGGCTGAGTGGACTGGTGGAGGCAGGTTTGGGGATCCTGCGGCTGTGGGCAACTCACCTCTCTCTGCGCCCATCAACCATATCTGACCACCCTGGACAGACTGAGGAATTAAGTAAGGATTGCACTGGTGATATGGCAGCTGAGTTGTTCACTAACCTCCCTTCCATCTGCCCTTATTGAATCATTTGTTCTTTCTTTTGATTTTCTCCCACAAAACCTTTTTTTTTTCTATTCAGCTAGGCTGAATTTTTCAGGTCTCTCCTTTACCTCTCCCTTCTAGCTCGACTACTGATGGTCCTATTCTTCTCAGGGTTAAGGATCTCCCTGAAGGACTGTGGGGGACAGTGGCTTTGTGTGTACCCAGGCTGGGACTTCAGCTGTGCTGCAGAAGAGGCCTGTGCATAGCTAACGTCTCAATGAAACAATGAGAGAGGCCCTGTTGTCACAACACTCAAGGTGGATTCAGGTTGGAATGGGGATCTGAATGGGGTCTGAAACTCTTCAGTTTCAATAAATCGTGGCAATAATTAAAAATTCCTGATATTCAAGACTCACTGGGTTTAACTTGAAGAAGCAGAGAAAAGAGTGGAATGTACTTCCTACAGGCCTTTGACATGAGTGTGGCCAGTTATTACGTCTCTTCCTGGCACCCTCTCCCTCTCTCCAGCCACATTGAATGAGTTTCTCTGTCCCAAACATGTTCTTTCCCTTTCGCTCTCAGCTTTTGCATGTGCAGTATCCTCTGCCTGGAGTGCTCCTTACGCCTCTTACCACACCACATTAAACTCCTCTGCTCCTTCCTGTCTCCGTGGAGAGGTTGAGAGGGGACAGCCTCCAAAGAGCCTTCTCTTCTCTTTTCTCACCAAGATGAGGCAGAGGCTCTTGCATATGCTCCCTCTAGACCTGGCACTTACCTGGATCGTAGGATGTGTCGTACTGAATTGGAGGTTCCTGTTTGTCCCCCATCCCCACCCCCCAACCCGCGGTAGACTGTAAGCTCCTAGAGGACAGGGTCTATGTCTTGCTCACCACTGTGTCTCTCACTTCCAGTACAGGCCTTTCCATGTGGCTGGCACTTAAACATAGGCAGGGACCCTATCAGAGATAAGGCAGCAGAGGCCAGAGTCAATGTCCACCACAGTGTGAGGCCAAGAAGAAATGCCGCCACATCCTATCCCTGGCCCTCCAGGGGTGTCCTGAAGAGGGACCCTACCCAGAAGGATGGCCAGAAGCCTGACCAAACAGCTCTGGAAAAGCTTGTTAGGGGGAAGTCATTCTAATCAGAAATGGAGGAGCAGCCGATGTCACCTTGGGGTGACTGCTGCTGCCCTTGAAAGTGAGTGGGAACTTCCTACGTGGCCCAGGTCCTGAGAAGCTGCATGAACACAGTACAGGGGAAGTGTCCACCCTCACTAATAACCTAGAAGATGGAGACGGTACGTTTGGGCAAATCAGCCGTGCATGGGACCGGAGCTGCCTGGTGGAGAGTTAGCCCAGCCCTGCCCATCTCAGAGGACCCTGGGGATCCTTCCCTGATTCTGACACAGGCTTCAGAATCTATCCCAGGATAAGTGAATGGCCTTCCCAGGCCTTCAAGAGCTGGGGCAGCCAGAAGTCCAGGCCCACTGAGCCAGAGCCCACCCCATGTCTAGGTGAAGGGGCATGGCAGGGCCATTCTTCTGCCAGGGCTTCCACGGTTCTCGCTGCCACCTCCTGACTCCAGCCCCTCGGCACCCACCTCAGCCTTCTCCTGAGTTCTGCTTTCTGCTTCAGGTGGTGGTGGGTGGGGGTGGGTGGTGGTGGTGCCGCTGCCCTGGTAACAGACAGCGGGGCATCGGCATCCTGGAGGTAGTCAAGCTTCAGGTCCCACTAGAGTGAGAACAGATGCAGGTACAGGATCAGCACTTGATGATGGGGGAGGTGGGGGATGGAGGTGACACTGGATGAGAAGGGACAGGAAGGATGATGGCTGTAAGGGTGGTAATCAGTGACAACTTGGGAGCCACAGGCTTTATGTTTTACGTGGAGGAAAAGTCCAGATTTGTAGCTCAGCTTCTCTGACTGTTAGGAGAGAGATTAGAACAACTCATTTCTCCTCACCCCAAGAAGTTTTGAAAGAGTTTTAGAAGCCACAGACAGTGGGTGGGGTGGTCAGTTTTTTTCCCAGCTCAGCAAAATTGTGGCTTTCTGGGCAACGTTTGTTTGGGGTGGAGCTTTTGGGACTGAGAAGCAGGCATCCTGCCCTTCACAGCACCTCTCTCGGGCCTGAAGTTCTTCTCATTTTCCTGGATTCTCCATTGATTATACTAAAGCCAGGTACAGTTATAATAATAATAGTTAACACATAAAGCTTATGGTGTGCCAGGCACCCTTCTGAGGGCTACTCAGAGATCAGCTCGTTTGATCCCCACACAAGAACTGAGACTCAGGTATTATCATGTCCCTGTTTGTAGATAAGGAGACAGGAATGGGCTCTGGGGGCATCTGAACAGTGGTCAGGTGGCCAGGGGCATCAGGCTGGCCCAGGTAGCTGGACAAAGGCAAGGGGTCTGATCCCAAGGATCCCAAATATCTCAGAGCTGGTAGGACCTGGGGTTTGAATACTGACCTTTGACACAATGCGGAAGAGTCTACGTGACTCAGAGATCACGTTGGTCCCAGAAGGAAAATAAGGAAAATAAGCCTGGCCACCCTGGATAGGGGTAGGTTGTTGGGCCTCAAAGAGGTTTGCCTGAGCAAGAGTGGCTCAGGCCTGGGCAGGCCACTGTCCCCAGGAGCACCCTCCCTGCCCATCGCGTCCCTCTGCCCCTCCCTCCTGCACATGTCACACTGACCACATCTGTAGACATCTTGAGTTGTAGCTGCAGATGGGGACCAGTGGCTCCCATTTTCATTTTAGCCATTTTGTCTCCTGCACCCACTCCCTTCATACAATCTAGTCAGAATAGCACTTCTAGGGCACACGTTCTCAGTCCAAGCTGTGGGAAAGCTCCCCTTATCCAAGAGAGTTTAAAGGTAGTGACTTGGGTTTTTGCGAGTGTTTTGTTTAGTAAGGACTTGTGGGGAGGAACCGTGCTAAGCCATAACCAATGAGGAGAAGCAAGACAGCCTGTCTGCCCCCAGGAGCCAGTCCTCTGCTCTTCTGCAGTCAGGCCACTGCCTTGGGGCTCTAGTCATTCCAGTGGAAGATGAATGTAACCTGCCTGGTGACGTGACAACCGTTTCCTCCCTGACCCCAGAGGAGCTGGCTCTAGAAGGTTGGGATCAATCCTGAATTTAGTTTATGTGTTAGATTTATATATATATATATATATAAAATATATATTACATACATAATATATATAAAATACATATTACATATATGTAAAATACAAAACAATAACCTTTCTGGGGTTTCTCGTGGCAGTTGAAATAGTCCCTCATGTGGTCGTCAGAAAATAAGCCATTCCTCATACTAATATGGGATAAGCTCCTTGACCTCTGAGGAGCAGGAGTGCTTCCTGCTGTGTGTTTTAGAATCCCTCCCCGCCTTGTTTCGTGGCAGTGAAATGCCTCTTGGTCCTGTCCAAATGTGTCTTTCACTGATTTTTTGAATCATGTTCTAGTTGCTTGGTCCTGCCACATGGGTCCAGTGTTCATTTGAGCATAACTGTACTAAATCCTTTTTCCAGATCAGTATAATAAAGGAGTGATGTGCAATTAAAAAAAAAACAAAAAACCGTGGCTCAGGCCTATGTGGACTCAGGCTGCGGGTCCCAGCGTTAAGACAGATGCTTAGCCTGGAGGGAGGCACACAGGCACACTGGAAGCTGGGCTTGGGAGTGGCTTGGAAGCAGCTTTCTCCCGCTGTCTTGAGCTGCTTTTTTGTTTTTGTTTTTGTTTTCAGAGAAAATCCCATTTAGCCATCAGCTGCACTAACACTAGCAGTAGTTTGGGTCTCCCCAAAGAAGGGCTGGACCTACTCTCTCCCTTTGGGGATGCCCCAGTTTCTATTTCTTGGTCTCCAAGTCACTGAACAAATAGCCTCCTTGTCTCATCAACTTTTCCCTGTAGCAGATATCCTTGGGAAGTACCCCCATGCTAGTGTCCCAGGAAGACCCACCTGGAGTAGAGAAAGCTCAGGCCAGGCGTATCCCACTTTCCTCTAAAGTACTCCCTGTCTTGAGTTCTTGTTCATGTCTTTGGCCACGGGAGCTGAAGCCAGGAGCTGGAGTTAGTCGGGCAGGAGCATGTGGGTGATCCTAGCAACATTTTTGTTTCTCTGTGTTGATTGTAAGAATGTAGTCAATGCTGGGAGGACCTGCTGCAGTCTGCATCAGGCCTCCTACAGGGAACTCTCAGCCCCAAAGGGAGAGTACACACCAGCTTCCATGGCCCATTCCTACCCCACACCACATCCTCGCCCTGAAGCTGCTCAGGCAGGCGATTGGGGGTACTGGACTCGGCCAGGCTGGAGGTGAGAAAGTATACTTCCTTACTGTGTGGCCTTGGATATGTCACTTCCTCTCTGATTACCTCAGAGGAGACTGAGAAGAGACTGAGGCCATCAGAGAGGAAGTGACATGTCCAAGGCCACGCAGTAAGGGAGTATACTTCTCCTCTCTTGTTTTTATTGACTTTCTTAGAATTTTTTCTTTTTATTTGTAGTTGACACATAATAATTGTACATATGGAATACAGAGTGATATTTCAATATGGGTACACAATGTGCAGTGATCAAATCAGGGCAATTCGCTTATGTATTGCCCCAAACATTTATCATTTCTTTGTGTTGTGAACATTCAAAATCTTCTTTCCTAGCTTTTGGGGAATAGAAGGTAAATTATAGTTAACCAGAGTCACCCTGCAGTGTTGCAGAAAACCAGAATCCATTCTTCCTGTCCAGCTTTAATTTGGTATTTGTTAACCAACCTCTCCCCATCTTCCCCTCCCTGCTACCCATCCCAGCCTCTAAATACCCATGGTTCTACTTTCACGGCCTCCGTTTCTTCAGTTGTAAAACCAGAGAGATTGAACTGCAGCTTCTAAATGGGCCAGTCCCCTATGCGTCACCGGCCACTCTCCAGCAGTGACGGGCATAGCCTGCCTGTTACCTGGAGAGCAGTAATCAGCCCAGAAATCTTGTTGACAAAGCTAAGGGCAGAGTTTCCATTGGAAAAAAGCAGCTTGCAGGAAAAATTGTTGATAAGAAGTGGAAATCTATCTAAGTAAGCCATATATCTCCTGCTCCACTGCCTGAGGCCTCATGGGCTCCCCACTCTGAGTCCTGCCACGCTCCAAGAAGCTGCTGGAGTTCCCCAGAGTAGCCTTGGTGAATGAGAGTATGTAGCCTGGTTTCCATGGAGTGACCCACTAGCCCTGTGATATGGTTTGGCTGCGTCCCCACCGAATCTCAACTTGAATTGTATCCCTCAGAATTCCCACGTGTTGTGGGAGGGACCCAGGGGGAGGTAATTGAATCATGGGGGCCAGTTTTTCCCATGCTATTCTCATGATAGTGAATAAGCCTTATGAGATCTGATGGGTTTAGCAGGGGTTTCCACTTTTGCTTCTTCCGTATTTTTCCGTTGCCACTGCCATGTAAGAAGTACCTTTCACCTTCCGCCATGATACTGAGGCCTGCCCAGCCATGTGGAATTGTAATTCCAGTTAAACCTCTTTCTCTTCCCAGTCTCAGGTATGTCTTTATCAGCATCGTGAAAACAGACTAATACACCCTGATACTGCAGGGGGTGTCAGTCCATGGCTTTTAGCAGGTTCTCAAAGGTGATGCATAGTCCCAAAAGGGTTAATGAAGAACAAGCTTCAGGGGTAAACTCCTTCCTACAACTACTGTGTCATCAGCCACTGAATTTCCCATCGTTCAGTCAGTCATAACTGGTGAGCCTCTTAAATGTTCTTAGAGGTTCTTAGAGCTGCGTTGCTGGGGCCCAGCCTCCTCTGGAAAGAGCCAAGTGGCAGACAGAGGAGGTGGCAGCCCTGCTGGGAGCACACCCAGCACTCACACTGCTCCATGGGCCCTTTCCATAGAACAGACACTGTTCTCTCCAGGTGCAGGCCACAAAGGTGGACGCTGTCTGTGCTACCACCTTACTCACTCTTCTTGTGGGGATCATGATCAAACCTGGGAATTTGATGGAGTCTAAATCAAAATTAAGTGTAACCCAGGCTATCTTCTGCTGCTTCTCCCCTGCAACTTCACTCACAACATAAGCATTATAGAGTGTTCTATTTTTATAATTTTCTGACTGATGGAAGTGAAGTGTCTTAGGGCTTAGTGTCTTAGAAAAGTCTAAGAGTCTTAGAAAAAGGGATCCTTTTCCTTTTTAATTTTTCTTTTCTTCTCCTTTGTTTTTTTTTTTTTTTTTTTGAGACGGAGTTTTACTCTTGTCGCCCAGGCTGGAGTACAACGGTGCGATCTCTGCTCACTGCAACCTCTGCCTCCCTGGTTCAAGAGATTCTCCCGCCTCAGCCTCCTGAGTAGCTGGGATTACAGGCACCCGCCACCAAAGCCGGCTAATTTTTGTATTTTTTCTTTTTTTTAGTAGAGACAGGGTTTCGCCATGTTAGCCAGGCTAGTCTCGAACTCCTGACCTCAAGTGATCCACCCACTTTGGCCTCCCGAAGTGCTGGGATTACAGGCATGAGCCACCGCGCCCGGCCAGGGCTCCTTTTTCTAATGTGCATATGGTACCATATGGTGGCCCCCTAAGCCCTCCTCTAGAGCTCCTGTGCGAATGGCCTAGTAGCTTTGTCTAACATGGCTACAAAGAGCTATCTAGGAGGAGCCATTGAAAGCTATGGGGTGCTGTTCCATCTGTGCATGATACAGAGCTTTCTAAGCATAGAGCCATCCAAAGAGAGTGGATTGCCGTGGGAGGTGGTTCTCCACTAGGAAAATTATTCAAGCATGGGCTAGAAAACTGTTTGGCTAGAATATCATAGAAGAAATTTAAGATGATTGGACTAGGTGGTGCTGTTGCCTTCCAATCTTGAGATTTTCAGAGCTGAATGTTATCTCTTGGGTTTTACTGTGGACATTGTGGTCTGTAGAAAATAATTTCCAATCGTTCTTACACATATTTAAAAGATGTGTGTATGAAGGAGCTGGGGAGACAGTCGGGGCAGGAAGTAGTTTGGATATGTTCTATTTATACAGTAAACCCTCTCCACTCCCCATTATTATCACTCTGTTCTCTGTCAGCTTCTTCTGGGAGGTACTGAGACTGTTCTGGACAAAGAAAATGGATACATGGTGGGGATGGTGGAGAAGAAAGAGAGGGTATCACCTTAGCTGGCCATGATATTATTATGCCTGAGTTATGCACCAGAATAAAGAGAAGACAAAAAGTTAGGTAGGTCATGCAGTGCTTAGCACTCGATGGGGCAGAGTTTAATGGATGATGAAACGAAAAATAGCAAGACAAGGGTGTGTACGCACAAGTACATGTGCGGTTGTGGCTGGCGGACACACAGGCATATCTTCTCCTGGAAAAGCCCAACACTTGGTTGACTCTGTGTGTGGCAATTTTAGGAAGAAGAAGAATTGTCTCCCACTCTGTGGGGAAATAGCTTAGCTTTCCATTTCTTTCTAGAAGGAGTAGGAACTTTGGAACAATGTCAACAATTAGAAAGCCCAGTTTAGATCACTCCAGTCCCAACCTGGCAGAGAGAGGACCCCTCTCCTGGGGTCGATTAGGGGCCACATCTTTTGTGCCCTTCCTGCTCATTGGCATCTGAGGATGAGTGAGTCTCACTCACTGAGGCATGAATGTTGTGGTTCATCTGGCTAATGAGGGATCAGGGAGAAAGCTTCATCTCATTTAAGGTCTTCTTTCCTGGCGTGGCTCACACCTGTAACCCCAGCTACTTGAGAAGCTGAGGTGGAAGATTGCTTGAGCCCAGGAATTAGAGGCTGCAGTGAGCTGTGATTGTGCAACTGCACTCTAGCCTGGGTAACAGAGGAGACCTTGTCTCTTAAAAAGAAAAAAAAATAGTGCTTCTCATGATGGGAATTCCAGTCTTGGAGTTGCATGCTCTCAGAGCTAGAAAAGACATTAGCGGTCAGACTTCTTGTCCACTCCATGGTCCTTCTCAGAGTCACAGCTTTACCACCCTTAGGAGGGTCCAGTCAATGTGGAGTTAAACTGAGCCATGAGGGACTTTGATTTTTGTCCTCCCAGGGCTCTGCCCAGGACACCTGGCAATTGCCACCCTGCAAGACTGCCGTAGGCGAGATGGCCCCGGGGATGCCCATTTAACAGAAGCTGCCGCAAGATGGGGCCGCCTGTGGTGTGGGCTGACAGGCAGACGTGTAGGAGAGGCAATGGTTGTGGCTTCAGTGACTGGAAGGAAACGTGTTATCTTCTCATTTCTTGCTAAGGCAAGGTCAGCACTGGGGTCAGGGTCAGGCAGGGTTTTTGATGTGGGATGCAGGCCCTGGAGGGATGGAAGCCAGGGGCTTTCTACAGAGTTGAGCTCCTCCCCCTCTGCTTCTCTGAAGCTTAGTGCTGGGGGTTTGGTATTTCTAAAGCAGGGTCAGGAGAGGGTTGCTCTGGGGACGGTCCCAGCAAAAGCAGTGGGATGTTCTGTGTACTCAGAACATGAATTGCTGGTGGGGTGGGCGTGTGACGTGGCAGAGGGCAGGTATTAAGCAGTTTTTCCACCTGTCCTCCTTTCCACCTTATGTCTTTGCCCCACTTTCCTATAGGCTTGCACTTGGACTTAGAGGCTGAATCTAGGATATCTCTCCTAAAAGGACCGTCCACTATTGGAAAGTCGAGTGAGGAGGAGAGGCCCATCTATTGAATGGGATTTTCCCAGATGAGAGGGGCTGGGTGACAGAAAGTGGATGGAACCTGGCTGAGGCCTGCCATCCCTTGGCCTGGGGATCCTTGGAAGGAAAAGAACAATCCCCAGGTTCTTCCCTCATGACCTGGGGATTGTTCTCTGCATTGCTCCTGACTTAGTGGAAGTGAAAGGTGTCCACGGCTTAGGGTTGCAGAAATGACTCAGAGCTAAGCTACCTAGATTCAAATCCAGCTCCAAAGACAATCACCTTCCCTGCGCCTCAGTTTCCACCCCTAAGATAGGGGCAATAAAGTACCCACTGGAGGAGGCTCTTATGAGAGTGAAGTGAGTGAGGACACAGGAAAACCATGGAGCAGGGCCCAGTGCGGAGCAGTAGGCATCTGCTCTGATGATTGTCATTGCAAAAGGACCCAGTTGGGCACTACAATCAGCCTGTCCTCATTTGGCCCCAGGAACCACCACTTGCCTAGCTGTGGGACCCTGGGTAAGTCACTCAGAGTGCTCTGAAATTTGGCTTTGCTACAAGTAGGACTGCTCCCTGCCTCACAGAACTGTTGTGAGGGCTAAATGAAATAATGTATGCAGAGCTTAGCAGGCCTGGCATGTAGTAAATACTCCGGAAACATTTTTTTTAAGTTCCAGGGTGGTTGTCTATCTGGATGTCACCTCTGACCTCTGAAAACCACAGGGATTGAGGATAGGAAAGCAGTGCTCCTTTCTGCATCCACCCGGTCCCCACCTCACCTTCCTGAGCACCAGGAAAGGAGCCTGAGGAATCAATAAGGCCAGAGGAGGAACCCTGCAGAGCGTGGTCAGCTGGGAAGGACTTGGGCAGTAGGAGCAGAGGGGGCAAAGGAGGGCCTGGGTTGGGGGTACGTGGCAGCATGCCTGTCCTCAGCAGACACCTCCCACTGCCCATGCTTCTTGTGGGGGTGGGCCAGCCCAGCTTAGGTTATCTTGGCTCATTGTCCACTAGTGTTTTCCTCAGATGCTCCCTGGGAGCTGGCAGTACTGGAGGGGGTGGCAAGTGGCCTCAGTCGGCTCACAGTTCTAGGACCGGGCCCAGGTCTTGGAAGCCCCTTGAGCTCTCCCCCTTCCCTGCTTAGGCCACTGGAAGACAGAGGTCTCCAAAGAAAGACAAAAGCTGGGGTCTAGACATACCCCATCTGGGGTCTGACTTAAAGGCCTTTGCCAGGGTCACCTCCTGTTGGCATCAGAGAAGGAAAGAAGTGTGTGTTTGTGTGTTTGTGTGTGTGTGTGTCTGTCTGTTTGTCTATGTCTGCAGGTGGACAAGTAGGGCCGGGTGTGAGTGGAAGTGGAAAGGATACTATTCTGCCCATCCCTCCTTGCTGGCCCCCCAGCCAGCTGCTAAGATCCAGAGTCTGGGCAGCAGAGTCAACCCTACTGCAGCTGGGGGTGTTGAGCATGTCTGGGGAAGAGCTAAAAGTGGCAGAAAACATCCTGTTTGAAAGCAATGCTTTGCTGTATTTAACCCCTGCAACACCTGCTCCGCCTACACCCGGTCTCCACAGACAGGAGATCTCAGACACCTGCCTTTGAAGCTGTCCCAAGAGGCCAAGGCTGTGGGCTGCCATCCAAGCCTGCCCCATTCCCAGCTCCTGTGCGGCACCTCCTCTGCCCTGCCTGGGGCAGCCGTCTTCCCGCTCTTAGCAGCAGGACACATGGCCCAGTTGCTCTGCTTCCTGAGCTGCCTACAATCTGGAGATGGAGGGGGTAGTGAGAGTGTGGGTCTCCCTAACGAAAAGGCCCTTCCTCCCTCCTGACACCCTGGGCTGTGAGAGGAGAAGGAGTGCCTAGGCGGGAGGCTGTTTCCTTCTGCCTGGGGCTGGTTGCCGCCACCGCTTCCCACTGCTCCTGCTACTCCCTGCCTCGAGGGAGGGCCATCCTGGCTGCTGCCCAGCCGCCACCCCCACACCCCTGCCAGCGATGACATGGCATGCCTGCTCCCAACAAGCCACTTCTGTTTGCAGTCACTGATCTGGGGACTAAAGTCCCTGGAAAGAGCCTCTCGTGCCCACTTCCTTAGAGACTGGGGAGGCGGTCAGCGCTCCGCCTTAGATAAAAGGTTTCCCCTTCTTCATTTCAGAAGCCTTTGGGTCTGAAGTGTCTGTGAGACCTCACAGAAGAGCACCCCTGGGCTCCACTTACCTGCCCCCTGCTCCTTCAGGTAGGTGTTTCCTCATCAGCCGCAACTTCCCTGGCTTTCTGTTTTCAAGGGGCGGGGTGGGGGGGAGGGGCATAAGAAGGTGGTGGGCAGGGGAAGGAAGGGATACCACCCAGGATTTTGCAAGGTGGGTCCCGGGCCAGCAGAGTCTGCAACTGAGATGCATGAGTGTGTGGGGTGCGGGTGGGAGTTCAGAGAAGGGCTCAGGAGATGGGGCTTGCTGGCTCCAGCCACGACCCTGGCTGGGCTCTCCTGTGCGTCTGATGTTTCCTATCCAGCCCCCATCTCCTCTTTCTCTTTGCTGCCTTCTTTAGTCTCTGCCTGTCATTCCTGGGACTTTCAGCTCTCAAGCCACAGAGGCTTGGACATCTCCACATGTGGACTCTGGTCCTGGGCGCTGGCTTCTTGATAGCAGCAAATAACCTCAAGCAGGGTTGGGTCTTCTGTCAGCTCCCCTGAAATGGTCTCATTCACTGTGGGCCTCTGGCTGCTTGATCCAGCCTTTCCAGCCTTCACCCCCAGCATAGAGACTTCCTGATGTC
Organism: Homo sapiens; assembly: GCF_000001405.40. Classification (NCBI taxonomy): domain Eukaryota; kingdom Metazoa; phylum Chordata; class Mammalia; order Primates; family Hominidae; genus Homo; species Homo sapiens. Next base: position 47,882,154 of record NC_000012.12, on the reverse strand, counting down.
AAGGCAGCACCCCACCCCATTGCAGGACTGCCCCGTTGCTGTGCTGTGGTAGTATGTTGTTCCACTCGCTTGCATCATAGCATCTCCAAATGAGTCCATGTGATGCTGAACATGTGTTGACTGATTTAACAGATATTCCTTCCTACCCCCCATTTGATTTCTCTGTTTTCCACGAAATCCACCGGATACTTGGGAGCCTGGATGACCCAGACTCTGTAGCAACACCACGATGACTCGGAGCTGCAGCATCTCAGCTGACCCAGGGTTAAGCCACAAGCATCCTGGACAGTTTCCCCTATTACCCCACAATGATATTGGGCCTCCGGGATGCTGGCCACATCTTGAATGTGTGCTATGTTCTAAAACCTGCAGGCATCAGCTTGGACTTGGGATGGTCTTTGGGGACAATGTTGATAGATCCACAAGCACTTTTTCTATTTTTAATTGTTTTTTAAATTATGAAACGTTTTGTATATTCAGAAGGGCATGCAAACACAGATATACAAAACATAGATGTAGTGTTTTGCTAATAATAATAAGAAGAAGATACCATATGCTCACTACTCAAAAAATAGAATACTGCTACTATATAATGCACACCCCTCCCCGATCTCATCTCTCCAAAGGTTTCTGTTAATCATTCCTTTGTTCTTTTTTTCTGAACTTTTCTTATAGGTTCAGGGGGTACCTGTGCAGGTTTGTTACAAAGGTATATTGCAAGATACTGAGGTTTTGAGTATGAATGAATTGTCTCCCAGGTAGCGAGCATAGTACTCAATAGGTTGTTTTTCAGCCCCTGCCCCTGTCCACTTGTATTCCCAGTGTCCATTGTTCTCATCTTTATGTCCATATGTACATGATGTTTAGTTCCCACTTATAAGTGAGAACATGTGCTATTTTGTTTTCTGTTTCTGGCTTTGTTTCCTTAGGATAATGGTCTCCAGCTGTATCCATGTTGCTGCAAAGGAAAAAGGACAGTGTATGTGTGTAAAAAGGACAGTATACGTGTGTAAAAAGGACAGTATATGTGTGTGTATATATATATATATACACACACACACACATATACTGTATTTTCTTTATCTAGTCCAGAGTTGATGGGCACCTGGGTTGATTCTGTGTCTTTGCTATCGCTGCAATGATCTTTGTTCTCTTTCTGAAAGTGCTTCTCTCTTTATATATAGGTATATATTTATACTTGCTAAACTTTAATGTATATGTAGCTGCTAAAATTTAATATATACATTAAATATGTATTTATATATTTAATATATATTAATATATAATATATATTAATATGTATTTATATATTTAATGTATATATTATATATACATTAGAGTTTAGCAAGTATAAATCTAGCTGTGAAAGAAATTAGCAATAGTGTCACTATTACTATTAGGATAGTTCAAAAGTAATTGCGATCTTTGCCATTATTTTTGATGGCCAAAACCACAATTACTTTTGCACCAACCTAATACATTAAGGTTTCCAGGAAAAGAAAAGCTAAATGAGGTTAGGGAATCTCCGAGGTCTGTGACCGGGATTCCCTCTGTCCCTTTGGGACTGATGATAACATATTCTTGCTTATCTGCACCACTTCTTTCCCTTGGTGTGAAGCTCTTTGGGGAATTTTTAGAAAGTATTTGTTTTATTCATTTGGCAGTAGTGGTTTCTAGACATATCTTAAGGTTTGGGCCTCTCTGGGCCTCATTTGTAAAGGGGATGATGATAATAGCATCTACACCATGAAGTGGTATGAAGGTGAAATAAGACTTAATGAGCTTTGATATTCCACACCCTAGATCAGAGATCATGGGCCTAGTCATTGAAAAGTAGCTCAGAGCCTCCCAAGGGCCCCCAGAATCTGCCTCTGTCACCCAAGGGCAGGAGGAAATGGTACCCTGGGGTGGAGTGGGTTCTTGTCTCTTGTTTCCTGGCTTTCTCTCTTATTTTTCTTCTGACAAGAAGGACCCTTTGCCTAGGGTCAAAGGGGTCACTGAAACCTGTAATGACCCTTTTGAGGATTCAGATAAAATTGGGAGAACTGGGAGGCAGTAGGGTCTGAAAGCATTTCAGGGCAGTCTGAGGTATCCCAGAATCATCTCTGAGCCTGACAGTAGACGGGATCAGACGCAGCAGACAAAGCTGGGGGCCCAGTTTTGGCTAATGAAAGAGTCAAGCCAGCTGCTTCCTGAGAAGGCCTTCCCAAAGCTGTGGGCTTTCGTTCCGTCTGTCTCTTCTCCTTTTCCTCAAGTATGAAATCCATCTCTAGATGATAATGCCTGTTTAGAAAAACCATCTCTGAAAACACAATTAATTGTATAGGACTCACATGACTCAGAAGGACATTCAAAATAATGTTTTAAGTGTTATTGCCAAAAAAAGGGGGGGGAAATATCTTGAAATGTTGATTGTCTTGGTACAGGAACACCAGGGGCATAAGCCTATTAGCCCTGAGCTTTATGGTTGTGAGGAGCTGGGGCTGGAATGACCAGGGCACCTAAATCCTCAATTCCCCCCACCCTCAAGAGGAGGAGACCTGAGGGTTTCTCTCCACATGTAGGTGCTGAGGCTGAGGGAGGACTCTCATTTTCCCTTGGAGGGGGCGTTGGGCAGGATAGAAGCCCCTGACCTGGTTCAGGTCTGTGCCTGAGGCAGAGCTAGTGCCAGTAGCATGAATGGGTTCATGCATATGATCCTTACACCCTGGAAGTAAAACACCTCTTCCAATGCAGACAGCGGGGGCATGCAGAGGTGAACCACTAAACCCAAATTAACCTGACAGATGCAACATCTGAAACCAGGCAGCTGATTCCAAGCCATGCTCTGAGCCAGCTATGTAGGGCGAATCATGTATGAGGGCTCCGAAGGCACTGTGCTCAGGCCTGGGCCCTGGGGAGATGCCCACCCTTGCTGAGCTCCCTGGTGGTGGGGGGTGGGGGCGGTGGGATGAGGCTGGGGGTGGGTGGCACCAAGGATGCCAGCTGGCCCTGGCACTGACTCTGGCTCTGACCGTGGCCTGCTTGCTGTTCTTACAGGGATGGAGGCAATGGCGGCCAGCACTTCCCTGCCTGACCCTGGAGACTTTGACCGGAACGTGCCCCGGATCTGTGGGGTGTGTGGAGACCGAGCCACTGGCTTTCACTTCAATGCTATGACCTGTGAAGGCTGCAAAGGCTTCTTCAGGTGAGCCCTCCTCCCAGGCTCTCCCCAGTGGAAAGGGAGGGAGAAGAAGCAAGGTGTTTCCATGAAGGGAGCCCTTGCATTTTTCACATCTCCTTCCTTACAATGTCCATGGAACATGCGGCGCTCACAGCCACAGGAGCAGGAGGGTCTTGGTGAGTGGTATCTTCTTTTCCCTCCTCTCAGCTCCAGATGTTCCTCTGACTCTCTTGGAAATCGCTTTCCTGAGGTTGCTGTGTGGGTCTCTGTCTTTCCATTACGCCTGTAACCCACAGCCTCCTACACCAACCCACGTGTCCATCCTTCCAGAGTGAACCTCCTCCCTGTTGATGATCACAGCTTCCTCACCCAAGAGACAGGCATGTCTTTGGGGAAAGCCCAAGAACTTGGTTTCAGAGCTTGCCTTCCCATCCAATCCAAACTGTTCCTTGGAACAAGGGAAATGGCACCTCTTGTCGGGTCATCACGATCTGTACCCATATCTTCACCCAAGGACTGTTTGTCCTGGTCTGAAAGCCAACCTTGGAACATCCAGGCAGTGTCAGGAATGTACCTGCATTCCTGTTTGATCAGGGCCAGTTTCTTTACCAACACACTCCCCTTACATGAGCCCAGGATTACAGATGTGAAAGGTGTGGGAAAAGCACTGGAGGTTCCCATTCAAAGCCAGGGTGGGAGCGTGGGAAAGGGATGAATTGGGGCAGGAACTGGGAATCATGAGAAATTAGCATTTGGCATGTATTGGAGAGAGAGAGAGAGAATAGCCTGAAAGAAGGCAGCCAAAACAGATCTTCTGTCTAGCGGTCTAGACTGGAGGTGGCTATGGCAGGGCTCTAACCATCAAATGAGGAAAGCACAAATCAAGTCCAGAGGAGGATGCTGAGGTCGGCTTGGTTGTTGTCTAAACCGGAGTGCTCTCCTCGCCTTGGGGGCACAGTGAATTCAAGTCCAGGCGCTTGTGTGGGACTCTTACTCAAGGACTTGGGGTCTCTCTGTCAACACAAGCTCCTGATTCACCTGCCCTCTGCCTCAGGAATCAGCAGGCCCAGAGTTTCATGGCCTTGAGCAATTGCTGGGCAGTGGGGTTTCTGTGGGTGCTAATTGCCTGTTTGGCCTGGCACTGGCTGCCCGCTTGGCTTCCCGGCAGCCTACTCTCCAGCTCGGGGAACCAGACAAGCAGCATCGCTGGCTCTAAGTCGTGTTGCTGCATTTGCCAATCCTTGGGCCTGAGGTCCACACATCCTGCAGGGTGGGCCTTCTAGAGCCCCAGTTGTGTGTCCCAGGTGACACATGGACCCTTTCCTGCCAGGTCCTCTAACTTGGGGGGCTGCCTTGAGTGCTAATGAGAGGGGAATCTAACGCACACCTCAGCGCCTGCTTACTACCATGAAACCCATCAGAAAGGCATGGTCTGGGGTGCTGGCCATGGCAATAATTTATGGGATGTCCTTGCTCAAATGGATGTCCTTGACATATCTAGGTTTTAGTTAACTCAACTAATGGCATGCATGTATTGATATCCACCCCCTCTGCTACATAGTGTTAATCTGAGGATTAATGAGATGACATGTAAAAAAGTGCTTTGAAAAACACTTTTTCAGTCTGATGAAAAAAGCTGAGATTTTTGAGCCTGATGGGTCACCACTGCTGCCCTTCATGGAACCATGCTCTCATAAAATAAACAAAAGCCTCGCAGCCAGCCAGCCAGCCACTTTCCTCGTGTGTGTGTGTGTTTGTGTGATTTTTTTGTAGTGATGGGGCCTCCTTATGTTGCCCAGGCTGGTCTCAAACTCCTGGGCTCAAGCGATCCTTCCATCTTGGCCTCCCAAAGTTCTAGGATTATAGGCATGAGCCACCATGTCTGGCCTTGTGTTTCTTTCACTCATTCCGTCACCAGACTTCAATCTGCATTTATAATCTGGCATTGGGCTAGGAGTTGTCAATATGGAGATTCTCACCGAAGGTCATATCTTGTCAGTCTGCAACCAAAGCATTTGGTTATGGAGTCTCTACCCCCAAATCCACTCTCTCCTCCTAGGCCTCCTCCCCCCTGAGATTCAGCTCTGGGAAATGAGAATCTTAGGTGGCAGCTGGTTGGGTGGTGACACATTGGAGGCCAGTTCCTCACTGGAGTGGCTCTGACTGCTATGCATCTGTAGTTGCTGCCCTTGGACACACCACTAGGCTGGGAATCCTCAGGACAGGAGCATGTGAGGCATCTGGGTGGAGAGAGGACAGGTCCTGTCATGCCCCAGGCTGAGTGTGAAAGATGGCAGAATGAACAAGGATGGTATGTTTGTAATCTGTGTCACCACAGACTGACAGAGTGGCTGTGTTGCTTGTGGGCACATGATGCCACCTTAACCCACTCTTAGTCCACCTTGACAAGAGCCCTTAGAGTCTGTTGCTGGCTGTTGGTCACAACCACTGCCTGCAATGCCTGGCACTATGGGCTGCAGGCTGGTTTTGTCTTGTTACCCTGTCCTCAGTCTACCTTACTTAGATCTTTACTGTCTCTGTCTTGATGACTAAGCTAGGCTGCTACATTCTAAAGAGCCAACATGTCTGTCATTTGCTTGAGGATGTGGATGAAAGAGAATGAGTGGGGTTATCTATGGATTGTTCAAGAGTAATGTTCAGAAACTTGAGGGAAGGTCACTGAAGCTGTCAAGAAAGACAGCTGCAAGGTTCTGAATTTTGTTTGATATGTACATAAACAAACACACACATGCACACACACACACACACACAGTCAACCTTCATTATTCATGGATTCTGTATTTGCAAATCTGCCCACTTGCTAAAATTTACCAAAATCAATACTTGCAGCCCCTTTGTGGTCATTTGTGAACATGTGCAGAGCAGTGAAAAATTCACATGACTTGGCACCTATCTTCCCAGCCAGGGTCTTCACAATCTATTTAGTGCTACATTTTTTGCCTTTTTTTGATTTTTATTGGTGACTTTGCTGTTTAAAACAGTTCCCAAGCGTAGTGCTGCACTGCTGTCTGGTGTTCCTAAGTGCAAGGCCGTGATGTGCCTCACAGGGAAACTATGTGTGTTAGACAAGCTTCCTGAGGACAACAGTGCTGCTGGCTGTTTGATCAATGTTAATAACTCAACCAACAATATCTATTGAATAAGATATCTTTAAACAGAAAACTCACATAAGACAAGGTTATGTGTTGATCAGTTGATGAAAATTTTGTGACCAGAGGCTTGCAGAAACCTCACCCTGTGTTTCCTCCAGGAACAGTGTTTCAATATTCACTAATCCAGTGTCCACAGTGACTATAGACCATAACTACCATGAATAATGAGAATCAGCTATACATACATCATTTCTCCTCTTCTTCCACCCCTGATGCCTGCTTCTCCTTCTTTGCTTCATCCAAATTTTATTTGGAAGTTTTCCATTTTGATCTGGTCCAAATAGTTGCTTGAGAACCCTGTGGTCACTCATATCTGTTTGTGAAACTCTGATCCCAGGAAGCAAGGACAATGTCAGTGGTCTGTACCTTCTCTGTGGTGGGTACTGCATCCTTGCATCCTTGGGAACACAGAGATGACAGGAACCAAGTCCTTGCTCTCAAGAAGCTTGCTTGACCATTTCCTGATAGTTATTGACAGACAGCATTGCTTGAATATTGGGTCACTAGCTCTTTTCCAAGCCCTGGAGACCAGTAATCCAATCCCATTTGACCATTTAGTATTTGGTTTGGCTTCTAAGATAGTTAACTAAACTGCTCTAGGAGCTAGTTGTTATCATCAAAACGAGTCTAAGACTCATAATCTAGCTGAAGTGTGATGATGGTTAGAAGGTTAGAGAGGGATCACAGTTCTATTGATCTATGATCAGGCATTAGAGGCCATTGCTGGTCAATTCCTCCTGCAAGCTATTTCATGTTGCTTGTGCTTCCTGTTATTCTGGAATACAGGGACATCCTCAGAGAAAGATGATATTTCCAGTGTGAATATAAGGTTGGCACAGGCAGGCTTATAGATGGCCAGACACCTCTTGGCTATATGTTAACAACTAAAGCATAAGTAAGAGCCAGAGGAGGAAAAACATTTGGAATAGGTCTATTCCAAATGACATATATAGTGGATGATCCATATATGTATATGCATGTGGATGCATATGGTCATGGATGGCTTCGTCCGGAGTCTGATATAAAGGAAAAGGTGTAATGGACAGAGAAGAAAATCAGAGGAACCCCTTTGATGAAGAGAATGAAGGTGGATGGTGAGGTTTAAGAGCTGATCCTGGAAGGCAAGATGAGAAACAGGTCATCGTTTGCCTGCTTATCTTGTCTTCTTCCTCCCTGTTGGGATGCTTAAATAAGGACTCTGTGCAGCTACAAGCTAACAAAGACAGTGCAGAGAAGTGCGTTTTCGCTTCCTAGCTCCAAGGTTCTTGAGGACTTTGTTAATTATGGGTCATGCGGAGTGCAGGGGGCAAAAGGTAGGCTGGCGAGGATCCAGGAAGATGAGGAATGTTCTGGCATTCAGGAAGGTCACCCCACTGATATTTGTAGCTCTTCTAGCAACCTGATGTGAAAGGAAGCAGAGAAATAGGGCAGATGTCCAGGAATTTAAAACCTAAACTGCTTAAAGGAGAGAAAATAGAGAAAAAAGGGAGGAACAGCCACACAGGGTATTCTATGGGCACAAGTAAATGAGTGACCAAGAAGTCAGTGTTGCTGGAGAGACTTTGTCCAGGTCCACTTTGGCAGCTGACCTCCATTCACAGATATTCAAGGATGTGAATGAAAGAGAATGAGTGGGGTTATCTATGGATGTTCCAAGAGTAATGTTCAGAAGCTTGGGTAGAGGAGGCCAAAATATTTGGAGAGGGAAGGTCACTGAAGCTATCAAGAAAGACAGCTGCAAGGATAGGATTTTACATTACCTTTTTGTCATTCTTTTATTTCTTTTGAAATTCAGCACTCTAATCAGGGCTCATTTGCATGACTTTGCACTCAGCACACACTTGAGATCTTCCCTGTGCTTGGGTTATACAGGGCCAGTGGAGAGCATGGTCAGATGTGACCCCACACTTCCAAAGCATCCTTCTAGAGACTGCCTGAATCCCTAGAGGGATTTGTCCTAGAGGAGTCCTTCAAACAGCCTCTGCTTCATGCTCCTGGACTTTGGGAAAGCATGTTTTTGACTGCTGCTCTAGCTTGGATTGAGAGATGGTACATTCCTGATGAGAACCATAGTATATATGAAGATCAGTGTATTAGTCCATATTCACACTGCTATAAAGAACTACCCAAGACTGAGTAATTTATAAAGAAAACAGGTGGCCGGGCGCGGTGGCTCACGCCTGTAATCCCAGCACTTTGGGAGGCCGAGGCGGGCGGATCACGAGGTCAGGAGATCGAGACCATCCTGGCTAACACGGTGAAACCCCGTCTCTACTAAAAATACAAAAAATTAGCCGGGCGAGGTGGCGGGCGCCTGTAGTCCCAGCTACTCGGGAGGCTGAGGCAGGAGAATGGCGTGAACCCCAGGGGGCGGAGGCTGCAGTGAGCCGAGATTGCGCCACTGCACTCCAGCGTGGGCGACAGCGAGACTCCGTCTCAAAAAAAAAAAAAAAAAAAAAAAAAAAAAGAAAACAGGTTTAATTGACTCATGGTTCTGCATGGATGGGGAGGCCTCAGAAACTTACAATCATGGCGGAAGGTAAAGGGGAAGCAAGGCCTGTCTTACATGGCAGCAGGAGAGACAGAGAGCAAGTGAAGGGGGAAGCGCCACACTTTAAAAACATCAGATCTTGTGAGAACTCACTCAGTATCACAAGAACAGCAAGGGGGAAATCTGTCCCCATGATCCAATCATGTCCCACCAGGCCCCTCCTTCGACACATGGGGATTACAATTCGAGATGGGATTTGGGTGGGGACACAGAGCCAAACCATATCAGTCAGATTCCTTGGAGTCAAACAGTTCTTGATTCTAATTCCAGCTTTCAGACTTGCTAGCTGTGACTTAAAGCAAGTTATTTAACTTTCCCGTGCCTTTTTGTGTCACTTGTAAAACAGGGATAATATCTACCCAAAGGTTGTCGAGAGCATTGGAGATAGTATGTAAAATACTGACCTAGAAAGCTTCCAGTGGTGATAGCTAGTATCATTATCCCTTTTTAGTGTCTTAGTTTTGAGGACAGATGGTCCTTTCTTCCTTTTCTCTACCATGGAACTTGGAAAGTATAACTATGTGATGTGTTGGCAGTGGTCTCTGAAAAGAGGTTCCTAAACAGAAGGAGTTAAATATCAGGTATGAAGAGGGAAGGGCTGGGCCAGGGGCTCTGAGAGAGCTTCATGTCGGTCAAAGGCTGGGTAGAACTGGCTGGTGCTCAACAGAACTGGACAGTGGTTGCTGTAACTAGCACAGGGGCTGTGGCTCTAGACATCAGGAGCTACAGCACATGAAACAGAAATATGGTTTCAAACTCTGCTGCCTGCAGGCTCCCATGCTAGGCACCCAGAGAGCAGGCCTAAGACATGGTGTCTGCTTCAGGGGTCTCAAATTCTTAATGAGATGTTTAAAATCTACTTTAAAATCTACTTTCACCCACTCTCAGCACTCCCTCCCACTGCCTCTTTCTGCTAGTTTCTCTTCTTTCCCTTTATTTAGGGTTTCCTTTGTCCAGGTCCTGTTCCCTTTTCCTTTATTTAGTTCTTACAACCCTCTCTGAAATGTTGCTCCCATTTTACAGATGTGGAAACTAATGGATGGGAAGGTTAAGTAACTTGCCCAAGGTTGTGCTTTAAGATTTAAACTCAAACATATCGATCTAACCAAAGACTGCATTTCATTTTTAATGTTTAGGTAGTTGTAGTGGGTAGTGGATTTTTTAAATGTAACGTCATAATATGGCTTTTTAAAAAGCCAACAGTTTAAGAGGATATGTAAGTGAAAAGTAAATCACCTATTCAACCCAATTCTTAGTTCCCTACCTCCTCCAGGAAGCTGTCACTGTTGCCAGCTCATCGTGTTCGCTTCCAGATTCTTTATGTAAAAGTGCATATGTGTGTGTGTGTATGTGTGTGTGCACACACGTCACCATTCTGCATCTTGGTTTTATCTGCTAAAGAACACTTCTTCAAGCTCATTCCCATTTCAGCATTCTTCCTCTTTCTTTTTCATAGTCACAGAGTATTATATGGAGGTTCTGTGAGATAAGAAACCAGTGCCTGGCTGGGCACGGTGGCTCATGCCTGTAATCCCAGCACTTTGGGAGGCCAAGGTGGGTGGATCATTTGAGGTCAGGAGTTCGAGACCAGTCTGGCCAACATGGTGAAACCCCATCTCTATTGAAAATACAAAAAATTGGCCAGGCGTGGTGGCACATGCCTGTAATTCCAGCTACTCGGGAGGCTGAAGCAAGAGAATCGATTGAACCTGGGAGCCAGAGGTTGCAGTGAGCCCAGATCGTGCTGCTGCACTCCAGCGTGGGTGACAGAGTGAAATTCCATCCAGAAAAAAAAAAAAAAGAAAGAAAGAGAGAAAAGAAGGAAGGAAGGAAGGAAAGACAGATAGACAGACAGATAGAAAGAGAGAAAGAGAGGAAGGAAGGAAGGAAGAGAGAGAGAGAGAGAAAGGAAAGAAAGAAAGAAAGAAAGAAAGAAAGAAAGAAAGAAAGAAAGAAAGAAAGAAAGAAAGAAAGAGAAAGAGAAAGAAAGAGAAAAGAAAGAAACCAGTCCTCTGTCATGGTCATTTAGGTTCGGTCTTTGGCTTCTCCAGACAGAGCTGCAGTAACCACCATTGCGCCCATGGACCGATCTACCCACAGGATAAATACCTGGAAGTGGCTTTACTGCGTTAAAATGTCTGTGTGTTTAACATGCTTCGCATTGCCAATTGCCCTCCAAAAAAAAAAGTCTGTGCTCTTTTCTACAGTGCTAACCATCCTTTAATGTTTTTTTAAACCCACCTGAGGAGAACCCCCTGATGCTGCCTCTCACATACATGTAGGCCCCTACATCATTTGATGTAGGTCTTTTTATTCCTTTAGATTTGCTGGGGTATAATTGACAGATAGACATGGTCTATATTTCAGGTGCACAACTCGATGTTCTGCTATACATATACATTGTGAAATGATCACCATAATCAAACTAGTAAGCATTCCCAGCACCTCACATAGCTTTCAGATCAGGAGCTCTCGCTAGTTCCTGTATCCTGAGCAGACGCTGGAATCTCTGTGACAGTGCAGTGGAGATGGAGCCCAGAGGGGATAGTTGACCCTACGCCTGGGTTATGCAACGTGCGTCTCTGCTGGCAGAGGCCACCTACTGGAGAAAGGCCCAACTGTCCCAGGCCTGAGGCCCTGGCCCCAGGCTCTTGATGCTTTTGTGAGGTTTTTGTCTCTTTCTGTTTTGATAAACTGGTCTCTGGCATGAGAATCGGTCAATGTCCTCTCTCACCCCTGGCTTTCTAGAAACTGCATCTATATTTAGCTTGGTTGCCCCACCCCTACCCCCCCTTCCTGAGCTGGGGTATAAATGCCAACCAACCAGAGGATGACAGGGTCCAGGCTCAGAGAGCAGCTGAGGCAATGGGCTCTCATGGAAACCTGAAGCTCTTGTTTCTCAAATCCAAACCAGCTCACAGGCAATTAGTATTGGGAGGAAGGCAGGGTAGGGTGTAGACCTTCAGGACAAAGCACAGAGCCAGGGTTGGGCAGTCTGGCTGCCCTGACTCCTCGTGGGCAGAGAGTAAATGACAGCCACACATGTGGAAGTGCCCTTGGAAGGCAGGAGAACAGGGAAGAACAGGACCTCTGAGCCAAGAGGATCTGTGGCCCAGCAAACAGACATGTTGGGCCAGACACACCTGAAAGGCCAGCTCTGGGATCTGAGTTCCAGAGAGCCTCTGGGTCTGGCAGTTGGAGCTGGGGAGCAAACTTTCTATACCCTGAACACTGACCCCACGCTCCAGAGCGTAATGGTGTCCTCTTCCTTTTCAGTGTTCTCGGGCTTCATATGACAACTCTTAAGCAGAAGCAAGGGCGCCAAACTTTTTTTTTACCCCCAGTACTTTCTCTTTTATTTTTTATTTCTAGAGACAGGATCTCACTTTGTCACCCACACTGAAGTGCAGTGGCACAATCTTGGTTCACTGCAGCCTTGACCTCACCAGCTCAAGCGATCCTTCCACCTTAGCCTCCCAAGTAGCTGAGACCACAGGCGCATGCCACCATGCCTGGCTAATTTTTTTTAATCTTTTGTAGATACAGGGTTTCACCATGTTGGCCAGGTTGGTCTCAAACTCCTGAGCCTAAGCTATCTGCCCACCTCAGCCTCCCAAAGTGCTGGGCTTACAGGCGTGCTCACGCCACTGCACCCAGTCCCAGTACTTTCTCTTAATTCAGCTCTGCACTATTTTCTCTTCCTATTCCTTTTTTTTTTTTTTTTTTTTTTTTGAGATGGAGTCTCGCTCTGTCCCCCAGGCTGAAGTGTAGTGGCACGATCTCAGCTCACTGCAAGCTCCACCTCCCGGGTTCACGCCATTCTCCTGCCTCAGCCTCCCGAGTAGCTGGGACTACAGGCGCCCGCCAACACGCCCGGCTAATGTTTTGCATTTTTAGTAGAGATGGGGTTTCACCGTGTTAGCCACAATGGTCTCGATCTCCTGACCTCGCGATCCGCCTGTCTCGGCCTCCCAAAGTGCTGGGATTACAGGTGTGAGCCACCGCGCCCGGCCTTCTCTTCCTATTCCTAGCCTCATTCCTGTTGTCAGGCAAAGTGGGGCTGAGTGGCAATCTCCAACCCTCCTGCGTATAGACATCTGAGATGGAGCTTCATATTTAAAGTGACATGAGAAAAATGAGAGAAAGATGGCGAAGCAGTGGAATCTCTTTTCAGGCAACCCTGCAGCTGGGGGGGCTGCCCCCAAGTGAGGGTCAAAGGCAGGCTCCCTGGAGCCTGGGGAAGGACAGACGGGGCCTCTGATAGGCCCTGGGGCCTCAAGAAGCTCTCAGTCCCGGGCCCAGTCTGGTGAGAGGCTTTGGCTCACATCACTGTAGGTGGTGGCTGGGCTAGGCTGACGATGTGCTGTCTTCTTGGTGCCCATGGCCTTGCAGGCTTAACAGGAAGAGCTCTGAGCCAGACAAGACAGCCAGTGGGAGGACAGAGCAGCCCCTCAGTGACCAGAGCGAAATGCCCGGTTGTTGAAAAACAAAAAAAAAAAAAAGGAAATGAGAGTTTCTTCTGAAATAGAAACTTCTGGTCCTTGAGTAAGTTTAGAGAATTACGGGCATTCTGAGGCCTGAGCATTTGTGGTGACGGATGAAGCCTCAAGAACCACAAGGTTGGTGGGAGGGACACCAATCTCATGTCCTGGAACATACAGATGTCCCTGTGGGGATAATTGTATCTCGTTTCTGGGGAACCCTAACAGTTCCCAAGATGCTTCCATATTCTCTTGTCCCTCCAGAAAAGCAGCAGTAAACAAATAGAGGTGAACGGCAAAAGGCTTTTTGTTTCTACGAAGATGGAAAAAAGCCTGGCGTATAACTTCTTTCTTGTTAGCTACTGCAGGGTTAGGACTGGGCCTGAGGCGGGCTAGACTTGGAGCTAAGGAGCCCCTGATAGCCTGGTGCTGCTCCACCTCCTGACAACCCTGGCTCTGCAGTAGGCCCCTTGGGTGATGAGGGTTGTCACAGCAGGGTACCAGAGCCAAGGTCCAAAACCAACAGCAGCTGCTTCCTTGACTGTTGGGTCATTCTTGGCATTGAGCCACCTGGGGCTGTTTGGGGCATCAACTTCACTGAGCACTTTAAGTTTCTGGGGTTGAAAACAATCCAGGAAGCTAAAGGCTAAGCCTTAGATCCCTAAGACTTCCAGACCTAGGAGCCTGCACTTCTTGCTGAATATCCTCACCTGTAAGTTTCTTAACCTCAGTGGTCCCACGTATAAAGGGAGGGAGTTACACTGACGGTCTCTTGGGCCCTCTGTGGATCTAAGAGTCTGGGCCTGCCTGGGACTGCCAGTAGAGCCCTACTCTGGTCTCTTCTCTATCCCAGGGGCTGAGTCGGTGTGGTCCCCAGCTGTCCATTTGCTAGAGCAAGCTTGACAATTGATGAGTGCGATTCCCCTCAACCCCATGTATGTTCTAGTGAATGTGAACAGTGAGTCATGTTTTACCAAGAATCCTAACTAATGCCTGGCCCCTGAGCAGATGACGTCAGTAGCTCATCTCCAGGAAGGAAATGGTTGGGCCTGGGCTTTGGCTTGGAAGGCTTGGGCATCTTCACACTCAGCAGTTCCTTGGAAGATGCTGCTGCTCATGCAGACAGTGATTCTGCCACCATCTTTCCCCATCTAACTATGTCAGAAAAGTGGGGCCTACTCCTGCTGGGGCTGGGAGGAGGACAGGACTCTCAGGACATGGATGATGAAAAGCCTCTAGGGAGGTGCCTCAGGGAGGTGTCCTTTATGCAGCCTCCCAAAGTCCACGTGGTGTGGCTGGCAGTGGGAGAGAATGTTCGAATTAGGAAAATGAGCCCTTAAATGTGCACACTTGTGCACACACACACACACACACACAACTTACATAGGCTACAAGGGTGCCACTTTTCTTTTTCTTTTCTTTCTTTTTTTTTTGAGACAGAGTCTCATTCTGTTGCCTAGGCTAGAATGCAGTGGCACAATCTCGGCTCAGTGAAACGGCCGTCTCCCAAGTTCAAGTGATTCTCCTGCCTCAGCCTCCCGAGTAGCGGGGACTATAGGCATGTGCCACCGTGCCCGGCTAATTTTTGTATTTTTAGTAGAGATGGGGTTTCACTATGTTGGTCAGGCTGGTCTCAAACTCCTGACCTCATGATCCACCCACCTCGGCCTCTCAAAGTGCTGGGATTACAGGCCTGAGCCACCACACCCAGCCTCAAGGGTGCCACCTTTCTAGCTAAGAACACTTCAGTAGTTTTCTGGGTTTTTTTTGTTTTGTTTTGTTTTGTTTTTTGAGACAGGGTCTTGCTCTGTTGCCCAGGCTGGAGTGCAGTGGCATGATCTTGGCCTACTGCAACCTCTACCTCCTGGGTTCAAACGACTCTCCTGCCTCAGCTCCCAGCCCCCAAGTAGCTGGGACTACAGGCATGCACCATCATGGCCAACTAATTTTTGTATTTTTAGTAGAGACGGAGTTTTGGCATGTTGGCCAGGCTGGTCTCAAACTCCTTACCTCAGATGATCCGCCCACCTCAGCCTCTCAAAGTGCTAGGATTACAGGCCTGAGCCACTGTGCCCAGCTCTAGTTTTCTGTTCCTACAGAGCTCCTGCTTCCTCTTCCTTTCAAAAAACCCAAGGCCAGGCCTCAGGATTTCCACCTGCTTGTCTGGCCCCTTCTTTTTCTGGGCAGGTTCTGGGATGTCTAGAGCTATGGTTTGGGCCTTTTCTTCCTTCCATGTACACATCTATCCCTGGAACAGGAGCTATTCCAGTCACAGGTCTCTAGAATCTAGAAGACTTCATGCTGAGACTAGCATCCTTACTTCTCATAGCGGCTCATTAAATGTTATTATGCTGGCTACTCTGGAGATTTCAATATTTAAAAAGGTTTCTTCGGCCAGGCACAGTGGCTTACGCCTGTAATCCCAGCACTTTGGGAGGCCGAGGCAGGCGGATCATGAGGTCAGGAGATCGAGACCACAGTGAAACCCCGTCTCTACTGAAAATACAAAGAATTAGCCGGGTGCGGTGGTGGGCGCCTGTAGTCCCAGCTACTCGGGAGGCTGAGGCAGGAGAACGGCATGAACCCAGGAGGTGGAGCTTGCAGTGAGCTGAGATCGCAACACTGCACTCCAGCCTGGGCGACAGAGCGAGACTCCATCTCAAAAAAAAAAGGGTTTTTTCTAGGGAAATGCACTTTTGTTATTTCCTGTTTAATTTTTTAAAATGGGAAGGGGAACAGAGTACTGTAAAATAAGTATAAGAGTCGGGGCGTGGCTGTGCGCGATGGCTCACGCCTGTAATCCCAGCACTTTGGGAGGCCAAGGCAGGCGGATCATGAGGTCAGGAGATCGAGACCATCCTGGCTAACACGGTGAAACCCCATTTCTACTAAAAATACAAAAAAAAATTAGCCAGGAGTGGTGGCGGGCGCCTGTAGTCCCAGCTACTCTGGAGGCTGAGGCAGGAGAATGGTGTGAACCCGGGAGGTGGAGCTTGCAGTGAGCTGAGTGAGCCACTGCACTCCAGCCTGGGTGACAGAGCAAAACTCCGTCTCAAAAAAAAAAAAAAAAAAGAGTCGGAGTGCAGTGGCTCACACCTGTAATCCCAGCACTGTGGGAGGCCTAGGATAGAGGATTGCTTCAGCCCAGGAGTTCCAGACTAGCCTGGGCAACATAGTGAGACCCCATTTTTACAAAAAAATCAAAAAATTAGCCAGGCATGGTGGTATGCACCTGTAATCCCAGCTATACTGGAGGCTGAAGCAGGAGGATTACTTGAACCCAGGAGGTCCAGCCTGCAGTGAGCTGAGATCATGCCACTGCATTCCAGCCTGGGCTACAAAGCAACACCCTGTCCCCCCAAAAGAAACAAAAATTAAAAGAAAAAAGGTAAGTACAAGCCATGATTGGAGCTGGGCAGGCAATGAAAGGAGAAGTAGGAATCGTTTGGTGCCCAGCCTAGAGGTGAGAGTGACTGGCAGCTGGGGTGGGCCTCATGTCTTCTGTTGGAGAAATGGAGACCAGGGGGCCCAGAAGACAGGTCTCCGTGATGACAGGGTGAGGAGCCGGAAGTTCAGTGACCCAGGGCAGGGTGTGTGCTCTCTCGGCAGGCGAAGCATGAAGCGGAAGGCACTATTCACCTGCCCCTTCAACGGGGACTGCCGCATCACCAAGGACAACCGACGCCACTGCCAGGCCTGCCGGCTCAAACGCTGTGTGGACATCGGCATGATGAAGGAGTGTGAGTGTCCAGGGGCTGGGCAGGGTTTGGGCCTGAAGTGGAGTCAGGGAAAGGCCTTGGCCACTCTCCTGCAAGTTTGGGCAGAGGGTCTGCCTGCCCTTCCTCTGTAGCTGCCAGCATCTGGGGCCAGGGCCTCAGTGGGACCAGCAGCTGGTGACAGGGCAGCTGGAAGTCCAGGGTCAGATGCACTCAGCGGCCCTGTGCACCTCTTGAGGATCTGTGTGTTGGTGTCAGAGGCCCTGGAAGGGTCCCTCCAGAGTGGGGCCTGAGAGGAAGGAGAGGCCGGACACTGCCTTCAAGAGTCCCTTCTACTCCTGGGTCAGGGTCTTCCTCCAGGATGTCATTCTTTTTTCACAGCTCCCTGTTACTCGGACCTAGAGGGAAGAATGAGGTTCAAGGACCCCCAGGTTCTATGGGCTTGGGAAGAGAGGGCTGATGTGGGTTAGGAAGGGCAGGAGTGATGGGGAGAATTAGTATTCAGAGCATAGTTGGCATCCACGTTCTGTCCCACCCCAGCCTCCCAGCCTCTCTGGCGCCTTGAGCAGATCTGAGGGCTTGTGCCAGGGAGAGACCAGGAGGAAAGAGTCTGCCAGGGGAAGCACTGGGTTCTAGGACGACCCTCTGAATCCAGATGGAGAAAGAGGAGTGATTCTATAGGACTTCCTGTCCCTCTCTGGGGTTGGAGAAGACCAACATGGCATATTTACATGGATATTTTGACCCATCACTGAAAACAACACTTGAACTTTGCATCAGAGCTCTAGGACAGTTATTTGGTAACTAGAGTAGGCATTGAATTCAGTAGATGCTGGGAGGGGCCAGCCTGGCCCTCTCTGGGCTGGAGCAAGGCCAGCTGGGCATGGGTGCTCTCTGTACACTCATTCCTTTTTCTCCTTCTCTTGCTCACTCCTGTCTGCCATCTGCATCCAGACCCCCACCCGGCCCTAGGACAGAACCCAGGCCCTCCTAGCTGTGGGTCTGAGGAATCGGAGTCGGAGTCGGGGTGGGGATGTTGCTCAGATGCGGACCCTCCTGGCTATGGGACCGTTTGGAGTGGTTGGGGATGGGGAGAGGTCAGGTAACAGGAAGATGTGTCAGGGACAGAGGATAAGTCACAGAACAGGGCTTAGAGGATAGCAAATTTCTCCGTTAATGGGAAAAAAATTATCTGTTGTTGGGACACAGAGGCAGAGCTGAGGCCCTGACCCTGGGCTTCCTCTTTGGGCCTTGACCTAGGCTTCTCTTCTGTGGGTCATGACTCCTCCCTCCTGATCTGACGGCTCCCCAGCCAACACTGGCAGCCCTGAAAGGTGTTTCCAGGGCTGTGGTTTCTCCACACCATCACAGGGTGCAGGCCTGGGCACGCTGGTCGCTCCTACCCTAGTCCCTGCCACGCCCTGGCTCCTGTGTTTATCCTGGAGAGAATAAGAAGTGGAGGCTGGAGGCCCGGGTGCCTTAAGAGGCTTCACACACATTCTCAGTGGGCCCTGCTCAGGGTGAGGCGTTAGGGTGGGCACCAACAAGGTGTGCTCAGCACAGTCCCATCTCCGCAGAGAAGACAGCCTCTGCAAAGCAGGGAGTCCGGTTTCTAAAGCTCCAGCTAACCAAGACTGGCACGAGGTTCCACTGCAGTGGTTCGTAAGGCACTGCCACAGGAGTTCCCCTCAGGACTAAGCTCACTGATGCCCAAGAGGCCCCTCTCCTACCTCAGGAGGAAGAGGATGTCTTACTGACTTAAAATAGAAAGAACATCTGAGACTCAGAGAGGTAAAGACCTCAGGTCTGGGGTCAGAAAGCAAGTTGGTGGCCAAGCTGGGACTAGAATCAGACTTCATGTCCCCTCCTACCTGCCTCCTGGTCCCCATAAACAGCGCTGCATCCATGGTGAAGAGCAGCACCAGCCTGGGGTAAATCAGGGGGCCCTGCCCAGGAGCACCCTACCACGTGGTGGGAACCCAGCAGCCCAGAAGCGATGTCCACCCCATCCCTCAGCCACGCCCACCCCAGCCTAATTCTCTCCTGTGGAGTCCTGTGTCCCCATCCTGCTGTATGCCCAAGGTAGCTTCTCGCCACACCACCCTCCTCATCCCAGTGCAGGGAGCAGTACTCAGTTCTAGATGGGCTGGTGGAGCGGGGATCCAGTTAAAATAGAAACGTCCTGATGCTTTTTACTTTCCTGAAGGGAAGACTGTCCAGGAAGAGACATTCCCAGCCTCAGGTTAGTCCAGCTTCAGGAGGCCTCACCAGTGTGAAGTCCCCCGGCCTCAGAACCCTGGGAGAGCTGCACATTTCTTATCTGGGCTGGGTTTTGTCCCCAAGGCATAGCATCCCAGAGACAATTGAGTGTCTCAATATTTGTAAAACCACAGGAAGAAAGCTAAAAGCCCAGGCTCCTGCTGTCCGAGCAAGGAGGTGGGCCTTCCATAGAAGAGGCACAGGAAGGGAAAGGATGAGGACAGAAACCCTGTGTATTGACCAACTACTGTGTGTCAGATAGCACATCAAGCACATGCATTTTCTTCTGAAATTCTCACAACACTCCCTAAATACGTAAATACTTTTATTTTTTCAATAGCTGAGGAAGCTCAGAGGAATTAAAATATCATGGCTCTCAGCTAATAAGATGATGGTATCAGCATTCATTCTAATCTAGGTCTTTCTGCTTCCAAAGGGCAGGCTTGTGGGCCACACCCGAGGCAGCCTCTCGTGGCCCCAGTGGGTCGGAGCTCACTCCATTGTGCATTTCCAGGCACTTTCACATGCTCTAAGAGATGGATTGAAGAGAGCTTGGTCCCACCAAAGACTCATTTTCTCTCTTTTCCATTCTTAGTTGACTTTATACCCTGGGAACCCAAGAAATTTTATAACTGAGTTCTTGCTTTTTGCTTATACTATTACCTGTCCTGCACAGAACCACACATTGTGGTAACTTGTTTGATGTTTTTACAGATGTATGTCTTTTCTCCCTGGTGTTAGTAAAGTACCTGGCACATAGTAGGTGCTCAATAAATGTGTGGAATCAATGAATATTAGCTCCTCATTATGCTTCTTTCTCTCTGTATATCTTCCACAGGTCTATAGATCAGTAAGATTCTCCCAAACCTGATCATGTCTGTGCCGTTCATTTGGAAACATTTTATGTCCTCTTCCTGTGGTTGTTCTTAGCCCATCCTTGGCATCTTGAAATGTTTTCAAATTGTTTATGTTGCAGATCTTGGCTTCGTTAAGGAGAGAACATGTCTTGCATGGGAATAACTTGCGCAAAATTATTTCACACTCAGCAAGGAGCTTAAAATGAAGTCAAAAAAAGCTTCTGAGCAGCCATGTAGGTTTTACAAAGTCCACATGCCAAAACTCATGCACTTTAGACGCCTGATCACCAGACAGCCCAACACTCTTTCAGAACCTGTTTACTCTTATTCTAGGTCAATGGCTTCATATATCATATAGTGTCTTCCTATATGATAGTAATGACATCTTAGGTTCAATCCATTGAAAAAATGATAAGAAATTTCCCATGAAATTAACAAGATCTTTAAACAAATTATTTCGTAAATCACAGTGCATTTGCATATGTGAAAGACTTTAGACTTATTCAGTCCTCAAGCAATGTTGCCTTGCAGAAGGCTCATGGATTGGGCCTGTGTGAAACTGGTAGATCTCAGCATTTCTTCCTCTGTTACCTCCATAGAAGATGGAGGTTGCTATTTGATGCAAGTGACTGGGAGGAATCATGTTATAGGGTTAAACTTGAACTTTCTTTGTCTCTTTAAAGTGGGTAATTTACAAGCTTTGTGACTTAATTTTATTTTCACACTCTTCAGATGGATTGGAACACAATGCCTGTCAAAACTCCATGGCTGAAAGCCAAAGTCCGCTTATAACCAGATGTAATCAGACACAGTAGAGGCTAGTGGTTATGACCTTCCACTCCAGAACCAGACTGCCCAGGTCTAAATGCTGGTTTCACCACTGTTAGCTGTGTGACTTTGAGAAAGGTAGAAAGCCTCTCTGGGCCTCAGCTCCCTCATCTGCTAAATGGGAATAACAACAGCACCTGCCTTAAAGGGTTGTCATGAGGGCTAAATATATGAGTTAATATACAAAAGGCTCTCAGAATAGTGCCTTATAGATAGAAAAACTCTTTATGTGCCATCCAGCATTACGAATATTTTCTTTTTATTACATCAAACTTGATCACCAGAACTTCTAGCTCCCAAGAGATCAGAAGTAAGTCTTAAGGGGGAGAAAGGCACACATCCAGAGGCAGACACCAATAAGAAGACAACGCATAGTTTAACAGGGAGGTGGACACTGGAAGCAAGAAAAGCAGCCCAAGAACTCCAAAGCCCAGCACGCCAAGCCATGCAATGCGGGGCAGACAGCCTCTGACAACTCTGAGGCTGTAACCTTGTCCTGCAATGTTCAGTAATTATTCAGAATGATACCTCTGAATCATCAGGGAAAGGTTATATGACGTTAAAAGTGTTCCGTTACAAGGTTTTCTGTCTTGAAAATCTTTCCATAACAATTGTTTCAATAAAAGAGGTCAGCTTTCTCAGCTCTCTGGTGTGCCAGGTGCCATTCACTACATTGCAGGAGACAAGCAGCACTAGAGTACTCACTAGCCTTTCCTGAACCAGGAAAATGATTTGCACACAGTTGGTGTAATCTGTGTGGATGCATTTGATATTTGGTGTCAGACTATTGAGCAGACACCACGGCCAGGTAGCCCCTCCGGTCTAGCCTTTATGGGGGAAATATAAGAATTGTAAGACAAAGGCCGGGCATGGTAGCTCACGCCTGTAATCCCAGCACTTTGGGAGGCCAAGGCGGGCAGATCACCTGAGGTCAGGAGTTTGAGACCAGCCTGGCCAACATGGTGAAACCCCATCTCTACTAAAAATACAAAAAAATTGGCCAGGCATGGTGGCATGTGCCTATAAGCCCAGGTACTCTGTAGCCTGAGGCAGGAGAATCGCTTAGAACCCGGGAGGTGGAGGTTGCAGTGAGCCGAGGTGGTGCCACTGCACTCCAGCCTGGATAATAGAGCGAGAGTCTGTGAAAGAAAGAAAGAAAGAAAGAAAGAAAGAAAGAAAGAAAGAAAGAAAGAAAGAAAGAAAAAGAAAGAAGGAAGGAAGGAAGGAAGGAAGGAAGGAAGGAAGGAAGGAAGGAAGGAAAGAAGGAAGGAAGGAAGGAAGGAAGGGAAAGGAAGGGAGAGAAAAGAAAGAATTGTAAGACATGGACCCTGCCCTTAAGTAACTTGTAATCTAGAGAAAGAGACCTTGAACTTCTTGGGCTCCGTCTATAGGTAATGAATTGAAAACTGTGCTAACCATGAGTCTTACAGAGCAGAAGATAATTGGGTGTCAATGTGTGTGGGAAAGACTAAATATGTAGCAGGCATAGGAAATGAGGCTCAGCAGAAAAAAACAAGGCTTGATGCAGATCAGGGCAATCAAGAAATGCTTCATGGAAAAAGATGGCTATGATGTAGGCACTGAAGAACTGGTAGAACTCATACAGGTTTGGGGGAGAGAAAACCCAGCTGGACGGGCACCTAGCACAACTGGAAATGCAGGGGCGAGCATGAGCAGGTCATGTTCCCAGGCCAGCAGCAATGCCAGCATGCCCAGAACAGAGGCTGTGTCCAGAAGCACTAAGACATGAAGTCTGAAAGTTAGGAAGAGGCCAACTTTAGTTTGGACGTGGTCATCAGTAGGGGCCGAGAAAAGTATCTGGGCAGGAGAATGGCATCACAGAATCACTGGAAAGTTAGCAAAGTCCAGTCAGGCTGAGCTACGTGCCTGTAGACACCATGGTGTGGCTGGCAGAAACAGGTCTCCCTAACTCTGGTCCCCAGGTGAGCAGGAAAGACAAGACACCTAATCTTGGGCTCCCCAAGCGAGGGCTTACCCCCATTGCCTTCCCTGGATGCTCCCTGCCCCTTCCTCTCCCACCCTGCCTGACCTGGTAGGGTCTGTGCAGACACCCACTGTGGGAGGAGAGTTGGCAGCTGTTTGGGCAGGTGAGTCAGTCACCTGGGTGTGGTCTACTCCCAGGCTCCCTGTGGAGGGAAGCACCATCTCTTGCAGTAGCGCTCGCTTTCCTGCCATGCCTGTGGCATTGGCTGTCCACTCCCTCCCAGCATAGGCTCTTCCTCACCCCACAGCAACTTCTCTCGTCCTCCCCCTACCTGAGGGCCTGGGCCAATGGACCTTTCTCAAAGCCTGGAACTCACCCACCCTGGGCTTCTGGTTCCTTTCTCTGCTCTTGTGAAACTCCCCAGTTCTGTGGGCAGATGCCCTGGCAGCAGCAGCACCAAGCAAGTAGCTACAGGCCAAAGGCCCTGGTGCCCACTCCTGCCGTCAGCACTCAGCAAGCCACAGCCAGGAGGTCTGTTTGCCCAGCCGCCGTGCCAGGCACCTTTGCTCCCAGCATCCCCTCCACCCCCACAGCTGCCCCAGCACAGGGAGGCAGGCAGAAGCCTGCAGGTGGTGGTGGGGCTCTCTATGGCCCCACACCCTGATTAGTGGCTGGAGAGAACTTCTAAGATTAGAGCTGCAAGGCCTCACCCTTTGGGGCCTTCAAGAGGACTTGAAAACTTCCATGGACAGAAATGTCAAGGCTGTACATGCTGGAGGAGGGGTGGTTTTGCAGAGAACCAAAGAGGTCTAGTCTTTCTATATTCCACAGTCCCATGTCTGGAAACCTGGATGTGGAGACAGCCACATAGAGGAGTCCTCTCCACATCTCACTTCCAGCGCTATGAGAGCTCTGGCATCCTCTCTTCACCCTGATATCTTCTTCAGGATCATGGAACATCAGGGTAGGGAAGAGAAGAGAACTAACATTTAGTGAGCATCTGCTCTGGGCCAGGCATGCATCCAGTTCTCAAATCAGTTGATCCTTTGAGGCAGGTATTATTACTTCCCCCACCTGCATGTCAACACACACAGACACACACACACACACTTTATGGAGGAAGGTACAAGAAAGGAACCTTGGAAGAACTTACATGGTCCAAATCTCTCATTTTACAAACAAAAGAACAAAAGCCCAGAGAGTTTGCCCAAGGTCCCACAACTTGTTCTTGAGAACCCCGACTCCCTAAAGCCCAGATCATCCCCCCTCTCAAATCCTCTTTTTCTTCTTCTTGCATGTGCCTTCCTTTTCACCATAGCAAACCCAATTTTTCTTCACACAGTGGAGTGGGAGTCTCCGTGGCAGGAGGACCCCCGAGGGAGCCCCGAGTGTTAAAGCCCCTCCTATCTTGGACCTTTACCCCCAACCGCAGGAGGAAGGTTTCCTGGAGGAGCTGCTGGCCAGCCCTCCTGACTCCCCTTCCCACCCCACAGTCATTCTGACAGATGAGGAAGTGCAGAGGAAGCGGGAGATGATCCTGAAGCGGAAGGAGGAGGAGGCCTTGAAGGACAGTCTGCGGCCCAAGCTGTCTGAGGAGCAGCAGCGCATCATTGCCATACTGCTGGACGCCCACCATAAGACCTACGACCCCACCTACTCCGACTTCTGCCAGTTCCGGGTATGTCTGCCTGCTGGGAGGATGAGCCGGTCCAGAGGAGAAGCACTAGTGGAGCCAGGGCCCAGGGAGTAGGGACAGAGGGCAGGGGACATCCTGAACAGAACTGGGGTAGGGACGGAGGCTGCTCTGCCCCTGGCACTGGGAGGCTTCGCCTTCCTGTAGACCTTCCTCAAAGCCATTCCTATCAGAGATCAGGGCCAAGGTAGGAAGGCAACCCCAAAATGTGGGTCTGAGACCCCATCTTTCCCTTCCAGCCTCCAGTTCGTGTGAATGATGGTGGAGGGAGCCATCCTTCCAGGCCCAACTCCAGACACACTCCCAGCTTCTCTGGGGACTCCTCCTCCTCCTGCTCAGATCACTGTATCACCTCTTCAGGTAAGCAGGACTTCAGTCCTCCATAGAGTAAGGGAGCGGGGGCGAGGAGTCCACCGCACCTGCCCTGGGGCTGCTGGATGGAAGGAGGTGGAAGGCTCCCTAATGGAAACTTACATAAATACTGTGCGCTATGCAGCGTCTTCACAACAGCCCCTCTGTTACAGAAAGGGGTGACTTACCCAAGGGCCCACACTGGGGAAGAGGCCAAGCTGGGATTCCAGCTGTGTAGCATCAGCCTCCCGGGCCCATGCTGTTTCCTCTAAGCCAGGCTTCAGCCCATGGCCCCCTCCGTGGAGGTGACCTGCTTCCTTTACGTGATATTTTAATCCTGGGCCCTTCAGAAGGTGAAATTTGGAGTGGGAAGGTGAACGTGTTGGTCCTATTGAGGTCCACCTTCCACTTGAGCTCTGGGGACCACTCTGGCCCTGGAGGACCTGTCCCCTCCAGCTCAGCTGAGAGTCTGGGAGGCATCATGCTTTCCTTCCTTTCTTTTTTTTTTTTTTTTTAAAAAAAACACATATGTATATTTAGAAAAGAAATTGTGCTGTATACAATCTGATGACTTGCTTTTTTTTATATGGCATTGTTTTTCCATACCAGTTAGTACGCATCCAGAATATAATTTTTAAGGGCTGCATAGTATTCTGGAATACAATAATGTACCTAATCCCCTACCATTGGATATCTGGATTATTTCTCAGCATTTTAATAAGAAAACAGTATACTTGTAGCCAAATATTTACACTTATCGGAAATTTTCCCTTACAATGAATTCCAGGAAGTGTGACTACTGGTCAAAGAGTACACACAATTATTTGACTAATGTCAAATAGCTTTCTAGAGTACCTTCAGTAATGTGCACCTCCTTTAGCACCCCAGCCCTCATAGGCATTGCCTAATTTCCTGCATCTTTATAAATACTGGCATCAATATTTAAACATTTTTGTTTCTGGTTTGTAGGTGAAAATTATAGATGTTCTACACTGCAGTTCTTTGACCATTAGCAAGGTTGAACATTTTTTTCCATGACTTGATGGGTCCCAAATTCTTTCTTGATTGAGATCCATAGGAACAGCACACAGTCTGCTTGAGGAAGTCTCATTGCTCTGAGTGTCTCTGGCTCTTTGATTTTACTGCCTTATGCTGCTGAAAGAGGCAGAGAGAGTCCCAGAGGGAAGCCTGGGGCTGAAGGGTGACCTGTGGAGTCACTGTGGGATTCCCAGCTGGCTCTGCTGCCAGGGCACACCAGGTTTTTGCAGGGTCTGGCAGGAGGGGGCCTGGTCCAAGTATCCTTAAATAGCTCCTTCTCTTCCCTCATCTCTCCCAGACATGATGGACTCGTCCAGCTTCTCCAATCTGGATCTGAGTGAAGAAGATTCAGATGACCCTTCTGTGACCCTAGAGCTGTCCCAGCTCTCCATGCTGCCCCACCTGGCTGACCTGGTCAGTTACAGCATCCAAAAGGTCATTGGCTTTGCTAAGATGATACCAGGATTCAGGTAAGAAACTTCTGCAATCTCTGGGGAACAGAGTCAGAGTCCTAGACTGAGCTACAAGAAGGGTTGGAGATCACTCATCCACCACTTCTTTTTTTTATTTTTTATTTTTTTAAACGGCATCTTGCTCTGTCACGCAGGCTGGAGTGCAGTGGCGCGATCTCGGCTCACTGCAACCTCCGCCTCCTAGGTTCAAGCGATTCTCCTGCCTCAACCTCCCAAGTAGCTGGGATTACAGGCACCAGACACCACGCCCGGCTAATTTATTTATTTATTTATTTATTTATTTATTTTTATTTTTTTTCCAGACAGATTCTCGCTCTGATGCCCAGGCTGGAGTGCAGTGGCACTATCTTGGCTCACTATAACCTCCGCCTCCCGGGTTCAAGTGATTCTCCTGCCTCAGCCTCCTAAGTAGCTGGGATTACAGGTGTGGGCCACCAAGCCCGGCTAATTTTTATAATTTTAGTAGAGACGGGGTTTCACCACGTTGGCCAGGCTGCTCTCGATCACCTGACCTCGTGATCCAACCACCTTGGTCTCCCAAAGTGCTGGGATTACAGGCATGAGCCATCGCGCCCTGCCCTAATTTTTTTATTTTTAGTAGAGACGGAGTTTCGCCATGTTGGCCAGGCTTGTCTCAAACTCCTGACCTCAAGTGATCCACCCACCTCAGCCTCCCAAAGTGCTGGGATTACGGGCATGAGCCACAGCAGCCAGCCTCCATTGCTTCTTTAAAATAGAGATTCAGACCCTACCCTAGACCTGCGAAATCAGAATCTCTGGCGTAGGCCCAGAAATCTGTATTTAGAAAGTGCAGCCTGTCTTGCGTTACTCTGCAGGCCAGCACTGGAGAGCTAGTCCATCCCCGCACTTTCTGGATGATGGTGTGGAAGCCCAGAGAGGTCCAATGGCCAGCCAGGATCCCTTCCAGGTGTTGGAGCCAGCATGTCAGAGCCAGGCCTAGAACTCCCAGCTCACTGCTGTGTTCACTCCAGCTGGCTTGACTGGAATCCTCATATTATCTCTTTAAATTCAACGATATGATTCCTCCACACCCCAACTCTGAGAGCAGAATGAAGTGATAGAGAGAAGGGCTTGGCCATGTAGACTTGTGAAACAGTCTAGGAATCCTGGAGAGAGATAGGTTTACTGGCATATATGACCCTGGCATCCTTCACCAAAATGTACATTTAAAGACCATTTCCTGGCTGGGCACAGTGGCACATGCCTATCCCAACACTTTGAGAGACTGAGGTAGGAGGATTGCTTCAGCCCAGGAGTTCCAGACCAGCCTGATCAACATAGTGAGACCTCTTCTCTACAAAAAAAAAAAATTATAAATTAGCCAGGTGTGGTTGCACATGCCTGTAGTCCCACCTACTAGGGAGGCTGAGGCAGGAGAATCACTTGAGCCCAGGAGGTCAAGGCTACAGTGATCCATGATTTCACCACTGCACTCCAGCCTGGGCAACAGAGCAAGACCCTGTCTCAAAAAAGAAAAAAATAAAGACCATTTCCTAACCATACTGATACATTTTTGCCAAAATATATAAGTATAAGGAGTTCTACTGGAGAAGGGATCCTCCTTTATCAATTCATTCATATAAATTTCATTCATTTATTCCTATGTTTCATTGTTTTAACACTAGTACTGTATATAATACTTATATTTAAATACTCATGCAGTGTTAATTTTTTTTTTCTTTTTTGAGACGGTTTCGCTCTTTTCACCTAGGCTGGAGTGCAATGGCGCGATCTCAGCTCACTGCAACCTCCGCCTTCCAGGTTCAAGCAATTCTCCTGCTTCAGCCTCCCAAGTAGCTGGAACTACAGGAGCGTGCCACCATGCCTGGCTAATTTTTTGTATTTTTTTTGAGACAGAGTTTCCCTCTTGTTGCCCAGGCCGGAGTACAATGACGCGATCTCAACTTACTGCAACCTCTGCCTCCTGGGTTCAAGCAATTCTCCTGCCTCAGCCTCCTGAGTAGCAGAAATTACAGGCACGCACCACCACGCCTGGCTAGTTTTGTATTTTTAGTAGTAGAGTTGGGGTTTCACCATCTTGGCCAGGCTGGTCTTGAACTACTGACCTCAGGTGATCTGCCAGCCTCAGCTTCCCAAAGTGCTGGGATTACAGGCATGAACCACCACGCCCGGCCAATATTCTTTTTTTTTTTTTTTTTAATTGAGGCAGAGTCTCGCTCTGTCGCCTAGGCTGGAGTGCAGTGGCATGATCTCGGCTCACTGCAAGCTCCGCCTCCCGGGTTCACGCCACTCTCCTGCCTCAGTCTCCCGAGTAGCTGGGATGACAGGCGCCCGCCACTACGCCCGGCTAATTTTTTTGTATTTTTAGTAGAGACAGGGTTTCACCGTGTTAGCCAGGATGGTCTTGATCTCCTGACCTCGTGATCCGCCTGTCTCGGCCTCCCAAAGTGCTGGGATTACAGGCATGAGCCACTGCCGGCCAATATTCTTAAAACAATAGAGTATTGACACATTTAATAGATGTGTTGGGAAATGGCTATATTTATGTATATTTGTATCTTCATTCTTCCCCAAAGTTCATTTGGTATATTGCCATAAAATACATAAACAATATGGTTGAGAAAGAGAAGTAAATCAATCTCAAGCAATGTTATTGTCTTTCAAGTAGCAGCAATAGCTGTATTTACGGCAGAAGGGGCAAAATGCTTCCTAGATACTAATGCTCAGATTCAGTGCTGGAATATGGGGAGCTGGAAAATGAGTTAACATTGCCGGCTCTGGATGGAAACAGATTATGAGGTGCCATATATTGGTGTATGGCCCTCTTAGCTGTGTAGAAAAGCCATGAGTTATTGCCGAAATTAATGCCTTGCCAGTGAGATGATGGTCATTCACAGAGCTAAACCCAGAACTTTCCAGTTTGTTTCTGCCCTGAGAAAACTGGCTCTGTGTTATTTTATGCCTCTCACCAACCCAAATAACAGAAATTTTTCGATGCTCTTCCCCTGGAATTAATGTGAAAATGGTGAAGAAGAGAAAACTGGCAGACAGTGCTGAGACACTCCTACTGCATTGCACATTTTGGTTGTAGTGATAGGAGCGAGGGCCCCTCTGGCAGGCAGGCAAGCAGGAGCAAGCGACAGATCTTGTGTGAGCCCGGCATTGCTCTGAGCCCAGGGTTTACCCTCAGAGGCTTTCTTTGGAACTGACAACACATTCCGTAGAGCACAAGTTCCAACTCCCTCCTCCACGCTTCACGTTACTGTTTGCAAACTCCACATATTCCAAAGTCTTGTTTTGTGTAAACAGCTAGGGAAAAAACACAGAAGCACTCGGCTTCCATCCTCATGTCAGGCAGCAGTCCTTGTCTACACAGGCTTCATCCTTCCCTGCTCTAGTGGGGAGTAGGACAGAGGGCCCCCACGGCCCTTTCCAGATACAGTGATTCCAGGTTCAGTGATTCCAATGGTGGCTGAGATTGCATACACGGGAAAGCTGCCCTAAAAAGAAAGTTACTCATTAAATCGGATTACTCCAATGCTGCCCCCTTCACTAAGGAACCCCAGCCTCCAATTTCTCCCATGCTCAAGGCCCCTATCCATTGCCCTCCCACATGTACCCTGACACAAATAGCACTACTCTCAGTTTCTCTTCCCGAGGTTAAGTTGAAGTCTGCCCTCTTCCTTTCATCATGTTCTCCTCTGTCCCCTAGTCTGTCCTTGCAACTCATGGCTAAAGTGAGGTACATATGGCAGGTACAGGAGCTGCCCAGCCATTGATGCAAAATGGGTTAAACTGATCCTGAACATGCTAGGGTTGGCTTCTCTGTCTTCAGTATGACTTGAGAAGTCCCAGAGCAGAAGGTATGCCAATGAAAATGGAGCAGGCCTTGCTAAGAGAGCTTGCAGGGACACTGGTATGGACGCTCTCTGTGACTGGACAGAGGTGATGCTGAGCCTGGACTGGAGCCCAAACCTAGGCTCCAACTGGGCCCAGGGTGGGCCAGCCCAGTAGCTCTCTGGTTCTGCTGCTTTCCACACTTAGGGGTTCTATTGTTCCAAGACATAGAAGAACAGTGGCTGCATCCCTGGTGGCTTTGATCTTGCTGCCTGCAGGCAGGGGCGGAGGGTGTGGGGAAGGCAGGATGAGACTTCTGTGTGGGTGTGTGGGGGCACAGGATGAGTCTCCAGTGGGGGCATGAGACCAACGTGGGGCAGGGCTGGATGGGCTGTTCTTGGTGTGAACTGTGCTACAGTGTGGCCTTGGCCTGCTCTCTCCTCCCATCTCTCCTCCCTTAGCCTCTCAGTCTCACCCCACAAATCTCCCTCCCTGCTGGCACTGCAAATGAAATGCATGGAGGAGGTGGCATCAGCAGCAGCATCTAAATGGCCAAGAGCAGCCTTAGATCTGAGGACTTGGGACCCCCAGGCTTCACTGACAAGTAAAGTACACAAGAGACCAGGCCACATAAGCTGCAGCCCTGCCCTCTTCTGCTAAATGCCTTCACCTTCATTGCCATTTCCATACCTAGGGAAGAGCCCTGGGGGTTATCATGCTTCCTTCGTGCTGTGCCCTTTCTCCACATTCATTTCTTCATCCATCCAACAAATAGCTTTCTTACATAAACTGTGAGGGACAAAAGTTGTTGAGAAGACAGTCCCTGGCATCCAGGGATTTGGTGTCTGATGAAAGAGATAGACATGTAAACAATTGCTGCAAGGAGATAAGAGCCCTGCTACAAGCCTGCTGGAGGTACCGTGGGAATGCGGGAGGGGAGGGGAGGGGCCGGGCTCTGCCTGTGGGGGTGGGAAAGACGAAACAGCAACACAATTCCAGTCACATCTCGGGTGCCCAGAAGCGGCTGCAGGCGTGAAGACAGAGGAGGGTGTAAATGTCACACAGGTGAGGGAGGGGGAACGGAGCTGTGCTGGTGCCTATCATCGTGGAACAAGCTCTCTTATGGCTTCCCCTGTAACTCCACCTCTACTCCCACCACGCCACCATCCCTGGTCCTGGCTGTGAGCTGTATTTAGAAAGGCCCTGTATTTCCAGGCTGTGGGCAGTCATTTGGGGTCGTTTTGGGTTTGTGTTCCTAGCAGCAGGATGTCTGGATCACAAAAGCAGTGATCCCACTAAAACCTCTCTGGCCTGCATCCATGGAAGATGTGTTCACTGCTGGCCATCTGTTTGAGTGGGGCACTGAACAAAAGGCTATGTATAAAGTTATTCCTCCCAGAATTACCTATGATAGCAAAAATTGGAAGCAATCAAAATGTTCAAAAATAGATAAATGGAAGACTGGCTCAATAACTTAGAGTATACTGTTATGATGTAACATCATGCAACCCTCTAAGAACTGGGCTAAATAATTTTGAGTGATATAGGAAGTAGGATAAAGAATTAGTATAAGCTCCAGTATGTTAAATGTATACTCCCTCTCTCTATGTATATTTGTGGGTATATATATATTTGCATAGAAAAAAGACAGGAAGGTGCCAGGCACGGTGGCTCACACCTATAATCCCAGAACTTTGGGAGGCCAAGGTGGGCAGGACTCACTTGAGGTCAGGATTCAAGAGCAGCCTGGCCAACATGGTGAAACCCCATATCTACTAAAAATAGAAAAATTAGCCAGGTGTGGTGGCACATGCCTGTAGTCCCAGCTTCTCCGCAGGCTGAGACAGGAGAATTGCCTGAACCCGGGAGGCAGAGGTTTCAGTGAGCCGAGATTGCACCACTGCACTCCAGCCTGGGTGACAGAGCAAGACTGTCTCAAAAAAAAAATTAAAATAAATAAATAAGAAAAAAAGATAGGAAGAAAATACGCCAAAATGTGAAGTGTGGTTATGAGCAAATTTAATTTGTTTTTACATTTTTATGTATTTTCCAAAGATTTGATAATGAGTATGTTTTACTTGTATAATGAGTCAAAACAAAAATGGGGATGGTGTTCATTTTTGTGTTTTAAATGTGGATTGAGCATCTAGAGAAAAGTGACAAGGATGGTGAGATGTTAGACATTGTGTCATTAGACTATCTGAAGGAGGACACGG
Source organism: Homo sapiens (assembly GCF_000001405.40). NCBI lineage: Eukaryota > Metazoa > Chordata > Mammalia > Primates > Hominidae > Homo > Homo sapiens. Next base: position 47,849,591 of record NC_000012.12, on the reverse strand, counting down.
CAGTTTTCCTTTTTAAAAAACTCCATTAGTTATGGTTCAAAGGAAGTCCCATGGCTAGTGGAGAAGTCTGGTTCTGGGTTTATTGAGCACAAAACTGTAAACCACAAATGAGTGTACTATCACGTGGATTGTAGCTCAATAGAAGAGGTCATTAATCTCGGCGCTAACAACCCCATGGCTGTGTCCAGAGGCCCTGAGCTCCCTGACCCTAGGAGAGTCCTGCAGAGGTTATGTAGGAGCCATCTCTAAGAGTTCCTAAGAGGGGCCCTCCAACTCTAGCACGTTGTGATTTTTTTTCAATACAGATCCTTTGCTGGCCATCCTGATCATGCAAGCCTTCTCATTTCCCACCATCTATCACCCATTGATACAACACTCTCATCAGTTAATATCAGCTTCCCATCTTTATATATAAACATGCAGCCATTGACGGGGTGACAGCCTATCTGCAGGATATCCAGGAGGAAGTAGACAGTCAGGAAGAGAAAGGGAGTAAAAGCCAGAAGCAAGCTGATTTGTGAGCCCTGCCTTTTCCTCGCCATTGTTCAGACAAGCCCATTCCTGACTCAGAATAGTGGAACTAGTCATTGGCCTCTCAAATCATCAACGCATCTCTATTGATCATCTTGTGCTGACGGCTCAATGGTCAGTGTGTGGGCAACAGTAAGGTGATTAAGAGGAGGTGCTGGCCCCCAAGTAACTTACAAACAAGAGTAGAAAACAAGTGGCCGGGTGCAGTGGCTCACGCCGTAATCCCAGCTCCTTGGGAGGCTGAGGCAGGCAGATTATCTGAGGTCAGGAGTTCGAGACCAGCCTGGCCAACATGGCGAAACCCCGTCTCTACTAAAAATACAAAAATTAGCTGAGTGTGGTGGCAGGTGCCTCTAATCCCAGCTACTCAGGAGGCTGAGGTAGGAGAATTGCTTGAACCTGGGAGGTGGAGGTTGCAGTGAGCCAAGATCTCACCACTGCACTCCAGCCTGGGCAACAGAGCAAGACTCTGTCTCAAAAAAAAAAAAAAAAAAAAAAAAAAAAAGGAGTAGAAAACAAGCATGTAAAGAGCAGAACTGGAGGAGACGGGCAAAATAAGAGCACCAGCAATGTTCAAGGCATCACAATGACATGGCCCTAACTGTGCTAAAGAGTCAGAAGGTGCGGGGCTCCAGTGGAAAACACAGTGGATTCAGGACCAGAAAAACAAAATGGAGAATTAGAAGGGTATTCCTGGCTGGAGCTGTAGTATGCTGAAAGGCGTGGTGATGGCTGGGTGCAGTGGCTCACACCTGTAACCCTGGTTCTTTGAGAGGCCAAGATGAGAGGATCACTTGAGGCCAGGAATTTGAGACCAGCCTGGGCCACATAGTGAGACACCATCCCTACAAAAAAAATTTAAAAATTAGCTAGGCGTACACCTGTAATCCCAGCACTTTGGGAAGCCTAGGCAGGCAGATCACAAGGTCAGGAGATCGAGACCATCCTGGCTAACACTGTGAAACCTCGTCTCTACTAAAAATACAAAAAAAAATTAGCTGGCCATGGTGGCGGGCACCTGTAGTCCCAGCTACTCGGGAGGCTGAGGCAGGAGAATGGCGTGAACCTGGGAGGCGAAGCTTGCAGTGAGCCGAGATCGCGCCACTGCACTCCAGCCTGGGCGACAAAGTGAGACTCCGTCTCAAAAAAAATTAGCTAGGCGTGATGGTGTGCACCTGTAGTCCCAGCTACTTAGGAGGCTGAGGCAGGAGGACTGCTTGAGCCCAGGAGTTTGAGGCTGCAGTAAGCCATAATCATTCTGTTGCACTCCAGCTTGTGTGACAGAACAGGACACTGTCTCTAAAAATACTAATAAAAGAAATTAGCTGAGCATGGTGGCGCATGCTTGTAGTCTTAGCTATTCGGAAGGCTGAGGTGGGAGACTCACTTGAGCCCAGGAGTTTGAGGCTGTAGCATGCTATGATCATAACACTGCACTCCAGCCTCAGCAACAGAGTGAGATCCTGTCACAAGAAAAAAAAAAGGCACAGTGAGAACACACAGCATCTGAATGTGGAGTGGCATGATGCTGCTAGAATGGAAGGTTGGTGGAGTTTACCATGGGAAAGGGAGTTGGAATGAGAGGTTGGAGCCAAGTTAGGGAGTGTGGGCCTGATCCTAGGGTGTTTGAGAGTCAGTGAAGATTTCTGAGTGCAAGAGGACATTGACCTGCAGCAGTGGTAAGAAAGATGAATGAGAGACTGGAGAGACACAAGTCTGGGATTCCTGTAAGAGGCTATTGGAAAAGACGCTGGAGCTCTGAACCAGGGCACTCCTGGTAGGAGTGGGAATAAGATCACGGGCTTGAGAGACATCCTAGAGACAGAGTTGGCTGAATTTACTACTGAGAAGGACTGGAGGACAGTAGGAGGGAGAGGAGGAGAAAACTTGGGTGTTGTTGAAGATACCATGGCCCTACCTTTTGCAGACCACCATATTCATGCCTCAATGCTGGGAACTTCCCTGGGCTCCGTTTCCTGTGCCCCATAGCTCTGGCTGCTTGGTCTCTGAGTTTTTCTTGTCTTAGTAACTGAGCTACTTCACTTCTGGCCTTGGCACATGATCACAGTGTTGAACTGTTCTCTCTCAAGGAACACTCTTGTCCCTTCCAGCCAGCCTGCAAGCTCCTCGATGAAAGACCCAGGGTGCATGTTGGTGCCCAGCAGGTGTATACCTGTCAAAGCACTAAACTGATTTGTGTGGCTTGAAGGCGTTTACTGGTAACCTGACCTCCTTCCCTCCCTCCCCTGCAGAGACCTCACCTCTGAGGACCAGATCGTACTGCTGAAGTCAAGTGCCATTGAGGTCATCATGTTGCGCTCCAATGAGTCCTTCACCATGGACGACATGTCCTGGACCTGTGGCAACCAAGACTACAAGTACCGCGTCAGTGACGTGACCAAAGGTATGCCTAGACTCCACCTCCTGGGGAGTCTTTTTCAGCTCCCAGATTCTGGCTCCACCCGTCCTGGGGTTTGGCTCCAATCAGATACATGGGAGGGAGTTAGGCACCAACAGGGAGAGAAGGGCGAGGGTCAGACCCATGGGGTTGGAGGTGGGTGGGCGGCTCCTCAGCTCTGCCCGCAGTACCTGGCCATTGTCTCTCACAGCCGGACACAGCCTGGAGCTGATTGAGCCCCTCATCAAGTTCCAGGTGGGACTGAAGAAGCTGAACTTGCATGAGGAGGAGCATGTCCTGCTCATGGCCATCTGCATCGTCTCCCCAGGTATGGGGCCAGGCAGGGAGGAGCTCAGGGACCTGGGGAGCGGGGAGTATGAAGGACAAAGACCTGCTGAGGGCCAGCTGGGCAACCTGAAGGGAGACGTAGCAAAAGGAGACACAGATAAGGAAATACCTACTTTGCTGGTTTGCAGAGCCCCTGTGGTGTGTGGACGCTGAGGTGCCCCTCACTGCCCTTAGCTCTGCCTTGCAGAGTGTGCAGGCGATTCGTAGGGGGGATTCTGAGGAACTAGATAAGCAGGGTTCCTGGGGCCACAGACAGGCCTGCGCATTCCCAATACTCAGGCTCTGCTCTTGCGTGAACTGGGCTCAACATTCCTGTTATTTGAGGTTTCTTGCGGGCAGGGTACAAAACTTTGGAGCCTGAGAGATGGTTCTGCCTATATAGTTTACCTGATTGATTTTGGAGGCAATGTGCAGTGACCCTTGACCTCTTCCGCTGGTTAGAGGTGAGAAGAGGGAGAAAAGGCCGAAGAGGAAGTTATTGTGACCTTGGGGACATGATGTCGGTGATGAGGTCCAAAGAGGGGCGGCCCTGCCTCAGCCTGTGCTAGTGGCCTGTGCCCAGGGATGCTTTCCTGGACTGGAGGCTCAAGGAATGGAGATGGGCTCCTCTACCCCTGCCCAGCCAGCCTTCTCTCATTCATTCATCCACTTAGCAACAATTTATTGAGCACCTATTAGGTACCAGGCACTATGCTAGGTACTGGGGTTCAGCAGCAAATGGGACACAGGCTCCTCTCCCATGAAGCTTAGGAGGAAACATTAAACAAATGTTATTTAATTATTAATTCCTAACAAGGCAAGAGTTTTAAAAATAAAGTAAGTGATGCTACAGAAGGGTAGAATAGAAGGAGGGAAGCTGACGTGGTCTGGGCTACAGAGGTAGAGTGTTGCCAGGAATGGCCTTTTGGAGGAAGACCTTTTAAGCTGTTATCCAAAGGATCAGTAAGAGTCTGGCAAAGATAGCAGAGCAGAGTTCCAAGCAGAGGGAGCACAGATGTGAAGGCTGGTGGCCAGAGAGCATGGCGCATCGGGACGCTGAGGGATGGACAGAGCATGGACAGGGAGCAAGGCCAGGCAGGGACAGGGCCAGGTGCGCCCATGGAAGGACCTAGGTCTGGATCCTAAATGCACGGAGAAGTCACTGGAGGGCTTTGGGGCCAGGCAGTGGTATCACCGGTCAGCAGTCATAGAGGGGTGGCCTAGGGGGTGCTGCCGTTGAGTGTCTGTGTGGGTGGGGGGTGGTGGGATTGAGCAGTGAGGGGCCCAGCTGAGAGCTCCTGTGCCTTCTTCTCTATCCCCGTGCCCACAGATCGTCCTGGGGTGCAGGACGCCGCGCTGATTGAGGCCATCCAGGACCGCCTGTCCAACACACTGCAGACGTACATCCGCTGCCGCCACCCGCCCCCGGGCAGCCACCTGCTCTATGCCAAGATGATCCAGAAGCTAGCCGACCTGCGCAGCCTCAATGAGGAGCACTCCAAGCAGTACCGCTGCCTCTCCTTCCAGCCTGAGTGCAGCATGAAGCTAACGCCCCTTGTGCTCGAAGTGTTTGGCAATGAGATCTCCTGACTAGGACAGCCTGTGGCGGTGCCTGGGTGGGGCTGCTCCTCCAGGGCCACGTGCCAGGCCCGGGGCTGGCGGCTACTCAGCAGCCCTCCTCACCCCGTCTGGGGTTCAGCCCCTCCTCTGCCACCTCCCCTATCCACCCAGCCCATTCTCTCTCCTGTCCAACCTAACCCCTTTCCTGCGGGCTTTTCCCCGGTCCCTTGAGACCTCAGCCATGAGGAGTTGCTGTTTGTTTGACAAAGAAACCCAAGTGGGGGCAGAGGGCAGAGGCTGGAGGCAGGGCCTTGCCCAGAGATGCCTCCACCGCTGCCTAAGTGGCTGCTGACTGATGTTGAGGGAACAGACAGGAGAAATGCATCCATTCCTCAGGGACAGAGACACCTGCACCTCCCCCCACTGCAGGCCCCGCTTGTCCAGCGCCTAGTGGGGTCTCCCTCTCCTGCCTACTCACGATAAATAATCGGCCCACAGCTCCCACCCCACCCCCTTCAGTGCCCACCAACATCCCATTGCCCTGGTTATATTCTCACGGGCAGTAGCTGTGGTGAGGTGGGTTTTCTTCCCATCACTGGAGCACCAGGCACGAACCCACCTGCTGAGAGACCCAAGGAGGAAAAACAGACAAAAACAGCCTCACAGAAGAATATGACAGCTGTCCCTGTCACCAAGCTCACAGTTCCTCGCCCTGGGTCTAAGGGGTTGGTTGAGGTGGAAGCCCTCCTTCCACGGATCCATGTAGCAGGACTGAATTGTCCCCAGTTTGCAGAAAAGCACCTGCCGACCTCGTCCTCCCCCTGCCAGTGCCTTACCTCCTGCCCAGGAGAGCCAGCCCTCCCTGTCCTCCTCGGATCACCGAGAGTAGCCGAGAGCCTGCTCCCCCACCCCCTCCCCAGGGGAGAGGGTCTGGAGAAGCAGTGAGCCGCATCTTCTCCATCTGGCAGGGTGGGATGGAGGAGAAGAATTTTCAGACCCCAGCGGCTGAGTCATGATCTCCCTGCCGCCTCAATGTGGTTGCAAGGCCGCTGTTCACCCACAGGGCTAAGAGCTAGCGCTGCCGCACCCCAGAGTGTGGGAAGGGAGAGCGGGGCAGTCTCGGGTGGCTAGTCAGAGAGAGTGTTTGGGGGTTCCGTGATGTAGGGTAAGGTGCCTTCTTATTCTCACTCCACCACCCAAAAGTCAAAAGGTGCCTGTGAGGCAGGGGCGGAGTGATACAACTTCAAGTGCATGCTCTCTGCAGCCAGCCCAGCCCAGCTGGTGGGAAGCGTCTGTCCGTTTACTCCAAGGTGGGGTCTTTGTGAGAGTGAGCTGTAGGTGTGCGGGACCGGTACAGAAAGGCGTTCTTCGAGGTGGATCACAGAGGCTTCTTCAGATCAGTGCTTGAGTTTGGGGAATGCGGCCGCATTCCCTGAGTCACCAGGAATGTTAAAGTCAGTGGGAACGTGACTGCCCCAACTCCTGGAAGCTGTGTCCTTGCACCTGCATCCGTAGTTCCCTGAAAACCCAGAGAGGAATCAGACTTCACACTGCAAGAGCCTTGGTGTCCACCTGGCCCCATGTCTCTCAGAATTCTTCAGGTGGAAAAACATCTGAAAGCCACGTTCCTTACTGCAGAATAGCATATATATCGCTTAATCTTAAATTTATTAGATATGAGTTGTTTTCAGACTCAGACTCCATTTGTATTATAGTCTAATATACAGGGTAGCAGGTACCACTGATTTGGAGATATTTATGGGGGGAGAACTTACATTGTGAAACTTCTGTACATTAATTATTATTGCTGTTGTTATTTTACAAGGGTCTAGGGAGAGACCCTTGTTTGATTTTAGCTGCAGAACGTATTGGTCCAGCTTGCTCTTCAGTGGGAGAAAACACTTGTAAGTTGCTAAACGAGTCAATCCCCTCATTCAGGAAAACTGACAGAGGAGGGCGTGACTCACCCAAGCATATATAACTAGCTAGAAGTGGGCCAGGACAGGCCCGGCGCGGTGGCTCACGCCTGTAATCCCAGCAGTTTGGGAGGTCGAGGTAGGTGGATCACCTGAGGTCGGGAGTTCGAGACCAACCTGACCAACATGGAGAAACCCTGTCTCTATTAAAAATACAAAAAAAAAAAAAAAAAAAATAGCCGGGCATGGTGGCGCAAGCCTGTAATCCCAGCTACTCAGGAGGCTGAGGCAGAAGAATTGAACCCAGGAGGTGGAGGTTGCAGTGAGCTGAGATCGTGCCGTTACTCTCCAACCTGGACAACAAGAGCGAAACTCCGTCTTAGAAGTGGACCAGGACAGGACCAGATTTTGGAGTCATGGTCCGGTGTCCTTTTCACTACACCATGTTTGAGCTCAGACCCCCACTCTCATTCCCCAGGTGGCTGACCCAGTCCCTGGGGGAAGCCCTGGATTTCAGAAAGAGCAAGTCTGGATCTGGGACCCTTTCCTTCCTTCCCTGGCTTGTAACTCCACCAACCCATCAGAAGGAGAAGGAAGGAGACTCACCTCTGCCTCAATGTGAATCAGACCCTACCCCACCACGATGTGGCCCTGGCCTGCTGGGCTCTCCACCTCAGCCTTGGATAATGCTGTTGCCTCATCTATAACATGCATTTGTCTTTGTAATGTCACCACCTTCCCAGCTCTCCCTCTGGCCCTGCCTTCTTCGGGGAACTCCTGGAAATATCAGTTACTCAGCCCTGGGCCCCACCACCTAGGCCACTCCTCCAAAGGAAGTCTAGGAGCTGGGAGGAAAAGAAAAGAGGGGAAAATGAGTTTTTATGGGGCTGAACGGGGAGAAAAGGTCATCATCGATTCTACTTTAGAATGAGAGTGTGAAATAGACATTTGTAAATGTAAAACTTTTAAGGTATATCATTATAACTGAAGGAGAAGGTGCCCCAAAATGCAAGATTTTCCACAAGATTCCCAGAGACAGGAAAATCCTCTGGCTGGCTAACTGGAAGCATGTAGGAGAATCCAAGCGAGGTCAACAGAGAAGGCAGGAATGTGTGGCAGATTTAGTGAAAGCTAGAGATATGGCAGCGAAAGGATGTAAACAGTGCCTGCTGAATGATTTCCAAAGAGAAAAAAAGTTTGCCAGAAGTTTGTCAAGTCAACCAATGTAGAAAGCTTTGCTTATGGTAATAAAAATGGCTCATACTTATATAGCACTTACTTTGTTGCAAGTACTGCTGTAAATAAATGCTTTATGCAAACCAATTTGCCTTATCCTTATAAGGACCTTATGGGAGATGAATCATTATTACCCCCATTTGACAGAAAGGATAGCTTGAGCAATGCCACACTAGCAAGGGATGGGATTTGAACCTTCAGCAGCTAGGTTCAGAAGCCACAAATTAACTGCTACATTGTCCTGCTTCCTATTGAGTTGGGGGACCTGACAGACGACTGATGGTCTTGCTAGCTCTCTCCTAGAGAGGAGATAAAAGAGGTTCCCATTCCTAAAGCAGGCCCTGAGCCAGGAAAATTAGAGGTGCTGGACCAAACTGTGCTCTACTCCCAGGAAGTGTGCAGTCAATATATGACACCTACGTGAGACCCTCAAAAATGAAAACCAAACAGCTACTGGCAAAACTGTGTCTGCCATTAGAGATGGCGGCTGTGCCAGTGACCTGGAGGATTACAAATGACTGCTGTGCAGAAACAGGACTCCTAAGGGGCCCAACTTATGCCGATGCACTCCATTCTGCTTCCCAAGGAAGTGGGGTTTATGATGAAGGGTAGCATTGCTAGGCACAGTAAACAAGAACACAGCATTGTGATCTGAAAATAAGGAAATCATGCCAGCTAATGTATTGATTGAGGATAAGTTGGCCTGGGGATGTGATTCACTCTAATTTTTCAGAAACATCTGAAAATATTTCAAACCAAAGGCTAAAATGTGTTTCAGTGGGATGAGATGGACTTAGGGGAATTGGGGTTAGAACTTGAGGGTTATTTTGTGAAACATGAAGGGACTTAGAGAAAGGAAATCAACAGCTGCATAAATGGGCATGTCTCTGGCTGGAGAAATGTGGAGAATGGAGTTCTGATACACTGTTAGAAGGATCTTATGTAGCATTTTTATAGCTGACCTAGAAGAACACAAAATTTCCAAGGCTGTGTTATAATGCGCTTTTCCAGGTAAACCAAGAGGAATATACCCCAGGAAGGTTGCATAATTAGGATCAAGTGTTTTCAAGTTTTCATATTCCAAGCTTTGGTTCTATGCCTACACTGTTCAATCCAGTAGCCACTAGCTACATGTGAGTATTTAAATGAAATAAAGGTAAACATCTAGCTTGTCAACCGCACAAGCCACAGTTCCAGTATTTGATAACCTCAGGGCTACCGTAAGAGACAGTGCAAATACACAACATTTTCTTCCTTTTTTCTTTCTTCTTTCTTTCTTTTTTCTTTCTTTTTTCTTCTTTTTTTTTTTTGAGACAGAGTCTTGCTCTGTCACCCAGGCTGGAGTGCAGTGGCACAATCTCGGCTCACTGCAACCTCTGCCTCCCAGTTTCAAACCATTCTCCTGCCTCAGCCTCATGAGTAGCTGGGATTACAGGCACCTGACACCATGCCTGGCTAAGTTTTGTATTTTTAGTAGAGACAGGGTTTCACCATGTTGTCCAGGCTGGTCTTGAACTCCTGACCTCAAGTTATCTGCCCGCCTCAGCCTCCCAAAGTGCTGGGATTACAAGCGTGACATTTTCATCATCGCAGAATAGTCTATGGGGCAGCACTGGTCTACACAATGCATTCTTATCTGGTACTAATTGTGAATGACTCCATGAGGATGCTGGCGTCATGTGCTTCTGTTGATCTGTAGGGCAGAATGGCCACTAACTTGACATCATATGGAAGTGCTATAGGGAACATCCTCCCCTTACAATGGGCTATGCCACACCTGGGGTAGTTCGAATGAGTCTGCTTCTTAAAAGAGACATAAAGCAAAAACACTGCACAGACCATGGGGTTGATAGGCTCAAAGCATCATGTGGTATAAATAGCTCACTGGTGTGCTAGGAGTATTGATTCCTTTAGCCCTGGAGCAAGCAAACAGGGCCTGCCAGGAGTGACCACAGCCCTTCAATTTCCCCAGCTTCTACCAGGCTCCTTGCAGGCTGCCTGTGCAGTGCAGGTCGGTCTGCCTGCCCCATGGTCCCTGCAGATGACAAGAAGGATGGATGCTGTCTGACACCTCCAGCATGGCCAAGGAGATGGCTCATCATGCTGACATCCTATAGGCAACTAGTCCTCATTGTGGGCAGGGAGCCCGTGAGGCTGATGGGGAGTCTGTGCTCCTCAAGACCCAGAAGCACAGCAGGGTGTGGAGCCTGTGGCTGGCAGGGGGAATCTGAGAGCTCGCTGCTCCAGACAGCTGCTCCGAATCTCTGTATGCACGCATGTGATATATGATATACGGGATGGTGTTGCAAGTTGGGTTCCAGGGACGTAGACTCTGAAATGCAGGTTGAAGTGCAGGGAGCTTGTTAGGGAGCAGTCTCAGGATTATCAGCCCTGGTGGAAGGGAAAGAAGTAGAATTAGCAGTGGGAGAAGTTGGGCTGCAAAGCAGTCTCAGTGAAGGTCTCAATCAACCCGTGTGGGGATCTCTGAAGCTGGGATGGCCCTTTGGATTGCCCCAAGATGAAGTGAGGGAGACACTTCTATATTCCTGCATCAGGTAGTCATTGGACGCAGGCTGTTCCCTGAAGAGCATGTGATTTCATTGACATGACCTCAGCTAGGCGGCTCTTTTCAGCCTGTGGCCCATAGGACATGTCCATAAGGGGTGTTTTCTTCACATTCTATACAACCTGGTGAGCACTTCTGGAGTGAGCTGCTCTGGCTTGGGGAGACGCTGGAAGAGTTCCAGGCCCTCTCCTGTGGCTCTATCCAAGGAGAGTGCTGACTCCAAAGGAGGGGGTTCCCAGCCTCCCCTCAGTTATGGATTAGCTGGGTTATTTTTCCTAAATCATCTTGAGTTTCACCACGAGGTGGTGCTACTGCCCTACAGGGATAGCTTTGAGCCACTTGCCTGGCCCCCCGCCCCCAAAGCCCCAATCACATCCCCCTTCCACCCTTTCTCTATCTCCATGATATGAGTGAGATTCAGCAAGGCTCTGAGTCTCTGCTACTGAGGGCATCTGGTGGTGCTTACCTCTCCTCATGCCAGCGACATGGGGTTAGGGATCTGCTCTCTGGCTTCTCCTCCCAGGCAACAGGGAGTATCTGACCCTCTCACACCTCACCCAAGGGCCTCCCAGGGTCTTGTGCCCCGGGCCTCTGAGCATAGTCCGTGCTGACAGTGAGCGAGGCTGCAGGTTCCCTCTGAGGTCCAGCCAAGTTATGTAGTCCTTCCAGTGTTTCTAACCAGCCACACCACCGAGCTCAGTGCTGGGGATATGGCGATGAACAAGACAGTCGCCACCCCCAAGAAAAGCACTGTGCAGTGGGAGAAGACAGCCCTACAGACAGATGAGTACTAGGCATGCCAAGTGGAAGCTGCAAAGTGTTAACAAGTTAAAAGTAACAGTTAACAAGTAAACTGCTGTCTCCCAGGCCTGGCTCTGCCATTTGCTATTTGTATGACCCTGGGCAAGTTACTTAATGTTTTTGAGCCTCAGTTTCTTCACAGAATGGTAACAATAATAGTACCTACCTCATAGATTTGCTGTTGTTGTGATATAATCTGTGTAAAGCATTTATAACAGTACCTGGCACGTAGTTATCAATCATGTGTTGGCCAACATCACTATTGGGTTGCTGAGATGGCCAAATAAGTTTTTATCAAGGAGGTGACATTGCTCCCACATTCCGACCTCCGATCCCTGATGGGCCCTCTAGATTCACTCCAGGCTGATTTTTTGGGGCGCCTCTTCCGGATCTCAGCTTCTTGGTGCTAGGGACTCCTGCTCCATGATATCTACCAGAACTGAGAGAAGGTGTCATTGTACCACCTGGCCACCAGGGGGCAGGTGTGCCACTTAATAAACCAAATTGGCCCCAGCCGAAAGCTGCCTGGGGAGAAAAGTGTGGGAAAGAGGTGGGAAGATAGGAATATAAATCTGAAATGCATGGAACTCTAGTGACTACTGTCCCCAACTTCTTTCAGTCATGTTCTTTATTTGTCAATGTCAATCCTTCAACAATCACCAACACCTGGACTTCACTACATGCGTATTTACTGACCTATAATTAATGTCAGTATTCTCTGGCAAGGGGTGGCTTATGCCCAGAGAAAAGGGAATCAAGACAAGTTTCAAGAATCGGGTTTGATCGATTCATTTATCCCCATGTTTGTTGGAACCCTGCTTCTCTGATGAGGTATAAACCCCACCATGATCTCTTCAGTGTCATTTGTCTTTGTTCCAGACATTGAAACTTAACCGACCACCGTGTCTGGGTACGTGCAGTTCTCTGAACGTGCAGCTCTGTGGCTTGCCTCTAAACCAGAGTTTCTCAAGCATTTGGGTCCTGGCATCCTTTTACTCTCTTAAAAAGAAGGACCCCAAAGAACTTTTGTGTGTGTGGGTTAGATTCATCAATATGTACCATTAGAAATTAAAACAGACATTTTTAAAGTGTATTCTTTAAATGTGGCAATAATGAATCTATTAAAAGTTAGAACAAATAACACATTTTTTTCTTTAAAATAACCAGTTTCCAAAGTAAAACTAATTTAATGACAAGACAGTATTGTTTCACAGTTTTGCAAATCTCTTTAATGTCTGGTTTAGTAGAAGGCAGCCAGATTCTCATATTGGCTTCTGCATTCAACCTGTTATGATATCATGTGTCAAGAAGCCTCCGGAAAACTCCACTGTACACTTGTGAGAAAATGAGAGTCAAAAAGGCTAATAATGTCCCTGCTAGAAAATGAAATGCAAACAGACTTATGCAAATTTAAACACCTTCCTTTCAACTTCAGAACCTGTGAAGTTAATTCCATGTGGCTTCAGAAACTTCATACTAACTCCTCTCCCTAAAGTGTCTGCCACATCCCCCTCATTCTGTACTTGGCTAATTCGTGTGTGTGTGTGTGTGTGTGTGTGTGTGTGTGTGTGTGTATGTGTGAAAGAGAAGGACAGAAAGAGAGAGAGATGGTCTCTCTGTGGCCTAGGCCGGAGTGCATGATCATAGCTCACTGCAGACTCAAACTCCTGGGCTCAAGCAATCCTCTCATCTCAGCCTCCTGAGCAGCTGGGACCACCGGCACACTCAGCTAATTTTTTTGTGTTTTGTAAAGACGAGGTCTCTCTATGTTGCCTAGGCTAGTCCTGAACTCCTGACTTGAAGCAAACCCCCTCCCTTCCTCCCAAGCCTTGGCCTCTCAAAGTGCTGGGGTTACAGGTGTGAGCCACCGTGCCTGGCCACCAATTTGTTTTTGACTAAATGCAGAATGTAGCATTTGTCCCTCTTTATATTTATCTGATTTTATTATCCCACACTGGCCTGCTCGAATGTTTTGAATCCTCATTTTGTCATCCAGTATTCTCACCATCCCTCCTGCTCTTGCATCTTCCAAAAGCTAGGTCTGCAGACCATATTCAGAGTTGACTGAGACAGAGCCAAAGACTGTGTCCTCTTGCAGGTTAACATTAGCTCATGAACCAGAAGCTCTTTGGTTCAGTTGTTCAAGACCTCACCGATAAGGAAGGGAAGCGGGTGGGTAATGAGAGACTGAGCCTCAGGTGAGGGGAGTCATTGGAAAGACTCAGGTACCACAGGAATGCGGGGAACTTGTCAATGCTGCCACAGCCCCTCCCTCCTCAGGACTCAACAGCCTCACTCCAAGTCTGAACAGACTCTTTAAGAATTAGACAGATCTGAGCCAAGGGTCACAGATCCAGGGTTATTTGATCTAGGGGATGCACAAGGGGTGGATCAAGTATCAAATTTCAAGCTGGGTTGTTCTGCAAATTGTCTGAGCTGGACTCTGGGAAGGAAGGCATGGCCTCCTAGATACTGGTTGCTGAGAGGAGGAAGGCAGGAAGAAGCTCCCGTGAGCTCCTGGGGGTAGTGGGCAGAGCTCCCCTTAGACCTCCAGACCTTGGTGGTGAAAGGAGAAGTCACACATAGCCTGGTCGACAGCCCTTATTTAGCTCCGTAGGGCCTCCCCGCTGCACTCTTCACTTGCACTCAGAAGCCTACTGGGCCTCTGGAAAGGCCCATGCCACCCTGACCCAATCCCAAATCCTGGCTGGACATGGTGGCTCATGCCTGTAATCCCAACACTTTGGGAGGCCGGGGAGGGAGGATTACTTGAGGCCAGGATTTCAAGACCAGCCTGGGCAACATAGAGAGGCGGCATCTCTACAAACAAATTTTAAAAATAAATTAGCTGGGCCTGGTGGCATGTGCCTGTAGTCCTAGCTACCTGGGGGGCCAAGGTGGGAGGACTGCCTGAGCTCCGGAGGTTGAGTCTGCAATGAGCCATGATCGCACCACTGCACTCTAGCCTGGGCAATAGAGCGAGAGCCTATGTCAAAAAACAACAAAAACAAAAGAATCCTGCAGACACCTGTGAACATCTGTGGCAGCCGGCATGGGGCTAGGGCCAAAGTGAGGGCAGGTGCCCCAACTTTGTCAACTCCTGACTACTATTTCCCCATTTGCCTACTAGGCTGGCCAGATAGATCAAGCGGCCTATCAGGAAGGGCTTGGTCCCCTAAGCCACTGGCCCAGCCTGGCAAGGACTGTGAGCCCCAGGTTAAGCGTGTAGGGGAAATGCTCCTGGTATCCTTTCTGCTTCCTCCACTTCCCCTAGCCCCACTGATTTACATGTCTTTCCCTCTCCTACCCAGGAGCCCCCGGAGAGGGACAGGGAGGGGATTGTGGAGGCCCTGGGTGATAAAGTAGGGATGGGGGAGAAGTGATAAAGGGGGTGGGGGAGAAGCCAGCTGCACTTCCTCCCTGATAGGGACCCCACCCCAAGAGGCTCCTGCCTCTGCTGTGTTCACAGGAAGGACTGGAGGTGGTAGAGGAGTGGATGGGGAGGGCGGTGGGCAGGATATCAGTGGCTTCTGCAATCCTTTGCCTTGGAAGATGACAGTTCATTATTTTGTCCTTCGGTTGTTCATTCATCAGCAAATACTTACCACACTCCTCCTACCACCGCTGGCAGAGCTCTGGGCTGGGAGGGCCAAGGAGGCAGATTGAGCTCAGTAGCTCTGCTGGTCTCCCCTCCACCCCACTCTTCAGCCTTGAGGGAGGCAATGAGTGAATAAGAGATGAACTTTAACAGCAGGTCATTGGAATCCTGATAGTGTCTCTTACTGACTGTGTAACCTTGTGGGAAATGTGTGAGCTCTCTGATCTTCAGCTTTCTCATCTGTGAATGACCATGTAGAGCTGGTAAAGATAACGGAAGGAAGGCTCGCAGCACGCCGCAGGGCCTGGCCTTGTCTAGGGCAGCAATGAAGAGCAGCAGAAGTGGCATCTAGCAGGAGCAGGATTTGAACCCTGGCAGTCCCCTGAGTCGCTGTGGAACTGCTGGCTATTTGTCTGTCTTCTGTAAAGCAAAGAGAGTAATGGTACTTACTTCCTAGGTGTTGTGAAGACCACATGAGCTACTATGTAGTATTTAGAATTGCGCTTGGCATGGAGTTCGGTGCTCGGTAAATGTTAGCCTTTATTACTGTAATTTTCATCATCCTCTGGGGACCCTCTCCTCTAAAGAGATAACGTCTAACCTGATATCGTCTTCCTTATAAGCAGCTCCTCCAACACATTCCAAGTCAGGGATAGACGGGGTAGAAGCAGGGATTCACAGGTGGACCCCTCTTGTGAAAGGCCAAGCTGGCCCTCAACCCAGCTCCTAGGATGGCAGACGCACGCCTGGCCCGGCCCATGGTGCCAACAACTCCGCTTACTCCCCCAGCTCCACGGTGTTGTGCTGGTGGGTAGTGCGGAAGACCTGAGGTCTGCCCCATTATCTCCTCCTGCAAAGCCTCCTCCACCCGTTAACCCCCAACCGAGATTATAGAGCCTCAACTGTCTCCAACTGCTCTGATTCAGGGATAAGGCTGGACCTTCGAGCCCATCAGCCCCACAGTGTTGAGGGGAGGCTGCCTGGTTCCCTGGGAGCTGGCGAGCTGGGGAAGTTGGACCACGGCAGAGGCTGGGGACACCCCCCTGCCCACCTGCCTGCCTGCTCTGGTGTTGCCTCCAGAACTTGAGGAAAAAAGTGATCCTCCTCTGGGGAGAGGCCTTCCTGGGTTCACTAAGGCTCTTTTCTCCCATCTCTGTCTTTCCTGTCTACCTCGCTGGCTCCAGGCTGCTTCTACTGTTTCTACTTCTCTCTCAGGCTGCTCTTCCCCCACCCCCAGAGCCTCGAAGCTGCACACCTGTCTCCTCACATCAGATAACCCGACCACAGCAGCTCCTGTCACCCCAGCCAGGCTCCCAGCAGCCCCCCAGCTCCCTCGCCCATCGCCCTCTTCCTCTCCTGCCACCCCCACCTTCTAGCTCCCTGACACACCTACACAGCCCTGGGGAGGGACTGGGAGGGGAACCCCAAAGCCTTACTGGGTAATGAGGGTGTGAGAAGACAGCTCTTCCTACTCCCCAACATACACGCGTGCGCGCGCACGCGCGCGCGCGCACACACACACACACACACACACACACACACGGTGGAAACTCTATACCCCTGTGCCTAGTCAGAAACAGTGACGGGGAGGGACCCAGGGACCAGGCCTCGAGGTATGAGGAAAATCCATCCTGCCCAAGTGAGGGGGTTGGGGAGTCACAGAAAGGGGCAGCTTCTGGGGCTGAGGGTTCCACTGCCTCCTGTTTTTAGGCAAAGAGTTTCCAGGGCTTCATCTCCAAGTCCTAAGGCTAGAGGCCCCCAGCAGGGCCCTCCTCTGGTGGAGCTGGGCTGGGGAGGTGGGTGGGTGCCATGTGGACCTGCCCCAGCCCCTTCCCACTGTTCCTCAAGAGGCCAAGTGGGGAGGAGGTTGGGGGGTGGTTGTGGGGGCAGCGGCGCTGAGTTTGGGATGCTGGGGCTCAGGGAGACTGGGTAAGAGCTGGGCAGGACACCGTGGGAAGGGGAGTGGTGGGACCTAGGAGGGAGGGGAACAAAGACCAGGGTGCCTGGGAGCTGGAGGTTTTAATACCTCTTGACAACAAATGAATCATAGGCAAATTCTGTGGAAATGATGGCGTAAAGAAAGATGTGTTATTTCAAGGCCCCAGTGTGTTGTTGTGGGAAGAGAGTGGAACGGGGAGGAGCAGGAGGCCTAATGGCGCCTGTAGGTGGGGGCCCGGGTAGAGTTCCTGGGGGCGCCGTGAAGGTGATGGCCCCTGCATCTCATGTCACCTTCAGGGGGTGATGTGAAACAGCAGGTGGCCGACCACAGCCCGCCAACCCCCACCCCAAAGCAGAGAGGCCCTCATACCCGCTGAGCTCACCTCACTGTGATGCTCTGTTCCTCCTGCAGTCAGCCCTGTCCTCTGGGGGCTGTCCCCACAGGCGCCTGCCATGGCCTGCTCCTCAGCAGTAGTAGAGGAGACTATGGAGCTCCAGGAGCCTCCCATATATGGGAGGGAATCTGCAGTGAGCACCTGGCCATCACCCCTCACGGTGGGCTTTTTCCTATCAGGAGAATGCTGAGTTGATACCCACAGTGACCGCACCTGCCTTGCGGTCGGAGCTCAGTCTATTAAGTTGCCAGATAAATGCATTTGTGGCCTCTGGAAGGTTGTCAGGGCCCTTGCTATAGCTGAGACCCAAATCTCAGCTTCTGGTCAACCCTCATTCCCGCTCTCCGCAATGTTAAGACTCATTAAATGAGACCAAAACCATATATACCCATTCCACCCTACATAATCATTACCTATGACACATATTTCCTCTTCACCTTCTCCTCCATGCCTATATGTTTTTTAATACAGTTGCAATCATGGGGTATGTACCAATCTCTATTCTCTTGTGATGCTGTGTTGCATATAAACATCTTCCTAACAGCTTCATAGTTTTCTATTAAGTGGAAATATAGTATCATAATTTACCTCCACAATTTTCCAATCATAAGTGTTCAAATTGTCTCTAATTTTCTATATTATAGGCAGTGTGATGGGGGACATCATTAGGCACATACTCCGCTCCTCCTCCCCCAATTTTGACTATAGAAATCTAGTTTAGGATACACTGGGTGGGGTTATTGAGCCAAAGGGTAACAGCACATTATAGCTCTTACTATATATTGCCAAACTGATTTCAAAAGAGGTTACGCCATTACCGACAGCACACACACTTCACCGAGCTCTCGCTAATGTTTCAAAAAGGCACCTACCTTTGTCTCATTTTAATTGGCATTACTTTGAGGACGATCAGGTTGAACATACCCCTACCTCTGCTTGTGAGTTGTGTTTCCTCTGTACCAGGAGAGTCTGTTTCTGGGCTTTGAACTTTAGTCTCCACTGTTCTAGTGCTTCTTAACAGTTTGTGTGAGCTCTCTTTATAAGAATGATTTTAGGGCCGGGTGCGGTGGCTCATACCTGTAATCCCAGCACTTTGGGAGGCCGAGGCAGGCAGATTGCCTGAGGTCAGACCAGCCTGGCCAACATGGTGAAACCCTGTCTCTACTAAAAATATAGAAATTAGCCGGGCTTGGTGGCGGGTGCCTGTAGTCCCAGCTACTCGGGAGGCTGAGGCAGGAGAATCACTTGAACCTGGGAGTCGGAGGTTGCAGTGAGCCCTGATCATGCCATTGCACTCCAGCCTGGGCCACAGAGCAAGACTTCATCTCAAACAAAAACAAACAACAACAAAAAAATGATTTTAAAGCATTGTCAACTGCAACCGTGTGCGAGTCTCTCCTTCTTGATATTCTCTCCCACTTGGGATTCCGATGCACTTCCTCTTGCTTCATTGAAATCTGTGACTGCTCCCGGCCTGCTCCAGCTTCCACTCCTCGCCCATCTGAAGTCTTTGTTTTCTCAGGTTTCTGTATTTAGCCATCTTCCCTGCCCTCCCCTTCTCTCCTCTCTTCTCCCCTGCTCTTGTGGTGTCATTCATTCCTACAATTTCCTCTCTCACTGATGACCTCCAAATTCTTCCCTGAGCTCCAGATACCAACTGTCCACTCAACAACCCCCCTTGCTCATCCCACCAACACCTCAAACTCCACCTGTGCAAAGCTCCATTCTGCATTTTCCTCCAAATTTGCTTCTCCTCCCATATTCCTTAACTCAGCTACTCAAATACCTTTGGGTTTGGAGTCGCTTTTGGAAGAGGAAAGAGGAAGGTGGAGGCTAATGCGCCTGAAGAGGTAATCGGATTCTATCAACCTTCTGCTCAGAGAAGGAGCACTGGGAAGGGCAGGAGAAGGCCAGTTGTCAGGGAAGATGCTGCTCTATGCCTCAATTTCCTTGCCTGCCTGGACACTAAAACGGATCCAGGTCTAGAGATAGATGCTTGAAACCCAAAGGGAGTGGTCACCCTCCTAGAGCAAATTAACCCTTAACACTGGCCTCACCAGCTTTTTCCTTCACCTCTTGAGCCTCTTCCCCAATAAGAGACTGGAAGGGATGAAGAAGAGGTAAAGCTATAAGTCTAAACTTGTGCTGTCCATACAGTAGCCAGTGGCCACATGTGGCTACTAAGCACTTGAAATGTGGCCAGTCAGAATTGAAATGTGCTGTTAGTATAAAATATACACTGGCTTTCAAACACTTAGTATGGAAAAAAAATGTAAAAGATTTCATTAGTAATTTTTTATTTTGATTGCATACCAAAATAATGTTTTAGATTTACTATATTAGGTTACATAAATATACTACTAAAATGAATTTCACCTGTTTATTTTTCCTTTTTTTGATGTGGCTAATAGAAAATAAGTTACATATGTGGCTCACATTCCGTTTCTATTGGACAGCGCTTATCTAGACCCTCCCAGCAGGTGAAGTGTGGGGCTCCAGGCTCGGGAGACAAGGGCAGTACATGACAGACACAGGTGCAGGCCCTACTACAGGTGTGGGCCAGCCAGAGCTCCAACCAGATGTCTCCAGACAGACACTGAAGGACAGATTCTCAGTGGCCAGCCTCACTCAGGCGAAGCAAAGCCAGGCAACATTTCCTGGATAATTCCTTCAGTCTTTGACTTCATGAGGGTCTCTGGACTGAGGCTTAGCTCTCCTGAGCTTGTCCCTGTAGATGCCCCATTATTCTGGAAAAACACTCACCCAGGACCACCCAGACCTTTGGATCCCCTCACCTTGATAGTTCATTGGAAGATTTTTCTATCACTCCACCTGGGCCAGGTCCTGGATCTCTTTCCAGAAGCCCAGAGGTGTCCTTCCTCCTGTCTAGAGCCCTCCCTCCCACGCACTCTGTCTTAGGCTTAGCTCACCACAGGCTGGGAGGGGATGAGAGATGGAGGTGTGCTCAACTTGACCTCGAACTTCCATGTACACTACCTGGGTCACAGGCACATTTTGAGCTCCATTTCTAATGCCTATAGAAGGGAACAGGAGGGGACGAGGGGTGGCAGATATACTCCATTGGGCTGCCCTTCTCTGTCTCATTCTCCTTTTCCTGTGCCCCGGCTGCGCCATTTGAGGGCACTGAAGCTGGGGCCCAGTCTGCGTGGGTCTGCCCCTCCCTCTCCTTGCCTAGATGACTCCACCTCTCCCAGGTCCTGGCTGGGATCCGAAGGCCCCAGGCAAGTGGGGGAAGGGGAGCCACTCCCACTTTCCCAGAAGCTGCTGCTGCCTCTTCCTGTTTTGCTAAAACTCTGGCTCTGGACTCAAGCAAAGAGGGGGAAGTCACCAGCTCCTGCCCCCCGCCCCAAAAGGTCAACCTTGCCCCCCTGGTCCTCTTATTTATAGCCCCCACTACCCACCACCCCCCCACCCCCCGGCCCCAGGCCCTGGCTAAGGAGCTGGATGTCTCCTCCCTCAAATAGCAGCTGTGGCCATTGCCCCAGGGATACAGCCAGATGGGCAGATCACTCCAGATGTGCAGTGTTTCGGGAGGGGAGGCCAGGCCCTTTCTGCAGTCCCTGTGGTACTCCCCGCAGCCTGGTCCTGGTTCCCCTCAACTTCAAGACAACACTTGAGGATTTCAGGAGGATCAGGAAGGTTGCACCTATTTTCCCATTTCTGTAGCCTGGCCAAGCTACCCTGTATACCCTAGAAAGGTCAGCTTGGGCGATAGGCCCTACTGGATTCATTTGCATAAATCAGCTCAGTGCTCACTTTGAGACCTCAAATTATAGAGGAAAACAGGCTTAGGGAGACAGAAGAGACAGGACACTGTCTCTCTTCTATTACTGATGTGAGCATTGGAGCTCTGTCCCTAACAGCCCAATGTGTGCCAGGCACTGTAGTTAAGTACTTCATGTCCCAATCTCATCGGTCCTCGCAAAACCCTAATATAGCAGGCACTTCATACCCTAATCTGCAGATGGGAAACCAAGACTCCTCAAGGTTAAATAATATACGTAAGGTCAAGCAGTGGGGAAGCAACAAGCTCCAGCCCAAGCAGCTCGACACCAAATCCTTGCTCTTAACCACAGTACAACACCTCCTCACTCTGTCCATTCTTCTGGGTACTTTTAAATGATCTCTTTTTTTCTTTCTTTCGTTTTGAGGTGGAGTCTCACTCTGTCACCCGGGCTGGAATGCAGTAGCACGATCTCAGCTCACTGCAAACTCTGCCTTCTGGATTCAAGCAATTCTCCTGCCTCAGCCTCCGGAGTAGCTGAGATTACAGGTGCCTGCCACCACGCCTGGCTAATTTTTGTGTTTTTAGTAGAGACGGGGTTTTGCCATGTTGGCCGGGCTGGTCTTGAACTCCTGACCTCAGGTAATCTGCCCACTTCAGCCTCCCAAAATGCTGGGTTTACAGGTGTGAGCCACCACGCAGGCCTAAATGATCTCTTAAAAGCTCAGTGCAGGGGGCCAGGCATGGTGGCTCACACCTGTAATCCCAGCACTTTGGGAGGCCGAGACAGGTGGATCACCTGAGGTCAGGACTTCAAGACCAGCCTGGCTAACATGGTGAAACCCTGTTTCTACTAAAAATACAAAAAAATTAGCCAGGTGTGGTGGTGTGTGCCTGTAATCCCAGCTACTCGGGAGGCTGAGGCAGGAGAATCGCTTGAACCCGGAAGGCAGTAGTTGCAGTGAGCCGAGATTGCATCATTGCACTCCAGCTTGGGCAACAAGAGCCAAACTCTGTCTAAAAAAAAAAAAAAATGCTCAGTGCAGGGAACCCTGGAGCCCAGGACTCAGGGCCTGCCCAAGGGAGATGTCTGCACATTGTCTCTGCCTCCTCTGCCTTCCCACCCCTAGCCATTTAGACCAAGCTGGAGTGAGGGATCTGTTGAGGCAGAGATTTCTAGAATCACTGTTCTGGGTTTCCTCAGACCCCAAGCACAAAGGAGAGCAGGTGAGGGCAGAACTATTGCCCCAACCCACATTGATCCCAGGATCCATTAGGTGTCTCCCAGCTTGGAACTCTGGTGACTCTGAATCCTCCCTCTCCTTTGCAGCATATGTTATTCGAGTCCCTCATCCAACCGTTTTCTCCACTCCAGGTTCTGTTCTTAGATTGTATCCTGCTCCCCAGGAGGTGATGAATTCCTCACTGTGGCTTTTTTTTTTTTTTTTGCCTCTGTGCCTGAGAGTCTGACACGGTGCCTGGCAAAGAGTAGATGCTCAACAAATGTGTGTTGATGAAGAGGAGTATAATGGTGATCATCATGGGTGGAGTTTTTCAAGGTCTCAGCCAGGGCACCCTCGCTCACCTCCCAGCTTAGCCACCCTCAGCTCATTGCTCTCTTTCCTGCCTCTAGTCTCCTGACTCACAGGTGCATAATCCAAACTCACCCTAAAAGACACTCCTGGGGAAAGAGAGGTGAGTGTCTTCAGGCCAAGACCTTCTCAGGGGTCTCTCCTGGAGATTCTGGAGTCAGAGGTATGTGCTTCCAAAGAAGAAGCATTGAGATTTGTAGTAAAGTGGGAACCTGTTGACCAGCCAATATAGCCCCTGGGGCAACTGGAGGGTTGTGTTGGGGCATATGGCAAGGCCGAAGCTGAAGCCTGCCAGTGGGAGGACCACAGCATCCCTGCAGGGGCCCAGTGGAGCAAGTAATGGTGAGCTGGCTGCAGAAAGGCATTTTGCAACTCAGACGAATTTCTTCTCACTCATGATTAGAGTATGGCCCAGTGGCTGCCTCCCTGACCATAATCTCTGCTGGCACAGGCATCTCTGGGCTGGGCAGCCCAGGCTGTGGAAGGAGCGCTGACCTGGAAACCCTGGGGCTTGAGTTCTCTGCCTGCCCTGGCCCTGATTAACCGTGTCATCTCTGGCAATTTACGTCCTCCTCATGTCCTCCGTTTCCTCATCTGTAAAAGGAATGGTTTGGATTAGACCAGGGAGTCCCAAACTTAACCACACCTTAGAATTACCTGTGGTGCTGCAGGTTCCTGGGTACTATCCAACCTTCTCAAAGAGTCTGATGGGGTCGGGGATGGGACTCAGGAATCTTTTTTTCACAGGTTCTTTCAAGTGGTTTTTATTTACTTATTTATTTTTTGAGTCAGAGTCTTGCTCTGTCGCCCAGGCTGGAGTGCAGTGGTGCACTACAACCTTGACCTCCTGGGTTCAAGCAATTCTCCTGCCTCAGCCTCCTGGGTAACTGAGATTACCGGCATGTGCCACCACACCTGGCTAATTTTTGTATTTTTAGTAGAGACGGGGTTTCCCCATGCTGGCCAGGCTGGTCTCAAACTCCTGACCTCAGATGATCCACCTGCCTTGGCCTCCCAAAGTGCTGGGATTACAGGCATGAGCCACTGCGCCCAGCCTACGTGGTTTTGATAAAGTGTTAGGTTTAGGGGATCCTAGAGACTAGATAATCTTATAAAACACTTGCAGCTTTTGGGAGCAAATATTCTCGTAAATGGAATGGGTACATCGTGAGGTTTTGCTGCTGAGGGGTTTTATCAGAGAGCAGGTGATGGGTAGTTTATTTTATCATTATCATTATCATTATTATTATTTTGCTGCTGGCATTATTGTTATAGAAGGATGTGGCACCTGCCCATCTGTGTGTTTCTGCCATGAACAAGGTTCTGGCCTAAGCGGGGCCTCGCTTACCTCAGGGTTGGGAGTGAAGCTGGGAGAGGAGGGTAGGGAGGGAAGGGCTTTCCCTGGTGGGTGGGGCCTCTTGGCAAGGGGACCCTGCTTTCCCTCTCTCCTGGGTGGAGTTTGGCTCCACAGGCTTTGGCACCAAACTCTGGGGCTGAGAGCGTCTCTCCCCACCCATATTCCTCCCCCACTTTCACATCTTAGCCACTCAGTCCTGGGGACTGCCCCCTTCTACTCTTCCTTTCCCGACTTCCTCCCCAGGCCCCTCCAATCCTGCCAACCTCATTCCTGAGCCTGGCTAATCTGTTTGCCACCCTCTGCTTCCTTGCCTCGCCCTTGCACATGCCATTCTCCCTACCTGGAATGTCACCCCCTCTTCTCTCCCCACTCTGATTCACATCTCTGGGCTCTTTCAAAACCCAGTTTGACCGACACTTGCCAGCTTCATGGAGGCCGTGTTCTGTCCCGATGTGCTCCGGTCTTCCCTCTTTGCGACGCACTCATTTGCGCTTGGAATAATAGAATCAGAAAACTGCTTTAGACTCAGAAAAATAAATATAGATGATCTAAAGCAGCCCCCTCATTTGACAGATGAGAAAACTGAGGCCCAGGGTGGTTGCGACTTGGCCAAGATCACACAGTGAGATTTTTTAAATAGTTGGCTTTGCAAGAGGCTTTCAAGTATTTTATGTGTTTGTTTTGTTTCCTCAACGCTCTGTGACCAATAGAAGGGCAGGTGCTTTGTTTTTGTTTTTGTTTTTAATGTTCTTATCTCCACACTCTTGTTGTGTTGTGTATCCAGGAGCTAAAGTACGCAATTGTAATATTTGTTATGCCATCAGGAAAATAATTCTAAAACTCACAGTGGTACAAATCTTTTCATGTATTATTCATCTGATTTCAGGCCAGCCCTGTGAGGTAAGTAGCCAAGATATTGCTATTTACAAAGCAGGAAACTGAGACTTAGAAAGGTGTGACCCAGGAAGTTAATGGCAGAGCTGGGCCTAAAACTCAAGTTCCCTGACTCCCAGCCCAGGCTCCTGATCCCCACAATGTCTCCTTTCTAGCTCTCTCCTGATGCTCCTGGCTGGGGACCTGGCATAGTCAAGGGGGTGACCGTTGCCGTCTTTTCATTCATGGTACCTTCTTTGTCTTGGGCTTGAGGAGACTGTCTGGCTTCCTGCCCCTCCCCATCCTGTCCCAGTGCTTTCTCCTTGTGTCCCCTGCCACATAGTTGGCACATAGACACATACATGTATATTCAGAACTGCAGGTGTCTAGGGCAACAGACCACAGGGGAAACCACATCACCTTTGTTGACTCTGTAGGGAGATGGGGGTAAGGGGAAGGGACCAGCTTAGTTCTCTCCACCTGCCCCAGTCCCCACAGTCATCTACCCTCCCAACCTGAGACCCTGGTACTTATAGCCACACTGTAGCCTCTTCTTGATCTAGCCATCCAATTCTGGCCCAGAAGGATTTGGCACCTCTTCTCTCAGATCCTGACATCCTAGATAGGGGTCTGCCTGCCTGTACCCCAAAGTCACACCCCCAACCCTACTCAGAATACTTATAC
The DNA here is from genome assembly GCF_000001405.40 of Homo sapiens. NCBI lineage: Eukaryota > Metazoa > Chordata > Mammalia > Primates > Hominidae > Homo > Homo sapiens. The sequence continues at coordinate 47,824,074 of NC_000012.12, read as the reverse complement.
GGTTCCCCTGATTCTGCTGGTGCAGTGCAACAGAGAAAGGTGGGAAACAGGGATGAGACCACATGGCTGGGGTCAGAAACTTGGCATCTGGAATGAGATGTACAGGGACCTCAAGGAAGCAGGCTACACTGGAACAGGAGACCCTGGCAATGCGTCCTTCATTATTTTGACCTGCTAGGAAATTGCACAGGCTCTGAATCAGACATACTTGGGATTAAGTAACTTACTGGCTCTGTGGCCTTGGGCAGATCATTTTGTCTTTCTGAGTTTTACTTTGCTCATGGAAACAATGGGGATAATAATGAGATTTAAGTGAAAGGGCTTTGAACAGCGTGCGATATGTAGAACATGCTCAATAAATCCTAAATTATCTTTCCTTCCTTCTTTTTCTTCCACTCCTTCCTTCCCTCTCTCCTTCCCTCTCTCCTTCCCTCCCTCCTTCCTTTCCTTCCTTCCTTCCTTTTTTTCCTTTTCTTCCTTCCTTTCTTCTTTCCTTCCTTTCTCCCTTCTTCCTTTTTTTCCTTTTCTTCCTTCCTTTCTTCTTTCCTTCCCGTACTTCTTATATCTCTTATGTCTGGTCCCATGAAACCCTTTATTTGGAGTTGGGGACCTAATCTCCCTTACTAATCTGCAAGTCCCAAACCCTGAGAATTGGCATTTGATTCCAGATCCAGAAACTGAAATGCAAGATCCAAACTAACCCAATACAATGAGTGTCCACTGAGATCTCACTGAACTGAGGCCTTGGGGAAGGAGCACTTTCTGGTTGGCTTTGTGCGAAGTGTGTGAGGATAAGTGCAGGCTGGCGGAGGAATTGTGGCTATGGCCCCCACATCTAGAAGGTTGGGAACGGAGGGTATCAGAAAGTTTGGATAATTTTCTGGGGCTTTAAATCCTGGCACAAAGTAGGCACCCAATAATATTTGTTGAATGAATGAATGGCCCTGTCACTTACTAGTTGTGCAACTTTGATCAGGTTTCTTAACCATAAAGGCCATGCTTTACTCATGAGCATAACAAGGATTATTGTTAAGAATAAATGATCTAATGTTTGTCCAGGGGATAGCAAGGACTGCTACGCAGTAAATGGTAAACAGTAGCTAACTAAGGAAAGAAGGAGAGGAAAAGGAGAAGAGAAGGTCAAGTAGGCCCAGAGTCCCAAAGGGAAGCAGATTGGGGTGCCCTCAGGCTTTGTGCTGGCCGGAGACTCTAGGGAAGGCTCAGGAAGCCAAGGCACGTCTTTTGGGGCCAGTCTCTTCTGCTAGGTGTTCAGCTGAGAAAGCTATGAGAGGCCTGGACTCAAGAGCTTTTTAAAAAAAGGCTCCCCACGGTAACCAGGCTAGAAGAGAGAGAGGTAGCTTGCATTTCTCTGTCTCATGTCTCTAAGGTTCTTGGAGGCTTTCTAATTTATCCTGGTAGGGGACATGTGACTTAGAAACTGGCTTAGGACTCTGCCATGAGGCGGGGTCTGGTAAGTAAATCTGGCAGGGGAAGGAGAGACACAGTCCAGCTTTCCCAGATGCAGGTTGCACATGCTGTCTTTTTCTCTGACTATATGTTGGAGGCAGTGAGTCCTGGTGTGTAGAAAGCCACATGTTGGGCACTGTGTGGACAGACAGGCAGGGAGATAGCCTCTTAATTCAGATCACTCAAAACTCAGTGATGAGTTTAAAAAGAGAAAGAAGACTCACAAATAAATGTATGCACAATGCACATGGTAGAAATGAGCATAAAAGGGCCTGGCTTTACTACAGAAATAGCTACAGAAAAGCTACGGATATGTGTGTGTTGGGGGTTGGGATCAATTGTGGAGCTAGACAAGGGAGATAGCAGGCATGTCGCTGGGGGTCTGCAGTAACCAAGCAGTTTTTCTGGAGTCTGTGGACACCAAAGAGGCATTTGGAAGGAGGATGATCTGGCTTGGAATTGAGGGCTGGGGATGACATACCTAAGGTGGAACAGCATGTGTCTTGGAGAGTCAGCATGGGTAGTTATGGGGTGAAAGAATGTACTGTAGGTGTCCAGCTGGAGAAGGGTTCTTGAAAGTCATGAACATCTGTCCCAATTCAACAAATAACTCACATCAAGTTTGAATTCTGTGCAAGACACTACAAGAAATGCACCCATGACCAAGGCAGTAGCTGGACTCAGGGATATCCACTCTTGAATGCTCTTGGAAGGAAGAGAGTTGAGACAAGTAGACTAGGTGGGCGAAGGTCAATGTATAAAGACCACACAGTTCAGGGAAGAATTCCTCTTGGCTATGGGAATCCGGGAAAGCCTCCCGGAGAAAGTGGTATGCCACTTTCTTTTTCTTCCAGTCCTTCCTTCCTTCCTTCCTTCCTTCCCTCCCTCCCTCCCTCCCACTAGATAGGGAGTGGGTCTTGAGGATTGGAAAGATTTCAACAGAAGGAGAAAGGGGCTGGGAGGACATTTCTTTTGGAGGCAGCATGATGAGCGAAGGCAAGGGAGTGTGGAAGCGTGAGGACAGGATGGGAAGCAGCTAGCAGCCCAGTCTGGCAGAAATAATGATAGTAATAATAGTGACTAACACTACTGAGCCCTAAGTACCAGGAGGCACTGGGCAGGGATGTGTATGGAGTGTGGTGCCAGGTTGTAGGAGGACTTGAATGCCAGGAAAGGCTTTTGGGAGGGTAAGTTAACAAGCGCAGAGGGGTTGGATCTGCCTGCCGAAGGAGAACTGGGACAAGGAAAGGGGCTGAAGTAAGAAGTCCCACGCTGAATATGCCGGTAGCAACAGATAGTGAGTCCCGAGCTGTGCCTGAGGGAAGGGAATAGAATCTATGGTTTGAAGTTCACCGCCAGCATGGCCAAGCCCTCCTAGGCCACTGTGGGCTCTTGCTTCCAATCAGACATGACTCCACCTCTGGGGCTGCCTCAATTTTTCCTTCTCTGGATTCTTGGGGTTTCTTAGGATTGCGGGAGATAGAATGGGGTCAGGGGAAGCTGCTCCTTGGTTTACAATGGTGGCGCCTCACGCTGCAGAGAGCCCAGTGTTCCTGCGTGGTGGACCTCTCCCCTTCCTAGGAGCAGCTCCAGATTGCTGGAGGCAGACACGGCTGACCGGCTAGCCCAGGAAGCACAATGGCGAGGTCCTTAGCCCCTGACCCCTGAATCTGACCTTCTCTCCAGCTAAAAGCGGAGGGAGAGGCAGGGAGGGCCACTGCCTAAAGCCGGCCCTGAGCTGAGTTTATTAGCTGAGGGAGGGCTGGAGGCGGCTGCATTCCGACTCACAGACTGGAACATTTCTGTGATCCGCTGTAATGCACTGGGGGACACTGGGCACATTGCTGAAGTTTGACTCATAGGGACCGGGAGGGGGAAAGAGGGGGGTTGTGGAGGGAGAGGAATGGGAGGAAGAGAGGAAGAGGAGAGGAGGGAAGGAAGTCCCTTGAGAAATTTCTTTAAAAAAAGAAAACTTTCAAAATCTGCACCACCCCCACACCCTTTTTCTTTTAATAGGAACAGGCTGGACCCTTCCGTTCCCCTCAGCAGGCATGGTGTGTGTGTGGGGGTGCCAGTGGGGGAGGGCTGGGCAGTGATTCAAATCAGATCCTGGAACTTTCCTGAGGCAAGTCGTGCTTATGTGTGTGTGTGTGTGGTGGGGGGTGTCCGTCTGGGATTCCTTGTATGGGACATGGGACACCACGCGTGTCCCACTGTGCCCGCGTGTGGCTGCGTGCTTGTGGGCTGTACGGGTATGTAGTGTGTGCACGGGGGTCCACCCCGAAGCCCCAGTGTGTGCTGTGTAAATGATTCTGCCCCTTGTAAACATGGATGCGTGCTCGTGTACGTTGTGTATGCGAGGGTGCGTGCGCCCAGGTAGCTGGGTTTCCGGGAATTGTGCACGGCTCGGAGCGCCTCGCGGCGGCTGGGGCTCGGAGCCGCGGCCGGCGTTCCGGGTTCGGCGCTGCCTCCCCGGCAGTGCGCCGCGCCCCGCCGCGATCTGGCCGCGCGCGGTGTCTGCGGCCCGCCTGTGCGCCGCGCGGTGCAGTGTCTGCCGGGGTGGTGTGTCCCAGGGCCGCGAGCGCCTGCCCCCTCCCTCCCCTCCCCCTTGGCCCGCTCTCAGACTCAGATAAAGCATTTCCTTCCATTGTCATCCTACCCGGCCGGCCGGGCTGCCAGGGCCCTCCCCCTCCCGGCCCCCTCCCTTCCTCTCGCCGTCTCACAGTCGCTCTGCAGCCTCCGGCGACTGGGGGGATGTGAGGCCGGCGCCCCAGCCCCCCGCCCCGCCATGAGCCCCCCGCTCTGAGGGCCCCGGCCCCTGGATGCACAGCCCCGGCGCTGGTGAGTACTGGGCGGCCGCCCCCCGCCCCGCCCTGCGCGCGGCACCCAGCGTCGCCCGCCCAGGCTCGGCCTCCGGCCCTGGCCCCGGCTCCGGCTCCGGCTCCGGCTCGGGCTCCCGCCAGCCCCGCGGGCCCAGCCCGGCTTGCGCCCCCCGACCGCGCCTGTCCCGCCCGGCTCCGCGGGGCTCTGGCAGGCTCCGGGTCGGAGCTGGTTCCGGGGGCCGGAGGGCTCGGGCCTCCCGCGGGGCGCCCACATCCGCCCGCCCCGGGGCAGCTACAGGCCCAAGGGAGGGAGTTGGAGGCCCCGGCCGCCGGTGTGCGGGCCCCACGTCCCATCACCCCTGTTCCCGGGGAGGACGAGCCGAGGGACCGGGGAGGGAGGGACGGCCGCGGTGGCCCGGCGAGGGGGCGGTGCTCCGGGGCGGAAGGTTTGGAAGCGCGAGGGCAAAGGGCAGGACCCACTGAGTTGGGGCTGGGCTTTGTGGGGCTGGACATCAGCGCCCCCATCCCGTGGAGCCGGGCAGGGCCCTACTCAGATCCTTCGGCGGGGAAAGAGGTCCCTTGGAGGGGTCTCTGGCTGGGAGGTTTCTCTGAGCATTGCCCCCCATCCTTGCTCACCCATCAGGGTGAAGAGACACCTGTGCCCTGGTGAGCTGTGGAGGTCAATGCCGGCAGCGGCGCGGGAAGCGGGGCGCCGCAGGCTGTGTGAGGGGTGGGGGACAGGATGTGCACCCCCCAGGCCTGGGGTCTGTTGGTGTTGGGGAGTGTGAGAGCAGGCGGCAAATTTGGCGGATGGGCTGGGTTCCCACGACCAGAGTTTCTAGGCCTGTGGGCCAGGAGAGAGCCCTCTGGGGCCCGCAGGCCACCCAGTGCCCCACCCCCATTGCTTCCCGCTGTGGCTGCCCGTTTGGGTCTGACCTCCCCAGCCACGGCTGCTCCTCACTCCTTCTCCCCGCTGGCTGTCTTGCGCACCCAAAGGCCTCCCCCTGCATCTGGACACTGGCTGTCTCGCTGCCAACGCTCCCTGCCCACTCCCCTAGGCAACATCTGCCTGAGGCCCAGCTCTGCCTGCCGCTTTCTAGGGTGAGAATGGGGCATCGGCCCTCAGCGGCCCTGCTGGGAGCTCAAGATCAACTTCTCAGCCTGTTCCCTGGACTTGCATCTGGACCTGTGGGACCTTCCTCAGGACCCCTATTCAGCTATAGGGCTGGCAGGAGACTGTGACTCAGGTCCCTGCCCTCCAATGAGACGCTTTGGCGGCCCTTTCCCCCTCCCAGGACTCCATAGGCTGCTAGGCTGCCGCTACCCATGGGTTATTAAGTCATTTTCTTCTTCTCTGCAGTCATTTCTGAGGGAAACTAAGGCACAGAGTAGTCCCAGTGAGTGGTACCCAGCCCAGTGAACCTAGACTGGAACCAGGTCTTGGACCTATTGGGACTGGTCCTCTGCCTTTAGTCCCCTGATGTCCCTCCTTGCCCAGCAGGGCCAGGCTCAGAGGCAAGCTCAGAGCTGCCTCCTGATGTTGCACCTGGAATGGTCCTGGTGCAGTGTTCTCCAGAGGCCTCTGTGTCCCTTATTCGGCGGGTGTCTCTGTGGCCACCGGGTCTTACAGTGGGTTTTGGGGCAGGGAAGTTTGCATGTCTAAGCTGTTCACTCCACTTTGACACTGAAGTTCAGTTTCCCCATCAGTAAAATGGGGAGAAAATTCCAAGCACACTTCTCAGAGCAGAGCAGAAGAGGTTGACTATGGAGAGGAGAATGAAGGTACTGTGCTATTATCCACCCCCTCCAGTTTGCTTAGGGATAATGGACCTCAGCTTTAGTCCTTGGTGGCCTCTTGGCATGGAAGCTGGAACTTTCTCAATTCTGATATAAAACCCTTGAGCAAGAGAGAAACTCATGTGTGATGGGGTAGGGAGTGGGGACCCTCTGGTAGCTGTGGGCAAGCATGCCCAAGGACTTGGAAGACAGAAGCCTGTGGAACCCCATCTCCTCTTTGCCTTCTTTCTCCTGGCCTTTCATTAAGGGCTGGTAATTTTGAAGTCGGCAGGGGCCTGAGAGAAGGTGAGCTAATGCAAGGCCCAGGGTCACACAGCCAGGGAATGGCAGGCGGAGGGGGCCAGAACCAGGCCTTCTCACTCTGCCAGTGCCCATTCTGCTGGCCCACCCTCCACAGCTTGGCTCTCCCTGGCCTGCCCTCAGTTAGACTTCGGACTGAGGCCTCCAGTGGGGTGTGGGGTATTGCTGGAAGCAGGGCCTGAATAAAGTCTGGGGCTAGCGGGAGGGCATCTGTCCTCCCGGAGGCTCCCAGGACTGTGCATTTGTGTGTGTTGGATTTGTTCACTAGATGGGGCACTTCCTTTGGGGCAGGAAGCTTTGATTTCCTGTGGTGATGGTGAGGAGGGGTTGGTAAGGATTAGGAGTGGGGGGCTCAGCTCTGGGCCATCCTCGATGTTGTTGTTTGGAACCACGGAGGGGCAGAGTTTCTGCTTAAGACTGCTTCTCCCAGCTCTGGGGAGGCAGGAAGGAGAGCCTTGGTGAGGAGGCCCAGGCCAAGGCTGGAGAAGGAGGCTGTGAGAGCAGTGAGCTGGGGGTGGGCAACACAGCAGGAAGCCCGGTCAGCAGGTGACCCTGCCGGGTATTGTGTTTCCTTGTAATATTTTCCCCCTGTTTCTGTGGTAACCTTCCCTGGAGGCCCCAGGCCTTAGGGCTACAGGAAGGTGCCCCCAGACAGCCCTTTCCTTAGAGGCCTGAGTATTAGGAGGAGTCCCCAGATCTAGCCACCTCCCTAACCCTTTTGGCTCCCTAGGATCAGGGGCCTGGGAATCTAGGCGAGTGGCCTGAGTGAGCATGGACTCGCGGGCTGGGGGAAGGCCCTTTGGCGTCTTCTGGGGGGAAGGGAGAGGGAAAGAGGGGAGCTGGACGCCCGGAAGGGCCCTGAGCAACTTGAGTCGCTGGCCTAGCCTCTTGTTTCCTCCCAACCCATCCCCACTGCCCTCCTCCAGTCTCCCTCCTCCTACAAGGGAGAGGTGGGTAGCATGCTGCCTGGGGCAAGGGGCAGGGGTGGGGGTGGCAGAGGTGGGAGGGATGTTTTCATCAGCAGAGCATAGCTCCTTTGGTCCTGGACCAGTTCCCAGAGGCAAAATAAATTCAGGACAGCGTCTGTTTAGTGTGGGTCTGCATGAGATGTGTGTGAGCACACACTGGGTGCGTGGTGGGTATCTGTGTGTGTACCCCTCCCCCCAGACCCTGTGTATGCTGATGTGGTGGTTCCGGGCAATTTGTGATCTATGTGGTGGTTCTGTGTTGGGTGTTTTGGGAATATGCACACATAAAAGACAGATGTGCATCATCTGTATGGTGCACACCTTTTCAGGTTATGGCCCTGTGTGGGGTAAACATGTCCATATGTATGGACATGTTTTTTGGGGGTATATATCTGGGCAGGAGTGGCTTTTTAATAGAAGTCCAGATGCTGGCTTGTAAAACACCATCTCATTTGGGATTCTCAAATGCGGGTTCCTGGACCATTTGCTTCAGAGTCACCTGGGGAATGTGTTAAAGATAAAGATCCTGGGCCGGGCGCGGTGACTTACGCCTGTAATCCCAGCACTTTGGGAGGCCGAGGCAGGTGGATCACCTGAGGTCAGGAGTTCAAGACCAGCCTGGCCAATGCGGCGAAACCCTGTCTCTACTAAAAATACAAAAAATTAGCCAGGTGTGGCGTGCGCGCCTGTAATCCCAGCTACTCGGGAGGCTGAGGCAGGAGAATTGCTTAAACCCGGGAGGCAGAGGTTGCGGTGAGCCAAGATCACGCCATTGCACTCCAGCCTGGGTGACAGCAAGACTCTGTAAAAAAAAAAAAAAAAAAAAATCCTGGCTGGACGCGGTGGCTTTGGGAGGCTGAAACAGGCAGATCACTTGAAGGCAGGAGTTCGAGACGAGCCTGGCTAACAGGGCAAAACCCCATCTCTACTAAAAATACAAATTTAGCCAGGCATGGTGGCGCAGGCCTGTAGTCCCAGCTATTTGGGAGGCTGAGGCAGAAGAATTGCTTGAGCCCAGGAGGTGGAGGTTGCAGTGAGCCGAGATTGCGCCACCTCACTCCAGCCTGGGCAATAGAGTGAGACTGTCTCAAAATTAAAAACATTCAGATCATCAGGCCCATTCCAGATTGACTAGTCAGAATCTGAGGGGTGGGGCCTGGGAATCCAGATTTTAACAGGTGCTTCAGGTGATCCTGGGGCAAGGCTGTGTTTGAGGACCACTGCCCTGGGTCAACCTCTTCATTTTTTCTTTTGAGGAAATAGACCCACAGAAGGTATGTAGTTTCTCTAAGGTGACAGGGCCATTAAGAGGAAGAACCAAGAGAAAACTCAAGGCTTCTAAGACCTGTCCAGGACTTTGTGCTCACCCATGTACCCCCTGTGTGTGTGTGTGCATGTGTGCTCATAACTACACTTTGTGATGACGTGGACCCGATTGGGCTGGTGCTAATTGGGGCTGATCTTTCCTCTGGGGTCCTGGCTTTCTTGTTTTCTGACCTTGTTCTTCTTGCTACATTCTGCTGCCTCCTTTTTGGAGAAATCCTGGAACTGTTGAGTGTCATCCCTAAAGGTCAATGTTGGCAACCAGGGAACCATGTTGCTGAGCCAGTCACTCAGCAATTCATCCATTCACTGGATCCTAGCTGAGCCTTGCAATGTTCTAGGCACTGGGTACAGATATGCAGTGAACACACAGGCACAACATCTGACCTCAGGGAACTTCCACTCTCGTGGAGAAGACAAACAGAACAAGTAGGCAAGTAAAGGAATGAGTATGTGTGACTAGTTACACACTGTGATAAGCCCTAAGAAGGAAATGAACTGGGCATGGCAATAAAGAATAACAAGGTGGGACTTCCTTTGATAGGGTGGCCAGGGGAGGACTGCCTAAGAAGGTGACATTGATGCCGTCTCCCACCTCCCCAGGTTGGAAGTGAGCCATCAGAGCCTCTGGAGCCGTGCTTGTGAACTCCCTGGATGCAGGTGGAGGCCCTGGGCTGACCAATGGCTAAGGGTTGGAGCTGAATTGCCAGCCTCTCACTTGGCATGGAAGATGGCAGTCTCCTCCCCTTAAGCAGCCCCAAAGGTTGGCAGAGGGGAGAGCAGAAGGGGGAGCTGCACAAGGCCAAGATCAAAGCCACTCCCTTGCTTGGGGAGCACCCTTTTTCTTCCATGGGGCTGAGTCCAGGGCCCTGTGGCCATACTGAATGTTGAGAAGGAGGCAGCATCTCCCCAGGAGCTCTCCTGTTTCACCTTCCTCCCACCTCCTTCCCTTCTCCGCCATCTCCCCAGTTGGGGAACTACTGTGCCAAGTCCCTTCCCTCTGGTCTAGCCTGCTGCCTCTGTGGCCACTTTACTTTACTTGGCTCAGGAATCACCAAAGAGAGGGGGTCAAGGCCTAGAGGGGACCTGGGCCCTGGAAGAGAGGACAGAACCAGAAAGGAAGGCTGGGGTTGGGACCAGAGAGGACAGGGCTCAAGGGAGGATGGAGGCTGGGACAGGAGAGGCACACGGGAAAAACCTGAGCCCAGATGGCCCTTTGGCTGGGCTCTCCAGAGTCTCTCCTGGGCCCTTGGAATCTGCTGCCCAAACTGGGGGAGACTCTGAGACCAGAGGGCCAGATGGGGCTGATTCAAGACACGGGCTCTACATCAGCTGGGAGGAAATGCCCCTGTCTGGTCCACCTGCAGCTCTACGCTTCACCCCTCTCAGGAGGTTAACTTTCACATCAGCAACTTGGGTGTCAGGTTCCGGCTCTAGGCCAGCAGGCCTCAGCCCCTCTCACCTCCAACCTCTTCTCCCAGGAAGGTTTTTCTGGGGACCCAGAGCTTCAGGCTGCAGGAAGGTGTTGCCTGGCCCTTGCCTTAGATTATTGAGTGTCAAAGGAGCCCTGACTCCAGGTCCGCTTTTCCCCCTGCACACTGCCAAGGCTGCCTTCCACCCTGGGCCTCTCTGGAGGCTGCTCAGTGCTCTTCCCGACTCCCAGGCCTTCCCGCCCAAGCTCCACAGCCCCCACAGCAGGATGGGGAGGGGACTTCTCCTCGTCAGGAAGGCCCTGGGCTAAGCTCACCATCCCCACCCTGTCTCCGCACCACTTCCTTTTTCCTCCATCTTGCCTGCAGGGATTGTAAACCCTGGTGGTCAGAAGCTTTGGGCCTATAGGGTCAGCCTCTCACCCTGGGGATCCGTAGGGGAACTCCAATCCCCTTCAGTTCAGCTTCCTCCCTGCAGGACCCATTCCAAGGAGCCTAGCTCTGGCTCCTGAGGTGACCCCAGCCCAGAAGTCCCATTCCCCTCTACCCCAACCCCCAGAATGGCAGGAGGAGCAGGGCAGTCTGGGAGTGACAGGTTCGGAAAGAGTCTGGGGTGGGGGAATTCGGCGATTGGGCTGTAACCGTCTTGTTTTGCTTGCCCCACAAACCTGCACGTCCGGGACGTCCGCTGCGCCCTCCCAGGCGCGTTCAGGTTATAGAACTGCTCTCAGAATGACAGGCTGGTGGCACCCGGCTGGGGCGGGGGGTGGGGAGGTGAAGGGGGGAGCCCCAGGCAAGGGGGAGCTGGAGGGTTAAAAATAGCAGCAGCCTTGTTTCGGTTAGCAAATGTGGAGGCGGGGAGCTGGAGGCGGGGCGGGCGGCGGACGATGTTTGCCCGCAGCGCAGGGCTGTGCTTCCCCTGGGTCCCGGGAGTGAGTCACGGCGGAGACGCTGAGGAGGTGCTGGCGCAGCACCCCACCCCCACCGGGCGAGGGGCTGAGCGCAGGCCTCGCCCCCCAGATTCCAGCGCTGAAGGAGGTGTGACTCTCCCTTCCAGGCAGCCGGGGCCGCCTTGAGAGTGAGCCAGGGGCATCGTGTGATAATAGGGAAGAAATGTGCCATTCTGACGCCAGAGATCTGGGTTTGAATCTTAGTCGAAAGGTGTGGGATCTTGAGTAAGGATGCTGATGGCTCTGAGACTCGATTTCCTAGTTTCAAGTGGGGCTTTTCTCTGTGCCCCACTTAGTGCTTAAAGCACTCTACAGATGTTAATTATCGCCTTAGACCCTACTGTATATATGGCAAAGCCTGGCAGGAGAGCTTCCTGTAAGGACGCAGAGGGAGGAATGGGATGGCCTTGGCTGAGTCTCGGTTTCTCCTGCAAGTGTGATTATGGGCACATTTTGCTCTGTGCCTCCACTTCTTCATCTGTAATGTGAAAATAATTACAGTTTCAACTTTATGGAGTTGCTATGAAGATTAAAGGAGATAATGTAAATAAAGTTAGCTCTGTGCCTGGTATGAAGTCAGGGCTCACTGAATATTCATCATCATTATTAATGTTATTGTTCATATTTTTTGAAGGTCAGGGATAGGGAATGTTGCAGACACGAAGAACAGAAACTGGGCCTAGCCCCAGTTCACAGAAAAAACCAGGCCAAATCCCTGTTCCAGATTCCTCCACCCATCGCGGCCTGGAACAGCCAGAGAGCTGTAGCCAGAAGTCATAGGGTGGACCCCTGCTTCTCTTGTTCACTCCCTCTCCCAGCCTCTCCCAGTGAGGCAGGGCGAGGAGGGACCCCAGGGCCTTGAAGCCAGCTGGCCCTGGAGAGGGGCTGCTGTGCCAGCTTGGGGAGGGTCTGGGATGGGGCTGCCCCTGATGGCCCTGATGTGGAGTACCTTGCCAGCATCTGCTGGGGTGAACTTTATTTTAGCCCTTCCCTTGTTGCTCTTATGAAGAACAGAGGAGGGGTGGGCAGGTCAGTGATGTCAGCAGTGAGTATTCCCAGCACAGCGGCTCTGGAAGAGGCATGAGGCATTTCTTTCAGGAAATGATCATTATTCAGCCAGAAGGCATTCATTAAGTAAGTCCTGACTTTGTGCCCAGCTCTGTGTTATAGGCCCTTGGCGAGACTCAGGAGGGGCAGAGGACGCTAGGTTGTAGATAACACGGAACCTCAGAGGATATATGGTCCAAGAAGACCCGGGGGCGGTGAAAACCCTGTGGACTAATGCTCACGGGAGCCCGAGGTCACACTTTGACTTTGCTACCATGGGCTGTGTCTATGTACGTATATATGCTGCGTAATTATTACAGAGGCAGTCCATGTGCATTGTGGATACTCAGACAGGACAGACCAGCAAAAACTAAAAAATAAAAAACATCACAGACGCATCAGTCAGAGATCACTGCACATCTTTCCATTTCCGTATGTGTCTTTATGTGTTGTAATTTTTATGAAAATGAGATTACTCTGCATATACTGTTTTTTCAGTCAGTGATTTCCACCTTCCATTACAGTAAATTTTCATCTTAACGGAATTCCCAGTTGGCCAGAAATTGTCCTTACAGCTGGTTTGTCCAAATCAGTACCCAGGACCATGCCATCTGTCTGTTGAGTGACCTGAAGGCAGTGTAAGCACCCTAGCTGGATTTGTGATCTGGAAAAACCCCTTCAACCAAGTCTCAAGGGCAGCCTGGCTGCAAAAGGGAATCAGGTCACGTGGAGAATCTGCCCACTAGACTTCTGCTGTCTTCCAAAGTAATAGGCAAAAGGAGGGGGATTCTAGGGCACCACTGGGATGGGACCTCTAGGGTATTTACTGTCATTAATGTTAATGTGGCATCCCTGTGAGTGTCAGGATTCACAGCTTGTGGCTATTCACATCCGAGATGCCTCAGTTCGGTTTGCCTGGTTCTTACTGAGTGCAGACCAGGGTCTCCATTGTGGCTTCTGCCTTCCTCTGCCCCAGATCCAGGGATGCTGATAGCCGTGCGGCTGTGTTCCTAGTCCCCAGAAAGTGGCCCTGAAGGTAGGTGCTCCCTTTTGCACTTGTGGGTGCTTCCAGCGCTTCCACCTGCCCAAGGCCTGCCCGTGAGTGAGAGACAGAGATAGAGATAGAGAGAGAGAGAGAGAGAGAGAGAGAGAGAGAGAGAGAGAGACCTTTTCCTCCCAAGAGAATTTACCCCCGAGTACCCACTCTGAGGGTGACTTGCTCTGGTTATGCAACCCGCATTTTGTAGAGGGCTTGACAGTTTCCAGAGAGCTCACGCAGCGTTTGATCCTCTGTGGCAGCCCTGGGAGGTTTGCTTGTTTAGTTATACCCTGCTGGAGGCAGCTAACAGGAAACACTGTAAAGTGTTTAAATGGTACACTTTAAAATGGTAAAATGTACATTTAAAAAGGAAGGGAAATAGAAGATGAAAAAGGAATTGAGGATGGCAGGGGTGGAACACAGCACACTTTGTGGGAACAGGCTGGCATTGGGAGCATACCCTAGGGCCTCACTGTGTCTTGCATCCCCTTGTCCCCTTGGTGGTCTCACCTCAGCCACTACTAGGAGGCAGGCTGAGTAAGCAGTCCACGCCAGTGTACCGATGCTAAGCTTAGGTTCTGGAGTCCCAGCAGCTCCACATACCATCTGTGTGACCTCAGCAAGTTTCTGAACCTCTCTTAGCCTTAGTTTCCTCATTTGCAAAATGAGAATAATAACAGTATATAGGCCGGGCGCAGTGGTTCACGCCTGTAATCCCAGCACTTTGGGAGGCCAGGGTGGGTGGATTCAGTGAGTTCAGGAGTTTGAGACCAGCCTGGCCAACATAGTGAAACACCGTCTCTACCAAAATACAAAAATTAGCTGGGCATGGTGGCTTGCACCTGTAATCCCAGCTACTTGGGAGGCTGAGGCAGGAGAATCACTTGAATCCGGGAGGCAGAGGTTGCAGTCAGCTGAGATTGTGCCACTGCACTCCAGTCTGGGTGACAGAGTGAAATTCTGTCTCAAAAACAAAACAAAACAAACAAACAAAAAAACAGTATCTGCCTTACAGAGTTGTGAGGACTACTTGCAATAGTACAATTAAAATGTTTAGTGGGGGCCTGGTGTGGTGGCTCAGGCCTGTAATCCCAGTACTTTGGGAGGCAGAGGTGGGCGGATCACTTGAGGCTGGGAGTTCGAGACCAGACTAATCAACAGGGTGAAACCCCGTCTCTACTAAATATACAAAAATTAGCCAGGCATGTTGGCGCACGCCTGTAATCCCAGCTACTTAGGAGGCTGAGGCAGGAGAATCACTTGAACCCGGGAGGCAGAGGTTGAAGTGAGCCAAGATCGTGCCACTGTACTCCAGCCTGGGTGACAGAGTGGGACTCCATCTCAAAATAAATAAATAAATAAAAATCGCTTAGTGGGAGGATGTTGCCCTCCCCCCGCCAAAAATGCCTAGGATAATAGCCAGCACACAGTAAGCATTAACACATGATTGTTGATCATTATTAATATTATTAATTAATTAAAATAATATAACTATTGTTGATATTGTAACTTAAACATTTCCCTGGCAGTCTTGGGAATGGGCTGCGTGGCCTTGTGGGTGGCACAGGTGAGAAGAGTGAGGAAGGCACATCTCGCTCGGCCTGCAGCTGGGAGAGGCAGAACCAGTGGGCAAAGCAGGAGTAGGGTACACAGAGGGGCAGGGTCTGCATGAGGAGGGCCCAGGAGCTGGGGTGACAAGGAGAGCAAGGGAATGAGTGTGACACCTCAGAGGGGAGAAGGAGCCGCCCCTAGAGGCAGCCTGGGGCGGTGACTGTGCTTCCTGTTGGGGCAAACACTGGCCCTTGAGAAAGACTGGCTCACACTGGCTGCTAAAGGAGCAACTGGTCTAAGTGGGGCACCAGAGGGGTAAAGGCGAAGGGGAGAGATGAAGGCAGAAACTGGCCGACTTATCCCCATGTTACAGATAGGGCCTCAAATCTTGCCTGCTCAGGATGTTTTGCTTATGATAGGAAAGATGGTAGTTAGACATCATGGTGAACTTCCTATCTCAGGGACTGGAGATACTGGAGCAGAGGAGTGAGGATGAATGTGGAACTTATGTCTTTGAGGGCTTTTTGGAACTGAGAAATCTTAGGGTAGTGTGGACTAGGGGAGCCCACTGGCTCAGGAATTCCCTAAGTGGGCAGAGCAGTGCAGGGGCAGGCCAGGCTATAAGCTGAAGGCCATGGGTAATAGGAAGTAGATGCAGGCCCTCCAGGCCTGCCACCGCAGGAAGTAGCTATGCCCTCCCCTTCACAATGGACTTGCAGGGAAGGCTGAGTGGTGGCCCGAGAGGTCCCGGGAGTTGGACAGGGCTGGGAGGACCCCTGTTTTTCTCTGTCAGAGGACAGCAAGGGTCTCCAGAGAGTGCCAGACCCAGAAACCGACAGCCATACGCAACTCAGAATGGCCCAGCTCCCCGGCCTCAGGTTCTGCCAGGTCTTCATCCTTGAGGAGAGGCCACAGGGTGGAGCTGGGGATCTGGGGTGGGGGACAAAGAACCAGGGAGGATGCTTTCCCACCCCCAGGGAGCTCAAGCCGCTGCTGCCATGGTTACATCTGCTTCCTGTTTGATTCATCTCAAACAGCAGAAGTGGAGGTGGGGTGGGGGGGCGACACTGGCTCCCAGCTCAGGCCACTGCTGCGTGGGGCTGTTTACAACAGCCGCATGTGGGATTCCCAGAAAGAGACTCCAAACCGGACATCCTGCGGCTGCAAAATACCCAGGTGTCAAGAGCTAAAAATAGCTGCCTCAGGGCCCCAGCTGCCCTGAGGTGGCGGAGAAAGAGGCATGCTCACTGTTGCCACCCTTACATCCAGCCTCCTGTTTGGTGTGCAGGAGCTTCTCTGTCCTCTTGCCTCGGACTGATGGAGGCCTTCGTCTGGGTAGGCAGACATCCCGGCTGGCTCACCTGGCAGCTGAGCCTCTGCCCTGATGGGCAGCTGGCTCCTCTGCCTATACAGAGAAATGGTGCAGCTTGCTTTGGGACGCTAATGAGAGAGTCCTAGAGGGACTTGGGAGCTTCTAGAGAAGGGATATGGCAGGGCACTGAGAGCAGGGGAGTTGGAGCTGAGGGTCCTCTAAGACCCCAACCCATTGCCAGCCCCCTGTTTCCAGCACACAGTCCCAAATCATTGCTTGGTTTCTACAAAGTCAACAGTTGCTCCAAATGATTCTTTGAGATTGTCTTCATGGGCACCCAAAGATGACATAGCTTCTGCCCTCTCACCTGCGCAGGGCTGGGGATTGCTGCTGGCACGGGTCTCTGTGGGGCTGTGTGATTTTTTTTTTCCATCTTTCTGCATGCCCATCTAGGTCCTGCATGTGTCCTTTGCTGGCTGGCCTGTGGCGAATGGGAATGCTGGGGAGGAGGGGTGGAGTGTATTGGTTGAGAGCGTGGATTCTGAAGCCCAATTGCCTGGGCTCAAGTCCCAGCTCAACCTCTGCCACTTGTCTGTGACCTCAGACAAGTTATCTAATACTGCTGGGCCTCAGCGTACTCATTTATCTAATGGGGATAAAACAGTAAATACCTCATAGGTTTGTCATGTGGACTAGATAAGTTAGCAAATGTAGGGTACTTAGAACAACTCCTGGCACATAATAAGGTGTTCGCTTACAAAAGTTCAGGTGGAAGAGAAAGGGAAGAGAGCATAGTTGGGAGAGGCTGGGGATAAGAGATAGGGCAGGGGGCTGGGCACGGTGGCTCACGCCTGTAATCCTAACACTTTGGGAAGCCGAGGCAGGCAAATCACCTGAGGACAGGGGTTCGAGACCAGCCTGGCCAACATGGCAAAACACCGTCTCTACTAAAAATACAAAAATTAGCTGGGCTTGGTGGCTTATGCCTGTAGTCCCAGCTACTTGGGAGGCTGAGGGAGGAGAATCACTTGAATCCAGGAGGCAGAGTTTGCAGTTAGCTGAGATTGTGCCACTGCACTCCAGCCTGGGTGACAGAGCGAGACTCCATCTCAAAAAAAAAAAAGAGAGAGAGAGAGAGATGGGGCAGGGGCATGCATTCAGGAGAAAATGGTCTGTGGTAGAGGAGGGAGGAGAGTTGGGAGCAGACACTGAAACGCTAATGCCAGGAAGGAGGCTGCAGACAAGTACAGGAGGCAAACTAATACTCGCTACCACAAGGGAGCACCCACCATGTGCTGGGTGCATCACAGACAGCATTGCTAATCTCAGGTGACCTCTTTGAAGTAGGTATTCTTTTTGTTTGTTTTTGTTTTTGTTTTTGAGACGGAGTCTTGCTCTGTCGCCCAGGCTGGAGTGCAGTGGTGCAATCTCAGCTCACTGCAGCCTCCGCCTCCTGGGTTCAAGCGATTCTTGTGCCTCAGCCTCCCAAGTAGCTGGACTACATGCTCCCCGCCACCATGCCTGACTAATTTTTGTATTTTTGTTAGAGATGGGATTTCACCATGTCGGCCAAGCTGGTCTCGAACTCCTGACCTCAAGTAATCTGCCCGCCTTGGCCAGGGCAGAACTTCCCCAAAGTTCTGGGATTATAGGCGTGAGCCACCTCGCCCAGCCTGAAGTAGGTATTCTTATCTCCTGATTACAGGTGGGGCAGCTTAAGCAGGTTAAATTGTGTTTCTGGCTTGCTTTGCCAGTCACCGAGGGAGTCGGGGCTTAAACCCAGGCCCATCTGACCGCAAAGCCAATGTCCTGTGTGCTTTAGACCTTCAATTCCCTCACAGTTTGTGGCCTGCCAGACTTCATGTGGCAGGGGCTTCCAGCCCACTCTCAGCTCCCTGCTGGGTTCTGGATAAATCTGAGCAAGAAGCATTCAGTGCCAATCAATGAGCAGTATAGAGAATTTCTGGAAGGGAGACACAAGAAGCTGTTAGAAAGGGCGGCTTCCAGGGAAGTTCTAGGGAGTCTGGGATGAATGAGAAACTTATCCTAACAACTTTTGGGCTCTCTGAATTTTTTTTAGTATCTGCAAGTATTGTACTTGTTCAAATATGTTTAAGGCTGCAGGCTGTATTCTAAACTCCTTGAAAGTGAGAACCAGGTTTCACTCATATTTCCATCTTTTCAACCCCTAGATCAGTGACTTCCCAGGGAAGTAGTACCTGCATTTGGGGTTGACCTTTGGGTTTCCCCTGTACTGGTCTGGCCTGGCCTGGCTGGACCACTGGCTGGCTGGGTGGCTGTGACCTAGCCCCTTCTTTCTCTTTGCTCCTCTGTCAAATGAGAGTGTTGGTCTGAACGATCTCTAAAGCCTGGAAGAGGAGCAGATCCTCTGTGCTCAGCCCCCACTCTGTGTCAGGGAGGCCTGGCAACCACAGTGTTCTTTCTCCTGTTTATTTGTTCTTGGATCTTCCTGAAGCCATTTCACCACCAGCCTTCATCTTCTCTGCCAGCCCCATGGAGACTCAAGCTTTTTCCAGCCTATGTCAGGGAAGGAGAACCAGAGACAGCAACCTCGGGTGTGAAGGGAGTCAGCTCTGAACCCAGGACTATGGCCTTCTGCCACTGCCTGCTTTCCTCTTGCTGCTGGGGCCTAGGTCTTCTTGCTGCTGCTTCCTTTTCCGCTAATCAAGAGTCCAGGGAGGTGGGAACAGCCTCAACAAAGACTTTGAAGATGAGCGGGGAGGATCGCTTGAGCCCAGGAGCCCAGCCTGGGCAACAGGGGAAGACTTCGTCTCTACAAAAAAAAAAACAACAAAACAAAACAAAAAAAATTTAGCCAGGCATCGTGGTGCATACTGTAGTCCCAGCTACTCTGGAGGCTGAGGCAGGAGAATTGCCTGAGCCCAGGAGGTCAACGCTGCAGTGAGCCATGTTCACATCACTGCACTCCAGCCTGGGCATCAGAACAAGACCGTACCTCAAAAAAAAAAAAAAATTAAGAAAAGACACTGGAGGCATCGGGAGGGGGGCGTTCTAGGTGGCAGTGCTCCTGGGGAAGCCTTTTGTCCCACTGAAGACATGAAGCTCCTGGGAGAGCAGGTGGTCGGCAAGGCTCAGGTTTTCATCCACCTTTTGCAGATCTAGGAGGCAAAGTCATACCTGCTGGGGAGGGAGGACCAAGACTGGGGCCTGAGGCAATAAGGTAGGAGCAGTAGGGAGGTCAGTTTGTTCCAGGTGCTTAGAATTGTGTTTGTGTTTACTCTGGAGGTTGCTGAGGGCTGGGGTGCACCTATTGGAACAGGGGCTCCATAGGTTTCTGGGTAAAATCAGGTGTTCTGGTTTAAGAAGGTGACTTGGTAGGCCCACATGCCCCAGTGCCAAGTAAACTGTTCTTAAGTCTGACTGCAGTTGCCTCCAAAGAAGATAGAAAAGGGGAGTAGCCAGGATTCCAAAAAGAAGAGCTCTCCAACCTGGCAAAGAGCCCTGTGCTAGACAGTATTCCTGGTACCTTGGGTCCATTTACTTCTCTTTTTTTTTTTTTTTTCAGGCTGACCCCAAATTAGTAGTAACAGCCCTCGGAGAGAGGCAGTGATGGGAAAAGAGGTCCCACACTCAAGCCAGAACTGGGAGGCAGGATGTTCATGCTCTGGCTTCAGTTCAGCTACTGACGGGGTGCCAGTAGATACCTTTCCTCTCTCTAGGACACAAAGAGAGCTGTTCCTGGGTCTTAATCTCTGTCGCTCTGCGCTCTTCTGAACTTGATGGCCCTCAGCACGGGGCCAGGGAGCGGGGGAAAAGCAGAACTTTTTCCAGGAATTGCTATTGGAAGCAGCCCCGTTGCCAACACGCATGCACACATGCACACAGCTTTTCTGGACAGACCTTATATTATGGATTATCACCACAAAACATCCCTTTGGGGCCTGGTAGCCCACACCACAGAATTCAGGGTCATTAATTTTTCTCCTATCCAGAGAGTGCATGGTGTCCGGAATCTGTGGTTACCAGGGGAGCAAGGCACAGAGAACCTGGCTCTGCTCCCAAGCATGAATGCTGCTGACCAGCCCCTGGGTAGGGACTGGGGAGGTGGGACAGAATTCCCAGGAGGCAGGGGACTCAGCCTGACACAGTCTCTGGGAGTGCACCCTGGAGCCCAGTCCAGAAACCTCTGGGAGGACCAGGTCCTGCAGAAGAAAGAAGAGGTACTAAGAAGGCCTGGGATTGGGGGTTACCATGTCGTGGGGAGGGGAGTTTGCCTCTGAGGCCCACCACCTTGAGAAATATGCATGCTGTGTCTCAGGCAGGTTGTCAGGAGAGAGTCATTGTATTTGATTTGTCAGCTACTAACAGAGCCTGCCACGTGCCCTGCGAGGTGTTTGGTGCAGATGGGCATGGCTTCCACAGGGCACCACAGAGATCATGATGAATGAAGTGTCAAGGTGGTAGACACAGAGCGAGTGCTGTGGAAAAGGAAGAGGGGAGAGGTCAGGGAGAGCCTCCCAAGGAGATGGACTTGGGCTGGACCTCAGAGGATGGGCAGAATTTAAATAGGTAGAGCAGCATTTTCGGACCGAACTTTGTTACCCAAAGCATGGGCTGGTTTGAGGGGCAGTCGGTGGGAGTCTCCCTGTGCCCAGGCTGCCCCCTCCCCCAGCAGCGCCTGCCTGCAGGAAGTTCTCATTTCTCGGCTCTGAAGAGGAACTGTGGCTGCCTCTGAGACACAGACCCAAAGGAGCACCCCGGCAGTTTCTCAAAAAATATCCCTTCTGCCCCAAGTCTGGCCAGCAGAGCGCTTCTGTGTCCACCCAGTACCCCGTCCAGGCAGCCTCTGGGTCTCCTGGCCTCCTGTCCCCTTGACCCTGAACTGGACAGCAAGAGGGAAAGGTGTCTGTCCTGGACAGGTGGCCTCAGGACTCATCTCTGTCTTCTCCAACCCCAGCTGGCCTCCATGTCCCCTGGGGGCTTTCTGCTGCTGACCAGCTTGGGCCCTACTATAGGTTTTCTTGCTGGGCTTAGGAGCCTGAGAGAGGTAGCCATTTCCAAAAGAAAAGATTTCTATCTCAGATTATCTGGGAAAGAGGCTGAGTAGGTCCCTTCTCTGAGGAAACAGGCAGCAGGACATAGGATGGGGCAGTGGGAGGAAAAGGGTCTGCACTATGGGGTCCTTGGGCTGTGCACTCCTGACCTTATCACTTCACAGTTCCCACCAGATCTGACTTGACCTCCGGGCCATGACCCAGTCCCTCCCCCACTCTGGAAACCTCTGTGTCCCCTCCTGCTCCTTTCACTCCCACCTGGGAGGCTCTGAGCAGGCCAGGGTCCCTCTCTCCAGGCCTGCTCCTCCCTTTCTCCTCCTGTCCCCCCAGCCATCCCCCCAGCCAGGCTCTCCCACCTCTGGCCCCACCTCACCTCTTGGCCTTCTTCTTTCCCTCGGGCGATGGGAGCCTGGTTTGGCTGCCCAGGGAAGATTGTATCTGACCACAGGAGGGAGGGCTGAGGGCACTGCTGGGTGAGCTGAGGCCTCCTTAGGTTCTTGCTGTAGTCTGAGTTCAAGTCATTTAGAATGAGTGACTTGAGGAAGAGGGAGCTGGGAGCCCTTTTCACCAGCAGGGGGACTGGAGGAGTCGAATGGGGTGGGGTCTTCTCGTTTTGATTAGCTTCTGGTGGAGGTCCCAGGCTTTGGCGTGCTCAAGCTTGGAGTGGCAGGGAGCAGGCCTGGCTTGACCTTCTTTCCTTCCTGCTCCCTCTCCTCACCCCTCCCTGCAGCTCTTTCACTCCGTCTCTCTCTCTACAGATGGGACCCAGGTGAGCCCGGGTGCCCACTACTGCAGCCCCACTGGCGCAGGTAAGAGTCAAACCCGGGGGAGTCCATGGTAGGGAGTGGAAGATGAGGGGTGGAAAGGCTGTAAGAACGCGAGAAGCTGAGGGGTTAGAGAAGCAGGGTCGCTGGCTGATCTGCCAGAGAGCCAGGAGGTGGCGGCTCCAGGGAGGGGCGAGGAGCCGGGGTAAGAGAGGCAGCTCTGGATGCTGGCTGGGCACAGTGCTAGGAAACACAACAGGAAAAGGAAACACAGGATGCCCGTCTTGTCCTTGCTGGGAGCAGTGAAACAGGAAGGAAAGTAAGAAGCTAATATTTATACTGAGACCCCTACCCCATGTCAGGCACCAGGCAAGGTGTGTTCTTGTGTGTGGACTCGGTCCTCACACCGGCTCTGCAAGGTGGGCATGGCAGCCCTTGCAGGACTGCTCTGCTGGAGGGGAAGTGTTCTCTCACTGTCTGCGCCTCCTCCCTCTGCTGGCCCGAGCCTCCTCTGCTGCTAGGCTGCCCTGGGGAAGGACTGGACTTCCTGCTGCTGCTTTGGTTTAGGACATGCCCATGGGGCCAGGTCTGGACTAGACGCGGTCTGCCCTTCCTTTAGTGTAGCCAGTATCAACCAAGGGCCTACTGAGTGCAAGATATACAGCCTGATGCCTAATAATTCCATATAGCAGGGAGAAATGGAACCCAGGTATCCTCCTTGCTTCAGTCCTGGCTGTTGAAAAGCTAACAGGCAGGTTAGGGAGGAAGCACACACAAATACAAAGCGAAAAAAAATAGAATGCAATAATGTGACCAGTGCCCAATGAGAGGACACTGATTCATGAGTTTATCCATTTGTTCAAGAATCATTAATGAGTTCTGTCTCTGTGCCAGGGTACTTTCCTGGACATTTTAGGAGAGACACTGATTTATTCATTGATTCTATGTTTGTGGAGTGCCTGTCATGTGCTAGGTACTATTCCAGGTGCTAGGAATAATAAACAAAGCATGAAACCAACTCCCTGCCCTATGGAGCTTAACTCAGACATGGTACCTGCCCACAGAGCACTAATCCTGGTGTGGAACAGCCATGTGATTGGAGTCCAAAAGAGGGAGGGATGCTAGGCGCTGGCTGGGTCCAGGGATGAGGGAGGACTCCAGCTGAGCTTTGAGCAAAGAGTAGGATTTGGAAAAGTAGAATGTAGGGATGAGGACAGCACAGGCAGGGGGACATTGTGAGCAAAAGGTCAGAGAACAGAAGAGATGTGGATTTGTGACAGGTGGAAGCTGATGGCCAAGGTGGAGGGTTCATGTTCAAATGCAGACCAAGTTGAGAGAAGCCAAGTTAGGACCAGATTGTGGAGCCTCACAAATGCTAAAGCACCTCGAAAAGTATTTCCAGGGCTCCAGGCAGAGCCCATCCTGTATTCCCTTCTGCTGTGGAGGCAGTGGCCATGCAGAGTGTGAGGGGAAGGGCCCCTGCTGGGGGTCTGCTCACAGTCCGTATGTGGCTGAAGCCACTGGTCTTGGGTCCAGGTCGCTGGCCTTGGTTCCCCCAAGCCCCTCTTGCATAATCAGGGGAGTCACCCCGGGAAGCCAGGACACAGAACATGGAAGGACTGAAACCTTTCCTGGGGCAGGAGTGTTTTGGTATTCGAAACCCAGACTCAACCCGAATGAGAATCCGGATTTCTTGGGAGGCAATGTGAACAAGGGGTGGGGCATCAAAGCCATACATTTTCTACTGCGGGCGGCATCTGGGTGCACAGCCATCACTGTCCCTCCAGGCCTCTTGATATTCGGGGGACATGGCGGGCACCTCCTTGCTGGGCTCCTGTCTTGTGTCCATGTCACAGTCAGGGAATGTTAGAGTGAATGCCCTTTAATGACAGCCTACTGCAAACCCCTCTTTGCTTAGTGAGAAAGCCCCTTGAGGGGAGGTGAATTCCTGAAAGTTGGTGGGAAACTGGAGTACCTGCCTTGGTAGGACCAGAACCCATGCTAGCTCTGCCCCTAGCAGGGTGACTTTGGACAGGGCCCTTCACCTCCGAGCCTCGGTTTCCTTATTTAGGATAACAAGATAGTAATGACTACCCCCCGGGGCCAGTGGCTTGATGTAGCTGCTCATGCACAAGTGCTGTAGATGTAAAGATTGTGGTTAGGAGTGGCCAGCTTGGGCCTGGAGGCTATGATTTCTGACTCCTGGACTGGTACTTTGCCACAGGCCTTTCCAGCCCTCCTCAGCCCCAATCCCTGAGGACAGTCTGTGGCTGCCCCACTGGGAGATGCCCAGCGTTGGAATTGCTGAAGGAGGCCTCTCCAGGAAGGCTTCTCCACTTGTGTGCCCTCCCATGGGGCCGGCCTGCTCCTACCCCACCCACTTCCCCTTCTCCAGGATAAGCCCGCTGCAACAGCTCCGTCTCCCAGTGTCTCAGCCTCTCTGGCTGCTCAGCCCAGCCTGGTCCAGCTGGCTATGCTGGCATGGACCCTAGTCTGGTGGCCAGTTATAAATAGCCCCTGCACCCACAGCCTTGGCAGGGTGCTCCTAGTGTGGGTGCAGAGGACACTTGAGAAGAGGCAGCCGTGCCTGCCATCCTGACCATGCCAGGCCCAGAGCTGCCATGGAGGCACCCAGGAGCAGGCCCAAGGACACATGGGCCCTATGAGCTGAGGAACCTGCCCTGGGCACAGGGTTCTGCAGGCCCAACGTGGCCGGTCAGGGCTGGCTGTAGGCTTGAGGCATCACTTTATCTCATGACTGGGGATAGAGCATGGGAGGGTGGCGACCCAGAGGGCCTGTGAGGCTTGGGGCTGGAGGCAGAACAAAGTGGGCCTGTTTGCCTGCCTGATTGCTTCCTTTGAGCCCAACTCATTAGAGGGCAGCTGGGCAAATCCTCTGATTCCAGGGAGGGATGAAGGGAGGGAGAAGGCAGGGCCAAGAATGTCCTACCATAGGATCTGCAGCCCATCGGAGATCACTGTAGCCCTCAGCCCCCGGCCCAGGGAGGAGCATGTTTAGTGGAGGAGCACTGTGGTGGAGTCGGAAGACTCCGTTCAAACACCACCAGTGATACAGTGTTACTGTGCACAGTTCATGTGACTTTTTTCTCACGAGTAAAATGGAATTGATAATACCTACCTTGCAGGACCACGACAGGATTAAGTGAGGAAAAACCCCCATGAGAGTGTTTTGCCATTGTCAAGTGAGCCTGAGGGAGGCTGAGGGGGGATCAGGCTGTATCATGCCCCCGAGGACAAACTTTCCAGTTTACCCTGCTCCCTCTCTCTGTCCCTAGGCTGCCCCAGGCCCTGTGCAGACACACCAGGCCCTCAGCCGCAGCCCATGGACCTGCGGGTGGGCCAGCGGCCCCCAGTGGAGCCCCCACCAGAGCCCACATTGCTGGCCCTGCAGCGTCCCCAGCGCCTGCACCACCACCTCTTCCTAGCAGGCCTGCAGCAGCAGCGCTCGGTGGAGCCCATGAGGGTAAAGATGGAGCTCCCTGCATGTGGGGCCACCTTGAGCTTGGTCCCCAGCCTCCCCGCCTTCAGCATCCCTAGACACCAGTCTCAGTCCTCAACTCCTTGTCCCTTTCTGGGCTGCCGGCCCTGCCCACAGCTCTCCATGGACACGCCGATGCCCGAGTTGCAGGTGGGACCCCAGGAACAAGAGCTGCGGCAGCTTCTCCACAAGGACAAGAGCAAGCGAAGTAAGGAGGTGGCCACCCCAGCCCAGCCCAGCCCCACCAGCCAGGTGCCTGCGGCTGCCTGTGTGGCTTGTGAGGGGTGAGGTGGGAGGGCCGCAGCCAGCTGGGCCTGAGCCGAGGCTTTCCCTCTGCTTGCCTGGGCTCTGCCTGTGAATGTGTGGGGGATGTGGGGGTGGGGGGTGGTGTCTGGAGGCTCTAGGGAGGGGTAGGGCCTCGGGCTTGGCTCTTGCCTAGGGAGTCCCTGGGACGCCTCCTACTGAGGATGGGGACAGGGCAGTGGCCAGGTAGTGCCACGAGGCCGCCTGTCCACCCACCTCCAGCCCCCTCCTGACTCTGCCCCTACAGGTGCTGTAGCCAGCAGCGTGGTCAAGCAGAAGCTAGCGGAGGTGATTCTGAAAAAACAGCAGGCGGCCCTAGAAAGAACAGTCCATCCCAACAGCCCCGGCATTCCCTACAGGTAACACCCTCCTCACCTGCCCTCCTGTCCCCACATGCACCCTCCACCCCCGCCCCCGTGTTAGCCATGAGCACACACACTTGCCTCCTTCCTCCCCAGTTGCCACAACCAGTCCTTACCCTTCCTCTAAACATAATGCCCCCGAGCCCCTCTCTCAACTGATACCTGCCCTCCTCTCTTTAAATTCTCCCCACCCCACCTGAGCCCTTCTCACACACACACACACACACACACACACACACACACACACACCCTACTGGCTTTTTTCTTGCACATGAGCCCCTTCTCTCTTTATATTTTCCCTGAGCGCAAAAATGTCCTGGTTCCCAGAGCAGGTTCCTAGTGCAGGTGACAGAGCCCCCAGTGGGCTCTTCACCCACGCACCAAGCACCTGGCTTCTATGCCTAGGTCAGAGCTCTGCACTATAGCTGCTGGAGCGGACAGGCGGCCCACTGCTGCCACCTGGAGATGGTCCCCATTCCTACCAGCCCCACATTGCCCAGCCCTGCCCGCTGCAGCCTCCCCCTCAGGTCCCAGGGCCCGTGCTCAGGGCAGTGCCCGTGCAGTGTCCCCACACCTCTGAAGCAGCCTTGGCACTCGTTCTGTAGAACCCTGGAGCCCCTGGAGACGGAAGGAGCCACCCGCTCCATGCTCAGCAGCTTTTTGCCTCCTGTTCCCAGCCTGCCCAGTGACCCCCCAGAGCACTTCCCTCTGCGCAAGACAGGTGAGCTGAACAAACAGGCGGACCTTTCAGGCAAAGGAAGGGGGAAGGGCCTCGGACATGGGGGAGGAGTGTGCAGGGGTGGGCGGGCTGGGCTGGGCCAGGAGATCATCGGTAGGCTAGGATCTTCTTTCTAGTTCTGCCTTCTCTTTCCTTGACCGATAGAGATGACTGGGACTGAGGGGTTAAAGGGTGGAAAAAAGAAGGGTGGTGGGGGCCTGAGTGACGCTGGTGCTCCCTGCAGTCTCTGAGCCCAACCTGAAGCTGCGCTATAAGCCCAAGAAGTCCCTGGAGCGGAGGAAGAATCCACTGCTCCGAAAGGAGAGTGCGCCCCCCAGCCTCCGGCGGCGGCCCGCAGAGACCCTCGGAGGTGAGGGCCGGCTGAGCCAGTGCGGTTGCCATCCTCAAACCTGGCTGGTCTTGTCCCTTTGGGTCAGGCCCCACCTAGACAGGGGTCCCCTCCTTAGGACTGCCATGCGTGGTTGCATGGGGGTGTCCCACACACTTGCCGAAGCGGGGGAGTTGGGGCTGAAACCCAGTCCCTGCTCTGTTAGCTAAGGTGACATCTCCCAGAAAAGGGGGCACCCTTCAAAAAATTATGCAAAGGTGCTGTAGGCCAAAGGTGGCCTGTCTTCTTCCTGCTCTGATGGGAAGAAAGCAGGAGGCCGGGCGCGGTGGTTCACGCCTATAATCTCAGCACTTTGGGAGGCTGAGGCAGGTCAATCACCTGAGGTTAGGAGTTTGAGACCAGCCTGGACAATATGGTGAAACCCTGTCTCTACTAAAAATACAAAAATTAGCCAGGCACGGTGGTGCATGCCTGTAGTCCCAGCTACTTGGGAGGCTGAGCCAGGAGAATCGCTTGAACCCAGGAGGTGGAGGTTGCAGTGAGCCGGGATCGTGCCATTGCACTCCAGCCTGGGCAACAGAGCAAGACTCTGTCTCAAAAAAAAAAAAAAAGAAAGCAGGAAGCAAAGGTGCTCGTTAAGGAAGGGGGTGCTCCCGGGTCTCCTGCACCAGGCGGCCTGGCTGTACCCTCCTGCCCACCCTGGCCTCTGACTGCACTTCCCTCTCTCCCCAACCCTCAGACTCCTCCCCAAGTAGTAGCAGCACGCCCGCATCAGGGTGCAGCTCCCCCAATGACAGCGAGCACGGCCCCAATCCCATCCTGGGCTCGGAGGTAAGGCCTTGCCGAGACTGGGCTCTCCTGGGGCAGTTCTGAGGCTCAGCCTTCTTCCAGCAGGCGGCCCTACCTGGGCTGGGGCTGCAGGGTCTGGGCAGCCCCTGCCAGAGCCTCCTGGGTGTTCTGGGGAAGGTGCGCCGGGGTAGAGGTCTGGGACCGGTGACCCTCGCCCTGCTCCCTATGGCAGGCGCTCTTGGGCCAGCGGCTGCGGCTGCAGGAGACTTCTGTGGCCCCGTTCGCCTTGCCGACAGTGTCCTTGCTGCCCGCAATCACTCTGGGGCTGCCCGCCCCTGCCAGGGTGAGTGGCTGGGGTGCCCACCCCCACTCCAAGCCCCCCCAGCTTCTTTCACTCCCTTTTCTTGCTGCCTCACCCCATCATCTTCATTGTTCTCTGCTGGAATCTTCTTCCCCGTGACTTCTCCCGCCTCTCCCCCAGGCTGACAGTGACCGCAGGACCCATCCGACTCTGGGCCCTCGGGGGCCAATCCTGGGGAGCCCCCACACTCCCCTCTTCCTGCCCCATGGCTTGGAGCCCGAGGCTGGGGGCACCTTGCCCTCTCGCCTGCAGCCCATTCTCCTCCTGGACCCCTCAGGCTCTCATGCCCCGCTGCTGACTGGTGAGTCTGCTGCTTCTTCAGGGAAGGGGCTGGGTCCCTGCACCCTGCTAAGAGCCAAGCTTGGGATGGACCCATCCTTCCTCCCCATCTCTGTCCCCCTGTCCTGCGCATTGCCCTGCTGCACCCTGGCCCCCCACCCTATACCCTCGCTTCCTTCCATTGCTCCCTGTGGTTCCCTCCTTATTCCACCCCCCGATTCTTTCCAGTGCCCGGGCTTGGGCCCTTGCCCTTCCACTTTGCCCAGTCCTTAATGACCACCGAGCGGCTCTCTGGGTCAGGCCTCCACTGGCCACTGAGCCGGACTCGCTCAGAGCCCCTGCCCCCCAGTGCCACCGCTCCCCCACCGCCGGGCCCCATGCAGCCCCGCCTGGAGCAGCTCAAAACTCACGTCCAGGTGATCAAGGTGAGAGGAATTGGGCAGTGGAGGTATTGAGGGAGTGTTTAACTGGGGACTTAGGGGCCAAAAGAAGAGGGGTACTTAGAAAGGGCAGGGAACTGGAGGGCAAAAGAGGGGGATGTGGCTTCTTGGGGCCCAGAGCTGCATGGCAGCTGGAGTCCTAGCAAGATGACTGGCTGCCTGGCCCAGCCCACCACCTCCCACCCCATGCCCCTCGCTCCACCATGGCTTCTCAGCCAGGTTCTCCCCTCCCCAGAGGTCAGCCAAGCCGAGTGAGAAGCCCCGGCTGCGGCAGATACCCTCGGCTGAAGACCTGGAGACAGATGGCGGGGGACCGGGCCAGGTGGTGGACGATGGCCTGGAGCACAGGGAGCTGGGCCATGGGCAGCCTGAGGCCAGAGGCCCCGCTCCTCTCCAGCAGCACCCTCAGGTATGGCAGTCCCCACCTGCCCCTCAGAAAGTGTCCTCAGAAGACTCTGGGGCCTGGCATAAGATGGGGAAGGGAGGGAGATACGACATCAGTGCAACAGGCAGCTCTAGGACCCATGGTTGCCCTATAAGATCCTGGGTGCTGGATCCACACTAAGGTGTAGGCACACACACACATGCACACTCACACACCCATACACACACATACACACAACAGCTTGCCAGTCTCAGGTGAAGCATGTCCCTTTTCCAGGAAGGAGTCTGTCCTTTCCTGGAGCCACACATAGTCCTGCCCTGGTATGTCTCCCCTCTATCCAGAAAGGTGGCTAGGGCCAGAGGTGGGATGGAGCCAGGCTCCAGCGTGTCCAGCAGAATGCTCTCACTGTGGGAATCAAGACCCAGTGCATTAGCTTGCCGGAGCTGTTGGGATACAGGCTGGGCGCCTTAAACAGCAGGCATTTACCATCTCACAGTTCTGGAGGCTGGAAGTCAAAATCGAGGTGTTGGTGGAGTTGGTTCCTTCTGGGGGCTGTGAGTGTGAGGGCAGGGGCTGTTCCCGGTCTCTCTCCTTGGCTTGTGGATGGTCATCTTCTTCCTGTGGCTTCATGTGGTTTCCCTCTGTGAATGCCTGTTCAGATTTCCTCTTCCTATAAGGACAATAGTCATACTGGGTTAAGGCCCACCCTAACGACCTCATTTTAATTTGATTACTTCTGTTTGTAAAGACCCTATCTCTGAATAAGGTCATGTTTAGAGGTACTGGGGGTTGGGACTTCAACATATAAATTTGAGGGTGGGGAACATAATTTACTCCATAACACATGATGACAGGCCACACACATGTTCTTGAACAGTTACATAGTCCAGGACAGGAGGACATCCTGGTCAGCACAAGATCCAGCGCCCCTCCCCTGGTTCCTGGCTTTGGAGCCCCAAGGGCCCGGGGAGCTGGTGGAATGGGTGGTCAGTCTGGGGTGCAAACCTGTCAGGGGGCTGCAGGGGACAGGGGGCTTAGAGAGTCAAAGGCCAGAGCCCCACTGGACAGCAGGTCTAGGTTTATCCTGGAATCTCTCTAGGAAAGGGGCCTGCTTGGCAGTTCCCAAGACCTCAGGCAGAAGTAGAGGGAGCAGGACCCTGAAACACTGGAGACCAAGGCCCCATCTTTCCCCTAGGTGTTGCTCTGGGAACAGCAGCGACTGGCTGGGCGGCTCCCCCGGGGCAGCACCGGGGACACTGTGCTGCTTCCTCTGGCCCAGGGTGGGCACCGGCCTCTGTCCCGGGCTCAGTCTTCCCCAGCCGCACCTGCCTCACTGTCAGCCCCAGAGCCTGCCAGCCAGGCCCGAGTCCTCTCCAGCTCAGAGACCCCTGCCAGGACCCTGCCCTTCACCACAGGTGAGACCGGGAGGAGGGTGGCGGGTGGAGGGAGGGGCTCGGCTGCACGAGTCCATGTGGGTGTCTTGGTGTCACTTGGGACATTTTTAGAGGCCACAGAGTGCTTAGCCTTGTTAGGCCCACGTAGTACCCATGGAGCACATGGAACAGCTGGTTATTGCATTTGGCCGATGAGGACCAAGGCTCACGAAATCTAAGGTGACAAGCCTGTGGTCAAATAGCAAGTGGTAGTCAAGCCAGGATAAGAATTCCAGTCTCCTGCCAATGCACTCAGCCCTTTTAAAAAATGATATTTATTACTGTTGCTCTGCTTGTAAAAAGAGCTCAGAAGTATTTTAGACATTTTGAAGAGTACAGAAAAACCTAAGAAGAAAAGAAAAATCACCAACCAGTATCCCACCACCCAGAAGTAAACCCTCTGAAATTCTGCTGTATTTCAGTCCAGGCTTTGTTCTGGCCATATGTACATGTACAGATGCCATGAACACATGAACTACGTTTTGTATCCTGCTTTACTTAGTTAACATATTATGAATCCTTCTTGGCATAATTAGTCTTTAAAACTGAGAGTCTCATAGTATTTCATTAATGTATTTCATTTTTACTGAGGGATCCCTTATCAGTTAGACATTTAGATTATAGCTTATTTGAATTTCCTTATGCATAAATCTTTCCTCATGCTTGGGATTATTTCCCAAGGTTCACTCTAAAGAAGTAGCATTCCTGGGTCACATGGTGTGAGCATTTTGAGAGTCGTTGGTGTCCTAGACGCACAGAAATTGACCCTCCCACCCGCAATGAGCAGGACCCTCCTCTGAAGACTTCCCACGGGTCAGACTGAAATAGTCACTTCTCCAAAGCTGGATTTGTCTATCACATGGTCCAGTGTCATCGTGGGCTTCTTAGCTCCCGGTTTGGGGGTTTCCTAGGAATTCTTTTCCCTCCTGCTGCCCCTTGGTAGCCTCTCTGGGTTCATGACACGTGTGTGAGATGCTGTACGTTAGGCCTCATGCTTTGCTCTGAGCACTTGAGGGCCTGGTGCTGGGCCCTCGAGTCCTGGGCCACCCAGCAGTCGTGTCCGCATGTGGGAAGGCCGTGGCTCTGTGGCAGCCATGTTGGCTGGAGCTGTGTTGATGTGTTGGCTGCTGCCACCTGGGGAAGTGTCTGGGCGTGTGTGGACAGGTGTGAGGGGCTGGGGCTGGGGTAGGGGCAGGATGAAATGCAGGCCTGTGTGGGTGTGAGGGGTGTGTACCCGCCCGGCTCCATGTGGGTGCCTGCTGTGGCGGTGCTGGCGTGTTCTCTGCAGCCAAGGCCATGGGGCGTGAGGACTCCCTGGGTCCCCGCTCTGACCCTTGCTCCTGCAGGGCTGATCTATGACTCGGTCATGCTGAAGCACCAGTGCTCCTGCGGTGACAACAGCAGGCACCCGGAGCACGCCGGCCGCATCCAGAGCATCTGGTCCCGGCTGCAGGAGCGGGGGCTCCGGAGCCAGTGTGAGGTGAGGAGGCGCGGGTGGGGCCCGAGGAATGGGTGGAGGGAGGAGTCATGGGAGGGGAGGGGTGGGGGGCCCTGGGGCCCATGAGAGATGAGGGGCACATGGGGTGGTGGTGATGGGAGGGAAGGGGCGAGCATGAGCTCAGAGCTCTGTGGTCCCCTTTTCAGTGTCTCCGAGGCCGGAAGGCCTCCCTGGAAGAGCTGCAGTCGGTCCACTCTGAGCGGCACGTGCTCCTCTACGGCACCAACCCGCTCAGCCGCCTCAAACTGGACAACGGGAAGCTGGCAGGTAATGGCCTAGTGGCCCTGTCTCCCCATGCCAGCTTACCTCACCCAGCTCCCATGCACTCCTGTCTCGGCTCTGCCCGCCCAGCCAGCCTCCTCCTGCACCCTGGACGTCCCTACTCCAGCTTGCTGCCAAGCCCCTCCTCAGCCCACCTCCACCTCTCCCTTCCATATTTCTCTCCCCCAATACTCACCCGGCCCTGCTCTCTGGGCTCCCTGCTCCCTGTTGGGCCAAAGGCTGAGAGTATTCACGCTGACGTGGGCTGGGCCTCTCCCCGCAGGGCTCCTGGCACAGCGGATGTTTGTGATGCTGCCCTGTGGTGGGGTTGGGGTAAGTGTGCCCAGGGGTCTCAGGGGGGCGTTGCCAGGGCTCTCAGCTCTCCTCCCTGTGGTTCTCCCAGGCCCAGCCCCTGCAGAACCTCTGCTTGTTGTGGTTCTGCCAGACAGGGTGAGCCAGGGACTTCCTGAGGTGCCCCCTGCAGCAGGAAGCTCCTTTTGGACAGGCGTGTCTCGGACCCACAGTCTCCCCCGAATGCGGAGTCCAGCCTAAGCCTTCCCCTAGAAGGTGTCTGGTAGATGTTGAGTGAGGTTTCAGGAGCAGGGCCAAGGCTGGGGCTTAGGATCATCTCTCCCTTCAAAGACCCCCATGACTGGGCATTGGCCGCCAGGCTGCTCTGTCTGCTCTTAAGTGGCAAGTTGGGGTACCTCAGCCTGGTCCCCAGACCTTGGGCTGCCTGGTGTGACATCACGGTGGTGCTTCCGGTGTCCTTGGCGATCCCAGCACTCCCCACTCCGGGACATAGCCCCAAACTCCGCTCGCGAGCTTTGCTTCCTAAGTCCTCACCCCTTTGTGAAGGGAGCTTCCCGCTCCCTCCGGCTCAGCTCTCCTCGCCTAACACTATCCCTGCAGTAGTTTCTCAAGCAAGGTGTGTAGAGGCAGGGGATGGAGGCCTCATTCCGGAGGGAAAGTGGGAGCTGTAGCTGGTGGGGGACTTTGGGAGCCAGTCAGTGCCCTATTCACAACTTCCCATTTCTTGCCACTTTCTGGTTTTTCCAACTGTTGTTGCTTCTGTTTTCTCCTCCCTCCTCTCCCTCTCTGTCTTTCTCTCTCTCTCTCTTTCTCCAGCCTCTTGCGACTCTCTCTGCCTTCCTCGCCTCTCTTGGTCTGCCTCGCCCTCCCCATCTCCCCATCATGCCCCCCGGCCCCTCCCTAGCCTTGAGGCCCAGGGACTGGGTTTGGGGGGCCTCCCAGCCTGGGCTAGGGGCCCTGAGTGGAAGACAGTGGTGCAGACGGCCCCTCCAGCTCCGACCGTCCCGCAGGGCCTGAGCAGAGTCAGCTGGGGCTTAAAACCCCCTCCCGGCCCAAACCCCAAGTCCCGCCCAGGTAACGCCATGCCCCCTCCCCTGACCGGGGAGGCAGGCGTGATGCTGCCAGCAGAGTGCTGGCCAGATAATGGGCTGGTGCTGGGACTTAAGCTGGGAAAAAGTCATGCTGGGATTGGGGGACACAGGAGGCCTTGCCTTTGGGCGGTGGGGCACTGGGGAGGCAGCACTGTCTGCCCAGCTCCCTGCCCCTGGGGTCCTGGCCGTGGGGTGGGGACCACCCCCTTGGGCCCTGGCTCCTGTGTGAAGCCTTGGATGATGCGGGCCCTGACTCTGGCTCCCGCAGGTGGACACTGACACCATCTGGAATGAGCTTCATTCCTCCAATGCAGCCCGCTGGGCCGCTGGCAGTGTCACTGACCTCGCCTTCAAAGTGGCTTCTCGTGAGCTAAAGGTAGGAGGTTTGGGTTGAAGGTGGACACACCACAAAGGAGGAAGCAGAGTGGGGTAGTGGGGAATCCAGGCCCAGAACCCCAGGCATCGCATTCCTCTTAGAGATTGCTACAGGGTTTTGGAGGGGAAATTGAGGGCTCTGGGAACCAGGTTGAGATTGGAACTCTTGGGGTACGTTCATGCAGCTGTGGGTCAGAGCTGTCTGTTGATTGACAAGCATTCTTTCTTTTTCCAGAATGGTTTCGCTGTGGTGCGGCCCCCAGGACACCATGCAGATCATTCAACAGCCATGTAAGGCTAAGGGAAGACCTGGGTGGGATGAGGTGGGGGGCAAGCCCCCAGGAACTTCCTTCAGGGACATTCTCTCTTCTTCCCTGAGCTTTCTCAGGCTGGGCCAACCCAGGGGCCT
Organism: Homo sapiens; assembly: GCF_000001405.40. Lineage (NCBI taxonomy): Eukaryota > Metazoa > Chordata > Mammalia > Primates > Hominidae > Homo > Homo sapiens. Next base: position 47,789,404 of record NC_000012.12, on the reverse strand, counting down.
GGGGAGGTGAGGGCATGTGGAGAGAATGGGCTGGCAGGACCTGTCTCTCCTTCCAGGGGCTTCTGCTTCTTCAACTCAGTGGCCATCGCCTGCCGGCAGCTGCAACAGCAGAGCAAGGCCAGCAAGATCCTCATTGTAGACTGGGTAGGTGCCTGTCCGTAGCACCCTCCAATTCGAGAGCCCTGGGGGAAAAGCCCTGAGCCTGATGTTAGAGATGCGGCTTCATGTCTTAGTTCTGCAGTAGCCTCTCTGAGCCTCAGTTTCCCCTTGTGTAAAATTTGGGTGAAGATAACACCCACATCACAGTTGGGAGGCCTAGAGGGGATGGCGTGTGGGAACGCATTCAGCCATCGCAAACCCCTGCAACGAGTAGGAGCTGTCATTTGAGTGTTGTCTTTTGACCTCTATTGGCTTCTTTTGGCAGATCTAGTAATTTCTGCATTTCCTGTACAGGTAGTGATGATAAGAATAATAGCAGATAACATCAGTACACCACTAATCACATCCAGACACTGATGGTTTTACACATGATGGATTTAATCCTGACTATAACCCACTTTACAGATGAAAGTGAGCACAGAGAGATTAAGTAACTCACACACAGTCATTCGTAAGTCATGAGATGGATTTGAACCCAGGCGGGTTAGCTCTAGAGTGCTTGCGTTTAACTGCTAAGCTATGTCCCTTCTGCACTGACAGCTGTGTAAGAGACATTTCTAAGCAGAAGTTGAGAGCGGTGGAGGACCTTTGCACACTTGAGTTCCCGCATGGTCCTGTGAGTCGAGTGTAGGGCCCAGCTCTCCCTACGAGGGATGGGGCTGGGCCTCGTGTACCTGCCCCTCTGTAACCGAGCTTGGTTTCTGATCTCCTCATAACTTCATGACTTTATGCAAGACAGAGTGGTTCCTGATATGTGTAACCCTGAACCCTTCCCTCTCCTTGCCACTAACCCCATGTCCACACAGTTACTCTCTCAGGTGGGCTGGCCTGAGATTGGGACACCTCCTCTCCTTCAGGATCTCATATTACAGCCAGCCCTGTCCAGCACAGAGAGGCCGAGGTTCAGAGCCGGGCAGTGGATTACGTGGGGCCACTCGACCGTGTGGCTTTAGGAACCCCAGGTTCCTGATCCCAGTCTAGGGTCCTGACCTCAGAATGGCCACTGACCTTGAAACCCTTCTAACCTGTCCTGGCCCCCATCTCTCTGCCTTCCCTAATCGCTGCCCGTCTCCCTACACAGGACGTGCACCATGGCAACGGCACCCAGCAAACCTTCTACCAAGACCCCAGTGTGCTCTACATCTCCCTGCATCGCCATGACGACGGCAACTTCTTCCCGGGGAGTGGGGCTGTGGATGAGGTAACCGCATGTCAGGGCCACATCTTCCAGCCTCATTGACCTCCTCCTGACACTTACTCTGCCTCTGTCATGACGAGCTGTGTGATCCTGGGCAGACTGCTGAGCCTCTCTGATCCTAAACTTCCCCACCTGGAAATGGGGAGGCTGGATGAGCTGGGCTGGCAGCTCTAACAAACTGGTGTTCCCCTTCTGGGACTCTGCTGTCCTCATGTCTCTCTTGCCTCCTGTTTTCCAGGTAGGGGCTGGCAGCGGTGAGGGCTTCAATGTCAATGTGGCCTGGGCTGGAGGTCTGGACCCCCCCATGGGGGATCCTGAGTACCTGGCTGCTTTCAGGTACGTGCTCTGGGGGCCCAGAGGGGCAAGTCCACCCTCTCCTGTCCCTTCTCCCAAGAGCACCAGGGGGGAGGTGATCAGTTGGATTGTCAGCCTGTCCCCACCAGTTCCTAGACATTGTAGGTGAACGCCAGTGAGAATAGGACAAACAGAGAGAAGAATGCAAAAGTCAAAGGGTGCTTTGCAAAGGCATACATTACCGAGAGCCAATGTCAAACTGATTGCTGGCAGGTGGGTGGTGGAGTGAGCAGAGCTGGCACATTTAGTCAGAGAAGGCTGCCACTCTATTTGGGAAAAGAGAATTCTGGAAATGGATCTTCAAACACTTTTCTGGAGTTATCTCCATGACAGCTAATTCTACGAGAGCCCTGGGCTGGAGTTCCTGGAGTCTTCTCAGAGCCCAGGGCTATGAAGAACACCCAAGCAGGCCCCAGAGTTGGATCAGGGGTAGAGGAAGGCAGCTGGGGGGGGGCCTGGAAGAGGGAGAGGATGAGAGAATGTAGCCAGGTGGCGCAGAACCTCAGAGGACCTAGTTGTCCCCTACTCAGCTCTCAAGTAGTGAGTAGCTGGGTGTGGTCAACTCAGTCCAAAGGACTGAGCACTTGTAGTCCCTGAAGCTTTGTGACCAGAGTCCATCTCCGCAAGGCTGTGAGATTACCCTTTCCCTGTGGCTCCGGCCACTGCACCCCACAGATGCTTGCATGCACACACACACATGCACACACACATGGTCACACACACTCCTCTTTCATTCCCTCTGGTGCTCCATCCTTGGCTCCTTTCTGCCTCTTGCTAGTTAAGTCCCCTAGGGGGCTGAGTCCTTAGGCTGTGTGTGCCAGGGACATGGGTGGCCAGCCAAGGTCAAGGAGGTCAGAGAAATCTGCCAGTTGTGCTGGGGCACTGGGAGCCTTGGAGTCCTAAGAACAGGGTGCCCCACCGCAAAGTTGGCAGGACCGCCCCTGGCAACCCTGCACAGTACGATGATCGCCACTTCTTGTGACCTCACAGGATAGTCGTGATGCCCATCGCCCGAGAGTTCTCTCCAGACCTAGTCCTGGTGTCTGCTGGATTTGATGCTGCTGAGGGTCACCCGGCCCCACTGGGTGGCTACCATGTTTCTGCCAAATGTAAGGGAGCCTCAGCTGAGGGGGACGTTAGGGACAGAGAGCCAGGCGGTGCGGGGAGTTGGGAGGCACTCCCAAGTCAGAAAGGGAAGGTGGCAGTGGCCAGCCCAGGGCTTTCAGCCTGAGGACTGGAGTATGGCAGCTGGTCCTGAAATTCCCCGGGATCTCCTAGCCGAGCACAGCCCAAGCCCTTTCTCAGGACCAGGCCGGTTCACCACGGAGGGCTTGACCAGGTCATACCCATGGGGACTTAAGTCCAGTAGGCAGGAAGCTCAGCCGTGGGACTCCCCACCACAGCTGGGTTGATTCCAGGTGGGCTGGCAGCTCCTCCAGAGGAAGGGGAGAGAGAAGCAGCACTCTCAGAATAGAGGGTGGCCACAGGGCCCAGAGTACAGAAAGAAGAGAGGGTGTAGCTCAGTGAAAAAGACACAGGCTAGAGTCAATGACCCAAGTTCAGGTCCTACCTTGCTGCCACTTACTAGCTGTGGGGCCTTTCCCAAGGCCCTTAACCTCCCTGAGCCTTGAGTGAAGCATACTAGTAGGTTTTGTACGACATTCAATGTGAAAGCACTTTGGAAATAGTGATTGATACATGTGAGTCATTCTTTATTAGGGAGGAAGCAAGCAGGGAAGCCACAGGGGTAGAGAACAGGGTCACCTCTCCACTCCCGCCCCTCCCATTTCTCCCCTCCCAACCTCTAGGTTTTGGATACATGACGCAGCAACTGATGAACCTGGCAGGAGGCGCAGTGGTGCTGGCCTTGGAGGGTGGCCATGACCTCACAGCCATCTGTGACGCCTCTGAGGCCTGTGTGGCTGCTCTTCTGGGTAACAGGGTGAGCCGTCTCCCTCCCCCATCCATGCTTCTGTCAGGCAGGTAAGCCCGGCTCTCAGGACTACCCAAGGAGCAGGCAGATGGGATGGGACAGGGTGGGAGTGGCCAAGCCTGAAACAAGGTAGGCGAAGCGGAAGCCTCTGTTCCAAGTTAGGTCCAGGCAGCATCTCCTGGCCTAGGTAGAGTGTGCTTGTGGCTAGAAGGCTGGGGCCCCTGGGGTGGGAGTGAGCTGGGCCTGTGGGTCCCTGAGAGACTGGTGGCTGATGTACTGTTTTCTATAGGTGGATCCCCTTTCAGAAGAAGGCTGGAAACAGAAACCCAACCTCAATGCCATCCGCTCTCTGGAGGCCGTGATCCGGGTGCACAGTAAGTGTGGAGATGGGACACTCGCTGAGCTCAGACTGAAGGATCTTGGTGGTACCCTGCCCCACCGTGGCCAGATCCTAGGGCTTCCGGTGCCAGCCAGGTGACCTGCTGTTGGTCTGGAGTAAGATTCCTGTGAGTGACCCAGGCAGCAATGGTGAGCACCCCCCAGTGAGGGGTTATCCTCTGAGCCCCCCCGATGGAGCCAGCAGGGCCTACCAGACAGTGGCCCCTCAAGGTAGGGACTGGCCTCCATCTCTAGCGACAGCCCTAGACCAGGGCCAGGTCAAGAGCAACACTCAGGCCTTGTTTGCCAAAAGGCCTGGTTCCCATCCCTCCCCTCAGTCCTGGCCACAGGCGTCTCAGGAGCTCTGCTGGCTTGGGGGCTGCGTCTTGGGATAACCCCCACATTTGTAAAGTACTTTAAATTTTCAACTTCAACTCAACATCTATTGAGCATCTTATGTCAAGACCCATAATCTATACTAGGGATAAAAATGAGTAAAATAGATTCCCATATCAAGGGCTGGGTAGGGGAGCCGTGATGTCTTTACATAATGGTAAAGACATGGCTGATTCCTCTTACGGTGGGTGCCCTCACACTGAGCCAGATTCCAGGACATGGTTCCTCACAGCAGCAGGCAGGAGGAGCATTCTCCTGGCCTGGGCACCCATGCAGAGCGGCCGTGGTGATGGTCAGTTCTCCCATGTTGTGTTCGTCCCACCTCCCAGGCCCTCCTTTCCTGAGTGCTGGGCTGAGCACTGGTGGGGGCTGTGTTTAAGTGGGAGGCCCGAGCTTGGGGCTCTGGGAGGTCACTGTGACACAGACCCTGTCTGCAGGCAAGCAGGCTCTCCTGATGCTCTCAGGAGCCCCGCACCTGTGGGGAATGAGTCAAAGGTGGCCTTGCAGCCACAGGGGATGAGAGAAAGGCTGGGCACCTGCTAGGACTCCCTCACAGCCATGTTGAACCCACTCTGTGTACCCTGTCAGGCTGTGCGGGAGTGGGAGCGAAGTGAGGAGAGGGGCAGGTGGGAGAGCCGACCCTAAGTGGAGGACAGGCCCGCTCCTCCGGGGCCCTGGGCCTGAGACACCAACCTCAATATCCGGTCTAGGACGCAGTGTGGAGGGGCTTGCTTTCTCCAACCCTTTCTGACCTGGCATCTTACCCCAGGTAAATACTGGGGCTGCATGCAGCGCCTGGCCTCCTGTCCAGACTCCTGGGTGCCTAGAGTGCCAGGGGCTGACAAAGAAGAAGTGGAGGCAGTGACCGCACTGGCGTCCCTCTCTGTGGGCATCCTGGCTGAAGATAGGTAATGCCAGACCCCTGGCCCTGGGCCCACAGCCTCTCCACCGCTTCATTCCTCCCTGCTTGAAGACCCCGGGTCCGCTATGCAGCCACCCCAACCCTCCCAGGCTTCCTGACCAGGGTTGAGAGGAAGCTTAGCTAAGGCCCTTGCTGCAGCCCTGGTGCTCCAGCATCCCACCCTTGTCCCTCCCCACAGGCCCTCGGAGCAGCTGGTGGAGGAGGAAGAACCTATGAATCTCTAAGGCTCTGGAACCATCTGCCCGCCCACCATGCCCTTGGGACCTGGTTCTCTTCTAACCCCTGGCAATAGCCCCCATTCCTGGGTCTTTAGAGATCCTGTGGGCAAGTAGTTGGAACCAGAGAACAGCCTGCCTGCTTTGACAGTTATCCCAGGGAGCGTGAGAAAATCCCTGGGTCTAGAATGGGAACTGGAGAGGACCCTGAGAGGAGACGGGCTGGGCGGCGACCCCCACAGGGCTCTCGAGAACAGATTCTCCCCTCCAGTATGGGCCCTGGCTGTGGCCCCCATTCCTCAGGACTGCACAGAGGAGGACTGGCTCCGGCTCCGTCGGGCTCACCCTTAACCACTATTCCTGGCTCTGCAAACCCCAGACTTTGCACACAGCCTCAGGCTCCACACAGAAATGTGAACTTGGCCTCAGACAGGCTGGCCCTTCCTAGGCTCTAGGGGCTAGGGGGGAGTGGGGAGCCAAGAGGTCCCATATTCCTGAGTGCAGGGGTAGTCCCTCTCACCTGCTTCCTCAGACGACTCTGGAAGCTTCCCTCTACCACTGGGCACTGAGACGAAGCTCCCTGACAGCCGAGACTGGCAGCCCTCCATCTGGTCCGTACCCTCGCCAGAGGCCCCCCTACATCAACCTCCTGGCGATGCCCTGGTGGAGCAGATGGGTGCTCTGGGAGTCCTGTGCTTCCTGATCCAATGGTGCCAAACCCTTCATCTCCCCAAGAAGCGCAGCATACCCCTGGGACCCCTCGGCCACTGCCCACTCGGGGAGCCTTCTCTGTTTCTGGGGCCTCCCCCACCATAGCTCTGATTCCCACCCCACATAGGAGTAGCCTGACTGAGGGGGAAGGGGTGGGAGAGAAGATACAGACATGGAGGAGGGGAGGCTGCTCTGGCAAAGTCTTCAAGGCTTTTGGGGGTCCAGGCCTGGGGTCAAGAAGGAAAATGTGTGTGAGCATGTGTGTGAGTGAGGCGTGTGTGTGAGCGTGTGTGTGAGTGAGGCGTGTGTGTGTGTCTTTCCTAGGACCCACCATACCCTGTGTATGTATGCATGTTTTTGTAAAAAGGAAGAAAATGGAAAAAAATCTGAACAATAAATGTTTTATTTGCTTTAAAAGTGCCTCTGAAAGGGCCCCCCAGAAGTGAGCAGTGCGCCGTCAAGCGGGTGTGCAGGGCACACAGCTGCACGGCACAGTGTGGGTCTGAGTCACTGCCGGAGGAGGGACCAGGGTGGTCTGGGCCGCAGCCCCTTTAACAATCTGCCCTTCCTGCCCTGCAGGAAGAACCCATTCTGAACACACCCTGGCTGTCCCTGGCTGCCCCACTTTGGGGTGACAAAGAGGAGGCAGCCCTGGGCTGAGTCCACAGAGACCAGCCCTGATATGGCAGGAGTGGGGGTGGGGTGGGGGAGTGGGAATACAGGAGCTCAGCCCCAGCTCACCACGGCATCCCCGAAGAGTTGTGACTCAGACACACCTGGGTTTAAGTCCCAGCTGGGAGCTCAGGTAAGTCAAATCGTCTTCTGGGGCCTCTGTTTATCAGTAGAAGGCTCCAGAAGTATACACTGTTGATGGCTCCTTCCCGCTCTGATGCACCATGCCTGATTAAGCATACACTGAGCCTAGAAGAGAGAAGGGGTGAGGCACAGGCCTGGACAAGCTCACCCAGCCTAAGCAGAGAGGAAGGCGCCAGGCTGGCAGCACCTGCCTTTGTGGTTCTGAGTCTGTCCGGTTTTTCCAGCAGGAAGAGGAGCACCTCATTACCTTAGACCTGGCCCAAGCTCCTGGCAGCCTGGCAGAGTGTGAGGGAAGAGGCGCTAATCCCTTTCCCATCTGGCCTGGCCTCTCGGGTGTGGACACCAAATCCCGCAGGGGTTGCTGTAGCTATGCCCGTGGGCATCCTTGCCCTGGCTGGGGTGTGCTAGAGAGAGGAAAGCTGGAGGAGGAGAGCTGAGCTGGTGGTTACCCCATGCCAGGAGGGCCAAGGCAAGAGGGCCTGCAGCCCCAGAGATACTGACTCTGTCCCCTGCCCTCCAGGGCACAACTGAACTAGCGGAATGGCTTAATCAGATAGCTCGAGAACTGCCACTACCACTCCCTCCCTGCCCACTCCTCCCAAAGTCCACCTGTTCCCGCAAGAGTCCCACCTCACAAGCAACCACCAGAGGCTGATACAAATGGCCGCTGTATTTTTGCTAAAGTGACAGTGACACAGATAAGGCAAAGAGCTGAGGGGCAGGACACATCAGATGGGAAGGGGGAGACCGTGCAAAATGGCAGTCTAACAGAAAATCATCCTTGTACCAACAGCCCCTTCCCTCCCAAGTTAGGTGAGCCCTTGGGCCAGTGTATGGGCAGAAAAGCAGATTTGTGTCCTTCAGAAGGGAAATGTAAAAAGGTGAAAGCTCTAGTTGAAGGGCAGTGAGAGGGGCTGGAGTGGGAGAGAAGGTCTCTCCTGGCCGGTGGTCTGGGTGCAGCAAGGGCACTCTGAGAAGGCAGAATGGAAACGCAGGGCTGGAGGGGCATGGGTACAGGTTTGGGGGCTCTTTCCAGCCTCTACTATGTTGCCCCCTTCCCCAAAGCCCTTACAGGGGCAGAAGCACATTCCCCGTGACCCTGAGTCTGGCCTCATTTGGGAAGTCTTCTGGGGTGTATGGATGCCTGTGTGTGTGAGTGAGATGGGTGGGGGGCCACGGCTATCTGGCTCTAGCACACTCATGGGAGACCAGCTCTGGGAACAACAGGATGGGGTGCTGGGATGGGGGTTTAAGAGGTCTCTGCTAGATATTTCTGAACTGACCTCCCCAGGTGCCCAACCTGGCCTTGGGAAGAGAGTGCCTAGGGCAGCGGGGATGGAAACCCTTGCCTGCAGCATAGGTCCAGGCCTCATGGCCCTACACCTTGACCTCTTGACTTTGTTGCCCTGGCCTTAAGTACAAAGATTCCTCACTGCGTGCTAAGAAAACAGATCCAGGCCGGGCACGGTGGCTCACACCTATAATCCCAGCACTTTGGAAGGCTGAGGCGGGTGAATCACCTGAGATCAGGAGTTCGAGACCAGCCTGGCCAACATGGCAAAACCCTGTCTCTACTAAAAACACAAAAATTTGCCGGGCATGGTGGCAGATGCCTGTAATCCCAGCTACTTGAGAGGCCAAGGCAGGAGAATTGCTTGAACCTGGGAGGCGGAGGTTGCAGTGAGCTGAGATCGCACTACTGCACTCCAGCCTGGGTGACAGAGTAAGACTCCATCTCAAAAAAAAAAAAAAAAGAAAAAAAAAAGAAAGAAAAGAAAACAGATTCATTTGAAAAGGTCTAAAGCTGCCCTCTGGCCAGGCTGATGAGGAGCAACATGGCAGGATCCCCTCTCTACCACACTCAGGTTTCCTCGAAAGGGGACGGGCAGGACAGCTTCCTGGGAGACCACACTCGTCCTGCTGTGTATTTTCTGCCACAGTTCTGGGGTCACCAGGGGGTGGGAGTAGCCTCTCCCAACATCTCAGAGGCTGAGTCCAGGTCCTAAGGCCCCCCCAGGGTGCAGAGACCTCACCCCCTGGGTCAGAAATCGCTGAGGATGCTGATGTCAGCAAAGTCAGCCCGGTAGCGGTGGGCATAGAGGCTGAGCAGGAAGGCCCACTTGAAGGAAATGAAGCTCCAGACGCTGGAGAGGTAGTAGCTGGTGGGGTCTGTGAGGCCTGCAGGGAGAGAAGTACCGACAGTGACTTTGGCAGGCCCTGCCCTCGGCCTCTGCACCGGCCACAAGGCCAGGGCCACCCTCCCCACTCAACATCCCTGCAACGTCCTGGCAGCTGAACCAACCCTTCAGAAAGACACTGTGATGGAGGTTTTAGAGCCATGGTCCCCAACCTTTTTGGCACCAGGGACTGGTTTTGTGGAAGACAATTTTTCCACAAAAACCTTGGGATGGTTTGGGGATGAAACTGTTCCACCTCAGATCGTCAAACATTAGATCATCAGGGGCACGCAACCCTCGCATGCGCCTCACAACAGGGTTTGCGCTTCTAATGCCCGCCGCTGACCTGACAGGAGGCAGAGCTCAGGCGGTAAGGCTCGCTTGCCCCTCACCTGCTGTGTGGCCTGGTTCCTAACAGGCCACGGACCACTACTGTTCCACAGCCTGGAACAGTAGAACGGAGCTGGGGACCGTTTTAGAGTATTCCAGGGTTTTCAGGCAGGAGGCCGTGGGGATTAGGGAAGGGCAGGGCTGGCCAATCACAGGTCTGTATCATCCACTCCGCTTTTGTGACAAATACCCTAGGCCACCTCCAACCTGCTTTAGTTAGCATCAGACTCCCGGAAGAAGGACCTCTGGTTATTTCCAGCCACAGCCACCAGAGGGCGCTCCCATCCCAGAGCTGAGCACAGACTAATGGGTCCCAATATCAGGAGTGCTTGTATGGGCTATGCACTGCTCAAGACTTCACATCAGTTTCATAGAATCCACCCAACTTGCGAGGTGGGGACTTGTTTTCTCCACATGAACCATAACAAAACCCGTGTCCGGGGAGGTTAAGTAATTCACCCAGTCTCTTTGGAGGTAACCTGTGGAACCAGGATGGGAATGCTGCTAAAATCCCCGCTGCTGTCCCTCCCATGCCCTCTTTCCCTGGGACCCGCCCTCACTCTGATGCCGGGTGATGGCCAGCACGAGGAAGGTGCAGAAGGCAGCGATGGAGACGGCCGAGAAGAGGACGCCCACGAAGAAGAAGCCGCGCAGCCCCTTGAGCCAGGTCCTCCAATAATCTTGCATGTACATCACGTGCGTCACCAGGACCCACAGTGCCAGCACCCCTGCAGGAGAGACACATCAGGGCCCATCCCCAGGGTGCTCCAGAGCCCTGCAGATCCACTAGACCAGGCCTATTTGCATAAGAATACCAAGAATATGGTCTTGTCTCTCATTCCCTCATAGAATGGAGTTTTCCTTTTCGGAGGCTGTGATATCAGAAGCAGGTAAGAGACTGAGCTGCCTGCTAGTAAGCCCAACATTAGAGAAACCTGCAGAAATACAAAACCCTACCATTCTCTCTGATTTTATTTTGTTTTGGAAAACATGAATATCTCTCACAAAAATGTTATGTTAATTCATGTTATTTTTAGTATTACTTTAAAATGCTAAAAAATGTTCTAACTTCTAATATAGTATATATCAATAGCTAAAACTCACATACATAAAATTTGCATGGAGTTTCACTACTTTTCAAGAGGATAAAAGGATCCTGAAAACCAGAAAGTCTGTGCCTCAGCAGCCCAGCCTGCTTTCTGGGGACTTGCCACTGTCTACCCTGAGGGCCACAGAGCAGGGAAGCCATGCTCCTGCCCCATGCTCCTCCTCCACCCAGCCCTCAGAGGCCACAGTCTCAAAGTCACAAGGCCTGCAGGGCTCTTCCCAAACTGCCTGAGTTGGTTTTGCAGGATGAGGAGGTCCAGCCATGAAGACTCCAGGGCCACCCAACCCCTGAGTGGCCTTATTGTTCTTGGCCAGACCTCATGCCACTCCCTCCATTTTGCGGCAAAGGGCAGGCCATCACCACCTGCACCGCTCCCCACCCCCACTGCCCCCAGCTTTTCCTGGGCCTGGCCTCTGCGCCTGGGTGGACACTTCCTCTAGGATGCCAGCTGCCACCCAGCCAATACAATACAAAACAACCCTCTGTGCCAGGCAGTGCCTGCTGGTGCAGCCCAAAGAGTGGAACAAATATCAACTCCATTGGCAAGGGTCCGGGCAGGGCGGTGGATCCCGGCAAGGGACAAATGAGGAAGGAGGCAGAGCCAGCTGCAGGCTCTCAGCTGGTTGGGTTGCAAGGTGTGGGCCACTCAGGCCGCTGCATCCTAGGAGTCAGGAGGCCTTTCCAAAAGGCAGCTGCACACATGCCACTCAGAGTAGTTACCAAATGTGCACAGGAAGGATAAGCATCTGGTTGGGGAAAGTGGTTATCTCTGGCAATGGAGACAAGGAAGGGAAGTTGATGGGGCGGTGGGGGTGGGGAAGTGCTTTGAATCTATGGGAATCTATGCTATTTTGTTTCTTAGGCTGGGTGGGAAATCTATGCTATTTTATCTACGCTGTTTTCTCAGGCTGGGTTATAAGGGTGTTTGTTAAATCATCTATCCTTTTTTGTGTGCCTAAAATATTTCATAATTTGTTTAAGGGGGAAAAAGGCAGGAGGAAGCTTGTCACTGTGGAGCTATGCTCTGGTTACCAGCTCAGAGGCTGTCCCAGTTTGGCTGTCCCCAGACAGTCCAGTGAGGAACAAAAACCCATGAGACTCCAAGCCAAGAAACCAGGAGCCTGGCACTGCTGTGTCCCAAAGCCTTGGTGTTTCCACATCTAAAAATGGGTGGGCCCAGGGGTCCTGCCAGTTTAGGTAACTGGGCCCAGGGTTCTACCCTAGTGAGGGTGAAGGCCTACCAAGCCTACAGCTTCCCTCAGCCCCTGCCACCGTTTGACCCCCTGAACACTCTCCCAGCTTTGCCCCTGCCCACCTCCACTCTTCCTCAGGGGGTGGGGGCCTGGAATGTGGGTCCCCCTCCTACTGAGATCAGGGTGGGCCAGGACAAGCATCTGTTCCTCCCCACCTAGTCTGGATGCTGGAGTGGGCCAGAGGTGGACAGGACAATCATCCTGCAGCTTCCTCTTACCTCCTACAAGATCTGGATTTTTATACCAGCCACCTTTCACAGAAGTCCCTCCCACTCCTCACATGTGTCCCATGTTTTCATTTGAGGGAGCTGTTTGGTTTATAAAGGGCCCTGGGAACAAGGGGTGTTGTCACTGAGCACACTCAAGGAGCAGTCTGATGGGCACCTGTCTGGAACAGGTCCCCTCGCCCTCTGTCTCCTCGTGCCACAGAGGGGTTGGGGAAGTTGAGCTCTAAGATCCTTTCCCACTCAAAGATTCTAGAAGCCAGCTTGGGAGAAAAATAAGGTCAGAACAATTCCTCTGTGACTCAGCAGTTTCTGGGTTAGGAAATGCTGAAATAGGGGCCTGTGAAGATGCCATCTCTTAGTCCACTGGCCACGATCCAGTGGTTCCCCAAAACTCCCACCCCCATGTACATGCACATACCAAAGAGGGCTGAGGGCAGGAGGGAGAGGAAGACAGCCATTTGGGGGCGTTTTGGGCCCTGTTCTTTGTTAACAACAGGCATGGTTTACCCACCTCTCACCTTCCCTCAACCTTGCTCCAGGCCCTGCACAGAGGCCTCCCCTCCAGATAAACACACATCAAGTGTGGAGGCAGGCCTGCTGCCCACGCCCTGGCTCCCACCACCCTCCTGGGAAGGGAGCTCTCCACCAGCCCTACCCAAGGGGGTCACTGAAGGAGATGGAGCCCCTCACTGGTCCCCTCCCACACATCAGGCAGGAGGCAATGTATCTCCCTAATACCCTTCCCTGGCACACTTGGGGACTCTAGGAAGCCTGGTTTATAAAACTCGGGGTGGAATGGACAGGTCCCCAATCCCACCTGGCTGCAAGCCCACACCAGACCACACCGTTGCTCCATCCTACCTGTTTCAAGGAGCAGAGCCCCTGCTTAGCCATGTGAGCTTATTGGCTCACAGCCGATAAGCTAAGGGTAAGGAAGGCATAGGGTAGGGCGGTGAAAGCATCCCCAGTGGCTGGGCTGGAGGTGAGGAGACAGGAGACACCCGGGGGATCCCACAGGGTAAATGCAGACAAGAAGGACACTGGGCCTAGGTCAGGCCCCTCTATTCCTTCCTAGGAGGAAGACAGTCCTGGAGCCCCAGGGCTCTTGCTCACAGCTCACCTGGGAAAAACATAGAGCTGTTTAGACTTCAGGAGCAACTTTTCTTTTTCTCTTTCCTTGGTCTACTAAACCCAGAGCAAGAGTTTGTGTTTTCCCCCAGGACTCCCACAGCAAAGCCAGACCAGGTAGATCCAACCCACACCTGCCCGCCTCCCCAGGAAAGCCAGTCTTGCTTCTGCCACTGCCTTTCTCCAAAGCCACTTCTTCGAAGGTACCCATCAGGATGGGAGAGGGTATCCCCACCCGTGAACACTCTGCCCACCAGACCCAGGGGCTCCATGACTCTGCTCCAGAAACTGGCACATCCAATCAGTCCTTGCCTGGTCCAACACAGGAGAAGGAGCATGCTGGGGCTACCCTTGGGTGACTCAGCAGATTCTGAGCTATAAAACGCTGAGTCAGAAGTAGGGTGCTCACACGTTAGTTAATCTGCTGACACTTTACCCCCAAAAGAGGAAGAAGGTTGACTGGCCACAGACCCTCTGAGAACTCACTCATGGTGGGGAAGGTCGGAGGCCCAGGCTTGGCAACCCCTCTCCCTGCCACCATCCACCACCACCACTACCAAGCAGTTTTGGCTCTTCCACAGCCACTGTCAAAGATCAGACCATCAGGGAGATACCAGGACCCTACTCCAGCTGGCTGCTGCCCTAGCGAGCTGCTGCCCTAGCGAGCTGCTGCCCTAGCGCCTCTCTCTGAAGGCAGCTCCACAGCTGGCCTGCCTCATAGGCCAAGGGAAGCCTGTGGGGAGGGAGAGAGGGCAGAGTTGGGTCGGAAGAAAACCCCAGGCAACTCCCTAGAGTATAAGAAAGAAGGCCTTTTCCACAGCCCTCTAGGAGGCAGCTGGAGACTCAGGGAGTGGGCAGCACTGCAAGATTTCAGATCTGGAGGGAAGTCAGATGTCTTTTGGGGACATCTCCTCCCACTCCTAATAGATGAGGAAACTGTGGCCCAGGATAGGGTCAAACGGCCAGGTAGGGTTCACCTCCACTTGTACCAGGCCAGACTCAACACAACCAGCTGAGATCCCAGGCTGGCCCTCCCTGCTCATCCTTCTCTTGCCTTCGGTCTTCGCAATGCAATCATAGGGCTCTGACGCCGCCTTCCAGAGGGGAAAGCAACAGGGCCAATAGGAAACAAAAAAGTGGCAGGGAGAAGTGAACCTTGACAAACATGGAGGGTGGCGGGGTGCAGTGGGGAAAGGAACTAGGGCTCTGTAGATAACGCGCAGAGATGGGCCAGTTGTCCTCAGGATCCCACAGGTGGTGAGGCAGCTGGGCAGGCAGAGAACACCCTAGCCAGGGTGCCCATCCCCCCTTCTTGGTGACCCAGTGCTTTGTTGGCATTGTGTAGGGTGGGGCCCTGTATGCCCCTCTTCTAAGGCATTAACCCCACCTCATGCTGCGACTCTACCCAGGGATGGCACTCAGCACTCCCTGTGGCAGTGAGTAAATTAGTTATTTTTAGTTATTCCATTTAGGGTTCTTTTGGCCGAGGATTTTAGTAATGGAATATAATCATCATATGTAAAAGTATTATACGTATTTTCTTCCCAAAGTCCTTTCCCACACATATTATTTCATGTAGCTGTGTAATCCCGGGTAAGCAATTTATTTAACTTCAGGCCTCAGTTTCCTTATCTGTAAAATGGACATAATCGTAAGGCCTACTTCATGAGACTAATGTAAGGATTAAATGAAATAAGGGAAGCAGGTTGCTTAACATAGTGCCTGACACATAGAAAGCATTTTTTAAAATGTTAGAAAGTAGAGATAATATTTTTCATCTTCATACCAATTCTATGGCGCAGAGAGGTTAAACTGCGAGCCCAAATGTGCACAACAAGGAGCACTGGTCAGCCCAGAGCCCCCATCAGCGCACCGATGCTTCCCCTTCCCTCCCAGAAGCACAGAAAGGGCGGCTGGCCTGCAGGATTTGGCAGAGCTTGGCTGAGGAGCCACAGCAGACGGGTAGCAAAAAGGCACCAACATGGGTGGAAAGAGAATGTCCAGTTTCTATGAGATCCCTAACGCCGTCCTCCCTGTGGGTCTCAGCAGAGGGCTCTGCGGGGGAGCCCTCTGGAAGGAGGGAGATGGGCTTCCCCAGCCACCCCTAGCCCTCTTCCTTTCCCACTTCTTCCCTCTCTGCCCTCACCCAGCACCCAGGGAAGGGGCGCCTGGGGGGCAGGGGATCCCTCAGAACAACCGTGTGTGTGTGCGTGTGTGTGTGTGTGTGTGTTTGGGGATAGGAGGCGACCAGCGCCGCGGGCGCGCGGAGGGGACACTGTCGTGGGGCAACTGGGCGGAGGGCGACAGGCAGTGTGCCGTGACAGATAACCCGGGCGGCGCGGCAGGTCTGTGCAGCCGGCAGTGGCGGGCCGTCGGCACCCCCAGGTGGCGCCCGGGCGGGCATCGGGTCTCAGAGGCACCCAGGAATGCCCAGGAGCCCGGGCCCGCGTGGGGCCTGCCGCCGCCAACCGCTGTTTTCGAGTAAACACTCCACCCGCTCCGCGGGGAAGCGCCGCTCGCGGGGAGCGTCCTGGAGCAGCTGACGGCGCCCGCCCCGCAGCCGCGCACCCGCCCCGCGCCGCCCAGCGTCCCGGGGTACCTGCGAGCCCTCCCATGGCCGCGGTCCCCGGCTGTCGGTAGACCACCGTCCAGACGAGGAAGATGGAGAAGCCGGCCACGGAGCTGATGCCGGAGTAGGCGGCGCGGAGGCCGAGCTGCAGCCTGGACGGGGCCATGGGGCTGCGGCGCCGGGCGGGCCGAGGGCGAGCGCGGCCGAGAGTCACAGGTGCAGGGCCCGAAGCCGCCAGCCGGAGCCGCGGGAGCCGCCAGAGCAGCCGGCGCCCCGCGCTCCGCCCCCGGCCCGCCCCCAGCGCCGCCCGCACAGCGCCCTCCCCGGCCGGAGGCCGCCCGCGCCCGGAACCGCAGACGCCACCGCCGCTTTGCGAAGCTGCCGTGTCGTTTGGGGGAATGCTGCTAAAAAGGCGGATTCCTGGGCCCATCCCCAGACCCGCCGTGTCCGGATTGTTGGACCTTGGAAGGGACCGGAAATATGCCTTTATACGAGCGAACCGCGAGGATTAAAAATCTTTACCTCTGAGTACGATGCGTATTTTCGTTTAAAATTAAAATTAAAATTTCTTGTTAAAAATTAATAGGTAAAACTTAAGAAATATTAGAGTACGCTGTGAATAGAATTCCTTCCGCCCGTCCTTCTATCAACCAGGTTCCCTCCCACCATATCGCAGAGGATTTCTCCACACACTAAAGTCTGGGAACCCCTGCGACCATCACCTTCTGACTGCAAACATTCTATACATTCTATCCTCACGCACAGCTCCCCACAAATCCCTACTTTTTTTTTTTTAAACAGAGTCTCACTCTGTTGCCCGGGCAGGAGTACAGTGGCGCCATCATAGCTCCGCATCCTCCAACACCTGGATTCAAGCAATGCTCTCACCTCAGCCTTCCAAGCAGCCAGGACTACAGGTGTGTGCCACCACGCCTGGCTAGTATTTTTTGTTATTTATTTTTTGTAGAGATAGGGTCTCGCTATATTGCCCAGGCTGGTCCCCAACTCCTGGCCTCAAGCTGTCTTCCCACCTCGGCCTCCCAAAGCGCTGGAATTACAGGCTTGAGCCACTGCAACGGACCTCACCTTTCCTTTTATCAGCACAAGCCTTATCCTCCCAAACCCCTCACCCTGACCCTCGGGATCATACCATTGTAAGGAAGAGACAGATCTGTAGCAGGAGGGCACTGAGCTCCCACGTGAGCCCAGCTTCCGGCCGGGAGCTGGAGGGAAAATCCCAGCACAATAACAAGGGCTCTGCCACAGCACTAAGGATCCACATGGGGAGGCCCATCATATACCTGCACAAAACATAACCAATACCCCTTGCATTAGTTTTTTTTGTGTGTGTGCTGCCGTAACAAATTACCACAAATTTACTGATTTAAAATAACACAAACTTATTATTATTTTACAGTTCTGTAGGTCAGGAATCCAAATAATGGTCTCACTGGGCTAAAATCAAGGGGACATCAGGGTTGCCTTGTTTCTGGAGGCTCTAGGGGAAAATCAGTTTCCTTGACTTTTTTTTTTTTTTTGAGACGGAGTCTTGCTCTGTCACCCAGGCTAGAGTGCAGTGGCGTGATCTCAGCTCACTGCAATCTCTGCCTCCTGGGTTCAGGTGATTCTCCTGCATCAGCCTCCCGAGAAGTTGGGATTACACGCTTCCACCACCACACCCAGCTAATTTTTGTATTTTTAGTAAAGATGGGGTTTCACCATGTTGGCCAGGCTGGTCTCGAACTCCTGACCTCAGGTGATCCGCCCACCTCAGCCTCCCAAAGTGCTGGGATTACAGGTGTGAGCCCACCGTGCCCGGCCGCCTTTTCCAGCTTCTAGAGTGAGGCTACCCACATGCCTTAACTCCCTCTTCCTCCTTTTCCCTTCTAAGGACCCCTGTGATTGAGGGGATAGTCCAGGATAATCTCCCCATCGCAAGATCCTTAATTTTATCACATCAGCAAAATAAATCCCTTTGCCGTGGAAGGTGACATATTCATAGGTTCTGGGATGAGGACGTGGACATCTTTGGGGGCCATTATTATCCCACCCACCACACCCCCTCTGGAACATAAACTTCATGAGCAGGGACAGTGCCAGTTTTGTTCACATCAACATCTAAAAGCATGTCTGGCATATAATGACCCCTTAATAAATGTTTGTTGAATAGGTGAGTGTGAGTGAATGAAGGTAAGAATAAAATAAAAACAAAAGCAATTATACACAAGGAATCTAGACAGGGTGTGCTTAACTGCCAAACAAGGGATGTAAACCAGTGTTAAGCACATTTGCCTCACTCTAGAATAATCTGGGAGCTTCTTTAAAAATAAAAAAATAAACCCAGCCCCACCCCTGCCTATTAAATTTTGAATCTTGGAGTGTGTATTTTAATGAGAAGTGATGTCAAGGCTGTGAGCTCAGCAGCAGCCCTCCTTTAGGAGCTGCCGGTGGAGAGTGAGTGCTGGTCCTGTGGAGGAGGGAGCAAGCCCCGTGGTCCGGAGTGCATTTCCATGGATGGCTTCAGAGCTGGCCAGGATGGACAGTACTCCAGGCAGTGGGAACCGCACGTGTGATGGCGCAGAGGGAAGAAATAAAGCGGCCGCTTTGGGAAACTGTAAGTCGTTTGTGGCTGGAATGTCAAGTTTGAAGGTAGAGTAGCGGGTTTGGAGATTAGAAAGGTTCTGAACATAAAGGGCCTTGCATGCTCTGTTAAGAAGGCTGTCCCCCTCCCCTTGGGGCTGGGGGAGAAAACTCACAATTCTGTGTTTTAGAACTATGGCCAGAGTAATAGAGTGAAGGCGAACTGCCTGTGAAACACTAGAAGCAGAGAGATGAGTTGGACAAATTTCACCCCACAGTGCTTTAATTACCAGGTCTTTAAAATGGAGACTGCAGTAACACCTACTTCAAAGTGTTGTGATGAGGAGTGCCTGGAAGAGTGCCTAGCACATGGTAGATACTCAATAAATGTCAGGAAGTAGAATTAGTAGCAGCAGAAGGCTGCCATGGCAAGAGAGGATGAGGGGCTTCAGAGCTGGTCCAGGCAGAAGCAGAGAGAATGGAAGAGACGAAACTGCTTCAAGAGCTATTTCAGCTATCTGAACCTAAAGGTCAGGGGAGAATTCATTAGCTGAGCAGACAGAAGGAGGAGAGCAAAAATATTATGAGTGGACATATTAGGAGTATGGGAGAGCAGTGAGCAAGCTTGCTGTGCTGGAAAGTGAGATTGCGCAAGAAAAGAAAGAGAAATAATTATGTAACAGTAGTACTAGACCAGGTTGTACAAGGCTAAGGCCAGGCTTAAACATTTTTTAAATTGTGGAAACAATGAAGAGCTATTGCAGAGCATTAGACTCAGGTGGGGTCAGAGGCCTAGCTTCACCATTTGCTGTGACCCTGGGCAAGTGCCCCTAACTCACAGATGTCCAATCCAATTGACTTTCTGCCTGGAAGAAAATATTCCATATCTGCACCCTCCATAATGGTGGCCACTAATCACAGGTGGCTATTGAATACTTGATATGTGACTAGTGTGACTGAAGAACTGAATTTTTAATTGTATTTAATTTAAATTAATTTAAATTTAATGTATTTAAGTTTAGTGTATTTAATTTAAATTAATTTAAATTTAATTTAATTAATTTAAGTAGCTGCACATGACTAGTGGCTACTGTGTTAGCACAGCTAGACCCAGGACTCCTGTCCCTCCATCTGTACACAGGGAATGATGATGAAACATCACAGGCTTGTTACAAAGATCGAGATATATTGAGATAATACACTCAAAGTGCTCAACACAGTAATTCAACAAATTATTGCTGCTGCTGTTGAAATTGTTATTGTTTTTATTGAACAGGGATTGCATGACATACGCCAAGTCTTAGGAAGATTAGTTAGACTATAATATCCAGTTAGATTTGATGGGGGAAAATTGTAGAGGATAAAGCATTCACAAGGTTATTTCAGTGGTAAGGTGTGAGAGAATTAAGATCTTATCCAGTGAAAGACCTTGAGAATGGGAAAGAATGGAATGATTGTTGAGCCATAAAGCACATGGGTGTGCACCACTCATACACATCTTCTCATATCAGCTTCCTTCCAAGGTATTCTCAGAGAGTACACTCCCAACCCAGCCCAGGACAGACACTACTACGACCCCTACAAGATGCACAGCCATTCTCCCTGCCTGCGCCAGAAACTACTAGTGCTCCACAACACACACCAACATTTGTGTGTCTCTTTCTGGGCACAGTACCTCCCAAATTTGAACTACACTTCCCAGCTTCCTTGCAGTCAAACGGATGCCATGGGATCAGGTTCTGAACAATGGAATGAAGGCAGAAGCAATGTGCGCCATTTCTAGGCTGGGCTCATTTAAAAATCTTCCATACAACCTGCATTCCCTCTTCCCATTCTGTGACAATTTTAGAGGCCATATGTACCACATAATGGAAAGAACCTAGGCTTGAATGAATGGATGGAGCAGAGCTACCCCTGTCCCCTAGACCCTCACTGGACTATAGAATATGAGTGAGAAGTGTCAGTGGCTTTGTTACAGCTCAGTTGCTTGTTACAGCTAACCTTATTATCCTAATACATCATCCCTCATTCCACTGAAGTTCATCTAAACAGGTCCTATATAGATTACCCGTCTAAACCATCAATCCTTCTGAAGTCTCTTTTGAACTGGGTCCCACCAACACTAAGACAGATTTCTAATTCCCCATCTGCAGACATCCTGACTGCTGACATTCCTTTCTCACTCCCCGCAGATATACACATTCCAGACATATCTTCTCCCACAATGCTGGGTCAAGGATACACCTACTGAGCTATCTTCCAGATGATTGAGTTTATTGGACATGTCAGGGCTTCCTCCTCTCCTGTTAATCCCCATGCAGAGAGACCTCTGATGTCCCTGGGGCATGTCTTTGTTTACTGTGGCTCAGACCCAAACCTAGGTGTTATCTCTGAGTCCTCCCTTTCCTCTGCTCCTACAACAAATTCATTACAAAATACAGTTGGATTTGCCCTGTCCTCTCTCTCCATTCCCTCTGCCACCCTAGTCCAGCCACCATCATCACCACCTACCTACCTGCAGCAGCCTCCTAACTGGTCCTCCTCTGTTCGTCTTTCCCCCTCTAATCCTCTCTCCACCAAGCAGCTGGAGCAATCTTTTAAAAATAATAGCCATGGCCGGGTGCAGTGGTTCACGGCTGTAATCCCAGCACTTTGGGAGGCTGAGGTGGGTGGATCACTTGAGGTCAGGAGTTCGAGGCCAGCCTGGCCAACATGGCAAAACCCATCTCTACTAAAAATACAAAAATTAACCAGGCGTGGTGGCACGTGCCTGTAATACCAGCTACTTGGGAGGCTGAGGCAGGAGAATCACTTGAACCTGGGAGGTGGAGGTTGCAGTGAGCCAAGATCGCACCACTCAACTCCAGCCTGGGCAACAGAGTGAGACTCCGTCTCAAGAAAAAAAAAATTTAAATAAATAAATAAAAATAACAACCAGAACATGGTACTCCCCTGCTTCAATCACTCCAGTAGCTTCCATAGCTCTTAGAGTAAATTGATTGGGGTCTTGCCAGCTCCAACCAGCCTTACTCACCCTTGCTCATTTTACTTCAGACACATTCGCCTTTCTGTTTCTCAAACGTGCCACACTTGTTCCTGTCCCAGGTTTTTTGTGCTTTGTGCCCGGAAAGCTCTTCTCTGAGTGTTTATAAGATTGATCCCTCATCATTCAAGTCTCAGCTCAAATGTTACCTCCTCAGAGGATTCCTCGCTCTGTTTTATTTCCTCCACAGCACTTATCATGACAAAAAATTGTATTTTTACTTTCCACCCCTACTCCTGCTGTCCCTATTGGAATATAATCTCCAGGAAGGCAGGGTAACTGACTCGTCCTGATTCATTGGGGACTCTTCCAGTTTTACCACAAAAAGTTCCACGTCCCAGAAAACCCCTCAATATAGGGCAAACTATGATAGTTATTCACTTTATGTCTGCCTTGATCACTTCTGTATTCCCAGTGGCTAGTATAACGCCAGGTGCCTAGGTAGGAACTCAATAAATATTCAATACATATGAAAAGGGCTGAATGTCCATAAATAATTCTTTGACCCTGGCTCTAGGGGGCAGCCTTCCCCAACCTTGTGCCTGAACAGACAGCTTTGCAGGTTGGACTGGTAGCTTGTGTACCTAGGTAGTGAGTTCCACAGGATTCTCCCTAGACCTTATGTGGTCCCCTTGCCGCCCCTCCACCCCCCCACCCCAGCCCTTGTGGAGTTCACAGCTGAGGACCCTGGCTGTGGCAACCCGAGGCTGTGCCTGACACAGAGGTAGATTCCTTCCCTCTCCCCATTCTACCCCACCCAGGCCCCCCTCCTGCAGCTTCGCCTTCCTCCTGAGGTCAGGCTTGTAGACCACAGAGCAGAAAGGGCTGTCCTAGACAGCAGCAGCAGGTGGCTGGCTGCAAGGAGGAGCTGGCCCCATCACCATGCATTCTAGGAGGTTGCAGGGAGGACTCAACTCTAAGGGCTACCTTGGACCCAGAATGCAGCTCCCCAGGGCTAGGGCTGCCTTCTGCCCCTTTAGAAGGGGTTCACCTCAATTCTCAGGGCTAGAGTGAAACTGCTCAGAGTCTGGCTTCTTGCTGAGACCCCATTTCCTCTGCCTGCCCACTGACAGCCTAGAGGTCTCTGCAGAGGGCAGGATGGCAAGTGAGAAGATGTTGAGTGGAAACAGCAGGTCTTTGAACTCAGGAGCTAAGAAAGCATCAGAGGCAGGTGGCCTGGGGGGTCAGGGGGAGGGGAGGGGGATCACAGGTGCAGCTGCCTGGGGAGAGCAGCATGAAGGAGCTAGGGCCCAGGCCTGCCTCCCTATCTTGGTGTTCTCTAGCGATCTCCATCTCCTAACCTGAACCCGCAATCACAGATACCTGATCTGATTCTCTTTCACCTTTTACTGAGGGAGCTGTTGCTGGATGGGGAGGGCGGGGTGGATAAAGCCTGCAATTCACCTCCACAGGGACTTGGGCCTGGGGACAAATGGGGCTGACTGACTTCCTTGACTCCTTGGAAGCTGCCAGGGGCAGGAGAAGGGCAGGTTGCAGCACTGTGAGGAGTGAGAGAATAATAAGGCTTGAGGGCAGGAGGGGAGGGCATTAGCTCTTCCCCAAGGGAAAAGCCTGGCAGAGGGGTTCATCAATATTTGCCCTTCAGATCTGAGTTTGAGAACTGGCTTTACTGAATGAGAAAGTCACCATGGAGCCTTCATCAGTGCACGTGGGTCCCCCTCTAGTCCAGCTGAATGGGCACTGGGTGAAGGAAAAGACTAGAAATAAGGCTCTTACCTGTGCTTAGTCCAGAGCAGGGGCCCCAAGAATGGCACCCTAGAGAGACTTGAGTGGCCACATCTCATGATACTTCTTGGAAGAGGAAGGGTTGGACAAGAGATGGAGTAAGACAGCGGGAGGAATGGCAATTGGTCAAGAACTGGGTGGACAGGCCCCAGGAGGGAAAGACAGATCTTGGGAAGCTAAGAGGGAGGTGAGAAAAAGCCATGGCAGGAGGGGGAGAAACTTGGTTACTATTAATGCAGGAAACCTCTCCTGAGGGTCTTCTCTGTATAAGGCACTGACCACGCAAGGCACGCATTTTTGAGTACAGCAGAGCAGCTCTCACCCTCCGGCAGCTAACATTCTCCTGGAGGAGGCAGCATGCAATACTTATGCAATGCTTTGATTTCAGTGTGGTGAGTGCCAGGCATGTGGCAGAGAAATGATGCCCTGCAGGGGAAGTCTGACACAGGCCAGGCCCTGAGGTGGGTGCAGAGCCAGACTCAGGGGCAGTGACAGGCCAGAAGCTGCCACTTTGCCTGGCCCCCAGGGCCCAGCAGGCACCCTCAGCTGAGGCCCCAGGAGGCTGGGCTTGGGGAGAACTGAAGCAGTTGGGGAGATTAAGTCAGGATTCGGTCCAGCCCTGCAGTGTGTTAGGCAGAGCTCACGGACCAGGCTCTGCACTTCCACCAGAGGCAAAGCAGGCAAAGCGGCTAAAGCAGGAGGGGCTGAGGCTGAGGGGTGGGAAGGCAGAGCAGTGGGGCTGCCTCTCTATCCCCCGCAAGGCCTGAGGGGGGCCTGTGCCCTCTCTCAGGCAGAACTGCAGACTTTCCCTTACTTCTGTTTCCTTCTCTGGACCCCACTTTTCTGTTTCCTTCCCCACTTTTCTGTTTCCCTCTGTGGACCCCACTTTTCTGTTTCTCTCTCTGGATCCCACTTTTCTGTTTCTCTCTCTGGATCCCACTTTTCTGTTTCTCTCTCCAGACCCTCTTCTTTGTACCCTCCCCTAATTTTTTTTTTTTTTTTTTTTTTTTTTTTTTTTTTTTTTTGAGACAGAGTCTCACTCTGTTGCCCAGGCTGGAGTGCAGTGGTGCGATCTTGACTCACTGCAACCTCCGCCTTCCAGGTTTAAGCGATTCTCCTGCCTCAGCCTCCCGAGTAGCTTGGACTATAGGCACACACCACCATGCCCAGCTAATTTTTGTATCTGTAGTAGAGATGGGGTTTCACCATGTTGGCCAGGATGGTCTCGATCTCTTGACCTCGTGATCCACCCGCCTTGGCCTCCCAAAGTGCTGGGATTACCGGCGTGAGCCACCGCACCTGGTCTAATTTCTTACCAAGTTCTTTCTGAAGGGAGGAAATGGGCAGTAGATCTGATGCCAGGAAAACTTTGGCCTATTCGGTTTCTTCTCTGACCCCAGTACTTCCAGAGTGGGATTTGGGGGTGGGATGGCTCTGCTCTGATGCTGGGAAGGGGACCTTAGCCCTAGCCTGCTTTCCTGGTTACCCACATCCTCCCCCTGCCCCAGCCAGTGCTCTGGATCCAGCCTGACTGACCAGGTCTGAGAGACAGAACTGGGCATCTCCTAAGCAGGGAACAGGGCCCTGCTAGGACCCCTCTTTCAGGCTCCTGCAGTCGCCCCTACCAAGACTCTGAAACAAAAGGACAAAGTGGGCACAGGGTTTGAGTCCTGAACAGAGGCCTGGGCCTGGGATGAGTTGGAAGATGGGAGCACTTAAGACAAAGGTTTTGGGAAGGTGGGGAAAGTTGCAAAGAGGGGAGTGGTGGGAGGTAGTAGGTAGTGTGGGTGTTCAGCCTCAGAACAGAATACAGGGGTGAGGAGAAAAGTGACTCTTAGGGAAAGTGGCCACAACTGGAATGGGGCAGCCATTGCAGAACACTGATCACTCAAGGT
Organism: Homo sapiens; assembly: GCF_000001405.40. Lineage (NCBI taxonomy): Eukaryota > Metazoa > Chordata > Mammalia > Primates > Hominidae > Homo > Homo sapiens. The sequence goes on along the minus strand of NC_000012.12, from coordinate 47,764,206 downwards.
CAGATGCAGTGTCTCCTGGGACCCACACAAGACACACACACACACACATACACACACATGCTCTCTCTCTCCTTGAGAAGCAGAAGTTGGGGGAGAAAGCAGTTACTCGTTTCTATACATTCCTGTAACAGTAAACTTGCCGGGAGGCAGGCTGCTTCCCTCCCTTCTAGGGACCTCTCCAGCCCTGCCCGTCTTCGCCTGCTCTTCTGGCTTCTCTCACCCTGTCCCTACCCTCCAGCCCAGCATCACCACCTCAGGTCTGTTCAGCGACTGTTTCCTCATCTCCGCCATGCATGGCTAGCTTGAGCACCAGCCAGAGGAATGTGCCTCCAGGAGAGTGTGGGGTTCCTGCTTTCACCTCTGCAACTTCCTGCAGCTCCCAGCCCTGACTGTGAGCCCCAGCTTGCCCACATTGGCCTCCTACAGGAGGCAGGAGCCCATCCCTCCTCTCCCTCCCATCACTGTCATAAGTGGCTCATGAGTGACTGGTTGTGACCTGTTAGTCCTAGGAAGGTTTGGCTTGGGGCCCATTAAGGCTCCAGCTCCCTGCCGCTGCCCCCCACCCCAGGAATGGGCAAGGGAGGAGATGGAGGAGCTGAACTGGAACTGCCCTTGGGGGATGGAGCGGGGGCAAGAGTCAGAGGGCCTTAAACCATGCAGAGCCAGGAGGTAGAGTCCAGAGGAGGATACCTGCCTCTCTGCTCAATCTCTTCCCACTGTTGACCAACCACAGGCAAGGTCGACTCCTAGGGGTATTGTGGGAGGCTCAGCCACAGGCCAAGGTCCTGGCACAGCCCTTATATCCCCTACAGCTTTATCTCCCAGCTGGCCTCCAAGCTGGCCATTTGCTGCAGTCCCATGGGAGGCCTATTAGTGAAATTTTCCTCCATCCTCCCTCTCTCCATCCCACCAATCACCCTCAAATGTCACGGCTGAGCCTTGTGAACAAAGCTGACAGCACAGGATAGAGGAGACATGAGTAGGAGACAAGAAGGCAGCCAGGAAGGAGGGAGAGATGGCATGAAAGGCCTTGAAATTGAACTGGGAAACTAGCTCCTCTCCCTTCCACCCTGCTGAGGCTACAGGCCCATAGCAGGCACCAGCTGACTGCCCACTGTTCCTGTTCATTTCATTTCCACCCGTAATCATTAAGCATCAGCTTCATGCCAGACACTGTGCTGGGGAGGGAGAGCCAATCAGATTATTGTATTAGGGAGATAAAAGATAATTCCAATAGGCTCTGGGGCCCTGAAGATTTGGGACAGTGTCTGCTGCTCAGTTTGAGCTCTCCAGTTTACAGCAAAGTTCCCCGGCACCTACAGTAAATGTTGTTGAATGAATTCAAGATTCCTTGAATATTCTTGTGGCATTGCATAGTAAGGACTGAGCGAGGCAAGGTTGAGAGTAGCAATCGGGGCAGGAGGTAGCAGTGCACAATGGTGTTTAGGAATATGGACTCTGCAGTTAGACTGCCTGAGTCTGGCTGTACTACTTATTAACTGTGTGACCTTGGGAAAGTTACTTCGTCTCCCTGTGACTCAGTTTCCTCACTCGCAAATAGGAATTGTTCTGAGGATAAAAAGATGTATATAAAGTGACTAACATAGTATTCTGCAAATAGTAAATACTGGAAGAGACCATTATTGGGCTAGAACAGTTGCAGTGGGGATGGGGCATAACAGAGAGATGCAAGAGATGCTTCACTGGTTGAATCAAGCCGACTTGGTGGCTGGCTGGATGTGGGAGAATGAGGAATGTAGGGTATCAGGCTCCTCACTTAGGCAGTAGTGGAGTTTGGGAACAGGGAGCTGAGAGAGGCAGAGCAGGAGGAGAGGCCTCCTGGGGCAGGAAGGGAGTATGAGGTTCCTGTGAAGACCCAGGAAACTATGGGCTCACCTTGTGTAGAGCTCAGCAAAGAGGCCGAGGTGGGGAAAATCAAGCCCAGAGTCAAAGCCTGGTCTGAGAAGCCCCCTTCACCTTCCCACCCTCCTGAGCTATCCATGGGAGCCGCTGCCACCTGCTTGAAGGGAATGGGGGAGGGTTCAAGTAAGTCCATGCTCTGGCAGGAGCTCATTGTCCGAGTAGAGTGTATTAAGGGGTCCTGCTGTTTAGTTTCCATCATCTGTACCAAGGTGTGGGCAAATGGCTGTGGATATGAGTTTTTCCCCCTTTATAGGAGCTGTCAGTATGTTTCAGAGGCAGGACTGCAGAGTGGTAAAGCACACAGGGTAGAAACCACCTGGGCAGAGTCACTCATGGCTCTACCACTTCCTAGTATGGGACCTTGGGCAAGTCATTTAACCTCTTTGTGTCTCAGGTCCCTCATCTGTAAAATGGAATAACAAAAATAACAACCTTATCTCATAGGGTTGTTGTGACAATTCAGTCAGTGAATATATACAAAGTATCAAGAACAGGGCCTGGTGCATGTTGACTATTCTTATTATTATTTATCTGTCTTAACACACCTGCCAAGCATTTAATGACAGTCAGAGGAGGGTGGAGGCGGTACCAGGACATGGCATGATTGTTACCATCTTGCTTGCATGTGTTCCTCAGACACATTCCCAGTCCTCTGCCCCTTCTAGGCCTCAGCCTTGATCAAATATCTGCTGAGCAGTAATTCTACTGTCGGGTCCCCATCCAGGGATCCTGAGAAGGCAAAAACCTGCCCCGTCATCTGCTTTGATGGCAGGCTGGGGGCCTTGCCTGTTAGAGGTAGGACAAGCTAGAAATGGGACACATAAAAGATCTACTCCCTATGATCTCCCCAGGCTAGGAGCCAATAGGTAATCACCCCAGGTCCTCTTCTCAATCTCCCCAGAGAGGGGGAATGAAAAAGAAATGGAAAAAAGAAAGGCAAGAGTAGTGTTGAAGGGGAACATAGGTGGGGGAGTGGGTTGGGACAGTTTCATTTTCACCGATTTGAGTGATCCTTGGCTCCCTGAGGCTCCCCCACACCTCAACACAAACATATTCGATTTCCCCCCTGCCTTTTTTTTTTTTTTTTGAGATGGAGTTTCGCTCTGTCGCCCAGGCTGGAGTTCAGTGGCATGATCTTGACTCACTGCAACCTTCGCCTCCCGGGTTGAAAGAATTCTCCTGCCTCAGCCTCCTGAGTAGCTGGGATTCCAGGCGCACGCCACCACGCCTGGCTAATTTTTGTATTTTTAGTAGAGACAGGGTTTCACCATGTTGGTCAGGCTAGTCTTGAACTCCTGACCTCATGATTCACCCCCACCTCAGCCTCCCAAGGTGTTGGGATTACAGGCGTGAGCCATCGCACCCGGCCTCAATTTTCCTTTTTTGAGTAGACTCTCCTAGGCAGTCTAGTCTACATTAGAAGAATAGAATACATACAGAGTATACGCAGTATACCATGGTGAGTACGTGGAGACAGACAACCTGGATTCATGCCCCAGCTCCACCATTTACTAGCTGTGTGACTTTGGCAATTTCCTTAATATCCCTGAGCCTCAGTTTCCCCATCTGTGACGTGAGGATAACAGAAGTACATACCTCACAGGATCGTGGCAGGGATTAAACACATGGAAAGCACTTGAAAGAGTGCCCGCACATGATTAGATTTTGTAGCTCTGCTGAAATGTATACAAGTGTCCTGCCTCACTCCCCAGCATCTTCCACCTGCCCAGAGTAAGGGCAGCAAGAATAGGAAATAGGGGACCCCTTTGTGACCCAACTGCCAGTCTCAGGAAGCCTTCCTGCAAGAACTTCTAGGCCAGGGCACTGGCCCCAGCAACCCGAAACTCATGACTCCATCCCCCTAACTCTTCCCCATGCATACCTGTGACTCCCAACTTGTCATCCTTTCCTGTCAGTTTCCAGGTTGCTCTTCCTTCTTCCAAATTACCAGAACTCCGTTGAATGGATTTGGGTCTGAGGTCAGATTCATTCTCAGGCTTTCCTCCTTCCCCGGAGAGGCATTTAAAACTCCACCAGCGTTTCTTAATGTGTGGACACAGCAGATGACCTGGGGTGTTTGTTCCAAATACAGATTTTCCATTTCATGCCAATAGGATTGAATATGAATTGCTGGGGACGGAGCCTGCATTTTAGTAAGCTTCTGGGAAACATTTTTTATACATGTATACATTAAAAATGGGATTTTAATCACAATTAAAATTTCTCTCCCCACTTTCAAGAAAATAATAATTGGTGGAGGATGGGGGCTTGGCATCCCAAAATTGGGAGTATAGGCTTCTTAGAGCTACCTCTTCCCAGTCTTCTCCTCACTTTCAAGAAAATAATCATGGTGGAGGATGCGGGCTTGGCATCCCAAAATTGGGGTATAGGCTTTTTAGAGATACTTCTTCCCAGTCTGGGCTGGCTCAACAGCAAAGGGAAAAGGGAAGAGAAGGGGCAAAAAGTCCTAAAAAGCTGGGGGTGGGGCGTTCACCTCCTTCCAAACCCTCATTATCGTCCTGAATTACGGGTCGCTGTCCCCGGCCACTGTCTCTCCACCCTCTCAGGAGTGGGGCGAAGAGGCCCGCGCTGGGCCATTTGCACAGTGGTGGAAACTGAGGCCCAGGGAGGCGTGGAGCCTCGGTAGCAAGCCTGCCTAGCAGGGCGCTGGAATGCCCGGTCTCCGCCTCAACCTACCCGGCCACCAGGGAGCGCGCGGTAGGGGGCGTGGTACTCGAACACCTTCTGCTCCCCTGGAAGCTCTGCCACAACCCCAATCTCCTCTTAGGGCCCCTACCCGTTCTGGAGAGCAGTCCTTCCTCTCCAGCCTCAGTTTCCTCAACTGCTCCCGGTGTGTGTGTGCTGGGGCAGGGGGCAGTGGGGCGTGGGTCTGGGAACGGAACTGTGGGAGGCAAGGCAGCGGGATTCCCCGCGGGAAAGCCGCCTATTCCCTCCCCCGGGCGGCTGGAGACCCTGAACCGAAACAGGAGGCAGACACCCCCAGCCGGGAAGCGGCCCCAGCCCGGATTTCCCTCCCGGGTGAGGCCGCAGTGACTCACCCCCTCCCCGCTCTCCCCGGTTTCCTTGTTTGCATTTCTCCTCCCGGCCACGTGGCGGCCAGTGCAGCCACTCACCGCCGGATCCCTGACACCCCGGCCGTTGCGGCCTCCTCCACACACTTCGGGGCCGCTCCTGCCCCCTGGGGATACTCTGGGCTCAGGCGGATGTCCACTCTGGTACCCCCGGGTGCGGACTCCAAAGCCTGCCAGTGCCGGCCCCCTTCCCCTACGCATTCCTCTACCGTAAGGCAGGGCGCCTCCACCCCGCCCCCTCCGCCAGTCCTGGGGAGGGGAAGGGGGCGGGCAGCGCAGGGGGTGTGACAGCTCCCGCCCGGACCGGTGCCAGCGCAGCCTTGCTTCAGCGCCCGGTGCCAGCTGGCTCCTTCGTCTGAGACGAAGGCGCAGGCTCGGGGCTCCCTGTCGCCGGTGGCTGGGTGGCGTCCCCCCACCACGCCCCCACCCCTCTACTCACCCAAGAGGAGCCTCTCCACCGAGCCCTGCATCCTGCTGCCCTGGCAGCCAGTCCAGCTAGGCACTGGCCCAGTTCACTGTACCTGGACTTACCCACTGGCACCCTCCGGATCCCCTTATCAAAGCTGATGGGGGTCGCTGGGGACCCCCCAGCCTTTTGCTAGAGCCTGCACGGCTGTGCGAGCTTGAAAAGAAACATGAAGGTGGGTAAGGTGGGGTCAGGGTTGAGGAGGAGCAGGAGAGGGCGGGAGAGGAAGCTGACACGGTGGGGAGTTTGGGTGGGAGAGGGAGGGTTAGTCAGGGCTGAGGAGGAGAGGAGAAGGGTTTAAGCCGAAGCTGCATTTCTGGGAGACCTAGTGAATCTATAGCTTCATACTGGGAGGTAGTGGAGATCCCTGCAGGGGCATGGGCAGTGAGATGGGACAGAATTCCAAAGAGGACTAAGAAGGGCCTGATCTTTTCCAAGAGCCAGCTGGAGACCCCTAAGTGCGCCAGACCGGCAGGCCCCAGTGAAGGTCTTCCTGTTCCTCCCCCCAGCTCCTGGCAGGGTTGCAGCACCTCCGCCTGACCAGTCCAGAGGACTCTAAGGAAGTAGTTCTGCCTGGGGCAGTTGTACTGTGGCCCAGCCGCCCCAGTCGTGTCCCATGGCTGTCCACTTTCCTCCCCGTGTCACAGGTGGGCTGGCCAGGTGAGAGCTGCTGGCAGGTGGGCCTGGCTGTGGAGGATAGCCCAGCTCTGGGAGCACCGCGGGTGGGAGCCCTCCCTGACGTGGTGCCGGAGGGGACACTACTCAACATGGTGTTGAGAAGGATGCACCGGCCCCGAAGCTGCTCCTACCAGCTGCTGCTGGAGCACCAGCGTCCGAGCTGCATCCAGGGGCTGCGCTGGGTGAGTACCTTTCACCTGCCCAGGTGCCAGGGCCAGTACCAGAGCTAGAGGGGGGCCTAGATCATGGCTTGGCATGCTGCTGGTGGCCCAGCTTGCTCTGGGGGTGTACAGTGGTACAGCTGCCGTGGACACTGGGTCAGGAAGCTTGTCTGCAGTGTGCGTGGGTGGCTCACACAGCTGCAACGTGTGTGTGTCTGTGTGTGTGTTCTGCCCAAATGTCTCTGTTTGGGCATGGGGGGAAGGGGAAAGGGATTTGTTGTTTATCTGTCACCTCAGTGAGCCGGCATTGAGTTAGGTACTTGTGTGTTCTTTCCAGGTGGAGGTGGGAGGTATGGGGGCCGGGTCAATGGGTTGGAGTGAGGTAAGCTTGGTTACAGTTCTGGGTGCATCACCGTGGCAACATTCTCCTTTAGTGAGTTACTGAACTGTGCTAATTCTGCGTTTTGGTCTTAGGGTGAGGTGATCATGTGGACACTGCTTGGTACCTGCCTTTGGGGGGCTCAGGGAAGGATTCTGAGACATTTGGAGAATCTGAGATCACCAAAGTGCCCTTTGCTAGTGAGAAACATCTCTGGACCTGAAAGAATGAAGGAGAGAGCAGGGAGGGGAAAGAATGGTGGGATTTGGGAGGCAAGATAATGGCTGTACTATCCAAATCAGCAGAGAAGCTATCCCCAACCATCCAGACTAAATAGAGTAGCTTAGCTTGAGATTCAGTTATGTCTCCACTGCGTGTGTCCACCCAGGTTTCGCTATGTTGCCTAGGTAGGTCTTGAACTCCTAGGCCCAAGCAATCCACCTGCCTTGGCCTCCCAAAGTGCTGGTATTACAGGCGTGACCCACTGCGCTTGGCCGGGAGAGTTCATTTCTTTTTTCTTTTCTTTCTTTTTTTTTTTTTTAACCAGAGTCTTCCTCTGTCACCAGGCTGGAGTGCAGTGAAGCAATCTTGGCTCACTACAGCCTCTGCCTCCCAGGTTCAAGTGATTCTCCTGCCTCAGCTTCCTGAGTAGCTGGGGCTACAGGTGTGCGCCACCACGCCCAGCTAATTTTTGTATTTTTAGTAGAGATGGGGTTTCACCATATTGGCCAGGATGGTCTTGATCGCTTGACCTCGTGATCTGCCCACCTCGCCCTCCCAAAGCACTGGGATTACAAGCATGAGCCATTGCGCCTAGCCGAGAGTTCACTTCTTATTGGCAAGTCCTTTTGAGTGGAATAACCACCACCCTCTCCCTCCTTCCCCCTACCTTGCCCAACTGCCATTTACAGTGAGGCTGAGTTGAAAAAACTGAGACCTACCAAGATGAGGGGCTCCTCTTTGCAATCAGAATTGAGAGGAGAGTCCACATGTCAGTCCTGGTAGAGCTGTTCTCTACTAGGGTCTTCCTTATCATGAGCCTGGGTCCTCCTCCGCTACCCCTCTGGCTCTCCGGCTCTCCGCTCTCCGGGTCACTGGCTGTAGCTATTGCCTGGAGCCAGTGGGCTGGAACCCTCCCTCCCTCCTTCCCTCTTGGGCTATAATTATTTGTGCATTTCCTGTCCCCTTCCCAGCTTGTGGAAGCAAGGTAGGGGGTAGGGAGAAGGTCAGGTGCCAGGACAATAGGTCACTGGAGGATCTCCTGGGACCTGAAGTCTGGGAGGGAGTGGAGGAGGCCACCAAGCTGTCTCCTGACTCTCCACAGCCCCCAGAAATGAAGGGCTGGTGTGCAGGGGAAGGCCAGAAAGGTGGGGGTAAAGGTTGCTGGAGTGTAAATGGGGTCAAAGGCACCAAAACAAGGCCTTTCCGTGCCAGGTGGGCGTTGGTGACTAGAGGGAACTTAGATTTTTAGTGTTTAGAGGCAGGCGGCCACTCCCTCTTCTGATGACCAACTTTGGGGACTGGGGTGGGGAGGTTTCATTCCATCATGCCTATATTTGAGAGGCTCTGGGTACCTGTGAAGCTGTACTTCTTACCTCTTGATGATGCCTTTAGCCCAGGGAAGGCTTCCGTGAGGGAATGAGTGCCAGCTGTGAGCATGCACGCCCATGGTGAAGGGGTGGAGCCCGAGTCCCAGGAAGACAGCACTGCCAGTTATTGAGGCCAGACCTCCCTCTTCGAAAGCCAAGGGGAAAACCCATCAACCTCCCAGAGAAGAAGTCTGAAGACAGCTCTTTCTGTTCCTACCTAGACCAGGACAAGAGAAAATGAAAGCGGGTTACAGTAGGAGGGCTTGCAGTTAGATACAGACTAAGATAAGACTTAACAGCTATTGCAAAAGTGACACTGGAATGGGATGGAAGAACATCTTTGGAAAATAAGAGGGGGAGGTGAGATCTTGTCTGATGTCCGGGGGCAGGGGCAAGATCAGAGTGACCTGTGGTGGGTTCTACTAGCTCAGGGAAGTCTGAGATGATTCTCTTTGTGTGACTGTTCTTGGGGAAGTGGCCCTGTTTTGTAACTCCGAGAACGCACTTTCATTCAACCTATCCAAATAATAGTAGTAGTTAATAGTTATACAGTACTTATGTGCCAGACATTATTGAAAGAGGTTTGCCTTTATCATATCAAATAATTCTCACAACAGCCCTGTGAGATAGGTACTAATGTCATCATCTCCATTTTATAGATGTGAAAACAAAGCCACAGAGAGGTTAAGTGACAGATTCAGAGTTACGCAGCTGCTAAGTGGCAAAGCTGGGCTTTGGTCCCAGGCAATCTGGCTGCAGAGTCCAAGCTCATAACCACATAACCACCATGCTGCACTTCTCTCTTGCTACGAACAGTAACACTGACACCTTAAGGCATCATCCCGGCCCCATGCACCCTTCCCCTGTCCCACCACAAGCAGCCCTAGCTTGACACCTTAGCTATGGCCCAAGGGAACTGGTCTGACAGGTCCCCAGGCTGTCTGGCTCTGTGCCTGTCTCTCCAGCCCAGCTCTGACATTCAGTGACAGGGAGTGAGGGTGGGGCAGGCCACAGTGCTGGTGCCAGGGGAGTTAGTGCCTCCTCTTCCGCCCTGAACCCTTTCTGTTCAGGAATGAGAGTGGGGAGTGGGTGAGGAGGACCTTCACCTTGACTCATATCAGCTGCTTCTTCCCAACTGAGAACCCTGAAACTGACATGACTAGCATTGTATTTTTTTGCACTGTGTCCTGGTAATAGGGCCCATCATGAAATAATAACATCTGATCAAGTCAACTAAACTTACTAAGTAGTTACTATGATCCAGGCACCATTCCAAGTACTTTATATTATTAACTTTTTGATCCTCATAACCCTTTGTGATAGGTACTATTCATATCATCAACCCCAGTTTACAGATGAGGAAACCGAAGCACTGCAAACTTCAGTAATCAGCACGAGCTCACACAACCAGATGGTAACGCAAAAGCTAGGATTTGAACCCAAGCATCTGGCTGCAGAGCCTACACACTTGACCACTGCCCTTGAATAGCAGCCCTCTCTCCGCCCCATCCTAGAAGGTTGGCAGGCACACAAACATCCTGGGGGCACAGAGAGGGTAGAATAACAAACCTGTCTATCTTTGTCTAACCCAGTGGTTTCCAAACTTACTTGCCCACAGAACTTGCCTGAAGGCAGAATACCTCTACTGTCTGTGCCTATAGCACAAAGCTGAGGAAACATGGGAATAGGCATAATGGAAGACGGTAGGGCATAATGCTAAGAGCATGGCCTTTGGAATCAGACATAGGTATGAATCCTGGTGCCCTTATTGACCAACAGTTAGGGCAGGTTATAGAACCTTGGAGCTTTCTTTTCTCTAGCTGTGAAATAGGAAACAAATACCTACCTCTGGGGTCAGCACCAGTAGCAGAGTTATTCAGTAGAATCTTACCTTTCTAAATAGTTGTGTGATCTCTCTGGGCTTTTGCTTTCCTTGTCAAAATGAGAGGGATTCCTTAAAGTCCCTTCCTCAGTGCTCATGGACTAGGGCCATTCTCTGACCTGCATCCTCATCCCCTGGGGGAGGACAGGAAATGACCAACCTGGCCACGTGACCCAGCACCACCCCTCCTAATGTGCCCTCTCCCAAGTCAGAATAATACCAGGAAGGGGGCTGGTGCTGGAGCCTGGGTTGTGGGCTCCAATGGGAGTTGGGGCAGGGACTGGGGCCACCTGGGCATTTTGATATGAACAACAAGTCATTAGCACTCAGGCACTGTTTGTTCCGACACAGGGGGCTGGCTGGGTAGCATTCCTGCCCTTCCTCCCTTCCCTGGCTCCTCCTCCTTCTCATTTCCTGTCGTTAAGTCTCCAGGGCTCTGTGTCTGGCACTGGGCTGGGCCCCATGACCCGGGCAGGGATACCCTTGGGACACCTAGTGACTTCCGCCCAGCCCTGGGCCAGGCGCCTGCACATGCCAGACCTCAGGCCTCTGCTTGGGCACGCAGTGCCAAGATGCCTGTGCCCAGGGCCCTGCCAGCACCAGGACTGGTTGTACTGCAACTCCCCAGCAGGTCCTTTTCAGGGACCTGAAGCCAGATGGGAAGCTAGGAGAGAGGTGGCTGGTGAGGGGAGAGGAAAGGGGCAGGTGGGGTGGGTGTAGGGAGACTGAGAATGGGAGCACTTCTGGGTGGGAACTTGAACTTCTCCACAGCTGTCTGGCTGTCCGAAGTATGCGCAACTGAGTTACACAAGGTACCTCACCTCCAGGCTTTTATTTCCTTGTAAGTGACAGAGGACAGACAATGCCTGCTCTGCCTATTTCACATCTGATCCTATTTTACATGAGATCCAATGAAATCAAGGGGGCGATTGTGCTTTGTAAACTGTAAAGTGCTTTGTAAACTGTAAAGTGAGCCCTTTGAGAGGGCTCGTAGATGGTAGAGCATCCTGTCCAGAGATGTCCACAAACCCCAGATTCTCAGGTGGTAGGAAGAGAAGGGTCGTGAGGGGCTTTCATGGCCATTATTCCAGGGCGTACAGGCCCGGGAGTTCCAAATGGCTTGTTACCAAGGGCAGGGAATCCTTACTAAGCAGTGTTTCCATGATAAAGTGCGTCTTCCTGAGCCAGTCCTGTGTGCCACCAAGGACTTATTCACTCTCGCAGGGCACAGGCTAGCAACATCTCAGAGAAGAAAGACGCTTTCCAGCAAGCAGCCCCACCCTAATGCCTCACAGATGAGTACTAGCTAACATGTGCATACAACTATATGCCAGGCAATGCTTTAAACATTCGATGTGTAGCAACTCATTTAATTCTCCCAAAACCTCATGAGTCGGTATTATTAGTGCTTTGTAGATTTTACAGTTCAGGAGACTCAGGTAGGGAGGGAGAGGTTAAATCATTTGTTTCAGGTCACATCTGCCATCAGTGGGGAAGCAGAGATTTTAATCCAGGAGCCTGGCTCCAGGGTTTGTGTTTTGACAACCAGGCTGATCCGAGGCCCAGAGATGGCAAGACACCTGCTCATGGGCCTGTGGAAGGACACAGAACCTGGCTGGGGATCAGGTCTGTGACCCCAGCCCAGGAGCGGATGTTCCCAGGCCTCCTGAGCTGCTCACATCCTGGCTCCCATCTCCCAGGTCTTCTTATCTCATGTCCTCATGCTCCTTCCAGCTCCCTCACTTCTTTCCCCCAACAGGGGCAGTTCACCTGGGGGCATGGGCACACCTGGGCCCTGAGTAAGCAGAATGGGTGTCTTAGGGCTCTCAACTGTAGGGAGGCAGTCCTTGAGTTGGGTTTGGTGATCAGGATGGCAGGGTGGGAAGAGGCGATGCCCGGGGCACAGGGTGCTGAGTGAATATTTGTTTATTTGCTGAAGGAGTGGCCACATGGATGCATTTGGGGTTGGGGCCTAGGCAAGAGTGGGAGTGATGGGGGAGGGGAGGTATCCAAGAGCTGGGCTTGAAGACCTCACACTGATGTGCACGCTTTCCCTGCTGCCCCCAGACACCACTCACCAACAGCGAGGAGTCCCTGGATTTCAGCGAGAGCCTGGAGCAGGTAGAAGCCTGGGCAGGGTGGAGCTGGGACAGGCAGCACCATGAGGGGTTCAGAGCCTGAACTGCTGTGCCCTTCCTCCCTCTAAGGCCTCCACAGAGCGGGTGCTCAGGGCTGGGAGGCAGCTGCATCGGCATCTGCTGGCCACCTGCCCAAACCTCATCCGAGACCGGAAGTACCACCTTAGGCTCTATCGGTGAGTGGAGGCCCTGCTGCCTCCTTGCCCAGCCTCACTGCTTTCTCTCCGTTCCACTTTATGTCAGGCACCTGGGCCTCACCCTGCTTCTAGCACAGGGACGAACCAGGCTTGGGCCTCAGAGGGTGCCTTTCTAATGCATAGTTCCTCCCTCTCCCTGCCACCCTCCTTCCACTGGCCTGTCCCCTTCTACCTTCCATAGGCAGTGCTGCTCTGGCCGGGAGCTGGTGGATGGGATCTTGGCCCTGGGACTTGGGGTCCATTCCCGGAGCCAAGTTGTGGGAATCTGCCAGGTGCTGCTGGATGAAGGTGCCCTCTGCCATGGTGAGCCCGAGCCCAGGGTGGGGTGCCCCGGGCTGGGCTGGGCAGTGAGGGGGACAGGACAGGGCAGTCCTGGGAAGCAGGCACTACTTGGGGAGTGCTGAGGGGTGGCATCGCAGTGGGGTTTCATACCCACATAGCCTCAATTTCCTCTCCTCCCCCACGCCTGGGCCTCTGCCCCCCAGTGAAACACGACTGGGCCTTCCAGGACCGAGATGCCCAATTCTACCGGTTCCCCGGGCCCGAGCCCGAGCCCGTGAGAACTCATGAGATGGAGGAGGAGTTGGCCGAAGCTGTGGCCCTGCTCTCCCAGCGGGGGCCTGACGCCCTGCTCACTGTGGCACTTCGAAAGCCGTGAGTCAGAATCCCTGCACCCCGTGACCCCAGGCCTCACACAGCACTCAGATTTCACGGTTTCTCAGATTGATCTCTGGGGGCATCCCTTACCTGTTGTGGAGGGAAGGGAACCTGGCTGGCCCAGAAGCCCCTGGCGCTGACTGCCACGGACTCACTGTGTGACCTGGATCCCTCCACACTCCCAAACCCCCCCAAGTCAGTTTCTTCCTCTGTAGATGAGGATGTTGGACCAGGGGGATCTCTGAGGACCCTTCCCACTCAGAGACACAGTTGTGGCTGAAAGCAAGTGGGTTTTGGAAACTGCAGTCCGGTGGGTCCAGGTTCAAATTCCAGCTGGACTGGCTACTGGCTGGGTGACCTTGAGCCTCCTCATGCTAGTTCCTGTTCTGTCAAGTGAGGATGATAGAACCACTCCTTAGGGTTGTTGTGAAACAATGCATGCAAAATGCTCATCACAAGCGCTGCCACATGTGCGCACTCAGTAAAGGTTAGCTGCTGCTGATAACTGTCACTGCTGAGGCACCGTCTGGCACAGGCATCGGCTGGGTGGGTGGAGTGGCTCCCTGCACCTGACGGGCCCACAGTTCACAGTGTGCTCCCATTCCTCCTGTCCCTGCAGCCCAGGTCAGCGCACGGATGAAGAGCTGGACCTCATCTTTGAGGAGCTGCTGCACATCAAGGCTGTGGCCCACCTCTCCAACTCGGTCAGTCCTGCCCCTCCCAGCCCTGCCCCGTACCAGGCATCTTCTCTTCCTGTGACTTCCCTGAAACTCCAACTGCTGGGCCAGAGGGCATTTCTCCACTTCCATCTATGGCTGGAAATTTTCAGTCTGATTTCTTGCCCCCGGCGCTGCCCTGTCTGAAAATCCTTCCGCCTCTCTCAGCCCATTTTCTCCACTTGCTTTGTCTCCTGCTGAATCCTGGGAACACCTGACCTGGCCACATCTTTGTCCCCCAGCACTTGTGTCTTTGGACCTAACCACACCCCTAGCAAAAGCCTGGCTGCTCTGCACATGAACTTGTCGCCACCGACTCTCCTATCTCCACCACACAGGTGAAGCGAGAATTAGCGGCTGTTCTGCTCTTTGAACCACACAGCAAGGCAGGGACCGTGTGTAAGTCCAGCAGGGCATAAGAAGCCAGGCACAGGGCCTGGACATGGGCAGAAGGATGTGTGAAGGAATGGTAGGTGCCAGGAGGGCCCGGTCTGAGGTATGCTTCTGTCAGTGTTCAGCCAGGGGGACAAGGGCACTTCGTGGTACATTATCTGGAAGGGATCTGTCAACGTGGTGACCCATGGCAAGGTGAGCCCTCCCTCCTCCCCACCCCAGTGCCCTGGGTCCTAACTGCTCCCTGGTCCATGTCCTCATGGGCAGTGCCTTTGTTGATCTACTGCTGCTGACCCCGTGTCTCCTGTGTGGGTTGTTCTCCTGCCGTGGGTCTGTCCTGGCAAGAGCTGGGGGCGGCAGGGGCGGCAGGGGCGGGCTGAGACTGAGGCCTGGCTGCAGGGGCTGGTGACCACCCTGCATGAGGGAGATGATTTTGGACAGCTGGCTCTGGTGAATGATGCACCCCGGGCAGCCACCATCATCCTGCGAGAAGACAACTGTCATTTCCTGCGTGTGGACAAGCAGGACTTCAACCGTATCATCAAGGTGCTGCTGCTGGGGTTGGGGAGGGCAGGGGCCATTCGTCCAGAGAAGTGATGTGGAGAGAGGAGTAGGGACCAGAGCAGAGGGCCTGTAAGAAGCAGGGCAGGTAAGAGATGCTGGGCTATGACAGCTGGCAGTGGGACCATAGCCCTGGGTGTGTGTGAGAAGGTGAAGCCCATAAGGCACAGAAGGAGTTCAGTGAGACCAGTGACTTCAGGCTCAGTGTGGGAGACCAGGGGAAGGATGGGCATGCAGGGGGCGGGGGACTAGGCTGTGGGGGAGGCAGGATGCATGGAAGGTAGGGAAGGCTGAGGAGGTGGAGCCAAAGTCGGAGGTGGGAGAAGGGCTGTGGGTCCCTGTGGGACCCTCATGGGGCTCAGGGGCTGGAATGAAGGAGGTAGATGAGAGGGTCTAAAGCTGGAACATCATGAGTTGAGCATGGGATGTGGCCTGTTCTCCAGGATGTGGAGGCAAAGACCATGCGGCTGGAAGAACATGGCAAAGTGGTGCTGGTGCTGGAGAGAGCCTCTCAGGGCGCCGGCCCTTCCCGACCCCCAACCCCAGGCAGGAACCGGTAATACACCTGCCATGCTCCCTCTCCACACTGTCCCTCCTTTCATTTCCCAATCTTTGCTCCCTTCCCCTGTGTCATATCCCTGCCCTCTGGCCACTTGTGGATGGAGAGGTATTGAGGGACCAGGATGTGCCTGCTGAGCCAGTCTCCTCCCTGCCCTAAGGTGGGACAGGGCTGGCTAATGGAGAAAAATGATGTAATTGATTATTGATGTCTGCCCAGGTGTGGGAGTGGGGAGTAGTGGCACCAGTGCCAAAGATTGGCCATTTCTGCTAGGTATACAGTGATGTCTGGCACCCCAGAGAAGATCCTAGAGCTTCTGTTGGAGGCCATGGGACCAGATTCCAGTGCTCATGACCCAACAGGTAAGGGCAAGAGACACCCTGCCTGCTTTCTGACTCATTGGGTGGTCCATGGAGCCTGGGAGAGAGCCAGGTACCCTGCATCTGACGTCACCGAATGCTGGATTGGTCTGTACAGAAGTTGGCAATAAGTCCTCTTACCTGTGCTCTTGGCTTAGTGGGGAGCACTATCACAGGGGCTGGACACTGCTGGGACCTTGCAGGTGGTGGGATGTGGGGAAGGGTCCTTCCAGCTGTCCATACACCTGTGCTCAGCAGACTTGGCCTCTGAAGCCTCCTCCCATCCCCTCACCCTGTCATACAGAGACATTCCTCAGCGACTTCCTCCTGACCCACAGGGTCTTCATGCCCAGCGCCCAACTCTGCGCTGCCCTTCTGCACCAATATCCTTCCAGCTCCAGGGGGATGGTGTGCATGGGGATAGGATGGTGCGTGGGGTTGAGAGAAAATCTCACCAGCGTGGCTGTGCTGAGCCCTTTAAATGCCAGCCTGCTGCCAGGCCCAGCTTGCCAGGGGCCCTGGGCATCCTGCCCCTCCTTTGCCTCAGGTGGGTGGCCCTGCTTGGATGTTGTGGTTCCCTTGACTGGTGCCCACCTTCCATGTGGAGCCTGCGGGTGGCAGCGAGCAGGAGCGCAGCACCTACGTCTGCAACAAGAGGCAGCAGATCTTGCGGCTGGTCAGCCAGTGGGTGGCCCTGTATGGCTCCATGCTCCACACTGACCCTGTGGCCACCAGCTTCCTCCAGGTACCTGGGAGTGAGGCACAGCGGGGCTGGGCTGCCCGGGGTGGATGCAGCTACAGCCATCTCAGTGAATCTTGGCTCTTCTTAGAAACTCTCAGACCTGGTGGGCAGGGACACCCGACTCAGCAACCTGCTGAGGGAGCAGTGGCCAGAGAGGCGGCGATGCCACAGGTGATGCTTTGACTCTGTTAATTTGTCATTTCCATAACTGGCAGTGCCATGGGGACCAAGAGCATACGCTCTGGAGTCAAGCACTTGGCTTCAGATCCAGGCTGCACCACTTACTTCAATTCCTTGTTCTTATCAGTCCCCTTGCTGTTCACCCTCACACCACATGTCCCTCCATTCTCATGCATCAGGCACTCATTCATTTATTCATTCTCATATCCTGAGTGCACCTGCTGTTCTCACTTCCTCCATTGGGCATGCATTTATTACCAAATACCCTCAGTGCCAGCTTCTGCCAGTCCCGCCCGGTACATTTCCTAGACTTTACCTTCACCTTTGCAGATATTCCCACGGGAGCAGCTGAGATTCAGGGGGGTTGGGAGCTCATCTGAAACAGCACTTGATCTGAAACCCTGGGTCTGCATCTGCCTTTAACTTTTTCCTTCCCCTCCTGGCCTTGGAAAATCACAAAGTCTGGGGGCCTGGTTTCAAGACCGTGTTCTCCCCTCTTTATGTGATACTTACCTGGTCGTGCTTACCTCTGAACCACTGGTGAGGGCCGGGGAGAATCCAGAGCCCCAAGGGCCTCCCTGCTGCAGCCCCAGGGATACCTGGGCTCACTCACCTCCCTTCTCTCTTGTCTGCAGGTTGGAGAATGGCTGTGGGAATGCATCTCCTCAGATGAAGGTGTCTGCCTGGCCCCAGTTTCTTTCCTCTGCTCCTCCTGGACTGCAGGCCCCTCCTTCGCCCCCTGACCCTGAGGGGCTCTGTGGGCGTGGGAAGCTCTCCTCCCACAGACACACCCTTGGGTCTCTGATAGGTGTTCACGGGGCCCTTGCTGCATGTGGTGCCCTGGGCCAGGCCGTGCCAGGAGGCGCAGAGGCCTAAGGTGGCCTCCCTCCTCGCCCACTCCCTGACTCAATGGGCCTTTTATTCCTTTTGGGAGGTAATTCATGCCCACAGGTAGAGCCTGGGAGATGAGGAATGGTGGCTGGAGTTGGCCCCTGAGGCCCACGGGGCTCCTGGTGGCCAGTGCTGTGGGAGCTCAGAGGAAGGCGAGGCCCCTCCCTGGAAAGTCAGAGGGGGCCCCAGGCCATTCTCAGCTGGGGCTTAAAGGGAAGCAAAGAGGGGATGAGAAGATGTGACTGCAGCCAGGATTTGGTTGAGGAATGGTGGGAGAAAGAACTGGAAAGGTAGATTAGGTTGGTGGTGGGGAGGGCTGCACTGGGAATAAAATCCAGGGGCCTCACCATCCAGCAGGCTCCCCATGGTCCCACCCTACTGTGTGTCCCAGCCCCTGCCTGCTGGAGACTCTTACTGGCTTCTTCTCCTCCGCAGGCGAAGCCCGTTCTCCCCTCAGGGCCTTTGCACTTATCCCTTAGCCTGGAAGGGTCTTTCTCTGGCTCTGCCTGGCAGGATCCTTCTCGTTCTCATCTCAGCCAAATGCTGGGTTCCCAGACAGGCCCCCTCCCGTCTCCCTATCCGGAGCACCCTCCCCTTTCTCCCACCACGCTCTGCCTTGGTGTCCTCTGTGATTTTCTTCAAAGCACTCTCGCCATGTGGAGTTGTTTTCTTTGCCTACTTGCTTTCTGTCCTTTGGTATCTCTCCCATCCCACTGGAGAGTTGACTTCCCTCCTGCGGGCCCCCACCTCCGCTTCTCCTTGCTCACATGCTGCCTGGCTCTTGGCTGACGCTCAGAAACTGATGTGGGCTCACCCTCGCAGGCCGGGCACTGCGCTAGGTGCTGATGCTGCACCTCATTCAACCCTGGCCTGTGGGGCTGCAGTCAGGCAAGGGGCAGAGCAGTTCAACAACCCGTGATGTGCAGTGACACGGGACACTTTCCCTGAATGTGCACTGGAGTCGGCTCTTCCAACTGTAGTCCGCTCCTGAAAACGGGAGGGGAAGAGCCAACTCCAGTGCAGATTCAGGGAAAGTGTCCCGTGTAAGCGACTACTGGAGTTGAGAGCTGCAGGGGGCAAGGGTGGAGGAAGAAGAGGATTCCTGGTGGGCAAACCCAGGAGGAAAGGGAACCCAGGAGGAGGATCCCTGGAGGAGCGAGAGTAAGAGTAGGACCCCAGAGCAGGCAGGAGGTGGGCAGGGCCCCCTGGGCCAAGGACAGGGGTCTGATCTTTGTCCTAAGAGCAGTGCAAACCATTAAAGGGGTTTGAGCCAAGGTTGGCAAAGTCTGATTTGTGTTTTGAATAGGTCAGCTAAAGAGCCTGGGCTTTCTCCAGCAGACAATGGACGCCACTGAAGTCGAGTGCGGGAGCTTCACAGGGCTCTGGTCAGGCAGATTGGAGGAGGAGGGCTGGAGGCACCTGGGAGGGAGGAGGAGGAGCATAGTTGGGCCATTGGAGTAGATAAGGAGTGAGGCCTCGTGGGCAGGTGGAACTGGAGTTAGCCTGGGCAGGGGAGGAGGGGGCACAGAAGACCCACTTCAAAGAAGAATCTTCAAAGCAAGATGACAAGCTACGGAAGTGTGGAGGAGCCTGGAGCTGGGGAGAATGGCTGGGGAACAGAGTGGTCTGGGAGGCAGGATGCAAGGATCCGATGGGTATATGGAGTGTGAGGTAATGGATCATTCATGTGGAAGGATGCAGGGGGTTTTTGAGACCAGGGTTTGGAAGAGAGTTCAGCACTGCTGGTAGTTTTGGGAATCACCCATGTGCAGGCGACACATGAGGCAGTAAGGAACTCTGCAGGGGTCCCTGAGATTTGGAAATGTAGGGAAGAGCAATGGATTGAGGTCCGAACCTGGAGGATCTGCTATACGCAGAGCTGGGAGGAGGGACAGAGTCAGTACCAGAGTCGGAAAAAAGCAGGGTGGGAAGGGGAACCTGAGTCAGGAGACTTGCCTGGCAGGCGCTGCCCTGCCAGCAGAGGCCTGACAGTGGTTTCCATGAACTGCATCCCTGCTGTGGGCTGGGACAGGGCCACTGACACAGTATCGGAGCACAGAGGGGGAAAGGAGCAGGAGGGATTCCAACTCTGCCAGTTAGCAGCTGTGTGGCTTTGGGCATGTTACTTAACCTCTCTGAGCCTCATTTATTTCATCCATAAAATGGAAATAAAAATAATACTTTTGTCAAAGGCGCATTGTGAATATTTAGATCCTCAGAATAATGCCTGGCTTGTAGCAAATGGTAGCTGGAGGAAAAGGAAGAGAAAACCAAAGTCAGCAGCTGAAGGATTTTCATATTAGAACTGCTCTGGACCTATCTGGCAGATGCAGAAGCACACACACACGGAGGGGCATGGATTTGCCCCGCCCTTAGACATGTTGTGTCTTCTCCTGGATCCTTGGTCCCAGGTGCCTTACCTGAGCTCAGGTGAATGTGGCAAGCAGAGCCCTCTGGTGGTGTGAATGCTGTGTGGCGCCCGTGCTCCTGGTGACACAGGGACCTCACAATCCCTCCCTCCACGGTCTCCTCTCATGTCCTCCCAGCCTTATTTTCTCGTTCCTCTTCCTCCCAGGCCCGGAACTTGCCTGTTTGGCTCCCCAACCAGGACGAGCCCCTTCCTGGCAGCAGCTGTGCCATCCAAGTTGGGGATAAAGGTTGGTGGTCTGTGCCGGCTGGGCACAGCCCGACATCTGCACCCTGCTGTCTCTGCCTCTCTTGTCCTGCTGTCGTCACTCTTGACCTCGGTGTGCCTGGGCCAAGGTGGCACGCTGTACTCCTCAGGGTCTGTGTTCCAGGCTGCTGGCTAGATCTGCCTCCTACCTGCCTCTTTTTTGCTCAGGGCCTCCCCACCTGCAGCTCAGCCTCTTGGGGATCCCTCCCACCATTACTGCAATAGCCGCCCTCTCCCTCCTGGGGTGGAGATCAGGCAGCCCTTCCCACAGCTCAGTCTGGTCTCCTCTTCAGTCCCCTATGACATCTGCCGGCCAGACCACTCAGTGTTGACCCTGCAGCTGCCTGTGACAGCCTCCGTGAGAGAGGTGATGGCAGCGTTGGCCCAGGAGGATGGCTGGACCAAGGGGCAGGTGCTGGTGAAGGTCAATTCTGCAGGTGGTGAGTTGTGCCCCTGGATAGACCCCAAGGGAGGGTGGCCCCTCGGATCTGCGCCCAGGTCCCCCAGTCAAGATCATTGTCATCATTGTCATCTTTCTGGTCTTCCTCAGTGTGAATGATGGCTAGCATTAATGGGAGGTGGAGTGCGTCTGTTCGAAGTGCATTTCATGCAGTGTGTAAGAGCATGAGCTCTGGAGCCTGCTGCTTGCATTCGGCACCAGCCCTTTAGCTCACCATCTGTGTGTCCTCTGGCAGGGTACTTCATCCCTCTGTGCTCAGTTTTATCATCCATAAAATGGGAATAGTAGGAGTACTTGCCTCCTGGAGGAATTGTGAGGATCAATTGAGTTCATCTATGAAAGCATTTAGAATGGTGCCCGGCACATAGTGATACATAAGTATTAGCTGCTATTATTATCATCATTTGTGTTTAGTCATTTAATATGAATTAATAACAATCTCATGAGATACAGGTACTTTTATCCTATTTTCAGACAAGAACACTGAAGCTCAAAGGGCATGAGCTATTCCTCAAGCTCACACAGTGAGAGTAGCTGGTCTTGGAACTTAAGTAGTCTTCATTTGTTTAGTCACTCAGCAAACATTTTTGAGGATCAGCTATGAGCCAGCAATATGTTAGGAGCTGGAGATACCACAGCAGGTAAAACAGGTCAGCTTGATGGTTAAGAGCATAGACGGTGGACTCCCAGACCCGTGAAGGCATCTTAGGCTCACCATTTACTAGCTGTGTGATGCTGGGCAAGTTGCTTAACCTCTCTGAGCCTGCATTTCCTCACCTGTCAGATGAGGACTGTAATTGTATCTACCCACAGGGTTGCAATGGCTAAGTGAGCTAATGTGTGTAAAGCACTTAGCACAGGGCCTGCCAGTCAGTGCTGAGAACATGGCGGGCTCAGGAGTATTAAGATGGGCCTCCAGAGAACCTGGAACATTCAAAACCACTGTTCTCTGCGGAGGGCACGGGCTTGACAGCTGGAACCCAGGGCAGACAAGAATTAGGGGCGTTCAAGAAGTGGGGATGAGAAAAGAAAAGCCTTCTCCCTTCAGGAAGTGGGGAGAGATGGTCACCTGTGTGCCCTGCCCTGGGAAGCACTGCCCTCTGCTGGCCACCTGGTGAGTTGCAGTTGCCCAAAGGTCATGTTTATTGAGACCCTACTATGTGCCAGGCACTGTTTAGAGCACTGATCTCCGAAGCACTTGGATCGACACCCATGTCAATAACCAACATTTAATTAAAACCCACACCCCACTGTGTGAATATTTGTTTGTAAGTAATACACATATATTACTACATTAATATCATAATAAAGATAGATAAAATAGAAATTGATGGAGTAGAAATGCAAAGCAGGTAGAAAAAGTAAACGTAAGTAGAAGAGCTCATATTTTCCCCAGGCACATGGATGATCTGATGTACCTTACTTTGGAGGCCACTGCTCTAGGGACTGGGGACTCAAGCACAGTCCCAGTCCATGAGGAGCTGATGAAAATCAACACCAAGGCTTATATAAGACACTTCCCAATTTTCAAAGGGCTTTTATACATAGCATGTACTTATAGCTACTATTTATATACATTATTTTATTTGACTTATGAAATAGTTGGGGCAAGTCTTATTGTCTCCATTTTACCAGGGAAGAAAGTGAGGCTGAGGGAGGCTCAGACCCTGCCCAGGTTCTTCCTGACTCACTGAGAATCTTTCCTCATCCTCTTGGATGTGCTTCCCTGGGCTGCGTGGCTGCGTGGGCACATGCACCTGTGTATTCTGAGCACCACCCAGGACTTCAACCCCGCTACTAGGAGAAACAACCTCTCAGCCTCCCAAACAGCACCTCCACCCTGGCATCCAGCTGGTCCCCGGCCTCCCTCCCTTCCCCCACCCAGTCCGCCTCTGCTGTCTTTGCAGATGCCATTGGCCTGCAGCCAGATGCCCGTGGTGTGGCCACATCTCTGGGGCTCAATGAGCGTCTCTTTGTTGTCAACCCACAGGAAGTGCATGAGCTGGTAGGGACCAGGCAGGGTGCCAGGGCCCAGGGAGGAGATCTATTTTGAGTGTGGCAGTGGTGGATTCTGGGGAGGGTCCCAGGGAGAAGAGGGAGGAGGGGCCTGGCTCTGGCTGCTGCTGGGTCCTCAGCACACAAAGGAGTGGGCCTCAGCTGATGGGGGAATTCCCAAGATAGTGCAGGGCAGGGGCTGGTAGCACTGGTTGGGAGCTCCCAAGGAGAAAGAGGAGGACCTGCCCTAGTTAGGGGTTCCCCAGGAGACAGGAGCCCAAAAGGAGGGGTCTCAGCACTGGGGAGCCCTATCCTCCAGCTGCTATAGCCCCTAGAGACCCTCTACTCCCCACTCCTGCCCTCCTAACCCTCCTCCTAACACGAGCATAGAGTCCTTGCCCCAACCCTCTCCCCCTACCCTGTGCCTTTCCCTGGATTCCTCAGGCAGCCCCCTGAGCACTCTCCCACCCGCAGATCCC
This sequence comes from Homo sapiens, assembly GCF_000001405.40. Taxonomy (NCBI): domain Eukaryota; kingdom Metazoa; phylum Chordata; class Mammalia; order Primates; family Hominidae; genus Homo; species Homo sapiens. The sequence continues at coordinate 47,741,035 of NC_000012.12, read as the reverse complement.
ACACCCTGACCAGCTGGGGCCCACTGTGGGCTCTGCTGAGGGGCTGGACCTGGTGAGTGCCAAGGACCTGGCAGGCCAGCTGACGGACCACGACTGGAGCCTCTTCAACAGTATCCACCAGGTATGGGAGGCAGAGCTGGGGGAGGAGAGCAGGCGGCGGGGCGCCCGGCTCGGCTCAGCACTCGCTGACCTCTCCTGCTGACCCCACCCAGGTGGAGCTGATCCACTATGTGCTGGGCCCCCAGCATCTGCGGGATGTCACCACCGCCAACCTGGAGCGCTTCATGCGCCGCTTCAATGAGCTGCAGTACTGGGTGGCCACCGAGCTGTGTCTCTGCCCCGTGCCCGGCCCCCGGGCCCAGCTGCTCAGGAAGTTCATTAAGCTGGCGGCCCAGTGAGTCCCTGTCCAGTGGGTAGGGCGTGGCCAGAGTCCCCCCGGCTACCTTTTCCTAAGCCCCCCTCTTTGCTTAGTATGTTGCCAAATCTGCCACCCTATTTGTTCCCTGGGTCCCCTGGAGCCTCTGCCTTCCCACCCCATCCAGCTTGGATCTCTGCAGAGGCTGGCCTGGCTGTTGTCTGGGGGCACTGTAGGGGTGGCTGCTTCCCTTACCCTGAGGGTCTCTGGGTCTTCTGCTCACAGCCTCAAGGAGCAGAAGAATCTCAATTCCTTCTTTGCCGTCATGTTTGGCCTCAGCAACTCGGCCATCAGCCGCCTAGCCCACACCTGGGAGGTAAGTGTGGTCTGGAGGGCCCCCTCCTGAGGTCAGGCCTCAGGCCCTCCTGGGAGTGCTGGATGGGGCTGGGCCTCCCCCAGAGCAGCCGCTCATCTGCCTCCTTTTCACAGCGGCTGCCTCACAAAGTCCGGAAGCTGTACTCCGCCCTCGAGAGGCTGCTGGTGAGTGCTCCACCCTGCCCGGCCTGGCTCTGCTAGGATCAGCTGGGCTCGGCCCTGCCCTCCAGACACCCTCACTCTTGGCTTCCCTGCAGCCCCTCTACTCGTCCTTTGTCACTTTCAGGGTTCCCAACCTCGGCCCAGGGCCTAGCTCCAGCCTGTGAGTTTGGGGAGCTGGCTGAGGAAGGGGTGTTCAGCACTAGGATAGGGGTTGCACGGTGCATCCTGGCCCTCAGTGTGTGCATGGGGGCAGGAGATCCTGTGTGAAGACTGGGCTGGAGCATGTGGGTGTCCAGTCCTGGGGTCTGAGGTGCCAGGGCAGTGTCAGGGGCTCCAGAGCCCAAGGGCCTGGCATGGAGCGCCTGTGTGCACCAGGGCCTGTCTGCCCCTCAGGAACTCCGAGGGGCTTGCGGGCTAGACCAGTAGAAGAGGCGAGGATAGAGTTGGGGGTGGAACCTCCCACCTCCAGGAACTTTTGAGGATTTTGAGGGTTTTGACTATTCTGGAGAGAAGCAGAGAAGAGGTACTTCATCAGCATAGCCTGGGAGCTCTTGAGAGAAAATCCACCTCGTGGGGCTCAAGGGATTCAAAGGAGTTTACTCTGCAGAGAGAGAGAGGGAGGGACACAGAAAGAGACAGGGATAGAAAGGGACAGAGAGGTGACAGTGACAGACTTTTCCAAGAAACCTGGGGCCCCTGTGACTAACTGCTGTGAATTTTCTCAGTGCTAATGGGAGGTTGGAAGCCCCGTGTTCGCCTGTGACAGAGCCTGGGTGAGACCTGGGGCTGAGGAGAGGCTGAGTTGGGGCCTCTGCACCTGCTGTGGGATGGGCATGTGGCCCCTCCTTGGTTGGGTGGGGTCTGTGGTGGCTTATGGTGTGTGCAACCCCCTCAGTGTGGCTTCTTCCCCTAGGATCCCTCATGGAACCACCGGGTATACCGACTGGCCCTCGCCAAGCTCTCCCCTCCTGTCATCCCCTTCATGCCCCTTCTTCTCAAAGGTAACAGGGCTTCCTGCCTCCATCCCTCCATTCCCCCCTTCCTGCCTCCATCCCCCATTTCCCCCTTCCTGCCTCCATCCCCCATCCCATGCCTATCTGTGTGTGCACCCACTCTGTTGGAGAGATTATACCTCAAGTGCTGATGCCTCAGGGAGTGCAGAGATGAATTAGGAGTTCTTAGACTGGAAGAATGAAGACATCCAGACAAATACGGGCTGCCTTCAGGGCCTAAGAGATACAAGGAAATGCTGCTGGGGCTTGGAGGGGGCAGAGGCAGGGGCTCTATGGGGTGAGGTAGGCCCAAGGGAGCCGTTATGCCCTTCACCTTTTCTGGGCTACAGGAGGGCAGAAGTTTGGGGACCTATGAACAAAACCCATCTCTTTGCAGACATGACCTTCATTCATGAGGGAAACCACACACTAGTGGAGAATCTCATCAACTTTGAGAAGATGGTGAGTCCAGGGAGAGCAGGCATTCACTACTAACATAGGTTGGAGGACATGACTGTGGCCTGGGAAGGGGCAGGGCTTGGAGGCAGCTTAAACTTGTTATGAATAATATGAGGATGAATACTTACTGTGTAATAGCCCCTGCCTTATTCCACTGCAACTGGGTCTGCCAGGGTGCCAGCCTCAGACGTCTCACCATTCAACGAGAGCCCTTCCAGCCCTCTTCTCTCTAAGCCTTTCTCTCCTGGCCTCTGCCTTCTGTCCTCTGCCTGGTCCCCGCTGGGCCTCTGGGTGTGCTGAGGCGAAGTACACATGATGCCACATAACCAAGGATCTTACAGTCCCTGATCCTTGGTTCAGAGGGAGCTTGGCCTCCCTGCTGCTGCACAGGGCAGGACAGGGTTTCTCCCTCAGGCAAGAGCTTATGCCCCGGTGTTGTCCGCAGAGAATGATGGCCAGAGCCGCGCGGATGCTGCACCACTGCCGAAGCCACAACCCTGGTGAGAGGGCGGGTCCCCGGGGTGGGAGGTCCCCCACCCTACATCCTCTGTGAGGCTCCAGGGTGGCCCTGACTCCATGACCCCTCCCCACCCCCGCAGTGCCTCTCTCACCACTCAGAAGCCGAGTTTCCCACCTCCACGAGGACAGCCAGGTGGCGAGGATTTCCACATGTAAGTGGTGGGCGATGGTGGGTGGGCAGGGAGGGGGTGCTTATGGTAGTTACCCATGGCTGGCACATCCTAGGCACTTGCCATGTGCCAGGCACGGAGCCCGGCCCTTCCATACATGATGTTGATAATGTTCAGCCTCTGTGCTCTGAGCCAGGGGGCTCTTCGGTCCCCTCACCCGTGGGGTGGGCAGGGACAGCCGTCTTTAGGAATTGGTGATGGGAAGTGGTTGGTGGGTGGTGGAGGGCAAGAAGGCAGATGTGATATGGCTCCTTGGAGGGGAAAGGTTGGGTTCCACAAAGGGGCATCAGTGCCTCCCTGACTACTCTCCTCCACCAGGCTCGGAGCAGTCCCTGAGCACCCGGAGTCCAGCCAGCACCTGGGCTTATGTCCAGCAGCTGAAGGTCATTGACAACCAGCGGGAACTCTCCCGCCTCTCCCGAGAGCTGGAGCCATGAGGAGGGGCTGGGACTGGAGCTGGAGCAGGCACTTGCAGCCGGGAAAGCCAGGGTGTGCCGGGCCAAGATACTCACAGGCTGGCCACAGCTGGGCAAGGCTCTCCGTGGAGTGGACTCGAGTCCCTGGAGCAGGCAGTGTGGAGGCAGCCATCCCCTGTGATGACTGGCAGCTAAGGAGGACCTCGGAGTGGACCCGAGCCAGGAATAACGAATGACCCAAGGCCAAGGAAGGGAGGACAGAGAGGCCCCAGGAGTGGGTGGAGAGTGGAGTGCGCTGGGACGTTGTGTGCAATAGAGAGGTCTCCACACCAGATGTCTTCCAGATTCTGTGCCTCTGGCTTTGTTGTCCAGCCAGGCCTGCAGTTTATTTTCACAGTGGACAGAGAGAGAGAGAGAGGCTGCATGTGTGTACCGTGTGTGGCAAGGGCAGGGCCTTGGCCTGGGGCAGGGGCCCCCTGCTTTCTTTCCACAGCTTTCTTCCAACAGCAGGCAGTGGGGCTGCGGGCCTGTGCGGTGGTCCCTGAGGAGCTTTATTGTTACTGTCAACATAGTAGTATGTTCCAGGCCAGCCCAGAGTGGGCGTGGCAGGGAGGCTGAGGCCCCGCCCTCTGGGAAGGAGCTGTGGAGGAGAAGCAGCCCCATGCTGGGCACGGGCCAGACTGGGTCCAAGATCCTGATGCCACCCAGATGTGCCTCCAGGGCTCTGGCCAAAGGGCGGGCTGGAGCCTGGAGCCCCTGTCAGCAGCCAGCCAGGGTGACCATCAGCTCCCCGTGGTGGTCCAATAGGACTTTACAGTCCAGATGCAACTGACAGCTTCTTCCCAACTGCAATCCCCGCTTTTCCACACTTGAGCTCGTCCTGGCCTGTTGGGCCAGGCTTCTGGGGTCTTCTGGGGGTGGCTTGTGATAGAAACAATGCTGAAGCTTCCGCGGAGAGCCCGTCGCTTGTTGAGGCCCAACAGACTTCCAGGAAATCAGGGTTTATCATCAGTGTTGAGAATGGTCCCAGCAAGCTCTGGTCATACGAAGTCCTCTCTTCCCTGCCCCTTCAGCACTTCCCCTAGGAACCAGCTACTGCCAGGACGCCTCTTGCGAGGCAGAGCTCACCCAGGAAGCTCCAGGGACTCCACCCTCTTGCCTTGCTATTGCCCTGAGTCCTGGCAGCAGGAGGCACTTGTCTGGCCAGAGAGAGAACTCATGGCCCCTGGCATGACTCCTGAGTAGGTATTGAGGCTGCAGGGCCTTGGGCGTCCAGAGGCAGCTGGTATGGCCCCTCTGCACTTCAGCCCCATGGATGTGGATACACAGGCCTGCTGCTTCCAGAAAGGGTCAGAGCCTTTAGCAGGGAGGCAGCACAGCTGGGCTTAGACCTCAGGTCACTAAGTGAATCTGAGCAAGTCAGTGAACAGTTCTCTTCCTTCATTTCTCCACCTGTAAGCCAGGTATGATAAACGCCATACAGCGCTTAGTGACAAACACATAAAACTGTAGCTCCTGCCTCTGTAGCAGAGGTGACAGCCAAGGGCAGTCCTGTGCTATCCAGGCCTGGTAGGGGGGCAGCCTCGCCTCAGTTGAGGGCTGAGGGAGAGACTGAGGTGCAGCAGATGGCAGTGGTAACCAAACCAGTTCCCTTGCCGTGGGTGGGGACACAGGAGAAGCACGGAAGCATCTGGAACTGAGCAATCAGGACAGGAGGCTCAAGCCTGGGTGAGTCAGGAGTCCGGGGGCTTTCTTTTCATCCAACCCATTGTCTGCTGGTGTCTCGGCAAAAGCCAGCCAGCCAGCCGTGGCCCTTCACCGTTCTTCAGACTCTAGGGTGAGCCCAGCCCAGCGACACAACAGAAACCAAGTGCCACGGGGGCCGGTGTCCTCCACCAGCATTTCTCCTCTGGTCACATCTACGTCCTGATGGGACTTCTCCCTCCTCCTTGGACCATCAGCTTTACAGTCCAGACCACCCTGCAGCCACCCGGTGGTCTCCCAGCTGCCCCAGTCTCGGGCAGGATGGCTTTTGAGCCTGTTGGGAGAGACCTTGCCAGGAGAATGGTGCCCAGGGCAGGCAAGAGGACACAGACTCTGGGAGCTAGAAGAGTTGCGGCCCAGGGGGCCAGGCCACTCCCAGAGGACAGGAGGCCCAAAAGCGGGGAAAGGCTCCATGTTACGGTGGCCCCATGCTGGGAGTTTGTGCTGCCTTCTGTCTCCCTGACTGCCCAAGCGTGGGGTGGTGTGGGGCAGGAGGCATCCTCTGGTGTTCCCTAGCAGCCCAGGCTGTGTGCAGGGGCTCCCATTTTGTGTCTCAGCTGCAAGAAGGCCACAAAGGGAGGAGGGGCTCATGGGACTGCTGAGAAGAAGGTGTGCAGAAAGGGAGTGTGGCCCTAGATCAGTCCTTTAAAAAGCCTCTGTTACCTGAAAGGAGGTCAAGCAGAGAGGAATGGCTGCGTGTGTGTCCTACCGGGCAGGACAGGACAGAGGGAGGTCATTGTTACACACACATCCCCCCTCCTTTCCTCCTTCCCCTCCACTTCCCTGTGAAGGCCTGAGGCAGGCTGTGGCCAGGCTCAGGCCCTGACTGTGGGGTACACACCAGGGAGGGCCACGCCTCCCCACAGACGGGGTGGAGTGGTCAGTGGAGCCAGCACCCTCTGCTGCTTCAGCATCTCCGCCTGGAGCCAGCTGTCCCCTCTCTCTCAGGCTCCATCCGAACAAAAGGAAGGCAGAGCCTGAGATCCGGCACCCCATCCCCCTCCACTCAGCACTGAGTTAGAGCTGGGTGGGGGCATGTCTGCCTTCACACGCTGCCTTATGGCTTCTGTGTCTCCAACAGCCCTCAGCCTCTGGCTGCTCTCCTTCCCAATAGTCACAAGATTTACCATGATAATAATAGGTTAAGACTTGAATGGTGTTTTCATCTTCTTTCATCTTCACCCTGTCTCACGTTACGTTATTTTTATCCTGATGACAGAATAGGTACTACAGGTATTTTTACTCTGGTTTTACAGTCAAAGAAACTGAGGCACAGGCAGGTTTGCCCAAGGTCACATAACTGCTTAATAGCAGGGTAGACAGGTGAAGTAACTGGATGTGTATCAGCCATGCCCTTTCCCCATGCCCCCGGCACTCCCCATGACAGCTCTCTGAATCCCAACATTTTATTCTTTTGCAGGATTAGACCCAAGCATATAAATTCCTTTTTCCCTCTCTCCATTCCCACATTCTTTTATTTTCACGTACTTACTATAGGCCTTGTAGGGGCTCTGTGAACAAGACAAAGGCCAGGTGCTGTGGCTGATGCCTGTAATCCCAATGCTTTGGGAGGCTAGGCATTTGAGACCAACCTGGGTAACAAAGCAAGACCCGGTCTCTATAAAAAATAAAAATTACCCGGGTATGGTGGTGTGCACCTGTAGTCCTAGCTACTTGGGAGGTTGAAGTGGGGGGATCACTTGAGCCCAGGAGTTCGAGGTTACAGTGAGCTATAACTGCACTCGTCCTTTCTTTGGTTGACAGAGAAAGACTCTGTCTCTAAAAAAGAAAAAACCAAGACTGGTAGTTCTGGCCCTCATGGGGTCAATCATCCAGCTAGGCAGCCAAGACTATCAGTAACAAAAGATGCCGAGGGATAAAGTCCAGAGCAGCAGAATCCCAGGGCTGCAGCATCTCAGTGCTTACCCCAAGCATTAAGGCCCAGAGCTGCTCCCGTTGGAGCATAGGTTCATAGCCCCAGCTCCCCTGAGCCCTGCACAGCTCTGTCCCCTGAGATGGGGATGCTCTCCACTCATCACTGGCACAAGCCACCTGAGTAGCAGGCAGGTATGGTGGCTGGTGGCTGCAGCAAATTCTGACCTGGCAGTTGTCCTCAACCCCTTTCTCCCTTCCACAGACCTACAGGCCAGAAAGTACATGTCTTTCCAAAATGTGTCCTAGTACCCCAACCCACACTCAGTATTGAGCTCCTCCTACATCTGCCAGGCCATGGATCTATACTAAGTAAGTGTCCACCCAGGCCTGTCCAGTTGCTGCAGCCAATTCAGGCACCCTCCTCTCAGATTCTGGACTCTTCAAGACCTGAGCTGTAGCCTTCCTGCAACACAGTCTGCTGGCATCTGAGGGTGAAGGGGCTTGCAGGCCAGGGCACGGGTGACTGCCGTCCCTCCCAGTGATGATAAAACTGGATCATCCTGAGAAGCCGAGTCTGACTCAGCTGCACTTAGAAAGAGTCTTCTCTCCCATGCCTGGGGGCCTTCCTGGAGCAGGTGCCTCGATGGGGTCAGGGGAGGATGCTCCTGGTGGTAGCTGGTAGAACACAGAGGAGGCTGGTGACTCCCAGAAGAAGACAGAAGGTTAAGCTCACAGTTTGGACCCACTTTTTGTGCTAGGAGGTGTGGGATTCTGGTTGTGCATGTGTGTGTGGACTGTGACCAGTGTGCACCCTGGACCAGGGAGCTGGATGCTTCAGGCTTCACCCTGACTCTGCCTGCCTTGCTCTTGGCCCTTGGAGAGCACTTGGATCTTGGTTTTCTCACTGGAGTGAGTTGTAGGCAGCTAGAGCTGTTTTGGACTGCTGAATGGAGGGGCTGTACTGGCTTTCCTGGCACTTAGGCGATCCTAGCTAGCAGAGGGGTAGAGACAGGGTGCCTTTTTAGGGGGCCATGACAACAGGATATTTTAAGCTTACTTGACCACCCAGAAAAGTGCCCTGTCCACCAGAGTATAAGGCAGCATAGGTGGATCCCATAGGTGGGCAGTGTGCTGGGGCAGGGGGGCCTCCATCTCTCAGCAGCCCTGGGCAAGGCAAGCGCCTTCCTCTCCCTGGGCCTCACTTTCCCCATTTAGAAACAGGAATTTGGATGAGAAGTGTTTGAGGATCTATGAATTTGGCAACTCAGGGTGTCAAAAGGGGAAGGGGTGTAGGCCCCTTTAAGCATCTTCCCCATGGTGGCTTCCAGCCGTGACTGCTCATGGGAGGGATAGTGAGCTGCAAGCACTGTTTTATTGGAGGGGTTCTCAGAGCTCCCTACCCCTGAGTGTTGCTCCCTGCTACCTGCTTGAGTGCATGACTGCTTGCCTTCTACTCTTTGAGTTCTAGTTGTCAGTAGAAGGCCCCTGTTATGTAGATACATAAGTTGGGAAGATTCTAATGGCCCAATTGTAGATTCTAATTAATATTTCTAATGGTCACTTTTAAAAGAATAGAAAAAGAAGAGCCTCGAGGCAATGGCATTAGGGGAATTTAATGGCATGATCAGGTGGCAAGGTCCAGAGATGATTACTTAGGGTGGGAGAATGTTACAGGGGTCCTGGGACACAGGGCATCCAGGGTGGGAATCAGAGGGAGAGGTAGGTGGCCAGTTTCACCCTCTCAGCGTTGCTGGGGCTGAGCCCTGCAGGAGCAACCTGTGTGCTGGAGGGAGAGCCTGCACATGCAGGCTGGACTCTGGTGGCCCACGGAGAAGGTCAGCAATCTCTGTTTCTCTTCTCCGGTTCTTGACTTTGCACCAGGCAGCTGTGGATTATCTCATCAAATAGAGCACAAGGCTCAGGAGGCTGAGCCATGGAGTTGCTGCTCTTAGCTTAGCCCCATTGCAACTTTTAGCTTCCCCCAGAGCAAAGCACTGTTCCTAAGGCTGCAGGCCACAGCCCCAGAAAACAGGTGGTTCCTTTTGGCACCAAACCAGGTGAGTTAGACAGTGCGACTCATCAAAGGGCCATCCCCAAGACTTGAAAATACCGAGGGTGCACGTTTTTTAAATGAAAATATTATCTTTGGAATTATAAAATAAATATTACATTATAGAGACTGTAGATTAGAGGAGCTGCCACCTTCTCACTATTGTCATTTTCAGAACTTTTTTTTTTTTTTTTTGAGACGGAGTCTTGCTCTGTCGCCCAGGCCGGAGTGCAGTGGCGCGATCTCAGCTCACTGAAAGCTCCACCTCCCGGGTTCATGCCATTCTCCTGCCTCAGTCTCCTGAGTAGCTGGGTCTACAGGCGCCTGCCACCACGCCCAGCTAGTTTTTTGTATTTTTAGTAGATGGAGTTTCACCATGTTAGCCAGGATGGTCTCAATCTCCTGACCTCGTGATCTGCCTGCCTTGGCCTCCCAAAGTGCTGGGATTACAGGCATGAGCCACTGCGCCCAGCCCAGAACACTTTTCTTTGTATTTTTTTTATTTTTATTTCTTGGAGACGGAGTCCTGTTCTGTTGCCCAGGCTGGAGTGCTGTGGTGAGATCTTGGCTTACTGCAATCTCCACCTCCCTGGTTCCAGCGATTCTCCTGTCTTAGCCTCCCAAGTAGCTGGGATTACAGATGTGCATCACCACGCCCAGCTACTTTTTGTATTTTTAGTAGAGATGGGTTTTCACCATGTTGGCCAGGCGGGTCTTGAACTCCTGACCTCAGGTGATCTGCCTGCCTCGGCCTCCCAAAGTGCTGGGATTACAGGCGTAAGCCACCGCGCCCAGCCACAGAACATTGTTAACATTCATTTTTCAGGCTTTTCCTAACCATCCTATCTAAATTACGCCCTTCGTGGCCCTATTTTTTTTTTTAACAACAAACATCTGGCCTTATTTATTAGGCACTGTTCTAAAACCTCTGCAAGGATTAACTTATTCAATCCTCACCATAGCCCTCTAAGGTACTCTTACTTGTTCTATTTTAGATCTACGGGGGAAATTGAGGCACAGAGGGGTCAGGGAACTTGCCCAGGATTGTACAGCTGGTGGGTGGCAGAGCTGGGATTCAAACCCAGGCAGCTTGGCTTTAGAATCAACAGTCTGAGCCTCATGTCCTGCTGCCCAGATCTGGCTGTAGACGCTCTTTATTTATGTCTTTCTTTCTCTCCAGCTGCTGAGCTGCTCACCCTTTATCCACTTTGCTTATCACAGTGTCTGGCACACAGTGGCATTCAAGTGCTATTTGTCAGGTGAATGAAGGAATGAATGAGAAAGGGGGAATTTCCCATAACCCAACTACCTTAGCACAATAATTATGGTAATTTTGACAGATTGTAGATTTCAAATCATGGGTCAGGAACCGCTCCTGCCAGTCCTGTTGTCCTGTCATCATCTTTGAGGCCAGAACAGCCCAGCTGTGCCAACATACCTGGGGCGAGAGGCAGCCCATGTTCCTCACGCCAGCGGTCAGCTGCGGGTTGGCCTCGGGCCTGTCTCTCTCTTGATCTCGCCCTTACTCACTCCCTCGCTGTCTCTCTGAACCTCCTTATCGCTGTCTGCCTGTCTTGCCCACATCTCCTTGTTCTCATTGTGCCTCTAGACCCTCTTTAAAGCCAGTGGAGTTTGAGGACATGCAATAGTAATTTTATAATCATTACTGGGCAGTGTAAAACAAACATTAGCACAGCTGGCAAAGAGTGTAGGCAGATGGTTCCTTTGGGATCCTAAAAAAGCAGGATACAGCTGAGATCTCTGTGACACTGTGGATTCAGAAACTGCTGGAACTGTCCAGTCCCTGTGGTGGCTGCCCCTTGTAGGGGTGGTGCCAAGGGTGGCTTGGGGGTTTAGGTCCTCCTAAATTTCCATTAGGCCCCAACAAATACACAATATAGCTAAAAAAAAAAAAAACCCAGTGTATTTGTTATGAAAATGCAACTTTGAGATGAGTCTCTAGACCCCACGTCCCCCCTTTGGATAAACTCTGGTGCTTCACAGCTGCCGGAGACCCATTTGCTGTCCTCTGCTTTGCTAACCATCTTCACTGAGTCTTTAATATCAAGTGGGGCTGGAAGACTGACCAGTGCCCTGATTCATTTACATATTGATTCATTGCAGGTCTCAGGCACAGGTTGATAATTATCTAACTGTTTAGATTCTAACACACATTGGATGGCAATACAAAGGGCCCATGAGGCAGGGTCCCCTTCTCAAAGAACTTCAGAGGAAAAGTTAAATGGCAGTGCAGGGGTTAACTGATACCATGTTGGCAGCAACAGATGTTGGCAGTCAGAGATGACTGTGCTGTGTCAAAGGCACACAGGACAAATATGCACAACCAAGCTCCTAGGCAGGAGAGATCCTGTGGGCTGAAGAGAGGTCAGGCTTTGTGGAAGAGTGAATTTGCCCTGGGGCCGGAGGATGAGTAGGAGCTGGACAGCTGAGCAGGGAGGGTGGGGGAGGGTGTTCCAGGCTGAGGACCAGCATGGGGTGTGGCTGGCAGAACTAGAAGTGCAGCATGGGACTATGTGATGAGTGGGCCTAGTTGGGAGGTCTGACGGATATGCTCAGCCCAGGCATTGAGTGTGATGCTGATGTCAGGGCTGCCCACAAACTTAAACAAAAGCCTGGGAACACAAACGTGGTATACACCATACTAACCAATGTGGGAAAGAAATCACACATGGAGCCGCTTCTAAGACACATTCAATAAGAGCAGACATGGGTGACCATCCTGCGCTTCTATCCTGTGGGCCAGGGCAGCACTCCCAGGAGAACCAGCATCTTCATGTGCCAGGGTCCCCTTGGGAGGTGAGTCTGGGCCTCTCCTGTGATGGGCCAGCTGCAGGGTCCTTCCACACGCAGGTCCTCTGCTGAAATGACGTGGCCTTGGTTTTGCAGGAGAACGAGGATGGTAGAATAGGCTGGCCTGGGCAGGTGTCCCTTTTAGTAGTCCTCTGGGTCAGTCTCTCTCAAGGCCTGTTGATCCTGACAGACCCCAGACACCTGTGGTAGCCCAGAGATGAATGAGGCCTACTTCAAACAATGCCCTAATGCTGAGGCTTATCTGGCTTCTGTCCCACCAGAAACCAATCAGTTCCAGGAAGAGTTTTCCAGCCTAGCCTGAACCCTGCCAGTCCAATAACAGCATAGCCCCTGATGTGTAGTGAGCACTCGATAAATATTTGGCTGATGGAATTCCCACCCTCTATGTCTCTCACAGCTGAGTGCCTCCCAAATCCTTGCCCAAGCAGCCTCACCCTCTTCCCCACTCTCCAGACCTCCACAGAGGACACAACTGCACCATCTCTGTCGCTATTCTCATCATTGAGACACCATCCACCATGCATCTCCCTCCACTCTCTCCCTACCCCAGCTCTCCAGGACCCAGCCTACCACAATTCCCAACTTGCTGGCTGGTCCCACTGTGGCTTCTTGGGAAGTCTGCAAGGATGGAAAGCCCATGTGAGTACCTAATGGCGGGGGGTACTCAGAAAGAGGAGCCGCAGAGTTCTTGGTCCACAACAGGCTAGCAGGGAAGAGAAAGCTGCCTGAAATCTATCTTAATGTATCTCTCTCTCTCTCTCTCTCTCTCTCTCTCTCTTTTTGTGTGTGTGTGTGTGTGTGTGTGTGTGTGTGTATACACACATACATGGACATCTAAGTTTATGAGGCATCTTTGCATGAATATGTATTGATATATTTTCATTTATTGGCTTAATGGATTTTTTCTGCCTTTGTCAGCATGTCTTCGGTTATAAAATCTGGGGTTTGGGAATCCGATCTGCGAAGAGGGCGTATGAGCAGCCGTGGGAGGGCATATCCCAATTCCCCACCCCTCAACCCTCAGCACCAGAGGCAATGAAGGAGAGGCAGGACAAGCACTTAGGGTTGTTTAGGGAGTTGTGACATCCTATGAGAAGTGGAACTAGATGGCAGTTGAGGTCCCTTTAATTCCAGTGAATTTAAATCTAGACTGCTTTGTATAGTAACCAGACATGATTAAGTGGTCGTTCAAAGTGTGATGTTGTGGGGCAATGGAGCAACGGTGCTTATGAGAATGACCCCTGGTCAGATGGATCTGGGTTGAGGCACAGCTGCATAACTTAATGATTGTGTGCTTCTGGGCACGTCTCCTAACCTTTCTGTGCCTCAGTTTCTTCATCTGTAAAATGAGGACAGCAATAGTACCTATTAAGGTTGTAGTGAGAATCAATGAGATAACACATATGATAACACACGTGGTAAGTGCTCAGTCAATGTTGCTGGTGGTTGTTAAGGCTGTTATTCTTATTGAAGGATGCAGTTTTAAACACTTGGGTACTCAGATGAACCATCTGGCTCTATGGAGTCATCCTTAACTGTCTTCCCCAGCTCCAATCCTTGCTCCTGACCTAAAATTCCATTAATGGGGGGAGAGCTCCTGCCCTCAAAACACCATCCCATGGCCAGTTCAGCTGGACACTAGGAGAACCTAGCCAGGCTGTACTCCACTCTGACAGCTTTGGCTTCAGCTAGGGTCCACCCAGCTGGACACTTGGAAGGGACAGACCATTCATTCCCAAATTCTGAGGCATCATTGCTTCCCAGGCCAGCCAGTGACACCCTCCTTTGTCCCCTAAACAACAGGAGTCAGAGACACGTTTATGTGGTGCCAACCCAGGGAGGATGAGGATTCTGAGGGGCAGTGACTCTTCAGCCTGCTTTTGGATTGTGTAAATGAAATCTATGCAAATGAAGCAGCCATTTCTGCTCTTACTCATTCTAACCAGCTCCCTTCTGGGAGAGAAGGGCTAGGCTCACTCTTTAGTTGTGCTTCCGGGCTGGATGCAGTGGCTCACACCTGTAATCCCAGCACTTTGGGAGGCCAAGGTGGGCAGATCACCTGAGGTCAAGAGTTTGAGATCAGGTTGGCCAACATGGTCTCTACTAAAAATACAAAAATTAGCCAGGTGTGGTGGTGCATGCCTATAATCCCAGCTACTCGGGAGGCTGAGGCATGAGAATTGCTTGAGCTGGGGAGATGGAGGTTGCAGTGAGCCGAGATCACACTGCTGCACTCCAGCCTGGGCGACAGAGAGAGAGATTCCATCTCAAAATATATACATACATTGCACTTCCTGTGTGAGCCCCTTGCAAAGTTTGCTTGCCCTAGGCTTGTCCTTCTCTCTACCCCTGAGTCCCTATGTTTGGACTCCTCTCTACACAGCAACAGGCTGGGGGATTCTCTTTAACCCACCAGCAACTGTTCAACCTGGCGCATGGGCAGGAAAACTCGAGATTAAAGTCTGAGAACCTGGAAGGGATTGTCAGATCCAACCCCATCATTTCAGATGAGAAAGCTGAAGACCAGCGAGAGGAAGAAACTTCTCCTGTTAAAGCACACTGGATGAAGACGTGCTCCACTCCCAACCTCCAGAAAAAAATCACTGATAGAGTGGCCTCCACTGTTCACCAATTTTGCCTTTTTATATGATAGTTTTCTTTCCTGAGAGGGTTGAGAATCCCCATGCAGTGCTCTTTCTGGCAAGGGCATCATACTTGGCAGATTTTACCTTTATTATCGGGGAAAACTGGACAGTCACGGGGAGCTGCTCCCCTTCTTTTGGACTTGGAAACAAAAGAACCTCACTGGGGAGGAGTTCCTGAGGAGAGGAGTGTAAGTTGGGGTGAAGGGAGTGAAACCCTGGGCTCCCAGGGGAAGAAGAGTGGGCCTTCGGCTGCCTTTAAGAGGCCTCTTGCCCCTCCCCTGCCTCATAAGGAATCTGAAACGTTTAAACCCCAGAGGCTGACTCAGTAAGAGTCATTTGCATAATATTTTAGAGTGATTTAGCCATGCGCTCGACATGTGGCTGATTTAGCTATGCTGGGCTTGGTGGTCATAAGAATAGCACTGGTTCTGACCGACACATCCTCTATCTCTCTGTCCAATGACCCCAACCCTTGCTTGGGCACTTACTGTTTGTCAAATTTGGACCAATCACCTTACTGTGTGCCAGTGTCATGCTAAGCTCCAGGAATTTGAAGATGAATCCAACCTGTGGCCCCTTGGAAAGTCAGGTCTGAGACTTGGAAGTAGGTGTCTGTTTGGTGGGGATCACCCAAAGATCAGCCCATGGGTGTCCCTAATTTGGACAAAGAACCCTCCAAACTGGACCCATCTTGGTGTGCCTGCCTGCATGACCTATTTTTTAAGCTGCAAACAGCTAGCATTACCTGTTCTCAACATCTGGCATTACCTACCTTCTTAGTCACCTTCCCTCAGGCTTCAAACAGCTGTAGGGCCCCACCTCCTATCCATCTAGGGTCCCTCCCTCCCCTTTTTCTTCCTGAAAGGATCTGGAGACACCAGCTCCACAAGTCCTGGTGTCTTTAAAAGGATCAGCTTGAGGAATAAGGCTCGTCTGAGAGCTGTGACATTCATCTGACTCTAGTGAAAGTCCAACAGCCACTCCCTTTTTGGCCTCCAACTGGGCACCATGAGGGCCTGCATCTCCCTGGTATTGGCCGTGCTGTGTGGCCTGGCCTGGGCTGGTAAGTCACTATCTGGCGGGCATGGGATTGCTGGTGGGGCGGGATCTTGCCTAAAGAAGCAGAGAGTTGGAGAACTTGGTAGAGGGCAGGGCCGTGGGACAAGGGAGGGTGAGCTCTGTCCTAAAGCCGCAGAGCACTTTTGGGTTGTCCTTGTCTGAGGGTGCAGGCGTTGGTCCCGGAATGGACTGGACTATGTGGAGAGAGTTGCAGGGCTGATGGTCTGATTTCATGGAATTCCCTTCTTGACACCTTGGAGGATCAGCCCCAAATATCCCTTAGTCCAGCCTGACTTTTGATCTCCCCAAGATTTTGTTGTCTGGGGCCACTGTAAGGAATAAAGCTAGGGCTGGTGTCCATGGGGTCTGAGTGGCCTGGCTGCCCTTGGTCACTCCTTCCACTGCCTGGTGACAGGTGAGGTTGTTTAGGGTGTGATGTTACTTTGGGTAGAGCCTTAGGAGGTGGGCAGGCTTAGGAGGAAACTGAAAGGACCTTTGACCAGGAGGTGGGCCTCGTCCTATCTGGGGCTGTACAGGGGTCAGAGGAATGGATCTCTGTTGCAGTGTTAGGAGAATTGAAGAATACAGAAGGGACCTGGCCCACAGTTATGAGAGGTCCAGGGGATGGGACTGGCAGAGGAACAGGACCATGTTCCTGTTTAGTAACTGTGCAAAATGCTGGTGCTGATGGGTTAATTGGTAGCTAGTGGGTGGGTGGGAAGGAGTGCCAAGGGAGGGGCTGAGCTGAGGAGTGTGGGGAGAATCCTCCTCTGCCCACAGGAGAAAGAATCCTTCCACTGGGTTGCTCCTGTGTAGGACTGTGGAAAGGATTAAATGAAATAATGTATGAGAAGCACCTGGTGCAAAGTGAGATCTCAGTGAACTGGAAATTCGCTATGATTATGACTATAAATTTTCTTGGGAGAAACTTCCGCTTGGGGTCATTTCCAACTGGGTTGTGGAAAGGAGACCCTTATGGGATTTCTAAGTGGAAAACCCCTGGAAGAGGAAGTTGTGCCTCCCAACCATGGATGAGATAGTGCATCTTACCAGAAACCAGCTCTGCCTGGGCCCTAGTGGGTGGAGAGGCAGTGGGAGAGCATGAGGGTGGGCCTGGGAGCCACCAGCCTCAGCCCTGTTGGTTGGGAGGAAGGTGGAACTTGGGGGCTTAATGTGTAGGGGTGGCCAGCGGGCTTGGCATATTCCAGCCTTAGGGAAGGAGAGCAACTCTGGATATTTGGTCCCTGGGGGGCAGAGGTAGCAGTGGCTTTAGAAGTGCAGGTGGAGCTCTTGCTGCTAGGTCGGAGGGCAGTATCTGCTTTGGCTGTGGGATCGATGGGGAAGTGAGGTCAAGTGTATGAGGCTTCCTAAGGTGGCAGGGAAGAGGCTCTGCACTTGTTGATACTATCCCAACATCTCAGAACTGAGAGGCAAGAATATGAATCACATGGGGAATCACTGACAGCCTCAGGTCCTCCTTTATGAGCTGGATGTCTGTGGAGAACCTTGGTTGATTTTTTTGGTTGTGAATGGAGGCAGGAAGCTAGTCCAAGGGGTGAGGCTTCTTGGTTGACTAGGTCTCCATGGAAACAGCATCTGGGGCCTTCTAACGGTACAGATGTGTAGGATGTCCCAGTCATCAGAGGGGCTGAGCACCAGTGTACAGGGACACTGTGTCCACCCAGGCTTGGGACCAAGCTTCCTTGATGGCCAGTATGGATAGGGAGTGGCTGTTCTGGCATATTGAAGTCTTAGAAAGTGCAGAGAAATTGAGCATTTCTTGGGGGAATGGAGGGAGAATCTGAACCCGAGAGAGGAAAGGCTCAGATGAAGAAAGGCAGAGAGTCAGAGAGGTGAGGCAGAGGAACAAGAGGCACAGGTTACTACAGCAGTGATTCAGGCACCTGGCTTGGGGAGCAAGGCTTACTCAGAGTGTTGGTGTTAATGGTGCAGTGTGGGGATGCTGGAGTGAGTTGTTAGGGTGACTAGTTACTCATCAGAGTGTCCCCAGAATGTCACAGCAAAGTGCCTATGAGGAAAAGTTCCTCCCACCCCTGCACTCCACTGTCAAATCCCAAGGTCACCTTGAAGCAGACTAAGTGCACAGAGAAATGTGAGAAAGTGCTGGCATGGGGCTCTTGCTGGAGACAAAGTTCTTGAGCAGAGATGAAAAAGCCCACTCAGCTTGGGCCGGCGGGGGTGCTCTCCTGCACGTCCAGCTGACTGCTCGCTTGCAACCCTTCTCAACTGGTGCCAGCTGCTGGAATGAAGTGAATTCTTTCCCTGGACTCTGCTGATTTGGCCCATTAAAAACATTGCCCTGATTTGCCTGAATTCTCTCCCTTTGGATTCTGGGTGTACTGCCAGGCTGACTGAGCAGGGAGCTGATGGGCTGAAAATTTCTCCTTAAGGTCTTTGCATTCAGGCTCCAAGGGAGCATCATTTAACATTCAAGAGGAGTTCCTGCCGGCTTGAAGGAACAAGTGGCCTTGGGCCTGGTCTCTTTTAGGGACTGGAAACCTGCCTTCCTGCCCACCTTGGAGGCCTGACAATGTGAAGTTGTCTGAGGACCCGGGTTAACCTTGACCCAATGCCTCTCTGATGTAAAGAATACAGACCTGTAGTGATGAAGTCAGCCAGGAAACCAGCAACACAGATGTGCTGACAACCCAGCCCAAGGGATGGCCCTGTTGAAACCCTGGGAGAGTGTCAGCTAGATTAAGTGTGTCGACGGGGCCACAACACAGGGAAGACTGCTCCAGCCAGTCTGAACACTTGTCACTTGGAAGATGGGCATGAAATATTGCCACCGTTTATTCACCTAACAAATACTTCTATGGTACTACTATGTGTCACTTGCTGTCCTAAGTGCTTTACATATATTAACTCATTTAATTCTTACAAATATTCTATGAGATAGGCTCCATTATCATCCCACTTTTACAGATACGAAAACCAACGCACAGAAGTTCAAATAACTTGCCCAAGATCACATAGCTAGAAAGCAGTAGAACCAGAATTCCAGCCTCAAGCAGTTTGGCGCCAGAGTCTAGGTTCTTGACCTCTCTGCTATGCTGTCCCTCATTAGACAAAGTATCAACCTTAATCCCAGAATCCAATACTAGGGACTGGTAACCAAACCCAACCTCTAATATTTAAGCTCTAACCCACTCCAGGCTTAAATTAAGATACTACACCTGTATTGAATCATAACCAGAACCAAGCCCCCAAACAAAACAGGGATTATTCATCTTTTTCTCATCCTGACACATTCCTCAACCCCGAATGTCATCTTAAGTCTATTCCTATTCCTTACCCAAATATCAATACAAAATTGTTAATTTATCAACTAATTTAACTCAAGCCCAAATCCTAACTGTAGTTCTTAACCTAACTAACCCCAACCCTGGTCCAAATTAGGTTTCAGTTTCCTCACTGATACAAATTCTGATGCTGATGGTAACTCTGACTCTGATCTTGACATTCTCTGTAACCCACAGTATGACCTCTGAACCCAGCGTTCGTGAAATCCAAACCTCAGGAACCTCAAATCGAACAAAGACTCTGTTATCACCCTTAAAGCCCAGAGTGGATAGTGGGTTTCCACTGTTCCTTCAAAATGTCTTGTCTTATGTCCCTTGCGACCAAAAGCTTGCTTCTGCAAACCATTTGGCTGCAGTGGGGGATGTGGTCTGTGGTTACATAATAGAATGCTATGCCAGAGCCCAATTCTCACCCGCACCCGCCTCATTCCCCACCCTGAGCATAAATTCATCTGAATGTACTCCAAAGACGGGAAAGAACAGAAAGATGTGACACAGGGGGAAAGAGCGTGCAGAGAAGACCAGAAGGGGAGACAAGAGCAAAGAAGCAAATAACATAACAGGGATGGAATAAGAGCCAGCGGAGGGTCAGGGGCAGGGGACATCCCTGGGGCAGCATGACATGACAGGTGAAGGGGGCCTGTGGGCTACACCCAGTTCACAGACCTCTTTCTTTGGTGTGCTTAAAGTGTTACAAGGTTGGAAAATTTCACATAAAAATGAAGATTTATCTTGAAAAAAAAAGGGAAGGCTCTGGCAACACTGAGCACACATCCCAACATGGCCACAATCGGCTAGAGCTGAGCATCAGCTGCAAATTTCAGATGGAGCATTGCTCTCAAGTTTGTCACGGTCTCCATTTCTTCCTACTGCCTCATACCCTGCTTCTTTACTTGCTTATGTTATGGGCCTAACCCAAATAGGGATTTGGGTTTGTGATCCTGGTCTCTTTGATGAGCCTTGAAATATTTGGTGGGTGTTGGGTGGTGGGGAGGAGGCTTATGTTGTGCATGGGAGGCTGTGGATGTACTTCTCCTTTGCAGAGAGTAATGCCCTTCCCTGCCAGGTACACTCCTGCCCTGGTCTGTGAACCCTCCTGCAGGAGGCACCCTGGGGAGAACAGGGTCTCCATAGAGCTGAGTTGGTGACCTTTACTGCCCATAGGAAAAATAGAATCCTGTGCATCTCGATGTAATGAGAAATTTAACCGGGACGCTGCCTGCCAGTGTGACCGCCGGTGTCTCTGGCATGGGAACTGCTGTGAAGACTATGAACATCTGTGTACTGGTGAGCCTCCTTGTGAGACGAAGGCATGTCCAGCCTGTCTAAGGGGCCACTGGCCTGGGTGTCCAGCAGGCCAGAGCAGCGTTCAGGACTCACAGGGGCTCTAAGGGTCTGGACAGAAAGCACTGAGGGACAGAGGCAGGGTCAGGAATTTGGCCACCACTTTTCTCAGGTTTTCTAGGATGCCCCCAACTTAAAATACAGTAGATGTCATTTACCTAGAATTTCTGTCTGAAATATCAGTTTTAACAATATCTTGAAAGTTTAAGTACTAAATTCTAAAAAAGGGTAAAATGATAAAAATAATATTTTAGTATGTATGACATTATTAATTGTTATTCAACACTTTAAATCACAAAAATGTAAAAATGGTAGCAAACTCTCACAACTTGTGTACTGCCAGGAAGACTGCATGGTGTCACAGTGACGGACACGATTCATACCACTCTTCCTCTAGTGAAGGGACCACGTGGTGCAACATCTCCATACCATCATTTCCAGCCTACCAATTAGAACAGGACATGCACCACCTTTAACTGCATAGTTTTAAATGAATACTTGAAAAAAATCTTGTATGAATAATCAACTTGTTTAGGTGCTTCCAATGTTGTCAACTCCCAGATTAATGATCTTCTGCTTTGTGACACAAAGCCTTGATGTCAAGCCATGCACTCTGACTCCCAGTTTTGAAAACATGGTCACTGAAGCCACGTTAGGTAATGGCCATCAATTTCACTGCATAATCATTGCACAGGTTGTGCGTTGTGCAAGGGAACCTAGTTAAGCAGCAAGCTGGACCAAAATCCAGTCTGTATCCTTCTCATCAGGTTTTGTGCACTGGTGAAGAGTTGTGTCTGCTGAGAGAAACAAGTGTGTTTTCTGAATTTGCCCAAAGGTGGTAGCCAGTCAAGCACCCACAGAGCTGCTTCCACTCGTATGGAAGCTTTTTTTCAATTTATACAAAAACACCATATGTATTAGTCCATTTTCATACTGCTATGAAGAAATACCCGAGACTGGGTAATTTGTAAAGAAAAAGAGGTTTAATAGACTCACCGTTCCACATGGCTGGGGAGGCCGCACAATCATGGTGGAAGGCAAAGGAGGCGCAAAGACACATCTTACATGGTGGCAGGCAAAGTGCGGGGGAACTGCACTTTATAAAACCATAAGATATCGTGAGACTTATTCACTATCACGAGAACCAGCACAGGAAAAACCCGTCCCCATGATTCAGTTACCTCTCACCAGGTCCCTCCCGTGACACATGGGAATTATGTGAGCTACCATTCAAGATGAGATTTGAGGGGGGACACAGCCAAACCATATCACCATATAAGCATATGTATTATACATTAGCACCACATATATATTAGCACACACACATACACCTCCTTCCCCAGGCAGGGAGACCCAGGCCGAGATCAGCCGGAATCAGAGCCTATGCCTTTTCTGCTGTCCTTGTGTCCCCACTTTTTCTTACCATTCAGAAAACACAGGAAGGCTTGTTCACCTTGGACCATCAGGCTGGCATTCAAGATAAAGGCAATACCCAGCGTAGTAGCCATTTCATCTTCAAGTTTCTGATTTGCAACTCAGAACCCCTTTCCTATAGAAAAACATATTGGAAATGATGGTTAGGATTCCAGCTCAGCACACAAAATTCTGTTTAGCATAAAATGTGGCTGAATTCAGAACTCCATGGATTGCCAGCACTTAGAACACAACCTGACACATAGTAAGTGATCAGAAGATGTTTGTTGACTGAAGAATAACCTAACTGGTAGTTCTGATGGTAATAACTTTCCAGCAAACTCACTAGTAGATTCTGAATCACTTTGTAACAGTACTGTTTGTTGGGTGTGTGGAGGGGGTGCTGGTGGGGGGATTATTCCACTGTGTGATGAGAGAGGAACTCAGAGTCCCCAGGAACATTTCTCCCCCCTGCATCACCCCCAACCTCAAATCCACCCTTCTCCACCCAGAGCTGAGCTACAGTCACTCAGCTTGCAGGTGAAGGGAAAGGGGCAGCAATAGGAATGTGCTTTTCTGAACATGCCTTTTCCCTAGACACAGTCTTTGTGGCCATTTCCAAGTGGGGCAAAGAAAGAAGGGAAGTTGGAATCTCAGGAAACAGCTCTTATTCCTTGAGGCCCTGAGAGTTTACCCTGAGCTCTGACGAGAAGTTTTTCTAGGTACAGGATGTTCCTAAGTGAGGGCTTTGTCATTAGGACAGCATCAAGCCTCTATCCATCTGTCAACTTTTGTTAAATCAGAGTTTTCATCACCGAAGTCAGAGTTTTCAATCCAGATGTGTCACCTGGGGAAATTATTTTCCTTTTTTATAAGTTTTCTATAATGTGTCTTCCATTGGAAACATCTTCCATTTTCTGTTTTCATCATCATTATTTGGTGCCTGTCCATTGGACCCCAGCCCCTGTTCAGAATTTGCTTCCAGTGCCCTTGCTTGTCCCCTGAGGCTGGGGAAACAGAGAACCAGAAACCAAGCAGCAGGGGAATTCTCAGGTTGTTGGTGACTTTATTTTTCTATCTACCTGCAGAGGACCACAAAGAGTCAGAGCCATTGCCACAGCTGGAGGAAGAGACAGAAGAGGCCCTCGCCAGCAGTGAGCCTGCCTCCCCAAAGGGGGGCCCTCAAGATAAAGCAGGAGGGACATGAGGGTGACAAGCAGGGGCGGCCATGGCAGTGGCACCAGGCCCAGGCCTCAGCCAGATGAGAGAGGCTTGTTGGATTCTGGGAACCTGGGCAGGAAGAAGCCTGGGGGGGCTCAGCCAGCCTGGGGGGCCATGGGAGGAGGGTAGCTAGGAAAGAGAGCCTGAGGCCTGGAGAGGGAAGTGGAAGAGATTTTATTTTTAGAATGAGAAGATTAGAAAAACAGCAGGCCAGAAAGTAAAGTTCGGCATCAGAAAGGACTTCCTGACTGTGAAGGGTGTGCACGAATTAGGTTTGTTTGTTTTCCTTCCCTGGAGATCTTTACTGGGCAGAGTGAAGACAGCCAGGCTAGGGAGCGACAGCCTGTGGGGCGTTCAGAGCGACCTCTAGAGGTCAGCCCGGGACACACCACCCCTCTCTTCTCAGACTTGTACTCGGCACCCACCTCCTGCCAGGGCCGCTGCTACGAAGCCTTTGACAAGCACCACCAATGTCACTGCAATGCCCGCTGCCAAGAGTTTGGGAACTGCTGCAAGGATTTTGAGAGCCTGTGTAGTGACCACGGTTAGTCTTCTGCTCCCTTAGCTAAGCTGCAGAGACAGAAGGACTTTAGAGCAGGTTCTCAACATGTGGTCCCTGGACCAGCAGCTTCAGCAATGTCTGAGAACTTGTTAGAAACACAAACTCTGGGGCTTCACTCCGGGCCTACTTAATTAGAAACTCTAGGGATGGGACTCACTGTCCTGTACTACCAGGGCCTCCAGGTGGTTCTGATGCATGCTCAAGCGTGAGACCCCTTCTAGGGGGAAGGGGCGGGGGACATTCTGTGGGCAATGCCGTGTGGTGATTTTACACGTCCTTTAGGCTCTGGGCCCCTGTCCACCACTAGGGTGTCCAACTGTGGCCCCCCTCCCTCCTTGCTGGCTTCTTGAAGGTGCCCAGGAGGGGAGGTACACAGATAATTTCCTGCCCGCCCCCCTTTCCCTCTGGCTCTGAGGCCACCCCTCTTCCAATTCCTCCCAGAGGTCTCCCACAGCAGTGATGCCATAACAAAAGAGGAGATTCAGAGCATCTCTGAGAAGATCTACAGGGCAGACACCAACAAAGCCCAGAAGGAAGACATCGTTCTCAATAGCCAAAACTGCATCTCCCCGTCAGAGACCAGAAACCAAGTGGATCGCTGCCCAAAGCCGTGAGTTCCCACAATTCCTCTTTCTACCCCCTAAATCTTGCCCCTATCCTTGCTTCTTTCGATGTCTCGACTTTTTATCCTCAAGTCAGGCACGATCAAAGGGAGAGCAGAAAAAAAATAGTTCTCCAGAGACAAAGCCATCTTGAGGGACTGTGGATATCCAGTTGGGAGGGTTTCTGTGATTGGCCAGGCTGAGGATAGAACAGCTCTTCCAAAACATGAGGTGGAAGAAAAGTGACCTGATGTGTGACTTTCAAGAGTACCCGAAGTGCCCCCTCGGCTCCTGAACCCAGCCCTCGCCTGTCTGCCCCTGGCCTGTCTAGAAGTCTCTGGAGGGGTCGCTGCCCTGTGTTTGGGGCTCTCAGTGGGGCTCCCCTCTGCCTCCCCCAGACTCTTCACTTATGTCAATGAGAAGCTGTTCTCCAAGCCCACCTATGCAGCCTTCATCAACCTCCTCAACAACTACCAGCGGGCAACAGGCCATGGGGAGCACTTCAGTGCCCAGGAGCTGGCCGAGCAGGACGCCTTCCTCAGAGAGATCATGAAGACAGCAGTCATGAAGGAGCTCTACAGCTTCCTCCATCACCAGAGTGAGTGAGCACCCCCAGGCCCCAGAGCGCATGAGTCTGTCTGAGCGAAGCCAGGTGGGCGGGGGAGGGGAAGGTTAGGAGGGCAGGTGAGGAGGCGGTGGGGACTCTGTGGAGGTCAGTGTACATCTGGGAGGGATGAGGGATGAGGCCAGGGGGAAGCCAAGGAGAGGTTAGGAACCCAACCAGGAGCTGGCACATCCTCTGGCTGGCTGGCTTGGATATCACCCCACCTTTGACTTCATGTTAACTGCCTCATGCACGCCCACCCTCTGCTACAGTCTCAGGGTTCTCTGCCAGGTGTGAGCCTCCCCTCACATCCCACCCCCACCCAGAGCACGTCTCAGCCACCTCCGCGATCCTGGAGTCAGCACCATGTTTCAGACAGGTAGAGTCGCTGACTCTACTCCCTCCTCCCGCAATAAAGTCCAGGAATCGGGTTGGCTGAGTCCACCTTTTGGCTGGGGAAACAACATCAGAGAATCAACAAAGGTTCAGAGCGGGAAGTCCTATCGGGAAGAGTTGTGGTTGGAAAGCCTCCAGGTAGAGACACATTTGAGTCAGACCAAAAAAGATTTTGGCCGCAGGACTTCTTGGCATGGAGTTGTGTTTGTTACTGTCCTGCAGATTCCTTTCCCAACTCCAGGCAGCTGGGCTTTGTCTCAGGGGTGGCTCTGTCCGGGTCTTCCCTCGTTGTCCCTGAGAGTGCCTTGGCTCAGAGCTGCTGCCTCCCTTAAGAGTTGGTGACACTGTTTTTAGGTAAAGTGACAGCGACACAAGAGTGACTCTATGAAGAAGTTGCAATCCTGTGCTGCCCCCTGGCGTTCTCTTCGTAGTAAATACACAAGAGAATCTTGGAGGTCTAGACTGAGCAAGGGCTTTTCAAATGAGAGAAACGGAGGCCAGACAGGCTAGACTTATCTGAGGCCACAAATGAGTTGGAAGCGGAGCTGGGGCTGGAACTCAGGGTTCCGATGCCAAGGCCAGGCTGTCCCGTTACTAACTCTCTCCTCACCTCTCTCCTTGTCCAAATCCCACTTATCCTTAAAGTTCTATGATAATTCATATCCCACCGCATTTGTGAAGGCTGCACCTGCCCCAGCTCACTCTGGCTTTCGGCACCTCTGCAGAGTTTGGAGTGTGGTCCACAATAGCCTTGGGCCAGAGAGACTTGGTTTAAATCTTGGCTCTGCCACTTGCTAGTGACTTGACCCTGGGCAATTTATTTGACCTCTCTGGGACTTCCCTTTGAAATGGGGTTTTTGAGGATGACTGCTTATAAAGCACCCAGTAGAAAGCCTGGCACTCAGTCCTTGCTCAGTAAGGGGAACTATTCAGTGTGTGAAACCATTCTCTGTTATTTTATGTAGTCTTGTTTTCCAAATGTGTTTTAAGTCCTGGAAAGGAAGGAATATGTCTGGTATCTCTTTTGTATTCACCATATAAAATTGTGGGCAGTAAACAGTCAATCTTTGATGGTTCCCTCATTGAAATCTCCAGCCCTGAACTTTCCCAAGGGCCTTCTCAACATCTTCCACTTAGCTATCTAACTGATATTCACACAGAACCTAGTGTAGAAATAATTTTTGGTTCCCATCAAAAATACCTGCTCCTCTCTGGGTCTTCCCCATTTCATAAATGGCGGGCATAACCCATCCGGTTGCTCAGGCCAAAAGCCTAGTAGTTAGATGTAATTGTTCTCTTTACCTCAAAGTTCCCTACTCCCATCTCCTCCATCAGTAATGTAATGTCCATCACTCCCACTTCAAAATATGTCCTGGGCCTACTGCTTCTCTCTCCTCCTCCGGAGTTAACACCACCATCTAAGCCCCATCAACTTCTTACGTAGACAAAGCATGAGCCTCAAGACTGGTCTCTCTGCTTCCACTCATACCACCCCATTGCCTTTTTAACATACACAGCCAGGGTGATCTTTTAAAAGGTCCTATCATACAATTCCCCTGCTTAAAATCCTTCAGTGGCTCTGCACTACCAAGAAGCTATAGAGTTGTTAAAGAGATTGGTCTCTGGAGCTAGACTGAGTGGACTCAAGTGCTGTCTCTACCTTTCATTAACTGTGATCTTGCATGAGTTTTATACTTTGTCCGTCTCAGTTTCTTCATTTCTAAGTTGGGGATAATTAGTACCAAGCTTATATGAAGATTCAACGTGAGGATTCAGTGTTACATTGAAAGCACTTAAAATGGCAGGCACTAGGTGGACAGAAAGCAATTAGTAAATCTAAAACATTTTTTGTTTTATTTCTATTTGCCTGAGACCTGACCTTCTTGCCATGGCTTGAAGGATCTGACCCTTGGCTGCTTCTCAAACCTCCTCTCCTACCACTCTCCCCTCCTGCTCCAGCCTCACTGACTTCTTTTAGTTCTTTGAGTAGCAAACTCAAGTCTGCCTGGAGCCTTTGCTCTTGCAGTTCCCTCTACATGGAGGAATCTTCCCCACAGATCTTTGTGTAGCAAGTTCCTTATCCTTCAGCTCTCTGATCAGTGCTACCTTTTCACAGAGGCCTTTCTGATGTTCCTTTCTAGAAGACCCCCCCCCCCCGCCAACTTATGTGCCAGCCCTTTCCCGTCATTACGGGCTACTTTGCTTCATAGCACTGATCTGAAATCATATTTCTTATTGTTTACTTATTATTTGACTCCTCCAGTGGAATGTAATATAGATAGAGACCGTGTCCTTGCTATTCCCAGCTGAATCCTCAGCCTTTAGATCTGGATTTGGCACAAAATAGGCATCCCATAGATAATCATTGAATTAACAGCCGAACACATTTGTTGATTGAACCCACATGTTTCTTGACGTGTGGGAGCAAGTAGCTCTTCAGGTCTCTGTTTAGCGCTCCCAGGACCTGGCCCTGCCTCCCCTCTCCAAAACCCTTTGTGTTCCTCTGCAGATCGCTATGGCTCAGAGCAAGAGTTTGTCGATGACTTGAAGAACATGTGGTTTGGGCTCTATTCAAGAGGCAATGAAGAGGGGGACTCGAGTGGCTTTGAACATGTCTTCTCAGGTGGGAGCACTTTTCTTGGAAAGAAAGAGTTGGAGGGATGAAGAGGAATGGCTTTGCTCAGGAGCAGGGCAGCCCTGGGTGTGGATTAATCAGCAGTCCAGCCAGCTAGTAGGGAGGGACCCACGCACTCTCCCCTGCCCATATGGCAGGGGGGCGGGGGGGTGTCTGAGGAGCCATTCTGAGAAACAGTCTTTTCTGGAGTACCTAAGGGGGAAAGAAGACCAGATGCTGGGGCTCCCAAGGGGGTACATCTAGGACAAGACATGTGTCTGGGAGCAAGTTTGCCTACCTCTGAACAGTCCTTTGCTTCCAGGGCCTGGCCAGCTGCTTCCCAAGAGGGCCATGGTCTGTTCCCCCCTATTCTACCCCATAAAACTCCCACCAAGCCTGGCTTGCTGCTGGAGTAATGGCTGAGAGAGGTCATCAGGATCACCAGAAGGAAGGATTCTCCCAAGGGCTTGAGCCAGAAGGGGGGCCTTCCTGAGGTGAGAGATAGGACTGTGAGAGACTCTGGGGACTCACAGCAAGGGGTCAAGCAGCTAGAAGTCAGAGACTGGAGAAGGGGGAAGCCTTGGCATGGGGTGGAGAAAGGGGATTGGAGGGGAGGGTGGGGAAGGAGCCCAGATTATCCATCTTGGACTCTTTATTATAGGTGAGGTAAAAAAAGGCAAGGTTACTGGCTTCCATAACTGGATCCGCTTCTACCTGGAGGAGAAGGAGGGTCTGGTTGACTATTACAGTCACATCTACGATGGGCCTGTGAGTACACGGACTAGAAAAGCCTTGTCAGAGCCCAGATATCCTGCTCTCACTCTGTGTTCCAAACTGTCGACTTGCCTCTCAGCCTGACTCTCAGGGGGCAGCCCCAGGTGATTGTGACTATCACGTCCTCACCTGCTAGACAGCCACTTTAGCCAGCCAGGACACTGGAATTCCCTTCCAAACAGTGAAGGCTCTAGAACTGCAGGGGACAGGAGGCAGGAGGCACCATATCGGGGTGGGAGCCTGGGGCCTGGGGAGGATTCTCAGAGGGAAGAACAAAGATATGTAATTACTCCCTGCCTCAGTTTCCTTAGAACGTGGCTGAAAGTTTCAGCCTGGCTAGTTTGAGCTAAACTTCATACACTTTATAAGACAGAAACCTTTGCTGCCCGGTACCAGGAAATAATTTGGGGGCAGTAAACGATCCTTCTCTTCCATGTGTGAGGGCCACTGGGAACAGTGATATCCTTGATATCCAGAGGTGGATCCTATGGATAGTGATTTTGGCCTTTCTGGTAGATGTGCACTGGCAGCTCCAGGCAGAGGGTCCGGGTGGGCTCAGACACCTTAGCAAGGCAGACTGCCTCTTCTATTTAAAGAATCCAGTCTCCCTGGAAGGTTCACACAGGCCCCTAATGGACCCTCAACAAATACTGTCTGACTGTTGCCATTGGGCACCCGTTCTACTCCACTCTGTGGCACTCACCAGACCCCCTTTTCTGCCCTTCCCTCCACAGTGGGATTCTTACCCCGATGTGCTGGCAATGCAGTTCAACTGGGACGGCTACTATAAGGAAGTGGGCTCTGCTTTCATCGGCAGCAGCCCTGAGTTTGAGTTTGCACTCTACTCCCTGTGCTTCATCGCCAGGCCAGGCAAAGTGTAAGAATGGGGCCAGCCAGGCCTGGGGGCAGACTGGGGCTGCAGGCTGTCCTCAGCCATCACAGAGTCAAGAGACCTGGACTCTGCCACAAAGAGGCTGAGAGGGCTTGGACAAATCTGTGCTTTGGGCCTCAGTTCTCTTGCTTGAACAATTAAGTTTTTGGATTGGTTTGGTGGCTGCCAAACTTCATCTTAGCAGCAAAATTATCTCCCCTCATTCCCCCAAAGTGAAATCTTACGCAGGACCTTAATATATGAAATAGAAATGGAGTTGTCCTAGAGCTCTCAGCCTCTTTATTTGTCCCCTGAGGCTACTTAGGGGAACCTAGAGCTCCAGAAAGTACCATTAGGAACCACTGGGCTTCAAGTTCTCTAACATTCGGACACGTTGAGTTCTTCCACTTCTGAAACCCTAAGCAAATGTTTAATTTCTAAGGATTTCACCTCCAGAATCTGGGATTTTGGAATATTGCTCTGGGAAAGATGAGGAACAGCATTCTTTAAGAAGACAAGAAATAAGGCAAAGATTTTGAAATGGCTCCTTGCACATGGGGAGCTGGAGGCAGCTGCTGAAGAAAGCAGTGCCAGCTCTGTCTTTAAGGCTGTTTAAGCAGAATGGAGCCCTTCTGCTTCAGTTGGGCTTGATCCTTCCAGCCCAGGGAGAGGCAGCGTGAAGTGGGGAGCTCCTCTGATTTCAGGCTCTTTCCCCACAGGTGCCAGTTAAGCCTGGGAGGATATCCCTTAGCTGTCCGGACATATACCTGGGACAAGTCCACCTATGGGAATGGCAAGAAGTACATCGCCACAGCCTACATAGTGTCTTCCACCTAATAGAACTTCGAGCCAGAAAGGGGCATGAGGGCTCTTGCGAGACTGAAGTGCTATCTTCTCTGGACTAGAGAGAAGAGGGAGAGGACTGGAAGGGATCACCAAATCTCAAAGCAATGAGAAGCATTCCTAAATCCCAAAGTGCCCACATGGGAAAGAGATAAAATGTACAAATTAGAAAAATGTGGATAAACAGTCAAACCTTTATCCTCTAGAATTTTGGCAATGTTGACTAAGAAACAGAGTCCAAGCAGAGAAGGTAGGAACCCTCCATAGCTCTCTGCCCTGATGTGTGGGGGAACTAGGAAGAAGTCCTTTGACCTCACCAGGCCTCATGCTTCCCTTTAATGTAAAGGGAAGGGGTTTGCCCACTTTCCTCTTTTTGGGGTTGGTGAGAGGGCAAACCCTGATATTTTTACTGTGAAGGTGTTTTCAGTTGTTCTTAGGAAGAACAGCTGATAGAAATTCAAGATTACTATAATGGCTGTTATTATACACAGCTCTGTAAACTACCACTCAGCCCTGTGTTGGGGTCCTCAAAGAAGTAAGGCCACAGTAATCAAGCAAGGGCCTTTGGTTTTTTCCAGAGTTAGATCCTCTCAGAACAGAGTCTGGGAGAACTCCAATGCTGAATGGAGAAGGGTAATAGGTTGGTGCAGTGAATGGGCTGGGGGTGGGGTGGCCTTCTCCAGGCCTGAGTGTTTTTGTGTCCAGCTCAGTATCTGCAACAAGAAGTTTCCCACTTGTGGATGTTTAGTGCAGCCACAGACTTGTATTTTGATCCCCAATTTTTTTTTGAAAGAGTTCTCCTCATAGGAGGATGATTCAGCATCAGAAGAAGAAGGAACCCATAGCTTGGTGTCATTAACATAATTATTTTAAGCCTTATCCAGCAGCCATAATTTGAATAACTCTACGAGACCAGAGAGACTGTAGTTCCCTATTTTAACCTCAATTATGCATTTGTCCCCCAACCCCACTGAGAACTAAATGCTGTACCACAGAGCCGGGTGTGAACTATGGTTTAGAAGGTTCAAGTTTCCAATTAAAGTCATTGAAGAAAACTTGAAATGAGTGTCTTCTTTGTATATGGCCTCCCTCCAATGTCTGTCTCCCTGCCTTTTCCCTAGAGCAGGGCTGGCAGTGATACTTTTGCTCTAGAGTCTTTTCAGAATGGCTTGAAGAATGTGGTATCTGGGTGAAGTCTCTGTTGACTCACTAAGTCTCTCTAGCCAAGAGGGGAAGAGAATTCTGTAATATGAAGAGTGGAAGGATCATTGCATACAGATAGTGAGGCGGCCGGTGGGGGGGTGGTAAATGGAGATTGGTGGTCCCCATCCCCAATAACCAGTCCCCTTTATCAAATACACAGGAGTATAAGGACATTTCTGGATGTAGCTTCTGTGGTTGCAGAGGTTGACCACACTGGGGGAAGAGGAGATGCTAAAGAGATACAGAAAAAGACTTCTTATCTGTAAACAGATTACTCAAGCCACAATGCTAGAAAACGGTCAGGTATGAAGAGATACCTCGGGCAAGTTTATAGCCTGCAGATAGATGAAACAGGGCCTTGTCCTGCCCTTTCCCAGAGATGTTCACAGTCAATAGGCAAGACAGTGAGTCAGTAGAGCACAGGGGTAACAGGTACAGGCTCTGAAGTCATGTTGCCCAGGTACCTAGCCAGGCTCTGTTGCTTACTGGCCATATGAGCAAATTTCTTAATTATTCAGATTGTTTCCTCACCAGTCAAATGGGGATAATATTACCATTGTTGTGAGATAAGGAATGTGAAATAACATGCTAGTCTTTCTTATAGTAATTATTGTCTCACTTATTATACAGATTTAATTTTATACTGGGAGAGGCAATTTACTATCCCTGCTATCAGCCTTAACCTTCACCTACTGGTGCCCAGTACTTGTGCTCTTCATAGGCCTCTTCAGAGGTCTTCCAGGTAGTCCAGTAGGAGACAGAAAGACAGAAATGCAGGAGAGAGTACTGTATTCCAGGGTCTGGGCCTTAGCTTTGCAGGAGAGAAAGGTAAGAACTAACATTTGTTAAGCTGTTACCATGTCCCAAGCTGTGCTAAGTAGTCCTTTTATATTCATTTTCTCACTCTGGTGGGTATTTTTATCTTCACCACTTTAATTTTACCTAGACAACTGAGGATCAGATTAAGCCACATTCTTAGTCAGTAGCAGAATCAGGATTGCAAAATTCAACCCTTTTCCTCATGTTGTAGTGAGCCTGGATTTCTAGTAGTATCTACTCACTTATTCATTCATTATTTTTTAAAGAATATTTATTAAGACCCCTGACAGAGGCTGCTGGTTACCCCTCAGTATCTGCTCTCCTCTTCTTCCTTATTCACTGAAGTCTCAGTTTTTAGGTACACAAATGACTGTCAAGAGTACAGACTCTTGACCTCCCTTGCAACCAGAAGTAGGCGTGTGTCTATGTCCTCACCAATGGCATGCAAAAGGAAGTATTCTTAATGGGCAGGGGGTACCGTTATTCCCACTCTTGCCCTTTTCTGCCGACTGGATTTCAGACAAGATCGTGGGAGCTTGAGCAGCCAGCTTGAACCATGAATGAAAGCCATATGCTGAAGATCACAGAGCAGCCAGGAAGGAGCCTGGGTCTCACACCGAAACTGTCACACTAATCCTGGATTGCTTATATTCAGTTTTACATGAAAGAAAAATAATCTTTCATGTTTAAGCCACTCTTATTTTGGGCTTTCTGTCACATGCAACCAAACTTAACATAGTATCTCCATAACAGGAAGTCCCAAGGTTCATTTTCTTCCTAAAGTTACTTAGCTAATACTTCCTTTCTTAAGATTTACATTAACTGTCAGACTCTTTAACTATTTGAAAGAGCCCAATAATTGTTTTGGATATTAAAATTAATAGCATTTACAATCATTAATTGCAGCATTTTATTGTTGCAATAATAAACACTCCTGTTTATTTCCACTGACCATTACAACTGCAACACATAAAACACATAAAGAGGTTTGTCTCTTTGAAAATAACTCTTCAGGTATTAATGATAAGTTCAATTGAGATGACTGGAGTAAATGAATAAAAGAGACTTAAAAGAAAGGCATTATTTACACATTTTGTTGAAATCCATTTAAAGATAACTGCCAATAGAAGTGGGGAGGTCTGCAAGGAATCTAGGAAAGAACTTAAGGTGGCCTAGGTCTGAGCTCACAGGAGAGAAGGCTGCCATTGCAGGCACAGGTTTTGTGGGACAGCAGGAGCCTCAGAATTAGGTGATGATGACCATCAAAACCATTTGATTAACTTTTCTCACTTTGACTCTATATTCACTAAGCTACTTCTGATTATTGTATGGTTTGAGAGAGAAAAAGAGAGAGAAAAGCAGGGTCACCTAAGGGTCTATGAGGTTTTACTAGAGCAGCCAGCTAGCCCCCTTATCTCTCTTCTCAATCAACTCTGTCAGAATTAATAAAACAAATGTGGTTGCTTTTGTTAAAAACACCAGTAAATCAATATTTGCTTTTAAATACTTAATAAAAAAATTATTAAAAGTCAGTTCTCTATCTCCCTAATACAACCAAAGAATCATTTCATTAGTAAATATTTTGACGTACACTTAATGATTTGACTACTATGATTTTAAAATATAAAGATACCAATAATTAAGCAATGGGAAGGATGTGCTAATGATATGACCTTGTAAGACAGCACTCCAGCCTAGTTCTTCATTGATCAGCGCCTGGGTTAGTGGCTTCCAGCTTCAAATGCACAGCCGTATCCTATGCTTTAAAAAATTCTGATTGGCTTCACTCAAGACTAGTTACATCAGAATCTCTGGGATAGGACACAGAAATCAGTATACACACACACACACACACACACACACACACACACACACACACAGACACAAACACACACACACACACACGTGTATATGTATATACTCCCTAAGTGATTCCAAAGCTCAGTCAAGACTGAGAACCACCGATCTGGATTTTGAGGATATTTGAGGTTACAGTCCTGTTTTAAATGGAAAGTTTCATTTGTTTGTGTTTGCTTCTGTGGACTTCTGCAATTATTTTTGTTTTGCTTTCGTTTAAGAGTTGTCATTGCAACGAAGACTCCCTCACACGGGAAGCAGAAGCAAAAAGTGTTAAAAGTTTCGTTCTTTTTTCTCTGTAAGCCAGAGCATATCTAAAGACAGATTGTAACACTGGCACATGTCAAAGAAAGACTCAGAGATAGATTCACTTAGAAAAGGGGTTTACTTGCAAAAGATGCGAGGAGTTAGACGGAAGGACTAGTTTGCCAACCAGTACTTAAAGGGAAAAAAAAATCCCCTAAAATTACCAGGATTACCGGTTGACAGTAGTCTGTTCATGGTGGAAAAACAGTAACTTTCTCACATGGTTATTATACTCACAAAGGTCAGACAAATTAATGTCACAAAGGTCAGAGATTAGCAAGGTAAATATTAGGGATTAAACTGTTTAAGGGAGTCCAGGGAAATATTCAAGGTTTTATTGTTTTGGAGATCAGAAAATCAGGATGATCCTGCAGTTTTTGGGTTATCTCCTTTTAAGCTTAGTCATATTGGAAGCAGGCAGAAGGCTCAGATATTGCTTTTACATACCCTCAAGCCACCAAGCTGGTTCCATCCTGAGAAGGAAGTCACGAAGCTGACTTCTGCGCGCGCTCAAGCCCAGGCTAAAGGGGGCGGGGCGAGGCCGCGGGGGCTTGTGGGGAAGCGCAGGAGGCGGGGCTTTGCGTGAGTCACTGCCGGGCTCGGCGTGAGTCGCTGCGGGGCTGACGGGGTGGCAGTGCGGCGGGTTACGGCCTGGTCAGGTGAGCGGGCGTTGCGGTTCTCGCTGCCCGGAGCAGCGTAGGAGATCCTTGGGGTGGCCGGTGGGAGGAGGGGTAGCGGTTATGGGTACCGGTGAGGCGGGGCGGGCCGGGGCTGGCGGTGGAGGCGCGCGTTGAGGCGGCGCGTCGGTGTCCAGGGCAGCGGCGTCTCGGGTCGCGCGTTCCCGGAGGGGCTCGCCCCCGCAACCCGGGCCTGCGCGCTCTGCTTTGCAGGCGGACCCTCCACCCTGCTGCGATTTTGCAGTGCTCGGGAAGGCAGAGCCGCCCTCCCGCAAAGACCGAGGTGGGGCCCGCCCCCTTGCGGCGTGGGTGTGCGGTGTTCGCCGGGACAGCGGGTGTGAAAGTGATACCCCCAGCGCTGGAAGTTTTTGATTGCTGGCTCGCACCCCCGCCCCATCGCAGGGTCCCTGGGAGAGTTTTTGGGCCTGCTCGAGCAGCAGCGGTGATGGGTGAAATGGAAAAGCATCTAACCCCCGTCAGCATCTCACTGACTTGTTGCGCTTTTATTCATTTATTTGAGTTCCCAACAAAGCGTTGTACTAGTTTTGTTTTTGAATGAGTTGTGCATATATGGTCAAACATGGACACTGCCTGAAAGAAGCTTAAACCTAATTTAGTTGTTGAGGCTACGAGTCAGAAGACCTATCTGCATCTGCAACTGTCCCTTCTTAGTGAGGTATTTTTCACTGTCCTAAACAAATGTTTTTCTAATTCCGTCTCTCTCCCTCCCACCTTACTTCTCTTCCCTCCGCCTAAAGCTTTGACTCTTCTCCTACCTTTTTGGAGATTTTGCCCCATCACTCATCCTTTTTCCTGTATCTTTTACTTTGTTGCTTTTTCCCCAGACTATGCTCAAGAACAAGTCTTATATTATCAAAGGCAAATGTACTGTAATCTCCATATAATCTCATTTACGTAACTCATTTCATTCCCCCCCCTCCTTTTTTTTTGGTCCCAGGCTGGAGTGTAGTGGGCCCGTCACCGCCCACTGTGGCCTCGATCTCCCGATCCTCCCACCTCAGCCTCCTGAGTAGCTGGAACTATAGGCACCCTCCACCACGCCTGGCTAATTTTTGTGTTTTTAGTAGAGATGGGGATCTCGAAGTGTTGCCCAGGCTGATCTAGGAACTCCTGAGCCCAAGCTATTCCCCCTGCCCCCCAACCTCTGCCTCCCAAAGTGCCGGGATTACAGGCATGAGCCACCTGCGGTTGGCCTTCCACCCTTTAAAAAAAATCTTATTGAAACTCTAAATAGAGGTCAGGCGCGGTGGCTCATGCCTATAATCCCAGCACTTTGGGAGGCCGAGGTGGGCGGATCACTTGAGGTCAGGAGTTCGAGACCAGCCTGGCCAACGTGGTGAAACCCCGTCTCTACTAAAAAAAAAAAAAATACAAAAATTAGCCGGGCGTGGTGGCCTGCACCTGTAATCCCAGCTGCTCGGGAGGCTGAGGCAGGAGAATCACTTGAACCTAGGAGGTGGAGGTTGCAGTGAGCTGAGTTTGCGCCACTGCACTCCAGCCTGGGCGACAGAGCAAGACTCTGTCTCAAGAAAAAAAACAAAAACTCTGAATAGTCTTTTTATGACTAAATATAATGCACTTTCTTTCCCTCTGTGGCATTTGGCACTGCTAACCTCTCACTTTCTTCAACTCATTTTTTGTCATCTGTAACAGTACACTCTAGGTTTTTCTCCCAACTGTCTAGGTGCTACTGCCTACTTTTTTCTTCCTTGGCATCTCTTTCTCCGTTTAGTGTTCTCCAGGTTCACCCCATTCCCCAGTTGTCACAATGGTTAAACATGGCCACATCCTTGATTCTAGCTTCTACCTTTCTGCTAGTGACACCGGAATTTATCTCTATTCCTACATAGCTACCTATGGGGTATCTCTTCGCCCCATTAGCACTCAAATTCAGCATATCCCAAACAAATAATCTGACTTTCCGTTTGCCCTCCAACTTTGATGCCTCTTTTCCTTTTAACATTGTATTTCTTGACTCAAAATGGCATCAGTAATCTTACCGGGGTCCCAAGCCAGAAATCTAGGCCACTGTTTGAGTCTTTCTCTGTTCTCCAACACCTCAGTCTAGTCAGTCATCAAGTTCTTTTTATTTTACTACCTTGATATTTTCACATAACTTTCAGAATATAGGTTAGACCTCATGGCCTGCCATTTCAAGTCTGTCCCATGTCCACCTCTTTAATTTTCTTTTCCTTCATTCTCCCTCATAATTCCTCACTCTGCCTGCCCACTCCTCCCTGTTAGTCACTTGGCGGGCCCCTTTGAAATCCAGCTAAAGTTCCAACACCTCTGGGGACTCCTTCCGTGACACCACCACCCTACTATCTGATCCATGCCTATTTTTTGCAGTCAGTTCCATAGCATCTGTATGTACCTCTGACGCAGGGTTCTCAACCAGGGGTTATTTTACCTCTCAGGGAACATTTGGCAGTGTCTGGGATTCTTCGTTGTCACAATCCATGAGAGGAAGGGATAATCCTGGCACCTAGTTGGTAGAGGACAGAAATGTTGCCAACCCTCCTACAATGCACAGGACAGCACTCTTAAAATAAATTTTTTGGCCCAAAATGTCAGTAGTCCCAAGGTTGAGAAACCCTGCTTAACATATTTTGTTACTAGTGCTTTATATATTTTTTTCTTCT
Source organism: Homo sapiens (assembly GCF_000001405.40). Lineage (NCBI taxonomy): Eukaryota > Metazoa > Chordata > Mammalia > Primates > Hominidae > Homo > Homo sapiens. Next base: position 47,703,270 of record NC_000012.12, on the reverse strand, counting down.
CCACTGCACAAGGGACCTTGTCTTGTTTTTGCATCCCTAAATCTTGATTCAGGGCCTTTCACATAGTAGAAGTTAAATGTTGGAAGAAAAAGAAATAAAGGAGGTAATCGCTCAACTCCAGAGATGAGCAGCCTGTCTGCTACCACAGGCTACCTGATAATTTCAGTGATTTTTCTCCCCATTACCTTTCTTTAATGTTGCCTTTCAAGGATGCTTCAACTTGTCTATTTTTCATTTGTTTATTCAGCAACTGATTTATTTTTAAAATATTATATTGATTTTTCTTTATTCAGCATCAGTTGGCTGTCTTCTGTCCATGTATCTTGGCCACTTATGAAGTGGTAAAAGATAATTAGCTAGCTTTCAGAAAAATAAACCAAATAGGCCTATTCTTATCAGAGGTTGGTTGTTCAAAACTCTGCAGACCATAATGACTTCAGCAAATAAAGCAATCGAATTACAACTACAAGTGAAACAAAATGCAGAAGAATTACAAGACTTTATGCGGGATTTAGAAAACTGGGAAAAAGACATTAAACAAAAGGATATGGAACTAAGAAGACAGAATGGTGTTCCTGAAGAGGTAAATTAAGAATTCGTAATTAAGATCCACCAAAACTAATTTTATAAAAATAAAGCATAACTTTTAAAAATGTTTTGTGAAAATACTGAAATTGAAGTGACTTGCTTCACTGTCAATTTTCTTTTCTTTTTTTTTGTGATGGAGTCTTGCTCTGTCACCAGGCTGGAGTGCAGTGGCGCGATCTCGGCTCACTGCAACCTCCGCCTCCTGGGTTCAAGCAGTTCTCCTGCCTTAGCCTCCTGAGTAACTGGGACTACAGGCGTGCACCACCACGCCCAGCTACTTTTTGTATTTTTTTTTTTTTAGTAGAGACGGGGTCTCATCATGTTGGCCAGGATGGTCTTGATCTGTTGACCTCAAGTGATCCACCCACCTCGGCCTCCCGAAGTGCTGGGATTACAGGCATGAGCCACCGTGCCCGGCCCACTGTCAGTGTTTTTAGAAATTCTGCTTTTCAAAAAGTCTTTGTAATAATTAAATATATTACCATATTTTAAGGCTTAGTGAGTAGTTACTGAAGGGATGATCATGTGATAATACTTAGAGGTAAATAAATGACTAGCATCATAAAATATGTAGAGGTGTGTGTGTATAAAAATAATATGTGTAGTTATATACTAATGATATATTAACATACCATATTGGCATAAAAATGCAGATAGTACCTAGGTTCAACCAAAAGTTTTTCTTAAGACTGCATTTAAATATGGCTGGGTTTTTCATACTGTACATAATATGGAGGCAGTTCAGTTTGTCTTTGCACTACTGCTGGTTCATCGTACTAAGGCTGAAGATAGGTCGTTTTTGAAGTTTGAATTTAGGATTGCAAATTAAAGGTATAATTAGAATTTCTAGGTAATACTTTTTTCTTGTGATTGAACAATGTTCAACACTCATCAAAGTATGAATTAAACTTTTAAAGTATAATTGTTATAAGTGAAGGTGGTAAATTGGTCTTTTTAAACACTTTAAAATTAAAAAATTCTTAGAAGAAAATATAGTGAGAATTTTAAACATAGCTAGTTATACAAAGAGTAACAGAGCATAATACTCACAACTTTGTGTTTTTTTTTCCCTCCTTAGAATTTACCTCCTATTCGAAATGGGAATTTTAGGAAAAAGAAGAAAGGCAAAGCTAAAGAGTCTTCCAAAAAAACCAGAGAGGAAAACACAAAAAACAGGATAAAATCTTATGATTATGAGGCATGGGCAAAACTTGATGTGGTAAGTTAATCTAGTCATTTGCTTCTTAATATTTGAGTAAAATTTTCTGGGAGTTAGCTGATAATCATGGGTTAAGTGAAAAATAATGTAGAGTTATGGCCTGTGTTTTTCTCTTATTCATGATTTTATGTGGAATAAACATTTAATGACATAGCTCTTTAGTTAATGAGATAATTTTTTTTTCTGCAATCCTCTTTCAGCAAATGGTGGCTAAAACAGCCAGGATTTTATTCTTTTTTCTTTCTTTTTACAAAAATTACTGTTTACTTATTACTATTTATTTATCCAGTGTGCTCTTCATCCAGTTTCCTCTGGTGGTTACATCTTTCTTAGCTGTAGTATACAGTATCAAAACTAGGAAATTGACATTGGTACAGTGTGTGTATGGTTCTGTGTTATTTTATCCCATGTGTAGGTTTGGATAACCCAGCCGCAATTAAGATACAGATATATGGCACCACCACAAAGATTCCCTTTGTGCCATCCCTTTATAGTCATACTGCTCCTCTCTACGCCACCTTCTCTAACCCCTAAACAGTCAGAATTCTAAGATACTCCCAGAAAAGAATGACTGTGCAGATGTCTTTGTCATAAACTGAAGGACCTGTAGAAATGTGCTAAAAGAGAATGCCTTTGTGTCTAGTCTTAGGACTGGGGCTGTGTGACGATAAACATAGGCCTATCTTGATCCTAGGAAGTTGGGCTTCTTTACCCTTCTAGACTGGGATAGCAGATATGTGTCCTCCCATCTCCCACATGTGATACACAACATACTTGGAGAATCACCATCAGTGCTCTGCCTTACAACCCTTTACCAGTGTTTCAAGCAGCCACTGTCGTGTCAGCCTGTGAAAGAGAACCTGTTGGCCAGCCCTATTCTGCACTGTGATCTACTTTAAGGGTTGATGTGGTTAGGGGTATGTATGTTGGGGGATGTGATAACCAACTGATGAATTTGGAATATATATTCCTCTTTAGTTTTTAAACAAGTGTTTATTACGTAATATTTGATTCATACCAAAGAATATGTAGAGATGTATGTTCTAAAGCATAGTAATAAAATGAATACATGAGCCTACCATCTAACTTAAAGAGAATTTTTCCAATATTATTGAAGCTACTGGTATGCTCCTTTCTAATCCCATGTTCTTTTCTCCCCTCTACTCCCAGAGGTAACCACTGTCTGATTTCTCTGTTTATTATTTTCTTTGCATTTTTCTGTTTAACATTTTTACTGAGGTATAATGTGCATCAAGTCCAAAAATCTTAAGTGTGCATCTTCCTGAATTTTTACTCAAGTGTACACCTGTGAAACCACTGTTTGGATCAAGATACAGAACATTCTGGGAGGCTGAGGCACGAGAATGGCTTGAACCCGGGAGGCGGAGGTTGCAGTGAGCCAAGATCACACCACTGCACTGCAGCCTGGGCCACAGAGGGAGACTCTGTCTCAAAAAAAAAAAAAAAAAAAAGAACATTTCCAGCCTCGCAGAGGCCTTCCTTTCAGTAGATGACCTCTGAAAAGTAGCCACTGTTCTGACCTCTTACACTGTAGATAGTTTTGGAATTTCATATAAATGATTATACCGTATGCATTATTTAAGTTTGGCTTCTTTTGCTGTCATTATATGAGATCCATATTGTGAGTAGCAGCAGTTCTTTTTCATTGCTGACCAGAATTCCATTGTGTGGATGTCTCAATTTTTGTGTCCATTCTCTTATTGATAATACTTTTGTATTGTTGGCGGTTTGGGGCTATGATGAATAAACCTGCTGTGAACATTCTTGTATTTGTCTTTTGGTGGATATAAGCACCCTAGAGGGGATTTGCTGGGTCATAGTTTATAAATACATGTAGTTTTAGAAAATACTGTCAAACAGTTTTCCAAATTATTTGTGTGGTATTTTTCTTAATAAAACTAAGGCTAATTAAAAGAGCGCTGGGACTTTTATTTAGTTTGCCATCTGCTTCAGGATTGTCCCAATATAAGAGAGGTAAAATTTTGAGTCTTGAATTTATCACTGTTGGAACTACTTTCTGAAAATAGAATTTATTCTCAAGTTCACGTAGCCTGTCTTCATTTTTTGTGTGTGTGACTTTTTGTTATATAGCCTGTTCCTTTTCATCAGTTGGTGTCTTCTTATAATGCCCTTTCCTGAAAGGCATCATCTCAGATGATTTCTTACAGAGATGTTTTCTACACTGGCATTTACTCATTCAACAGATATTGATTGAGCTCCTGCTGTATGTGGACAATGCCATCAAGATTGTACTGCATAGCTTGCAGTTGTCATTTTGGTGTCTGTATACAAGATATGGTTGTTTAATTCCCATTTCATTCTAGTTCAGATCTGAGCAGCTGCTTTAGTGTTCTGCTGCTGTTAGTTTTCTATACATGTCAGCATAGCAGGGTTGGATAATCCTGGCAGCAATGTTGGTAGGCTGGTGGTATTTCTAGAATCTTCATGCTAAAACACATAGCTAAATTTTAGTCCATGTTTCAATGTTCATTTAATGAAACTATGCATAATTTTTTTATTTTTATAAGCAATTTTTTTCCTACGTAAATAACTTTAGTGTTTGAATGCAAAAAGAATTTTGTTTACATAATAATTAAAGTTTGTATTTAAATGTGCTTTAATGAACTCTAATGGTCGTCACGGTGGCTTACGCCTGTAATCCCAACACTTTGGGAGGCTGAGGCGGGCAGATTGCTTGGGCTTAGGATCCAGACCAGCCTGGGCAACATGGCAAAAGCCCGTCTCTACAAAAAATAAAAAAATTAGCTGCGCATGGTGGTGCATGCCTATAGTCCCAGTTACTTGGGAGAGCGAGGTGGGAAGATGGCTGGAGCCCGGGAGATGGAGGTTGCAGTAAGCTGACATCACACTACTGCACTCCAGCCTAGGCAACAGAGCCAGATGCTGTCTCAAAAATAAAATAAAAATAAAATCTTACTAAAAATCATTGTTTTATCATATAAAAAATAAGAGGAAAATTCTGGTGGAGGTCTATGAAATTATTTATTACCATGAAAGTAGTGTGAGTCAAAAGAGATTGAGAATCGTGGGACTAGCACATTTTTTATTTTTCCTTTAGTAGAGGCAGCTATATGTTGGAATACACCGAGAGACAGTATAACATATCGATTGAGGGCTCTTGGAGGAAGTAGACTTGGTCACTTACTAGCTGAGTGACCTTGAATGAGTTAACTAACTTCTGCATTTCAGTTCCCTCAAGTGAAAAACATGGGTAATTATACCTTCCTCATAGGTTATTGTGAAGATTAGGAGTTAATGTGCTCTTTTTTTTGTTCGTTTTAAAATAGCAGTTTTAAAATAGCAGTTTTTTGTTTTAAAATAAGGAAGAAAAAAATTTTTTTTTAAACTTTTTCTGCTACTGGGTGCTAATTATATTAGTTTAGGGCTATTTGCAAACTTCCTTTAAGCCATAAGACCTAACTGCTAATAGTTCGTGATTTAGGGGTGATTTGTACAATCTGTTGACTTAGCTTTATGAGTTCAAAGTCAGATTTTTGGTTTTGATCTTGGTTTTCTAAGCTAAGGCATCTTTTTCTCTGGATATAATCTTAACAATGAGAGATTTGGGTTGCTTTGTAAGGCTGTAGGTCCTTAGATTGTAACAATTTACATTCATTTGAGTGTATTTTTTTAGTATGTCTTTTTTTCTTTTTTTTCCTAATCATATAATTATGACCCCTGTTTTCCGTCTTTTGATTTTAGGACCGTATCCTTGATGAGCTTGACAAAGACGATAGTACCCATGAGTCTCTGTCTCAAGAATCAGAGTCGGAAGAAGATGGGATTCATGTAGATTCACAAAAGGCTCTTGTTTTAAAAGAAAAGGTACTAATTAGTTAGGTTTTGTTTTTTTTCATGTAAGCAGGAGATGTTGAAAATCATGTGGATCGTAAAGTTTCTTGAGCATAGTTTTAGTACGTGTTTAAACTTTATGTTGTTTTTGGCTACATCCCTCTCTGGAGGCATTGTAACATGGTGGTTAGGAGTACATGCTCTGGAGCCAGATTACCTGGGTTCAAATCTCTGATAAGTTCTTTAAACTTCTGAACTTCAGTTTTCTCATCTGCAAAATGATAATATTACCAACCTCAACGGGTTCTTATGGGTAGTAAGTGAACTATTCTATGTAAAATGCTTGGACTGTACCTGGAGTTGTCCAGTGTTTTTAGTAGTAGATTGAAGTAACTTGAAATTAGTGTGTGATTCTTGGCGTAAATATTATATTCCACTCCCGGGTATCAAAGGCTATCTTTGGTTACTTTTTGGAATGTTCAGTATCTCCCTGAGGGATGCCTCATTATTATAAAACCAGCTATATTACTTTCACAAAGGTGGAACTCTTTTCAGATTAAACTCTTGATGCTTTTTTTTGGTTACATTTCTGTAGGTTGGCATTGTCAATAAGGAGTATAATGCTGGGTATTTTACTCATTTTTCTGCCTGGGCTCTTGGGTTGTACCCATACAGTGACCATGTACAGTTACCCTTGAACAGTGTGGGGTCAGTGCCTCATGCAGTAAAAAATCTGCATATAACTTTTGACTCCCCAAAAACTTAACTACTAATAGCTTACTGTTGACCGGAAGCAGTATGGATAATACAAATAGTTGATTAGCACAAATTTTATGCGTTATATGTATTATATACTGTATTCTTACAAAAAAGTAAGCTAGAGAAAAGAAAATGTTATTAGAACATTTTAAGGAAGAGAATGTGTATTTATTTATATAAATATATTTCACTGTGTAGAAGTGGATCTAAAGTCTTCATCTTTGTCATCTTCATATTGAGTAGGCTGAGGAGGGGGAAGGGGAGGAGTTGGTCTTGCTCTCTCGGGTGGCAGAGGCAGAAGAGGTGGAAAAGGTGGAAGGGGAGGCAGGCACACTTGGTGTAGACTTCTATTGAAAAAAATCTACATTTAAGTGGACCCATGCACTTCAAACCTGGGTCGTTCAAGGGTCAACTGTAGTGAATTTCAGAATTTGTAAAAAAGATCATTTTATATAATTTTCTTTCAGGGCAATAAATACTTCAAACAAGGAAAATATGATGAAGCAATTGACTGCTACACAAAAGGCATGGATGCCGATCCATATAATCCCGTGTTGCCAACGAACAGAGCGTCAGCATATTTTAGACTGAAAAAGTAAGGACTTTCTGTGACGTGTGTGAATGTGAATGTCTTATGTATATATGGAGACTTATTAAAAAAAAGTGTGGAATAAAGTGTGGAGGACAGATTGAAAATGTATTGCATTTTCTTTTCAACTGTAAATTCTTATAGCTCACTCCTTTTTATTGAATTATTTTGTTTAAGCCATTTTAAACATCTGGTGCTAAAACCTTGTTCCCATAGCTCACTTTACTGAGGTATTCCTCTAAAGATTTAGTAATAGTGTTCTTTTCTAATTCACAAAGCTAAAAAAGTTAGTTGGATATTTTTAGAAATTAATATCCTGTCATTTTGAAAAACCATTTATCCACTATTTAATCTAGAGAACATTTATTATGGAAAACTTAAAATATGTTTCAACATTTGTTTGTCTTTAAGTCATACTGACTTTTAAAGTAAATAATGTGGAAGAATATAAATGTGGTATTGTCTTATCACATGCAGGTAACCAACCTATCATAGGGGTTTTTTAAAAAGATAAACACCATCAAGGAAGACATTCTTACTGTTTTAATTATTTGGAAATACAAATTTTATTGGTATCTGAATTTTTACTATTTAACATTTTTATGTCTTTGAAACTCATGATATTAATCTCTAAAAATTAGGGGAATATTTACATTTTATAATATTCGATATCTGCAATATATGTAGCATATACATAAATTACAGAGAATAGTTTAAAATAAGCCTATAAAGCACCCCTCTCAACTTAAGAACCAGAACATTACCATTATTTTTGAAGTTACCTTGATGCTCCTTTCTGTATCCTGTCCCTTGCCTCCCTCCCAGTTAACCACTATCTTGAATTATATATTTGTCATCCTTTTGATTTAAAAAAGGTTTATTATATATGTATATGTTCCTAAATAATATATAGTATAATCTTGCTTATTTTTGAGCTTAAAAGTATATCATACTGTGTGTAGTTTTCTGTGGCTCACCTATTTATTATATTTTTATGATTCATTCTTGTTTTGATGCTTATAGCTCTAGAGCTCTCATTGTAACTGTTATATAGGATAATTTCTTTTTAGAAATATACCATTATGTGTCTATTCTTGTGTTGCTGGATTGTTGGTTCGTTCCTTTCTTCCTTTCTTTTTCTCTCTCCCTCCCACTCTTTCTTCCCTCCTTCTGTCCCTCTTTCTTTCTATTGCCCACCTTCTGTCCTTTCTTTCCTTATTTCAGCAATGCTATGAACATTTTTGTACATGTTTCTTGGTGTTGGGTCATAAAATGTGTAGATGTTCAGCTTCACAGGATGATGGCAAAGGTAGTTTGTTGTTACACAGTTGTTACAAAGGTAAATGGATGAGTTTACATTCTCATTAGCAGTGTATAATAATACCTATTTCCTACCCTTACCAACATTGATATAATTGGGCTTCTTAATTGTTTTCAATCTGGTGGGTGTAAAATGGCATTTCATTGTGTCTTTGAAATGACATTTTGCATTTCTCAGCTATTAGTAAGGTTTTCATTTCTCAACTATTAGTAAGGTTAAGCATCTTATATATTTTCCATTTTTGTTTTTTTCTTTTTTTTCCCTGTGAAATGCCTATTTGGTGTTTGGCCATTTTTTTTTTTAGGGCTTTTCCTATTGATTTATTTTGAGAGTTCTTTATTCTGGATAACTAATCTTTTGGTCTTTTCCATAATAACTATCTTCTCTCAATTTGTAGCTTATCTTCTTTATGGAATTTTAATGAATAGAAACATTCAATTTTAATATATTTCAACTTCTTGATTTTTTAAAAAGATTAGGACTTTATAAAATGATTTGTTCAAAAAAATAGTTTGCTGCTTGAGTTCCTAATAGTCTCCTCTAATTTCTTCTAAACATTTTTAAGATTTACTTTTCACATTTAGGTGTTTTCACATATGCTGAAGGTTTTTCCAGCTCTATTTTTGGAATAGCCCTACTTTCCCCCGTGGATCTGCCGTGCTACTATTGTCATATGTCATGTTTGCCGAGATCACTTTCTCATCTCTGTTCTTTACACTGGTCTGTTGCCTGTCCTTACATCCATTCCACACTATCTTTAATTATTATAGCATTGTAATTGTAAGTCTTAATATTTAGTGTACTGCATATTCTCCTACCTTTTATTATTCAGGAATGTCTTGGGTATTCTTGGACTTTTACTCATCAATATAACTTTTAGAATCATCTTCCCAAATTCGTTAAAATATCCTGTTGGGATTTTGATTAGAATTGCATTAGATTTATAAATCAGTCTGGAGAGAATCATATTGTATGTTTTTGTACTTTATTATAGATGAATGTGAAATATCTCCACTTAGATTGTCATTAATGTCTTTGAAAACAGTCTTACAATTTTTTGCATCTGTGTTTGGTAGGTCTTTGTTAGATGTTTTGTTTGTTTGTCTCTTGTTGGTCTCTCGTAGTCACCTTACTAAACTTGTAATACTTCCAGCAATGTCTCTAGATTGTTTTGAGTTTTCTTTTTGGACCATCTTATCATTTGAGAATAATTTCAGGCCTTTTTCTTTGTTTCTAGTCCTTGTGTTTCTTTCTTGTGGAACTGCATTGGTAAAGACCTGTATGTAATACCAAGAAAAAGCAGTGATAATGGGCATTCTTGTTTCTCTCATTAAAGGGAATGCTACTAATGTTTCACCATTAGGAATTATAGGCATACCTTGTTTTGTTGTGTGTCGCTTTATTGCGTCCACAGATACTGTTTTTACAAAACGAAAGTTTGTGGCAACCTTATATCAGGCAAGTCAAGCAACTCTATTGGTGCCATTTGTCCAACAGCATGTGTTTACTTTGTGTCTCTATGTCACGTTTTGGTAATTGTTGCAGTATTTCAGATTTATTATAATTGTATCTGTTATGGTGATCTCTGATCAGGGATCTTTGATGTTTCTATTGTAATTGTTTTGGGGAGCCATCAAGCACACCCATATGTTGTTGTGCATTCTGTCTGCTTCATTGACCAGCTACCCCCGACCCCCCATCTCTCTCCTTCTCCTTGGGCTTCCCTATTCCCTGAGACACAACAGTATTGAAATTAGGCCAGTTAATAACCGTACAGTGAGGCCAGGCATGGTGGCTCACACCTGTAATCCCAGCAATTTGGGAGGCTGAGGCGGGCGGATCACTTGAGGTCAGGAGTTGGAGACCAGCCTGGCCAACATGGTGAAACCCTGTCTCTACTAAAAATACAAACAATTAGCCAGGTGTGGTGGCGCATGCCTATAATCCCAGCTACTTGGGAGGGTGAGGCAGGAAAATCACTTGAGCCCAGGAGGCAGAGGTTGCAGTGAGTTGAGATCATGCCGCTGCACTCCAGCCGGGGCGAGAGAGTGACGCTCTGTCTCAAAGCAAACAAACAAACAAACAAAACCCTACAGTGGCATATAAGTATTCAAGTGAAAGGAAGACTTGCAGATCTCTTACTTTAAATTGGAAGCTGGAAATGATTAAACTTAGTGAGGACGGCATGTCGAAAGCCAAGACTGACTGAAAGCTAGGCCTCTTGTGCCAGTTAGCCAAGATGTGAATGCAAAGGAAAAGTTCTTGAGGAAATTAAAAGGGCTACTCCAATGAACACAAATAATTAAAAGCAAAAGAAGCTTATTGTTGATGGGGAGAAGGTTTTATTGGTCTGTATAGAAGATCAAACCAGCCACAACATTCCCCTGAGCCAAAGTCTAATCCAGTGCAAGGCTCTAATGCTCTTCAATTTAGTGAAGGTTGAGAGAGGTGAGAAAGCTGCAGAAGAAAAGTTGAAAGCTAGCAGAAGTTGGTTCATGAGGTTTAAGGAAAGAAGCTGTCTCCATAACATAAAAGTGGAAGGTGAAGCAGCAGGTGCTGACGGAGAACCTGCAGAAAGTTATCCAGAAGATCTAGCTAAGGTAATTGATGAAGGTTACTGTGTTAAACAACACACACATTTTCAGTGTTGACTAAACAGCCTTCTGTTAGAAGACAGTGCCATCTAGGGCGTTCACAGCTAGAGAGAATGCCTGGCTTCAAAGGACAGTCTGATTCTCTCTCTTGTTAGGGGCTAATGCAGCTGGTGACTTTAAGTTGAAGATAGTGTTCATTTACCATTCCAAAAGTCCTAGGGCCCTTAGGAATTATGCTAAATCTACTCTGCCTGTGCTCTATAAGTAAAACAACAAAGTCTGGATGACATCTATTTATGAACTGGTTTACTGAACATTTTAAGCCAACTGTTGAGACCTACTGCTTAGAAAAAAAGATTTGTGGGAGGCCGAGGCGGGCAGATCACAAGGTCAGGAGATCGAGACCATCCTGGCAAACACGGTGAAACCCTGTCTCTACTAAAAATACAAAAAATTAGCCAGGCGTGGTGGCGGGCACCTGTAGTCCCAGCTACTTGGGAGGCTGAGGCAGGAGAATGGCGTGAACCCGGGAGGCAGAGGTTGCAGTGAGCCAGATCGTGCCACTGCACTCCAGCCTGGGCGACAGAGCAAGACTCTGTCTCAAAAAAAAAGAAAAAAAAAAGGATTTATTTCAAAGTAGTGTACTGACAGCGCACCTACTCACCCAAGATCTCTGATGGAGATGTACAAGGACATGAATGTTGTTTTCATGCCTCCTAACACAATATCCATTCTGCAGCCCATGGATCAAAGAGTCATTTTCAATTTCAATTCTTGTTATTTAAGAAATACATTTCACAGGCTATAGCTGTCATAGATCGTGATTCCTCTAGTGGATCTGGACAAAGTAGATTGAAACCTGGAAAGGATTAACTATTTTAGATGCCATTAAGAATGTCCATAATTCATGGGAGGAGGTCAAAATATCAGTGTTAACAGGAGTTTGGAAGAAGTTGATTTCAACTCTTATGGATGACTTTGAGGGGTTCAAGATTTTAGCGGAGGAAGATGTCACCGAATTGCTGCAATCTTGTATTCAAACTTGAATGGATGGTCAGTTGATTCTTATGGATGAGCAAAGAAAGTGGTTTCTTGAGATAGAATTTATTCTTGGTGAAGGTGCCGTGAACGTTTTTGAAATGACAACTGAAGATTTAGAACATTATATAAACTTAGTTGATAAAGTGGCAGAGTTTGAGAGGATTGACTCCAATATTGAAAGAAGTTCTGTTATGTAAATACTATCAAATAGCATCACATGCTACCACCACCACCGTGATCGGTCAGCAGCCATCAACATCAAGGCAAGATCGTCCAACAGCACAAAGATAAATATTCACTAAAGACTCAGATTTTATTAGCATTTTTTAGCAATAAAGTTTTTTAATTAAGGTATATACATTGTTATTTAGACATAAAGCTTTTGCACACTTATTAGATTACAGTATAAATAAAACTTTTGTATGCACTGGAAAACCAAAAAATTTGTGTGACTAGCTTTATTGTGACATTTACTTTCTTGTGGTGGTCTAGAATCAAACCCACAATATCTTTGAGCAATGGCAGTATTGCTTTTATTATGCTTAATTAACTGAAAGCAGGTGGGAAAAATGCCTTCAGTGGGTAAGTAAATTCTCTTTTCAAGGATTTCAGAAACAAATTTTGAAGTTTTGGTTTAGTAAATTAGTTTTATTAACTTTATTTATTTTAATGTTTTTAAATTGCAGATTTGCTGTTGCTGAGTCTGATTGTAATTTAGCAGTTGCCTTGAATAGAAGTTATACAAAGGCTTATTCCAGACGAGGTGCTGCTCGATTTGCTTTGCAAAAATTAGAAGAGGCCAAAAAAGGTATTTTCTAGTCACTCTCTAAAGAATTCTTTAACAGTGTTATCTCACAGATGCTATATGGAGAATACTGAGTAATCACAGTTACTACCTTCAGAGAGCTTTCTGTATTTGAACAAAGGTCATTTTTGCAACTGAAATGATATCTTGATGTTTTTAAGAAAGAATGCATTATTTGCCACCAATCAGAATTTGGTTCAAATTCTCATGTTACTAAGTACTAACTATGTGACCAATATCTCCTCTGATTTTCAGTTTCTCATCTGTAAAATAGGCATTAATATGTCTTGTTGGCTTTAGTGAGGCAAGAGGTAGTGTGTTTAAAGCTCATAACACATTTTTGTTCACTTATAAATTCTAAGCCTTCTATTATTTCATAAAATAGGTTTGTGTATTACAAATCACAAAATCTGAATAAAGCTGATATTTAATTGGATTTTGCTGCTGCTTAGGTTTTTTTTTTTCTTTTTTTTTTTTTTGAGACAGAGTCTTGCTTTTTCACCCAGGCTGGAGTGCAATGGTGTGATCTCTGCTCACAGCAACCTCCGCCTCCCGGGTTCAAATGATTTTCTCTGCCTCAGCCTCCCAAGTATCCGGGATTACAGGTGCCCACCACCATGCCTGGCTAATTTTTGTAATTTTAGTAGAGACAGGGTTTTGCCATGTTGGCCAGGCTGGTCTTGACTCCTGACTTCAGGTGATCTGCCCACCTCGGCCTCCCAAAGTGCTGGGATTACAGGAGTGAGCCACTGCGCCCGGCCTGCTTCTTGGTTTTATGATATACAACTTATGATAGCAGGTATCCTTCCTGGGGCTGGTGGAAGATGGTTTGTCATAGGATTTTGTCTGCCCTGGGGGGAGAAGAAGAAAGTTCAGTGGCTTGGCTCTGCACAGTGGCTTACGCCTGTAGTCCTAGCACTCTGGGAGGCCAAGGTGGGAAGACTACTTGAGGCCAGGAGTTTGAGACTAACCTGCCCAATGAGGAGAAAACCTGTCTCTACTAAAAATACAAAAATTAGCTGAACTTGTTGGCGTGTGCTTGTAGTCCCAGCTACTCAGGAGGCTGAGGTACAGAATCACTGGAACCTGGGAACTGGAGGTTGCAGTGAGCCAAGATTGCGCCACTGCACTCAGCCTGGGCAACAGAGTGAGAATCTGTCTCAAAAAAAGAAAGTTCAGTGGCCTAATGATAGTATTTCTTTGTTTCTCCTTTATTTTGCTGTAGGACAGTTGCCTGATTGTCACAGGCAACAAAAGATTGTTTTGTACATGTTTTAAAATATTACCTATCTTTAAAAATTTTTTTTATCTTCTCTTTTACTTAGATTATGAAAGAGTATTAGAACTAGAACCAAATAACTTTGAAGCAACAAATGAACTCAGGAAAATCAGTCAGGTAAACTATAGTTATTTAAATTAAGTGTATTATGACCTTTATTTGAAGAAGTAAAGCTTTTTGCATAGATTTTGTACTATAGATTTCTTAATATTGAGATTTTCTAATTTTAATTCTTTGTACTATAGAGTTTTACTAAATGAATTTGCATGCTAGAGGGAGTGTAATGGTATTTAAAGACCCTTGATTGTTCTAGAAGTTGCCTGAGATCTTTAAGAACTACTGCTGCTTTACTCTTTCTCAGATGACAGAATTATTATTTTTTTATCCCACTGATTTTCTTCCTTTTTGGCTTATGCACTGACTGAAACATTGAGAGAAAAGTGACAGTGATTGGGGAAAGTGTGCTTTTAAATATTACCACTACTATTGCACATAAGATCTGGTAAATATGTTAACTTGATTATAGTTGTGAACTGTATTACATATGTTTAAAATTTTGCCTTAGGTCAAATAATGACTGTGAATATTGAATTTGAGAAGTTTGGTGATGTAGTTGTAATGAACTGTTATGTCTGAAAACAGCTCCTAAAACAGTGTCTGGCCCGTATAGAAATTCAATAAATATTTGTTGAATAAATGAGCAACTACTTTTAATGGATGCTACTTATTTATTTATTTAAAATAATTCAACTTGTATTTTAGATTCAAAGGGTACATGTGCAGGCTTTTTACATGGGCATATTGTATGATACTGAGGTTTGGGGTATGAATGATTCCGCCACCTAGATAGTGAGCATAGTACCCAATAGGTAGTTTTTCATCCCCTCCCCTCCCCACCCCAATGTTTCTCTCCCCAACAGGTAGTCTATAGTGTCTGTTGTTTCTGTTTATGTCCATGTGTACCCAATGTTTACCTCCCACTTATAAGTCAAAACATGCAGTATGTGGCGTTTGATACTAATTTTAATTGAAATGAGAAGCACATTAAATTTATTATATGCTTATTTTACTTTTTACTTTAATAAGTAGAAAGATTTTGAATTAGAGCAGAAAATGTTATTTTGATTATTTAAAATGTGGCAGAAATTCTAATATATTTGAGGTATTTATGTTTTAAGGTCAAATATATATGCATCTTGCATTACTTTGTTTTATTTTAGCTGACTGCTATGTCTCCTAGGCTTTAGCATCCAAAGAAAACTCATATCCAAAGGAAGCTGACATAGTGATTAAGTCAACAGAAGGAGAGCGAAAGCAAATTGAAGCACAACAGAATAAGCAGCAGGCCATTTCAGAGAAAGATCGGGTAATCCAAAGCTATTCCAACGTACAATGTATATGTTTTGCTGAGTGTTGATTTATTTCTTGTATATCAGTTAATTTCTTTCTTCTCTAATATTAAAGTTTTGCTTGAGTAGGAATTGGGAATTAAATGCACTAAAGCCTCTGGGACCTACTAATTCAAAATTTGGGTAATTGATGACTTTATATATAAATTAAAAAAATAACTATAGAAACACTTAAGTTTAGGAAACTACTTTTGAATGTTTTATATATTTACATATACATAGTTATAAATTTAACATAGAAGTTAATTACAATCCATTCTTATAATGTACTTTTTTCATTAATTCACACTGGACTGTTTCTGATTGAAATTCCTCTACTAATCATGAGTTGAGGTTTAGTTTATTTATTGCCTTTCCTGGACCCACAGAGGATTCCTAATAAATATTTATGAAATGATTATTGATTGTGATATTTGACTGATTATAAGTAAATGTTATAGTGAAATCAGGTATACAAATTCCAATACAGCTGAATTTATCTTATATTTGGGCATATTAAAGTTATTGAAGAGTGGGCTTTATAATTCTGGTACTGTATTCTTTCACAAAATTTATTTGAGTTATGAAGTCCTTTTGTACAGCTTCTAATGTAACTTAAGACAGTATATTATTTGGACCTTTGTTAAAATAGGTTTTTAAATTTAAGCTTTGCGTAATATGTAATTAATGGAATAATAGTGAATGCTGCAAAGTAATGTAGTATACATGTTTTTCCTTTTTAGTACTGAAAAGAGAATAATGCCATTAAAAAAGAAACAACCCAAACCAACAGATTTTAAAACGTGTCTCATGGGCCAGATTTTTAACAATATTCTTTCTTGAAATACTGTTGGTGAATATCCTTGCAGTGTTTCATAAGATTTGAATTCATTTATTTTTTTTGAAATTTTTTTTTTATTCTCCATATCTCTCTACAAAATAACAGGGGAATGGATTTTTCAAAGAGGGGAAATATGAAAGAGCAATTGAATGCTATACTCGAGGGATAGCAGCAGATGGTGCTAATGCCCTTCTTCCAGCTAACAGAGCTATGGCCTATCTGAAGATTCAGAAGTAAGTATTGGTTACATTTTAGTGCTGTTCAGGATAAAAATTTACAATAAATTGGTAAATTTTTACCATAAGTTACCTAACATGCCAATTATGGCGTGTTAGGTTAGCTCACATGCCAATTTATGGTAAATTTAAGTAAGTTAAAATTTAATTTATGTATTTTTGAGCATTTAAATTAAAGTGAAATGAGAGGGGAAAAGTAGTGTGTGTGTGTGTGTGTGTGTGTGTGTGTGTATGTGTATGTGTGTGTTTATGTACCTGTGGTATACATAGTTCCAGGCACAAGGTGTGTATTCAGTAGATGTTCTTGTTAATATTTTCCCGCTTTTAAGTCTGGCATTACACAGTTTACCAGTTTTTCTCTAGTCGCTTTATGTATAGTATTCTGGATCTTGATTAAAAATTATTTTTCACTTCAGAGCCCCTTGGGCAAAGTCTTATCTGGAAATGTTTTATATACATACATGTATAACAAAAGAGAACTGCTGTCATTGAAACTGCTGATTAATAACATATGTAACAAACATTTGATCCTATATTAACCAGCTTTTTCTGGTTGTGCCCAAGTTGGACAATCAGTAGAATTATATCCGATGGCAGAAACTTAGACTTAGACTTTGTTTCTCTTGTTATACTTTACAGACTAATGCCAGAATTTTAAAAAGCCTGTAAATAGTATAAATAGGAATTCGAAACTTCTTCAGTGCCATGAATTCCCCTTTAGCTGTATGTTGAACGCTTCTCAGGATATTTTTAAATGCTTAACTGTACAACTAGGATTACAAAGGAAACCAATTATATCAAAATATAGTTTTGAAAATATTAAAAATTGTGATATAGTAGTATATTTGATTTTTTATTAACACACCTCAAAATGAGAAATTACATTTAAAATACAGGCAAGTGCTGTATTTTATGCTCACCAATATTCAGAATTACAGTACAAATTTAACCTGCTGCTTATTTGCATGTGATTGTACTGTATTTGAAACTACATTTAAAATACAGACAAGTTAATGTTAAAAAAATTTTAAAGACATGATTGTAAGGTTTCAGTAAGGACACCAAATTTTGGGATGATCCTCGACACATCTTCCACGTACTGATCAACAAGCAAGTGTGGATAGGGAATACCTGAAGCAACGTAGATGATTAGATTTCCAATGTGATAACACATGCCTTAGCTCTTTGTCTTCTGAATAACTACTAGGGCAGAGTTGCCCAACAGTTGCCAGCCTTGTCACAAGAGTATCTATAAACCAGACACTGCAATCACATGCAAATAAGCAACAGGTTAAATTTTTACTGTAATTCTGAATAGTGGTGAGCATAAGCAATATTTTGAGATACCAGTAACCGTTATAATGTGATATGGAAATATCTGATTTTTTTTTTTTTTTTGAGACAGAGTCCCCCTCTGTCACCCAGGCTGGAGTGCAGTGGTGTAATTTTGGCTCACTGCAACCTCCACCTCCCAGGTTCAAGCAATTCTCCTGCCTCAACCTCCCAAGTTGCTGGGTCTACAGGCATGCGCCATGACACCTAGCTAATTTTTGTATTTTTAGTAGAGATGGGGTTTTGCCATGTTGGCCAGGCTGGTCTCAAACTCCTGACCTCAGGTGATCTGCCCGTCTCGGCCTCCCAGAGTGCTGGGATTACAGGCAGGAGCCACCGCGCCCGGCCAAAATATCTGATTTTTATTGGTGACAAAGTGATAGATACTATTGTCTGCATTTGTATTTGAAAGATAGCTAAATTTTATTTGAAGTTTAGTGAAAACAGTGATACAGTTTTTTTCCTAAACAAGTTTCCACATCCCTCAGACAATCTCAGGTTAGGAGCTCCTGTCATAGAAATAAATTCTGATTATATATTTAACCTCATTTAAAGTAATAGATATCACTGGAGATAGATTCTTTTGTTGACTAGTCAGAGTGAAGATCATTGCATCTCTTGCTCACTTATGAAAATTTTGATTTTTGCTATCGAAGAATTGTGCATTGGTTTAAAAATTGTAAAGCCTGAGTTCGTTGGTTTGACTAATGCTAAGAGTAATGCCTTCTTACAGGTGAGAGATTATATATGCATTTATAAGATATCTAATTTATTGTATCAGTTTTATTTCTTTAGTTTATAATCGTATTAGTGGAATATATTATACCAAGTTAGCAGAGTATATTTTAAATTAAAAGAACTTATGACTCTTACTTGTATCTTTTCCTAGTGTATCTTTTAGATTCACAGTTAATATCAGAATTTTTTTCTGTACATGGAGACTGTTGTTATGTATTACGGACTATGTGAGGAACATAAAAAAGCAACATTTCAAGCTTAGACTACTCCTAGTTTAGGTAACCATCCTATAGCTTGAGGTTCTATAAACTGTGTCAAATTAGAGCTAATTAGAACCAGCAGTATAGTCAGTCTTACCTACCAGTGTGCGGGGTAGCAGTAGGGAGTAAGAAGAAATTCACCTAGTTAGGCCAACCGGGATTCCTAGAGAATGTGCTTTCTGGAGGTGATAGTCTAAATTAGTAGTTTGCATTGGGAGATGAGCAAGACATCCTTGAGTTACAATAATGGAGTGCCTGTGAGCTGGCAAATTGTGGAATGTAGGCTGGTAGATGGTTAGCTTCAGAAAGGCTGAAGAAATAAGAAGATAATCAGAAATAAGGACAGAAGTTTGGGCCAACATTGTAGTCCTTGAAGAGGACTGACCAAGAACAAATCTGAGTCCTATTCTTAGAGGGAGTAAAGCATAGATTTAGAGATAGGATAAGAAGAAAATAACCCAGTAGTATTAGATATTAGATTTGGGAAACAGGGTTGAGAGTTGGTCACAAAAATAAGGTAGAATCTTGGTTGCTGGAACTGGAACCAGACTAAGACTTGATTTAGTAGAGGGTGGTTCACTTAATGGTGATTAGGGGCGGCATTTACACTAGAGCCAGAGTAGACCTAGGGCAAGTGGACCTGACTGAAAATCAGAAGGAATCAGGGCTAAGGAGCTAGGCAGAGATGATAGTTTTTCGCACTCACCATTTTTATTCTATTTTTGATTAGTTTGTCTTTTTCTCCAACCACCTAAAAGATGTTTGTTGATTGGATTTTTCTAAATTCACTTTACAAATGGAGTGCACAGGAGACGTGTAATAATTTTAAAGGACTTAGGTGAGTCTATTTTCAAAGAATAATCGTCTACCTCTGTGGCAACTTCAGACTTTTAGAAAAATTGTTGGGTTTTCTTCAGCTGTACAGTAGAACATGCAATTAAATATGCAATTAAATATACAATTAAAATGATTTCCTAAACATTTATATTCTAAATTTTCTTTGAATTTGGGTGTTGGAAATTTTTTGATTTACTTATTCAGCAAATATTTATTGTGCTAAAATGTATCAGGTGTTCTGTGAGGCACTGTGGAAGGTATTAAGTATACAAATATTAAATGTATAGTTGTTTTTAAGAAACCCGAAATTTGCAGGGAGTGACAGAAAAGGAGACCAATATTTGTGAAAATACGCTAAGATAGCGCTATGAAGGACACGTGCTATAGGAGTTCAGAGTGGGAAGAATACTGGCATAGACTGAGTCCAGGCAGGGGAATTCCTGGAAAGCATCTTGAAATTGTTTAGGAGTAGTATGAGTTAGTGAGGTGAAAAAACAGGAAACAGGTCAAGTGTTCTAGTGCAGGTTCAAAGACGTGGGAGTAGGCAGGTTGATGGTACCTCAACCTGGAAAGGGTGAGTGGTTCGTATTATGGCTGTTATTGCAGGGGACAGTGGCAGAGAGAAGGCCAGATACTCAGGCAGGCCCCTGACTTTGCGCTCCAAAGGAATTGGACTTTATCTTGAAAAGTATGGGGGCCATGCAGGTATCTTGAATGATATAATCAGGCAAGTAGAAAATAACATTGATAAGGGCATGAACACAGATATATTCTTTATCTCTTGCTGGAAAGTGAGTTAAATAAATCAGAGATGTTTAAGTTCATTCGAAATTCTGATTTTTTTCATATGAGATTTTGTTTTGAGGGCAAGATGACATCCATTTAGGCCTTGGGGAGAATGCAATTACAGGAGTGTTTTTTTTTTTTTTAATATTCTTATGAAACTTTTCAAACTTATACAAAAGTAGTATAATAAACTCCATGTGTCCATCATCTAGTTCTAACAAGCCATACTTTTTTTGGTCATATTTGTTTCAGCATTTTCCCCCCGAATTATTGTAAAGCAAATCATAAACATTATGACGTTTATTGCTAAAGAAAGGATATTTTATACATAACCACAACCATTAGCACTCCTAAGAAATTAACAATAATTCATTAATGTCCTATTAATATATGGGAATGTCTGAAGTTTTTTTGTTATTGGGTTTTTTTGGTGGAGGGGGTTGAGCTCTTCTTAAGCACCTTGTTGTTGTAGAGCAGTAATGAGTAAGTCTGTAAGTCTGAATTGATTGCTGGTTGCATGGCTGAGTAGAATTTATGCAAAGTATTAGATGATATGCTATCACATTCGTACCAAGTTCTCATTTTTTTGTTTTTCTATGAGTATGGGAGGTTTACTGTGGGTAAATGTTAATAAAGTTTTATTAGAAAACTAATGCCAGTCAAAATTCTAATGTAATACCTGTGCATATTGAGACTTGGAGAAGAGGTAGGCAGAGAAGCAGTGGCATTCTTTTGTCTGCCCTAGTCATATTTTTGCATTATTATTTCATCGCTCCAGCAGACTCTCCTAACATTCCCTCAATCTGGTACCTTCTCCCTCCTCACCAAATGATTCCAGGATTTGGTGAGAATAAAAAATTTATAAAATAGTTCTCCACTTCAAACACAGATTTAGAAGTTAGTGATTGAAATTATATACAAGCTTTTTAAATTAGAAACTTAGTTTATATGACATTTTTCCATAAGCTGCCTTTTTTCCAGTCAGTAATTTTATCATGTTCAATAGATATGAAGAAGCTGAAAAAGACTGCACACAAGCCATTTTATTAGATGGCTCATATTCTAAAGCTTTTGCCAGAAGAGGAACTGCAAGAACATTTTTGGGAAAGCTAAATGAGGCAAAACAAGGTAAGACTTTATAACAGCTGGCACTCAGTCATCCTGATGAGTGCCCAAGTTAAAGAAGCAGAGATTCATGTAGCTTACCCATGGTTCAAAGATACTGAACTTAGGGAATTATGTTTTCTTTCCACAGTTTAGATCACGAATAGATTTGGAGGAATGCAGCTTCCGCAATGTACCAGATTATCTTTTTGTTTAGTAGCATTCTGGCTAATTTTGTTTAGTACATTCTGGCTAATTGCCAGTCAATATTAATGAAAAATTTTAATTATACATGAGAATGGAAAACGATAAAAAGACCAGAATGGAAAGGAAGGGAATCGGTGTTGTTGAGCGAAAGGGACTCACTGTGTGATATGCTTGAAGCCAATACTGTGACATCAGGTTTTTGAGAAAAGGCTTTATTTATATTGAAAGTTGACTCCTAAAGAGACAGGAATCAAACCCAAATCTGTCTCCTTGTCCTGGCCTTAAGGCAGTAATTTTATTAGAAAGGGTTTAGGGAGGTGGATACTGGAATTAGCAGGTAATTAGTGGAAGGAAAGGGAAAAGTTCTTGGGCATATGTAGCTATCTCTTCTTGCTAACTAATGGGATTGCAGGTGCAAATTTGGGGTAGTTAGTAGAACTTGGTGGAAATTCAGTTTGTGACATCAGCAAACTCGTTTTTGTGCAAACTCCACTTGGCCATCTTGGTTCCAAATGATTTCAGCCTGTTTTTTTTTTTTTGTTTCGTTTTTTTGTTTTTTTTTGAATCCCAGTAAGCAGAGGAAGTTTCTTTGTTTCAGCAAGTTGTATCTTTTCCTATCTGCCATCCTACAAACTGAAGAATTTCTGTTAGTGATTGATTTTTTTTTTTTAAAAAACTCTTCGGGCTGTGGTTTTATCAGCAGGTAGGGAATGGAGGATAATGGAGATCTGATACCATTTTAATTCTTGATACTATTTTTTTTCTTTGTTTTTATGGTCTTCTCTTTTAGGGTATTCATTGAATTAGTCTTTTCAGAGAACCAACTTGGTTCTCCTGTGTGTGTTTTCTATTTAATTTCCTTCTGCTTTTTATTTTATTCCTTCAACTTTCTTTTGGTTTAATTTGCTGTTTTTCTAGCTTCTTGAGATCAGTACTTAGATAATTGATTTTCAGCCTCTGTTCTTTCCTGGTATGTGCATTTAAAATCTGGCAGTTTCTCTATAAGCCTGTTAGCTACAGCAGTGTTTTTTTTATTGTGGTTAAAAAAAATATGTAACGTTAAATTTATTATTTTAACCATTTTTCAATATATAGCTCAGTGGCATTAAATACATTTACATTGTGCAGCCATCACCACTGTCCATCACCAGAACTTTGTCATCATCCCATTCTAAAACTCTATACACATTAAACAATAACTCTCCATTCTCCTCTCCTCCCAGCCCTAGTAACCTCCATTCTACTTTCTGTCTCTGAATTTGACTGTTCTAGATATCCTATGTAAGTGGAATCATGCAGTATTTGTCCTTTTGCCTCTGCTTATTTAACTTAGCATAATGTCCATGTTGGAGCATATATCAGAATTTCATTCCTTTTTAAGGCTGAGTAATACTTTGTTGTATGTAATTCTCTTATTCTATTAATATTTTACATTTAGTGAGTTACTCTGTCATTTGTTTACATGGTGAACTTTGCTAAGTTAGATGACCTCTAGGGGCCTCAGTTTTATCACCTTTAAAGTGGGGTTGTAGTGAGGGTTACGTGAACATTCATATAAAACAACTACAACAGTGTTCAGTAAATGTTCTTACTATAGCTCACCTGTTTCCTAGTAATCTGAGTAAAACTGCTTGAGCTAAAAATGTGATTACTAACTGAATATATCATGAATATACATGCGAATATGAAAACTCCACATTTTAACTATGTTGTAATGTTTTTAAAAAATTCGCTTTAGATTTTGAAACTGTTTTACTTCTGGAACCTGGAAATAAGCAAGCAGTAACTGAACTCTCCAAAATTAAAAAGGTAATGTATTCTTTTCACCCAAACATGGTCATATTTTCTGAAACATAAATATATTTATTTGTTGTATAATAAATATTTTGAAAGTTAGGGTTATAAATTTATTTTCAAGGAATTAATTGAGAAAGGACACTGGGATGATGTCTTTCTTGATTCCACACAAAGACAAAATGTGGTAAAACCCATTGATAATCCACCGCATCCTGGATCAACTGTAAGTAAAGCACTTTCATTTTTTCCTTGCCATTTAAATATGTTGTAATAGGAGAATTGGAAACCAACTATTGTATTAATAAACTTTTTTTTTTTAATTATACTTTAAGTTCTAGGGTACATGTGCACAACGTGCAGATCTGATACATAGGTATACATGTGCCATGTTGGTTTGCTGCACCCATCAACTCATCATTTACATTAGGTATTTCTCCTAATGCTATCCCTCCCCCAACCCACCACCCGCAACAGGTCCCAGTGTGTGATGTTCCCTGCCCTGTGTCCAGGTGATCTCATTGTTCAGTTCCCACCTATGAGTGAGAACATGCGGTGTTTGGTTTTCTGTCTTGTGATAGTTTGCTGAGAATGATGGTTTCCAGCTTCATCCATGTCCCTGCAAAGGGCATGAACTCATCGTTTTTTATGGCTGCATAGTATTCCGTGGTGTATATGTGCCACATTTTCTTAATCTAGTCTATCATTGGTGGATATTTGGGTTGGTTCCAAGTCTTTGCTATTGTGAATAGTGCCTCAGTAAACATACGTGTGCATGTGTCTTTATAGTAGCATGATTTATAATCCTTTGGATATATACCCAGTAATGGGATTGCTGGGTCAAATGGTAATTCTAGTTCTAGATCCTTGAGGAATCGCCACACTGTCTTCCACAATGGTTGAACCAGTTTACACTCCCAGGAACAGTGTAAAAGCGTTCCTATTTCTCCACATCCTCTCCAGCATCTGTTGTTTCCTGACTTTTTAATGATTGCCATTCTAACTGGCATGAGATGGTATCTCATTGTGGTTTTGATTTGCATTTCTCTGATGGCCAGTGATGATGAGCATTTTTTCATGTGTCTGTTGGCTGCATAAATGTCTTCTTTTGAGAAGTGTCTGTTCATATCCTTTGCCCACTTTTTGATGGGGTTGTTTGTTTTTTTCTTGTAAATTTGTTTGAGTTCTTTGTAGATTCTGGATATTAGCCCTTTGTCAGAGGGTAGATTGCAAAAATTTTCTCCCATTCTGTAGGTTGCCTGTTCACTCTGATGGTACTTTCTTTTGCCATGCAGAAGCTCTTTAGTTTAATTAGATCCCATTTGTCTATTATGGCTTTCATTGCCATTGCTTTTGTTGTTTTAGTCATGAAGTCCTTGCCTATGCCTGTGGCCTGAATGGTATTTCCTAGGTTTTCTTGTAGGGTTTTTATGGTTTTAGGTCTAACATTTAAGTCTTTAATCCATCTTGAATTAATTTTTGTATAAGGTGTAAGGAAGGGATCCAGTTTCAGCTTTCTACATATGGCTAGCCAGTTTTCCCAGCACCATTTATTAAATAGGGAATCCTTTTCCCATTTCTTGTTTTTGTCAGGTTTGTCAAAGATCAGATGGTTTTAGATGTGTGGTGTTATTTCTGAGGCCTCTGTTCTGTTCCATTGGTCTATATCTCTGTTTTGGTACCAGTACCATGCTGTTTCGGTTATTGTAGTCTTCTAGTATAGTTTGAGGTCAGGTAGCCTGATGCCTCCAGCTTTGTTCTTATTCCTTAGGATTGTCTTGGCAATGTGGGCTCTTTTTTGGTTCCATATGAACTTTAAAGTAGTTTTTTTCCAATTCTGTGAAGAAAGTTATTGGTAGCTTGATGGGGATGGCATTGAATTCTATAAATTACTTTGGGCAGTATGGCCATTTTCACAATATTGATTCTTCCTATCCATGAGCATGGAATATTCTTCCATTTGTTTGTGTCCTCTTTTATTTCGTTGAGCAGTGGTTTGTAGTTCTCCTTGAAGAGAATTGGATTCCTAGGTATTTTATTCTCTTTGTAGCAATTGTATTATTCTCTTTGTAGCAATTGTAAATGGGAGTTCACTCATGATTTGTCTCTCTGCTTGTCTGTTAATGGTGTATAGGAATGCTTGTGATTTTTGCACATTGATTTTGTATCCTGAGACTTTGCTGAAGTTGCCTATCAGCTTAAGGAGATTTTGGGCTGAGACGATGGGGTTTTCTAAATATACAATCATGTCATCTGCAAACACAACAATTTGACTTCCTCGTTTCCTAATTGAATACCCTTTATTTCTTTCTCTTGCCTGATTGCCCTGGCCAGAACTTCCGACATTGTGTTGAATAGGAGTGGTGAGAGAGGGCATCCTTGTCTTGTGCTGGTTTTCAAAGGGAATGCTTCCAGTTTTTGCCCATTCAGTATGATATTGGCTGTGGGTTTGTCATAAATAGCTCTTATTATTTTGAGAAACATTCCATCAATACCTAGTTTATTGAGTGTTTTTAGCATGAAGCACTGTTGAATTTTGTCAAAGGCCTTTTCTGCATCTATTGGGATAACCATGTGGTTTTTGTCGTTGGTTCTGTTTATGTGATGGATTACGTTTATTGATTTGCATATATTGAAGCAGCCTTTCTTCCCTGGGATGAAGCCAGCTTGATCGTGGTGGATAAGGTTTTTGGTGTGCTACTGGATTCGGTTTGCCAGTATTTTATTGAGGATTTTCACATTGATGTTCATCAGGGATATTGGTCTAAAATTCTCTTTTTTTTGTTGTGTCTTTGCCAGGCTTTGGTATCAGGATGTTGCTGGCCTCATAAAATGAGTTAGGGAGGATTCCCTCTTTTTCTATTGATTGGAATAGTTTCAGGAGGAATGGTACCAGCTCCTCTTTGTACCTCTGGTAGAATTCAGCTGTGAATCCGTCTGGTCCTGGACTTGTTTTGGTTGGTAGGCTATTATTGCCTGAATTTCAGAGCCTGTTATTGGTCTATTCAGAGATTGAACTTCTTCCTGGTTGTCTTGGGAGGGTGTATGTGTCCAGGAATTTATCCATTCCTCCTACATTTTCTAGTTTATTTGCGTAGAGGTGTTTGTAGTATTCTCTGACGGTAGTTTGTATTTCTGTGGGATCAGTGGTGATATCCCCTTTATCATTTTGTATTGTGTATATTTGATTCTTCTCTCTTTTCTTCTTTATTAGTCTTGCTAGTGGTCTATCAATTTTGATGATCTTTTCAAAAAACCAGCTCCTGGATTCATTGATGTTTTGAAGGGTTTTTTTTGTGTCTATCACTTTCAGTTCTGCTCTGATCATAGTTACTTCTTGCCTTCTGCTAGGTTTTGAATTTGTTTGCTCTTGCTTCTCTAGTTCTTTTAATTGTGATGTTAGGGTGTCAATTTTAGATCTTTTCCTGGTTTCTCTTGTGGGCATTTAGTGTTATAAATTTCCTTCTACACACTGCTTTAAATGTGTCCCAGAGATTCTGGTACGTTGTGTCTTTGTTCTCATTGGTTTCCAAGAACATCTTTATTTCTGCCTTCATTTCGTTAGTTACCCAGTAGTCATTCAGGAGCAAGTTGTTCAATTTCCATGCAGTTGTGCAGTTTTGAGTGAGTTTCTTAATCCTGAGTTCTAATTTGATTGCACTGTGGTCTGAGAGACAGTTTGTTGTGATTTCTGTTCTTTCACATTTGCTGAGGAGTGCTTTACTTCCAATTGTGTGGTCAATTTTGGAATAAGTGTGATGTGGTGCTGAGAAGAATGTATATTCTGTTGATTTAGGGTGGAGAGTTCTGTAGATGTCTATTAGGTCTGCTTGTTGCAGAGCTGAGTTCAGGTCCTGGATATCCTTGTTAACCTTCTGTCTCGTTGATCTGTCCAATATTGACAGTGGGGTGTTAAAGTCTCCCATTATTATTGTTTGGGAGTCTAAGTCTCTTTGTAGGTCTCTAAGGACTTGCTTTATGAATCTGAGTGCTCCTGTATTGGGTGCATATATATTTAGGATAGTTAGATCTTCTTGTTGAATTGATCCCTTTACCATTAGGTAGTGGCTTTCTTTGTCTCTTTTGATCTTTGTTGGTTTAACATCTGTTTTATCAGAGACTGGGATTGCAACCCCTGCTTTTTTTTGCTTTCCATTTGCTTGTTAGATCTTCCTCCATGCCTTTATTTTGAGCCTATGTGCGTCTTTGCACGTGAGATGGGTCTCCTGAATGCAGCACACTGATGGGTCTTTACTCTATCCAATTTGCAGTCTTTGTGTTTTAATTGGGGCATTTAGCCCATTTACATTTAAGGGTAATATTGTTATGTGTGAATTTGATCCTGTCATTATGATGTTCGCTGGTTATTTTGACTGTTAATTGATGCAGTTTCTTCCTAGCATCAATGGTCTTTACAATTTGGCCTGTTTTTGCAGTGGCTGGTACTGGTTGTTTCTTTCCATGTTTAGTGCTTCCTTCAGAAGCTCTTGTAAGGCAAGCCGGGTGGTGACACAATCTGTCAGCATTTGCTTGTCTGTAAAGGATTTTATTTCTCCTTCACTTAGGAAGCTTAGTTTGGCTAGATATGAAATTCTGGGTTGAAAATTCTTTTCATT
This sequence comes from Homo sapiens, assembly GCF_000001405.40. NCBI lineage: Eukaryota > Metazoa > Chordata > Mammalia > Primates > Hominidae > Homo > Homo sapiens. The sequence goes on along the minus strand of NC_000012.12, from coordinate 47,675,102 downwards.
AAGAATGTTGAACATTGGCCCCTACTGTCTTCTGGCTTGTAGGGTTTCTGCTGAGAGATCTGCTGTTAGTCTGATGGGCTTTCCTCTGTGGATAACTCGACCTTTCTCTCTGACTGCCCTTAACACTTTTTCCTTCATTTCAACCTTGGTAAATCTGACAATTTTGTGTCTTGGGGTTGCTCTTCTCGAGGAGTATCTTTGTGGCATTCTCTGTATTTTGTGAATTTGAATGTTGGCCTGCCTTGCTAGGTTGGGGAAGTTCTCCTGGATAATATCCTGAAGTGTGTTTTCCAATGTGGTTCCATTCTCCCCATCACTTTCAGGTACACCAATCAATCGTAAATTTGCTCTTTTCACATAGTCCCATATTTCTTGGAGGCTTTGTTTGTTTCTTTTACTCTTTTTTCTCTAACCTTGTCTTGTCGCTTTATTTCATTAATTTGATCTTCAATCACTGATACCCTTTCTTCCACTTTATCGAATCAGCTACTGAAGCTTGTGCATGCATCACGAAGTTCTCATGCCATGGTTTTCAGTTCCATCAGTCATTTAAGGTCTTCTCTGCACTGTTTATTGTAGTTAGTCATTCGTCTAATCTTTTTTCAAGGTTTTTAGTTTCCTTATGATGAGTTCGAACATCCTCCTTTAGCTTGGAGAAGTTTGTATTACGGACCTTCTGAAGCCTACTTCTGTCAACTTGTCAAAGTCATTCTCCGTCCAGCTTAGTTCCATTGCTGGTGAGGAGCTGTGTTCCTTTGGAAGAGAATAGGTGCTCTGATTTTTAGAATTTTCATCTTTTTTGCTCTGGTTTCTCCCCATCTTTGTGGTTTAATCTCCCTTTGGTCTTTGATGTTGGTGACCTCAGTTGGAAATGTAGAAATCACCCTTCTTCTGCGTTGATCACGCTGGGAGCTGCAGATTGGAGCTGTGCCTATTCGGCCATCTTGGAACGCCCCCTAACTCGTAAAGGAAATGTTGAAATGTCTTACTGGGGCACTTTTTTTTTTTTTTTTTTTTTAGAATCTTTAAAAAATACTTCCTAGGATTACTGATGTATAAGGGAAATTTAGCAGCGTTTAGAGTTTTGGGATAACTTTTTAAGTGAGTATTTTAATTTAACACTATCAATTTAAATATTTCTGCCTATTTCTCTTATATTAAAGGAATTTCAAGCAGTTTTACATTTTATAGAAATTAAATGTCTTTGTATTTTTATTACTGTTCTTTTCTGAAGTTGGGATAAACACCCTTGCATCAAGTAAATTATGAAATATACATACAGAAAAGTACGCAAGACAAATTATAATTTAGAGAATAATTACAAAGTGAACACCCATGAAATCACCGAGTCAGAAAATTAAGACATCACCCCTAAAAAACCTCTCTATGTACCCCTGACTGATCAAGATCCTCTTCCTGCCCTCTTAAACTGTTATGCATAGACGATCCTTTGCATAACAGTTTTCTTCATTAGAAATAACAATTTCATAAGGAAGTCAGAGGAGGTATTTTTATCCTCTTTTTATAAAGGCAGAAAAGGAAAGTTTGTTTTGCTATGTTTGTACTAGTTAGTAGTAGCAAATAGATTTCTTAGTTTAATACTTTTCCAGTGCATTTAATATGACTGTATTCTTTTTTTTTTTTTTTTTTTTTTTTTTGAGACGGAGTTTCACTCTTTGTCCCCCAGGCTGGAGTGCAGTGGCGCGATCTCAGCTCACTGCAACCTCTGACTTCTGGGTTCAAGTGATTCTCCTGCCTCAGCCTCCCTGGTAGCTGGGATTACAGGCACCTGCCATCATGCCTGGCTAATTTTTGTATTTTTAGTAGAGACAGGGTTTCACCATGTTGGCCAGACTGGTCTCGAACTCCTGACCTCAAGTGATCTGCCCACCTTGGCCTCCCAAAGTGCTAGGATTACAGGCATGAGCCACCATGCCTGGCCTATTACGACCGTATTCTTGGTAATACTGGTTGTGTGTGTTGTGTGTGCTAGGCATAAATCTAGTTGTTTTCACACATTATGGTCATTTTCATATATTTATTTACTGTTCTTTTCAGTAAAAGTGATTATTTAATTAAATGTAGTTTAAACTTTTACATCTTTGTAAGACTTCTTTACAAAAATTAATTCACAAGTTTACAGAAGGCCTTTGTTAGACGTCACTGTCCATAATTATAAAGACATTGCCACGTGATATGTGTAATATCCCATGACTAATATACCATAAGTAGCTTTTACAAATATGTTGGGCCCACCTTCTTGTTAAAAATGAATTTATGTTAATAGTTGTGAAAATACAATGTGAATTTAAATCTCTATGGCAATATGACAAAACAAAACACCTCTAGGAAATGAGAAATCTTGGGGTAAACTGTTCTGTAAATGATCCAAAATCAACAAAGTTAGTATCCTAGTGGGAAGGGAAAAAAATTGCTGTTGATTTTTATAATGGATCTTCATGATAAAAAAAAATGTCGGCATTATTTTTAAAAAGTAGAGGATAGCAGTTTGGTATAATGCCTTTGAGACTGGATTTGAGCCCCACTTGATAAACTTTGCAATCTTGAGCAAGTTAGTTAATCCCTGCGTTATCCTTACTTTTTCTCCGTAAATTGAGAATAACTCACAGATTAGTTTATATCAAAGGAAATAATGTGCATAAATGCTGAGGCAATTTCAGGTGAAACAAATTTTAGTTTCCTTTTTAGTCACGTATTTGTGACACCACCTGGTCACCAGAGAAAGTGGTAAGGAAAGAAAGGAAGACTACGGAAAGTAGAGAAGAGAATGAGTCTCAGGATTATTGAAATGAAAGGCTAGGGCAGGGTAGTCTGTGCTTGAAGGGCTGGCAGCTTGGAGGTATTTTTAGCAAACCTCTAGACAGAGGGTAGGAGAGCAGAGATGTAGGTGAACTTGGGCCTGGGGTTTCCCCTGAGAGTGGTAATAAGTGAAAGTTTTCCTGATCCTTTTGTCTCTGCTAAAATATCTTATTTTGCTTTATTTCCTTTTTTTTTCTTCATTTGTCTGTTTCCTGATGTCAAAACTTCACCTGTTTGGTCCCTTTTTCTCTTTATTCCTTTGTTCTTCTCTCTCTCTCTCACTTTTTTTTTAAATGGTCACAATATACAACTAAATAAAATGTTACGCTTCCGAGTCATGATTTTAAAAAAGGAGTGAATTGAACCTTTCATATTTTCTTAAGTTCTTTCTATAGTGGTTTCTTTTATGGTTTACTCCTGTTACTAGCATACTGTTCTTCCCCACAGTCCTTCCAGCTGTCATCAGTGACCCTCAGTGGCTCTCAGTACCCCGGGTCTACACTTAACAGAGACCAATGATTAGGAAATTCATAAATTCAAATCATTATTTACATATCTGTTGTCAAGGATAGGGTTTAATACACATATCCATTCTTGATCAGTATCTTCATAAAAACTTTTGCTGATACAGTTCTTAGCAAAGCATAGGCCTTAACTTAATATGATTATTCTTTAAAATAGAACTGCTTGAAGAATTCTGTTATAAATTTTCTTACAGCTTTTTCATTTTTGTACCTTCGTTTAGTAACACTCATTTATTACCATTGGGGTCATATCTTAGCTGCATTAATGGAATTTCTGGTTTTAACATTGAGTTTGTTATCTATTGCAGAAGAAGAAGTGCTTATATTTACAACTTTTCAATTTATAATTCAACTATGTAGTTGGAATGTATACTTAGAGTACATTGAGGAAAGTTTTCTTCTCTTTTCTAAAGCTAAAACAAATTTCAAACATATACAAAAGTATATAGCTGCAACTGTTAATCAATATTTGCAAATTTTAGAAGAAGCTTTTCTTAACTTGTTTCATTTTTCAATGCCCTTGGTGTAACAATAGCTCCTCAGTGTATTTCTGTGTGTTTGGTATGATGATATAGTGAAGAATATTGTTATATTTTATTAGATATACATATATTATTAAATATCAACATAAGTTGAAAATGACACGTGTGTAGTGATTGAGATAAACAATGAAAGCCATTTATTTTATTAAATTGGAAAAAAGGGTTTACTTTTACCAACTTTGTGAATATTACTTGGCAGATTTTTAATCCTGGGCTAGTTTTATCCAGCTGCTATATATTGAGACAATGTGTTTAGGTTTTAATGATAGTCTATCCCATACATAATGCTGGTTATTGTCTGCCCTTATTCCACTTGCCTTCAGTTAGTCCACAATACTGCTGTTGGTTTGGTAATTTCTTTGCTGTATTGCCCCTAGAATAGAGTCCAGACTCCTTTCATGGCATCCAAGTCCCTTCATAAGCTGTCTTCAAACTGCCTTTGAGGCTTCATCTCCACCATGCCGTGCCGTGCACCAGCCCCACTGGACTTCTCACCTTTCCACTGACTGTGCTGCACCCTTCAACTTTGCCATTCCTGTGTGCTTTTTCTGTGAAGGCTTCCCTCATGCCAGTGTTTATCTTCCTTCCTGTGTTCTCTTAGCGTTTTGTGCTTTCATCTCTTAAACATGACCATGGCCTTATATATTTACGTATACATGTCTCTCTCCCTTGTTTCGACCTACCTGGGATAAGTGCTTTGTATAGCTTTTTATTTTTGTATTCTCAGACTTCTAAGTCTGTCTAGCCACCAAATTGAATTTACTAATCACTGGGATATTAGCTGTAAGATCATTGCAGCCTTTTAACTTGTGACCCTAAAATAGGAAACCTTTAATATTTTGATTTAAGGAATTGATTTTAATTGTTTTAGAAACCACTCAAGAAGGTTATTATTGAAGAAACTGGTAATTTGATACAGACTATTGATGTGCCAGATAGCACTACTGCTGCTGCTCCAGAGAATAATCCTATTAATCTAGCAAATGTAATAGCAGCCACAGGCACCACAAGTAAGAAGAATTCAAGCCAAGATGACCTTTTTCCCACAAGTGATACTCCAAGAGCAAAAGTATTGAAAATAGAAGAAGTCAGTGATACTTCATCCCTGCAGTGAGTAGAAATACTGTTATTTGCTGATCATCCAGAATGGGTTAATTCCAATGGAGAATTGATATTACTGAGACTTCTGATTTGTACTCATCATGCTAATTTTTTGAACTGCCTAACTTAAGTTTCTAGCTTTTCTTTTTTGTTTGTACTTATTGTAAGGGTGATTTTGCTTAAAGAATGATTACTATTTTTTTTTTAACCACAGTGTGAAATTTAAAGATAAGAAGGTATCTTGAAAATTGATTTTGTTTAAAAATTTTCATTTCTAGGATTTCAGTTTTATTATTTAGTTCAGCAAAATTTTAGTTTTTTAAAAGGAAGCTTCATAAAAATGTAGAATTTATGGATTGCCATTATTTCATCCATTAGTATTTAAGACTGTTGTGGACTCTAACTTTTGTTTGGCATTTAAAAAATAGTTTATGTGTTTTTTCTTGATAATGAGAATATAGAAGATATAGACTAATTAGGTTCATTTTGAGGTATGGAAACCTTACTCATATATTTTTACATTGCCACTCAACAAACCTGCTAAAAGTTGTTTTTTTCTTTTAAACTTTGAACTTTAGTAGTACTTTTATTTAAAGTGATAGTATAGATCATGGGACAATACTATATAGGCAGTTTTTTTTGGAAGAAGCATTTCTTCCTTTTTGGAATATCTTGAAAATGATCATTTAGATCTTTGAAAGGCTAAATCATTAGTGTATGTGACATGGTAATTGAAATATATAGAAATGGTATACTCAAAAGGTGGATAGGTTAGCTGCCCAGCAGAGGAGAATAGTCATTACATAGCCAGCATGTGAAAATTTGCAAGAGCATAATCTGTTTTGCCAAAAAATGTTTATATATTATTAGCTGAAATAATTGAATGCTTGTATAATACAAATAGATAATACAATATTAATAGTCAAAAATTTAAAAATTTTTATTGATGTCTCCTTGATTGAGCTATGATTATTTATGGTTCTTTTCTGTTTGATACCTCTGAAATATTTCAGACCTCAAGCCAGTTTGAAGCAGGATGTATGTCAGTCTTACAGCGAGAAAATGCCCATAGAGATAGAACAAAAACCTGCTCAGTTTGCCACAACTGTTCTTCCTCCAATTCCTGCAAACTCGTTCCAGCTCGAATCTGATTTCAGACAATTGAAAAGTTCTCCAGATATGTTGTATCAGTATTTAAAGGTAAGAGAGAGGAAGGTAGTACTTCTGTTGTAAGTAAAAGGTCAGAGAACTTCTGTCACTTTATAATAATGGTGCCGTATTTGCTTTTTATAGGATATTATTGTAGAAATTATTGTAGAATACATCACCCTGGTCAGACCATTTAAAAATATTTACAACCAGGGAACCTTGATGTTCTCCTTTGGCAATAGATTCTATGTCAAATTCTATTGTCTCAAATAACGTAATCTAATTTCATATATATTAGCTTAAGCTTAATCCTTCAAAAAAAACCCTAAAATACATTGAGTGTCTTCTGTGTGCCAAGCAGTGCTTGCAATATGTAGGCAATCATTCTTCTAATATTTGCTTTAAGAAAAAGAATCAAATCCCATGAAATTTAGCAAATAATGAATTAGCATGGTCCTTTTCAAGTGTAATGAGAGTAACATTTCCTAATAATTATGCAATATAAAATTACTTCCAAATACGTTTTCTCATGTAATTCTACTTTTAAAAATCTCTAGTTATATTTATTGCTCTTTGAGAGCCTTTAAAGTTTCCTGTCTCTCTTAGGATGGTGTATATCTCTTCTGCTCATAAGATTTTTCTGTGACTAGAATAGAGTGATTATCATGCAGTTCCTGTAACTTTCATTCTTCTATCATAATTGCATTTTAATGTGACTCCATTATTATTCATAAGTGCTAATGCATAGTAGTTATTCTTTTCTTTTTGTTTTGGACGGAGTTTTGCTCTTGTTGCCCAGGCTGGAGTGCAATGACGCAATCTCAGCTCACCGCAACCTCTGCCTCCCAGGTTCAAGCAATTCTCCTGCCTCAGTCTCCGAGTAGCTGGGATTACAGGGATGTGCCACCATGCCCGGCTAATTTTTTGTATTTTTAGTGGAGATGGGGTTTCTCCATGTTGGTCAGACTGGTCTCGAACTCCCAACCTCAGGTGATCCTCCCACCTTGGCCTCCCAAAGTAGTTATTCTTTACTATTTTTACCCAAGCAATTGTTGTGTAATTTGTGATATGTAAGTGTTGCCATCAAGTAATTGTCTTTTTATTTTTTTTTCAAGCAAATTGAACCATCTTTGTATCCTAAGTTGTTTCAGAAAAATCTGGATCCAGATGTATTCAACCAGATCGTTAAAATTCTGCATGACTTTTACATTGAGTAAGTCAAGTTTTTTTTAGTTATACAGTAAGTCCTCACTTAATGTTATTGATAGGTTTTTGGAAACTGCAATTTTAATTAAAATGATTAAGACATAGGAACATAAGTCTTGTTTATGTCAATTGGCCTATGGTAAAATTGGTTTGTTTATACAGTATGCCGTTTTACATAAAGTCACAGTTTTCCTGAACCTATTGATGATGTTAAGTGAGAATTTACTGTACTCTTATGATGCTATGCTATTTCCAATGATTTGGGAAGTTGATTCTCTTTGAATGTATATAGCAAATTAGCAGCATATAGCAAAGTTAGCTTTCTTGTAAGTTTCATTGTTAGAGAAGTTGCAAGGAAATGACAAGTACAGACAATAAAAAGGGAAAAGTTTAAAAGGGAGGAAAAAGGACTCTAATTTTTTTGTAGAGAAAAGTAGGGTATGGAAATGACCAGTGTTTTCACAGAATAATAGTTTCCGTACTAAGCTCTCATTTAAGAATATTGTAATTTCTTCAGTTGACTTGATAAATCTCTTCATTTGGGCATTTAAAATACAGGTATCCAGGGGAAAAAATGATGTCATTTATGTATAATTAGAAGTATTGTGTTAGTAAACAGAATTATTAATAAATGAGCTGCTTTTAACTGATCATTTGTTTCTATATTTGGATTATTTCAGGAAAGAAAAGCCATTACTCATCTTTGAAATCTTACAAAGACTTTCTGAACTAAAAAGGTTTGATATGGCAGTGATGTTTATGTCAGAAACAGAGAAAAAGAGTAAGTTCTATGAAAGTTTTCCCATGTTTATTTTTGTACATTCCTGTATTCATTCAACAAATAATAGCTGACATTTATTGACTACTTATTGTGTATAAGGTTATATTTAATTAAATATTTATATTTAAATTGGATGATATTAAATTATATTTAAGTTAATTAAATTGGATAACAAGAACAGTTAAAATTGTTTTGTTAGTCCTGACAATATTATGAAGTGTAGGTACTGTTTTCACTCTCCTTTTACAGAGGAGGAAACAGGTATAGAGAGGCTAAGAAACTTGCTAAGGTCACATAGCTAGGAAGCCAGACCTAGGATTCGAACCCAGGCAGTCCAACTCCATAGTCTGAGCTCTTCTACTTGAAAACGCAGTAAATGGTATAATGGTGGAGTTCCTACTGTTACTATGTAAAGGATCAAAGCCACAGGACCATGTAACTGGGCGAGGTACAGGAAAGGTCTGATCCATTCTGAGAGAGGTAATTTCCTTGAGTTTGATTTTAGCTGAATTCTCAAAGAAGTGCAAGAGTCAGAGGAAAGGCTGGGCAAGAGAGTTTTAGACTGAAAGAATGATACATGTAGTGGTTCTGAGGCAGGAAAGAGCAAATTGAGTCCAGAGAATTTAAAATGGTATGGCTGGATTGTAGAATAGGGAGTAATGAGTGGCAGGTGATGAACCTGAAGAATTGTATTTCTTTTTTATTTCCACATCACAATTTTTGGCATAAAGAGTCCGTTTTGAGAAATCCTAATTAAAGTAAAATTGCACTATGCAGAAACTTCAGTTGCTCAGAGTTTTGGGCTATACTCATTTCAGGAAAAAAGAGAAAAGTCATTCACATACCAGTGTGTCTTTTTTTTTCTTTTTAATAATTAGCAAAACTCAGTGTACCATTTTCAGATACCTCCTGTACTAAACATACATGGGCTTCTTTTATTTCTTCTTTATCTTTTTAGCAGTGATGTTGAATGATTTTAAATCAATAAGAAAGATACTTTTGAAATTACACTTAGGGAAGTGGACATGTAATTTAGATATATATATTTTTTAGGCCAGGCATGGTGGCTCATGCCTGTAATCCCAGCACTTTGGGAGGTTAAGGCAGGAGGATCGCTTGAGACCAGGCTGGCCAACATGGCAAAAACCCCGTCTTTACAAAAAATACAAAAATGAGTTGGTTGCAGTGGCGTGCATCTGTAGTCCCAGCTACTAGGGGGGCTGAGGTGGGAGAATCGTTTCAGCACGGAAGGTTGAGGCTGCAGTGAGCCATGATTGTGGCACTGCGTTCCAACCTAGGCAACAGAGTGAGACTCTGTCTCAAATAAATAGTTAAATAAAAATAAAAAAATATATATTAAAATATATATATGTATATTTTAATAGCGAGGGTTTAAACCAAAAGTTTTGGTTTTAGCTTTAGTTAACCAGAAATGTTCCTTGAAATCCCTGAAAAATGTTACTGTTTCTTATTACTGTTTTGACCTCATCTTTTACCACTATTTTTTCAACCACTCTGCCCCATTATAGTGGTTTTATATAGCTTTTAATATACCAAACTGTCAGGCGGGTGCAGTGGCTCACGCCTGTAATTGCAGCACTTTGGGAGGCCGAGGCAGGTGGATCACCTGAAGTCAAGAGCTCAAGACCAGGCTGGCCAACATGATGCAACCCTGTCTCTACTAAAAATACAAAAAAAAAAAAAGAAAGAAAAAAATTAGCTGGGCGTGGTGGCAGACACCTGTAATCCCAGCTACTTGGGAGGCTCAGGCAGGAGAATCAATCGCTTGAATCCAGGAGGCATAGGTTGCAGTGAGCCGAGATTGCACCATTGCACTCCAGCCTGGGCAACAAGAGTGAAACTCTGTCTCAAAAAAAAAAAAAAAAAATTACCAAACTGCCAAACTTATTTTGGCCTCGAGGACTTTGGCTGTTCTCTCAACGTAGAATATCTTCCTACATATCTTCACTTGTGTGCTTCTTCATTTGGTTTTCACCTATCACCACTTCAAAGATGTCTTTCTTCACTGACCCCCCATGAACCTCTCTCTTCTTACCCTGCTTTATTTCTCTTCGTAATATATTACTAGCTGACAGTGGTTCATGTGTATGTTTATTATATCTCCCTCTCTAATAGAATGAAAGCTCCATGACAGCAGGAACTTTGTCTACCTCGTTCACTGGGCCTCAGTGCTAGCGCATAATAACCCCTCAGTGTCAGTGTGTTGAATGAATGAATTTACTGTTACTCTAATGTGATAAGTTCAAGGTATCCGAGAATGCAGGTGGGCTCTTCAGACTGGCTGACCAATAGTACTGTCTTGATGGGGTTTCCACTGTCTGCTAAGTTAAACATGGAAAGCGCTTAGAATGGTTCTGGCATGCAACCAGGTATTCAGTAAATACTTAGCTGTTGTTATATTTTATTATTGCCATTATCATTAATAACTGTTAGCTAGTTCTCCAGTTTTAATGTTGAGAAGCATGAACTATAAACAGTGTTTTCCTAATGTTGAGTGTCGACCGATCAGTGGTAGTAAATATGATTTTTTTGCGATTCATAATCTTATTTATTTATTTATTTATTTTTTGAGATGGAGTCTCGCTCTGTCGCCCAGGCTGGAGTGCAGTGGCTCGATCTCAGCTCACTGCAAGCTCCGCCTCCTGGGTTCACGCCATTCTCCTGCCTCAGCCTCCTGAGTAGCTGGGACTACAGGCGCCCGCCATCACTCGCGGCTAATTTTTTTGTATTTTTAGTAGAGACGGGGTTTCACCGTGTTAGCCAGGATGGTCTCGATCTCCTGACCTCATGATCCGCCTGCCTCGGCCTCCCAAAGTGCTGGGATTACAGGCGTGAACCACCACGCCTGGCCCATGATCTTATTTTTAACATGTAGTAGTTTTAATTTTGTAATATAAAAATATTTAACTGTCCCATCAAGTGTGATTTCATCAGTGTCATTGCTGTTTTTCATTTACAGTAGTGATGTAAAGTTTTCTTTTAAAATAAAATGATTTAGGTTTGAAAAACAGTTTAGTTGAAATAAAAATATTAAGTAAATAAAAATACACTTGTTACACAGATAGGGTAAACATTTTTAAGGTAGTACAGAATGAATTAAGTTTAATCTGCAAGATTAATATCATTGAGAATGCAGGGCAAATTTTATACTGCTAAAGCAAAATATTCCTGAAAGAACCATTGTTGGATTGCTATATAATTTTGTGTTCTCAGATTGGCTTTTTAAATATCTGAATTAGAATTTATAAACCTATGTATTGCTTTAAAATGTAAAATGTTTTTGACAAATAGATTGCTCCTTTTAATTTACATTTTGCTTGGTTTTTAAAAAATGAGATTAAAATGGAGAATTTCTTTTTCTTTTTCAGTTGCACGTGCATTATTTAATCACATAGACAAGTCAGGATTGAAGGATAGTTCTGTCGAAGAACTCAAGAAAAGATACGGTGGTTGATTTCCATTTTTGCTGAAATAATTGTTTTTGACTTTCATATGTAAATTTTTTCTACTGAAAGTGTTTTGCTTTTTAAGAAAATGAAATTATATAGCAGGAAAGGACTATCTTTGAACATAAGTTAATTAACTATAAGGTGAATTGTGATTTAACTAGTGAGAATTGTATTCAAGTGAACTCTGTTTTTCTGAAAATAAAAATATAAACAATGAGATACATTTGTAAGGATCAGCATTTTATTTTATGAGTCATTTTAAATGTTAAATTTAGATACATTCTTCAGTGACCCATAAATGTAACATTATTTTTATATTTTCATGAGTTTTTGTAACCACTTGCCAAAGCTGCTTCATTAGCATATGAATAATTACCTTTGTAAAGAGGAAGTTAAATAGATAGTGAGATCCTTTCTTTATAAAACTTTTAAATGTTATTGTGCCAATTCACTAACATGAAGTTATTTAGTTGCAGGGTATGTATGTATTTTTAGTATTTATGTTGAAAGAAAGAAGACTTTTAACTAGACTTTCAAACTAGGTTAATTGAAGTATCACAGTATTCTTACATTTTAATGCCATAGGGTTTTTTCCCTTAAGATATCCATGTTACATACCAGTTAAGGACAGATAATCTAATGCAAGGTGTAAAAATGTAAAAATTAGTAATGTTTAAAGTACTAATTAGCATATAGCCCATATGTATTTGTTGGATGTGAGTGTAGCGTTTGTAAACTTTTGAAAGTAGGGCTAGAACTCTGCTCATCCCTGTACTCTGCATAGTACCTAGCACAGACGTTTGCACATAGTTAGGTGCTCAACTGATACTTATAAAATTTAATTGAATTTGACGCAAGAATCATATTAAGTAAATGTTTAAAGTAGCAGCCTAGCAAATTTTTGGGCATGGTGTAAGCACTGGTAAAACCAGTTAATTTTAGAGACTATCAAGTTGTTAAAAAATATTAGGACACCATCCTTTAATTGTTATCAGCATCAATAAGACAGTTCAGTTTACAATTTTATACGATATTGTGGTTAATTTTTATTGCCATTATACATATTACTATTCTTATGAATTGTTTGAGAAGTAATCATAATTTATTTACAAAGATAATTTCTTCAGATTGTGGTATAAATTATTGAGATATGTTTGTAATTTGGATAGTTTGAATGCTTTAAAATACACTTGATAGAGTTTATTAACTTTGTTTATTGCTAAATGTATTATGATATATAAACAGGCAATTGAATTTAGCTTTTTATCTGCTATGATCTGAATGTTTATATCCCCCACAAATTCATATGTTGAAATCCTAACCCTGAAGGCGATGGTCTTCGGAGGTGGGGCCTTTGGGAAGTGATTGGGTCAAGAGGGCAGGCCCTTGTAAAAGAGGCCCCAGAGAGCTTGTTCACCAATTACACCATGTAAGGACACATAAGAAGGCACCATCTACGAACAAGAAGGTGGGCCTTCACCAGACACCAGAGACCAGAATCTACTGGCATCTTCATCTTGGACTCCCCATCCTCCAGAACTGTAAGAAATAAATTTCTGTTTTTATTAATGTAAGCTACCCAGTTTGATATTTTATTATAGCAACCCGAATGGACTACGGTATGATCCTTTGAAGAAACTTACAAGGTAGTCAGGGCAGGTAATGTTATTGTCATTCTTAACATAAGAAAAGGAGGCTCAGAGGGTTAATGTTCTCTGCATGATTATAGAGCTAAAAATTGGCCAAAACAGTTCAGAACGTGCTGTCTTCTCTTAATGTAGAGCTATTTGAACTACTTCCAGCTGCAGTTTTTATGTTGTGTTACCTGTGTAGAGACTGTTAACTGAAGAAGTACAGATCACAAGATTTACTATAGAATTTGAATTTTAAAAAATTTCTGATGTTAGCCTGATTTCTCCCCAGAGACATTTTCATGTAGTGATTTAAGACCAGAGGCTCTGGATTCAGACTTCTTGAGTTTGAATTCTGGCTCCATCTGGCTTTAGGGCCTTGGACAAGTTACTTTTCTATTCTTTGTTTTTGAAATCTGTAGAATGGGTATAAGTGAGATTGAATGAATGCACACATTTTGTTTTTGGAGCAGGGCTGGATGTATAGTAAGCTACTGTTACTATTATTATTACAATTACCAACATTTCCTAAAAGTGATTAGAATAAAGAACAGTCTTTAGGGGCTGTCATATTGTTGCCTTATTGCAAAATAGCATAGTGGTTAATAAAGTCATTTTTGGGTCAAATAACCTGCGTATACAACCTATTGCACTCAACTAGCTTGTGAATTTGGACATACTGCTTAGCACCTCTAAGCTTCCGTTTCCTCTCATATAAAATAGAATATTAGTAAATGCCTACCTCAAAGATTTTTAGAAAGGCTAATACTTATAAGTATTAGCACATTAATGCCTGTCACATAGTGCTCAGTCATTTTTATTAATAATAGTAATATTATTGCCTTAAAGGTATAAAAGCAGTATTTTCCCAAGTGGTTTCTTTCTGGAAATGTAGTTATTTACTGTTAATTGTATCTTTTGACTTGATAGCAACATTTACATCATAATTATTCTTGAATTGTTGGCAGAAGCACCATGCCCGTCATTTATTGGCTGCCTCCGACTCTGGTTTTAGTTACACTCAATTTAATAAATTGATGGGGCATATCCAAGTCCTCACCATTTTAACAATTTGTGCTAACGCATTTGAAAAAAATTTTACTTCCAACCTCTAAATCCATTATCTCTGTTAACAGGAGGCATTTCTGAACACAGTACCAAGGCTCATTTTACCTTTTTACAATGCTTTCTTAATGTTTGACCTTTATCAGAGTTATGTTTAAAGAAACATTAAAAATTTAATGTTAATGAAACTTGTTTGATTCATTCATTTAATTAATTTAACAAATATTTGTTGAATCTACATATAATGCCAGGCACTGCTAGGCACTGAAAATACAAAAATGAACAAAGTAAACATGGATTCTTTCCTCACAAAACTTACAACGAAGTGGGAGGTGGAATGGGATGGTGGGGATACAAATAAAGAGGTACAGCGTAATAAATGCTAAACAGGTAATACTAAGGGATCATGGGAAATACCAGGAATAGCAGATGCAAAAGACAAGACAAGTTTGAGAAAACTTAAGTTTAATTTTTAGCACAGAGTGGGAACTGGATTGTGGTAAGAAATGAGGCTGGTGAAGACAGAAGGGTTGAGATTCTAGAGGACATTTGAACTTCATCCTGAGGGTACTGTGGAACTAGTGATAGTTTATATAGGAGGGTGATTCTGAAATTTGTATTTTATAAAATTTACTTTGGCTACTATGGGAAGAACAGTTGCCTGGGGACATTAGAGACAGGGGAACTTGTCAGAGGACTTGGGGTACCTAAGGCAAGAGATTATGGTATCCTGAACAAGAGTACTAGCCGTGAGGATGGAGAGAAGTGACCAGAATGGAGAAATATTTGGGAAGTAGAATGGGCAAGATTTGGCAGTAGATTCAGGGCCCCCACATTCAGGGCTTAACTCCAAGGAGCACCCTTTACATTGTGGTCTGCGTGAATGGCATCCCTGGAACATAATGTGAATGCTTCCTAACTTGTACAATTTGGTGATCCTGTGTGGGCTGGGAAGCAAGTTGAGAAGCAGAAGGAAGCATTAATGGTCATGCCCAGATTTTTTTCCCCTAGGGCAGTGCTTTCATTCACTAAAATATAAACCACAGCGGGTGACACCATATGTGGAACTGGAAGGTTTGGTTGAGTGGCTGAGAGAAAGGTCCAATTTGGGATCTGTTGGATTTGTGATCCCTTTGGTCATTGAAATAGATTAGGGATGGTGATTTGGGTTTGGACATTAAAAAGCATTTAGGTGAAGTCTCAGGATTAGATGAGATTACTTGGAAGTATAGAATCAGGAGAAAAGGGTGACTGGGTAAGTGGAACAGAACTAACAACCACATTTAACAGATTGGAAAAGGAGCACATAAAGCAGACTAGGGAGAGTGGGCACAGAGAGGGTGACGTTGGCAAAAAGCACGTGATGGAATTAAGTTTTTTGTTATTGATAATTTAAAAGCTTTGTCTTCATAGCTAATTATTGGTTCTGTCATGTAAGTTTTTAGGATTGTTGCCAAGTTTGAGAAAATCTCTACCGTGTTTCTTTTGTATTTGAGCCATATGATTCTGGGGTTTATATGAGTATATATTTCTGGTAAGGCAGAACTCCCATTTTGACCAGGCATCCATGAAGCATCCTGTTACAATACATGTCTGAAGACTGAGAAGTATCTCCACAGATTAGCTTTGGGATCCATACATTACAAATCTTGTCCACCACTGCACATGCACTTCTGGGGCTGGTTACTGTCTAATGCATTTATATCATGGTTCAACTTCTGGCCTAAAACTGGAAAAGTTGATGGCATGGACAGTAGTAGGAGTATCGCTAAAATCTTCCTATACTGAGATGGCGAGCAGTAATTCAACCTGGTACAAAAATGACTGCAGACCATGTAAATATATTCTGTAACACTCAGCTACTTCATAGTCTAGATCTCAAAACACTAGGTGCAGGGAAGTTAGAGTAGAAAGGGACAGCAGTCTAGATTGATTGTGGTTAAAATATATTAGTTTTGAAATTTAGTTTGAAAATGTAGTTTGCAAAAACATAGTCATGTAAACACTTCCCTATAGCCCCTCTCAGGGTGGAAGTGGCCTGTACAAGTGAGAGTTCCTGGGGCTTAAGCCTTTGTTAACTTCAGGGTAAATCAGCTGTTTTCTCAGTCCATAACCCTGAGGCCTATGAGTATTTAGCAAGCATCTCTTCTTTTGCAACACCAGAGGTTTTGGATGCACAGTCTATACATCTCAACTATCAAATTTGTGAACAACTGAAGGCTTATGCCTTTTTAGGGCTTGATCTGTCTGGTATCGATTTTTCATTTTAGGTATGAATTACAAGAGCTAGCACTGAAGAGGTTATTTTAGAGTGTGGGCCTTGAGCCCATGCCCTTCTATCTTTTCTATTATCTTGTATCCTGATGTCCTCTATTTTCTGAGGCTCCTCCCCTGACTACAAGCAAGTCTGGATTTCCCTGCTTAGAGGAATGGTCCTTTGACCCTGTCCATGTCCTCTCTCTCTTCTGGCTATCCCCAGTAGTTCTGTGATGGTAAAATTAGTCATTTTCCCCTTAGTTCTTACTGTCCTTGACCCCCTGTAGCATTTGACCTGGTTGGCTATCTTGGCCTTGGTGACATTTCACCCTGTTGGTTCCTTGCCTCCTCCTCATAGCTCTGTCTCTGTTTCCTTTTCATCTTTGTGTGTCTAGTCTAGTCCTTGGCCCTCTCCTCTCCCCTGACAGCTTGACTACTCAGAACCTCTACTAACAACTCCCACATTTGTTTCTTAATTGCTGTCCTTTTTCCCAAGTGCTAGTCTTTTTCCCTGGTTCTGTACTAACTGTTATTCCTTGGTGTGCTATTACTGACCAGAACCCAACATTGTAAATAGCAGCTCATTGCCCTTGCAATCCAGCAGCCCCATTCTAGCCGTCTCTCCTGACTGCCCCTCTTTTAATGTGGCCATTGTTGGTTCAGACAGAAATTTCAACCTTAGCAATATTTTTGACCGCTACTTCTTTTTGCCTGCATCCAGTCACTAACTCATGAAGTCCAGTGGGCTTTCCCCTTGCAGTGTCTGCCATGTGTCACCTCATGTCCTGAAGATGGCAGTAACCCCTACTGAGTCTCTCTGGCTGTATTCCTGTATAATCCACCTGTGTGCCTCTGCCAGCTAAATCTTCCTTTAGCATTGCTCTTATTATGTCACCTGTGCACACAGCCTGCAGGACACCTCACTGCTCATGAGACTTCTTGTGATGGCCATCTTCTGAGTTAAATGTTGGGACAACTTGTTTGACCAAGGGCTTTCTGATTTGTGGATTTAATTCTTAATTCAGCAACACATATTATGTGCCAGCTGCTATGCTAAGCCACAGCCTCTACCCTGAAGTATCTCAGTCTATTAGGGGAATTGGACAAGAAACATGAACTATAATAAAGGGTGGCAAATATAATGATAGAAGTCTAAGAGGCAGGACTCAAAGCTCAACTGGTAGGATTGAGAAAGGCATCTCTGCAGAGGAGCCATCTAGTCTCAGGCATGAAGGATTAGAAAGAATAATCCAGGCAGATGCAGGGAAAGCATGGTTTAGGTAGAACAGCTTGGAACAGAGGAGTATGAAAACAGGAAACATTTAGGGATTTGCAGGCAGTGGAGGTACTTGGGGCTTGGCTGTGGGGAGATGGTGAAGAAGTAGGAGCCAGATTATGAAAGGCCTTTGCTGTGACAAAAAGGCCAATTTTCTGAAAGTGATCAAGAATCACTCAAGGATTTCATTTTAGAGATAAGGAAACTGAGGCATATATAGGTTATATAGTTTGCCCATAGACATCTGATTAACAGGTGGTGGAGCAGTAAGACTACTGTACCAAGTAGTCTGATTTCAGAAGCCACATGCCCAACCACCATTCTATGTTATTCTTTTGGATGTATAAAGAAGACAGGATGGATTTTTATTTCTTGTTTTTGAGACAGAGTCTTCCTGTCACCCAGCCTGGAGTACAATGGTGCGATCTTGCTCACTGCAGCCTCAGCCTGTTGGGTTCAAGCGATTCTCCAGCCTCTGCCTTCCAAGTAGCTGGGATTACAGGGATGCGCCACCACACCCAGCTGATTTTTATATTTTTAGTAGAAACGGGGTTTCACAATGTTGGCCAGGCTGGTCTCGAACTCCTGACCTCAAGTGATCCACCCCGTCTTGGCCTCCCAAAGTGCTGGGATTATAGGCATGCCCAGCCGTCAAGATGGATTTTAAAAATATATGTAGGTGGGAAAATCCACAGGACTTCTGGGCATTCATTCATTCAAACACTTCTTAAGTGTCTATAATGTACCCAGTAGGGGATTAAGCATCAGAAAACAGACATAACTTCTGTCCTTCAGTAACACACAGGGTAGCTGGGGAGTCAAATAAATCTGCAATTACAGCACAGTGTCATGAGTGCCCTAATAAAGGTTTGGAAAGAGCACAAAGGGCAGCTCTGAATCAGACTGGGTGGGACAGGGAAGGAAGAGGCAGCATTTGCTATGAGACTTGAGAAGGATGGTCCAGGTGCACAGGGGGAAGGAGATGTCCAGGTGGCAGGATCAGCATAGGTGAAGGCCATGTATTAATAGCATAGTCATGAGCACCTTGACTTGACCTTGGGGTGTAGGCAGTTCTGTATACTGTGGAAGGTGACATGGGGGATAGAGTTTGAGTTGACTGGTACATTTTCCCTTCGTTTTTTATTTGTTAATTTTTCATGTGTGCACATAACTAGATTTTAAGCTCCTGGAGGGTCGTGACATCATCTTAGATGTCATTAGTGCTAACATTGGCCTTCTCTATGGCAGATGCTCAGCTGTTTATTGAGTGATCAGTCTAGATTATTATGACATTAGGCTAGAATTAGTGAGTTTCTCCTCTTACTGTGGTTATTTAATGTAGGACTGTCAAATCTAATTCATGAGAGAATTATACTCTTCACGACTTTTTCATTGTAATCACTTAAAGAGAAGAAAAATGAAGCCACACATGATATAGGCTATCCCAATCAGTTTAATTCTACTTTGTCAAATAATAATTTGGGGCAACAAAAAGACTTAGTTGAAAAGTTTTTAACATGATTGTTTTGTTGAGCTTATGTAAGTTTAAAACTTATTTCCCATCAAACATGAGGATGAATAGCTTCACTTCAATTTAGTCTTAATGGCAGCCTGTCTAGCGATAAGGCTTTTAAGATTTGTGACATCTTTAAATTTTATATAGCAGTAATTTTAACCTAGTAGCAGCAAGGAGACAAAATTCCTTACATTCCATCTCTGAAAATGACCACTCCTAAAGTAGGAACACCTCAGGGATCTGGGAGCCTCCATTAGCTGATGCTTACAATTAGAGTTTGAATTAAGCAAAAAAGGCCTCTTGGTAATTTTATTTAATAAACGCTGTTCACCTACTATATTTTTTTGCTATGGTCTTAATGTCTGTGTCTCCCTAAACATTAGTTGAAAACTAATCCCAAGTGTGATGGTAGTAGGAGGTGGGACCTTTGGGAGATGATTAAGTCATGAGGTCAGAGCGCTCATGAATGGAATTAGTGACCTTATTTAAAAAAAAAAGAAGCCCCAGAGAGCTACCTTGTCCCTTCTCCCATGGGAGGTTATAGCAAGAAGATTATTAACCCTCACTAGACATCAAATCTGCCATGATGTTTGACTTCCCATTCTCTAGAATGGTGAGAAATAAATTTTTGTTATTTATAAGCTACCCAGTTTATGGTAATTTGTTACTGTAGCCCAAATAGACTAAAACAAATTTAGAATATCCATTTATATTTTATAATAGACAAAACACCAAACAACAATAACAGACCCAAGGTTTATGTGTGTATGAAGCCCTGCTCTGGTGTCCTGCTGAATGCAGCTCTGGAGGAGGCTGTGGTTAACACTGCAGGGGCTTCCAGAGGGCTTGGCCTTGGGTTCACCTGGAATCTGCAATCCTGGATGCCTATCCCAGGATCCAGGTATGTGGGTAGTGTACCTAAGTAGAAGACCCTCCTTCAGTGTGTTTGACTTCTGTGATCACAAGCAGCCAGTCAAATGGGAGGTAGGAGACATTTCCCTTGTGGCTTATGGAATCAGTACTGTGCTTTTGCAGTACTGGTGCTGGGCTGATAACTGCAAAGAAGTAAGACTGTGAGTGATGAAAGGCTCAATCAGGGGTTTGATGATTCTGGAGGTGGTGGTCTGGGGAACAGACAGGGAAGGTGGCATGGAAGAGGTGGGGTCTGAGGAGGCCTAGAAGGATGGGTCAGATCTGGTTTAGGTGGAGGAGGGTTGATGGCTTCTCTTAACAGGATCCATCTTAACTTCTGAGAGATACAGATGGATAGCAGAATAGTAGGATGGGAATTGCTGTGGCACCTTTCTTGAATGGCACATCAAAGCCCAGACCTGTTCACTCAGGAGAGATCTTGGGATGGAGAACAGTGGTAGAATTGTTATTTGGTTTGTCTCTTAAAGATTCTTAAATTTTATGTGACACTTCAGCATTTAAACTTCATGCTGTCGAAATACCAACGTGAGAGGTCAGAGGAAAAGAAGATAAAGAGTGCAGGCACTCAGGCAGTTGACATGGGTAAAACTAAATATTTGGGCCTCACTAGAATCTTTCTATTGGTTTACTATCTCTTCAGAGAATAGTGTAAATGAGGAAGATATGCCTGAGTCCTGGGGTCTATTTTAACCTACCACTTATAGCTTGCTTTATTGACATTTCAGATCACCCAAGCCAGTGAACACATTCATGATGATCCTGAAGCTGATCGTGGGGGAAAATGTTTTATAAAACTAGGGGCATCCTTTGGGTGGATGAAACCGATGAAATCAGGATGAAACAAGCAGATTAATAAGGGTTGAGCATAGGCCATAAGAAATATTAAAAAACATATAAAACTGTCATCAATGATAAAATATTCTCCGCTACTAACAAGTTACTGAAATATATCAAACGTTCTTCTGATCCTTGGCTGGTTCTCTTTGAGGAATGAGTCGCTGCAGTTAGTTTCTGCCACCTCGGGATGGAGACCAGTGGGCTCCGGGCAGAGCACTGAGGAGGCACTTGCTAAATGTTCACTGAATGAAAAGCGAGTAAAGCTGGAGACTGTTGTGGCCATGCATTGTCCATGAACACCAGGCAAAAGTTATAAATTAATTTGATTGTAAATTAATTTGATATTATAAAAGGAAAACTAAAACCATTCTGTAACCAGAGTAGTGGAAATACACGAAAATAGATGACTCCGTCATACCATCGATCCTGTACTAGAACAGAATTTGCAATACCATTTAGAATACTTCTGGAACTCTGTCCCAGTAAGAGCAATAGAAGATGAGCTTTTATCACAACAAAGTGCTCTGAGCTGTATAGTTTTCTTGACTTGTTTTTTTTTTTTTTTTTTTTTTTTTTGAGACAGAGTCTTGCTCTATTGCCAGGCCTGGAGTGCAGTGGCACAATCTCAGCTCACTGCAACCTCTGCCTCCTGGGTTCAAGCAATTTTCCTGTCTCAGCCTCCTGAGTAGCTGGGATTACAGGTGTGCACCACCACGCCCAACTATTTTTTGTATTTTTAGTAGAGACGGGGTTTTACCATGTTGGCCAGGCTGGTCTCGAACTTCTGACCTCAGGTGATCTGCCTGCCTCAGCCTCCCAAAGTGCTGGGATTTCAGGGGTGAGCCACCATGCCTGACCCTTCTTGACATTTTCAGTTTATCTTATTTGACCCTTGCAACTGTGTTCAGTGAGATATTTAGAGCAGCTGTTACTTGGATAGGAAAACAAAGAGCTGAAAAGGTTAAATTACATGCCCAAAGTTATGTCAATAATGACATAACTCAGACTCTGTGCTGTTTCCAGTAACCTCTATCAGGTCCCCTCTTATGGAATCCAGTAATGATGTGGACTTTACTGAGTAAACCCCTAGCACTGCAAACCATTGAGTGTGGATTCAGTGGTGCTACAGACTGAATGTTGTGTCCTACCCAAAATCCATATGTTGAAATCCTAATCCCCACTGTGATGGTATGTGGAGACGGGGCCTTTGGGAGGTAACTGGGCCATGAGGGTGGAGCCCTCATGCTGGGATTACTACCCTTATTAAAAAGGAACAGGAAAGAGCTGCTTCTTCCCCCACCCCACCCCCGTTCTCTCTGGCTCTTTTTCTGTCTGTCTCTGTCCTCTGCCACGTGAGGATACAGTGAGACAACAGCCATCTGCAAACCAGGAAGAGGGCCCTCACCAAACACCAGGTCTGCTGGCTTCTTGATCATGGACTTATCAGTGTCCAGAACTGTGAGAAATAAATGTTTCTTGTTTAAGCCACCCAGTGTATGGTATTCTTAAAATAGCCTCCTGAACTAAGAGACATGAAAACTAGAATTGGTCTGCCTATCAGTGGGATTATAAATGTGCAGTGTATTTTAAAGAGTTGATCTCCAAAGTACAGTACTTAGCACGTAATATGAAGTTAATAAATGTTTGCTAGATAAAGGAACGAATGCAGGCAGTATAGAATGAGAATGAAGTATCCAGATGAAGCCTTAAGTTTGGCTGAAAGCACTTGTCTGAACATTTAAAGACCTTTTCATCATCAATGAGGATTATTTTAATTCCCTTTTATAGGATTGTGTTCAGAGTGTTCCTCCCCAAAATGTTTTTTGAATACCAAATGAATGTAAAAAGGAATAGGGTTATAATGTTCTGTTTCTCATGTGGAACTCCCTTGTTCATGGCAGTTCAAATAGACTAATATTAGCTAATATTTATATACATCCTACTGTGTGGCAGGCACTTTACCAAGGGTTTTGCATATATTATCTCAATCCTAGAAACATGCAGAATAGGTTTTCCTGTGAAGCTGGGGGTCAAGCAGAAGCTAGTCTGACTTAGACGCTCATATTCTTCCTCGTACACTGCAGTGGTTGCTGAGCCACTGTCAGGATAACACAAGAGCACAGCGGCTGGA
Organism: Homo sapiens; assembly: GCF_000001405.40. Lineage (NCBI taxonomy): Eukaryota > Metazoa > Chordata > Mammalia > Primates > Hominidae > Homo > Homo sapiens. Next base: position 47,651,864 of record NC_000012.12, on the reverse strand, counting down.
GAAGGCAGGCTGGCAGCTGGCATTTCTTCGGTATTACTACCACCTACTGGATGTTCAGAAAATAACAGTATGCATGTGGCAGAAAGCATTCTGATAGGAATAAAAATGAAAGTGAATTTTAATTTCTTAAGATTTTCGGCCAGGCGCGGTGGCTCACGCCTGTAATCCTAGCAGTTTGGGAGGCCAAGGCGGGCAGATTGCCTGAGCTCAGGAGTTCGAGACCAATCTGGGCAACATGGCAAAACCCCATCACTACTAAAATACAGAAAATTAGCTGGGCATGGTGGTGCATGCCTGTATTCCCAGCAACTCCGAAGGCTGAGGCACGAAAATCACTTGAGCCTGGGAGGCAGAGGTTGCAGTGAGCTGAGATTGCACCACTGCACTCCAGCCTGAGCAATAGAGTGAGACCCTGTCTCAAACAAAAAAAGATTTTGACTGCTTAGTATCTGTAAAAGTCTCCTTCTAGTGCATATAGCAAAAATGAAGATGTAATCTTTGATCATGTTGTTCAGTATTGAAACCTGGGAGGAGGATATAGTGAAAGGAGGGAGTACGGCAGACAGTTTGTTACGGCAAGTTCATTCAGCCAGCATACAGGTCCTGGTGGCCTTCTCTGTGCCAGTCACTGTGGTGGTTGGCTTGAGTAGTTGGCAGACAGGAAGGGATGTCAGTGCTTATTTGGGCCCTGTTATGAGACATTGGATTTACTCTGTCCTGTAGCCTGACAGTCCTGGGCCACGGTCACGTAGGGAAGCTGTGGAATCATGGTGGAGTGTCCAGACAGGGAGCATACCTCAAAGTCAGTGCCTAACTATGGCTAGGTCAGAACTCCCATCTTCCTACATCAAGGACAGCCCCCTTCCTAATGTGTCACAAGGTCTTTCTAGGGACTTGTGGGGGAGTGTGTGGGCAGCATTTTTCCTCCCCTCAGTACTTCAGTGCATGAGACCTAGATTTAAGCTAAATATTGACTAAATTTTGAAGAGGAGGTGTCACAAAAATGCATTTAGAAAGGAATGTGCAGAAAGGGCTGTTCTTCCTTGAGAGAGGGGGGTGTGTGTGTGCATGGACATGGTGGGCAATGCTGTTTGTGTGTAATATTCAGGTCGGCTTTACTGGCCTACAGAGATACCTGCTTTTCTTCTACTTCCCCTTCTCAGTTTCTAACATCAGTGAGTCATTTTGATGTTTACTTTATGAGGCCTCTTTAAGTGGTAAAATACAGTGATTTTGTTTAGTCTCACTTGGATAATTGAATATGCATTTCTGTAACATCAGAGAAAAACTATATTTAACTATTAAGTCAACACAGACCCTGAATTATGATGAAGTAGCACACTTGCAATGGCAAAAAGCCAAGTTGACACCAAGAAGTGTCATAGTTTTGTGGTCATTGATTTGATTTCTCAAAGATTATGCCATGTTCAGTTATGTCTTTTCTACACTTTGTACCAAGCCTTTTGTGAGTGCTAAACATCTTTGAATTATCTGTGATGAGGTATTGCTCACTGGGCAGGTATTAGTTTATGAGGATGGTGAAAAGACCAAAGGAAAGGACTCACTCACAATTCTGTCCAACAATAAATAGAGTTGACTGAGATGGCAGTGTTTTTTTCCAGCTGAAGTTGCTACCTGGCTGGGTGTGGTGGCTCACGTCTGTAAGCCTAGCACTTTGGGAGGCTGAGGCAGGTGGATCACTTGAGGTCAGAAGTTCGAGACCAGCCTGGCCAACATAGTGAAACCCCATCTCAACTAAATATACAAAAATTAGCTGGGTGTGGTGACACGCACCTGTAGTTTCATCTACTCGGGAGGCTGAGGAAGGAGAATCTCTTGAACCTGGGAGGTAGAGGTTGCAGTGAGCTGAGATCACACCACTGCAGCCTGGCCAACATAGTGAAACCCCGTCTCAATGAAATACACAAAAATTAGCTGGGTGTGGTGACACGCACCTGTAGTTTCAGCTACTCGGGAGGCTGAGGAAGGAGAATCTCTTGAGCCTGGGAGGTGGAGGTTGCAGTGAGCTGAGATCACACCACTGCACTCTTAACCTGGGTGGCAGAGCGAGACTCTGTCTCAAAATGAAAAATGAAATTAAATTAAATAAAATAAAAAAATAAAAGTAAAATGTAAAATAAAATAATAAAATAAAGTTGCTATCAACCTTATTTTAACCCTAACATCCTACAATTCAAGACCTGGGGCAGTATTATCCATAGAGTCTGGCAGTAGTGGAAGCTCTGCATGGTTACAGACTTTATCATAATGTCCTCACCTCTGGCCCTGAACTAGCCAGCAACCTCAAAGTGCCAGAGGGTTCCTGCCAAATACGTTTCCCTCCTGGCTTGTCAGAATGCCTGAAAATCCTGTCCTAGACTTCTTAGAGACACAAACATTTTAAACTTAGCCCAGGTATTACTATAATTTGAAAATAGTAACATATGAGCTAATTTGTCCATTAACAAAGACGATTTTATTTTATCAGTCCCATGCTTTGGAGAGGAGGATCCTGAAGGAAACTAAAAGCAGGCCTCGGGAGGCAAAAGCCAAGATAGGGTTTAGGTTAAGTCAGAAGTGAAAAAGGATGATTTAACCGGGGACATGAAGCATAAAGAAAGTAGGTATAGATAGTCTTTTTACCTCCCACAGGCTCAGAGTTTTGCCTTAGTTGGGGCTGGAGAGGCTGAGATCCCAGGCTGATAAATTTGACATAGAGGTTTTCCTGAGTAGACTCAGTACTAGGTAATCATAACTTATGGCTCTGGTTATTGTTACCTCAGTGATAGATTGAGCTTAATGGAGGGTAGGGTTCAGTAGGATGTTGCAAGGCAGCTACCATGTGCCTTTAACTCCCACCGCAAACCAAATAGCAAAGCCATCTGAAGCCCGCAATTTGCTGGAAGGGCAGAAGCAAAAATAAAGAACCAGATTCAAATGAACTTCTGTAACTACCATCAGGATATCCTCAAGGGCTCTAGCTTTAGAGGGTCATCTGTCCCATTGATGCTGGAAAACATAACCTGAGCCTCTTTCTTGTGTCACTAGAAGATATCAGTCTTTGTTGGGTCCCAGCAACACCTACCTAGGGAGTGTTTACACACACACACAAATCCAGCCATACTGTTCCCTGTCAGCTCTCCTGTGGGCAGCTGCCCAGGCTTCCCTGCTGTGGTTGTAGCCTCGTTTCTAGGCTTCCTCTCCACCCCAGGCCTGCTTAACACCAGGCATGGATGCAGTCCCTTCCGTTAGCCTTCCAAACACAGCTGATACTAGAAGGCACAGTTTAACAATACTTTACCATATACTTGAAGATACCACTGGGGCCTTATGGGACACAAATGAACTTTAAAACCAGGCACCCCTGCTCCTGGAGTCCAGTGGCTGTACTTCTTTGCAAAAGTGCCCCTCCTTAAGCCCAGAATTCTCCACCAGTTGGCCTAAGCCAGATAAAGTGAAAACCAGTTCTCATCCTCTAACAGTCTCTGCAGAGCTTCACTACGCACTTGGTGAAGACTGGGTCAGCATCTGAGTCTGAAGCCTGTGCATGTGGATTACTCCCTGCTTTCAGGACTTCCCTGACCTGAAAGAGTGAGTAAGCATTTACCTTAGATCTGCTTAACCAAAACAAACTGTGTTTCCTAGAACAATGGGAGGATCTTCCCAATGGAAAAAGAAAATCCAGGAAACACAGGAATAAAAAGAATGCTTCTGATTCCCCAAATGTTGGCTTTAATTTTGTTTTCTCATGTCTGTTGCAGTGGGTACCTGGAATTCGATTTTGTCCTTTTTTACTCACCTTACCACTTTTTCCATCCGAGAATGCTTGATTTGGATAATCAGAGTAAGTCAGTCAAAATGTTCAAATTGGGTATAAAGTCTCTCAGGTGAATATCAGCCCTTACAATCTGAAATGTTATCAAGTCAAGCTACACTGCATGTTTGCCATCTCACTTTTCATTACACTTGATTTGTCCTTGTATTTGACAAAGAAGCAGAACAAAGTTTTCACCAACCAACCACATGACAGCATTAACCACCAGAGGATTTTGAACCTAAGCCTGGTGGAAATTCAGAAGCAAGGAAAATCGTGTAAGGCAATGAGGCTCCTTAGAGAAACTTCAAAGATCTTGTTAATAGGTCAGCTCAACTAACTGTAAATGACCTGAATTCAGGACTAAGATTTCCATAAATATAGTGATCAATGTTGATTTTAATTACATTACCTTTAACACTTGTTAGAAGGAAAGCAAAGAATCTCATTTTCATGTATAATTACTTTTCATAGATCTGATATGCTTTTTACTTAGCTTGGAGCAATGGGTCATTTTTTAAAGGACTACATTATTAGCTTTGATCTAATTTGCCTGGGCTGAGTTTAAAATGTTTGTGTTTCTGAGAAGTCTAAGACAGGATTTTCAGGCATGAGATGGCTCTGTGCTTTCCATTTTGGTACTTGGATGTGAAATTTTTTACCTCTTATTCCCAAGAAGCTGTCATGTATAATAGGGTGGTGCATTGTGAATTTCATGATGTATTCATTGGTCCACTACATTAAAACATAAAAACTGAATCTGAATTGTAGGAGTGGGGTCATATTATAAATTCATAAAAATTAAATTATTTTTATCAATCAAATAATGAATATTTAATATAATACTGGGCATTGGTGGTAAAACAGAAATTTTAAAAGCCATCATTGCTTAAAACCTGTAAGTGGGGTCATAAGGCTAATAAAAAGGAAACAAGACAAATATGTGTTAAATGAATTAAGAATTAGGATAAAGGAGAGATTACTGTGGTCTTAACATCAGCAAGAAGACTTCTTAGTGGGAGGTGATACTTAAAAAGTTTGGGGGGACTCCTAGGAAAAGATGGTGGATTAACCACATTTTTTCTTCTTACCTTTCCTCAGATTCTAGTAAAATAATAGTAAAGAATTACAAATGAATAAATCATAAACAGCAAAAAGAAGGGGAACTGCATTAGGAAACAAAAACTATTAATACATTTTAGAAAGATGAAGGTGGAGGGAGTTACAGAAAGGATTTGCATGAGGGAGCATGAGGAAAGTATTATGGGCTAAATTATGTTCTCCTCAAATTCATATGCTGAAGTCCCACCCCCCAGTACCTCAGAATGTGACTACATTTGGAGATAGGATCTTTAAAGAGGTAATCAAGTTAAAGTGAGGTCATTAGGGTAGGCCCTAATACGATATGATTGCTGTCCTTATATGAAGGCGATTAGGACACAGGCACATAGGGAGGGAAGACCATGTGAAGACACAGGGAGAAGACAGCCATCTGCAAGCCAAGGAGAGAGGCCTTTAGAAGAAACCAATGCTACTGGCACCTTGATCTTGGACTTCTAACCTCCAGAATTGTGAGAAAATAAATTTTTATTATTTAATCCATCCAGTCTGTGGTACTTTGTTATGGTAGCCCTAGCAACCGAGTACAGATGGTACTTACATTCTAGAACTCTTGAGAGGCTCTGGACTAGGGAACACTAGGTATAGTAAAGGGTGTATAGTCTGTTGGGTAAATATCAGCTGATATTTTGGGAAAATCTCAGTCATTGTTGCTTCAAATATTTCTTCTGTTCCTTTCTCTCTTTCTTCTTGTATTCCCATTATATGCATGTTACATCTTTTGTAATTGTCCCACAGTTCTTGAATATCCTGTCTTTTTCATTCTTTTTTGTTTCTGCATTTCAGTTTGGATATTTTGTGTTCTGCATTTAGGCCTATGGTCCATTTCGAGTTAGTTTTCGTAAAAAATTGCACTAGCTAATGCATTGGCTAGACCTTCCAGCATTATGCAGAATGAAGAATGGTGTGAATGAACATTCTGGCCTTGTACCTGATCTTAGGGAGAAAGCATTCATTCTTTTATCCTATGAAGTATAACTCTAGCTGTAGGTTTTTGTAAATATCCTTTATCAAGTTGAGGGAAGTTTCTTCTATTTCTTTTTCTTTTCCCTTTATTTCAAAAATAAATTTAGGAACAACTCTACCTTTTCTCTCCAGGAAAGTCCCCTCAATTTGTTACTCGGAGAGTTTTTATCAAGAATCTCTGTTGAATTTTTTCATAAGCTTTTTCTGTATCAATTGATATGACCATATTTCTTTGCATTAGCGCAATGTGGTAGGTTATATTGATTGAATTTTAAATATTGAATTAGCCTTGCATTCCTGGAATAAATTCCATTGGGACATGGTGTAGAATTCATTTTATATAATGCTGAATTCTATTTGCTAATACTTTGTGTCTGTGTTCATGAAGGATATTGTCTGGTTTTCTTTCTTTTTTAAATATTCTTTGTCTGGTTTTGGTATCAGGTTAGTATGATATTAAAAAATGACTTAAGAAACCTCTCCTCCTCTATTTTCTGGAAGAAATTATGTAGAATAGATGCTAATTCTTATTTAAAAAATAGGTCAAATTATCCAGTGAAACAGTCTGGGCCTACAGATTTATTTTTTAGGAGTTTTAAAATTATAAGTTAAATTTCCTTAATATTGTAGGCTATCCAGATTATCTATTTCATAATAGGAAATGTATGGTAATTTGTGTCTTTTGAGGTATTGATTATTTCTTCTGAGTTGTCAAGTTTGTGTGTGTAGAGTTTCTTGCAGTACTCCCTTATCATCCTTTGATATCTGTAGAGTCTATATGATAGTCTCTGTTTTACTCCTGATATTGGTAATTTGTGTCTTTTCTTTTTCCTCTGTATAATTTCAGTTCTTTTAAATTTGTTGAGGTTTGTTTTATTTCCCAATTTATGTTCTGTCTTGGTATATGATTTGCAGATTCTTGAAAAATCTGTTGATTCTGCTGTGGTGGGGTGGAATAGTTTATAAATGCTAACCTGTTGGTTGGTGGTATTGAGTTTTCCTGTATCCTTGCGGATTTTATGTTTAGTTGTTCTATCAGTTGTTGAGAGGGTATGGAAGCCTCCAGTTATAATTGTGGATTTCTCTTTGTCTTTTCAGTTATATCAGTTTTTGTTTCACATATTTTGCAGTTGTATTTTTGGGTGCATACACATTTAGAATTACTATGTCTTTTTAGTTGATTTATCCTATTGTCATTATGTAATGTCCCTCCTTGTTTTTGGTAATTTTCTTTGCTCTGAAGTCTACTTTATCTGATATTAATGTAGCCATCCTTGCTTTCCTTTGATTAATGTTTGCATGATATGTCTTTTTCCATTCTTTCACTTTCAGTCCTTTTATATAATTATATTTGAAGCAAGTTTGTTATAGACAGCATATAGTTGGGTCATGTTTTGCAACCCAACATGCCATCTCTGTCTTTTAATTTGTTTTTAGACCATTTACATTAAACATAATTGTTATTTTAGAATGTATGTCTACCATTTTATTTTTTGTTTTCTGTTGTTTTCATTTTTTTTGCCTTCCTGTGTGTTACTGTAATATATTTTAGAATTCCACTTTGATTGGTCTATATAGTTCTGAAAAAGTATATGTCTTAATTGTTTGGGTGCTGTAGGTATTACATTATATGTACATTACTTATTGCAGTCTACTGTTGTTATTTACCAGTTCAAGTGAAGTATAGAAACCTTACCTTCCTTTTTGTTCTGTCATCCTCCTCTACTAGTTGTCTTAAATATTTCCTGTACATACATTTAGAACCACATAGGACAATGCCGTGATTTTTGCTTCAACCTTCAAACATAATTTAGAAAACTCAAGAAGAAAAGAAAAACCTGTTGTATTTGTTCATAGTTTTTGCTTACTGTGTTCTTTCTTCCTAATGTTTCAAGTCCCTCTTTTTATTATTTTGTTTCTGTTTAGAGAACTTCCTTTACCCATTTTTTTGGGTAGTTTTGCTGGTGAAAAATTATCTTAGTTTTCTTTCGTCTGGTAATTTCTTAATATTTGTATATTAATAATTCCTAAAAGATATTTTTACTGGACATAGAATTCTTGGTTGGCAGTTGTTTTGTTCTGGTTTGATTTTTTGAGACGGAGTCTTGCTGTATCACCCAGGCTGGAGTGCAGTGGTGTGACTTTGGCTAACTGCAACCTCTGCCTCCTGGGTTCAAGGGATTCTCCTGCCTCAGCCTCCCGAGTAGTTGGGATTACAGGCATGCACCACCATGCCTGGCTAATTTTTTTCTTGTATTTTTAGTAGAGACAGGGTTTCACCATGTTGGCCAGGCTGGTCTTGAACTCCTGACCTCAAGTGATCCACCCACCTCAGCCTCCCAAAGTACTGGGATTACAGGCATGAGCCACTGTTGGCTGGTGGACAGTTGTTTTCTTTCAACACTGTAAAATATCATGCCACTTCTTTCTGCCCTACATGGTTTCTGATGAAAAATCTGTTTTTTTTTAATTCTATAGGTAAGTTGTCATTTTTCTCTGGCTGCTTTCAATATTTTAAAATTTGTATTTAGTTTTCAGAAGCTGGCATGGATTTCTTTCAGTTGATTATGTTTGGAGTTTGCCCAGCTTCTTGAATTTACAGGACTTTGTCTCCTGGCAAATTTGGGAAATTTTCAGCCATTACTTCTTTGAGTGCTTTTTCAGTCTTACTGCCTTTTTCCTCTCCTTCTGAAACTTTGATTACATGAATGTTATTTTTTAAATAGTCCCACAGGTCGTTGAAACACTGTTCATTTTATTTCAGTCTATTTTCTCTGTATTTTTCAGATTGACTAATTTTTATTGTTTTTTCTCTCAATTCATGATTTCTTTCCTGTGTTTCCTCCTCTTACTATTGAACCCATCCACTGAGACTTTTATTTCCATTATTTTATTTTTGAATTTTAAAATTTTTCATTTAGTTCGTTATATCTTCTATTTTCTATATTTTGTTTGTTTCAAGCAGGCTTGTAATTGCTTGTTGAAGCATTTTTATTGTGGCTGCTTTATTATTTATTTTTGAAAGAAGAAAAATTTATTTTATTTTATTTTAAATTTTTAAAATTTTAATTTTTATTATTTATTTATTTTCTCTGGTATTTGGCCTTTTCCCCCCATAGGTTATTGGAGTACAGGTGGTGTTTGGTTACATGAGTATGTTCTTTAGTGGTTATTTGCGAGATTTTGTTGTACCCATCACCCAAGCAGTATACACTGCATCCTATTTGTAGTCTTTTATCCCTCACCTCTCCTACCCTTCCTTCTAAGTCCCCAAAGTCCACTGTATCATTCTTATATGCCTTTATGTCCTCATAGCGTAGCTCCCATATAGCAGTGAGAACATACGATATTTGGTTTTCCATTCCTGAGTTACTTCACTTAGAATGATAGTCTCCAGTCTCATCCAGGTTACTGCAAATGCTGTTAATTTATTCCTTTTTATGGCTGAGTAGTATTCCATTGTATATATGTACCACAGTTTCTTTAATTACTCATTGCTTGATGGGCATTTGGGTTGGTTCCAAGATTTTGCAATTGCAAATTGTGCTGCTGTAAACATGCTTGTGCAAGTATCTCTTTTGTATAATGACGACTTTTCCTCTGGGTAGATATCCAGTAGTAGGATTGCTGGATCAAATGGTAGTTCTACTTTTAGTTCTTCAAGGAATCTCCACGCTGTTTTCCATAGTGGTTGTACTAGTTTACATTCCCACCAACAGTGTAGAAGTTTTTCTGATCACTGCATCCACGCCAACATCTACTGTTTTTTGATTTTTTTATTATGGCCATTCTTGCAGGAGTAAGGTGGTATCACATTATGGTTTTAATTTGCATTTCCCTGATCATTAATGATGTTGAGCATTTTTTCATATGTTTCTTGGCCATTTGTATATTTTCTTTTGAGAATTGTCTATTCATGTTTTTAGCCCACTTTTTGATGGGATCGTTTGTTTTTTTCTTACTGATTTGTTTGAGTTTATTACAGATTCTGGATATTAGTCCTTTGTCAGATGTATAGATTGTGAAGATTTTCTCCCACTCTGTGGGTTGTCTGTTTACTCTGCTGACTGTTCCTTTTGCTGTGTAAAAGCTCTTTAATTTAATTAAGTCCCAACTATTTATCTTTCTTTTTATTGCATTTGCTTTTGGGTTCTTGGTCATGAAATCCTGGCCTAGGCCAATGTCTACAACAAGGGTTTTTCCAGCATTATCTTCTAGAACTTACTTAGTTTCATGTCTTAGATTTAAGCCCTTAATGCATCTTGAGTTGATTTTTGTATAAGGTGAGAGATGAGGATCCAGTTTCATTCTCTTACATGTGGCTAACCAATTATCTCAGCACCACTTGTTGAAAAGGGGATCCTTTCCCCACTTTATGTTTTTGTTTGCTTTGTTGAAGATTAGTTGGCTGTAAGTATTTGGGTTTATTTCCAGGTTCTCTATTTTGTTCCATTGGTCTATGTGCCTATTTTTATACCAGTACCTATGGCCTTAGAGTATAGTTTGAAATCAGGTAGTGTGATGCCTCCAGATTTGTTCTTTTTGCTTAGTCTTGCTTTGGCTATGTACACTCTTTTTTGGTTCCATATGAATTTTAGGATGGTTTTTTTCTAATTCTGTGAAGAATGATGGTGGTATTTTGGTGGGGGTTGTGTTGAATTTGAAGATTGCTTTTGGCAGTCCCCACCAAAATACCACCATCATTCTTCACAGATTCTACCCATTGATTCTTCATTGATTCTACCCATCCATGAGCATGGGATGTGTTTCTATTTGTTTGTGTCGTCTTATGATTTCTTTGAGCAGTGTTTTGTAGTTTTCCTTGTAGAGGTCTTTCGCCTCCTTTCTTAGGTATATTTGTAAGTATTTTATTTTATTTTTTTGTTGCAGCTATTGTAAAAGGGGTTGATTTGATTCTGTGCTTGGTTTGATTCTTGATTTGATTCTCTGCTTGGTTGCTGTTGGTGTATAGAAGAACTACTGATGTGTGTACATTAATCTTGTATCTGAAAGCTTTTCTGAATTATTTTATCAGTTATAGGAGCTTTCTGGAGGAGTCTTTAGGGTTTTCAAGGTAAACGATCATATGGTCAGCAAACAGTGACAGTTTGACTTCCTCTTTACCGATTTGGATGCCCTTTATTTTTTCCTCTTGTCTGATTGCTGTGGCTAGGACTTCCAGGACCATGTTGAAGACGAGTGGTGAGAATGGGCATCCTGGTCTTGTTCCAGTTCTCGGAGGGAATGCTTTCAGTTTTTCCCATTCAGTATTATGTTGGCTGTGGGTTTGTCATAGATGGCTTTTATTACACTGAGGTATGTCCCTTGTATGCCAGTTTTGCTGAGAGTTTTAATCATAAAGCGATGCTGGATTTTGGCAAATGCTTTTTCTGCATCTATTGAGATGATCGTGTGATTTTTGTTTTTAATTCTGTTTATGCAGTATATCACATTTATTGACGTGTGTATGTTAAACCATCCCTGCATCCCTGGTATGAAACCCACTTGATCATGGTGGATTATCTTTCTGATATGTTGTTGGATTCTATTGGCTAGTATTTTATTAAGGATTTTAGCATCTGTGTTCATCAGAGATATTGGTCTATAGTTTTCTTTGTTGCTTACATCCTTTCCTGGTGTTGGTATTAGGGTGATGCTGGCTTCATAGAATGGGTTCCCTCTTTCTCTATGTTGTGGAATAGTGTCAAAAGAATTGGTCCCAATTCTTCTTTGAATGCTGGTAGAATTCTGCTGTGAATCCATCTGGTCCTGGACTTCTTTTTGTTGGTAATGTTTGAATTACCAACTGCTTGTTACTGGTCTGTTTAGGGTATCTAATTCTTCCTGATTTAAGCTAGGAGGGTTGTATTTTTCCAGGAATTTTTCCATCTCTTCTAGGTTTTCTAGTTTATGTGCATAAAGGTGTTCATAGTAGCCTTGAATTATCTTTTGTATTTCAGTGGTGTCAGTTGTAATAGCTCTCGTTTCATTTCTTAATGAGGTTATTTGGATTTTCTCTCTTCTTTTCTTGGTTAATCTTGGTAATGGTCTATCAATTTTATTTATTTTTTCAAAGAACCAGCTTTTTGTTTCATTTATCTTTTGTACTTTTTGTTTGTTTGTTTCGATTTCATTTAGTTCTGCTCTGATCTTGGTTGTTTTCTTTCTTCTACTGGGTTTGGGTTTGGTTTGTTCTTGTTTCTCTAATTCCTTGAGGTGGGACCTTAGAATGTCAGTTTGTGTTCTTTCAGACTTTCTGATGTAGGTATGAACTTTAGGGGCTATGAACTTTCCTCTTAGCATTGCCTTTACTGTATCCCAGAGGTTTTGATAGGTTGTGCTGCTATTGTTGTTCAGTTAGAAGAAGTTTTTAATTTCCACCTTGATTTTGTTTTTGACCCAATGCTCATTCAGGAGCAGGCTGTTTAATTTCCATGTATTTGCATGGTTTCAAGGGTTCCTTTTGGAGTTGATTTCTAGTTTTATTCCACTGTCATTTGAGAGAGTGCTTCATATAATTTCAATTTTCTTGAATTTATTGAGGCTTGTTTTATGACCTATCATATAGTCTATCTTGGAGAAAGTTCCATGCGCTGTTGAGTAGAATGTGTATTCTGTGGTTGTTGGAAGAAATGTTCTGTATATATCTGTTAAGTTCATTTGTTCCAAGGTATAGTTTAAATCCATTGTTTCTTTGTAGACTCTCTGTCTTGATGACCTGCTGTCAGTGGAGTATTGAAGTCCCCCACTATTATTGTGTTGCTGTCTATCTCATTTTTTAGGTCTATTAGTAATTGTTTTATAAATTTGTGAGCTCCAGTGTTAGGTGCATATATGTTTAGGACTGTGATATTTTCCTGTTGGACAAGGCCTTTTACCATTATGTAATGTCCCTCTTTGTCTCTTTTAACTGCTGTTTCTTTAAAGTGTGTTTTGTCTGATATAAGAATGGCTACCCCTGCTTGCTTTTGGTATCCACTTGCATGAAATGCCTTTTTCCACCCCTTTAAGCTTATGTGAGTCTTTACGTGTTAGATGAGTCTCCTGAAGGCAGCAGATGGTTGGTGAGTTCTTATCCATTCTGCAGTTCTTTATCTTTGAAGTGGGACATTTAGGCCATTTACAGTCAATGTTAGTATTGAGATGTGAGGTACCATTGCATTCATCGTGCTATTTGTTGCCTATGTACCATGGTTTTTTTGTTTTTTGTTTTTGCTTTTTAAACTGTATTTTGTTTTGTAGGTCCTGTGTGATTTATGCTTTAAAGAGGTTCTGTTTTGATGTGTTTCCAGGATTTGTTCCAAGATTTAGTGCTCCTTTTAGCAGTTCTTACAGTGGTGGCTTGGTACTGGCAAATTCTTTCAGCATTTGTTTGTCTGAAAAAGATTGTATCTTTCCTTCGTATATGATGATTAGTTTTGCTGGATACAAAATTCTTGGTTGATAATTGTTTTGTTTGAGGAGGCCGAAAATAGGGCTCCAATCCCATCTAGTTTGTAAGGTTTCTCCTGAGAAATCTGCTGTTAATCTGATAGGTTTTCCTTTATAGGTTGCCTGGTGCTTTTGTCTCACAGCTTTTAAGATTCTTTCCTTCATCTTAACTTTAGCTAACTTGATGACAATGTGCCTAGGCGATGATCTTTTTGTGATGAATTTCCCAGGTGTTCTTTTTGCTTCTTGTATTTGGATGTCTAGGTCTCTAGCAAGGCTGGAAAAATTTTCCTTGATTATTCCCCCAAATATATTTTCCAAACTTTTAGACTTCTCTTCTTCCTCAGGAACACTGATTATTCTTAGATGTGGTCATTTAACATAATCCCAGACTTCTTGGAGGCTTTGTTCATATTTTCTTATTCTTTGTGTGTGTGTGTGTGTGTGTGTGTGTGTGTGTGTGTATTTATTGGATTGGGTTAATTCGAAGACCTTGTCTTTGAGCTCTGAATTTCTTTCTTCTACTTGTTCAATTTTATTGCTGAGACTTTCCAGAGCATTTTGCATTTCTGTAAGTGTGTCCAATGTTTCCTGACATTTTGATTGTTTTTTTTCATTAATCTATTTCCTTGAATATTTCTCCCTTCACTTCTTGTATCTTTTGGATTTCCTTGCATTGGCTTTGCCTTTTTCTGCTGCCCCCCTGATTAGCTTAATAACTAACCTGCTGAATTCTTTTTCAGGTAAATCAGGGATTTCTTCTTGCTGTGTTAAAGAGCCTTGTTTTTTCATATTACCAGAGTTGGTTTTCTTTCCTTCTCATTCGGGTAGGCTGTCAGAGGGACAATCTAGGGATGAAGGCTGTTGTTCAGATTCTTTTGTCCCATGGGGTGTTCCTTTGATGTAGTACTCTTCTTCTTTTCCTATAGATACGGCTTCCTGTAAGCTGAGCTGCAGTGATTGGTATCTCTCTCTGGGTCTAGCCACACAGCAAGCCTACCTGGCTCTGGGTTGGTACTGGGGGTTGTCTGCACAGAGTCCTGTGATGTGAACCATCTATGGGCCTCTCAGCTGTGGGAGGCGGCAGGGGGTTGAAATGGACTCTGTGAGGGTTCTTTAGCTTTGGTGGTTTAATGTTCTATTTTTGTGCTGGTTCGCTTCCTGCCAGTAGGTGGCGCTTTCCAGAGAGCATCAGCTGTGGTAGTATGGAGAGGAACCAGCAGTGGGCGGGGCCCTAGAACTCCCAAGAGTATGTGTCCTTTGTCTTCAGCTACCTGGGTGGATAGGGAAGGACCATCAGGTGGGGGTGGAGCTAGGAGTGTCTGAGCTCAGACTCTCCTTAGGGGAGTCTTGCTGCTGCTGCTGTGGGGGCTGGAGGTGAAGCCATCAGGTCGATGGAGTTGTGAACCTAGGAGTATTATAGCTACCTCTGCTGAGTCATGCAGGTTGTCAGGGAAGTGGGAGAAAGCCAGCAGTCACAGGCCTCACCCAGCTCATGCAATCTGAAGGGCTGGTCTCACTCCCACCATGCTCCCCCAGTAGTCCCAAGTCTGTTTCCAGGCAGTGGCTGAGGTGAGCAGGGCTTGAGAACTTGCCTCAGGCTCCCCGCCTCCCAGCTGCAAAAGAACAGGGCTTTGATTCTTTCCCCGCCTGTGGAGTCTGCCCACCGGATTCGCCCCCTAGCCCGAGTTCTGGCCAGGAGGCTTCTCACCCGGTTCAAATTGTTACAAAGTCCAGCTGGAGACTTCCTTCTCCCTGTGGCGTCTTCCCCCATGCCTCTGGTGCCTCCAGGAGGGTCCCTGTGGTTCCAGGCAGGAGTGGCTGCTTGGGGACCCAGTGAGCTCCCAGGGCCTTTCCCACTGTTTCTTCTACCCATGTATTTTGCTTGGCTCTCTAAATTGACTCAGCTCCAGGTAAGGTTGGAAACTTCTCTTGAGTATGACTTTCATTTTCCCCAGTGCGGGTGTGTGTTCAGGAGTGGAGGGTCTCCCTTTCCCACTTCCACAGTTTGAGCACTCACAGTATTTGGGGTGTCTCCTGAGTCCTGCAGGAGCAGTCCGCTTCCTTCAGAGGGTCTGTGGGTTCTCTCGGGATTCCTGGTTTGTTCTCGCAGTCATTCTGGAGCTAAAATGTGCGATGTGAGCCTCTGTATGCTGCTCTGTCTGTCTGAGTCAGAGCTGCAATCTAGTCCTGCCTTCTGTCCACCATAATGATCAACAAGTTCTAATTTTTTTTAATTTTTAAAATTTTATTTTAATTTCAGGGATACTTATACAGGTTTGTTATATAGGTAAACTCGTGTCACAGGGGTTTGGTATACAGATTTTGTCACCCAGATGTACTAAGCATAGTACCCAATAGTAATTTTTTCTGATCCTCTCCCTTCTCCCACTTTCCACCCTCAAGTAGGTCCCTGTGTTTTCCTCTTCATGTCCATGTGTTCTCATTATTTAGCTCCCACTTATAAGTGAGAACATGCAGTATTTTGTTTTCTGTTCCTGCATTAGTTTGTTAAGAATAATGGCCTCCAGCTCCTATCCATGTTCCTGCAAAGGACATGACCTCATTCCTTTTTATGGCTGCATAGTATTCCATGGTTTATATGTATTATATTGTGGCTGCTTTAAAATATTTGTCACATCATTCTGACATCTGTCATTTTGGGGTTGGCATCTAGTAATTGTCTTTTTTTCCTATTCAGTTCAAAAGTTTTCTATTTATGTGACAAGTGATTTTTAAAAGTTGAAACCTGCACATTTTCATATTCTATATGAGATTCTAGATCTTATTTCAACCTTATTTTTAAAACCTATTTTAATTTGACACTTCTCTGGCAGATGAAGAGGAGGGGACACCACTGTGTGAGTGCCAGGTAAAGATAAATGTCCAGGTTCCCCACTGAGCCTCCACTGACACATTGGGGCTAGGGGTGGGAGCCCTTCATTACTGATGGGTAGAGATGAGATTTTTGTTTCCTTGTGTGGTTTCCACTGGCACTGCGGTAGTAGTGGTCTCATTATTGCTGAATGGTGGTGCAAGTCCTTACTCTCCATTAATCCTCCTCAGACACCACCCCATCTGGGAGAAGGATGGGCACCTCATTACTGCCGGTGGAGGTAGAAGTCCAGGTGCCTCATGTGGTCTCCATTGATGCCACTGGGGGAAGGTGCTTGTTACTGGCCAGTGAGGATACAGTTCCTGGTTCCTTACTTGGCCTTGTCTTACAGCAGCCCCCTTGGGCATTGGAGCTCCTCATTAGAGCTTTGTGATAGTGAAAGCCCATGTTTCCTACTTAACTTTTGCTGGTGTGTCTAAGAGTGTGGCCACAGATTTTCCTGTGATGTTTGCCTGGAGTGGAACATTCATTATCTAAAAATCTGTCTTGGCCGGGTGTGGTGGATCACACCTGTAATCCCAGCACTTTGGGAGGCCAAGGTGGGTGGATCACCTGATGTCAGGAGTTTGAGACCAGCCTGGCCAACATGGTGCAACCCCATGTCTACTAAAATACAAAAATTAGCTGGGCATGGTGGCAGGCGCCTGTAATCCCAGCTACTTAGGAGGCTGGGGCAGGAGAATCACTTGAACCCAGGAGGTGGAGGTTGCAGTGAGCGAGATCCTGCCATTGCATGTCAGCCTAGGTGACAAGAGCAAAACTCCATCTCAAAAATAAATAAATTAAATAAAAATAAAAGCCTATCTTGCTTGTCTGGTGCCTTCCTGATAATTTGGCTAGAGAGAGCAGGCTTTGGGGGACTTCTTTTGGTTTATGCCCATTGATGTTTCCAGGTCGTTGGCTTCTTCAGCTCTGGGATACTTGAGTCAAAAAGGAAGCCCATGGAATTCACACACTGTTTCGTGTCCCACATATATGTGTATATACACATATATGTATATATTTACACATATGTATACACATGTGTATATACACACGTGTATATATTTACACATATGTGTATATACACACGTGTATATATTTACACACGTGTATACACACGTGTATATATTTACACACGTGTATATACACGTGTGTATATATTTACACACATGTGTATAATACACGTGTATATATTTACACACGTGTATATACCCGTGTCTATATACACACGTGTGTATACAGTGTATATATTTACACACGTGTATATACACAGTGTATATATTTACACACGTGTGCATACACATATGTATATATTTACACGTGTGTAAACACGTGTGTATATATTTACACACATGTGTGTATACACGTGTGTATATATTTACACACATGTGATACACACGTATATGTATACACACGTGTGTATACACATGTATACACACGTGTATACACGTGTATATTTACACATACATGTGTGTATACACATATATGTATATATTTACACGTGTGTGTACACATATGTATATATTTACACGTGTGTATACACATGTATATACACATGTATATGTTTACACATGTGTGTATTTACACATATGTATATTTACACATGTATATATTTACACATGTGTATATACACATATGTATATATTTACACATATATGTGTATATACACATGTGCATATATTTATACATATATGTGTATATACACATGCATATATTTCCACATATATTGTATATACACATGCATATATTTACACGTGTATATAGACAAATATGTATATATTTACACATCTATGTGTATATATAAACATATACACGTGTATATATACATATATGTATATATACACCTATGTATCTACACATCTGTGTATATACACATATGTATATATTTACACACGCATGTGTATATACACATGTATATTTACACACGTATGTGTATATACACACCTATATGTGTATATACACATGTATATATTTACACACGTATGTGTATACACATATGTATATATTTACACATGTATAGTGTATATATAGTGTATTGACATACATATATAGTATATATACACTATGTATATATACTCTATATACACTATGTATATATACACATATCTGTAAATATATGTATATATACACGTGAAAATATATACATATATGTGTATATACACATGTGTATATGTATATATACACGTGTAAATATATACATATATGTGTATATACACATGTGTTAATATATACATATATGTATATATACACATATGTGTAAATATATACATATATACACACATGTGTAAATATATACATGTATATATACACACATATGTGTAAATATATATGTATAAACACAGGTGTAAATATATACATATATGTATATACACAGGTGTAAATATATACATATATGCATATACACACGTGTAAATATATACACATATGCATATACACACGTGTAAATATATACACATATGTATATATACACACGTGTATATATGTATATATACACACGTGTATATATGTATATATACACACGTGTATATATGTATATATACACATAGATGTGTAAATATATATATATACACAGATGTGTAAATATATGCCTATATACACAGATGTGTAAATATATGCCTATATACACAGATGTGTAAATATATACATATATGTATATATACACATAGATGTGTAAATATATACACATATACACATAGATGTGTAAATATATACATATACACACGTGTGTGTGTAAATATATACATATACACACGTGTGTGTGTAAATATATACATATACACACGTGTGTGTGTAAATATATACATATATACACATACACATATGTGTAAATATATACATATATGTATATATACACATATATACACATACATATATATGTGTATATATACATATATTGTGTGTGTGTGTGTGTGTGTGTGTGTGTGTGTGTGTGTATATATATATATATATATATATATATATATATATAAAAAATGTCCAGTGTTTTTAACTGTACTTAGGAGAAATAGGGAAGTACATCTACCACTAATAGTTTTAAAATATTTTCTTTACTTTCAAGCTTAATCTCACCTAGAAGCTTGAGTCAAAAACTCTGTGCTATGATCTGAACATTTGTGTCCTCTCAGAGTGATTTGTTGAAAACCTGATTACCAAGGTGATGGTATTAGGAGGTAAGCTTTGGGAGATAATTGGGTCATTGAGATGGTTTGGATATGTGTCCCCACCCAAATCTCATATTGAAATGTAATCTCCAGTGTTGGAGGTGGAGGCTAGTGGGAGGTGACTGGATCATGGGGGCAGATTTCTCAGGAATGGCTTAGCACCATCCCCCTTGGTGGTGTCCTCACCATAGCAAGTGAGTGCTCATGAGATCTGGTTATTTAAGTGTGTAGCCCCTCTCTCTCTTGCTCTTGCTTTCTCCATGTGACGTGCCTGCTCCCCCTTTGCCTTCTGCCATGACTGGAAGCTTCCTGAGGCCTCCCAAGAAGCAGAAGCCACTAACCGCTGCACAGCCTGCAGCACTATGAGCCAATTAAACCTCCTTCCTTTATAAATTCCCAGTCTCAGGTATTCCTTTATAGCAATGTGAGATCAGACTAATACAGTCGTGATGGCAGAAGCCTTGTGAATAGGAGGAGTCCCCTTAAAGAGGCCCTGGAGAGCTGTCTTGTCCCACCATATGAAGAAGCAGCAAGAAGGCACTATCTATGAGGAAATGGACTCTTAATGGACACTGAATCTGCCAGTACCTTGATCTTGGACTTCCCTGCCTCCAGAACTGTGAGAATAAATTTCTGTTGTTTATAAGCCACCCAGTTTATGGTAATTGCTAGGGAAGCCTGAATAGACTAAGACACCCTTCATTGTCCTTGATTCCTTACTTCTCTTCACTCTCCATTGGTAAGTCATCATGCTTTTGTCTCTGTAACATATTCAGTTGCTCTCCTCTCAGTATTCACTTCTATCAGCCTGTGTCAAGTAAACATCATCTTGGACTACTGTAGGATCTTCCTAGCTGGTCTCTCTGCTTCAATTTTTGCCTCCATAATCCATTCTGTAAACAATTGTTAAACTTTTAAAAACATAAATTAGTTCGTGTCACTACTCTGATTAAGAACCTCTATATAGTTTTCCATTGTACTTTGAATGATATGTGAATCCTTTACCATGGCCTATTAAGTCCCCAACATGATCTGTCCCCCATCTACTTCTGCAACTGCATCTCTTCTACACTTCCCTTAAGTTGAAAATGCTCCCATCACATTTGCCTCATTTTTTCTTGAGTACCCCAATCTTGTACCTGCCACAGGGACTTTGCACTTGCTGTTGCAGAGCCCCGCATGCTTTTCTCTCATTTGATCACAGGGTTACTTTTGGTCATGTGGATTAAACATCCACTTAAACATTACCTCCTCTGAGAAGCCTTCCTTGACACTTTCTTTACTCAAGTAACTTTCATTATCAGTACTCTTCTGAATTTTCTTCAAAGCCTTTATCTCTAATATTTTCTGGCATATTTATTTGTTTAGCCGTTAGCTGTTTTATCCCTCTGAGATGTGAACTTCATGAGATCAAGGTCATTCCTGTGTTGTTGATGAGGATGTGCTAAAGAAAATGTCTAAATAATTTTACTGAATAGATAAATTTAATAAGCTCCTTGTGAGCTAATTACAAGGGTCAATCCTGGGTACAAGATAGTATTTTACATTTGCTACGTGATTGAGTCTGGACACTAATATTTTGTTGTAGATATCTTTGTCATCTTTTATAGAGGAGGAAACTGCAACTTGGAGACATTCAGTACTTGTCCTAAAGCTAATGAATTCAATTCTACCAACATTTACTAAGGACACACATATGCAGGCACAATGCATGATACCAGGAATACAAACTTAAATAAAGCAGGGTTCTTACCCTCCAAATTGCTCACCATTTACTGTGGGAAAGAGAGCACAACCATTAACTGTACTACAATATGATTTGTGAATAAACTCTGGTAAGCCTTATTCCAAAGGTAGGAATGAAATACTAAGAAGTAAGGAGTTATGTGACTAATTTTGCTGGACAATTGCATGAATATTTGAAATGTTTTACAGAGAAGGTGACATTTGAACTAGGCCTTCAAAGATGAATAGAATTTTTTTTCCAGGTGCAGAAAAGATGATAGGAATTTTCCAGACAGAGAGAAGACGGAATGCGAAAGCAGAGAGACTTGTAAGAACATACATTGTGGCTAGTCAGCTGTTTGAGAGCAGGCTGGACTTTTGCAAGCCTGCTCTCAATTAATAATAATAATTTAAAAAATAATTAATTTTTTAAATTATTATTTTTTTAACTTGTTATTGGCCCTTATATTTTATTTTACTTTAAGTTCTGGGGTACATGTACTGAACATGCAGGTTTGTTACATAGGTATACATGTACCATGGTGGTTTGCTGCGCCTATCAACCTGTCATCTAGGTTTTAAGCCCTGCATGCATTAGATGTTTGTCCTAATGCTCTCCCTCCTCTTTCCCCAACCCCCTGACAGGCCCCAGTGTGTGATGATCCCCTTCCTGTGTCCATGTGTTCTCATTGTTCAACTCTTGCTTATGAATGAGAACATGCAGTGTTTGGTTTTCTGTTCTTGTGTTAGTTTGCTGAGGATGATGGTTTCCAGCTTCATCCATGTCCCTGCAAAGGACATGAACTCATCCTTTTTTTATGGCTGCATAGTATTCCATGGTGTATATGTGCCATATTTTCTGTATCCAGTCTATCATTGATGGGCATTTGGGTTGGTTCCAAGTCTTTGCTATTGTAAATAGTGCTGCAATAAACCTACATGTGCATGTGTCTTTATAGTAGAATGATTTATAATCCTTTGGGTATATACCCAGTAATGGGATTATTGGGTCAAATGGTATTTCTGGTTCTAGATCCTTGAGGACTCGCCGCACTGTCTTCTACAATGGTTGAACTAATTTACACTCCCACCAACAGTGTAAAAGCATTCCTATTTCTCCACATCCTCTCCAGCATGTGTTGTTTCCAGACTTTTTAATGATCACCATTCTAACTGGTGTGAAATGGTATCTCATTGTGGTTTTGATTTGCATTTCTCTAGTGACCAGTGATGATGAGCTTTTTTTTCATGTTTGTTGGCCACATAAATGTTGTCTTTTGAGAAGTGTCTGTTCATATCCTTTACCCACTTTTTGATGGAGTTGTTTGTTTTTTTTCTCTTGTAAATTTAAGTTCCTTGTAGATTCTGGATATTAGCCCTTTGTCAGATGGATAGATTGCAAAAATTTTCTCCCATTCTGTAGGTTGGCTGTTGACTCTGATGATAGTTTCTTTTGCTGAGCAGAAGCTCTTTAGTTTAATTAGATCCCATTTGTCAATTTTGGCTTTTGGTGCAATTGCTTTTGGTGTTTTAGTCATGGAGTCTTTGCCCATGCCTATGTCCTGGATGGTATTGCCTAGCTTTTCTTCTAAGGTTTTTATGGTTTTAGGTTTTACATTTAAGTATTTAATCCATCTTGAGTTAATTTTTGTATAAGGTGTAAGGAAGGGGTCCAGTTTCAGTTTTCTGCATATGGCTAGCCAGTTTTCCCAGCACCATTTATTAAATAGAGAATCCTTTCCCCATTGCTTGTTTTTGTCAGGTTTGCCAAAGATCAGACGGTTGTAGATGTGTGGTGTTATTTCTGAGGCCTCTGTTCTGTTCTATTGGTCTGTATATCTGTTTTGGTAACAGTACCATGCCGTTTTGGTTATAGTAGCCTTGTAGTATAGTTCGAAGTCAGGTAGCATGATGCCTCCAGCTTTGTTCTTTTTGCTTAGGATTGTCTTGGCAATTCGGGCTCTTTTTTGGTTCCATATGAAATTTAAAGTAATTTTTGCTAGTTATGTTAAGAAAGTCACTGGTAGCTTGATGGGAATAGCATTGAATCTATAAATTACTTTGGACAGTATGGCCATTTTCATGATATTGATTCTATCTGTGAGCATGGAATTTTTTTCCATTTGTTTTTGTCCTCTTTTATTTCCTTGAGCAGTGGTTTGTAGTTCTCCTTGAAGAGGTTCTTCACGTCCCTTGTGAGTTGTATTCCTAGGTATTTTATTCTCTTTGTAGCAATTGTGAATGAGAGTTCACTCATTATTTGGCTCTCTGCTTGTCTGTTAATGGTGTATAGGAATGCTTGTGATTTTTGCACATTGATTTTTTATCCTGAGACTTTGCTGAAGTTGTTTATCAGCTTAAAATGTTTTGGGGCTGAGACAGTGGGGTTTTCTAAATATACAATCATGCTGTCTGCAAACAGAAACAATTTGACTTCCTGTCTTCCTGTTTGAATACCCTTTATTTCTTTCTCTTGCCTGACTGCTTTGGCCAGAACTTTCAACACTATGTTGAATAGGAGTGGTGAGAGAGGGCATCGTTGTCTTGTGCCGATTTTCAAAGGGAATGCTTCCAGCTTTTGCCCATTCAGTATGATATTGGCTATGGGTTTGTCATGAGCAGCTCTTATTATTTTGAGATATGTTCCATCAATACCTAGTTTATTGAGTGTTTTTAGCATGAAGGGGTGTTGAATTTTATTGAAGGCCTTTTCTGCATCTATTGAAATAATCATGTGGTTTTTGTCATTGGTTCTGTTTATGTGATTGATTATGTTTATTGATATGCATATGTGGAACCAGCCTTGCATCCCAGGGATGAAGCTGACTTGATCATGGTGGATAAGCTTTTTGATGTGCTGCTTGATTTGGTTTGCCAGTATTTTATTGAGGATTTTCACATCGATGTTTATCAGGGATATTGGCCTGAAATTTTCTTTTTTGTTGTGTCTCTGCCAGGTTTTGGAATCAGGATGATTCCAAACTCATAAAACGAGTTAGGTAGGAGTCCCTCTTTTTCTGTTGTTTGGATTAGTTTCAGAAGGATTGGTACCAGTTCCTCTTTGTACCTCTGGTAGAATTTGGCTGTGAATCCGTCTGGTCCTGGACATTTTTTCATTGATAGGCTATTAATTACTGCCTCAATTTCAGAACTTGTTATTGGTCTTTTCAGGGATTCAACTTCTTCCTGGTTTAGTCTTGGGAGGGTGTATGTGTCCAGGAATTTATCCATTTCTTCTAGATTTTCTTTATTTGTGTAGAGGTGTTTATAGTATTCTCTGATGGTAGTTTGAATTTCTGTGGGATCAGTGGTGATATCCCCTTTATCATTTTTTATTGTGTCTGTTTGCTGCTTCTCTCTTTTCTTCTTTATTAGTCTCGCTAGCAGTCTATTTTGTTAAATTTTTTTTTAAAAAAAACAGCTCTTGGATTCATTGATTTTTTTTTTGAAGTGTTTTTTGTGCATCTCCTTCAGTTCTGCTCTGATCTTAGTTATTTCCTCTCCTGCTAGCTTTTGAATTTGTTTGCTCTTGCTTCTCTAGTTCTTTTAATTGTGATGTTAGAGTGATTTTAGATCTTTTCTGATTTCTCATGTGGGCATTTAGTGCTATAAATTTCCCTCTAAACACTGCTTTAGCTGTGTCCCAGAGATTCTGGTATGTTGTCTCTTTGTTCTCATTGGTTTCAAAGAACTTTGTTATTTCTGCCTTAATTTCATTATTTACCTGGTAGTCATTCAGGAGCAGGTTGCTCAGTTTCCATCTAGTTGTGCAGTTTTGAGTGAGTTGGTTTCTTAATCCTGAGTTCTAATTTGATTGCACTGTAGTCTGAGACACTGTTTGTTATGATTTCCATTCTTTTCCATTTCCTGAGGAGTGTTTTACTTCCAATTTTGTGGTGAATTTTAGAATAAGTGCTATGTGGTGCTGAGAAGAATGTATATTCTATTGATTTGGGGTGGAGAGTTCTGTAGATATCTATTAGGCCTGCTTGGTCCAGAGCTGAGTTCAAATCCTGAATATCCTTGTTAATTTTCTGTCTCATTGATCTAATATTGGCAGTGGGGTATTAAAGTCTCCCACTATTACTGAGTGTGAATCTAAGTCTCTTTTTAGGTCTCTAAGAACTTGTTTTATGAATCTGGGTGCTCCTGTATTGGGTGCATATATATTTAGGATAGTTAGCTCTTCCTGTTGCATTGATCCCTTTACCATTATATAATGCCCTTCTTAGTCTTTTTTTTAATCTTTGTTTGTTTAAAGTCTGTTTTATCAGGGACTAGGATTGCAACCCCTGCTTTTTTTGCTTTCCATTTGCTTGGTAAATATTCCTCCATCCCTTTGTTTTGAGCCTATGTGTGTCTTTTTGCATGTGAGATGGGTTTCCTGAATACAGCACACCAGTGGGTCTTTACTATCCAGTTTGCCAGTCTGTGTCTTTTAATTGGGGCATTTAGCCCTTTTAAGTTTAATATTGTTATGTGTGAATTTGATCCTGTCATTATGATGCTAGCTGGTTATGTTGCACATTAGTTGAGGCAGTTTCTTCATAGTTTCATTGGTCTTTATATTTTGGTGTGTTTTTGCAGTTGCTAGTACCAGTTTTTCCTTCCATATTTAGTGCTTCCTTCAGGAGCTTCTTGTAAGACAGGCCCGGTGGTGACAAAATCCCTCAGCATTTGCTTGTCTGTAAAGGCTGTTATTTCTCCTTCACTTATGAAACTTAGTTTGGCTGGATATGAAATTCTGGGTTGAAAATTCTTTTTTTTAAGAATGTTGAATACTGGCCCTCACACTCTTCTGGCTTGTAGGGTTTCTGCTGATAGATCTGTTGTTAGTCTGATGGGCTTCCCTTTGTAGGTAAACTGACCTTTCTTTCTGGCTGCCCTTAACATTTTTTCCTTCATTTCAACCTTGGTGAATCTGACAATTATGTGTCTTGGGGTTGCTCTTTTCAAGGAGTATCTTAGTAGTGTTCTTTGTATTTCCTGAATTTGAATGTTGGCCTGTCTCCTGGATAGTATCCTGAAGTGTGTTTTCCAACTTGGTTTCATTCTCCCCATCACTTTCAGGTACCCCTATCAATCGTAGGTTTGGTTTTTTCACATAGTCCCATATTTCTTGGAGGCTTCGTTCGTTCATTTTCATTCTTTTTTCTCTAATCTTGTCTTCACGCCTTATTTCAGTAAGTTGTTCTTCAATCTCTGATATCCTTTTTTCTGCTTGATTGATTCGGCTATTGATACTTATGTATGCTTCATGAAGTTCTCATGCTGTGTTTTTCAGCTCTATCAGGTCATTTATCTTCTTCTCTAAGCTAGTTATTCTAGGTGGCAGTTCCTGTTACCTTTTGTCAAGGTTCTTAGCTTCCTTACATTGGGTTAGAAGATGCTCCTTTAGCTCAGAGGAGTTTGTTATTACCCACCGTCTGAAGCCTACTTCTGTTAATTCGTCAAACTCATTCTCTGTCCAATTTTGTGCCATTGCTGGAGAGGAGTTGTGATCATTTGGAGAAGAGGCATTCTGATTTTTGGAATTTTCAGCATTTTTATGCTGGTTTTTCCTCATCTTCGTGGATTTATCTTCCTTTAATCTTTGAGGCTGATAACCTTTGGTTGGAATTTCTGTGTGCGGGTCCTTTTTGTTGATGTTGATGTTATTGCTTTCTGTTTGTTAGTTTTTCTTCTAACAGTCAGGCCCCTCTTCTGCAGGTTTGCTGCAGTTTGCTGGAGGTCCACTCCAGACCTTGTTTACCTGAGTATCACCAGGGAAGGCTGCAGAACAGCAAAGATTGCCGCCTGCTCCTTCCTCTGGAAGCTTCATCCCAGAGGGGCACCTGATGCCAGCCAGAGCTTCCCTGTATGAGGTTTATGTCAACCCCTTTTGAGAGGTCTCTCCCAGTCAGGAGACAGGGGGGCGAGGGACCCACTTGAGGAGGCAATGTGTCCCTTAGCAGAGCTCGAGTGCTGTGCTGGAAGAACCCTCCTTGTCAAGATCTACTGCTCTCTTCAGAGCCGGCAGGCAGGAATGTTTAAGTCTGCTGAAACTGTGCCCACAGCCATCCCTTTCCCCAGGTGCTCTGTCACAGGAAGATGGGAGTTTTATCTATAAGCCCCTGACTCGGACTGCTGCCTTTCTTTCAGATTTGCCCTGCCTAGTGAAGAGGAATCTAGAGAGGCAGTCTGGCCACAGCCACTTTGTCGCACTGTGTTGAGTTTCACCCAGTCTCAACTTCCAGGCTTCGTTAGCACTGTTAGGGGAAAACGGTCTACTCAAGCCTCAGTAATGGCGGATGCGCCCACCCCCCGCCCCCAGCCCACCAAGCTTGATCATACCAGGTCGACTTCAGACTGCCGTGCTGGCAGTTAGAATTTCAAGCCAGTGGTTCTTAGCTTGCAGGGCTCTGTGGGATTGGGACCCCACTGAGCGAGACCACTTGGCTCCCTTGCTTCAGCCCCCTGTCCAGGGGAATTAACGTTTCTATCTTGCTGGGGTTCCAGTCATTTTTGGGGTACAAAAAAAAAAACTTCCTGCAGCTAGCTCGGTGTCTGCTCAAGCAGCTGCCCAGTTTTGTGCTTGAAACCCAGGGTCCAGGTGGTATAGGCACACGAGGGAGTCTTCTTGTCTGTGGATTGCAAAAACTGTGGGAAAAGCCTAGTATCCAGGCCGAGCAGCACAGTCCCTCATGGCTTCCCTTGGCTGGGAAAGGGAGGCCCCCTGCTTCTTGCACTTCCTGGGTGAGGCGATGCCCCACCTTGCTTCTGCTTGCCCTCCGTGGGCTGCACCCATTGCCTAATCAGGCCCAGTGAGATGAACAGGGTATTTCAGTTGGAAATGCAGAAATCACCCACCTTCTGCATTGGTCGTGCTGGAAGCTGCAGGCTGGAGCTGTTCCTATTCGGCCATCTTGCCAGATCCCCTCACAACATTTATTAAAGTCAGCATGAATGTGAATCTGGCTGAAGAACTGTGAATAGAGTTTCTTTTCTGAGTTAATGAATTTTTTTTATCTCCAAGAGTCAATAATTATGTTTGGTCTGCCTAAGATTTGCACTTCCCAAGCTTTAGGTGGTTTTTCCTCTTCATTTGAATGAACTATGATAGCCTCTTCATTTGAATGAACTATGATAGCATCATATGGAAGTGGGGATAATGGCATGGTAAACTCATTCATAACCCCAGTTGGCTTGTACTGTATTTGGTAAAGACTTTCTTACTTTTTGCCAATATGACTACATGGCATAAAATCCCTTAGCTAGGAATTCTTTGCTGTGGATTAAACTTTAAATATTGCTTGGAAAGGAAACATAAAATTGATGTTATTGAATATTATTAATAACACCTTCATGAGAAATATTTTTTGTGAGTATCTTCTCTCTGTGCTATTTAATGTCCTTAGAGAACAAAGGGAGTGGGGCCTTTGGATTTGGGGAGAAGGATGGGAAGGAGGAGTGCTGAATAGATGCCAGAAGTGAGTTAGGTGCTCTGGTGCTTTATGCATTTTATCTTCTCAACACTATTCTCTTAATTTTACAGAATCTGGCTCACTGAGACACATAGAAGTTGAGTAGTTTGACTGAGGTTGCACTGCTAATTGTAGTAAAACTAATTCAAAAGCCAGATCTGCTTCCAACTTGGAGTGCCAGTGGAGGTGGGAGCATGGTAGGGAAAAAATGGAAAAGATATAAGGCAATTAAAGTTCATTGAGTTCCCAGTCACACTTTTTTTCAGAAACAGGGTCTTGCTTTGTCACCTAGGGTGGAGTGCAGTGGTGCCATCATAGCTCACTGCATCCTTGAACTTCTGGGTTCAAGCCATCCTCCTGCTTCAGCCTCCAGAATAGCTGGGACAACAGATGTACACCACAATGCTTGGCTAATTAAAAAAAAAATTTTTTTTTTTGGTAGTGCTGGGGTCTTGCTATGTTGCCTAGGTTCACAGTCACACTTTGGCCCTGAGACCTGTCTCTCTGGTCCAGGTGTTGTCTCTTTGACCTTATCGATGTGCTATCTCTCTGTGGCACTTGGAGGGATAGAAGCATTATCTAAACAGGCTGATAAAATTATTGGTAAAATAAGGAAGTGTCAGGCAACCATTTAAAATGGCCTGCATGCTTGCTTCCTATCATGAATCTGTGGCTTGGAGATCATCAGAAACTCATTTTTATCACATTGACATATCATAAGCACTATGAAGGAGGGCAAAACATGAGCCAGACAAACTGTGTTAGGTATAGACTGGCTTAAGCGTGTCATCCCTTGTCCCTGAGAAGGCTGGTGTGATTCTTTGCCAAGTTTCCTTCCTGTTCATGCTTGGATCCCTTGGAAGTAGCAAGCATGACTCTTCAGAATTTGTCACCCAGAAATGAGGGCTACAGTCCCCAGGGATATTGCCTCCTATGTGTTATATACATTTTGTTCTTCAGAGTTTGAAAAGGATCATGCACCCGGCCAAGCAAGGAAGCTATTGTGCAGATTTTGAGCAGGGACACACACACACACACACACACACACACAGCAATGGCATGACCATCTTCTACTCCTTATATGTAACATAATAAACTTTGACTTGCTGTTCACAGTTCTGCAGTATCTCTGGGGAGTCTAGCCACCCACTCAGTGTGCAGCAGAGGGGGAAGGAAGGACTCTGCATCTTGGGCTTTAGATCAGGTTCTTAGTCCTCTACAGGGTACATCATTCTGTAACTTTTTCTTTTGAGCTGAAAGCTGGGTATTGTTCACTCTTTCATTTCTTCATGCAGCAAACATTTTATTCAGTGACAATTAACATATACCTTGAACACATCACTAAGTGCTATAGATTCAGTGGTAAAGGAGACAACATTGGCTTACGGTTACACTGAAAATAAAACCTCATCTCCAGCATCAGGTGGAATATCCTCCTTGTTCATTTTGCTCCGGCCACATGAGCCTCTTTCTATTTCTTAAACATGGCTCAGGCCCTTGCCTGGGATTCTCTTTCCCCAGATCTTCACATGACTCTTTCTTTCTTAACTTGCAGGTTTCAGCTTAAATGTTATCTCCTAAGGAAGATCTTCCCCAGTCACTGAGGTTGAAGTCACACTCGCCCTCTCAGCCACACACCTGAACCTAGTCATTCTCTAGCCAGCATATCTGCTTATTTTATTGCAATCTTAGTATTTACCACTACCTGATTTATCTTTTTCATTGATTGGGTCACTTGTTTCTTGTCTGTTTTCCCATGTGCAGAATGTTAGCTTCTTACAAACAGCAACGTTGTCTGCTTACTGTACTCCTAACACTTAGAATAGCTTATAGTAGTCTATAGTAGTTGCTCAAAATATTTGTTGGATGGATGAATGAATGACACTTTTCCTGCCTTTGTACTTACAGTCTACAGAAGTGGTATAGCATCAGAGCTTAGACTTAAGAGTCAGATGGCCAGGGGTTTGAGTCAAGCAATGGGGCTAATGACTCAAAGTCCCCAAACTTCAGATTCATAATCTTTAAAAAGGGGATAATTATAGCGCCCACTTCACAGGGTTGATGTGAAGATTAAATGAGATAATTCATCTAAATTACTTGGCATTGGGTTTGCAACATAGTCAATGACAGTATATGTTGTGTTTTATTATTACTGGGAGTGAATTTAATGAGAATACAATAAAATGTAATAAATGGCATCACAGTACCAGAACAATCATACCCAAGTTTCCCTTGCCCTGAGTAGCTCTTGTCCACTTAGCTATAGCCTGAGAATCAGACTCTTCATTACAGTGGAGACAGCAGCCCTAGAGCAGTGAGCACCTGTGGCTAGGGATGCGATGGTGACTTTAATAATCTGATGTGGTGGAGAATCATTTTCTCTCTATTTTGAGTCCAGGTCATGTATTTGAAGTAACATCCTAGCCCTTCCATCTGCTGTCAGTTCTGATTTCATGCTTTTTTCTGCACACTCTGTCTACATTAAATCTCTACTGGGGAGCCCTCTGGCTTTTAGATCCTATTTTTAGAATAGTAGTTAAGACTTAGATCTCCAGAAAGGGAGGCCCCAGGGCTCCTGCTGTGGTCTTGAGTCCCCCCAGGCTCTGCCCGCTCTGCATACTCAGCCAGACCTGCATGGCTCTGAGGGTTACTGTTTTTTTTTTTTGCCTGCCACGGGGAAATTGTTCAACAAGACACCAATGGTGGCTTAATGCCAAGCACTGGTCCACCAGTAATGGTGGGACTTCCCCAACAGGCTCTGAAGCCAGAGTCCCAAAGTCAGCATTGAGTTTCTGCCGTTTATGCTTGTCTGGCTCTTTTTTGGATGAGTAGATAGATGCCCAACAGAGAATGACATGCAAATTAGAGTTGCAAGAGGGAAGAAGTGAACCTGGAAGCTCAGAGTCATGGACTGTGTTGAAGATATTGGGAAAGACCAGCTATCAACAGTCCTGGACCCTGTTGCTATTTTCAGTAACACTTGTTGGTAGGGTTGGGGGTGGAGAACTGAGGGTGCTTTTGTAGAGATCTTTCTTGCAGGGCTGGAGGGACCTGACAGGTGAGGAAGTATGGTGGGATCAAAGGATTGTGGCTTGGTTTTCTCTTGGAGCACTCATATTAGGATGTCCACTGCCACCCCTGAGCCTGGCTCCTAGGGTACAGGGATTAGGCTGTGAAAAACACAGGCCCATGAGTGGATATAAGCCCTTTCCTTTGCTTCCCCTCAGTCCAGCTTAGACAAGCTGGCAGTTTCAGGAGGACTTCACCAAATTCTAGGGGCAAATGTAAAATAAAGATATTAGAGGCAGAAAAGTTCAGCATACATGATCCAGGTCTCTGATGCCACCCTGGATAGCTCTCTCACCGGATTCCCAGACCTATGCCTATCTTCTGTGTCCTCCTGAGTGCCCCAATCCAGTTCCTACACTGCCTCCATGTGGAGGACAATTTCTGTCTTCCCTGATGCTGGAATCTGGTTTCCTAGATGTCAGCACTGATTTCCCGGACACTTAAGGTTCTTCAAGGTCAGGGCCAAGGAAAAATGCTAATTCTGCCTCTCACCTAGGGCCTTCCCCTCAGTTCTAGATTCTGGTCTGAATATGAGTTTTTCTCCAGCCACCCAAGAAGATGGTGTATTTCAGGTGAGACCCTTTCTCTACTTTGAGAAAGCAGCTTTGCTCTTAACAGGTCCAAGGATAAAGCGATAGATAAGAACGCCTATAAGAACTACCCACTTAAAGTTTTCAGAGGAATTCACTGACAGACGATGCTCCAATGGAGCAAATGTGAAGAGTGAAAGCCTAGAAAGTTTGGAAACCTTTCCCTCTTCTTCTCTGTCTTTCTCAGAGTATCTCTTTTTTGGCTTCATACATCATATTCGCACATGTAATGCATTTATTGATTGTCACTAATTATGCCCATGAGCTTTTATAAGCTTCTTAGCAAGTGAGTATCTTAATCTGCTTGGGCTACTGGACAAAAATACCATAAACTGGGTAGCTTATAAACAATAGAAACTTATTTCTGACAGTTCTGGAGCCTGGAAGTCCAGGATCAAGATGCCAGCAGATTCAGTGTCTGGTTCATAGACAGCCGTCTTCTCTGTGAGTCCTCACATGGTGGCAGGGGCAAAGGTGCTTACTGGGCACTAATTCCGTTCATGTGCCCAAGAGTGCTCCACCTTCATGACCTAATCTCCTCCAAATACCATCACATTACAGATTAGGAGGTAACATATGAATTTTGGCGGGACACAAACATTCAGTCCGTAGCAGTGGGCTTTCCACATTGTATAGCACGTGAGGAGTACCATCTTTCATTACAACAGGCGGAAACTTGTGGTGGTGGGTGTGGGTGAGGGCGGAAGGTATTTCTTCAACTGAAAGTTGAAGGGTTGTGCTGAACTGGATGTGAACCTTTTCACTCTTAAAGTCTTCTTTCATATCTCAGTGGGCCTGTTATTTTTCAATCAGACATTTGCATTTAATAAAGCATTTGCTTTCTCACTTTTTTTTTCCATTCAGGACCTGGTCAGGCATTCATTATTATGACACAACCAGTGTTACTGCATGGAGGTGGTACAATTCCAGTCCTAAGCAAAGAAACTTCTACATATTAATTAACCTATGCTCTGCTACCACATGTGATGTTTTCATGTTTAAAATAGCAATGTATCCTTCTTAGAGATCTAAAGGGATACCGAGTAAGGTGGTTGGCAGAGGAATTAGTTGATGTGAACTGAAATGGGTTGGTATGGGCTGCTGTAGTGGAGGGATGGTGGAGATATGAAGTCAACATTTATGGCAACAGTTGGGAATTTTGGAGAGGAACAAGGGAAGAAGGAAGGCATTGCAGGCAGGGTAATATGGTGGGCTTGTGACTGCCCATGCTGAGGAGCTTTGGAAGATGGAGGTAAAAACAGAATGGGCAGACTGGACATCTTCATGTGCCAAACCATGGAGACTAAACTATATTTTGTAGACAAGGGAGAGCTGCTGGAGGAATTTGAGCTAGGAAGTAATCTGATGAGCCTGGTTTCAGGAAACGGGTCTGGCTACGTAGGATGATTATATCAATTTTAGTTGCAGAAATGTATAGAGCAGTGTATTAAATGGAGAAACCATAACATATGATTTGTTGACAAAAGTATAACTCTTATATTGTGTTGTGTCAGGGGAATATGTTAAGATACTAATGAATTTTTTTCTCACCCAGAATTTCCTTCTGTCTCTTCTGCATTCAAGCAATTAGTTGGTCTTGTGCTTCTTACCCCAGGGAAGAGAGTGTGGTAGAGATGTATATATGTGGAAATCTTTCTGGTTTTTATCTTTGAAAGTCCAAACCCAAAGGAACAAGGAACAAATTCTGAAGAATGGATAAAAGTTTCTGCCAGAAACTGAAGAGAAGTATGATTTCTCAAAGACTAGAAAAAAAAGAAAAATATCCATCTTGTCCCCAGGTTGGGGAGAGGGTAAGAGGTGATGAGAACAGAGAGAACCTCTGCCCCATTTCCTAGGCAGAGGCTCTCAGAGGCAGCCAGTTTCCCAGAGACCCTGCAAAAGAGGATGCAAGCTTTAGCAGTTTGCCAAAAGCCTGTGAGTTCAGCCTGTCACTGGAGCATCAGGGCTGCGAGGCTTCACAGGCAGCATCTTGTGTGGGCCGACAACACGGTGACCAGATGGGACCCTGCTCCCATGGAGCCTGACACTGAGTAAGATCCCAGAATCATAGCCCATATTAGGGAGAGAGCCTAGAAGTAGTACTTCCGCTATTCCAGCAAGGAGGAGGATTTAAAATGGAAACTAAGTTCACTTATACCAAATTTAGTTCTAATTTTTGACATCAGCGTGTATGGACTGAGATTCACACCAGCTACAAGGTTACTTTACATGTAGGAAAAATACTAGTTTATATGAGTATTTGAGTATCTGATCAGAGGCAGTTATATATAATAGTCCATTTACAAATCTGGGTGGGGGTTTAGTCCCCTTATTCTGGTGTGGTGGAAAGAGCCCTGGGTTTAGGAGCAAAGACCTATCTTGTAGTCCCAACCTTGCCTCACACCAGTAGTGTGATTTTAGGCTAAGGTTGTCATATATAAATATAGGACACCTAGATGAATTTGAATATTAGATAAAGAATAATATTTGGGATATAACTTATACTAAAAAATTATTTTGTTACTTATCTGAAATGGAATAAATAAACTGAAATTGATAAGTACCAAATAAGTTTTTAGTATGTTTCCCAAATATTATTTGTTATCTGAAAATCAAATTTAACTGAAAGTCCCATATTTGCACCCCCAGACATGGCAGCCATACTTTGAGCAAATTCTTCAAACTCTTGGAGCTTCAATTTCTTCCTGGACATAATGATAGCTACTGCAGAGTGCTGTGCTTCAGATCAAATAAGATCACAATGGTTAAAATGATTTAGAATATATAGTCCTATGCACTCCTAGAATAGTGCTATGAAAGTTAAGTCTGTGTGGAGTAAGACAAACTCAGATTTTAATTTTTCTACTTAATAGATGTGTGTTCTTGAGTATCCATAAAAAGGGATAATTTATCTACCTCATAGCACACTTATGATATGACTTAGTTATTACTGCAGTTGTGTAAGTATGATGTAATATTATTAAGTGAATCAAGGAGATTTGGAAATGAATCATTGAACCAAAGATGATGTAATGAGTACTATCTCTGTGCTGAGTGGCAGTATCTTCTAGTTATTTATCAGAAGGGGATGGGAACTTCCAAATTTATCTGGGCAAGAAATTTACAAATTTTGCTGAATATGTTGAGACACAGATAACACCTTCGTGAGCATTTTTGAAAAAAGCCTAAAAAAATTGCCCAAATCTTGGTCCAGTCTGCAAACTCAGAAGAAATCAAGAGCTCATGTTTTATCCCAGGCAAAAACATCCCTTGTAAACAAACTGTGGGTCCACTGCAGCATTAGATGTATTGATAGCCCAAGGCTAAAACTCTTACTGTTTAAGTGAAACAGATCCAATCTAGGTCACAGTATTAGCAAATGGTGAGCTAGTCTTGCCTGGTTTCTCTAGATCCCTGAGCTCAGAGGGAGAAAAAAAAAGAATTAATAAAGCAGAGCTGGGCAGGGGAGTTTCAGGGGAGGCTCTGGCACCTTTAAAATAGGAAAATATTAAGATGTAACCAGACAGAAAGGTAGGAATAGAAGCTAGATATTAGTGGAAGTAGTAGCCATTTTAAACAATTTTTGAGTTTGTTTAAAAAATATGAATATTATTTGTTTCACTGCATCTCATGTATTACCAGGGTTGACTTTGCAGGGACCTCAGAGACTTAATGCAGAAGTGAACTGATAAGCAAGGGAGTCAGCTATCAGACCCTCCAGCCATTAGATAAACAGAAAACCCAGCCTTCCTCCCCAGTCCTCCTTCCTCATGGTCCTAGAACCCATCCTAACTTGTGTTGCAGATTTCTTTATGTTGCTCTCTCTCTTTTCTTTTCTCTTTTAATCTTTCTGGTAGTTTCTTTATCAAGTCTTTCTGTTCTAAAGCTTTCAAAATCCAGTTTCCATGTTGCTGTCTTGTAAGTCACTTTTAATATTTGGTAAGCTTAATTGCTGTAGTAATTAAGCCTTTCCCTGAACCAATGTGTCAGAGTGTGGAGTGAAGTGGAGAAGTAAATATCTGTTTATAGCACTAGAAGAGTGATACACAGATTTACATCAATCAAGCTACATAGTCTGAACTGACATATAAGATGCCCCTTGGGAGTGACTGATTTATTTTTGCTTTTTTTTTCGGTTTAAGAAGTTATCATTTCTTTCCCTTTCATATTTCTCCAGATGCAATCAAGGCATGTCAGTAAATTTAAAATGCACAAGTCAAACATTTCTCTAAAAAGCAGTTGCTTTGAAATAATATATTCCACATAACCAAGATAATTTTCTTAACCTGTCATAAACATTTGCTAAAGTAGAAGCCTTATTATATAAACCCTTATGTATATGTAATAGTGTTATGTTTGTCCCTCCAAATTCATATTTTGAGATCCTAACCTCTAATGTCATGGTAGTAGAAGGTGGGGCCTTTGAGAGATAACTAGGTCATTAGGATGGAGCCCTCCTCAACAGGATTAGTACCCCTACACAAAAAGACTCGCAAGCTTGCACCCTCTCTCTGCTCTTTGCCATGTGAGGGAACAATGAGAAGATGGCTATCTTCAAGCCCCTAAGATTGCCCTTATCAGACACTGAATTTGCTGCCACATTGAACTTGGCTGAATTATGGTCATGTCCTAGAACTTTATGGAAGGCAGAACTTAAGAGTGATAAACTAAGATATTTGGCAAAAGAAATCTCAAAGCAGAAATCTCAAGCAGGATGCTGCATGGCTTCCCTCAACTGCTCATAGTAAAATGCAAGAAAATAGAAATGATTAAAGATGGAATTTATAACTAAAAGGGAAGGAGAAAGCAAATATTTGGAAAATTCTCAGCCTGGTCATGTAATGACTAAACGTGTGTTTAGGAGAGAAAGCCAAGAGTGTGGCCAAGTGATTACTTGATAGAGATTAGTATGGATAGAAGGAGGCCAAGTGCTATTTATCAAGACAAAGGGGAAATGACCCAAAAGACGTTTTGGAGGTATTTGAGCTGCCCCTCCAATCACAGGCTCAGGGTACCAGGGCCAGAATGGTTTGTGGGGATGGGCCCAGGTCACTCATGGGACTTCAGGGCTCACTGCCCAGGGCTGCCTGAGGTCTCTGCTCCCTACATTCCAGTGCAGTAGTGCTCCTTAGCTGCCCCAGCTGTGGCTCAGAGGGGCCCAAGTATGGCTTGGGCCATGCCCAAGACTCTAGAACTGTAGAGCCACCAGTATGCAGCATTAGCCTGGGAGAGCTGCAGGCATGTGACTTTAATGTGTGAGAGCTGAAGCATGTACTTTGCCCTGTGAAGCTTTAGGTACATGGCTGTTTGGGGGCTTGGAGCCCAACCCCACCCCAGGATGTTTGGAAGGTGAGACATGGAGAACAAAAAGATTGTTCTCAACCTTTAGGATTTAGTGTTTGCCCTGTGGAGTTTTAGACTTACTTGGAAACTGTTTCTTCTTCTTCTGGCTTATTTCCCCTTTTACAACCATTCCACCATTGTATTTTGGAAGCACATAACTTGTTTGATTTCTTAGGCTCACAGATAGAGGGAATTTGCCTCAGGATAAGTTGTGCCTTGAGTCTCAACCACATCTGATTTAGTTGAGACTTTGGACTTGAACTTTTGAGTTGATGTTGGAATGAATTAGGATTTTTGGAGCCATTGGGATGAAATGAATGTATTTCATGTATGAGAAGTACATGAATTTGGGAGGCCAGAGGTGGAATGCTATGGTCTGAATATACTCCCCAAAATTTATGTCTTGGAAATGTAATCAAGTATGTTTGTGGTCCAGTATGAACTCCAATGTCCAAAGTTTCAACTGAGACTCAAGAAACTTCTTTACAGTTGTGAGCCTGTAAAATAAAGTTATTTACTTCCAAGACACAATGGTGGTACAGGCACTGGGTAAACATTCCCATTCCAAAAGGGATAAATTGGCCAAAAGAAAAGGGTAATAGGACCCATTCAAGTCTGAAGCCCAGAAGAGCAGACATTAAGTCTTAATGATAAAAAAAAATATTTGATTCATGTCTCATACCCTGGCACACTGGTCTAAGGGTGGGCCCCCAAGGCCATGGCTTTGCTGGGTACAGGCCATGTAGCTGCTCTCATGGGTTGGAGTTGAATGCCAGTGCCTTTTTCAGGCTCAGGTTGCAAGCTGCCACTGGCTCTATCATTCTGGGGTCTAGAGGGCACAAACCGTACTCTCACAGCTCCAATAGGCTACTGCCTTAGTAGAATCTCTATGTGGTGGCTCCACCCCTGGGACAGACTTCTGCCTTGGGCACCCAGTCTTTCCAACACGTCCTCTAAAATTTAGATGGAAGCTTCTATGCCTCTACCACTCTTGCATTTTGGGTGCCTACACTCTTTACATGGAAGCTGCCAAGGCTTATGGTGTGTACCTTCTAGAGCAGAAGCTTGAGCAATACCTGAGGCCATTTGAGCCTGGGCTATACTAGCCAGAGTGGCTGGAATGTGGGGAATGGCATCCTGAAGCAGTGCAGGGCAGCAGCACCATGGGCCTGTCCACCTAAACCATTCTGTCCTCCTAGGCCTCTAGGCCTGTGATGGAAGGAGCTGCCTCGAAGATTTCTGAAATGCCTTTGGGGCTTTTTCCCCACTGTCTTGACTATTAGTACCTGGCTCCTTTTTAGTCATGCCAATCTCTTTAGCAAGTGGTTGCTCTGCAGCACCCTTGGATTTCTCTCCTGAAAATGTTCTTTCCTTATCCAACACATGACCAGGCTGTGGATTTTCCAAATTTTTACTCTTTGCTTCTCTTTTAAATATAAATTTCACTTTTAGGAGGTTCCTTTGCTGCCATATCTGATTGTAAGCTGTTAAAAGCAGCCCCACCATGCCTTGAATGCTTTGCTGCTTAGAAATTTCTTCTGCAAGATAGATCATCATGCTTAAGTTTAGCCTTCCACAAATCCCTAGATCATGGACACAATGCAACCAAGTTCTTTGCTAAGATGTAACATGAGTGGCCTTTGCTTCAGTTCCCAATGAGACCTTGTCATCATGGCCTTTATTCTCTCTATTTCTATCAGCATTTTGGTCACAACCACTTAACCAATCTCTAAGAATTTCCAAACTTTCCCTCAGCTTCCTGTCTTCTTCTGAGCCCTCTAAACTCTTCCAACCTCTGCCCATTACCCAGTTCTAAAGCTGCTTCCACATTTTCAAGTATCTTTATAGTAACACTTTACTCCTTGGTACCAATTTTATGTCTTAGTCCATTTGTGTTGCTATAAAGGAATACCAGAGGCTGCGTAATTTATAAAGAAAAGAGATTTATTTGGCTCACAGTTCTGCAGGTTGTACAAGAAGCACGGTACCCAGCATCTGCCTCTAGTGAGGGCCTCCAGCAGATTACTCTCAGAGCAGAAGGGAAAGAGGGGTCAGCATGTACAGAGATCCCATGGAAAGAAAGGAAGCAAGAGAGAGAGGGGGAAGGTATTATGTTCTTTTTAGCAACCAGATCTTGCAGTAACTAATAGAGTGAGAACTCACTTATTACCATGAGGATGGCAGCAAGCCATTCATGAGGGATCTCTCCCCCTGACCCAAATACCTCCCACTATGCCCTCCCTCCAACACTGGGGATCAAATTTCAGTATGAGATTTAGAGGGACAAACATCCAAACTATAGCTTGTTGCTATAAAAAGGGCTTATGGGAGTAGGTTCTCTCTCTTCTGCTCTACTTCCATATGAGGACATGATGTTCCTCCCCTCTGGAGGATGCAGTGTTCAAATTGCCATCTTGGAAATAGAGAGACTGAGCCCTAACCTGTCAGCACCTTGATATTGGACTTCCCAGGTTTTAGAACTGTGAGAAATAAATTTATGTTCTTCATAATTACCCAGTCTCAGGTATTCTGTTATAGAGCACCAAACAGATGAAGACAATACTTGTGAGTCTGGACAGTAGCTTAGAACTAAAAAGTCCATTTGCGTTTTACATTCCAGAATCCATTTAGATTTCATTCGTTGTTTCAGAAATGTAATTAACTTCCACCTAGGTTTTTTAGGATCTCAGTTAAATGTAGATCTCACCAGGATAAATTCACCTAAGTCAGAATTAGTCATGATTAGTTTAGGTTGGCAAGGAGAGGGAAAATTAGGCATCATTTATTTCATTCTTAACAGGAAAAGGTGCTATTAAAACAAAAACGAAACAAACATTCCAGGGAAGGATGGAATTAATCACAGGCATAGATTGCTCCTTCAAAAGTAATTCTCATCAGTGAGCTCTTTGTGTAGTGGTTGACAGCTGAACAGTCTGGTAATAAGATGTACAGGGCAGAGGTTCTCAGGAGGACCTCTTCACCCAAAGTGTTTTAGTAGAGAAGAAGGGGTCCAAATGCTGCTCGTGGTAAAACATCATCTCAGAAATTCCCTATTGTGAAAATGGCAAAGGGATTTTGTGGGAGAAAGCTTGTTAGGGAGAAAACCAAGGTTTGGCTTTGTCTGTTTTTTTCTTTTTTTATTCCTGGAGTCATGCCAATTGCCAGACATACTAAGTGCACATAGTTATGTGCCAGACCCTGCATTAGGCCCTGGTAATATAGAGAAGTGACTCACAGTCCCTGCCTCAAGAGCACTGAGTACAGAAAAGGAGACTGACACATGGACTATGACAGTACTTTGCACTGTGGTAATGATATGCTGTATAATGTAGGGTAGGCTAACTTCTGTAACAAACAGCTCCTAAAGCCCCATGATTTAGCATAGTAGATGTTTGTTTCCGTCCTCTATTACAGAGTAGAGCAGGTGCTTGGCAGACAGTCCTCACATAGCTCCAACAATCTCCATAGTCTCAGAGTTCTCTTCTGGATCCTCTGCAACCAGTCAGCAAATGAAAGAAAGAGGAAACTGGAGTGTGGCACAGGAAGATTTTGGGGGATAGGTTTGGAAGAGGTGGCCATAAGCCATTCATTAGAGCTTAGTCCTCTTGGCCTCATGTAATGCCATGGCTAGGTAGCCACTTTCTGGCAACAGCTTTGCACTGTGGAAGGGGAGCATCAGTCTTTGATCAAGAGCCAACTGTTTCTGAGACTTATGCATGGGGTAGGGGTGTAATGGGAGCTCAGAAGAGAGGTAAACCCATTGGCATGTGTGTGTGTGTGTGTGTGTGTGTGTGTGTGGTGGGTAGGGAAGGGAAAGTATAGCAAAAGCTTTCCAGAAGAATTGATACTGAAACTGAGTTTTGGAAGAAAAATGGGGTTTAAATCATAAAAGGCAGTGGGAAAGGACATTTTAAATGGAAGGAACAGTGTGTGCATAGGCACTGAGGTATTCATTAATTCATTCATCCATTTAAAAAATCGTTACAGATGTGCCTTTCAGGTATCAGGAGTCATTCCAGATGTTGGCAATACCACTATACATAAACCAGACAAGTCTCCCACTCTCATTACCCAATATTCTAACAATGGGAGACAGACCATAAGGAATCAGCAAATAAATACACAACTTAAAAAATCAAATTGCATATTATGTGTTGGGGAACTGCATGTCTTTAAGTAGGGCTGGGGCAAAGGTTGCATGTTGGAGGTGGGGGTGGAACAAGTGAAAAATGATGAGACTGGAGAACGTAGAAAAGGCCAGCCATGAGAAGGCCTTTCATGCATTAAGCGGCATCAGGAAGAGGATATGGACCTAGATTTGCATTACAGAAAGGTCACTGGCTTATGACTGCAGAGAGACTTGTGGAGTGGCTGCAGGGAGGCCAATTATTAGACAATTGGAATAATTTAGATATGCAATGATGAGGTCTTAGTGAGGAGAGGGTGGAAATGAGAGTTACAAAGGAGATGCTGTGCGCAGGACTAGGGAGTTGTATCACAGGAATGAAGGTAAGGGAAGGCTCTGAGGATGACCCCTCCTTCCTCCTTCCAGGTTTCAGGCAGAAAATAAGCAGCATGTGTTTCCTTGAGTTCAGTGCAGCCATTCTGATTTGTGTACACTTTTACATTAAAATAAGTATTGTTTACAAGATGTCACAAAAAGGCTAATAAACTAAAATTTTACTCTGTCTTACTAGAAAGCAGTGGGAATAAATTATGTTATTTTAATGTAATATGTGGTTTATGCATTTTGGTTATTTGGCTTGTTTCCATTTGCTGTTCCAGATAGCACCTCTTATGAATAGCATCACTGTGAGTGGGGCATCCATAGAGCCTGTTGGGGTGGGCACCCACCAAACAGCATCATTGGATGAAGAATGTCTGCCCAACATGACAAGTTGGGAGAAAAACTCATTTGAATATATAGGTTATGGACTGAATGTTTGTGTCCCCCCAAATTTATATGTTGAAACCCTATACTCAGTTATGATGGTATTAGTAGGTGGGGCCTTTGGGAGGTAATTAGGATTAGATGAGCTCATGAGTCAGGGAGCCTTCATAAATGGAGTTAGTGCCCTTATAAGAAGTAACAGGAGAGGCCAGGCACTGTGGCTCATGCCTGTAATCCTATCACTTTGGGAGGCCGAGGCGGGTGGATCACCTGAGGTCAGGAGTTCGAGACCAGCCTGCCCAACATGGAGAAACCCCGTCTCTACTAAAAAAAACAAAAAATTAGCTGGGCGTGGTGGTGGGCACCTGTAATCCCAGCTACTCTGGAGGCTAAGGCAGGAGAATCGCTTGAACCTGGGAGGCCGAGGTTGCAGTGAGCCAAGATTGCACCATTGCACTTCAGCCTGGGTGACAAGAGTGAAACTCTGTCTCAAAAAAAAAAAAAAAAAAAAAAAAGAAGAAGTAACAGGAGAGTTTGCTTCCCCTTTCTGCTTTCTGCTGACAGAAGTCAGCAATCTGCAACTGTGAGAGGACCCTCACTGGAACTGACCATACAGGCACCCTGATCTCAGACTTCCAACTTCCAGAACTGTGGAACTATGGGAAATATATTTCCATTGTTTAGAAGTCACCTCGTTTATAGTATTTTGTTATAGCAGCCTGAACTAAGAAAATTAGTACCAAAAAGTGGGTGTACTGTTGTAACAAATAGCTAAAAATATGAAACTGCATAGTGGGGAGAGGCTGGAAGAAT
Source organism: Homo sapiens (assembly GCF_000001405.40). NCBI lineage: Eukaryota > Metazoa > Chordata > Mammalia > Primates > Hominidae > Homo > Homo sapiens. Next base: position 47,608,601 of record NC_000012.12, on the reverse strand, counting down.
TCTGAGGTGCATATTAGAAATATGGATGTTAAAGGTCATTCTGGTGAGAGCTCAGAAAGAAAAGAGGAGAGCTGGAGAGAAAACCTCAATCTTCTTAGAGAATACCTAAGTAATCCTGAACAGAACATTGATGGATGGTAAAGGCCATTCTGATGAGGACTATGTTACTGGAAACTGGAGGAAAGGCCATCCTTGTTATAAAGGAGGGAAGAACGTGGCTGACTTGTGTTCATATTCTAGTATTTTTTGAAAGATAGAACTTGTGAGAGATTTTACTGGATATTTAGCTGAGGAGATTTCTAGGCAAAGTGTTAAAAATGTGGCTTGGCTTTTCCTGACTGCTTGTAGTAAAATAAGACACAAGAGAAATGACTTAAAGACAGAATTTCTGGGCAAAAAGAAAGCAGAACTTAAAAATTTGGAAAGTTCTCAGCCTGTTCATATTGCAAAAAATGAGAACACCAGTGGTGTGGCCAAATCCCCTTTGATAAGGAGATTAGTATGGGTGGGAACCATGGACCTAATCAGCCATCCCAGCAGGAAAATTGTCAGTTTGAACTGATGAGGATGAAGAAGGGAAAGAAGGAAGGAAGGCTGTCAAACTTATATTTAACTGTATGGATCATAGAGCTATTCAACTGTGAACATGCACTGTTCTTCAAGACAAGGGAAGAAGGACCATGAAGGCAACTCAGAGGTCATCAGGGTTGCTTCTTTGGTTTCCAAAGGGGAGGACCATTGCTTTGCTTTCCACAGGCCAGATAGCCCCAACCCAAAGCCATGGGGACAGGGCCACCCAAAACTCTAATCACCTAATAGATTCTTCTTGCCCACTGCACAGATAGAGCCGATTCATTGAGACAGAGGTATTGCAGTAAAGAAAGAGTTTAATTAAAGCAAGGCTAGCCACATGGAAGGCAGGAGTTTATTATTCAAATTAGTGTCTCCAAGAATTCAGAGGCTAGTGTTTTATGGAGAAGTTTGTAGGCAGGGAGTTAGAGAATGTGTGCTGCTGATTGGTTGGGGATGAACTCATATATGGGTGAGACTCATGGTATGATTAATTTGAGACAGAATTCCTCCCCAGCTCTAAACTTGTGAAACCAAACAAGTTATGTGCTTCTAAAATACAGTGGTGGGAGAGGCATAGGATAGACACTCCTCTTCCAAAAGAGAGAAATGAGGAAGAAGAAAAGAAGAAAAATAGGGAGGAAAAAAATGGGTCCCAAGCAAGTGTAAAATGTAGCAAGGCAAACTCCTTGAGAGCTTAAGGCTTGAGAATAATCCTCTTTGACTCCATGTTCTGCCCTTCAGGCCCACTGGGGCAGTAGTCCCACCTCTGGACACACTAGGGCAGAGGTGCTGCCCTACAGCTCTACCTGGTAGGGATGTTCCCCCCACACCTCTGGGCACCCCATGCCCCCATGGTTTTGAAACCCCCTTTGCAAAGATTATGACAGCAAAAGAAGTCTAGCATGGTGATATGGTTTGGCTCTCTGTCCCCACCCAAATCTCAACTTGTAGCTCCCATAATTCCCATGTGTTGTGGGAGAGGCCTGGTGGGAGAAGATTAAATCATGGGGGCGGGTCTTTCCCATGCTGTTCTCATGATAATGAATCGGTCTCATGAGATCTGATGGTTTTAAAAAATGGGAATTTCTCTGCACAAGCCATCTCTTATTGCCTGCTGCCATCCACGCAAGATATGACATGGTCCTCCTTGCCTTCTGCCATGATTGTGAGGCTTCCTCAGCCACGTGGAACTGTAAGTCCAGTTAAACCTCTTTCTTTTATAAATTGCCCAGTGTTGGGTATGTCTTCATCAGCAGCTTGAAAACAGACTAATATGGTAAATTGGTACCAGTAGAGTGGGGCACTGCTGAAAAAATACCCATAAATGTTGAATTGACTTTGGAACTAGGTAACAGGCAGAGGTTGGAACAGTTTGGAGGGCTGGGAAATATGGAAGACAGGGAAATATAGAATGGTTTGGAACCTCCTAGAGACTTGTTCAATGGCTTTGACCAAGATGCTGATAATGACATAAACAGTGAAATCCAGGCTAAGGTGGTCTCACATGGAGATGAGGAACTTGTTGGGAACTGGAGCAAAGGTGACTCTTGTTATGTTTTAGCGAACAGACTGGCAGCATTTTCCCTTTGGCATAGAGATCTGTGGAACTTTGAACTTGAGAGAGATGATTTAGGATATCTGGTGGAAGAAATTTCCAAGCAGCAAAGCATTCAAGAGGCAACTTGGGTGCTGTTAAAGACATTCAGTTTTATAAGGGAAGCAGAGCATAAAAGTTTGGAAAATTTGCAGCCTGATGTGATATAAAAGAAAAACCCATTTTCTGAGGAGAAATTCAAGCTGGCTACAGAAATATTCATAAGTAACCAGGGGCCGAATGTTAATCCCCAAGACAATGGGGAAAATGTCTCCAGGGCATGTCAGAGGTCTTCACAGCAGCCGCTCCCATCACAGGCCCAGAGGCTTAGGAGAAAATGGTTTCATGGGCCTGGCCCGGGGTCCTTCTGATGTGTGCAGCCTAGGGACTTGGTGCTGTGCATCCCAGCCGCTCCAGCCATGGCTGAAAGGGGCCAACTTAGAGCTTGGGCAGTGGCTCCAGAGGGTGCAAGTCCCAAGCCTTGGCAGCTTCCACATATTGTTGAGCCTGTGAGTGCACAGAAGTCAAGAATTGGGGTTTGGGAAACCTCCACCTAGATTTCAGAAGACTTATGGAAACACCTGGATGTCCAGGCAGAAGTTTGTTGCAGGGATGGGGTGCTCATGGAGAACCTCTGCTAGGGTACTGCAAAAGGGAAATGTGGGGTTGGAGCCCCCACATGGAGTCCCTGCTGGGGCACTGCCTAGTGGAGCTGCGAGAAAAGGGCCACCATCCTTCAGACTCCAGAATAGTAGATCCACCAACAGCTTGCACAGTTTGCCTGGAAAAGCCGCAGACACTCAATGCCAGTCCATGAAAGCAGCTGCAAGGGAGGCTGTACCCTGCAAAGCCACAGGTATGGAGCCACCCAAGACCATGGGAACCCACCTCTTGCATCTGCATGACCTGGATATGAGACATGGAGTCAAAAGAGGTATTTTGGAGCTTTAAGATTTGACTGCCCTGCTGTATTTCGGACTTGCATGGGGCCTGTAGCCCCTTTGTTTTGTACAATTTTTCCAATTTGGAATGGGTATATTTACTCAATGCCTGTACTCCCATTGTGTCTAGGAGGTAACTAACTTAATTTTGATTTTATAGGCTCATAGGTGGAAGGGACTTGCTGTATCTTGGATGAGACTTTGGACTGTGGACTTCTGAGTTGATGCTAAAATTAGTTGAGACTTTGGGGAGCTGTTGGGAAGGCGTGATTGGTTTTGAAATATGAAGATACGAGATTTGGGAGGGGCCGGGGCGGAAAGATATGGTTTGGCTCTGTGTCCCCACCAAAATCTCATCTTGTAGCTCCCATAATTCCCACATGCTGTGGGAGAGGCCTTGGGGGGGATGATTGAATCATGGGGGCAGGTCTTTTCTGTGCTGTTCTTGTGATAGTGAATGGGTCTCATGAGATCTGATGGTTTTAAAACACATGAGTTTCTCTGCACAAGCCCTCTCTTATTGCCTGCTGCCAACCATGTAAGATGTGACATGCTCCTCCTTGCCTTCCCCATGATTGTGAGGCTTCCCTACCCATGTGGAACTGTAAGTCCAGTTAAACCTCTTTCTTTTGTAAGTTGCCCAGTCTTGGGTATGTCTTTACCAGCAGCTTGAAAATGAACTAATACACATAGCCACTGTATTTTAGAAGCACATAACTTGTTTGGTTTCACAGGTTCATAGCTGGGGAGGAATTTCCTCTCAGATGAATCATACCTTGAGTCTCACCCATATCTGATTAAACATATTTTGATAAAACCATAAAAATACATGAAATCACATGATTTTGTAGTCACATATTTCATCTGCAGGTTTTCAGAGCAGCTTTGTAGTGATCAGTTGTGCACCATGTGGGCTGGTCTGTAGTGATCCAGAAGGAGAAGAGATACCACTGAGAGGCTATGGCTTGGGAGTGCTCTTTAAAATAGAAACCTCCCTCTCTTTAGAGCTTGGCACATGCTCACTAAACACCTATAATGTGCCACTGTGTTTGTTTGCTGGAAGGCAGTAGACTGTAATATTCAGCAGAAAGGGCTTTGGCATCAGACTTGCATTTGAAGCAGTGGTGTGCTGGAGCCAGCCTGTACAGGCTGTCAAGCCGCTTGTCAAATATACAGGAATTTTGCAAGCCAGTTGTAAAATCATTGGTAACTAGAAATCAGCCATAGTGGGAGTATTTACCCCATGGAAATTGACAGTTACTACAAGTCAGGCCTTTTTCCCCCCTCCCTCCACACAGTAAGCTGGTTTACCAGCACACCACTGGAAGTCCACTTCACTACTTACTAGCTAGTAGGTACTAGTGTACCTGCACCTCCAGCACCCTGATGTCAGATTCCAGCTTCTTATGATACGGGGTGTTAGCTATATGATGTGACTTCGGGGGAAGAAGTCACATCATATATCCCAGCTTCATTTCCTTATCTGTAAGACAGTAATTCAATTCAAAGCCATTTACCTCATAGCTTTATTTAGAGAATAAAATAAAATAATGGATGCAAAATGCTTTGCATAATGCCTATTTCATATTAGGAGCTCAAACCACAGTTGTTATTGTTGTTGTTGGATGCTGTTAGATAGTAGTATCACATACACTAGGCACACAGACTGATTTGCTAGAAAATAGCTCTTATTATCTCCATTGTAAAGGTGAGGAACCTGGAGTTCAAAGAGATCAAGTTACTTGCCCAGGACCATACACCTGGTAACTGGTGGCACAAAAGCTGCCAGGCTCCTGGAGCTCATGCACTTTCTGCTGTCCTTGCTGCATCTGTACTTGGTGCTGGTAGCCAAAAATTAAGTTGCTTGACCAGCACAGGCTCTGCATCACAGCTCTAGTTACCTCGGAGTGTTGGTGCTGTCTTCTGGAATGGGTGGGAGAATCCTGCTTCTCTGGTAGAGGCTCTGAAATATCTCAGAAACCCAGGGTTGTTCCTGATCAGACCTGGGGGAAGCTAAAAGCAGGGGCTCCCAGATTTCTGGAGCAGGGTGAAGCGGTGGGAGTCACAGGACTGCAAGCGGGGCAGTGGCAGAGGCATGATTGAGGTATGTGCTGTGAGCACAGTGGTGCTGGCGGTGTACGAGGGTGTTGGTGATCCTGTGCCAGGTGTGTGTGTGGAAGGAGGTGTGGGGGTGTGTACCTGTGCCTCCAGCACTCTGCTGTCAGATTCCGGCTTCGTATGATACAAGGTGTTGGCAAGAAGATCCTAGGCTCCATGACGTTGTTTCTTCCCTTCTCCAAGAGCGTTGCCGCCTGCTGGAGGAAAGAATGGCTGTTGCATATCTAACGTTGCTGACCTGTAGGACAGTAGGAGGAAGCCACGTTGGAGCCCTCTGTTGGCTTACCAGTCTCTGAGCCAGGCTGGGGCCAGAACCACACTGCTTCTTTCTTTTTTTTCTTTACCCCTCATTGCATTTCACTTTCTTTTATCCCTCAAATGAGATGGCCCAACATTCTTTATGACAAAACTGGAAATCTAGCTAATGTCTTTGGTCATAGAAGCATGGCTGTTTTCTAAGAAAGAGTTAAAATATTTCTCAGAATAACATAAACCATCCACTGAGAAGGAGACTGTTAGGACTGAGTTTGGTTTCCTAAGGTGCATCATTAGTAAGCAAGTGTTTTGTGTTGAAGACCCTCCCTCCTTAGGGAGAAAAATGGAACCACGGTAGTCAAGGCAGAACATCATACTTAGAACCTTCTGTCAAAAGATTAGGCTCTAAGATGAATGTAATGAAAATTTCAAAGATCAAGTGAGTTGCCAGAGTACAACTCCTTAGAGTATGGAGGGAGGAAAGAAAAACATAGCAGAGTGGCGTCCCATGACAACTCTATTTACTTTAGTCATAGATGCTGCTGCTAAGGCAGGGCTTCAGATTGTAGGGCCTTCCCTGTGAGCAGCACCAGAAAATGTCTCTGTGAAAGGAGCTGGACTCCTACACTTGCTCACTGGCTAAAGAAGGGGATCAGACACTCTGGAGACTGACTCATTTTCTTAGTGAAGCCAACTAAAGCTAGGCAGAGATCAGAAGCTGGAAATAAACAGCCCTTCAAAGTTCATGGCATCCAAGAAAGAAAAATCATTTCCTTTCTGCTGTGTGTGTTTTTACAGAGAAGTGACATGCTAGATTTCAGTATAATTTTTTTTTTTTTTTTTGAGATGGAGTCTCACTCTGTCGCCCAGGCTGGAGTGCAGTAGCGCAATCTCGGCTCACTGCAACCTCCGCCTCCTGGGTTGATGCCATCTCCTGCCTCAGCCTCCCGAGTAGCTGGGACTACAGGCGTCCGCCACCACACCCGGCTAATTTTTTGTATTTTTGGTAGAGACGGGGTTTCACCGTGTTAGCCAGGATGGTCTTGATCTCCTGACCTCATGATCCGCCCGCCTCGGCCTCCCAAAGTGCTGGGATTACAGGCGTGAGCCACCATGCCCGGCAGATTTCAGTATAAATTTAACACTGGGGTTATTGATCAATTGCTTATTCATTTATTCAAACACATACTTATTGAATATCTATATTGGTATCTGTATTGGCACACACATATTGAGTATGTGCCAGAAACTAGGCTTGATCCTAAGGATTGGAAAATGAATAAGGCGTAGTGTTTTATCTTCCTAGGTGCAAAACCCCAGTAAGTATAATTATCTAAACAAGTAAGCTTAATATGGCAAGATATGTGCTCATAGAGGTATGTACAAAATGCTAGGGAAATCGTACTAAGCCCAGCTGGATACTGTTGGGGAAGATTTCGTAGAGGAGATAATATTTGAGTATATTAGACTTATCTTCCAATGTCTATCTAAACTCCAGTGAAAACCAATAAACCCAATATTTATTAATTGTGTTCCTTCTTAGCTACCAAAACCATAGAATACAATGAACCAGGTTTCAAACCTGGCACCCATCAGACACTTGTGGGGAGGAAACAACATTTCTGGGGAGTGACAAAATTTCTGTGACCTTCAAACATATCAGAAGACTGTCAACCACACTAACAGTAAAATAAATTTAAATTACCTGTCAGATTGGCAAAAATCTAAACCCATTCTATTTGTGGGGTTGTGGAAATGCAAACTGCTACTCTGCAGGAGAATGTGGCAATATCATAAATTAAAAAATCACCTACTTTTTGACCCAGCAATTCCACTCCTAGAGATGTATTCTAGACATATACCTGAATAAGTACAAAATGACTCATGCACAAAGGTCATTCAGTGTGGCTTTTATTTTTAAATAGGAAAAAATTGGAAATATGTCAAATGAGCATCATTTGAGGGCATGGAGCACTATGCAACCATAAAAGAGAGTGAGGAAGATCTCCACATGTACTCATGTGAAATGTTATCCAGAATATATTGTTACATGTGAAAAAAATTAAAAGGAGGTTGCAGAACATCCTAGGTTTGCATAAGAAGGGAGGAAATAAGAATTTATGTATATTTTTCTTAAATTTGCTCTGCCAATCACTGAAAGGTTAAATCAGAAACTAATAAAAATAGCTAATAAAGCTATCTAAAACTTAAAAAATACCTTTTATTTTAAAATAATCTCAAATTTAAAGAAAAGTTACAAGTCTGGTACAAATACCTCTTTTTCACCATCATTTTGAGTAAATTGCTGAAATGGTGATCCTTCCAACACCAAAATGTTTAATGTGCCTTTTTCGGGGACACAGTATGCTCATTACATCAGGGAATTAACATCAAAACATGACTGCCATCGAATCCCTAGACCCCATCCAGTTTCAGCACTTGTGCCTGTATTGTCCTTTAGTGCAAAAGGATCACGTTGAGCATCACACACTGCATTTAGAGTCCAGTTTCTTTAGTCTTCTAACATCTGGATCAGTTCTTCAGTCTTCACTTTCATGACACTTTGAAGATTTTGAAGATTACAGGCCAGTTATGTTGAAGAGTTTCCTATTTCCTCATGATTACATTTGGGCTGTACATTTTTGGCAGGAATATCACAGAAATGATGTGTGTTCTTATTGCACCTTATCAGGTGGTGCATAATTTTGGGTTGTTCTATTACTGATCATGTTGAGCTTGATCACTTGGAGGAGTCCTCCTCCACTGGAGTTAAGCTTTTTCTCCTTTGTAATTAATATACATTTGCAGGAAGGTGCTTTTACGCCATGTAAATACAGTATCTTGTTCCTCAACAAACTTTTTATTGATTAATTAATGAATATCATGATTTCCTATTGTATTCATGGGTTATAATGTCACTATCTGATCTAGTTTGGATACTTGTCCCCACCCAAATCTCATGTTGAACTGTAATCCCCAGTGTTGGAGGTGGGGCCTGGCGGGAGGTGTTTGGGCCATGGGAGTGGATTCCTCATGAATGGCTTGGACCATCCCCTTGGTGATAAGTGAGCTCTCACTCTCAGTTCACGTGGGATCTGGTCATTTAAAAGTGTGTGGCATTTCCCCTGCCCATCTTTCACTTGCTTTCATCACCATGGGATATGCCTGTTTGTCCTTCACCTTCCACCAGGATTGAAAGCTCCCTGAGGATTCACCAAAGGCTGAGCAGATGCCAGCACCATGTATCTTGTGATATTAGATAGAAAGCAGAGGAATCAGGCTAAACTCTGTTTTTGAAATATGTGCATATATATAGAAATAAATGTAGATGTAAATTTATGTACACACAAACACATATAGATATTCATCTGTCCACTGAGACAGCATGAGTGCAGTGACACCCCAATAGTAATGAGCATACCTATCACTTAAATCTTAGTTTCTAAACACCATTCTCCACTAAAAGGAACCAGGTGTCTTTGTAGAAATGACTGATTCCAGGGCTAAGGCAGAGGAAGTACAGCATTAGTTTAGAGCATCTTGTACCAAAAAAATAAGGAAGTACTCCAAGAATAATGAAATCATCTCAAAAGGACAGAACTCAAAAGCATCATCTCAAAAGCTTGCAGAACTGTGAGCCAATCGAACCTCTTTTCTTTATAAATTACCCAGTCTCAGGTATTTATAGCAATGCAAGAACGGCCAAATCACACTATCGTTATTTATTTTGAGGCCCAAATTATCTTAGATTTGACTATGAGAGCCCTTTCAAGCTGGCTTTTGTGTCCTTTTGAGATGATTTCATTATTCTTGGAGTACTTCCTTATTTTTTTTGGTACAAGATGCTCTAAACTAATGTTGTACTTCCTCTGCCTTAGCCCTGGAATCAGTCATTTCTACAAAGACACCTGGTTCCTTTTAGTGGAGAATGGTGTTTAGAAACTAAGATTTAAGTGATAGGTGTGCTCATTACTATTGGGGTGTCACTGCACTCATGCTGTCTCAGTGGACAGATGAATATCTATATGTGTTTGTGTGTATATAAATTTACATCTACATTTATTTCTATATATATGCACATATTTTGAAAACAGAGTTTAGCCTGATTCCTCTGCTTTCTATCTAATATCACAAGATTCATTCTAGTTTTCTCCCTTTCCATATTAGTAACTCCATTCTTGGATACTGAGAAACCTGTCTCCCATTTTCCTTACTATATTTAAGTTATTTGCTCAACCCACCTGTATGTAGCCAATCTTCCATCACTGTTTCTGCCCTCTTCCCATGCAGATACTCTCCTTACTCCTCCTGTGTTCTGATACTTGCACCAGGTGGAAACACTGTGTGGAAGCTTTCTTCATCCCACCCCAGCTCTGACAACTTCTGCTGAGCCACCCCCATTTGTGGACATCCCCCTTACCCAGCTTGGGCTCTGGCCCCTGCTGTGGAGAACCACAGTTCCCTCTACTCTCTGCCATAGCCACCTGCTTTAGTCTGACCTGCTTATGGGCATTAGGACTGAATTGTTCAGGAAGGGAAGGGAGAGGAGAGGAAGAGAAGGAATATGAAAAAGTGTAAAAATGTTAACTTTTTAATGATATTATAAGATGGAGGAGACGGAAACAAGACTTGATAATTTTGATTGTTTTGACTAAGTAAATCTTTTAATATTCAAAAAGAAGTCCCTAAAATGGAAAATAAATAAATCTAATAATAGATCAAATTGACAACAAACATAGCAAGAAAATAATTATTTCAAATCCTTTAGAAGACAATAACTGTACATGCTTAGTGGGATATATTCTTGGGACAAGAGATCTTAAATTCAGGAGCTTAAAGCAAGTTATATTGGAATTTTTTATTTTGAAACTATTTGATGTATATTGCAAGATAAGAAAATAAGTACTATGTTCATGTTGTTAACCACTAAAATTTTTAGGATAAGAGAAAAGCAATGTAAGTATAAAAACAAAAAATGTTAAAACCCCCATGTTATTAAATTTGTATTGGAAATTTCAATATGAATACATAATTTAAAAATATATACATATGGCCAGGCATGGTGGCTCATGCCTGTAATCCCAGCACTTTGGGAGGCCAAGGCGGGTAGATCATGAGGTCAGGAGATCGAGACCATCCTGGCTAACACGGTGAAACCCCATCTCTACTAAAAATACAAAAAATTAGCCAGATGTGGTGGTGGGAGCCTGTAGTCCCAGCTACTTGGAAGGCTGAGGCAGGAGAATGGCATGAACCAGGAGGCAGAGCTTGCAGTGAGCCGAGATCACACCACTGCACTCCAGACTGGGTGACAGCAAGACTCTGTCTCAAAAAAAAAAAAAAAAAAAAAAAAAAAATATATATATATATATATATATATATATATATACACATATATATACCTACACATGTATACATAGATATCCCCCTTCACCTCTGTTCATTGAAAGGGAGGGCCTAGAAACATTGACAACCCAACAGAGGTAAGTACTCCTAGCACTTAGATTTTGATGACTAAATACCATTCCCCATTAAAAGAAACCAGGGTCTTTAGAGTAATGGCTGATTTTGAGTGTGGGCGAGGGATTGTACAAGGTGAGCCTGGGACATCTTGCTTTGTGCCAGAAAAAGAGCCAGTTTATTAAGAGCTCTTAATGGTTAAAGATGGAACTATTTGAGCTTCAAAAAAATGACTGCAATGGAATGAAACACACTGAATGTATAAAAATCTGCAAGTCTGTAAAATGATATTCAGAAAAGAGAAAACCAGAGAACAAAGGAAAACAAAATATCATTTGTCACCTACTCCTTATTCTGAAAAATGATAATTCAAAGTTAATGATTATTTACCTTGCCTTTTCAGTAGAAGCAGTTAATGAGACAAATTTCTCTCCTTCTCTTTTACTCTCTCTCTCTCTCTTTTTTTTTTTTATGTAACAGAGTCTCACTCTGTCACCAAGACTGGAGTGCAGTGGTGTGATCTCGGCTCACTGCAACCTTCACCTCCCAGGTTCAAGTGATTCTCCTGCCTCAGTCTCCTGAGTAGCTGGGACTACAGGCGTGTGCCACCATGCCTGGCTAATTTTTCTATTTTTAGTAGAGATGGGGTTTCACTATCTTGGTCAGGCTGGTCTTGAACTCCTGACCTTGTGATCCGCCTGCCTTGGCCTCCCAAAGTTCTGCGATTACAGGCATGAGCCACTGCACCCAGCCCCAGTCTCTCTCTCTCTCTCTTAAAGACTGCCAGCTAATAAGTATAGAAGGAATGGAAGAAATCACCATTTTGCAACCCTTAATGAAGTAATTGATTGAGATAAGAATCATTCAGTGGATGATGAAACCATTAGGTGACAGATAAGTGGAGACTTGGAAACACTAGTGCTGCTGAAGTATTACTCCATAGATTATTTGATGGTTGAAAAAAAATGAAACTTTACAATGGAGGGCTGAAGCTGTCTCTGGCTTACTGATAATGGGTCAATTAAATATGACACACCTCACAATGTGTTGCAATATTACACAGCATCAGTAGTGATGTCTTATCTAAAATGTAAATTTACAATCTCTAGATTTAAGTGTAAGGAATGCATGGGTTAGTGGAATAAATTAAATGACACTACAAATTCAGCAGTTGGACAAAATCTGAAAGTAGCTTATTAGTCTTTTCTCGCATTGCTATAAGGAAATACATGAGACTGGGTAATTTATAAAGAAAAGAGGTTTAATTGGCTCACAGTTCTGCAGGCTGTACAGGAAGTATGGCAGCATCAGCTTTTGGGGAGGCCACAGGGAACTTAGAATCATGGCAGAAGGCAGAGGGAGAGCCAACCCTTCACATGGTTGGAGCAGGAGGAAGAGAGCGAGAAGCGGGAGGTGCCATAAACTTTTAAATAACCAGATCGTGTGAGGACTCTATCAGGAGAACAACACCAACTTTAGCATCAGGATGGTGCTAAACTATTCGTGAAGGACCTGCCTCCATGATCCAATCACCTCCCACCAGGCCCCACCTCCAACACTGGGGATTACGATTTGACATGAAATTTGGGCAGGGACAAATATCCAAACTATATCAGCTATTCTGAGGGACATCTGGCCTGGTCTCTTCACCAAGTTGATGTTATGTCAAATAAAGGGTACAGGGAGTTGGGAGAGCACTCATAAAGGTTACAAGTGATTTAAGAGATATAACAACCAAATGTAATACATGGACTTTGATTGGATCTTGGTAAGAATAAACTAGGAATAACACTTTTTTGTAAAGCTATTGGCAAGGTTTAAATATGAGTCAGGTATTAGATGAGGATAATAAATAATTGTTAATTTTGTTAGCTCTACAATGGTATTGATTTTAGTAAGGAAAATGTTCTTATTTTCATGGTGTCTATATAATTTGTGCAAAATACTTTAGCAAAAAAGTTGAGGCAAACATGGTAAAAATGTTAACTGGCAATCTAGGTAGTGGATATATGAGTGGTCATTAGACACTTCTCCATCTTTCTTTTCTTTTTTTTTTTTTTTTGAGACGGAGTTTTGCTCTTGTTGCCCAGGCCGGAGTGCAATGGTGCCATCTTGGCTCACTGCAACCTCTGCCTCCTGGGTTCAAGCAATTCTCCTGCCTCAGCCTCCCAAGTAGCTGGGATTACAGGCATGCGCCACCACGCCCAGCTAATTTTGCATTTTTAGTAGAGACCGGGTTTCTCTATGTTGGTCAGGCTGGTCTTGAACTCCTGACCTCAGGTGATTCGCCTGCCTTGGCCTCCCAAAGTGCTGGGATTACAGGCAGGAGCCACTGTGCCTGGCTTTTTTTTTTTTTTTTAGACAGAGTCCCGCTATTGTCGCCCAGGCTGGAGTGCAATGGCACGATCTCAGCTCACTACAACCTCCACCTCCCGGGTCCCAGCAATTCTTCTGCCTCAGCCTCCAGAGTAGCTAGGATTACAGGCGCCTGCCGCCATGCCCAGCTAATTTTTGTATTTTTAGTAGAGACGGGGTTTCACCATGTTGACTAGGCTTGAACTCCTGACCTCAGGTGATCCACCTTCCTCAGCCTCCCAAAGTGCTGGGATTACAGGTATGAGCCACTGCGTCGGGCCAACAATTCTCCATCTTTCTATGTGTTTGAAAATATTCATAATACAAAATTAAAAATAATTCTGGCTCCTAGGCCCCTTGACTTACCGAATGAGACTGAGTCCTACCAGGTGTATTCATTTTATCAAGTATCTCTAGCAGGAAATGAATAAATTAATGTCTTAACATTTTTAAAAAATAGACTTTATTTGTTAGAGCAGTTTTAGTTCACAACAAAATTGAGAGGACATTACAGAGATTTCCCATATACCCATAACACACATGTACAACCTTCTCCATGGTCAACATTTCTGCACCAGAGTGGCACATTTGTTACAATCCATGATGTAACATGAACTGAGACATCATTATCACCCAAAGTACTTAGTTTCCATTAGGGCTCACTCTTGATGTATATCCTGTGGGTTTTGACAATATCTAATGATGAATGTCTTTTTCTTCTGTGTGATCTTCAACAATGTTCAACAAATATGTACTGGGTGTCTGCTATGTGCCAAGCACTTTTCTGAGTGCTTAAGAGTCAGCAGTGAACAAAAGAGATGCAGGGGATCTTAAACCCATGGAGCTTGGCACCCTGCCTTGCCCATAGTGGGCCCCTTTAATAAAACAAAAATACCTTAAAAGTTGTTAAAAATAACAAACACAGAAAACTGCATTAAATACATGAGCAGCTTAGTGAATTTTTAGAAAGTAACCTCCTTCCCTGTAATCCTCCCCCTAGACCTAGTACCCTGCCAGCCAGTCAAGAGTCTCCCATGTACCACCCACCCCCACCCCAGCACAAGCCCCCCCTTCAAGAGTATATCGTGTAGAATGCCATTGCAGGGAGCAGAGACAAAGTTTAGAACTCTGCCCTTAAAATTCTTCTATCTACTGTACCCCCCAAAAGTGAGATCTTAAATTTTTTTCTTTGGTTCAGAAGGTTTTCAGCCTCAGACTTTCACTAAACTGAGTACAACTCAGACATGCATTATTAGCCATGACATTTTCACTTTATAATATCAAGTAAATGGAGCTGCTTGGGGGCACACTCATTCCTGATTCACAGCTAATTCTGCGGACATAATGTCACAACGAATCTCCCAGACACATAATTCTGTCATGGTGGGATAAAGAAATTAAAACATAATTTAAAATACCTCAGTACCAGCTTCAAATGAGTAAAGTTAAGGCCCTGAGAGACTGTCTGCAGAAGCTTCATTATGTTGTAGTTGTGTTGAAAGGTGACCCAAGGCATTGCTTGTTACCTGGGCTGGTGGATCAAATGGGAAATAAGCTTTTCTATCTTTTTAAAAAACTTCAATATTATCCTCCATTATATGATTTTTTTTTCTACCTTCAGACTTAGGTCTTTTCAGACCCAGAACTGAAATACTGTAGAAATGGATAATGTGTTCTCTGCCTGTGTATTCTCAGAGTGGCCAAACCTTGGTACCAACACAAGGATTGAAATGTAAAGCTTCATGCATTTTATTTGAAAGTCTCAAAGCTCTAACACTTGCAATTTTTGTTGGGGGAGGGTAGGGCTACAACTTTATTAAAAGAAAAGTGCAATGAGATTTGTTGAAAGCTCAAAAGAAAGGGAAAACTTAGACACCTCCCCTCAAGTACAGAAACAAGTGCCAAGTGGACCTTTGGGGATGTCATAGTCAGATGGTGTGCTCATCTTCCAGTTGTTTCTGGCAAAGATCAACCTCTGCTGGTCAGGGAGAAGGCCATCCTTGTCTTGAATCTTTGCCTTGACATTCTCAATGGTGTCACTGGGCTTGACCTCAAGGGTAATGGTCTTACCTGTCAAGGTGTTCACAAAGTTCTGCATTGTCAATGGCAATGGCAGCAGTGCACAAGAACAACGGCTCAACTCCCAGCTTCGATGGAACTCTGGTAATTTTCAATGCACAATAATATGATGCCATCCAAGCTGTTGTGTGCATTAAATAAAATAATAAATATACAGCACAGTTTGGAGCACACCACAGGAGTGAAGAAAGAATTTGGGAGGCAGCTGAAGTTGGCTGGAAGGGGTCTAGACTGGGTGGGAAATGAGCTTTTTCTTCTAGCGTCTCCACTTCTTAACTTGATGGCTTCGGCCCATCTTGACTTGGTGAAGCCTTAGTCTCTTCATGGGTAAATGGGGGAAGACACCAGTTTCTCACAGGGATTCTGTGCCAGGTAATGGTGACACCTACATGTGACCTAATGCCACTGTGCCTCCACAGCTCACATATATTCTCCAAGTCTACCTTCTCATGTGACTGATGAGCAAATACAAAATGTAGGATACGTCAGCTTTTTTAAAAGGGAGGCGGCCAGGCACATTGGCTCATGCCTGTAATCCCAGCACTTTGGGAGGCTGAAGAGGGTAGATCGCCTGAGGTCAGGAGTTCGAGACCAGCCTGGCCAACATAGTGAAACCTTGTCTCTACTAAAAATACAACAACAACAACAAAAAATAGCCGCTGTGGTGGCAGGCACCTGTAATTCCAGCTACTCGGGAGGCTGAGGCAGGAGAATTGCTTGAACCTGGGAGACGGAGGTTGCAGTGAGCTGAGTTCGTGCCATTGCACTCCAGGCTGGGCAATAAGAGCAAAACTCCATCTCAAATAAATACATAAATTAAATTAAATAAAAATAAAAGGGATGCATTTTTGCCATTTCCTCTCTCTCTCTCTCAAGACAGGAGGCATCCCGATTGCATCCAGGTCCTCATTTCATAATTTTAATCCTTTTCAAGTTACTTAATCTCTCTAAACCTTAATTTCCTCACACATAAAATGGGGATTAAATTAATACCTTTCCACTGGATTGTAGTGAGGATTAAATGAAATCATGCATCTTTATTTTTCTTGGTGGTGATGAGTCTGGAATGTCACATAAGGTCTTGAATCCGAGGCACAGCTGTGCTGAAAGGACACCCACCTCCTGCCTCCCAGCGTGAGGCTGAGATGTGTTTCTTGAAGGCAGCAGCTGAGGCTACAGGATGACAGATATGGCTCGAGGCATGGGATTGGAACTCACTCTACAGCCCAGGCTCTGCTCAGCAAGACCCTGGAAATAGCAGCACTGGTGGGGACAGCACAATTGTATTGTCCTTCCCTGTCTATCTTTCACTTCCTCTCTCGGGCAGTAAATGTCTCTCAGCTATTCCTGCTTACCATCTTCCTGGGGGTTTAGAGCTTGACACTTGAAGTTTTAATGAGGAATAATAGCCACATTTGGCCTTTTTCTCCATGTACAAAGCTTTACATTTGTTTGCTTTCTGGAACAAAAACAAAAGTGTGTCATGTTGTCAGTCTTGGGCTGGACATGAAATAAAAGAGTCAAATTGAGATGGAATGTCAGCAAGAAGGTTTAGTTTTGGCTGTGGGGTTTCCAAGCGTGAGCTTCCTGGCCCCTGTGACACTGGAAAGAGTGGCTCCTCCCAGAAGGAGCTAACAGCACAGGCTATTTCTCTCTGGAAGTTTCTCAAATAGTCTGTTGCATCTAAAAGCTATTTGGCCACGTTCCTAATTTGAATTCTGTCTACAATTGTTTCTCCCTGTGGTGCTCATTTGAATGCAGGCTGTGTGCCCAACGAGTAGAGGCTATTAGGCTGCTCCAAGGGGCACCAGGAGACCCTCATGTCCCTGAATATCTTCCCTGCCCATCGTACTAAAGTTCTGTCATTAGCCATTATCTGCAGAAGTTCAATGTTGAAATGCTGTGGGGGTGGGGATGGGGGGTGCGGGGTGTTCCATCCCATTGACTCAGTTCCCTGCCTTGGATTGGTTGCAGCTGGGCTCCAGCAAATTCCTTCCTGAGGCTCAGAGGCATCAGGGCCCCTGTGGCCTTAGCGCACTCTTTTGCACACTGCTCCCAGTTCTCCCTTCCTTTTCCTCCTTGCTCATGTGTATTTCATTAAATGCCTAATCTGACAACTGTTTTTTTTTCCCCCCTGAAAAAAGTGTAAGTACTTTTCTCTTTGTGAAATACATTTTATGGATGAATTGCTTTCTTTTTTATTGTAAACATCACTGGAATGTCACATGTGTTGAAAAGTACAAGAGCTTTCTTCTCTCTTCTGTCCCTGGGAATGAATATTCCCAGCAGACAGCAGACTTCTCTTCTAAATTCTCTCTGCTTTGGCAAAAACAAGTAAATAAACAAACATCTTTTTTCAACTAGTCGTGTGATGTATGAGCAATCCTCATTGAAAATGAGACACAAAAATTTCTTTTCCTTCCTTACAAATATGGTAAGTCACTTTGAAACTATCATTTCTTCTCTTCCTTCCTTTTTCTAGTGAAATTAGAATGAGTTTCTAATAATAAAGTTTATTTATATATTTCTGATTATTGGTAACTAAAGTGTTTATATATACACTCATGTGAACTCATAGGTATGTAACCAATACATTTAGTTGGCTTCTTTGTCCTTTATCTGGTGATTCATGTCATTCATTCAATCACTTTCTCATTCATTCAATAAGTATTTTTAAATGCCTCCTATATATTAGACATTATGCTAAGCCTACTATGGGGATAGTATGGGGTACACATGGCCACAGGGAAAATACTACATTTTCCAGCCATCTGAGCATCTGTATGTAGCTGTATGTTGCAGGTTGGATTATTACTATTACTCTGAGAGGGAGTTTGGAGGGTAAGGGCTTATTATGGGGTGACTCACCATCCAGTGGTGCCTGCACTGTTCTGAGATTCAGGAGGCTAAGTTCTAATATTAGTTCTCCCCCTCACAAGCTGTGTAGTCATGAATAGGTCAGTTCACCTCTCTGGACCCAGTTTTCCAATGGCAAAATCTGGAAGAGTTATGCATTCTATAAGATTCTTAAGAGTTTTAAGCAGTACCTTCCATTTCATTGGAAGGGCACAGTAATGATGATGTGACTGCTTATGCTTGTATAAATACTTCATTACTAATAAAATAGAAAATAGAAAACCTCAGTCTTCATGAGATCCCTATGCAGTAGAATGACAAGGAGACATTCCAATTTTACAATTAAGAAAGTAGATTTAGAGAGCTTAAGCAACCTACTTAGGAACACATGATAGTCAAATTTGCTTCAGTAATATCATCAGACTAGAAGTATCAGATGGTTCCTTCACCCTGGTATCCAGTGGCTTTGGAAATAGTCTTTGCTTGGAAGGAAGGAGACTGATATTTATTGAGTGCTTACTCTGTCCAAGGCATCAGTAATATGTTATTTTACCTGGATTTTTTCACTGTGTGTGGTCATATTCCTATGGTGTTACATATTATCAATTTATCATTTCACATTACCATGTTACAAATGAAATACCGAGGTTCAGAAAGGTTATGTGGCTTGCCCTAGGAAGAGGAAGAGATGGATTTAAACTCTGTCTTCTCTCACTCCAAAGTCCAGAACTGCCAGGGATCATGCAGCAGAACTGTCCACTCTACTTTTCCTGTGGGGCCATCAAAATAGGGCTTTCCTCAAATAAGGGTGGTCCTGGCTGTGCAATCTCAACCCGATGGTGTAATTCCAATTCCAGCCTAATCATCCCAATGTCTACAAACATTCTTTGATGAAGTACACGTGCCTGTCTTTATGGAGGTTCATGGAAACCCCATATTAATTTTGCTATTGACCACTTAATATATCTGTGATCCAGGCCACATTTCTTCACATAGTAGTCATTTTAAAAAGAGCATTTAAGCAGTCTTATTTATTAGTTATGCCTCCTCTGACTGACAAACACAATTTGTTAAGCCAGTTCAAAGTCAAATTTATTTATTATTAAAACATTACTGAAATATAATCTCCAGGTTTCTAGGGTTTATATGAGATCCCATGGTGTTGATATATCATCCGCTCCAATATTTAAATATTTAGTTAGGTTCTAAAAAAATCATTTTGTCCTACTTTCTAACATTTATTTTGTCATAAAGTTTATTTGGCTTAATAGCTGGTTAAATATCCCCCATAAGAAACTTTTTGCAACTCCACATTTTATTTTCAGAAGCGGACAGGAAGTGATAAATATGCACAGAGTGGAAAGCTATGGGAAAGAACACTTTGCAGCTGTTGGTAACTTTGGGCAAACCACGCATAGCATCGGACACCTGAGAAAGTTCAGTCTTGTGGGCAAATGAGTGTGGATGTTTACTGGAAAATCAGCACTGGGTTTAAACATCCAATAGATTTAAAAAATACTCTCAGTGAATTTTTTTCTTTCCATTTTGAAATGTGTGATTCATTAATGAAACATTATATTTAGGTAGCTGCAGGTGAATCAAGTTCTTCAGTGGACATTTACATAAAAGTTTTTCAGTGGACATTTACATAAAGTTTATTTCTTCTTTAAGAATTTTGAGTTTCGGAAGAACTTCAGAGGAAATTCAGTTCTATCCTTTTGATAAAGGTTCATAGGTGAAGTGACTTGCTGAAGTCCACACAGGTAGTTGGTTGGAGGTGGGAACAGACATGGTCTCTTCACTCTGACTGGGCTGTCGTTCCTACTCCAAATGCAGCAAGTGTTCGTAGGAAACAGGAAACAGGAAACAGCTATAGGAAATAGGAAACAGGATATTTATACATCAGTTAATAGAGAGCTATTCAATTACCCACACATGAAGGACTGATGATATTTTTTAATGATGCTACAAACTTGTTAAAATTCCAAACACTGTGCATGTGTATAAAAGTGTATGAAAATGAAAGCCCACCACTTCCTGGCCTCCTCCAGTCCCAGTCCTCAGAGCTCATCATCACAATAGCCCAGTACATACCCATCCAGATTTTTCTATCCACATTTAAAACTCTTCTCTCGGCCAGGCGCAGTGGTTCACGCCTGTATCACGAGGTCAGGAGATCGAGACCATCCTGGCTAACACAGTGAAACCCCCGTCTCTACTAAAAATACAAAAAATTAGCCGGGCGTAGTGGTGGGCACCTGTAGTCCCAGCTACTTGGGAGGCTGAGGCAAGAGAATGGCATGAACCCGGAAGGCGGAACTTGCTGTGAGCCAAGATCACGCCACTGCACTCCAGCCTGGGTGACTGAGCGAGACTCCATCTCAAAAAAAAAAAACAAAAAACAAAAAACTCTTCTCTCAAATGCAGAATTTACTTTATAAAATGAAAATTAAATTCTTTACAATATACATAGTCTTCTGTAACTTTCTCAGTAAAAAATAGGTCATGGGTTTCTCTCCATATCCGTATATATAGCTCTACCTCTTTCCTTGTGTGGGAATTCAGTGGGGAGAGCAGAATATATTTAACCAGATTCCTATTGATAAAAAACAGCAGCTGTATTTTATTGCTAATTTAAAAATATTATAAGTCATGGCCATGGAATATTAAATTATTGGGTCACAACAATATCTAGTTGCCCCCTCTCTCACTTTGCAGCTGTCAGGGTCCCCTCTGCCAATATCAGATGGTCATTCAGTTTTGGTCTGATATCTTCAGT
Organism: Homo sapiens; assembly: GCF_000001405.40. Classification (NCBI taxonomy): domain Eukaryota; kingdom Metazoa; phylum Chordata; class Mammalia; order Primates; family Hominidae; genus Homo; species Homo sapiens. The sequence goes on along the minus strand of NC_000012.12, from coordinate 47,587,591 downwards.
GGGGCATTGAAGTCATCATCAACATAATCCAGGCACAATGCAATGCACAGCTCTAAAATTCCACTGAAGGTAATTTGTGTTCTTGTAATGGTTTAAAGTTTTGCAGAACTGCAGGCTCATGACTAGGAATATAAACAACCATTATTTTGTAGAAGTAAAGCAGAACTGGTTATTAGAATCTTGGACTGAGAGAATGGCAAAGTCAGTCATCAGGAACTGTACACCTGAGAAATGCTGCGGTCATTTCTTTCTTTTTAAAATATGAGAATAAAGAACTTAGTATTGGAAGTTAATAAACTTTAAAGAATTCCACATACCATTTTTTATGTCATTCATAATTCAACAGCCACTTACTGAGTACTTACTCTATGCCCAGCACTGTATTAGGCCTGAGGGTACAGCAGCATATCACATGGCTTCTACCCACTTGGCACTCACAGCATTGTAGAGACACTGATGCTTGGGCAGTAACTGCAGCACTGGACACGGATGCTACACGGTGGAATGTCTGTGTTACGGTAGTGGCTCCAAGGAGAAAAAGCTGGTCTGCCCATGGGAGGAAGTCAGAGAAGGCTTCTCAGAGAATAGGGTGCTCAGGATGGCACCTTATCCTGTATGGCAAAGGAGTCATGGGAGGGTGTTAAGCAAAAAATAACATCAGATGGAGTTTTAGAAAGGTGGTTGTGGAGTCAGTGTAGGAAGGGCAAGACGAGGCAAGGAGACTGATGGACTGGCTGCTGCAGTAATTGAGAGACCACCGTCTCAAGTAAGGAAGTTAAGGGTACAGAAGACGGTGAAGGGCTGGAGACATTCTGTGGGTAGGAGTGACAAGCTGTGGTAAGTTTTGTGTTTTTTTGTTTTTGTTTTTGTTTTTGAGATGGAGTCTCATCTCTGTCACCCAGGCAGTGGCGTGATCTCGGCTCACTGCAACCTCTGCCTCCTGGGTTCAAGCAATTCTCCTGTCTCAGCCTCCCGAATAGCTGGGATTACAGGCATGCACCACCATGCCCAGCTAATTTTTGTATTTTTAATAGAGACAAGGTTTCACCATGTTGACCAGGCTGGTTTCGAACTCCTGACCTCAGGCAACCCGCCCGACTCGGCCTCCCAAAGTGTTAGGATTACAGGCATCAGGCACTGCGCCTGGCCTCGTGGTAAGTTTTATAGGTTGCCATGTATGAGAATTAGAAATGTTTGCAAAGTGCCCATGTGGAGCCTGGGCTGCAGCAGGGACCTGTCAGTGGCACTCTTCAGTACGGTGTGGATGCCCTTAAAGGGATGAGAAAGTCCTTATGCTGCAGGACATGCTGGCCCAAAGCAGGTGCTATCCCAGTCTTCTGGAGAAAAGAGGAAAGAACTTCTGACTTATTTGGTACAGGTTGAAAGCCTTTCTTGTTTTGAAAAGACAGTGTGTCCTTTGTAAGTACTGGACACTTTGCTAATGTTAAAAAAAGACAGAAAAATAATGAATAGATAAAAATGGAGGAGGAGGAAAAGAATGAGGAGGAGGAGGCCACCACCAACTCCTTTCTTCTGAAACTTGTACATTCAGAGCAATAGTTTTAACATTTTGGTGAGTATCAGAAAGGCTGGGGTCCTGGTATTCAAGTCCTTATCACCTCCTGGCCTAAAATTGTTTGAAAGAAGGAAAGAAAGGAGTGAAAAGGAGGGAGGGAGGGAGGAAAGGAAAGAAGAAGGAAGAGAGGAAGGGAAGAAGGGAAGGAGTGAGCAAACATTCATTCATAGCAGCTTCCTTTTTTCCTCAGTTTCCCCTCCCAGCCACCTTCACTCTCACTCTCCTGCTTTAACTCAAGGGCTTTACAGCTGGCCCTGAGGCCTCCTCCGCTGCCCCCATGCTGCTCCCTGCAGGGAGGGGCCACATCTGCAGGAAGTCAGGCTGTCTCATCTGCTCTGCTCCTGGTCAGTTTTATTTATTGGACACCCCATGCAATATTTCATTTTATCAACAGAGTTCCACTGCTAAAAAGCAGAACAAAATAAATGAAGTTTGAAAGCCACGGGCCTGGAGGATGAAGGCCAGCCCCCAGCCTGGCATTGAAGGCTGCCACCTCTGACCCTGGCCCAGCCAGCCTCCCCTTCCGATTCAGCTCTGGTTGCTCCTCAGTGGGACCCTCCTCTCTTTGGATCTTCTTTGGGTCTTCTTGCCATTCATCAAACACCCTACCCATCTTTCCTTGTGTCAAACCTACCTGCCCCCTGACCCCTCACCTCCAGTCTCCCCCATGACACCAACTCCACTCCTGGGAAATCAGACGAGGGCAGCTTGCTAGGTTCCTGCTGGAACCCACCTCCCTACAAACGAAACAGTTCCTTTATGTGGTCTTAAAACAAAAGGAGGCAGTGTGGCCCGAGGGTTGGGGCTTGGACTCTGAATCCTGAAAGCTGGGTTCTACCTCACAGTGCGTGATCTTGAGCAGGCTCTTGAGGCTTTGTTTCTTCACCTCTAAAGCCGGGGAAATAATTATTCCTCTTTCATAGGGCACTGTGAGGATTAAATGATATAATGTTGGTAAAGTGGTTAGAACAGTGCTTGGTGCATACTCAGCATTTGTTAAATGTTAGCATTATTATTTTCATTGTTGTTAATATTATTAGAATCCCACTTCCTTTCATCTTTTTTAGGACATCATTGCAGCAATTCTCTGAAGCCTGAATCATCAGTTTTACTCTCCATTGGGTCGTTTCTGTTGGCATACACATGGGTGGTTGTTTCTCCCACCTTAAAAACCAAAACCAACTCAAACAAATTAACAAGACTCCCACCCTCTTTCTGCCAGCTTCTCCTGACCTTTCTCCCAACTCTCTTCTCCCTTTTACAGCAAAACTCAGAGGGGGTGTTCTCTGTATTCCAGATCTCCGACTCCTCGTCTCCACTGCTCTCTCGAGCTCACTCTGCTCAGGCTTTGCTAAGCTGCTCTTGCTGAGAGCCCTGTGACCTCTACATTGCCAAACGCAGTGGCCACTGAGAAGCCCCCTCTGGCTTTGGCACAGCGTCCCCTCCTCTGGGGAGCCCCTTATTATGCTCTCACTTCATCGGCCAGTCTCCTTTGTTGTCTTCTCCTTACTTTGACACCTCAAGTGCTGGGAGGCCCTGGGGCTCAGTCTTCGGACCTCTTTCCTTTTCCATCTACACTGACTAGTGAGCTCATCCATCTCTTGGCTTTAATATCTAAATGTGGACACTCTTCAATTTATCTCTCCGGCCTGGACTTCTCTCCTGAACTGCAGACTCATATATCACCCACCCACCTAGCAGCTCCACTTGGATGTCCAACAGACATCTCAAACTTGATGTGTCCAGAACCAAACTCCTGATCTTACCCAACTCCCAGCCTGATCTTTCCCTGGCCCTCCCTATCAGCTCAGGGCACCTCCTTCCTTTCAGTTGCTCAGGATGAAGTATTTGGGGTTGTGCTTGACTCTTCTTGTGTCAGCAAACCTGACTGACTGTACTTTAATAATATATCCAGAGTCTGACCACATCTCATCACATCCACTACGCTCATTCTGGTCTAAGTCACAATCGAGTTTTTCCTATACATACCAGATTAGTGTAATCTCCTTCTACATGGTGCTACTGCCCCAGACTCCCCATGGTTAAATGAGAAATGTTGAATTGGATCACTTCACTCCTCTGTTTTAATCCCTCTAAGGGCTTTGCATCTCACCCTGAGTAAAAGCTAAGGTGATAGCAAAGGCCCCCAAGGCCCTACATGGTCTGCCTTCCTCCCACCCCACTCCCTCATGGCCTCATTACTTTCAATGCCTTATGTATAAATCTCTGCTTTGCTCACTTCTTTTGAGTTCCTCCTCAACCTGTCAGGCATGTTCCTACCTCAGGGCCTTTGCACTTGCTGCTCTCTTTTTCTGAAACACTCCCCCAAATTTTCACTTCTTTCTGGAATTTGTGTCTTTCTCAGTGAGGTCTTTCCTGGCCACTTTATTTAAAATGACTTCCCAGTCGGGCATAGTGGCTTACACCTGTAACCCAGCATTTTGGGAGGCCCAGATGGGCAGATCACTTGAGGTCAGGAGTTCAAGACCAGCCTGGCCAAAATGGTGAAACCTTGTCTCTACTAAAAGTACAAAAATTAGCTGGGTGTCGTGGCACACCCTTGTAGTCCCAGCTACTTGAGAGACTGAGACAGGAGAATCTCTTGAACCCAGGAGGCGGAGGTTGCAATGAGCCGAGATGGCACCACTGCACTCCAGCCTGGGCGACAGCGTGAGTGAGACTGTCTCAAAAAATAAAAAAAAAGAAATGACTTTCCCTCCCCAAATGGCATTCTCTTTTCCTCTTTTATATTCTGCCTCTCCCTGGTATTTCTAATACTTATTGTTGTTTAACTCTACAATTCACTTATTAATGGTATTTTTGTCTATCTCTGGATTTTTGTCTATTTTGTTCTCTCTAGCACCTAGAACAGTGCCTGACACACAGTGGACACTCAGCAAATGTGTGCTGAGTGGCTGAATGAACAAATTAATGAGGAAATGGGTGGAGCAGGCGGATTTTTTGAGGGACATGATCTTTTGATGATTTGGAGTCTCAGTTTGCTGGGTAAGAAGCTCCATCGTATTTGTACTTGTGAAGAAAATCAGACTTGGGAGAATCAGTCACAATAATTAAACATACAGGTGGCTGGTCTGTTCTAGTTTTTTGTTTTTTCATAATGAGCCGTACCTGGCCCATATTTAGCACCAGCTGCTGGAGAATGGAATTCACTTCTTGGCGTACGTGTCTGCTCAGGAGCCCAAAGGCTCCTCAAGAGAGTGCCCAATGCATACAGAATTAGAGCAAAGAGATCTTATTCATAAGAGCTATTTTTGGCTGGGTGTGGTGGCTCACCCCTGTGATCCCAGCACTTTGGGAGGCCGAGGCCACTTGAGCCCAGGAGTTCAAGGCCAGCCTGGGCAACATGGCAAACACCTGTCTCTACAAAAAATACAAAAAGTAACTGTGCATGTGGCGTGCAAATGTAGTCCCAGATACTCAGGAGGCTGAGGTGGGAGGATCAATTGAGCTTGAGAGGTGGAGGCTGCAGTGAGCCATGATCATGCCACTGCACACCAGCCTGGACGACAGAGAGAGACCCTATCCTCCCTCCACCCCCCAAAAAGAGTTATTCTTAAAAGACACTTATCATTTATGATTCATCTGTATTTACGGTTATTTTGGTCTGAGAATAAGGAAATACCAAAAGCCTCTTTCTTTGTTACTTCTTACTTTCTGACTTTGTTAGGTGTGGGCTATCATCTGTGTGTGCCTTTGCCATTGACAGCGCCTTCATTTCATCGTTTCCCACTTTCACTTTCCAAGTCTTAAATGCTACAGACTCTCTTTCACTGACTTTCCTTTAGTTGGCTCTTCGCTAAGAGGCCCATCTTTTTTAAAGTCCTGCGAAAAGTGTTTCAAGCGTAATAGCCTCCCTTGCAGTTTTCAGCTGAGAACATTTCCTCATTGCTTAAAGGAAATGAAATTGCCGATGAGTGTCTTTAGCCATTGGGTCTAGTCTAACATTTTTTCATACTGGTAAGCACCAATCAACAACCTCATAACTTCAGTGTACTTCATAGACATAGTCCCATCTGGTTAGACTCAAAGAACATTGGACCTCATTTTAAAATATGACAACCATGTCACGGGCTATAGGCGTTGCATCTCAATGTTTCGCCTTTCTTCTCTCAAGCCTGCAGGTCTGCATTTCCAAGGCTGGCATTTTACATGAGGAGCAAGTGAGCTTCAGTGCTGGCTTCTCCATGACCCCTGTGTGCCCTCCAACTAGCTTGACCTTTGACTGACCTTTCCGTGACGTTTGACTATATGACAGTAGCCATCTTTGGGTCAGCATGAATGACCTCCTTGTGGATTCATAGTTTTTGGTATTCAGAGAAATCAGCTTTTTACACGACAGTGAGAGTTGGAATCAACTGGCACATCTTTTGATGATGCAGCTAATATTGTCTGGTGGCATAAATCAGGGCTGTGTTCTGTGCCCCCTTTTTACACATTAAACATTAATAATTTGAAACTGACTTTGATTAATTTCTCCTGGCTATGGAAAAATAGGCAAATAAGTCTCCTTCTGTATACCAATATTAATTTCACAGCCTGGAAGTGGCCTCTGTGGGTGGTTCATCATGTGATGAGACCACTACCAGAACGATTAGTTTTAGATAAACGATTTTACAATTAAAATAATTATTGTGGTGGGTGTTCCCCAAATGTCACGGTCCTAAATTTAATAATTCCATTCAACCAGCTAATTTTTTTAGTTATTTAAAGCAACAGTATCCCAACTGTTTTAACCCATTCATGCCTGAGGTTGCAATTTTTTGAATTTTTGCAATCAGATCTTGGTGATAACCTTGAGCAGTAGGATATAAATAACTCCCACATGCTTAGAGCCTTCCATTGTTGGAATGCTAAGCATAAATTACCTACCTCATTAGTGAAAGGAAAGTGTCAATATGCTCTCCCAATCTATATGGATACATTAATAAATGATACACAGTGCTATTATATTAGTATATTATTTATATTATAAAGATACATAAAGTAGCAATTTAAATAAATGAGATAAAAATGAAATAAATGATTTTTCTTATTTTATTTATTAATAGAACAATATCACTCTATTATGATGATGAATATTCTGGCTGCTTCATTTTTAAAATCTCTTGCTAATCTTGATGGCTTCATGCTCTCATTAGCTAATATCATAGGCAAAATACACACTCAAAGCGAGGATCAAAATTAATAAGAGTGGAAGTAAATCCATATTTTAAATAGCTTTTTGTTAATTTCAGATTTGAGGTTAATTAGATTTGAGGTTGACTTTCTGTCAGATATGATCAGATCACTGTTTTCCTCATTAAGACGCTGATAAAAAGCTTGTCTGTTCTAAGAATTGGAGAAGTATGGCTCTGCCAGACAAGCTTTCTGTTTGCTTGAGCTTGTATTACTGATACTACCTTTAATCCTCTACATTCATGAGAGCTCATTTCATTAAAACTGGATGTTATATTTCATACATCCACTTAACTAGACCCTTCTGAATCTAATATGTGCCCATTTGGTGACAGTGAACAAAAATGTGCCAACCTTCTGCATAGGGAACTTCCACTTTTCCCTCAAGATACCCAGAGAACTGCAAGGGGCAACCTGGGCAGGTAACCATCTTGCAAGTTGAGCAGGTGGGGTGCCTCTGTGTCAACTGGAATATGTAAGCAGTATTGAAGTTTACCTTCTTTCATACTGTTGCATATAAATATAGGGATAACTTCTAATATTTTTCATGCATACTAGTCTCACATGGCCCTTGTGGTGTACTGACTCCATTTGGAGAAATATTTGTTACTAACTCATTCTGGGAAGTTCACTGGGAACCGGTGCTGCTCATGAATGGATGTCCCAAACTCTGGGCATCTACATAATACGGGCACAGGTTTGCTTCACCTATATACTATCTATACTTTTATCTACTTAATATTGGTAACTCTATGGACTTACTTTTAAAACTTAAATTTATTTAAAAAGGAAACACCACGTTCCTGACAGGGATGGAGAAATCCATACTATTTTCCTTCTTCTTCGTCCATGAACATCAGTTATTCTTACCATGGCCTGAACACAGTCCCTGCTGTTGACCTGTGGCTGAGCTCTCCTGACCTTGCAGCGGAGGTCAAACCGATTCTTGCACTGCCCACTGCAATACCCAGAAATAACCAGCACTCAGGAGGTGAGGTGACACCTTGGACAGGAAGGACGTTGGATTGGCACCTGCTGAAGAGCTTCTCAGCAGGTATTATGCTGATGGTTGGGAAGGTAGGTGTGTGCTGGCCAGCTTTGTACCAGCCCAGATCAGCTTGTGCACAACCTTTGGGAAACAGCTCTTTTTATTTTTATTTATTTATTTATTTTGAGATGGAGTATTGCTCTGTCACCCAGGCTGGAGTGCAGCGGCGCGATCTCGGCTCACTGCAACCTCCACCTCCTGGGTTCAAGCAATTCTCCTGCCTCAGCCTCCCGAGTAGCTGGGACTACAGGCGCCCGCCACCACGCCCAGCTAATTTTTTGTATTTTTAGTAGAGACGGGTTTTCACTGTGTTAGCCAGAATGGTCTCGATCTCCTGACCTTGTGATCCACCTGCCTCAGCCTCCCAATGTGCTGGGATTACAGGCGTGAGTCACCACGCCTGGTCTATTTTATTTCTAGGAAATATAGAGGCAAATATAAGACTCCAGTATAGTCATGATATTGCCCTTATGGCAACATTTGCATATTTGGGATAGTCCCTTACCACTCCTAGGCCTAGGCCTTGATTGTCTCCTTCCAATTATATTTTTCCTAGTTCTTGTTTATAGTATACTGTTATTTTTGTGTTTGTATTCTTGTGTCAAGCTATCTCAAAGCCTTGTAGAACAAGGCAAAGGATATAAATAAATAAAATATCTCACATGACCTTCTCTGCCCCACATGTCATTACTGGCTTCATCTCTAGTGAGCAGATTAAATCTGGTATTTTGTGAAGGACAGCTCCAAAACAGCTGTGTCAGTGACGTCTTGTTATATTAGATCTGCTTTATGATACTTCGTGATTTATGAAATGCTGCACAGAAACCATCTCATTTAATAAGCATGATAACCCTGTGAAAAGGGCAGACTCGAAGAATTTGGTAGATGTGTCAAAGTTCGGTTCTGAGCCCAAGTCTCAAGAACTCACACTTTCTGTTTCTCTCTCTCTTCTCATTCTCATTTTCTTCTCCCTCTTTCCTTATCTTTCTCTCTCTTATTCCCTTACTTTCCTCACTCTTCATCTTCTCCCCTCCTTTCCTCTCCCATCTCTTTTCTCTCTCTCCTCCTCCCCTGACCCCCGCTGCTGCTTCTCTGCTATTATGAGGACAATCCAGGACTAGCCGACTTGGGGCTGAGATAAACTGCATGAAGTAGAATCATGTTGTCACAGCGGAGGCCACTGGCCCCCTTGCAACTCATCAGCTGACCACAGATGGATGGCCAAGGCCCACTGAGATCAGTTGAGCCTGGCTCAGATCAGCAGACCCACCTAGCCACATATTTGTGAGAAATAGTAAGTAGTTATTATTTTAAGCCATTATGTTTTGGGGTGGTTCATTACACGGCAATTGCCACCTGATACAGAGACTCAGAGACTTAGGTTACGTGACAGAATTGGTGGCAGAGCTAGGAGTAGAGTCAGGCTGCTGCTTTTTTTTGTTTTTTAAATTTGTTTTAAATTTTTGTGGCTACATAGTAGGTGTATATATTTATGGGTACATGAGATGTTTTGATACAGGCATGTAATATGTAATAATCACATCGAGGAAAATGGGCTATCCATCCCCTAGGCTGCTGCTTATTCTTGGTCAAGGTGTTTGATACAATGCTCTGCTACTGAACTCATCTGCCTGTCTTCCCCTTGACCAGCTGACCTCTTGTCCTCTGAAAAGTAACCTCTGGTGCATTCTGTCCCTCAGGGAGTCGATTGTGGCTACATGGGTGGATGGATGAGCATTCTTCGGCAAAGAAGATCTATTTAAATTTTGTAAAATGAATCTCTTTTTTAGAAGAAATATCAAACAGTCTTTGGTTGTTCTGTAACTATCTGGCATCTCCATCTGCCTGTTTTTTACATAAAATTTTCATAAACCAAAATCAAATGTACTTTATTTGATTTTTCATCTTAGTAGCAGTAATATGAGACCCTACACATTATCATCCAGAGGTCATGAGATCCATCAGAGTAATTTCCCGACATTGTTTTGACTTTCTGGGAAGCCTGAGGGAATGTTTTGAGATGGATCTCCTTCCCACCCCACTTTGGCTTGATGCTTCACTTCTGATTATTGTGGTGCGAAGATCTAAACCTACGGCTTACACTAGGCTTGATTTCTAAGGTCACGTTCATCTGCAGGCTTTGTAAAATCTCCTAACAACATAGTAAGAAAGGTCACTTAACATAGGACAATTAACATGTTCCCTCCCTACGAATGAAGTTTGGTGTAAAAAGAAGCAAAAATAGTGCCAGAAATAAATTACTGGCTTATAAACATGTTTATTAAATGCATCATACTTGGAGCACCAGATGTGAGAAAGACAAAGGCTAAATGCCAGCAGCAGGGTTGCTTAGTAAATTATTTGGCTTGTTGCTGGTAATGAGAGGCTGTAGTTGGTGGGAGCTGCTGTGAAATTACATGTTTCTGCTGTTTTGTTCCTCAACGAACCATGATCGACTCTAGGAATTGTTTGGATAAGCTTTCCCTCTGGTGTTGAAAGAAAAAATAATTCTCTTTAAAAGAAAATCTTGCTAAGCCCAAATATTTTTTCTGAACTCACAATTTATTTAGGTCTTCATCAATAAAAGTGATTAATAAATAAATTTATCAAATATAATTTGATTGCCTTTAATTCTCCCCTTTCTTCATACCTTACAAAAAAAATACTGTTGATTTATGCTGAAGACTTAGACTATACAGAAAGTAGAACCTAGAAAGATGATACTGTCTGTTAGCATTTCCAAATCATATTTCTGCTGCAGAAATGGGCAAATCTTACAATAAGGCTGCTGATTTGATTAGGCAGACTAATAATTACACACCGTAGCAACACCCTCCTGCACAATCTCCTATTCACAGATAGGGCATTCTTCCTATTTCTTCTTTAGAAAAGTATTTTCTGGCTCAGTTGAGAAGAATAAGTCATTAAAAGCTCCAGGAAACAATTCTGTGTGGAGTGTCCATTTAAGCAAGCAGCTGTCCTTTGAAAATTGTCTTATTGTTTGAGCCTCCCAATTTTGCAGCCAGGAGGTTATATAAAATCAATTAAGCCAGAGGATCTCTAGGTAATCAGCTCTGAGAACTGTCGCCCCAGCTGCGATTATTTGCCAACGGTGGCAGCTTACTCCTTTATTCCTGTGTTGCTCGGCCCCCACTTTAGCCTTCACCTCCTGGCAGCACTGTGCCTCCCTACCCCCCGCCCCTCTCGGCTTCTTTCCTTCACCACTCCTGTTGGTGCAGCCCAGGCTGCTGTCTCCCTGGGTCTCACCCCAGCTCCTGCTTTCAAAGGATGCAAGGAAAATGCCCTGCTGGGTTAAGAGGTTGTGGCTTTCAGTTCCTTCTCACCAGCAGGTAGGAAGCTGGAAGGAGGTACCACAAATTGCAGCCGTTGCTATGGCAACCAGAGCTGCTCCTCAGAAAAGCTGTTCCAGAGGAAAAGCTCCTTGAGTCTTTTGATCTATCTTTCTGTGTCTTCCCCTTTCTTCAGCCCTTATGAGGCACCTCAAGTGATTATCTCTCCTAAGAACCCCATCTGCCTCCCCCGCCACAAGGAAGTCATTCCACAACATGAGGATTTGACAACAGAGGAGCCTTCCCGCACTACTCCCCACAGAGGCATTGTCCTTGAATAAGACATACTGCAATCAGAAGGACATGCCATATCAGAAAGTCTAATATTATAATTCTATGCATCATTTGGCTGGGTGGGGAAAGCATTTTGAGGGGTAGGGTAGGGTAGGGTAGAGAACTTGTTCATTCATTCATTGAGTGCTTATTGAATACTCACCAGGGAGTACCAGGCAAAATGCTAAGTACTGGGGTTTCAGAGACAAATATGGCAATGTTGCTACCTCACAGTCTGGTGGAGAGGCAGATATAAAGAGAAATGTTCACAATAAGGCATTGCACGTGTTTGATAAAAGTCTATCTGGGGCATCTAGGGCATAAGGGAGGGCATGTGTGGGCAGCTGGGAAAGCCACTTAATGGAAGTGTCATGAGAGAGAAAGGGTGTGTGGTAAGTGCACACATTACTTTGGAGGACTCTTAAATCTTCTCTTGAATCCAATATCTTAGCTTCATTTATGGCTAGTTGGGCAACACCTTGGAAGATCCAGAGAACCTTTGTGAAATATAATGTAAATATGAGGCAAAGGCTGCTGGTGGTCTCCCTCTTATGAGTCCCTGGAAGGTGGTGATGATAGCCCTGGAAGCAGGGCTGGTGGGACTGGGAATGGTGGGGGGTGGGGGGCATTCAGAGACGCTCATGGAAAGAAAGCCTTCGCTAAAACATTCAGCTAGACCTCGGGGAGGTGAGAAGGGGAATCACTGGAGGCCAGTGTGAGAGGAGCAGTCACAGAGCCCCTGGCTACAGAGCTCCTGGGTGTGTGGTGTTCAGGAGTTCAGGAACCTGCAACTGCGTGGGGACACTGATGGGAAAAGATCCACCTGACTATTATTAAGGGCATGTATGTAGTGTTACGGTTAACTGCAGGGCTTTGGATTCCAACAGATCTGAGTTTGTCTTGACTCTGCCACCAGTAACTGGAGACTCTGGACAAGTAGCAATCCTTCTGGGCCTAGTTCTTCAGCTGTAAAAGGGGATTATGTCTACGGGCTGAATTGTGCCCCCCTATTCATATATTGAAGTCCTAACTCCAAGCACTTCAAAATATGACTGTATTTGGAGATAGAGCCTTTAGAGAGGTAATTAAGTTAGAATGAGGTCATGACGGTGGGCCCTAATCCAATATGACCGGTGTCCTTTTAATAAGAGGAAGTTTGGACACAGACATGTACAGAGGGAAGATGATGTGAAGAATCAGGGAGAAGACAAACCAGGGAGAGAGGCCTGGAATAGATCCTTCCCTCATGGCCCTAGAAGGAACCAACCTTGCCTACACCTTGGTCTCCAGAACTGTGAGAAATACATCTTTTTTTTTTTTTAAGACAACCAGTCTGTGATAGTTTGTTATGACAGCTCAAGTTAACTAATCTACAGAGTTTTTGAGAGGATAAAATCATCTAATTTATATGATGCAGTAAAGCACATGATAATGTTCATTATATGGTTGTTATAATTAGCAATAGCAGTAAGATTGGCTCTATTTTAATTAGGAATGAATCTTAACTCACTTGCATTATTGGATTATTAAGGCTATGAAGATTAATTGATTTCTCTGGTTAACTGAGTGTCAGAGGATGTTTTGTTTCCATTCTGATGATGACATCTTTTAAACATGCCTGATCCATCTTTATACTGATTAAAATTGAAACTTTTTGTCATTTGCAGGCCTAAGGTGCCTCTCTTTGATTACAAGAGATTGAAACTGCATGCATGCTCTTTCTGGAAAGTTTAGTTTTGTTTTTAATAAGCCAATTATGTCAATGTTTTCTAATAATTTGCTCCTTTTTTCATAATAAAGTGCTAAAACTCAAGTTAGCTTTAAGGTTCTAGACAATTGGACAGACCCAATGTGTTAGTATTCTTTACTTTCCATGAGCACATTTTGTAAAATAGTCTTACATATTGCTGTACACTGTAAGAACTCAAACTTGTTTCTGAAACTTTAATCATAATAAAAAATATGAAAATTGCTATCATTGTCTTCATGAGTTATGGATCAGCTGCTTCTGAACAATTAACAAATAGATCACGTAAATGTTTTTGGTTAGGAGGAACACCATGCTCCCTACAACAACAACAAAAAATACAGAAGAAACAGAATTATATTTACAACTTTCCAGATTATATTTCTCAATTGGGTTTATGGGAGCTGGTACCAAACAGCAAATTGTACTTTATCACTTAATTGTTTCCACTTATCTTTTAAGAGAGAAATTTATTTAGCATCTTTCTCTCTTTTGGGTAGGAGGTCACAGAGCAGATGATCTTTACTGGTTCTTTTCTATCCAAGAAAATGCTGCACACGGAAATCCAAGTAAAGAAGAGTGAGAAAGCATGACTATGGAAAGATACAATTCAGTGTCAGGAGGAGGGAATAAAAGACCAGTGGACCACATCTTTGAAAGATGTGGTGAATTAAAATGCTACTCCTTCCATGAGGAGGTGGCACCTAGTACCTTATCCCATGAATTGGGACTCTTCTGAGCTGTACTTGCAACTAGCTTTGGCCAGTAGAATGTGGGATAACAAACACCGTATGATTTCCAAGCAAGACTTCAAGAGTACTTGCAACTTCTGCTCTCACTTTCTTGCAGGCATCATTGCTCTGAGACTTCCATGGAAAGAGGTATAGTCTAGTCACCTTAAAGATGACAGACCACATGAAAAGAGATCCAGATGACAGCCAGCATGAACTACCAGACATGTGAGAGGGGCTATCTTAAGACTCTCCAGCTCCAGTCCCAGGCAGGACCAGGAGATGAACAATCTAGCCAAGTCCATCTCAAATTGCTGATGTGCAAAATCAATAGTCAGTAAAAGGGATGTTAATTTAAGTCACTAAGTTTTGGGCTGTTTGTTATACAACAATAGGTAACTGATACAAAAGCACTTGGGACATAGAAAAAGCATTTTACAAAATTCAACATTGTCATCATAAAAACACTCAATAACCTAGGAATAGAAGGGAATTTCCTCAACCTGAGAAAGGATGTCTATTAAAATCCAGTATAAACATCTTACTTAATGGTGAAAGACTAAATGTTTCCCCTTTAAGGTCATGAACAAGCCAAGGATGTCCACTCGTACTACTTCTATTCAGCATTGTACTGGAGATTCTAGCCAGGACAACTAGGGAAGAAAAAGAAGTAAGAGACATCTGGATTAGAAAAGAAGAAGTAATACATATTATCTGCAGGGGACATGATCTTGTATATAGAAAATCTTAAGGAGTCCCCTAAAAATATTAGCAGGAATAAACAAGTTTAGCAAGAAGCAAGACACAAAATCAGTATACAGATTTCACTTGTATTTCTATACACTTGCAATGAGCAAACCAAAAATTAAATTAAGAAAATTCCATTTACGGCTGTATCAACAAGAATAAAATACGTTTAAATAAGCTTAGCAAAAGACGTGCAAAACTTGTAAAATAAAGACTACAAAACATGGTTGAAAGAAATTAAAGATCTAGGTAAATGGAAAGACATTCATGTTCATGGATGAGAAGACTCACGTCGTTAAGATGGCAGTACTACTCAAACTAATCTATAGATTCAACACAATCCTTACAATCTTTTTCAAGATCACAGCTGGCTTTTTTGAGCAGAAATTGACAGGCTGATCCTAAAATTCATATAGAAATGAAAAAGACCTAGGGTAACTGAAAATTTCTTGGAAAAGAACAAAGTTGGAGGACTGACACTTCCAGATTTTAAAACTTACTACAAACCTACATAATCAAGACAGTGTGTTACTGACATAAAAACAGACATATGATAAATGGAATAGAATTGAGAGTACAGAAATAAGACCTTACAGTTATGCTCAACTGATTTTCAACAATGGCACCAAGCCAATTAAGTTGAGAAAATACAATATTTTTAAGAAATTATACTGGGACAAATGGATATTCACATGCAAAAGAATAAAGTTGGAATCCTACCTCACATCATAGACAAACTAAAAATTGTTGACAGAAGATCTAAAAGTGTAAAACTCCTAGAAAAAAACTGTAAAAACAAATCTTCTAGACATTGGATTAGGCAAAGATTTCTTTGACACAAAATCAAAGGCACAAGTGACAAAAAATACAAAAACTGAATTTTATCAAAATTAAAATATTTATGCTTTAAATTACATTATGAAGAAAGTGAAAGAAAAGCCTGCATAATGTGAGAAAATATTTGCAATTCATATTTCTGATAAGGGACTTGTATCCAAAATATATAATTAAACTTACTATTCAATAATAATAAGAGAAATAACCCAATTGAAAAAAATGGGTAAAGGGTTTGAATAGACATTTCTCCAAACAAGATATAAAAATGGCCAATAAGGACATGGAAAAATGCTCAACATCACTAATTATTAGGAAAATCAAAACTACAATGACATAACACTTCACACCCACTAGTATGGCTCGCTAAAAAATACAGTTGTTGGGTAGGATGTGGAGAAATTGGGGCCCTCATATTTTGCTGGCGGGAATGTAAAATGGTGCAGCCACTTAGAAAAACAATTTGGTAGTTTCTCAAAATGTTAAACAGAGTTAACCAATGACCCAGCAATTCCAATCCTAGGTGAATTGCTTAAGATAAATAAACATATGTCCAGACTAAATTTTGTACATGAATGTTCAAAGCAGCATTATTCATAATAGCCAGAAAGTAGAAATGACCCAAACTTCCATCAAAATGGATCAACAAAATGTCCTATATTCATACAATGCAATATTACTCAGCCATAAAAAGAATTAAGTACTAACAGTTGCTACAACATGTATATTATGCTAAGTGGAAGAAGCCAGTCACAAAAGACAGAATATTTTATAATTTTATTTCTATAAAATGTCCAGAATAG
This sequence comes from Homo sapiens, assembly GCF_000001405.40. Lineage (NCBI taxonomy): Eukaryota > Metazoa > Chordata > Mammalia > Primates > Hominidae > Homo > Homo sapiens. The sequence continues at coordinate 47,571,286 of NC_000012.12, read as the reverse complement.
GCAAATCTATAGAGATAGAAAGTAGATTAGTAGTTGCTTAGGGCTGGGGCCTAGGTAGGAAGGAGAAAAATGTGAAGTGGCTGTTAATGGTATGAGGTTTCATTTTGGGGTGATGAAGATGTTCTAAATTTAGATCATGGTGATGGCTGTACAATTCTGTGGATATACTAAAAATCAATGAACTGTGCATTTTAAATGGATGAATTTTATGGTACATGAATAATATCTCAATAAAACTGTTTTTTATTTTTATTTTATTTTTTGAGACAGAGTCTTGCTCTGTCGCCCAGGCTGGAGTGCAGTGGCGCGACCTCGGCTTACTGCAACCTTCACCTCCTGGGTTCAAGCTATCCTCCTGCCTCAGCTTCCCAAGTAGCTGGGATTACAAGCATGTACCACCTCTCCTGGCCAACTTTTGTACTTTTTAGTTGAGTTGGGGGTTTCATCATGTTGGCCAGGCTGGTCCCGAACTCCTGACCTCAAGTGATCCACCTGCCTCGGCCTCCCAAAGGGCTGGGATTACAGGTGTGAGCCAATGTACTGGTCCCAATACAGCTGTTTTTAAAAGTGCATAGGAGGCTGTTCAGCCTATGGAATAGTCATTTTTTTGTTTCTTTACTTTTCTCATAAACTTGCTTTCCTTAAAAAAAAAAGTGCATAGAAGCCCAGTCCTTTATATAGTGTGCTTTTTGTTGATACATCTACTTTATTCACCACAACCATCTAACCATCTTCAGTGCTCTGGAATGGTGTGATTTGGTTGCCATTTTATAAAAGAGACCTCAGTAACATTTCCTAAGGGCCCCTCCATGGATAATACCAAAATCTCATTTAAGATAGCTGGCTTACCCAGACATCATCTGGCATCACAGGCTTCATCAATGCAGCAAGCTTCAATAGTATGGACCCATGCCAGCCACCATTCTGTGAGCCAGGACACAAGGGAAAACTGCACACAGTCCTTTTCCACAGGGAGTGCCTGGCACGGGGGATTCAGATCTGCAAAGAATTACTGTGCAGAGTGCTATGATCGCTGCCAGCTTAGTGGTAGGTAGGTGGGAAATCCATGACAGTACAGAGGGAGGTCGAGAGACAATGCTATTTGGAAGAATCAGGTAAGATTTACCAAGAAACTAACTCAGGAGCTGGGCTTGAAGAATCCGTGGGAGATGGAAAGTAGTGCTTTTGTTGGTGTGCAGAGGAAAGAGCACTGTAGACCTAGACAATAGACAGAGACATTGGCATAGACAACATGGTGCATGGGGATTTGGAATATTTGGGGAAGAGCTGGAGCTGGGGTTCCTGAAGGAAGAGTAGATGGAGAGGAGGCCGTGGAGAAGTGGCAGAAGCTGGTTAGGAAAGTCTTGCTGGTAAGGAAATTGTCCTTACTCTGGATGTGATAGGGTTGCACCTGGGTTTTGGAGATATCATTCAAGTGGCAGTGAGGGAGAGGAACAAGATATAGGAGAAAAGAAAAAGGGTAAACAGACCAGGGTGCATAATTATTAAAATAGTAGTGCAAATGAAAGATGGTGTCCAACTGTAAATTTTTTTTGTTTTTTTTAGACAGAGTCTCGCTCTGATACTCAGGCTGGAGTGCAATGGTGCAATCTCAGCTCACTGCAGCCTCCGCCTCCCAGGTTCAAGCGATTCTCATGCCTCAGCCTCCCTAGTAGCTGGGACTACAGGCACGTGCCGCCATGCACGGCTAATTTTTGTATTTTTAGTAGAGTTGGGGTTTCAGCATGTTGGCCAGGCTGGTCTTGAACACCTGACTTCAAATGATCCGTCCATCTTGGCCTCCCAAAGTGCTAGGATTACAGACGTGAGCCACCATGCCCACCCCAACTGTAAATATTTATCAAATGATTGAATGACTCCAAAGTTGGTATGTTATTTCTTGGATTTCCTTTCCTCAGGGGATGAGTGAAGATATAGATTAGTTCGAGGTAGGATGGATGGAGTTAAGGGAGTTCATGCCTGGAGATGTCTTTTGGTTTCTCCAGAATCTTGGTCTCAACTCACAACACTCACAAAGTAAGAGGGAGAAGAGGGAATGTACCTGGCCCTGAGAAGTCCTATTGCATTTTTCTCTTTAGTTAAGAAGAATTTGCATGCCAGCAAGGCTTAGTGTTGCTGTTTCTACAGCAAATTATCCTGAGTAGACACTTCTCTGGCAACTCCTCTTTTGAGATAAAAATCTTTGATTTAAAGTTTTTATCCATGTAGTGAAAGTAGCAAGTTGAAGAAGGATGTGTACTGACAAATTAAAAGCTTGAAAACATGCAAAATGTTAGTATATGCTGCATACAGATTCATACATGTAGAGTGAAAAACAGAGATATGCATGGGACCCTCCCAGTTACCCTGATATGATCATGACACACCGTGTGCATGACTCAAAATATCACATGTATCCCATAAATAGGTACAGTTATTATGTATCAAAAAAAATATACGAATGGGAATGGAAATATAAAACAGGATAGTGATTACATCTGGCAGAAAGTGAGGGGATAAAATTGGGAAGAGAAAACAGGGGTTCTGTCAACTGAATGTTTGTGTCCCCCAAATTTGTATGTTGAAATCCTGACCCCTAAGGTGATGGTATTAGGAGATGAGGCCTTTGTACAGTGATTAGGTCACAAGGATGGAGCCCTCATGAATGGGATTAGTACCTCATAAGAGAGAACCCAGAGAGCTCCCTTTCCCCTTTTACTGTGTGAAGTTACAGTGAGAAGACAGCAACCTGTCAACCAAAAACGGGCCTTCACCAGACATGGAATCTGCTAGCACCTTAATCTTGGACTTTCCAGTTGCCTGAACTGTGAGAAATAAGTTTTTGTTGTTTACAAGCCACCCAGTTTACGATATTTTGTTTTAGCAGTCTCAACAGAGTAAGGCAAGGGGTCTCAATTAGGCATTATGTATATTTGGTTTATTTGTTAAGCTGACTGGTGGGTGTACGGGGTTTGATGTTATTGTGTATATCTTTATGTATCTAAAATGTTTCCAAATAAAAAATAAAAGTATGCAATGGAGTTTGTAATTAGCAATCTTCACTCTAGGCTGGAGCTTCCAAACAAACGTCTGCTTCTGTACTTGAGGGTCTAGACTCCAGTGCCAGACTTCTTAGGCACCAAGCCTTACTCCAACACTCATAGCTGTGTGACATGCGGCAAGTCTCTTAACATTTCTGTGCCTGAGTCTCTCCATCCATAAAATGAATCTTCCTAAATCTCAAGGATATTATAAGAATTACGTGAGTTACTATACGTAAAGTGCTTAAAATAGTGCCTGGCATGTGATCAATGCTTAAAAGATGTCAGTTGTTGTTATAATTTACACACCAAGTCACTTGTTGACATTGATTATTTCAGTTTCTTCTCATGACCAAATGTATGTGTTAGGCTGATTTTTCAGGGTAGTTTTCCCAGCTTTTTGGTATTGCCCAATGCACACTTTCTTTTAGGAGGTACAGAGCAACTTGTTTCCAGAGATCAGTCAGAATAAAGAGCTGGGAAATAAATTGTTTGACTTTGGTTTTCAAAAGTCTAAGCTCTGAGGGCTACTGAGAGGACTCTGGATATAAAGCAAATATTTGGAGAAATATGGAGGGAGTGAGAAGGTCTTTCCCTCCTTCCCAAGGCTGGAGAAAGATCATCAGGCTGGGGAGCGAGAGAAAAGACATCAAGTGGGTTTTAGAGAAGGGGCCAGTGCCGCTCCTTCTAGTCAGCATTCAGCAGCGGAGGCAGGACCTGAAAAGGGCCTGGAAATACAGAATGCCAAGTTTTTGCATCTCCCTTCTTGAGCTGGAGTCATTGTTAGGAGGTTCCAGGAGGCCAGCAGGGCCTGGAAGGACTGTGAAGGCAGGAATGGCAGCAGTGACCCATGAAGACAGATGACATCAAGGGCTTGTCAACTCTCCCTCCCTGTGGCATGCTTCTAATTCCCCACTGTAATCTCACTGAAACTTCAACCTGAGGAAAGGGTCAGAAAGCCCGGAATTAACAAAGATCAAACTTTCTTCATTTAAAAATGGGCTCAAACTAGAAAGCGTTACAGGAAAATAAAGGTTATATTGCTTGGACCCCTGAGTTGGCAGAGTAAGATTCACATGCCATGGCAGGCAGCCTTCTAAGACGCCCCAGTGGTTCTTACCTCCTGGTATTAATGCCGTTGTATAATCTCCCCATCTTGAGTGTGGGCCAGACCTAGGGACTCACTTACAATGAATAGAATATGGCAAAAGTAGTGGAATGTCATTTCTGAGATTGGGCTACAGAAGACTGCGTCTTTTGTCTTGCTCCCACTCTCTCCCTAGCTCCTGTTGAGAAAGTCAGCCGCCATGTTGTAAGCTGCCCTGTGGACAGACCCACGTGGGAAAGAAGTGAGGGCAGCCTCCACCAAAAGCCAGCAGCAAGGAACTGAAGTCCTTAGTCCAACACCCCTTGGAGAACTGAAGTTTGCCAACAGCCATGTGAGTGAGCTGGGAAGTGGATGTCGTTTCCCAGCCCAAACCAACATCTTGATTGTAGGCATGGGAGAGACATTGAACCAAAGGATCCAGCTGACCTGTGCCCACAGAAACTGTGAGGTAATCAATGTTGCTGTTCGGTACCACTACATTTTGGGTTGATTGATCATAAAGGAATAGATAACTGAACATATACACTACATATATAAACAGTCATCTCTTGAATAGATATTATCATTTTCACACAGACAATATGGCAGAGAAACTATGGGAAGCCCAATCCTTGGATCTCAAAATCCTTGCTTCTTGCGCCCTCAGTCACTTTCTGCTTTAGGTACATAGCATGGAGGCGGGGGATTTGGGTTTCAGAGCCAGTCCTGTTGCTAGAGAGGTACGTGGATGTGGATCATTCTTACCTGCCCTAAGCTCATCTTATTTGACAAGTGGGGACACAAATAATACTTGCCTTATAAGACTATTGGGCAGATTTCCTGAAATCATGCAGGTGAGAAGCACTTTATAAACTCCAAATTGCTATGTAGTTTTAGTTACAATATTATATTATATGAATCATATGTTTTTATTATTTATTAATTAGTTGTTTTCCTGGGTTAAGTAAGTATCCTAGTTTTCAGTCTGGAAAGACAAAAATAAAAAGAAATTTTGAAAGGTATTTTTCACTACTTCTCTGCAATGCAATTTCAGAACAAAAATGTATCTAACACATGGGGCAGAAATTATTGTCTATTAATAAATGATGAACAACTTTTTGAAAGAAAATTGGTTTATAGGGAGACTCCTGGTACAGGTTAAATTGCCATCTATATAAAGTCTAAAACAAGCCAGGATTTGAACCCAGGTCTGTTTAAATAATAGATGCTCAATAATATTTATTAAATCAATAATTGAACCTTAAGTTTGGAATCACTCTAGTGTCTCTCTTCCTATTAGAATGAATGCAACTGTTAATGAGTTCTGATGTAATAACTAATGTAACTAATAACTAATATATTATGATGTGATAATTAATATATTAGTAACCTTATACTTTCCATCTTAATTTGGCTTACACTACTTTTTCAGTATCCCTCTTTAATTAAAAAATTAATGTATATACTTCTAACAAAGGGTAACATTGTTTCTATTCTCTTAGGGCTGCCAGATAAAATACAGGGCACACAGTTGTTCGAATTTCAGATAAATAACAAATCATTTTTTAGTATAAATATGTCCCAAATACTGCATGGGACATGCTAAAAATGATTTGTTGTTTATCCAAAATCCCAATTTAATTGGATGTTTTATATTTTTGTTTGCTAGATCTGGCAACCCTAATCTTCCGCTTAAACAAAACTAGAAGTATAGCATATTTTGTATTCATTATACACCTTTCTCTCCACCTTTCTTGCTCTTGTTATCAAAAATTTTAGTTCCAAACTTTTAAAGTAAAAATATTTTTTAAGAAAATAGCTACAATAGTAACATGTTAATAATTTCTCTGATGATGGTTATTCCTTGATTCCCACTCCTACTGTATGAAATAGGAAAGACCAAACTATTTTTCCTACTGCCATGCTCGACACAGCACAGAAGACACCTGATCACCAAAATGTGTGTAGGTTTTTTTCCACACACCAAGCAATTTTCCAACTGTGTGTCTATAATCATTTCATTCAATTCTGACACTACAGCTGGGTGCAGTGGCTCACGCCTGTAATCCCAGTACTTTGGGAGGTTGAGGTGGGTGGATCACTTGAGGCCAGGAGTTTGAGACAAGCCTGGCCAACATGGTGAAACCTCATCTCTACAAAAAAGTACAAAAATTAGCCCGGCATGGTAGCCCATACCTGTAGTCCCAGCTACTTGGGAGGCTGAGGCAGGAGGATCACTTGAACCCAGCAGGTGGAGGTTGCAGTGAGCCGAGATCATGCCGCTGCACTCCAGCCTGGACAATGAGCAAGAACCTGTCTCAAAAATCATTGGCTTTTTAGATTAATTAATATTTATTTTTCCAAGACCTAATATCTTTAAATAAAAGAGGAAACTTAAGACCCCAACACAAATATTATTGCATCTTACTGAAGGAACCAGCACTAACCCAAGCCAATATGGGTACTGTGACACGCTAATTTGTAATCTTTCTTTAAACTAAGCTGAAGACCTATGCACCCTCCTGTTTAAGGGAATATGGCAGAGATTGCTAGTTGCCACCCGATATCCTTCATAATAACAAAACACTAATTTTTTGTTGGGCATATTGCCATCCATCTAAGATTACATTTTTTAGCCTCCCTTGCAGACAGCTGTAGTCATGTGATTAATTTTTGGTCAATGACATATAAGAAGCATTATGTAGGCCAGGCATGGTGGCCTACATAATCCTAGCACTGTAATCCTAGTACTTTGGGAGGCCAAGGCAGGTGGATCACTTGAGGCCAGGAGTTCAAGACCAACCTGGCCAACATGGCAAACCCTGTCTCTACTAAAAATACAAAAATTAGCTGGACATGGTGGTGCACACCTGTAATCCCAACTACTTGGGAGGCTGAAGTGGGAGAATCACTTGAACCTAGGAGGTGGAGGTTGAGCCGAGATCACACCTCTGTACCCCAGTCTGGGGGACAGAGTGAAGTCTAAAAAAAAAAAAAAAAGATTATATTCTATTTACAGGGACCTTTTTAAAAAAGGGGGCAAGATCTTCTCTTCCTCTTTCTCAGTCCTTCCACTTGGAATGCAGATGTGAAGGCCGAGGGCTAAAGCTTTGGCAGCCATCTTCAACCAAGAGAACAAGTGCCAAACCCTAGGCTTGACGGAAGACAGTGCTGCTAAGGAGACTTGCTATTTCCGGGCCTCTTTTACACAAAAGTAAAATGTGAAATGTTGAGCCACCACTCCTGGCCTACATAATGCTTCTTATATGTCACGACCAACAATTAGTCACACAACTACAGCTGTCTACAAGGGAGGCTAAAAAATGTAATCTTGGCCGGGCGCGGTGGCTCACACCTGTAATCCCAGCACTTTGGGAGGCCAAGGCGGGCAGATCACAAGGTCAGGAGATGGAGACCATCCTGGCTAAGATGGTGAAACCCCGTCTCTACTAAAAATATGAAACAAAATTAGCCGGGCGTGGTGGCGGGCGCCTGTAGTCCCAGCTACTCGGGAGGCTGAGGCAGGAGAATGGCGGGAACCCGGGAGGCGGAGCTTGCAATGAGCCGAGATCACACCACTGCACTCCAGCCCGGGCGACAGAGCGAGACTCTGTCTCAACAACAACAACAAAGTAATCTTAGGTGGATGGCAATATGCCCAACAAAAAATTAGTGTTTTGTTATTGTGAAGGATATTGGGTGGCAGCTAGCAGTCTTTTCCATTTTCCCTTAATCAGGAGGGGGCATAAGTCTTCAGCTTAGTTTAAAGAAAGATTACAAATTAGTGCACAACAGGACCCATATTGGCTTGGGTTAGTGCTGGTTCCTTCAGTAAGATGCAATAATATTTGTGTTGGGGTCTTAGGTTTCCTCTTTTATTTAAAGATATTAGGTCTTGGGAGAATAAATATTTATTAACCTACAAAGCCGATGCTTAAATTAATTAAATTAAATTAATCGAGTTAAATTAATCATTGGCTTTGTAGGTCAATTAACATCTACTGGCTACAGATGTCTTTTGATTAAATTAATCGTTTAATCTAAACCATAATAACCTATTTAATAACCTATGAGTTTGAAAAAGCATGGGCCTGGGGCTGGAAGACCTGGGTGTGCGACATACGTGCTGTAAGTGTCAAATGGAACATGCAAAAGGCTTCAATAAAGAGTCAACAAATAGTCAGCAAATGCTCAACTGCCTCCCTCTCTTCCTCCCTTTCCTCCATCAAGATTTCTGTGTGCTGGTGGGGAAACCTGGTTGGCACATGCAGTGTCACAATTACTTTTAATGCCAACTGTGTCTGGCTAAATCTGAAAAGACATTAACTGTGGCTACCATTTACTGCCTTGTGCACACCTCTGGTTGAGGTTGCCTGGATCTACAGTTTTAAATAGGGCAGTTCTTACAGGAAGGCAGAGGTACAGTAATAGCTTAGAGAAAAAGACACTCATATTTCTAGCTCTGGACCTAAGGGGCTGCCTTAATAATAATAATAATAAACATAGCAGGCTTTCAGCTATGGAGACAGCAGGTATAGGCTCAAGAGTGGTTTGGGCTTCCTGTGGCATGTAGTTTCTATAAAGGGCACACCGCTTCAGAGGCAGACCCACGAAAGGCCCAGGAACATCCTCTTTGGTTCTGGAAAATTCCCATCTTGTTTCTTTGGAAGCTGCTGCCTGAATCATGTAAACTGCTGACAACAAGGAGTAGAAGGAGAAGCATTTTTGTAAAACATCTGTATAGCATCCACTTCAAACAGTGGTAGGGGGTGGAGGGGAAAATTAATGGTTGTTCTGATGTCCTGAGTCTTTAAGTTGAGGCACTAAAAAACACTTTTCACATCGTTAAATACAACTTCACTGCCTTACTCAAAGTTGAGATGTAACAGTGGCTGATTACTATGTACAGGCTACTTTATCTTGACTATTTTTCAGTATCTCACATGGGAGGATATTAATTACAGATGTCTTTTGAGGCTTGGATAAATCAATTTAAGTCTTCTTAATAGAGTTCACATTAAATTGGTGAAAGTTGCCTACTAAAATGTTGACAGCCTCATTACATGTTAGGGATATTTATTATCTCTGGGAATTTCAGGGACCAAACATATGAGTAATCTTTGGCATGACCTTTTACCCAAATGCCTTTTATGTGGCAGGATGGATTCTTGGTTTGCTGAGTGATAAATGTGGGAAACCAGAGTTGTGTAGTGGATAGAGTTTTGGTGTAGGGTCGGACCACTTGGTTTGATCCTTGCCTTGGAAAGTGGAGTAAACTTGAGAAGGGTGACTATGAGATTTGTGATGAATAATTGTGGGCGTGAGGCATTGACTCAGGTGTTTCAGCTATGTCCTGTTACTTAGTTCTCAGACTGGCTCTATGAGGTGTTCTTACTTTAATCTCAGAAAGGCTTGGATACCCTCACACCTGAGATTCACCTGCCACGTTCCCCTGTGCTACTTGTCTTTTTGTGGAACACCTTATGCCTTGCAAATTACAAAAGGCTATGTAAACATAAGAAGCTGGCCTTGTCTTAATCCAACAGACATGGAGTGCACAGTCTAAGCAGCTCCCCCAAGATTCATAGGCTTGGAGGCTGCTGAGAGGGGAAAGTTTTCTGCAACATGAGAGAAAAATGGTCTTATGGGTATAAAACTTACAATTTTGGAAATAACGTCTCCTGTAAAGGGAAAGGGAGTTTGTTTCAATCTGAGGAAAACTCCCATTTTCAAATGTTCAAAGAGCTGATATGGCAGATCTTGGGGCTTGGCTGACTCAACTGCATTTCCAACCACATTCCCCTCATTTGTTTTTGTCTTAGAGGCTATAAAAGAAATAAGCCCATCTCATGAACTGATGGGAAGACAGCACAGCACTATTTCACTCCGCAGTGTTGCCTCAGACGCTGAGCTCCGGAGGGTTGCAATAGATCTGCCAGTGTCTCCTTGTGAAATTTCTGCCACTCCCACCAGACAGACCCAGGTGCTCGAGCACTTTTAAAGGAAATATGTCTACTCTTGAAAAAGAGAAAACCCTGCTGGTGGGTCCAGGGGAAGATGTTACACAGCACCACATATGGCTTCATTGCCTCTTCATCACATTTAGAGGTCTTTCCCTCCTCCAAAATCTCATGAAATCTGGCCCCAAATTCTCTTTCCACCTTTTCTGCTTCATTATCTCTAAGCAGTGTCTCCCCTTGCTTCCCCCCTCCCCACTTCTCTTGCTAGGACCTTTTTTTTTTTCTTTCCCCAAATAGTGCAATCTCTAGGCCCAATTTCCATAAAAGAAAGGAGAAGGAAATAGTAAATAATGTACTTATAATTTAATATTTGCATTCTATTACGATTCAAACAATATAGAAGTACAAAATAAAAGATTAGTGTCCATGTCTCCCCTCTTCTCCCTCAGTGCCTCTCACCAGATTTAAAAGACCAGCTTTAAAAGATGGACTTGGAGCCTTCTTTTTTTTTTTTTTAATGTTTCACCATGTTTATTTGACATCATGATTTCACAGTCCTTACACAAGGTGAAATAAGCACTCACTTCCCTTTTTTGTTGCGTGTGTGTTAGCAGGAGTCGGAAGAACAGAATATGAGGGAACAAGCAGAGGGTGCAGAAAATGGAAAGATGGGGAAAGAAAGATGCTGTTGAAGACACAGAGTGAGTGTTTATATGAACCCTTCTCTAAACAAGCAGTATCAACAAAGAGTACAAAGCTGACAACATGGAGTGTCTTCTTACAGAAATAATCTGGGACCACATTCAACATACATTAATTATTCAGCATCAGGGTACAGGTTTTCCATCAGAAATTATGTATATATTCTTTTTTCTCACTTTTAAGTGGCATTGATGACATTGTTCATGTACTTTTAGTGTATTATTAAGCAAATATTAATTTAATCATATAAACCAATCCCGGTCAGCAAAAAAGCATTGTTAGCTGCCATGTAAAGGTCCTTCTTTCAAGTAAAACTTCATTCCACACTTCTAGCTTCCTGTTAGAGGAACTTCTTGAAGGAACTCTTTCAGTTGGCTTTACAACTCATCTGCAACACCAAATGTGGATTAAATTCAGATCACACCTTGGTTGAAGATATGTATATAACAGCCCCTGGCAAAATTAGCTAATATCTTGTAATTGTAAACGAATTGTTCTCTCTTAGCCATTTCCCCCCCAATTTCCTATAACGGTCTTTATCCAAATGCTTTGGTGCTCCATAAGTGACGGTGAGGCAGAGGTGCTTCAGTGCTGGAGATGCCTGTCATGGAGAAGATCAGAATGTGTGAAGATAACCCTGAATTACGTTCATCAGTTCTGCGCAATCCATAGGGGTAAAAAATGGTTGAGATTTGATATCTTCTCAACACCAGCAACTCCAGCACCAGGACTGGGAGCCTTCTAAACTGTCTTTTATGTAAATGTAATCTTCATTTTCTAGCTCTGTATATAGTTTTAGCAGAGATGGAAAAACTCGATCTTTCAAAAGCCATTAGCAGTGTGAGCCCATGGTTCTATTAGGTTGGTGCAAAAGTAATTGCTGTTTTTGCCATTAAAAGTAATGGCAAAAACCAAACCACGATTACTTTCGAACCGACCTAATAGAAAGAGACTGCTATTTTCTTGGGAAGATGAAACCGTTTTGTGGGGTTTTTGAAAATGTAGAGAGAAGGTGCAGAGCCCAGTCCACAGTGAAGTTGTGCCTAAGAAGCACTATGCTGCTTTGAATGATAAAATAAAAGGATGTCTTTACAGGGTGGAGATTGGTATAAGCCTGGACTCACTGATAATCTTCAGAAATATCAGGGAGGTCACTGGGATTTGGGGGCTACCATTCTAAGGATGGAGGCTTGAATTGTTCTAATTAGATACCAAAGGAACCGGTGGCCCCAAAAGGCCAGAGAACTAGGATACAGCTGATGTACCTACTTTAAAAAGGATCTGTTATACAGACTGTTCTGTGCTTTAGTGCTTCCCCTTAGTATGCTACCTTAGACATCTTGCTTTGTCAATCTTAGAGTGAGTTTATCAAAAGTTTGTGGTGATAGTGAGTGAGGTACTAGTGCAGACCACAAGAGTATAGCTCATTAATAGATGGAAATAAATGAAAATCAGTGGGCAGAGAAGTAAATTAACTTTACCTCAAATGTAAATGTTCCTGCAGGTGCTGGAAGTGCATTTTAATGACCTTTCTATGGCCAAATAGAAAACACATCAGCAGATCAGAGCTTGTCTTCTTTCCTAGACTTTAATTTCCTCCTTTGAACAAAGGGACAATGAGGTGTCTGATTCAGAACAGAACATGTTGCACGGTTGTTAAATTAAATGTGAAAAGGAAAAGACTGAGGCTTTTAAAACGTGTGCTCAATTTTTCCATCAACAGGAGGCCTCTGCAAAATTATCACCCATTCGATAAGGACTCTGTCACTGGCTCATCAAATGTCCCGAACCCTTGGGAAACAAAACTTGAGGTTAGTCAAGGTCTTTTTGTTGCTGGGCCACCCTAACATCCCTGATTTCCTCTCTGGACTCTCTCTTTGGCTTAGTTTCTTTCCTCCTTTTTGTATATACTTGTCTTTCTCCAAAGTTCTTGTCCTTAGTATATCTGGCTCTCCATAAACATTCATCTGTTGCTCTAATTCCCGACACCCCCAATTTACAATAAATAGAAGGTTCTATTGAGAGTTGAAAACCTAGGTTGGAGCCTTGACTCTGCCATTTAAATGGCTTTATCTTCTGTTTTTCCAACTGTAAAGTAGATTAGTAATGGGTGTTTACAATCCTTGGAACGACAATGGGTGATAGTGGGTTTGGATGGATATGCTTTATAAACTTTCAATGATTATAGAAATGCAAGGCACACACACACACACACACACACACACACACAAAAGGAAGACAGCCGGCCTGAACAAAAGACATTCAGATTTATAGTCCCTGTTAGCATGGTTGTGACTTCATGGCATGCCACCTCTGGGCCCTGAAATAGATATGTAATAAATTGTATTTTACAGATTTAGAAAACATTTAAACCCTCAGAATATTGCCTCTGGCAGGCTCCTTGAGACCGTCAAAATTCTCATCCAACCATGTTATTTTCTGGATGGGAAAACTGAGGGCAGGAACTGTCCTGGGGCAAAGTGCCAAACAGAGCAAAGCCCGGCCTGGATTGCAGGTTGTTTGATTCTCAGTTCTGGTCGTTCCTCTGTCTGTGATGCCGTCTTGACTCTGACTTTGCTGAGCCCCGGAGGAAGACGAGTAGCCCAGGCTGACTCTCATGACAAGATTGTCTTGGAGGACAATGAAAGTGCTGTTGTGGCCCCCAGCCCCCAGCATTTATATAATGAGTTGTTTCTAAGGCATTTCCATTAAAAGAAAATGTTTTTTGGGCATGAAGGAGCAGGGTGTTGGACTAAGCTCCTGTCCCTCCCCTCCTATTGGTACAGAAGACAAGGAGAGAAAGGACAGCCAAGATTGTCACAAAGAAGGAATTGGTCTTTAGGGCCTCATTCTGAGTGTTTTGCTTTCTCTGTAATGTTGGCGCTTTCTCTTCCTTCATCTACCTCCGTCTCCATTTGATGTTGCCCTGGCGCCCTGAGGCAGCTTTACAAGAAATTCCTGCAGTTCCAAGCCTTTCCTGGCTCCCTTCCTGCATCCCAATATGTAGTTCCCATCACCCATTTCGATAGAACTCTGCTCTTACTGAGAAATTCAAGAACAATAACGCCCAATGTCTTTGTTGTTCCACATGGTAACTTTGCCTATCTCTCTGATGAATTGTATTTATTGTAAAACAGTATAATGAAAACAATAAATGAAAAAAAAACGCCCACTGTTCCACCCTCTAACATGCCAACTGTTTTCATCTTTTGAGTTTCCTGCCCATATGCTGCATGTTTTAGAGCAGTAACTCATAGTGCATCTACAATTCAGCCCTCTGCTTTTATCTATTACATTCTATTAATTTATCATGTTGCTACATAGATTTCAGAATCATCATATTTCGCTATGGTATAATGTTTCATACCACTGCTATATCATGATTTATTTAACCATTCTCCTTTTTTTTGATGTGTGAATTATTTCCGATTTTTCTTCATTATTAGTAATACTGCTTTGAAAAATGGATACCTTCAATTCTTTTATTCTTTTGAATGATTTCCCCAGAATAAATTCAAAAGAGTTAGATTAGTGAGTCAAAGAGTAAGAATAATTTGAGGGATGCACAATTCACTTAACAAACACCAAGAGTCTGCTGTGTTAAGCCCTGAATTGTCCCAGATGAAAGTCACAGAGCTTACACTCAATAGGCCCAGGGTTACAGCCTTGCCAATGCACCACAATGTAGCAGTCTCTCGTTGCCTGAGTCATCACCCCAAGTTCTTTGTTTCACAACCAATAAAATTAAGGAGCACAAACACTAAGGGTGCAAATTTAATAAGCAAAAGAAGAAAGTTCTTTGCTGTGGAGAGGGGGCCTGAAAGAGGGTTGCTGTTTTTGCAGTTGAATGCAAAGGCTTTTATAAGAAACCAGTGAGGGCTGGGCATCTCATCTGCATAAGGTGCAAATTTCTGGTCTTCCTAAAGCGCATGCAGGCTCTTAGCTTAAGTTATTCCATATTACTTTGTTGCCTTACTGTGCATGTGTCAGGGGATGGAATTTTCCATTGTGGGCGTGTCTGGGCAAGTCACCTGTGTAGCCTTTCTTATCTGTGCGGCTGTGGGCATGTCTTAGGCAAGCACCCCTGTGCCTGCAGCTTGATTTTTGAGGCTGTTCTTTTGTTTGAAAGAGTTCAACCAAAGACCCACCCTAACTACCTGCCTGACTGGTTTCTTCCTTTCTCTTCTCTCACCAGCATCTAGCCACAGAAATATTTGTCTTAATAACCCCCCATAAAAACCCCTGTTTGCTAAGTGTCTGTTCAGTGCCAGGCACTATGTTACCGAGTGTCTATATATTTTATTATAACTTCTCAATATCACCAAGAAAACAGTACTATTAGATTCCTATTTTGCAGATGAGAGAACTGAGGCTGAGAGAAATTAAGTAGCTTGTCCAAGGTCACATAGCCACTGAGAGGCCCAGCTGGGATTGAAATCCAGGTCATCCTGACTTGAAAGTATATGGGCTTCCTGTTAGTGCTACCCAGTTCCTCTTCATGTATAGGTATTTGCCAGACTATTTCCCCAAGATTGTGCAGTGTTGGAGTTTGTCAATTATTTGAGTCTTTTTTTTTCTTTTCTTTTCTTTTTTTTTTGAGATGGAGTCTTGCTCTGTCATCCGGGCTGGAGTGCAGTGGTGTGACCTCTGCTCATTGCAACCTCTGCCTCCCAGGTTCAAGTGATTCTCCTGCATCAGCCTCCCAAGTAGCTGGGATTACAGGCATGCACAACCATGCCCGGCTAATTTTTTTGTATTTTTAATACAGACAGGGTTTTGCCACATTAGCCAGCCTGGTCTTGAACGCCTGACCTCAGGTGATCCACTCGCCTGGGCCTCCCAAAGTGCTGGGATTCAGGCGTGAGCCACTGCACCCGGCCAATGATCTGAGTCTTTGTATTTCATCTCCATGCTCACAGAATAAGGTATAATTATTTTCTTATGCAATTTCATTAATTTTTCAAGTGAAAAGCTATAAGCATTATTGTGCTTTTAGAGAGTGACTTTCAAGAACTTAACTGAAACCCTTAAGGAATACAGTGCTTCAAGGAGGGTGGAAAGGCTCACCCTCCAATACTGCTCAAAGCCACTGATTATTCCTAGGGTTTTGCCTTGATAACAGGGTAGAACTCACCCACATGGATTCTGCAACTGTCTCAGATAATGTCATCATCCCTAACATAAGGGAATTTGTGGGATGTACTCAGTCTTTATCAGATTTCAGTGGCTATCAGATTTTTTGGCTTATTGGCATGTGAGCTGCACCGTAATGCATTTTGTTTTTCAATAACTTTCATTATACAAGGAATTCACATTTATTTCAGAAAAATCATAAAATCAAATAAGCCAAAATTAGATTAAAAAATAATTCTATCTTAGAGCTATATTATCACTGCATCTATTTTGTAGTATACATTTTTCGTACATCTCTCACCATGCTCAATTTCCTGTGAACTGGTTTCTCCATTCAAGATGTAGCATACACATCTTTCCAAGTCAATAAAGATATGTCTATAACATTTCTCAAATGGCTACATGGTGTTTCATTGTGCCATAATGTACTCAATAAATCCTCTATTATTGGATAGTTAAGTAGATTCCATCTTTTTGCTATAGTGCTGCAATGAGCATTCTTACTGTTGAATCTCTTACCCACATTCTTAATTGCTTTCTCATAATAAATTCCTATAAGTGTAACTGTTGGGTCAGAAGGCATGTGGTTTTTAAAAGGCTTTTTACCAGTTTAATAAATTGCCACAAAAGCTCAGTTTAAACTCCCAAAACTCTTGAAAACACTACATATAGTACCTATTTTTTCCTGCCATCTTAACAGGCTTATATATGATCTCATTTTAGATTTCACTTGTATTTCACTGGTTACCATGAGGTTGAATATTTATTCGTATGTTTATTGGTAAAATGCACTTATTTAAAATACAAGTTTGAACAATGTATTTTCAACTTACCATGTCTGTTTAAGCTAGCTTCAATGGACAATGATATCTGGAGGCGTTCATTCTAACAGTGGGGTTCTTTAAAGTGGTACATCAAGTGCCCTGGAGAGAAAAAGATGACAGGAAGAGGTTTTCTAGAAGTGGGATTTTAATGTGCTGCTGTGGCTGAAATCAGATTACTGTTAAATGAAAAAAATGGTGAGAGTCATAATGTTTTTGTGTTTAACCTAAAAGACCTTTAGCAGCTGTGTTTTTGAGTGCATTGTACATATCAATTAATACACAAGTGAGGGGTAGATGTTGCTGACTTATTCACATACCATTTCTATTAGTTGGTGTTTAAATCTATCAATCTGTTGCCAAATGTTACTTTCTTCTCCTCAGGAGAGCCACACATTTTAACTAGGCAAGGAGAGAGTGGGATATTCCCTTGCCTGCCAGATGACACCTCTTGGCGAAGAAAGGAAATTGCTAAAACATTAATGCCACTTAAAATATTGTTGCCTTTTTTTCCTGAAATGAAATCTCTCAAGGACATCTCAGCATGACAGGGCTATAGGAAATGCTTTATATTTTTCTAATGCTTATTTTAGTAAACTTTTGATATTAATTACTATGATGAGGGTCCATATCTTTCATGTGTTTATATTTATTCACTCAAAAAAGTTTTTAGTGTTCAGTTTATGCCAGAGATGATGCTAAGCAGTGAAGATTGTAAGACATGGTTGTAGTCCACAGGAAATTATATCTGGAGAAGATAGAAAACCCTAATATAAAACATGAAACAAATGCTGAGAAAGAGAGAAACAAAATTTAGAGTGGGTCTAAAAGGAGAAATTGTTGCATAAAAAGTCAACTTTATGCCTCATTTCCTGTTTTATGGTATATAAGATTCAGACAAGGTAAAACACACAATTTAAATTGTGTTGTTAAAGGTGGTTACTTCTGCAGGGTGGGGTTGACATGAAGAAGAGGATGGTCCTTTCCCTGCCTCGTGCCTCCAAAGCAGACCTGTCCCTGAATACCAGTCGGTGTCTACTTGTTACTGAAACACAAGGGGTTTGGTCTAGGTTCTGCTGCTTGCTGCACAGAAAGCCAATCACTGAGACAACGAGTGTTGCCAAGGAAGAAGGCTTTAATTGGGTGCTGCAGCTGAGGGGATGGGAGATCAATCTCAAATCCATTTCCTGACCAATTAAAATTAGGGGTTTATATAGCAAGGAAGAAATGTAACTATGTGTAAGAAAATAGGAACTAGGGAGGGGCAAGGAAGCAATCCTGATGCAGGAGGGACCTGGCATTTTATTGTTTGGGTGCCATGATCTGGTGCGTTTTGGTTCTTTGATACTTTTTGAGAGGCTGGGGTCTTTTCCTGAGGAAAAAAATTCAGATACAACAAATGTAAGTTTCAAGCTTTAAGACAAGAAGGGTCAATTTCTATGTTTTCTTTTTTTAAACCTGTCTATAGGACTATTGAGTCAGTTTCATATTAAAGTTTCTAGACCTCCTGTGTACCGAAGGCTGGTCTGATGGATAGTGAATAGTAAGAGGTCTTGTTTCCAAGCTTAGCACCATAGGATCCTAGGGAGCTCTTCTGTTTCTTAGGTTTTTAAAGATACTTATTTCTTTATTTTTATTAAAACAATTTTTTTGGAGATGGTGTCACTCTGTCACCCAGGCTGGAGTGTAGTGGCACAGTCATGGCCCACTGCAGCTGCAAATTCCTGGGCTCAAACAGTCCTTCTGCCTCAGCACATGTGCCACCACACCCAGCTAATTTTTATTTATTTATTTATTTTTTGTAGAGATAGGATCTTGCTATGTTGCCCAGGCTAGTCTTCAACTTCTAGGCTCAAAAGATCCTTCTGCCTCAGCCTCCCAAAGTGCTGGGATTATAGGCATTAACCACCATATGTGGCTGTTTCCTAAGTTTTGACAAATTCAGTTATACCCCAGTATATGTTTATTTGAGTTGAGACAATTCAACCTTACAGAATATATCACTTAAGCTCCCTACTTTCGTGTAAGAGGCATTTCTTAGTACCTATGAAGACCAATTTGGATTCAGGAACTTCTCAAGCCACTGAATGCCAATAAATGTGAGTTACCACACTGCATTCTGGGCAGTTGTATATTTGGCTTATCTCACACAAAGATCTGCTGTCAGAGCATTGCTGGCTTCTAGTTTGTAATAGTGATTGTCTTGTGGATTATTTTTTAAAAATATATTTTGCCTTTTTTATTTGTGCTAAAGGTCTAAGATTATGAGTATTGCATATATGATCTATATGCTGGCTAAATAATATACTATTAATTTCAGTGGTAATTATGTTTTCGTAGTAATTACTATGTCAAGGGTCCATAGCTTTTAGCAGATCCTTAAAGAGGTCAGTGATCCCCAAAAGGGCAAGTTGAATTTCAACCCTATGCAGACAGGTAGGGAAGGTTTTCCAAAAGGCAGGGGGCTTTCTCAAACTCTGTAATGAAACCAATATGGCACCTGCCTGTTCTTCCTGGTCAGCTCAGGCTGTGTTTCTGAAGAAATGCTGTATACAGTCTATGTGGCTGCCTGTGAATTATTGCTCATTTTTTTGGACTAGATTGAACAATATTAAATTGCTGCTTTTTTATTATTTCTTACTTACAAAAATCCACTGCAAATGTTTCAACCTAATATATAAAACCAAAGGACTTAGTCTGAGCCCTTTTGGGAGGCAAAGTGGAACTTTCTCTTAAATGCACTGTGACTCATCATTTTTCCTCAGGATTGTGATGACAAACATTTGGTTTGTTGTTAAATCACAACAATCAGCCCTCTGTGTTATGAAGGAGACTAATGACTGACTCTTTTAGGGCAAGCCCCTAACCATGAGCAGCACGACTCCTGTGCTCCAGGGCCATCTGGAACAGATGCTTGGGTTGAAAGCTAAGAAAACATAATTATTTCAAGTCCAAGCCATACTGGGTTGTGCCAAGAGGAACGTAATACATGAGAGCTGGGGAATGCACTGTCCACTTTAGTTGACGTTAGTCTGCCCCCAACATGAGTACTTTCTGTAGTTCATAACCCCACAATTTGACAAGTGAGGAGAAACAGGAGTGAATACTGGAGAAATGCAGCATGAGTGATTAAAAGGCTAGAACATTATTCCTTTAAAAAAAAGAGAAAAAGCATTTAAAGGTCTTTAGCCTAGAGAAGAGAAAGATTGGAAGTGATGTGATAGCTGTCTTGTATTTATACCCCACCAGGATAACTGCCATAATTCTCCACCTCAACAGAGGCCCGACTAAGGGGAAATGGACTTCAACTGCAGTAAGAAATGGTGTCTTCATCATTATGGTAACTAAATATAGAGGGTGCTAGGTGACATTGAAAAATCATCTTTCCCCAAAGAACTGTGTAGGATCTTAGCATCATACTTTCATGACAGCATCTGTTTCATCCTTCATCTCTAACCAGCAGAAATAACTGTCTACTAGTGACTTTTTAGGAATTAGAAACAGGCTGGTGGAAAGGAGTTTGAGGGGGCCAGAGACAACCCTTGTGTTGTCTTAAATTGAATGATGCTTGAGCTAAGGCCAGTTCTGGCTGTGGTTAAAATTGACAATCTGTCTAGATCTTTTTCTGCCTGCCAATGGAATGGGAATCAGGAAAAAAAACACATTAGAAATTTTAAAAAATAGTTTTTTGAAGTGAAATCCATACAACATGAAATTAACCATTTTAAAGCAAACCATTCGGTGGAGTTAGTACACTCACAATGTTGTACAACCACCACCTCTCTCTAGTTTCAAAATATTTTCATCAATCCAAAGTAAAACCCCTTACCTGTTTAGCAGTTTCTCCTCATCCTCCCCTCTCCCTAGTCCCTGGAAACCACCAATCTGTATTCCTTCCCTATGAGTTTCTGTATTCTGGATATTTCATCTAAATGCAATCATGCTATATGTGACCTTTTATGTCTGGCTTTTTTCACTTAGCCTAATGTTACAAGGCTCATCAACATCGTAGCATGTATCAGTGCTTCATTGCTTCTTATGGCCGAGTAATATTCTGTTATCTGGATATACTGCACTTTGTTTACCCATTCATGAGTGGATGACTATTTGGGCTGTTTTCACCCTTTGGCTATTGTGAATATGGTTGCTATGAACCTGCCTGTTCATAACTTCATTTGAATACCTGTTTTCACTTCTTTGGATATATACCTCGGAGTGAGAATTGGTGGGTCATATGGTAATTCAATGTTTAATTTTTTTAGGAACTGACAAACTATTTTCCACAGTGGCAGAACCCTTGACATTCTCATCAGTAATGTATAAGGATCCTAATTTCTAAACATCCTTGTCAATGCTTGTTATTGTCTGACTTTTTTTTTTCTTTTTTTGAGACAGTCTTACTCTGTTGCCCAGGATGGAATGCAGTGCAGCCTTGACCTCCTGGGCTCAAGTGATCCTCTCACCTCCACCTCCCAAGTAGCTGGGACTACAGTCACATGTCACTATGCCTGGCTATTTTTTAAGATTACTATTATTTCTTTTGTAGAGACAGGCTTTCACTATGTTGCCCAGGCTGGTCTCAAACTCCTGGACTCAAGCAATCCTCCCGCCTTGGCCTCTCAAAGTGTTGGGATTATACGGATGAGCCACTGTGTCTAGCCTATCTGACTTTTTGATTCTAGCCATCCTAGTGGATGGTAAGTGATATTTCATAAAATTAATGATATTGAGCATCTTTTCATGTGCTTGTTGGCCATTTGTATATATTCTTTGGAGAAGTGTCTATTCAAGTACTTTTCCCATTTTTTAGAAAATTGGATACTTTGTCTTTTTATTGTTAAACAATTATTCTAATTTATATTAATATATCATAGTCTAATTCTCCTCTAGCATATTTAGAAGATGTCATTAAGGTGATTTTTTCTTTGTCATGGACTGAATAATCCTGTGCTATTATGCTTCTCAAATTTTGGCATGTATAAGAATCACTCAGAGAATTTGTCTTCAAACATAGATTCACGCCCCCCTCATCACTCTCCTTCTAGGCTCTGACTCAAAAGTTCTGGAGCGAGGCCAAGAAGTTGCGTTTCTTACCAACCCCCAGGTGATGCTGATGCTGTGGCCCATGGACCACACTTCCTGTAGCATTGCTGAGATAGACAGCTTTCCAATGTCTGTCCCATTCATGAACTCCTGTTCTGAGACCCTCCTGTTCTTATTCCAAAATAATAAGTCCCTGTGGCAAGGTATGTACTACTCCATGACCCCTGCCCTCAGCCATAGGCAATTAGACCATAGGAGAAGGCCTGACCCAAGCTGGACCAATCGGATTTTCTCTCTTGGGAATTTGGAATTCAGATTCAGCAATGCTAGTCAATCTCTGCTGGTTTCATGAACTGAGTTGTATAGGTACGGAGCTGTGGCACGCCCATTCTCTGCCATGTGCCTGAAAAGCAGAAAGCCAAGCTGCAGGATGGTGAGTGAGAAGAAACAGACTTACCAAGAGAATGGGAGATGAGGGAGAGTAATAATAACAGCCAACATTCACTGAGCAGTTATTATGTGCCAGGTAATTCTAAAAAATATTTTAGTATTAATTTTTTAAATAAAATTTATTTTGGAATAATTTTAGATTTACAGCAAATTATAAAGATAGTATAGAGAATGCCTGTATGTGTTTCATCCAGTTTCTCCTAATGTTAACATCTCAGATAACTATAGTACATTTGTCAAAACTAAGAAATTAACACTGGTACTTTGCTATTAACTAAATTTCAGACTTTATTTGGATCTCACCAGTTTTTACACTAAGCTAATGTGCTGATTTTCTATCTCTGTGTTACATTTGGGTAATTCTCATGTGTGTTCTGATGGCTCCATAAACCAGCTGTTTCTCCCTCTCTCTGCCTCTCCTCCAGCCTCCCTATTCCCTGAGACACAACAATATTGAAATTAGGCCCATTAATAACCCTACAATGGCACTTAAGTGTTCAAGTGAAAGAGCTGCATGTCTCTCACTTTAAATTAAAAGCTAGAATTGATTACATTTAGTGAAGAAGGCATGTCAAAACCTGAGATGGGCCAAAAGCTAGGCCTCTTGTGCCAAATAGTTAGCCAAGTTGTGAATGCAAAGGAAAAGTTCTTGAAGGAAATTAAAAGTGCTACTGCAACAAACACAAACATGATAAGAAAGTGAAACAGCTTTGTTGATGATAGTGAGAAGGTTTGAGTGGTTTGGATAGAAGACCAAACCAGCCATGACATTCTCTCAAGCCAAAGCCTAATGCAGGTCAAGGCGCTAACTCTCTTCAAGTCTATGAAGGCTGAGGGAGGTGAGGAAGCTGCAGAAGAAAAGTTGGAAGCTAGCAGAGGTTGGTCATGAGGTTTAGGGAAAGACGCTGTCTCTGTAACATAAAAGCGCAAAGTGAAGCAGCAAATGTTGAAATGCAACAAAGGATTTTGAATATTACATAAACTTAATTGATAAAATAGCAGCAGGTTTTGAGAAGATTGACTCCAATTTCCAAAGAAGTTCCACTGTGGGTAAAATGCTATCCGACAGCATTGCACGCTACAGAGAAAACTTTCATGAAAGGAACAATTAATCAATATGGCAAACTTTATAGTTGTCTTATTTTAAGAACTTGCCACAGCCATTCCAATCTTCAGCAACCACCACCCTGATCAGTCAGCAGCCGTCAATACGGAGGCAAGACCCTCCACCAGCAAAAAGATAACTTGGTGAAGGCTCAGGTGATCGTTAGTATTTTTTAGCAATTCAATATTTTAAAATTAAGGTGCCCATGTGGTTTTTTTTAAAACAAAATGCTATTGCACACTTAATAGACTATAGTAGAGTATAATATAAATATGATTTTTATATGCATTGAGGAATAAAAAAAGGTCACTTATTCTATTGTGATATTCACTTATAATGGGGTTTGGAACTGAACACACAATATCCCCGAGGTAGGCCTGTATTTTATAGAATGATCCCAATTTGCATTTTTCTGATGTTTTCTGTATGGATACATTGGGTTTAATGGTTTCTGGGAAGAACACTACAGAGGTGAAGTCCTCTCCTCATCGCATCGTTTTGGGGGTGCGTGACATCGACACGACTTTCACAGGTGGTAATAACATTGATCATTTGGATGAAGTGGGTTCTTCCAGGTTTCTTCCCTGTGAAGTTACTATTTATCCCTTTCCATGCTTTATTCTTTGGAAGTGAGTCATTAAGTCCAGCCCACATGCAAGGAGAGGGGAATTGAGCTCCATCTCATGGCTGGTGCTGGAGCTACACATATTTGGAATTTATAAGAAAGATTTGTTTTTTCTTTCCCATTTATTTGTTTCTTCAATCATTTATTTACATCTATGTGGACTCATAAATACATTATATTTTGGGTTATAATCTAATACTATGTTGTTTATTTTGTTGCTCAAAATGTTACAGCTTGGGCCGTTCAGAGCTCTTTCAGTTTGGTTTCTGCATCCCTTTAACATACCTTTTCTTCCTCCTCCTCCTTCTCTTCTTCCTTCTTCTTTTTGCACTTCCTTACGTTCCAGGCACTGTTGCAAGAACTTTGCATACATTAGTTCATCTAATACAACAACCCCATGAGATAGGTTCCTAATATTATCTCCATTTTACAGATGAGGAAATTGAGGTACAGAGATGGCTGTGTGTTATGAGTGCATGTGGTCGTAGGCGTGTTACAGAGAGCATGTGTGTGAGAGAAGCTGCCTGGTGTCTGAGGGTTTTCTGGTTCCCGATCCCTGCCCCTCCTGAAACCTGCCTACACTCTTCTTGGGCTCCAGGAGAAGTCTCTGTGTCTTTACAACACACCCTGTGTCCCTGGAGAGGTGGTTTGAGTGGATTCTGTGCATTCTGCCAAATAGACTTGCCCCCACTGTGGCTCATGGAATCTTCTTAAAGCCTGAAGGAAGCTCGGTCATCATCATTTTATAGACGACACATCTAAAGTGAAATGACATTGGTAGAAGGTCAGAAATCAGCCCATGGACTGCAAGTCCAGGGCCAGTCCCACAGGATTTAGCCATTTACTGGTTAGAGCTGTGCATGAGAGGAAGGAACTCGTGGTTTAGGTGATGAGAGAGTTGAGTGTTGAAATAAAACTGCATGCCCAGTACAGTGGTGGCTCAATACATCCTCCGGGAATTGCTGGGAAAGGCTTCCCAGAACAGGGGCCATTTAAGCTAGGCCAACTGATGGGCATCACCAGGGATAGGTGGGTGGGAGAGGGACAGAGAACTCCAAGCAGGGGTCACTCAAGCACAGAGGAGGCATGCAGGCAAGAGTGGTGAGAGATGGGCCCACACTTCCTCTCCCTTAGAGAAGACGGTGGGAGAAATTCCATTACACATTGGTGGTAACATTTGCATGGGTTCACAGTTGATAACATGCTCATTCATATAAAACATGTGACTCCTCTGAACTCTATTCAGCACTGGCAAATGCAAGGAAAGTTAACTTTCTTGTTCTGCTTAACCCTGGGAAACTCCATTAACCATCAGGTAGAAGTTGTAGCTTTTTCAGATGATCGTTGAAAGAACAGGCTAGTTTCTGAAATGATACTTTCAGAAAGTATCTATGGCCAAAAAGGTCACATGAAGTGTTTGGCAACTTTGTAACATGCTGATTTTTATCTTTTACTTGCTTTAGCTAATCTCTTTTTGCAGGACCTCGGTGTACCCTGTTCCCAAAGCCACCCAAGTGAGTGTGAGGTCAGAGGTGCTCATCTGCCCCATCTGCTACTGGCGGGAGTAAGAGGCACTAATCGTGCTCTATGTGGCAGCTGACAAAATAAGGTCACTCTCAGACTCCTCCATATACCTAGCAGATGTAAGTGACATATCTTGGAGGGAATTGTGTATACTAATATGGACAAAAATAACATCATAATAGCTCACCTTTAAGCATTCAGTATGTGGCAGGCAATGTTCTAAGCACTTCACATTTATTAACTCAATTCTTATACACCTATGTAAGAGGAATACTAATAATAACCCCAATTTACAGATGAGGAAACTGAGGCACAAAGAAGTTAAGTAACTTGTCAACATCATGCAGCTAGTAAGTGGCACTGTGGGTGTTTGACTCAAGGTCATCATAATTCACAACCTCCAATACTGCCTCTCCCATGTCTCTAATTCATGTGCTTTTGTTGTTGTTGTTTGTTTGAGACAGAGTCTCATTCACTCTGTCCTCCAGACTGGAGTGCAGTGGTGCAATCTTGACTCACTGAAACTTCCATCTCCTGGGTTCAAGCAATTCTCCTGCTTCAGCCTCCTGAGTAGCTGGGATTACAGGTGCACGCCACCATGCCTGGCTAATTTTTGTATTTTTAGTAGAGACAGGGTTTTGCCATGTAGGCCCGGCTGGTCTCGAATTCCTGGCTTCAAGCAATCTACCCACCATGGCCTCCCAAAGTGCTGGGATTACAGACATGAGCCACTGTGCCTGGCCTCTAATTCATGTTGATATGTGAATTTCTCAGGTAATTATCTCATGGGATGTTATGTTTGCAGACACATTTCTTCTTCTCCCTATACTCCTGGAAACTTCAGAAGTATGGAATAGGCAGAGAAAACCAAACTCATCTGCTGTAACTCTTACTCCCAGATTATTGGAAATGCAATATAATGGAGAAATCTCTGCTCCTTCACAAATGGTTTGTGGGTCCCTCTATGGAGCCACCTACATTTTTTGAGAAGATACTGTCATAAGCTTGCTTTGGTGAGAAATCTGGGCTTCCCAAGGTGGCTCTGTGGTTTCAGAGAAGCAGTGTGTGCATTGGGGTGGGGTGGGGTGGAGGATGGGGGGCAAGAGGGAGGCCTTTAGAGTGAAATGATGTGTGCTGTGCAGTGTAATCCCTCTTGCAACCTCCCCTCACCCAACCTTCAGTTAATCCTAACAAAGTTTTAAAATGCCAAAAATGATCGGATTTTTGTGTGAAAACTGGTAAAGGGGAATAGTCATTGATACAGGGCCAAGACAGAACCAGACAGAATGGGCACAGGGAGGCCAATGTCTAGGTCCCAGAAGGATGTAAGTAAGAGAAAAAACACTGGATTTCTAATTTTCTGTGATGCACACATATGGGTTATACGTAATAATAATATAAAAGCTTAATTACAGAAAAAAGGCATGTAATTGGCACAAAGTCAGGAAATGACTGACAAAATCCCTGACCCTGGCCTCGCTGAGCTCTTGGTGTAAGAGTGTGGGCGCTTCCTGGGCCAGCTTCCACTGTCCTTGGATAAGCCACCCGAATTCTTCCATGGTTATGACCCCATGAGGGTCATGACCAAAGCCCCTCTCTCTGTGCCACTGCCCTTCCCCTCCATAATAACACCGTGGCTCTCCTAAATATAAATAGCCATTTCTCCAAGATGAAAGTATCTTCTGGCTTCTCACCCTTGGGAGTCTCTTTCCTTGCCGCCAAGCTACGTATGTGCCTCTTTCTTGGTGGTACCCACTGGGTCTCTCTGCCTACCTCCACCCCCGGTGACAGGCCCGTGGCTAAAAGTGTTAGCTGGCCTGCCGTTTCAGGCCTCCTTACCCTGCACTGCAACGACAAGGCATGAGCTTACAGCTCCTCCTCCCCAGCTGCCAGCCCTGCCCCACGTGCCCAGGCAGGGCCATTACCCTGGAGAGTGTCAGCCACTCACTCTGCCCTTCATTGCCAGACAGAGAAGAAGCTCTGTCTTGCAGTAACTTCCACTGCAGTGGGGGCCCGCATACTGCCCACTTCCCCGGATCTCCCAATACTGGTTGGTTATTCTCTGAAGTGGAAGGAGGAAAATGCTTTCGCTTACTTGTAAAGATGTGTTTAAAATTATATGTATTTCTAGATCTGCAAATTTATAACCTGATGAATAAGTTGAACATGTGGAAAACAAAATTAACAGACTGAAAACACAGTATAATTATGAAAATAGGCAGTTTTCAAGTGGGTGATTACCCACTCTCCAAGCTGACACAGGCAGCTGCAGCACCAAAACAGACAACAAACTCAGGCACTATTAAAGGAGCTTCTCACCCCAAACCCCCACACAGACCATTTCCTCCATCCTTCCACATTTGTCAGCATGTTCCCGATGTTCCTAAAGCCAGGCCTCTGGGAGTTGCAGGGGTAGATATGCACCCAGAAGCTTCACTTGGGAATCGGAGTCATTCAACCTTTATGATCCTGCCTTATGTGAGGAAGATGGCACTACAAGACTGAAAGAGTGGGTATGGTTGTTATTGCAGCTATCTCTGTTCCGACAAGAGAAGAGCAGAGCTTGTAATGATACAGCCTTTCCAACATTTGCAAGGGGATATCTTTGAGAAAAATGTCCCACCTGAGTTAAATTTCACACCACCGTGGCCATGAGGAGGGCTTGGGGGTTGCTTTTGGGCAACATGGCTCAGGCTGGGAAACACCTTCTTCTCTCCTTTTCTCTCTGGCTCCTCCTTCTGTCTTCTCTGTGCCTTTGTCCTGCTTCCTCCGTTTTGTTTTTACCTCTTCTTTACCCTAGGTTTGCCAATGGTACTCATAGCATTTATCTCCCTGCAGGTAGCACTCAGGGCACAAAAGCAGAATGGTTCTTGTTAGGATAGATGTGTATGGTACTTTCCTGGAGACAGGCAGGGAGGATGAGAGCAGAGGTCAAGAGCCAAGGCACTTGGGGTAAAGAAGAGCAAGGATAATTTCTATTCAGATGCTGCAAAAACGTTGAATAAAAAAGTAAATAAAAGGCCAGACCCCTTAAAGAATGAGGATTACCAGGGCAAAGCCGGGGAGTGGTGTTGGGGGTGGGGGAGTGACAGCTAATGTGTAGTTGTAAGGATTTTGATCAAGGTAACTTTTGTATCAATTTGAGCTTCATTCAGTAAAGAAAGAAGCTGAGTGCCATAGTTAGTGGCTGGATATGCTCTTCTGGTTGCAGAGGACATCCATCCTGGCCCCTTGCTTCTCAGGTATTGGAGGTAAATCTTTCTCCTGCAGAGAAAGCCACCCCCTTGGAAGCTGGGTCTCGAAGAAGCCAGGCCAGTTCTCCCAAGTTCTCCCAACAAGGGCCTCTCACTCCGTGCCAGCAACAAAGAAAGCATGTCTGAACCACAGTGTCCCAAGCACGGATTTTCTGTTGACCAAATCACTGAGGGCTGAAAGGCTCTCCTGCATATCTAATAAGGAAAAGCAGTCACAACAATATGCGCTGGTTAGGCTGTCCCGATGCCAGGAGCAGAGGCTCATTCATGCTACCTCAAGTAATGGGGAAGTTGCATCTATGATTCTAGGGAGAATTAGGGACTTAGTGACATGTGCAGGCCTCATGGACACTGAAATAAGATAAAAACAACCAGTTTCCAGTAGAACATGCGACCAGAGGTCCCTCAGAATCCATAGCCACTCAGGGATGCAAGCCCTAGGGTTTTCTGGTCCTCACTTGAATGCTTTCCTGGCTCCAGGACTCTGTGCCATACTCCTTCTGTGTTCCTCTTTGTGCATCCTCTTGTTTCTCCTTTCTTTAGTAAGTAATTGATTCTCTCTACAAAATGGCAGTGTGCTTTTCTCAGAGCCAGAGCTGAGAGAGAGAGAGAGAGAGAGAGAGAGAGAGAGAGAGAGATAAAGAGAGCACTCCCAAGACAGAAACCACAGTTTTTTTTAAAAAAAATCTAACCTCAGAAGTGATATATCATCACTTCTGCCACATTTTGTTGGTCACAGGGATTAACCTTGGTAAACTGTGGGTTTCACCTACTACAAGTATGTGAATATCAGGAGGCACATGTCATTGAAGGCCACCTTGGAGGCTAGCTGTCACATCATCTGTAGGTACTGGATATTTTCTGTTCACTATACTTACCGTCTGGTAACTATTTCCATCCCCTTCCACATTTCCTCCTGTATCACAGGAGCTGCAAGCCTGGGAAACACATTTCTAAGACTCCCTTCCTAGCAGAGTTCTGGCTATGGTTTAGATTTGGCCAACAAAATGATATTTGGGAGGCGGAAGGAAGTGGAAGCCTCTCATCCTCCAGCATCAATGGCGGCTGACATACGGGTTTCAGTGGATGTGAGTTTAGTGATTCCCACACTCTGTGTCCCACTGACAATCACTGGCTTTGGGGTTGTGTGACAACATTGACTTCAGTAGTGACTTCCATAGCTTTCTGACCTCTCATTGGCAACAGCAGCTTCTTGAGCTCTGGATCTCAGCTTGTGGCCATATGACCCAAAGAACCTCCTATTGGCAGCCCCCCTGACATTTGCTCTTTTAGTCCCTCTAACAGTTTTGAAAACACAAAATTCCCTGTATTAATTCTCTTTTTACTTGCATACCAAGAAAGGTTTTTGTTTTCTCAGTCTGGGAGAAATTAACAGTAGCTGAGTAGTTAAACATAGGGCTAGACTGCTTTTTCAAATTCTATCTCTACCACTTATTTGTTGTGTGGCATTGAACAAGTTACCTAACCTTTTTAAGCATTAGGTTTCTCATCTATAAAATTGGGAAAATAATAGCACCTACATCATAGGAATGTTATGAGGATAATGCAAAAAAAAATTTAGCTTGTGTCTGGTACATAGTAAGCACTTACTAAATATGCATTATTATTATTATTATTAATTATTATTATTATTATTCCTGCTGGTAGAGTGAGATCCCAGATCTCTAACACCCATGTGAGACTGCATGAGGGTGCTTACTAGAAAGGCAAGAGGCAGCTTCAAACTGTTTGGCCTCCCCTCTAAATGGGATGTGGTCATGAGAATTGAAAAAGAATGAGCATGCAGTTGGGAGTTCAATGGAAGTCAGCTTGGGAGTGCTCCTGCTGGAGGCGAGCCAGGGAGAGTACCTGGCAGGCCAGGTCGGGGCAAGGCCAGGCTGGTGCAGCAGAATGACCCATTGCAGCAGGCAGGTCTGACCCCTTAAATATATTATCACACGCTTTCACATGCTTGGACTATTTAAAAACCACTAGATAGGCTGATGGAATCAGCCTATCTACCAATGGCTGGGAAATCCAGCAAGGTGTGGGCAAGATAGGGCTTCCTCTGTTAGGTTCAAAAGATTGTTCAGCCCAAGATTGAGAGAGACATAGACAGGACCCAGATACTTCCTCCAAATCCAAAAGCCAAGATAAAGTACCTGAGCCCTCAGGAGGGAAACAATTCAGGTTACTTCCATAAATAAGACGTCCAGTGGACCTTTCAAATTTGACAGTGAGGCTGGGAATATCTTTATCTCATGAAGTGCAGGAAGGACAAATGGCCTGCCTAAGGTCTCACAGCCCCCTTGGGCAGGTTTCCTCACCCCTATTCTAGCACATTCTCTTCTTCTTAAACATGGCAGCATAGAGGTGGCTGTACTAAAGTGGGGAAATGTCTCACTTTTGGTGAGTCTTCAGTTACCGGGCTCTTTGCTGAAAGAGCAAGGGAAGACTGAACTTGTCCCTTAATTTTTGAGATTTGCATTGTGTTAGAGCACAAAAATGCAAGAAAGACTAATTTCAGGACAAGCATCCTAATTTTTACCATTTGTACTTTGTAGAGAGAGCTATCAAGTTCCAGATAAAAGGGATATAATTGTAATAATAAAAGGCACAAGAAATTCTTCACCTGGCATCTAAGTATCCCTAGGGGTTTTGTGAATCGCTCTGAAGTTATATAAGAAACTGTGTTTATGTGAGACTGAGGGCTAACAGCTTTCAATATATTCACAAGAGAATCCATGACCCAAAAAAGTT
Source organism: Homo sapiens (assembly GCF_000001405.40). Lineage (NCBI taxonomy): Eukaryota > Metazoa > Chordata > Mammalia > Primates > Hominidae > Homo > Homo sapiens. The sequence goes on along the minus strand of NC_000012.12, from coordinate 47,539,781 downwards.
TAAGAAGCATTGCTACTGAGTTTCACACCCCTTCAGCATTGGCTGGGCTAGTGTATCCACTCATTAAGCAGACATTTATGGAAACTACTTGACAACCTCAAAGGCATTGAGAGCTCAGCATATCTAAAATCGGCTCTTCCCATGCAAACCTGGTTCTCTTCTGGTGTTCACTACATCAGTAAGTGTTACCATCATCCAGCAGCTCTGAAAGTCAGCAGCCTGGGAGTCATCCTTGGTACCTCCCTTTCCTCAGTCCCAATATTTAATCCATCAGCAAATCCCATTGATTTTGCCTCCCAACTTTCTCTCACACTTATACATGGCTCCATCCCTACTGCCCATAGATGGTCCAAGAGGCCATCGACTTCCACCCGGCCTCCCGCCAATCTCCCTGGACCCATTCTGGCTCTTCCCCAGCCCACTTTCTACACTGCAGCCAGAGAAGTGACCTCTTGGAAATGAAACTCCAATCATGGCCCCAGTAACAACCTTCCTGTTCCTAGACCTTGCTGAAAACCTTTCTATTGATTTTCAGAGTGAATGAATCCAGAACTTCTTTTCAAGGCTGAGAAATAAAAGATTCACGCTCTATCCTATGATGAGAGCTTGAATTGTGATCCAGGTGCACTGGGGAAAGCCACACTGGCCTTCATTCATTTCCTCAAACCCACTGTGCTGCCTTCTGCCCACGGCATTGCACAGGCTGTTCCTTCTGTCTGAGATGCTCTTTTCCTCCCTCTTTACCTGTTTTACTTTGATCTATCTTGCTCGTTTCAGCTGTAACATCACCTCCTCAAGAAAGACTTCCAGGATCACTCCCTAGACCAGGCACCACAGTCCTACAGTTAGTGCTTGTGCTTTTCTTTCATAGGTTTTGTTTTGTTTTGTTTTGTTTTGTTTTTAGATGGAGTCTCACTCTTTCGCCCAGGCTGGAGGCTGGAGTGCAGTGGCGCAATCTCGGCTCACTGCAACCTCCGCCTCCCAAGTAGCTGGGATTATAGGTGCATGCCACCATGCCCGGCTATATATATTTTATTATTTTTGGTAAAGATGGTGTTTCACCATGTTGGCCAGGCTGGTCTCGAACTCCTGACCTCAAGTGATCCGCCCACCTTGGCCTCCCAAAGTGCTGGGATTACAGGCGTGAGCCACCATGCCCAAGCATTAGTACGGTTTGTAACAACATATGTAGGTGACTATTTAGTTAATATCTGAATTTCTGTCTTTGTTATAAGCAAATCATGTGTCCTCAGAGCCTAGAATGATGTTTGCCTCATTTTAGGTAGTCACTAAATATTTTCTGAATGAATGGATAAGTAATGAATGAATTGGGAAGATAAATGAGACTGTGCATGTGATGTTCTTAGTACAGTGTCTGCATATAGTAAGCACCAACATGGTACCTATTTTTAATTCTGGAAGAAGTAAGTATTAATTCTGAGAAGTTATAGAATTAACTTCTAACTTCTAAGCATTTTTTTCTGTTATTAAAAGAAAAATTCCTGTGCTCAGATTCTAAGATAGTCACAGATATTCTTCCCACTGGCAAACGTGCAGCACCTTCTTGGGGGCTTCCTGAGTCATCTCAAGCCCACTTAACACACTTCCTTTCTTGGAAAAGTGTAGTACTGTGGCAGGTTTTCACTTGCCAATCTCAGTTGTTTTCCAGAAAATGCTGCCTCTCCACTTTTCAGGTAAGCCTGTTATTGCCATCTTGTAGAACAGTCACAGGCAATCTCCATGCAGAGCAGGCACTGAGAGACCTTGTAAATTAGTCTGACATATAGCACTTAGAATGTGCATGATTAAGTGACTAGTGTTTTCTTTTCCAGAATGTTTATGTGCCTTTTCATAAAATCAAAAGCAAGCTTGTAATAATATATTAATGCCTCATATTTTAGTATTTCCTAATATCTGTAAAGTAACAAAGTTTTATTTAAGCTTTTATCATGGAGGATTTTAATCATATACTAAAGTAGTACTATCCCTCACCCCCACACTCACACCCATAGGCCCATCACCCAGCTTCTATAATTATCAACTCCTGGCCAATCTTGTTTCATGCATAATCCTTATGACCCTTTCTCCTCACTGGATTATTTTAAAGCAAATTCCAGCATCTTTTTACTGATTTGTAAATATTTCAGCATCTTTGAAAGTAATAGACCTTTATTAAAAAGCACAATTATCATAAGCAAAAGATTAACAAAAATTCCTTAATAATATTTAATATACAGTCAGTATACATATTTTCCCAATTTTCTCAATATTGATTTATATATTATTTATTATGGTTTGTTTGAACCATGATTGAAACAAGGTCCACACATTGCAATTGATTGATATGTCTCTCAAACCTTTCCAATCTATACATTTTCATTCCCCTTCTGTCTACTCTTTTCTCTACCATGTATTTCCTAAAGAAAACTTTATCCTGTAGGCTTTCCCATAGTTTGCTGAAGAGTTTTAATATTCTTCCTCAAATGGTATTAAGTAATTTAGTAAATAAAAGGGGGAATCACAATGTTCTATAGCTATTTTAATTCCAGTTTCTTTGGTTTTTTAAAAACATGTTTTATAATGTCTTAATTAACTTTTTTTGAGTTGTAAGGGACAGGAAGTTGGAGGCTGCCCAAACTCCTTGTTTCACAAGTGTAAAAATTAATGCCTTGGTGTGACAGTCATGAAACCATCCAGCAAGCTACTAAGGGCTCTTCACGTCTGTCTCCAGATCTGACTTCTTTGCTTCTTTCTTTTTCACTGCCCTTACTATTCTATTCAACATCTATCAAACTGGGATCTTTCTTTCTTTCTTTCTTTCTTTCTCTTTCTTTCTTTCTTTCTTTCTTTCTTTCTTTCTTTCTTTCTTTCTTTCTTTCTTTCTTTCTCTTTCTTCCTTTCTTTCTTTTTCTTTCTCTTTCTTTCTTTTTGATCAATCCTTCCTTTCTCTCTCTTTCTTTCTTCTTTCTTTTCTCTTTCTCTCTTTCTTTCTTCCTTTTCTTCCTTTTCTCTCTTTCTCTTTTTCTCTCTTTCTTTCTGACAGAGTCTATCTTCTTCACCCAGGCTAGAGTGCAGTGGCAAGATCTCAGCTCACTGCAACCTCCGCCTCCTGAGTTCAAGTGATTCTTCTGTCTCAGCCTCCCAAATAGCTAACATTACAGGTGCTCACCATCACGTCCAGGTGATTTTTGTATTTTTAGTAGACAGGTTTTCACCATGTTGGTCAGGCTGGTCTTGAACTCCTGACCTCAGGTGATCTGTCCGCCTTGGGCTTCCAAAGTGCTGGGATTACAGGAGTGAGCTACTGTGCCTGGCCTAGTTTGCATTTTCACAGTTTACTTATATCAGGATGGTTGATGTTTCTAGTGATGATCCAAGAGACCAAAAGGCATGATTGTGTTTAGTGTTAGATTCATCCCATCACATTCCAACTCCTGGAAACTGGTCATTCTTGCAAGCTACACATGGTAACACTTCCTAACCTCATCTCAGTCTCAGTCTCATTCTAAACCGGACCAGTTTAGGAGGTATTTTTAGGAGGATTTTGCACACCTTCTTCTCTGCTGTCTGTCTGCCTTTTTTTCTCAGTGGAACTCATAATATCTCTTATTTTAGGCAGGCAATACTTTATTCCCCCATGTTGCAAGTCCTTAATCAGAACTTTTAGAAAGACATTTAATCAGGCGGTGATAGATCAGGGTGAAGAAAGCATCAAACTGCAGCATCTGCACTTGTAGAACCACACCTTAATACCTCAGGAATTAAGAGTTTCCCAGCTTTGCTCATAGGCACTGCCAGGGCCGCATTTCTCTTTCCTGCCACCTCCATCTCTGTGCCCATTAGTCCCTGTCTCCAGCCCTTCTAAGCTCCCTTTACTGGAATTTTCTGAGGCAGTATCTGGTATGTAAAAATCTCTTAATATTTAAAAAGAAGTCGAGAGCACAGACTAACAATTTGACTCCTTTATGACCATGTTGTCTTTTTTTGGGTAAACTTTCAGACTACTGCACAGACCTGTCTCTCCTGATCTCTCATGGGCTTTGCCCTTTCAGGAAAAATAAAAATAAAAACAACTCAACATATATTGCTTTGCAACAGTATTCCCTGCAGAGGTGATCTCAGAAATCTAATATCTTATTCCTTTACCAGAATAGATTAGAGAGAGTATGCCAATCAATCAATAGTTATTAAAAACATAATGTTTATCCAGCACTGCAGTCAAAACTGTTGGTTTACAAGCAAATAAAAAGTATGGCTTCTGCTCCCAAGTTATGGAAGGGAACATGATTTAGGACCTAAGTTTAGAAACCACTTACTATTTAACTTTGGGCTTGGTTAGCATCTCCTAGCCTTAGTTTCCTTGTCTGCAAAACGAGGGTAATAATCCCAAAGTTTCATGGGACTTTAGTAAGGATTTAATGAAAGAGTAAACAAAAGAGTATTACATGGTGCCAGATACATAGTAAGTGCTCAATAAATGTAGCTAGCATTATTGTATACTATTTACAGTAATAAAAATTATATTTAAGGTAGATTATGTTTTCATAATGAGTGGTTTAGATTTAATAGGGCTGGGAACATTCAGCAAGACATTTAGTGTTCTGGAACAGGGGTATTAAGGAATAATGTTTTAGAAATACTGGTTTAGGTATCTTAAGCTGGGACAGATGTGAGAGACAGAGAAGCCAACTAGGAGTGTGTTAAGGGGAACTTGAGTGTGGTGCAAACAAGATGGACTTAAGCTGGGTTGGAGGGAAGAAGAGTAAAGGGGGACTCTATTAAAATTTTCCAAAGGAGACAAAAGGACTTCGTGTCCATTTTGATTTGGGGAAAGAGGAGAGCCCACACTGCCTCTCATACTTGCTGAACTGGGTGAAGGCAAAAGAGCTGTCCATGGTAGCAATCTGGTCTTTTAATAATTGTGTGGATTTCTGTAGGAGATATGATGACGTTTGCTTTGCAGTTGTTGAGTCCAGATTAAAACTGCTTATTTACCTATTTAATGTCTTACCTAGTGGGCTATAAGTGTCATGAGGACAGAGTCACCTCAGCATCTTCAGCACTGAGCACAAAACCAGGTGCCCAGTGAATGCTCAGTAAATATTCATTGAATTGAATTATTGAATTGTATGGAGTTTATGGCAATGGCTGGAAGTCAAGTGAAGCTGGAGGCAGCTGGAGATATGGATTCCCTGGGAGTCATTCCTTTTAAAAAGTGATACTGAAAGGTACATAAAAGGATGATCACACTTGAGAGTAAATAGAAAGGATAAAACAAGAAAAAGAGGACAACTTTAGAGCCATTTCCACTCTGAGAGTAAAAGGAAATAAAGGGATTGTATCAGTCAGGTCAAGTTATGCCGTACTAAAAACAATTTCAAAATATTTGTGGTTAAACATCACAAAAGCTTATTTCTCACCCACAAAACATGTCCAACACAGGTTGGCAAGGCACTCTGCTTAATGTAGTCACTCAGGGACCCTTCTTGGCGCAAAACTGCTGCTTCATCTTATCCTATATTACCTGAGTTATCCATGTGTGATTCTTCTATTTTTTTCCAGTATCAACTACTAGCTCTTTATTATGAAGCTACATTCAAACTCTTGAAGAGAGAAAATCTTATTGAACCAGGAAGTCACCATCCTTCTTATTGGACTGTGGACCACTGTCTGGCCTATTGTTTGTCTGCCTGTGAATCAGACTATGTCTTCTTCTCTAATTATCTGTGGCCAAGGAAAGGGAGTTGCATTGAATGAAATGACAGTCCAAAGAATTTACTGGAATTGCCTTCTCAGAGTGGTAGATCTATCCACAAGAGGTTTTTCCTGAAGCAGCTTCATTTTCCAAAGAGAGGGGTCAGTGCTGAAGTGAGAGTCCAGTGCTTTATTATTGGGGGAGCTTTATCTATTTTTAAATCAAAATTCCAATTCATTAATATGCATAGACCCAGTCTTATTTTTCTCTTTTTCTTCAATTCCACTTTCAAAATTGAATAGAAAGAGAAAATAAGAGTAGCTCTCTAAAGCCTATATCAGATTGTGGGCACAGTCATTGTAGTGGAAATTTGCAGGCTAAAGAGAGAATAAATTGTTCCCCAGAGAGGTTAATGCTGAACAATTTTCTTTTTGATTAATTGAGAATAAGTAAAAAAAAAATATTTAGAAGGAGCTTCCAGATGGCTGACTAGAAGCATATCATGTTCATCTCCTCCACTTAGAAGAGCTGAAATAGTGTATAGAAAAATCACACTTCAAATACGTTTTCTAAGATAGAACACTGGAATTCAAAGAACAGTGAAAGAAAACACCAAAAGCGAGGAAGTAGAAGGAAGAGAGGCAGCCTGCTTGGTCAGGATTGGCTGGGCACCAGGAGTATCTTTCCAACGTGGGGAAAGGGTAAGTAAGAGACTACCAGCGGCCCATATCCCAACCATGGAATCATGCAATCCTGGACACAGGAGAGCCCCTTGACTCTCCAAGCCCTGAAACTAACATAGGGAGCTTCCAGGAGATCATGAGATACAACTGCTCCAGGGAGAGAACTCGTGCTGGGATCTGTACACTTTCTGAGACCAAAGTGACTACAGCAAGGTGCCATTTTCAGTCCTAGCCTTTGGCAGACTGCATGCTGTCCTGGGGCCCAGTGGTGCTGGGACTGAGGTGTCAGGCATACTTGGGCTGTTGCTGCTGGGGTGCATGTTGGGAGCAGGCTCCCATAGCTGGGGCTGAGAAGCAAGTGAGGTGTGAGCTGTAGCTGTTAGTGCTTGGATGTGAGCCACTACCAGGACTGAGACTGTGATCTGAGCAGGGCAGAGGTTGCTTAGTCACAAGCTAGATAGGAGCTCCTGCAGCTGGGATTGAGGCACGAGCTAGGTGCAGGTTATCACCACCAGGGATGGGTGAGCCCTGGGAAGACTGGTGTATGAGAGGGATGCAGGTTCACTACCCCCTGCCGAGGCTGTGGCCACTGAGGCAGGCTTCACCCTCTTCAGTGACAGGATCTCAGTGCAACTGCTACAGCCCCTCACCCAAACACTTTTCTTGGGGCCTGAGGAACACCCCACTCATTTCACCACAGCTGGTGCCTTCTCTCACTCATGAGGTGCCTGAGCACAAGTCCTCCAAGCCCAGCTTCATTTCCCCCGCATCTCTGAGACTGAGCACAGAGCCCAATATACTGGGGATTGCCCCAACCAATCTACCACTTTAGATATCTAAGCACCTCCCACAGATGCCTGAGATTGGGCCTAAACTCCCAGCTACTACCATCTCAGCTGGTATCTGTCTGCAAACACCAACCATCTGCAGGCCTGGAGACTGGCCCACCTAGCCCATCACAGCCACTGCCAACATCAACACACACTGCTTGGGACCCAGAGAATCATCCCATCACTGCCACTGTCATTACCCATGCCACATCAGCTGCCCAGGGGCCCCAAAACCCATCCACCCACCTGGTTCACAGCTGCCACTACCAGCAACACAGAAAGCCATCTGGGGGCCCAAGAATTGGTCCACTGGTAACCTCCAATGCTGATGCCAGCATACTCTGCTCTGGGGCATAAGGATAGGCATGCTCAGCTCACCATTGCCACCACAGGGACCTGAAGACTGACTCAATTAGCATCCTGGTCCCCATCACAATTTTACCACAGCTTCCATTAATAACTGCACCCTAACCCACCAGGAAGTCACAGATACCACTGACACTATTTACAGCCTAAGAAATCATACAGAGATTACGTTACTGCACGCATCCAGAATCAAATCTATAGTGTGCAATACTTGCAGCAATACTATAGATATGTCTTCCGGAGAAGGTCCTCCCTACAAAAGTAAATTCAAAACTGGGAAGTAGCAACTGTTACACCACATGTGCAGAAATCATGGTGAAGACACAGGAAACATGAAAAAGCAAGGAAATATGATGCCTCCAAATTTACACAATAATAAACTCTAATCAAAAAGAAACTTTTAAAACATCAGGTAAAGAATGAAAAATATTGGTTTTAAAGAAGCTCAGTGAGATTCAAGAGAATCGTGAAAAACAATAAAAAGAAATAAGAAAAAAAATCAGGATATGAATGAGAAACTTATCAAAGAGAAATATATTTTTAAAAATAACCAAATAGAAATTGTGGAACTGAAGAACTAATTGAAGGAAATACAAAATGCATTTGAAAACTTCAACAATAGACTAGATCAAGCAGAGGAAAGAATCTCAGAACTTAAAAACAAGTCTTTTGAAATAATCCAGTCAGACAAAAATAAAAGGAAAAAAGAGAATGAGCAAAGCCTTCATGATATTTGGGACAAGATAAAGCAGCTGAACATTCAAATTATTGGTATCCTTGAGGGTGAAAAAAGAACAAAAAGATTAGAAAACCTATTTAATAAAATAATGAGTGAAAACTTCCCAAGTATAATAAAAGATTTAAACATCTAGGTATAGGAGGCTCAGCAGTCCTCAGGCAGCTACAATGCAAAAAAGTATTCTCCATGGAACATTATAATCAGGCTATCAAAAGTCAAAGGTAATGAGCAAATCCTAGTAACAGCAAGGGAAAAGCATGTAATCATGTACAAAAGAAACCCTATCAGATTAGCAGTGGGTTTCTCAGCAGAAACTACAGGTCAGAAGAGAATGGGATGATATATTCAAATTGCGGGAAGAAAAATCTGGTAGCCAAGAATACTATGTTTACCCAAATTCCTTTTATAAAGGAAAAAGAAATAAAGTCTTTCCCAGACAAGGAAATGCTGAGAAAATTCATTACCACTAGAAAGGCCCTACAAGAAATGTTCAAGGGAATCCTAAACCTGGAAGCAAAAGCATGACACTTACCATCATGAAAATACACAAAAACTCATTGGCAAAACAAACACACAAAGGAAGGAGAGAAAGAGTTCAAATGGTATCACCACAGAAATCCACCAAACCATAACAACGAACAATGAGAAAAAAAGAAAGTAAGAATAATGTATAAAAAAAGAAAACAATTAACAAAATGACAGGAACATAGACTTGCACATCAATAATAACCTTGAGCATACATGGATTAAATTCTCCACTTAAAATATACAGAATGGCTGAAGAGATAAAACAAATATGATCCAACTACATGCTGCTTACAAAAATCTCATCTTATCAGTAAAGATGCATATAGACAAAGTTAAAGGCTAGAAAAGATGTTCCATGCAAATGGAATCCAAAAGCAAAGACAGGAGTAGTTATGCTTATATCGGATAATACAGACATTAAGTCAAAAACAGTAAAAAAGCGACAAAAAATGTCATCATATAATGATAAAGGGATTAATCCAGCAAGAAGATATAACAATTCAAAATATATATATGAACTCAACATTGGAGCACCCAGTTTGTAAAGCAAATATTATCAGATCTAAAGAGAGAGATAGACTGCAATGCAATAAAAGTGGGGGACTCTAATACCCCACTCTCAGCATTAGACAGATCACCTAGACAGAAAAATCAACAACAACAAAATTGGATTTCAACTGGACTTTAGACCAAATGGACCTGACAGACATTTGTTTACAGAACATTCTATTACACAATTGCAAAATACATATTCTATTCACCAGCACATGGAACAGTCTCCAAGAAAGACCATATATTAGGTCACAAAACACATCTCAACAAATTTTTAAAAGTCAAAATTATTAATACATCAAGTATCTTTTCAGACTAGAAAAAACTAGAAATCAGTAACAAGAGGAACTTGGGAAACTACAGCTACATAGAAATTAAACAGCATGCCACTGAATGACCATTGTGTCAATGAAAAAATTAAGATAGAAATAAAAAAATTTACTGAAAAATGAAAATGGAAACCCCATTTCAAAACCTGAGATACAGAAGAAAGAGTACTAAGAGGAAGTTTATAGCAATAAACACCTACACCAAAAAAGTAGATTACAAATTAACAATATAACAATATATCTCAAGGAGCTAGAAAAGTAAGAATAATCCAAACCTAAAATTAGCAGAAGAAAAGAAAGAATAAAGATCAGAGCAGAGTGAAATAGATAGAGAAAAAAACCCCAACAATACAAAGAATCAATGAAACAATAAGTTAGTTATTTGAAAAGATAAATGAAATTGATAAACTGCTTGCTAGACTAATCAAGAAGAGAGAAGACTCAAACAAACAAAATCAGAAATGAAAAAGGAGACATTACAACTCATACCACAGAAATACAAAAGATCATCAGAGACTATTATGAACAAGTATACACTGACAAACTGTAAGACCTAGAGGAAATGTATAAATTCCTAAAAACATACAATCTACCAAGATTGAATCAAAAAGAAATAGAAAACCTGAACAGATTAATAATGAATGTGAGATTAAATCTGTAATAAAAAGTTTCTCATCAAAGAAAAGATCAGGACCAGATGGATTCACAGCCAAATTCTATGAAATGTACAAAGAAGAACTAAAACAATCTTCCTGAAACTATTCAAAAAAAAATCAAAGAAGAGGGAATTTTCCCTAGCTTGTTCTTTAAGGCCAGCATTACTCCAATAGCAAAAGCAGACAAGGTCACAAAAACAACAAAAAGCTACAGGCCAATATCCCTGATGAACATAGACATAAAAATCCTCAAGAAAATACTAGTGAACTGAATCTGACAGCACATAAAAAAGATAATACACCGCAACCAAGTGGGTTTTATTCCAAGGATACAAAAATGGTTCAACATGTACAAATCAATAAGTGTAATTCATCACATAAACTGAATTTAAAACAAAAACCATATGATAATCTCAATAAATACAGAAAAAGCATTTGATTAAATTCAGCATCCCTTCATGATAAAAACCCACAACAACCTGGGCATTGGAGGAGCACATCTCAAAATAATAAAAGCTGTATGCAACAAACCCACAGCCAACATCATACTGAATGGCGGAAATGTTGAAATCATTCTCTGTAAGAGCTAGAACAATACAGGGGTGTCCTCTCTCACCACTTCTATTCAACATAGTCCTAGAAGTCACTGCCAAAGCAATCAGGCAAGAGAAAAGAATAAAAGACAGGAAATAAAAATCAGGAAAGAGGAAGTTAAATTATCTCTTTGTTGATGACGTGATCTTATATCTAGAAAACCCTAAATATTCTTTCAAAAGACTCCTAGACATGATAAATGACTTCAACAAAGTTTCAGGACACAAAATTAATGTACAAAAATTATTTGCATTTCCATATATCAACAATGCTTAAGCTGAGAACTAAATCAAGAACTCAATTCCATTACAATACACACACACACACACACACACACACACACACACACACACACACACACCCGGGAATACATTTAACCAAGGAGTTGTAAGACCTCTACAAGAAGAACTATAAAACACTGGTGAAAGAAATTGTAAATGACATAAACAAATGGAAAAACATCTCATGTTCACAAATAGGAAGAATCAATATTAAAATGACTATATTGCCAAAAGCAATCTACAGATTCAGTGCAATTTCTGTCAAATTACCAATGCCATTTTTTACAGAATTAGAAAAACAATTCTAAAATTCATATGGAACCAAAAAGAGCCCTAATAGTCAAAATAAATCTTGAGCAAAAAGAACAAAGCTGGAGGCATCATGTGACCTGACTTCAAAATATATTACAAGTCCAAGCATACTGACTCACTCCTGTAATCCCAGTGCTTTGGGAGGATAATGTGCAAGGAACACTTGAGGCCAGGCATTTGAGAGCAGGCTTGGCAACATGGCGAGACCCCCATCTCTATAAAAAATTCCAAGAATTAGCCAGGCATGGTGATGCATTTCCACAGTCCTAGCTACTTTGGAAGCTCAGGCATGAGGATTGCTTAAGCCCAGGAATTCAAGGCAACAGTGAGCTATGATCACACCACTGAACTCTATCCTTCAGCATGGGCAACAGAGCAAAACCCTATCTCTAAATATATATATACACACACATACAATAAAAATAAAACTAAGCTATAGTAACCAAGGCAGCATGGTATTGGTAGAAAAGCAGATAAGTAGACCAACGGAACAGAATAGAGATCCCAGAAATAAAGCCACGTATTTATAGCCAACAGATCTTTGACAGAGCTGACAATAAAATACAGTGGGGGAAAAGATATCCTCTTCAATAAATGGTGCTGTGAAAATTGAATATCCATATGCAGAAGAATGCAACTGGACCCCTATTTCTCACCGTATACAAAAATCAACTAAAAATAGATTAAAGGCTTAAATGTAAGACCAGAAACTATAATAATACTAGAAGAAAACCTTAAGAAAACTCTCCTGGACATTGATCTAGGCAAAGAATATATGACTAAGCAATCAAAGCAGAGGCAACAAAAACAAAAATGGCCAATGAGACTTAATTAAACTAAAAAGTTTCTGCACAGCAAAAGAAATAATCAACATAGTGAATTGGTAACCTATTGAATGGGAGAAAATATTTGTAAACTATTCATCTGACTGGGGACTAACATCTAGAATATCCAAGGAACTCAAACAGTAAACAGGAAAACCCAAATAATCCCATTAAAAAGTGGATAAAGGACATGAATAGACATTTCTCAGGAGAAGACATACAAATGGCCAACAGGTATATGAAAAAATGCTGTACATCACTAATTATCAGGGAAATGCAAATCAAAACCACAATATCATTTTAACCTAGTCAGATTGGCTATTATCAAAAAGACAAAAAATAACAGATATTGGGTTGGCGAGGCATGATGGCCAAATAGGAAGAGCTCCGGTCTGCTGTTCCCAGTGAGACCAAGGCAGAAGGTGGGTGATTTCTGCATTCCCAACTGAGGTACCCAGTTCATCTCACTGGGACTTGTTAGGCAGTGGGTTCAGCCCATGGAGGGTGAGCAGAAGCAGGGTGGGGCGTCATCTCACCCGGGAAGTGCAAAAAGCTGGGAGACATCCTTCTCCTAGCCAAGGGAAGCCATGAGGGACTGTGCTACTTGGCCTGGATACTATGCTTTTCCCACGGTTTTTGCAATCTGCAGATGAGGAGATACCCTCATGTGCCTACACCACCAGAGCACTGGGTTTCAAGCACAAAACAGGGCGGCTGTTTGGGCAGACACTGAGTTAGCAGCAGCAGTTTTTTTTCATACCCCAGTGACGCCTGGGAACCCCAGCAAGACAGAACCGTTCACTCACCTGGAAAGGGGGCTGAAGACAGGGAGCCAAGTGGTCTCGCTCAGTGGGTCCCAATTCCACGGAGCCCAGCAAGCTAAGAACTACTGGCTTGAAATTCTAACTGCCAGCACAGCAGTCTGAAGTCGACCAGGGATGATCGAGCTTGGTGTGTGTGTGGGGGGCACATCCGCCATTACTGAGGCTTGAGTAGACGGTTTTCCCCTAACAGTGCTAAAGAAGCCTGGAAGTTCAGACTGGGTGGAACTCAACACAGTGCGACAAAGTGGCTGTGGCCAGACTCCCTGTCTAGATTCCTCTTCGCTGGGCAGAGCAACTCTGAAAGAAAGGCAACAGTCCCAGTCAGGGGCTTATAGATAAAACTCCCATCTTCCTGTGAGAGAGCACCTGGGGGAAGGGGTGGCTGTGGGCACAGTTTCAGCAGATTTAAACTTTCTTGCCTGCCAGCTCTGAAGAGAGCAGCTGACCTGTCAAGGGGGATTCTCCCAGCACAGTGCTTGAGCTCTGATAAGAGACAGATTGCCTCCTCAAGTGGGTCCCTGACCCCCATGCCTCCTGACTGGGAGAGACCTCCCAACAGGGGTCGACAGAAACCTCATATATAAGAGCTCTGGCTGGCATCAGGCCAGTGCCCCTCTGGGATGAAGCTTCCAGAGGAAGGAGCAGGCAGCAATCTTTGCTCTTCTGTAGCCTCCACTGGTGATACCCAGGCTAACAGGGTCTGGAGTGGGCCTCCAGCAAACTGCAGCAGACCTGCAGAAGAGGGGCCTGACTGTTAGAAGAAAAACTAACAGTAAAAAACATCGACATCAACAAACAGGACCCCCACACAAAAACCCCATCCAAAGGTCATCAGCCTCAAAGACAAAAGGTAGATAAATCCACAAAGATGAGGAAAAACCAGCACAAAAAGGCTGAAAATTCCAAAAACCAGAATGCCTCTTCTCCAAATGATTGCAACTCCCCTCCAGAAAGGACACAAAACTGGACAAAGACTGAGTTTGATGAATTGACAGAAGTAGGCTTCAGAAGGTGGGTAATAACAAACTCCTCTAAGCTAAAGGACCATGTTCTAACCCAATGCAAGGAAGCTAAGAACCTTTATAAAAGGTTATAAGAACTGCTAACTAGAATAACCAGTTTAGACAGGAACATAACCTGATGGAGCTGAAAAACACAGCATGAGAACTTCGTGAAACATACACAAGTATCAATAGCCAAATCGATCAAGCAGAAAAAAGGATATCAGAGATTGAAGATCAACTTACTGAAATGAGGCATGAAGACAAGATTAGAGAAAAAAGAATGAAAAGGAAAAAAGCCTCCAAGAAATATGGGACTATGTGAAAAGACCAAGCCTACAATTGATTGGTGTACCTGACAGTGACAGGGAGAATGAAACCAAGTTAGAAAACACACTTCAGTATATTATCCAGGAGAACTTCCCCAACCCAGCAAGACAGACCAACATTCAAATTCAGGAAATTCAGAGAACACTGCTAAGATACTCCTCAAGAAGAGCAACCCCAAGACAGATAATCATCAGTTCTCCAAAGTTGAAATGAAGGAAAAAATGTTAAGGGCAGCCAGAGAGAAAGGTCAGGTTACCTGCAAAGGGAAGCCCATCAGGCTAACAGTGGAACTCTCTGCAGAACCCCTACAAGCCAGAAGAGTAGGGCCAAATATTCAACATTCTTAAAAGAATGTTCAACCCAGAATTTCATATCCAGCCAAACTAAGCTCCATAAGCGAAGGAGAAATAAAATTCTTTCCAGACAAGCAAATGCTGAGGGATTTTGTCAGCACCAGACCTGCATTACAAGTGCTCCTGAAGGAAGCACTAAATATGGAAAGGAAAAACCAGCACTAGCCACTGCAAAAACACACCAAAATATAAAGCAAATGACACTATGAAGAAACTGCATCAACTAATGTGCAAAATAACTAGCTAGCATCATGATGACAAGATCAAATTCACACTTAACAATATTGACCTTAAATGTAAATGGGTGGGCTAAATGCCCCAATTCAAGGACATAGACTGGCAAATTGGATAAAGAGTCAAGACTCATCAGTGTCCTGTATTCAGGATACCCGTCTCAAGTGCAAAGACACACGTAGGCTCAAAATAAAGGGATGGAGGAATATTTACCAAGCAAATGGAAAGCAAAAAAAAAAAAAAAAAAAAAAAAAAAAAAAAAAAAAAAAAAAAGCAGGGATTGCAATCCTAGGGTCTGATAAAAACAGATGTTAAACCAACAAAGATCAATAAAGACCAAGAAGGGCATTACATAATGGTAAAGGGATTGAGGCAACAAAAAGAGATAACTATCCTAAATATAGGAGTACTCAGATTTATAAAACAAGTTATTAGAGACCTACAAGGAGACTTAGACTCCCACACAATAATAGTGAGAGACTTTAACACCCTACTGTCAATGTTAGACAGATCAACAAGACAGAAAATTAACAAGGATATTCAGGACTTGAACTCAACTCTGGACCAAGCAGACTTAATAGACATCTACAGAACTCTCCACTCCAAATCAACACAATATACATTCTTCTCAGCACCAAACATGGAGAAGAGGGGCCTGTGTAGCACTTATTCTAAAATCGACCACATAATTCTGCTCCTCAGCAAATACAAAAGAGCAAAAATAATAACAAACAGTCCCTCAGACCACAGTGCAATCAAATTAGAACTCAGGGTTAAGAAACTCACTCAAAACTGCAAAACTACATGGAAATTGAACAACCTGCTCCTGAATGACTACTGGGTAAATAACAAAATTAAGGCAGAAATAAATAAGTTCTTTGAAACCAATGAGAACAAAGAGACAATGTACCAGAATCTCTGGGACACAACTGAAGCAGTGTTAAGAGGGAAATTTATAGCACTAAATGCCCACATCAGAAAGCTGGAAAGACCTGAAATAGACACCCAAACATCACAACTAAAAGAACTAGAGAAGCGAGAGCAAACAAATTCAAAAGCTAGCAGAAAAGAAGAAATAACTAAGATCAGAGAAGAACTGAAGGAGGTAGAGATAGAAAAAAACCCTCCAAAAAAATCAGTGAATCCAGGAGATGTTTTTCTTTGAAAAGATTAACAAAATAGATAGACCACTAGCCAGACTAATAAAAGAGAAAAGAGAGAAGAATCAAATAGACACAATAAAAAATGATAAAGGGGATATCACCACTGATCCCACAGAAATGCAAACTACCATCACAGAATACTATAAACACCTCTATGCAAATAAACTAGAAAATCTAGAAGAAATGGATAAATTCCTAGACACATACACACTCCCAAGCCTAACGCAGAAAGAAGGCATATCCCTGAATAGACCAATAACAAATTCTGAAATTGAGGCAGTAATTAATAGCTTACCCACCAAAAAAAGCCCAGGACCAGACAGATTCACAGCTGAATTCTACCAGAGGTACAAAGAGGAGCTGGTACCATTCCTTCTGAAACTCTTCCAAACAATAGAAAAAGAAACACTCCTCCCTAACTCATAATATGAGGCCAGCATCATCTTGATATCAAAACCTGGCAGAGACACAACAAAAAAAGAAAATTTCAGGCCAATATCCTTGATGAACATCAATGCAAAAATCCTCAATAAAATACTGGCAAACCAAATCCAGCAGCACATCAAAAAGCTTATCCACCATGATCAAGTCAGCTTCATCCCTGAGATGCAAGGCTGGTTCACTATACACAAATCAATAAACATAATCCATCACATAAACAGAGCCAATGATAAAAACTACAGGATTATCTTAACAGGTGCAGAAAAGGCCTTTGATAAAATTCAACATCGCTTCATGCTAAAAACTCTCAATAAACTAGGTATTGATGGAAGATATCTCAAAACAATAAGAGCTATTTATGACAAACCCATAGCCAATATCATACTGAATGGACAACAACTGGAAGCATTTCCTTTGAAAACTGGCACAAGACAAGAATGCCCTCTTTCACCACCCCTATTCAACATAGTGTTGGAAGTTCTGGCCAGGGCAATCAGGCAAGAGAAAGAGATAAAGTGTATTCAAATAGGAAGAGAGGAAGTCAAATTGTCTCTGTTTGCAGATGACATGATTGTATATTTAGAAAACCCCATCGTCTCAGCTCAAAAACTCCTTAAGCTGATTAGCAACTTCAGCAAAGTCTCATGATATGAAATCAATGTGCAAAACTCACAAGCACTCCTGTCCACCAATAATAGAGAGCCAAATCAGGAGTGAACTCCCATTCACAATTGCTACAAAGAGAATAAAATACTTAGGAATACAACTTACAAGGGATGTGAAGGACTTCTTCAAAGAGAACTACAAACCACTGTTCAAGGAAATAAGAGAGGACACAAACAAATGGAAAAAAATCCATGTTTATAGATAGGAAGAATCAATATCATGAAAATGTCCATATTGCCCAAAGTAATGTATAGATTCAATGCTATTCTCATCAAGCTAACATTGACTTTCTTTGCAGAATTAGAAAAAACTACCTAAAATTTCATATGAAACCAAAAAAGAGCCCCTATAGCCAAGCCAATCCTAAGCAAAAAGAACAAAGCTGGAGGCACCACACTACCTGACTTCAAAGTATACTATAAGGCTACGGTAACCAAACCAGCATGGTACTGGTACTAAAACAGATATATAGATCAATGGAACAGAACAGAGCCTCAGAAATAACAACACACGTCTACAACCATCTGATCTTCAACAAACCTGACAAAAATAAGCAATGAGGAAAGGACTCCCTATTAATAAATGGTGCTGGGAAAACTGGCTAGTCATATGCAGAAAACAGAAACTGGATCCTTGCCTCACACCTTATACAAAAATTAACTCAAGATGGCTTAAAGAGTTAAATGTAAAACCCCAAACCATAAAAACTCTAGAATAAAACCTAGGCAATACCATTCAGGACATAAGCATGGGCAAAGACTTCATGACTAACACACAAAAAGCAATGGCAACAAAAGCCAAAATTGACAAATGGAATCTAATTAAACTAAAGAACTTCTGCACAGCAAAGGAAACTATCATCAGAGTGAACAGGCAACCTACCAAATGGGAGAAAATTTTTGCAATCTGTACATCTGACAAAGGTCTAATATCTAGAATGTACAAGGAACTTAAACAAACTTACAAGAAAAAAGCAAACAACATCATCAAAAAGTGGGAGAAGGATATGAACAGACACTTCTCAAAAGAAGAAATTTATGCAGCCAACAAACATATGGAAACAAGCTCATCATCACTGGTCACTAGAGTAATGCAAATCAAAACCACAATAAGATACCATCTCACTCCAGTTAGAATGGTGATCATTACAAAGTCAGGAAACAACAGATGCTGGTGAGGCTGTGGAGAAATAGGAACGTTTTTACACTATTGGTGGGAGTGTAAATTAGTTCAACCAAAGATGGTGTGGTGATTCCTAAAAGATTTAGAACCAGAAATACCATTTGACCCAGCAATTCCATCACTGGATATATACCCAAAGGATCATAAATCATTCTACTATAAAGACCCATGCACACATATGTTTATTGTAGCACTATTTACAATAGCAAAGACTTGGAACCAACCCAAATGCCTATCAATAATAGACTGGATAAAGAAAATGTGGCACGTATACACCATGGAATACTATGCAGCCATAAAAAAGAATGAGTTCATGTTTTTTGCAGGGACATAGATGAAGCCGGAAACCATCATTCTCAGCAAACTAACACAGGAACAGAAAATACACCACATGTTCTCACTCATAAGTTGAAGAATGGGAACACATGGACACAGGGAGGGGAACATCACACACCAGGGTTTGTGAGGGGGTTGAGGGGGAGGAGAGGGAGAGCATGAGTACAAATACCTAATGCATGCAGGGCTTAAAATCTAGATGACATGTTGATAGATGCAGCAAACCACCATGGCACATGTATGCCTACGTAACAAACCAGCACATGTATCTCAGAACTTAAAGTAAAATAATAATAATAATAAAAAATATGTTGGTGAGGATGCAGAGAAAAGAGGACACTTATACTTTGTTGGTGGTACTGTAAACTATTACAGCCACTCTGAAAAACAGTATAGAGATTTCTCAAAAAATTACAGATAGGAGCAGTCCAATCACTTGGTATCTATCTACTCAATAGAAAAGAAATTAATATATCAAAAGCATGCCTGCACTCCCATGTACTCCCATAATTGCTGCACTATTATATTTACATTTATTGAAGCACAATAGCAAAGATATGGAATCAATCTAAATGTCCATTAATGGATGAATGGATAAAGAAAATGTGGTATGTATATATAATGGAGTACTATTTGGCCATGAAAAGGAATAAAATCATATTTGCAGCAACATGAATAGAACTGGAGGTCATTATCTTAAGTTAAATAAGCTAGGCACAAAAAGACAAATACCACATGTTCTTACTTGTATGTGGGTGGGTACTAAAATATTTAATCCCCATGGAGGTAGAAAGTGGAAAACAGATAACAGAGACTGACAAGGGTGAATGTGGGGGAGAGGGGAAGGTGAAGAGAAGTGTGTTAAAGCGTAGAAATATACAATTATATAGAGGGAATAAATCCAATGTCTCATAGCACAGTAGGGTGACTATAGTTTACAAAAATGTATTAAACTTGGACACCCTAAATACCCTGACTTGATCACTACAAATTACATAAACATGACAACATTTCACATGTGCCCCACACCATACATTTGTACAAGTAAAAAAAAAGTGATGAACCACCAAAAAAACTATATCAAAATAAAAATGTCAATTTTGTGATCCATTTGAATGGAAGTAAAAGAGACAAGAAATATTTGATATATTTGATTTACTTGTAATATGGGCACAATTCAGGGAAAACAAATATATTGAGTTATCAGTACTAGAAATAATTTTATAATGTCAACTGTCATATTTATGGATGTAAAAAGACAAAAAAAAAAAAAGCATGGACAATTGGAAACTGGATCGCAAATGCTTTTCCACCAAAAATCAACATCCTGAGCTCAGAAACTTAGTACCTTAAAGGGCTGACCAGCATTCATCCTACAAGCAGAGTGCTTTGCTACCTGAAGAAAAATGCCTTACATTTGGTAGAATTTAAGAGCTAGAAAACGCTGCTACCTACCCTTCTCACTGTAGCCTTTTCTGTCATTCAAGGTAGACAGGGCGGGTGTTACTATGCTAATTTTCAGTTGAGGAAACCTAGGCAAGAAAAGTTGTAATTTATCCAGGGTTTTGAAAGAAATATGGGCAGATGCAAGGATTATAATTCAGGCCTTCTAATTCTAAGTGTTTTGTTTTATGGCTTGGATGATGTTGTGAGACCCCAACCCTCTCCCTCATTTCCTGCAGTGACTAAAATGCAGTGAGATAGCACCATTTAGAGCACAGTGGCTCTTGGTGCCATCCATCAGCTTTGTGACCTTGGACAAAAGCTTGGTTCTCTACATCTTCATTTTTCTCATACATAAAAACTGAGATAATTATAACCTAAGTCCAGGGCTTAATGCGATTTAGGCAACATCTTTACAATACTTAGCATATGTTAGACAAATGTCTAACATTCAATGGTGGATATTATTATTACCATTAAAAATATTCCCTTGGATGGAACTACTATGGTCTTCTTAAAAATGTAAATAGTTCTCTTAGCAGATTAAGCCCATTTACCTACTGAGTTTACAGTTAAACTATTATGGAGGAACTGGGATAGGACACTTGTATTACTGTAGGGGAATAGCTGGTGGGTGACAGCGTTAGGAAGACAAGTCCAGGTGAGGCTCCCTGGGAAGGATCTGACACAGCCAGCACAGGGGTGGGTGATTGAGGGATGGTGACTCAGAGCACTGATAGGGGAGGTGGGGTAGAAGAAAAGGTAACCCTCGCTTGTGATTGTGGTCAGAATACCATCCTTAAAAAAATAAAACAAAAAAGAAGTGCCTATAACTCTCTGGGAGCATTTCAATGTGTAAATTATTAAGATAAAATATACTTTTAAATACCATAATACTAAGTACTGGTATTTGGGTACAGTGGCTCTCACCTGTAATCCCAGCATTCTGGGACACCAAGGCAGGAGCATCACTTGAGCTCAGGAATTTGAGACCAGTCTGGGCAACATGGTGAAACCCCATCTCTACAAGAACTACAAAAATTAACTGGGCATGGTGGCATGTGCCTGTAGTCCTAGCTACTAGGGAGGCTGAGATGGGAGGATTGCCTGAGCCTAGGAGGTGGAGGCTGCAGTGATCTGTGATTACACCAGACGGGGCAACAGAGTGAGACCTTGTCTCAAACAACAACAACAACAACAACAACAACAACAACAACAACAACAACAACCACCACCACCACCCAGAATAGCTCAAACTGGTATTGTGACCACTATAGATCTTATTATTACTGCTTCTTTCATTCACTTAGGTGAGCCCCCCTGATTCTGTTCCCTCCCCTTCCTTACCACTTCACTCTGCATTTTTTGTCCTTCACGTTTCTGCTTCCAGAATATCACCAGACCCCACTGGCTTTTTCCTTCCCTAATTCTTTTATATTTATTGTCTATTGCATAATTAGATTATTCCATCCATTAAACATTTTTTAGTGCTTTGCAAGCAAAGGCAAAATCTTTGTACTCAAGGAGTTTGCAGCCTACTGGGTTTAAATAGGACAAGGATGCAGGTAAATGTAACACAAGACAGAATAAGAAAAATGTCACATCTTACTACAAATTCAACACTATAATTATGGGAAGGATGAGGAAGATATGTGTAGCTGTCCTCCATTATGCAGATTAGATAAAGTTGAGGTCTACAGGGAGGAAGTGCCTTTCTTAGGCACCAGTTACTAGTCCATGTGTGGTGTGTAAGTTCAGGCACTGCCTCTGTATCTGCAGCATGACTCTGAGTGGTCCAGGGTTCCAGATCGAATTCTGAGGTGCTCTCGTCAAATGAGGTGCTCTGCTTTCAGTAGTCAAATATTTAGGAAATGCTGGTTATCTCCAGTCTTTTGTTCTAGTCAATGCTGCAGTGAATAATTTGAGAAATTGAAGGCATTAGTAAAACTAGGTAGTAACTTCCAGCCACAAAAACACGTTTAAAATGTTATTTGATGATCTATAACAATTCTCATGTAATGTGCAACATCTCCAGAGCATGTCAGAGACCTTCACGGCAGCCCCTTCCATCACAGGCCTGGAGGCTTAAGAGGGAAAAATGGTTTCATGGGCCGGGCCTAGGGTCTTCCGGTTCTATGCAGACTCAGGACAGGGTGCCCTGCATCTCAGCTGCTTCAGCTCCAGCTGTGGCTAAAAGGGACCAATGTACAGCTCAGGCCATTGCTTCACAGGGTGCAAGCCCCAAACCTTGGCAGCTTACATGTGGCATTGGGCCTGTGGATGCACAGAAGTCAAGAATTGAGGTTTGGGAACCTCTGCCTGAATTTCAGAGGATGTATGGAAATGCCTGATGTTCAGGCAAGTTTGATGCAGGGGCAGAGCCCTCATGGAGAACCTCTGCTAGGGCAGTGTGGAAGGGAAATGTGGGGTTGGAGCCCCCACACCAAGTCCCCACTGGGGCACTGCCTAGTGGAACTGTGAGAAAAGGGCCACTGTCCCCCAGACCTAAAATGGCGGATCCACCTACAGTTTGCATCATGCAAGTGGAAAAGCCACAGACATTCAATGCCAGCCTGTGAAAGCAGCCAGGAGTGGGGATGTAACCGCAAAGCCACAGGGACAGAGCTGCCCAAGGCTGTCGTAGCCCATCTCTTGCATCAATGTCCCCTGGATGTGAGACATGGAGTCAAAGGAGGTCATTTTGGAACTTTAAGGTTTAATGACTGCCCTATTGGATTTTGGACTTGCATGGGGCCTGTAGCCCCTTTGTTTTGGCCAGTTTCTTCCATTTGGAATGGGTGTATTTACTCAATGCCTGTACCCTCATTGTATCTAGGAAGTCGCTAACTTGCTTTTGATTTTATAGGCTCATATGCAGAAGGGACTTTCCTTGTCTCAGATGAGACTGTGGACTTGGACTTTTGAGTTAATGCTGGAATAAGTTAAGACTTTGGGAAACTGTTGGAAGGGCATGGTTGTGTTTTGAAATGTGAGTACATGAGATTTGGGAGGGGCCAGGGGCAGAATGATATGGTTTGGCTGTGTCCCCACCCAAATCTCATTTTGAATTGTGTTCCCACAACCCCCTCTGTGTTGTGGGAGGGACCCGATGGGAGGTAATTGAATCATGGGGGCAGCTACCTTCATGCTGTTCTTGAGATAGTGAGTTCTCATGAGATCTAATGGTTTTATAAGGAGCTTTTCCCTGTTTAGCTCATCTTCTCCTTCCTGCCACCATGTGAAGAAGGACATGTTTGCTTCCCCTTCCACCATAATTGTAAGTTTCCTGAGGCCTCCCCAGCTTTGTGGAACTGTGAGTCAATTAAATCTCTTCTTTTACAAATTACTCAGCCTTGGGCAATTCTTTACAGCAGCATAAGAATGGACTAATACAGGTCTGGCCATATTATTTTAATGTAAGACAGAAATGCTTCATGGATTGTTACCAAATGTCTCATAGTGCTTAAATAACAATGAAGCTAGTAATGTAGTATTAACATTTATTGAATTTATCAAAAAATAATATCTTTAAAGCTACCACATACTGAGTACAACTTACCATATTCATGCACTATTCTAAGCACTTAAGAGATAGTACTTTATTTAATCTATTAACATCTCATGAGACTGGTGCTATTATCCCCATTTTATTTTATTTATTTTATTTTATTATTATTATTTTTTGAGATGGAGTCTCACTCTGTCACCCACGCTGGAGTGCAGTGGCACAATCTTGGCTCACTGCAAGCTCTGCCTCGTGGGTTCACACCATTCTCCTGTCTCAGCCTCATGAGTAGCTGGGACTACAGGTGCCCGCCACCATGTCTGGCTAATTTTTTGTATTTTTAGTAGAGACTGGGTTTCACCGTGTTAGCCAGGATGGTCTCAATCTCCTGACCTTGTGATCTGCCCACTTCAGCCTCCCAAAGTGCTGGGATTACAGGCATGAGCCACTGCACCCAGCCTATCCCCATTTTAGAGATGAGGAAATTGAAGCCAAAGGTGGTTAACTCCTCCAAGGTCACACAGCCAGTGAGCAATGGAGCCAGGTTTTCTACTGGGCAATCAGAATCCAGAACATTCCTTCCTTAACATTACTGCCCATTGTTGGTCTTTACCTTCAAGTCTTCTCTAGTTCCCTATGTGATAACACAATAAAAAGGAATTAAAATTTTTTTATAGTCTTTAAAGTTTTTTGAGCTTTGTGGTCAGCAGTGGAGACTCTAAGATCTTTCTGGCCTATAATTCAAATATATGAGCCATTGATTGTTACAAGAACAGTGTTTTCTCTTCCTCACATTAGTCTTTCTGCTTTGTGTGTCATGATTGTTATTTTGATCCTTGCTTTTGTTCCCTCCAAAGTAATCTGCTTGAAATCACCACTCTGAAATGACTTTGGCATTTTACAAAAGACAAGTGTTCCTCATAGGCTGTGATATTGGGTTTATTCTTCCCAACACCTTCTTTCAAAGGCTGAATTTATTCTTCAAGTAAGCCTCCAGCTGCTTTATGTGTACACATTACGGTTCAAATCCCCTCTTGTCAGATCTGGTAGGATCAATGAATTTAATTCAGAAGAACCATCAAGTTCACTAAAACATCAGAAAACACAGTGATAGGGAACAATTTGTAAACAAAATATAATGCCTTTCTGCAGACTTGCTTTGTGCCTTTTGTATTGAGAATTTGGAAATTTCTTGAGTTGGGAGTAGGACTTACTCTAACTTGTGAATCAAATTATGGGTAATAAACTCCAATTTAGATTGGCAGAGGTAGTGCCCATGCTTGCAGAATGTAACAGGTATTCATAATGTATGCACTGTCCATAACTATGCATTGATGAAATAAAGATTTTATAATCATTCTGAAAATGATGGTGTATTAGTCAGGGTTCTCTAGAGAAATAGGACTAATAAGATAGATGTATATATGAAAGGGAGTTTATTAAGGAGTATTGACTCATGCAGTCACAAAGTGAAGTCCCACAATAGGCCATCTGCAATCTATCAGTGGATCTAACATTCTGGGGTCTAGAGGAGAATGGCTCTTTTCTCACAGCTCCACTAGGCAGTACTCCAGTGGGGACTGTGTGGGGGCTCTGCACTGCCTTAGGAGAGGTTCTCCAAAGGGCCCCACCCCTGCAGGAAACTTCTGCCTGGATACCAAGGTGTTTCCATACATCCTCTGAAATCTAGATGGAGGTTCCCAAACCTCAATTCATGACTTCTATGCACCTGTAGGCTCAACACCTTGTGGAAGCTGCCAAGGCTTGGGACTTGCACCCTCTGGAGCCATGGACTCAGCTGTACCTTAGCTTTTTTTAGCCATGGCTGGAGCAGCTGAGATGCAGGGCACCAAGCCCCTAGGCTGCACACAGCAAATGGGGGTGGGTGCTGGTCCCAGCCCACACAACCATTTTTCCCTTTTGGGCCTCTGGGCCTGTGATGGGAAGGGCTCCTGTGAAGGCCTCTGACATACCCTGGAGATATTTTCCCCATTGTCTTGGTGGTTAACATTCAGCTCGTTGTTACTTTATGCAAATTTCTGCAGTTGGCTTGAATTTCTCCACCAGAAAATGGGGTTTTCTTTTCCATCACATTGTCAGGCTGCAAATTTTCCAAAGTTTTATGCTCTGCTTCCTCTTGAACACTTTGCTGCTTAGAAATTTCTTCCACCAGATAACCTAAATCATCTCTCTCAAGTTCAAAGTTCAACAGATCTCTATGGCAGGGGGAAAATGGCGCCAGACTGTTTGTATAGCAAGAGTGACCTTTATTCCAGTTCCCAAGTTCCTCATCTCCATCCGAGACTGCTTCAGCCTGGACCTTATTGTCCATATCTCTATCACTATCAGCATTTTGGTCAAGGCATTTAACAAGTCTCTAGGAAGTTCCAAACTTTCCCACATCTTTCTGTCTCCTGAGCCCTCCAAACTGTTTCAACCTCTGCCTGTTACCCAGTTCCAAAATGCTTCCACATTTTCAGGTATCTTTACAGCAGCGATGGACTCTCTGCAGTAACAATTTACTGTATTAGTCTGTTCTTATGCTGCTCATAAAGACATACTTGAGACTGGGTAATTTATAAAGGAAAAAGGTTTAAAGGAATCATAGTTCCACATGGCTAGGGAGGCCTCACAATTATGGCAGAAAGCAAAGAAGAAGCAAGGGCATATTTTATATTTATATTTTTATTTTTTTGTTTTTTTTTTATTTTTATTTTTTATTATTATACTTTAAGTTCTAGGGTACATGTGCACAACGTGCAGGTTTGTTACATGTGTATACATGTGCCATGTTGGTGTGCTGCACCCATTAACTCATCATTTACATTAGGTATATCTCCTAATGCTATCCCTCTCCCCTCCCCCTCCACAACAGGCCCTGGTGTGTGATGTTTCCAACCCTGTGTCCAAGTGTTCTCATTGTTCAATTCCCACCTATGAGTGAGAACATGCAGTGTTTGGTTTTCTGTCCTTGTGTTAGTTTGCTGAGAATGATGGTTTCCAGCTTCATCCATGTCCCTACAAAGAACATGAATTCATCCTTTTTTATGGCTGCATAATAGTATTCCATGGTATATATGTGCCACATTTTCTTAATCTAGTCTATCATTGATGGACATTTGGGTTGGTTCCAAGTCTTTGCTATTGTGAATAGTGCCGCAATAAACATACGTGTGCATGTGTCTTTATAGTAGAATGATTTATAATCTTTTGGGTATATGCCCAGTAATGGGATGGCTGGGTCAAATGGCATTTCTAGTTCTAGATCGTTGAGGAATTGCCACACTGTCGTCCACAATGGTTGAACTAGTTTACAGTCCCATGAACAGTATAAAAGTGTTCCTATTTCTCCACATCCTCTCCAGCACCTGTTGTTTCCTGACTTTTTAATGATCGCCATTCTAACTGGTGTGAGATGGTATCTCATTGTGGTTTTGATTTGCATTTCTCTGATGGCCAGTGATGATGAGCATTTTTTCATGTGTCTGTTGGCTGCATAAATGTCTTCTTTTAAGAAGTGCCTTTTCATATCCTTTGCACACTTTCTGATGGGGCTGTTTGACTTTTTCTTGTAAATTTGTTTACATTCTTTATAGATTCTGGATATTAGCCCTTTGTCAGATGGGTAGATTGTAAAAATCTTCTCCCATTCTGTAGGTTGCCTGTTCACTCTGATGGTAGTTTATTTTGCTGTTTCAGAAGCTCTTTAGTTTAATTAGATCCATTTGTCAGTTTTGGCTTTTGTTGCCACTGCTTTTGGTGTTTTAGTCATGAAGCCCTTGCCCATGCCTATGGCCTGAATGGTATTGCCTAGGTTTTCTTATAGAGTTTTTATAGTTTTAGGTCTAACATTTAAGTCTTTAATCCATCTTGAATTAATTTTTGTATAAGGTGTAAGGAAGGGATCCAGTTTCAGCTTTCTACAAATGGCTAGCCAGTTTTCCCAGCATCATTTATTAAATAGGAAATCCTTTCCCCATTGCTTGTTTTTGTCAGGTTTGTCAAAGATCGGATGGTTGTAGATGTGTGGTATTATTTCCAATGACTCTATTCTGTTCCATTGGTCTATACCTCTGTTTTGGTGCCAGTACCATGCTGTTTTGGTTACTGTAGCCTTGTAGTATAGTTTGAAGTCAGGTAGCATGATGCCTCCAACTTTGTTCTTTTTGCTTAGGATTGTCTTGGCAATGCAGGCTCTTTTTTGTTTCCATATGAGCTTTAAAGTTGTTTTTTTCCAATTCTGTGAAGAGAGTCATTGATAGCTTGGTGGGGATGGCATTGAATCTATAAATTACCTTGGGCAGTATGGCCATTTTCACAATATTGATTCTTTCTATCCATGAGCATGGAATGTTCTCCCATTTGTTTGTGTCCTCTTTTATTTCCTTGAACAGTGGTTTGTAGTTCTCCTTGATGAGGTCTTTCACATCCCTTGTAAGTTGGATTCCTAGGTATTTTATTCTCTTTGAATCAATTGTGAATGGGAGTTCACTCATGATTTGGCTCTCTGTTTGTCTGTTATTGGTGTATAAGAATGCTTGTGATTTTTGCACATTGATTTTGTATCCTGACACTTTGCTGAAGTTTCTTATCAGCTTAAGGAGATTTCGGGCTGTGATGATGGGGTTTTCTCAACATACAATCATGTCATCTGCAAACAGGGACAATTTGACTTCCTCTTTTCCTAATTGAATACCCTTTATTTCTTTCTCTTGCCTGATTGCCCTGGCCAGAATTTCCAATACTTTGTTGAATAGGAGTGGTGAGAGAGGGCATCCCTGTCTTGTGCCAGTTTTCAAAGGGAATGCTTCCAGTTTTTGCTGATTCAGTATGATATGGGCTGTGAGTTTGTCATAAATAGCTCTTATTATTTTAAGATATGTCCCGTCAATACCTCGTTTATTAAAAGATTCTATATATAAATAAAGCACAAGTCAAAGAAGTCTAAAAACTAGGATACTGTGTTAGCCTGGTTTGTTCAGAATGCACAACCCAGGTAACCTTGAATAAAGGGACGTATGTCTGGAAACATGACCCTGTGCTGGTCAGGAGCCTGCGCTTCGGCAGAAGGCAAATCCAGATCTCCAAGCAGGCTCATCCACTTACCAGTCATATGACCTTCTGAATGCCCATCTGCAAAACGAGGAAAGCAATACAAGTTTAGGTGAGACAACATAAGTAAAGCATTTAGTACAATGAATGATTCAATATTGGCAGTTACCCTCTATGATCATCAATCAAAAGTATTTGGCCTTTCCGGGGTCCCTGTTGTCAACTTTCTTGGTGACTTCTCCAGCATCTCAAATTCCTTGTCTTTTTATTGTAAACAACTTTTTTAAAAAATTAATTGTCTATATATAAAGTACCAGGTGTGATGCTAGCACTGGTCGTATGATATTTCTAGTGCTAACAGCAACCAACAAGGTGATTATTATTTCTATTTTTCAGACAAAGAAACCAAGGCTCAATACAATTAAACTACTTGACCTAAAGACACAAGTGCTTGTCTGACTTCACTGCCAATGCTCCTATCAATAGTCAGATCACAACTTTTTAAGGTTAAATGAAAACTCTAGTAACATGTGATCTAACTCACTTACTTAAAAAAATATAGAAAAGATTCTGTTCAATAAATTCAGTTCTTCCACTTTTAAGTTGTATACCGAATTACAGTCTTGATCTATCCCTGCACTCCTATTTGTTCTCTTTTCCTTCTCTTTTTCATCTTTCTTCCCAATTAGTGGAGTAAACTGTATAGGGTACATACCCTATACCAGGGCCGGAGGCCAGATAGAAACAGCAGAAGGAAGGACAAACAGATGTAGTGGTCTTTGTGGTCTATGCTACTTGTGATCAGTTGAATGTGAACATTTTGTCCTTCTTTGCAATACCTGGTTCAAGAATAGCCAATTGTGACCAAGAAACGTGGAAGGAAGTCTGCTGATGAATTTCCAAAAAAGGCTTTCTTTTTTCTAAGAGGATACGTAGGAAGAAGCGATGGCTCTTCTCTCTCTGGATTTTGTCCTGTCTGCATGTGTACTGGATCTTGCTACCAGCCTGACATTAAAACAAGTTAAAACAAGTTCTGAGCTTGGTATCCTCAAGGATATTCTTGAGTCACAAAATCAAACAACTCCAGAGTCCACATGACCTCAGATTTGCTGTGGGGAGATATGGTAAGTTTCCTGAGTTAGTTTACATCAGGGTTTCTGTTAAGTGCAGCCAAGAGCATTCCAATAGCAAGAAGTGGTTTTATGGATGGTGTTGATCAGGTTTGGAGGAAGGCAAAGGAAGCCTGAGGGCCTTTGGACATGCGGAAGAAGTTTCAGAGGGTTAGTGTAGAGGGAAATGAGTTAATGATGGAGATTTATTTTCTAGGCCTCTAAAAATAGAACAGATTCTCAGTCTTCTGGTATGTTTCAATTACTTCTGATGAAACACAGAGGGAAGAGCTAGAATAGTTGGCCTCTAAGAGGTCAAGTTTTGAGAGGTCAAAGTGCCTGCTTTAATAACACTCTGAAGCCTGAACTTTATCTTTTTGATTTTTCAGCAGTAGATTATCTTGAAATAGCTTTTTTTTAGGTGCAAAGACAGAAAAAAACAAGACAGGGTGACCATGTGCCTACTATTATGTAACCTAGTGCCAGGGAAATACTAAAGTATTTTCTATTTTCTTAAATGCCAGAATCTGACTTTATAGTGCTTTCCATGAATCTTCACAATAAATGATTTCAACTCCAAGCTAATGTAGTCTTTTTCCCTCCCCTCTCTCTATCTTATCCTAGAGGGATTATGACTGGGTTATATAAGGCACTGTCTTTAAAAATTATATTAATAAAAATGTAGAGTCTTGCCAGGTTAAATTTTCCTTCTGATTGTTTCAAGGCGCGATTTCTGTAGCTGGGAGAACTTTGACAAATACTGAATCAATTTAATTGAAGTAATATCGCTCTGGGCTTCCAATAAATGGGATGAGCAGGTTTTTTTCCTAATGTAAGGAGCTAGCTGCATGGCTCACAATTTTGAGCACCTGAAGGAAATGGTCAGAAATGGCCTCTGGTGAATCACAAAACAGAACAATGACCAGGGGCCCGTAATCTGGCACTATTTGGGCACTACATTCATCCCAAACGTGCAGGTAAGAGCCAGGTTAGTTAGCACTGTTTTTTGTTTTTTGTTTTTTTTATACTTTAAGTTTTAGGGTACATGTGCACAACGTTCAGGTTTGTTACAATGTATACATGTGCCATGTTGGTATGCTACACCCATTAACTCGTCATTTAGCATTAGGTATATCTCCTAATGCTATCCCTCCCCCCTCCCCCCAACCCACAACAGTCCCCGGTTTGTGAAGTTCCCCTTCCTGTGTCCATGTGTTCTCATTGTTCAATTCCCACCTATGAGTGAGAACATGCAGTGTTTGGTTTTTTGTCCTTGCAATAGTTTGCTGAGAATGATGGTTTCCAGCTTCATCCATGTCCCTACAAAGGACATGAACTCATCATTTTTTATGGCTGCATAGTATTCCATGGTGTATATGTGCCACATTTTCTTAATTTTCTTAATCCATTCTATCATTGTTGGACATTTGGGTTGGTTCCAAGTCTTTGCTATTGTGAATAGTGCCACAATAAACATACATGTGCATGTGTCTTTATAGCAGCATGATTTATAATCCTTTGGGTATATACCCAGTAATGGTATGGCTGGGTCAAATGGTCCCGTACTTGCCATAAACACCTCAATTATAGCACTCTCCATGTGTATTGCAACTGCTTTTTATAATATGATTAAACCATAAGTTCCTTACGAGTGGGGCCCATGGATTTTCTTTTTAATGCTCCCAGTGCCATGTACAGCATTTGGTTCCTGTGAGAAGCCCATACGTATACATTGAAAGAACAAGACCTCAAAGATTTTATAAAAGTTCTAATGTCTATATGACTATACTTCCACGAAAATGTTCTCTCTCTCGGGGGATTAGCGACTCATTAAAAACCAGTGCTCAAGAAATACCATTTGAGCATGGACAGTGCTATAATTGAGGTGTTTATGGCAAGTTATGGGATAGTAGAATGGACAATGTCTAATATGTTTAGGGGAGATCAGGGGAAACTTTTACAGAGAAAATAACTCTAGAACTGAGAACTATATACTGAGACGTGTCAGAAGGACTAGAGTGGGGAAAAGTATTTCAGCCAGATGGAACAGTACCAGCCAAGAGGAACTCCATGGAGGTTAAAGAAAAAAAGCATGGCACATTAGATGTGGTGAATTGGGGTATAGCACAGGATGTGTGGGAGACGATAATGCTGGATCTGTTGGGGAGGGAGTTAAGCTCCAGGTGATAGCCTCATAGGAAATATTAATAAGTTAGGATTCTATTTTATGGGTAATGGAGAGCCATTGCACAGTTTTAAATCTGGGTGTGACATAATAGTGTTGGCATTTTAGAGAAATTGCCCACACAGGATAGCATGCAGTGTGGATTGTAGGAAGCTGAATCAAGAGGCGAGGCACTTCATTGAAAGGCCATTGTATTTCTGGACTAAGAGAAGAGTCATGGGTTTGGGGAGAAGGAAGCATATTTAGAAAAACAAGGAAGAGAGAGTCAGTGGGACTCTGCTAATGCTCAGCAGCATGTGCCCCAGACTTTGGCTCTCCTTCTTGATGCGCTCTTCTCAGTTGTTTCCATCCTAGACGTTAAACTCCTAGTTTTCCTTGAACTGCACTGGCTGCTCCCTTGTCAGTCTCCTTTGCTGGCTCCTTTGCTTTTTCTTGACCTCTAAATGTTGGAAGACATCAGTCCTGAGCCTCTTTTTTCTCTCCATTCTCCCTAAG
Organism: Homo sapiens; assembly: GCF_000001405.40. Classification (NCBI taxonomy): domain Eukaryota; kingdom Metazoa; phylum Chordata; class Mammalia; order Primates; family Hominidae; genus Homo; species Homo sapiens. The sequence continues at coordinate 47,507,073 of NC_000012.12, read as the reverse complement.
ACATCTTCCTCAGTTTCATGGCATTAAGGATTATCCATAAACTGATAACTCCCCAAATTCTATCTCCTGTCCCAACCTCTCCCCACAACTCCAGTCTCATGTACCCAACAGCATAGTCATCCTCTAAAACTCAACCTCCCCACAGAACCCTTTATTTTCCCCCAAGCAAACTCATTCCTTCCCTAATATTTTGCATCTCACTAAATGGCACCATCATCTACCCAGTTGCTCAGAAACCAACATAAAGCCACATATGTCTAAGTAGAGAAGATTCTTAGGATTTCTCCTAATTCAGTGAGGGCTGCCCCTGTTGTGCAAATCCAGCTGGCACCACTTGCACTGCAATCTGTGCAAATGACAACCCTTTTTCTTGTGTGCCACAGTTGCCCTACAATACTTCATCCTATTTCTTAGAAAAACTAAGGGAAGATATTTTAAAATGAGATTTCATTCTCCAGTATTTTTCTAAAATGTCTTCTTTCAAACACGGTTACAACTGTATGTTGTTTCACAATTTCAAACAACTGTACCTCACAGAGTACAACTGACCCCTTGTAGTTGTATTTCACAAACATTCGAACCTCCTCTAGTAGTTGTTAACCAATAACTTATAATGAATTCTGCTAAGGACCATACTATAGGACTCTGTTCATGTTGGCATTTCAATAACTACGAAGGATTGGCTCTCATATTCCAGGCTACAGTCTCATTTAGTTAATAAGAATATCTTCTCTGAGTTTCACATAATATGGTTTCTATTTATCACCATTCAATTTCTTTTCATCCAGTGTTTGCATCTCCATTATTATGAAGGATTCTAGTAGGCTTAGCTGTAATAGAGAGCCACAGTCTTCTAGAACACAAACAAAAATACTAAATACTAAACTCACAGGTACAAGCAAAAGTACGCCATGCCATGTGGCTTATTGACTGGTGATGCAGCATTGCTTAGTATATGTGGAGACAAAAGTGACTCCATCTTGAATGCCAATCCGCCATGTTGACTTCTGATTAGCCCCAGTCCTGTCAATGCCTCCTGGTTTCTACTTTATTTACTGTTCCTAGTGCAAGAAAAAAGCAACCTTGATGCTATCACACAAGTTACAGGCTAGGACACACACAGCATTCTTGCCTGTTGTGGAGAATTGCCTTTAACTGTCTTGGTAGAACACATACACCCCTTTCCTGTGATATATAGGCCTTGGGTCTGAGGGACAACAGCACGGAGACCTACCTGTCTTGCAGCCACCCAAGACCATGCTTCTGTCTGTAAGTTCTCTCAATACATCACCCAATTCAGACAAACTGGATTTGTCTGCCTTCTTTGGTTTCTCGGCTCTTCAGCATTTGAGAGTTGCTTTGCATAAATAGTCCTTTCATAAGGCAGTATGTAACCGTCTGTCTCAAGAGTCAGTCTGACTCAGGTGCGCATCTTAGCTTGACCACTGCATGCTGCGTGTGGCCTGGGCAAGTTAATTTCTGAAACAAGCTTCTTCATCTGAAAATAAAATCTAACTCACAGGATTGTTGTGCAGCTAACGTGAGGTTAATATGTGCAAAATGCCTGGAATCTAGCAGACAATAAATGGTAGTCATTTTGTTGAATTATTATTGTTTCTTTTCTCTGCGTGATTTGGGATGCTCAGCCTGCCTAATAAATCAGAAGTGGTCCCGTCGCAGGTGATCTTTAGGGAACATCTTATCCTGAATATATTCAGATTGAAAAATGGTCAAGCTCTAGCTCTCAAAGTCCAGATTTGTTATCTGTTTTTAAGAGAAGAAGCCAGGCATGACTCAGGAATTAATCTGAATATGTGGGTAATGAAGTCATTTCCAATCTAAGAATGAATCTACACAGGAAATGAAAAAGTGAGCAAGCCTCAAGTGAATTTAGAGGCACACACTGCTTCCAAAATATTAAAAAGTGTGTGCGTTCATTTGGGCTCTTTGTCCCCATCCCTCCTGAAGAGCAGAAACAACATATGCTTCAGAACAGAGAGTGTTGCTCTTCTTATCAGAACACTGGGAGCACTTCATGGTGAGAATTCAAACTGCCATTTCTAAACGAGGCCAAAGCTACCCGTGCCACAGCCACGAATCAGAAAGCCCTGAGCAGCTCTGCATCGCGATTTGCCTATTCACCTAGCATTCTAAGCAAAGTGCTTTGTTCAAAATTAAGATATATTTCCTATCATCCTGCCTGGATACCAACCTCGCTAGGATTTCCAATCCAGAGCATAGAGTTGTTTTTGCTTCTTGGTTCACTCAAACATATCAGGCACAATAATATTCAGCTCGCTAAGACTGGCCATTATAGCTGACCTATAAGAAAATGTTCCTCCCCCCAATCTACCATTCCACTTTCCCCAGAGGCCAGGTGGTACTCTGGAACTTTGACAATTATCCATACATTGGGGGGTGGAGGGAGGAAAAAAGCAATAACATTGTACATCTTATAGTTTAGGTGTCAAATGGAAGATATTTCTGGGTATAATGGCACTGGGGTGATACATTTGGGGGCTTTCATATATTTCTCTTTATTCTTAACAAACTGATAAAGTGGGTTTACAGCATTCTGTTTGAGAATCTGTCAAGACTCCAAGGCATGAAATGGGAGGTGCTCCAGATCTTCACTGTTCTTGATCCAGTCCCCAAAGCTTGCTCAGAGTTTCTGGAGATGTACTGAGGGAACTGAGTCCCACGACACCTACAGCTCTGAAAGCACCCAGCTTGGGGTGGTAGCACAGGAAGAAACACAACAACAATAACCAAAAATGGCTTTGAAATCCCAAAGGAAATCCCAAAATGTCACTTCATTTCCACTCAAAGTTGAAAATAAAACTAATGGTATATAAAAACCCACGATGACAGTTGAATTAACATTTGTATGGAGACGTGGCATTCTTGGTTGTCATGAAAACACTGAAGCTTCTCAGCTCGCATGCTCATTCAGGTGTTGCGTCTAATTTAGAATTTAACCTGCCAGCTGACAAAAAGGCTTGGAGATCTTGAAAGATCTACTTGTTCTATCAATTAAGATGACATATAAACGTTGAGAAGCTGCTCATTCCCAAGGAAAGTGTTCACCCAGGCAGTGGTTTCTATAGAGACACTATTCCCAAGCCAACACTGCCAAAAATAAGTGTTTACTCATTGAAAAAGGCCAGAGGAGGGGATTTCTGTAATGTAGGTGTGAACTGGAGATTCTGTTCCTTTCACGGCTGTTTGACAAGTTTTCATTAGTCCCCAGCTGAGCTACTAATAATTAAGTGTGTTTTTCAACTGAGAAATGAGATTAGAATTAGTAATTAGGTTGCAGATTTTTTTTTGGCAGACTTTCTGGTGTCTCTTCTCTGTTTTTATAGTTTTGTTTATTTTTTGTGATGCTTTAAGTTTTGGGATACCTGTACAGAACGTGCAGGTTTGTTACGTAGGTATACATGTGCCATGGTGGTTTCTTTGCTGCACCCGTCAACCCGTCATCTACATTAGGTATTTCTCCTAATGCTATTCCTTCTCTTGCCCCCCACCCCCTGACAGGCCCTGCTGTGTGCCATTCCCCTCCCTGTACCCATATGTTCTCATTGTTCAACTCCCACTGATGAGTGAGAACATGCAGTGTGTGGTTTTCTGTTCCTGTGTTAGTTTGCTGAGAATGATGGTTTCCAGCTTCACCCATGTTCCTCCAAAGTACACAAACTCATCCTTTTTTATGGCTGCATAGTATTCCATAGGGTATGTGTGCCACATTTTCTTTATCCAGTCTATCATTGATGGGCATTTGGGTTGGTTCCAAGTCTTTGCTTTTGTGAATAGTGCTGCATACATGTGCACGTGTCTTGATAGCAGAATAATTTATAATCCTTTGGGTATATAACCGGTAATGGGATTGCTGTGTCAAATGATATTTCTAGTTCTAGATCCTTGAGGAATCATCACACTGTCTTCCACAATGGTTGAACTAATTTACACTCCCACCAACAGTGTAAAAGTGTGCCTATTTCTCCACATCCTCTCCAGCATCTGTTGTTTCCTGACTTTTTAATGATCGCCATTCTAACTGGTGTGAGATGGTATCTTATTGTGGTTTGGATTTGCATTCCTTTAATGACCAGTGATGATGAGCTTTTTTTCATATGTCTTTTGGCCACATAAATGTCTTCTTTTGAGAAGTGTCTGTTCATATCCTTTGTCCACTTTTTGATGGGGTTGTTTGTTTTTTTCTTGTAAATTTGTTTAAGTTTCTTGTAGATTCTGGATATTAGCCCTTTGTCAGATAAATAGATGGCAAAATTTTCTCCTATTCTGTAGGTTGCCTGTTTACTCTGATGATAGTTTCTTTTGCTGTGCAGAAGCTCTTTAGTTTAATTAGATGCCAATTGTCAATTTTGGCTTTTGTTTCAGTGGCTTTTGGTGTTTTAGTCATGAAGTCTTGCCCATGCCTATGTCCTGAATGGTATTGCCTAGGTTTTCTTCTAGGGTTTTTATGGTGTTAGGTCTTACATTTAAGTCTTTAATCCATCTTGAGTTAATTTTTGTGTAATGTGTAAGGAAGGAGTCCAGTTTTAGTTTTCTGCATATGGCTAGCCAGTTTTCCCAATACCATTTGTTATGTAGGGAATCCTTTCCCCATTGATTGTTTTTGTCAGATTCATCAAAGATCAGATGGTTGTAGATGTGTGGTGTTATTTCTGAGGCCTCTGTTCTGTTCCATTGGTCTATATATCTGTTTTGGTACCAGTACCATGTTGTTTTGGTTACTGTAGACTTGTAGTATAGTTTGAAATCAGGTAGTGTGATGCCTCCAGCTTTGTTCTTTTTGCTTAGGATTGTCTTGGCTATATGAGCTCTTTTTTGGTTCCATATGAAATTTAAGCAGTTTTTTTCTAATTCTGTAAAGAAATTCAATAGTAGCTTGATGGGACTAGCATTGAATCTATAAATTACTTTGGGCAGTATGGCCATTTTCATGATATTGATTCTTCCTATCCATGAGCATGGAATATTTTTCCATTTGTTTGTGTCCTCTATGATTTCCTTATGCAGTGGTTTGTAGTTCTCCTTGAAGAGGTACTTCACATCCCTTGTAAGTTGTATTCCTAGGTATTTTATTCTCTTTGCAGCTATTGTGAATGGGAGTTCACTCACGATTTGACTCTCTGTCTGTCTATTATTGGTGTATAAGAATGCTTGTAATTTTTGCACATTGATTTTGTATCCTGAGACTTTGCTGAAGTTGCCTATTAGCTTAAGGAGATTTTGGGCAGAGACAATGGGGTTTTTGAAATATACAATCATGTCATCTGCAAACAGAGACAATTTTACTTCCTCTCTTCCTATTTGAATATCTTTTATTTCTTTCTCTTGCCTGATTGCCCTGGCCAGAACTTCCAATACTATGTTGAATAGGAGTGATGAGAGAAGGCATCCTTGTCTTATACCAGTTTTCAAAGGGAATGCTTCCAGCTTTTGCCCATTCAGTATGATATTGGCTGTGGGTTTGTCATAAATAGCTCTTACTGTTTTGAGAGACGTTTCATCAATACCTAGTTTAATGAGTGTTTTTAGCATGAAGAGATGCCGAATTTTATCAAAGGCCTTTTCTGCATTTACTGAGATAATCATGTGGTTTTTATTATTGATTCTGTTTATGTGATGGATTACATTTATTGATTTGCATATGTTGAACCAGCCTTGCATCCCAGGGATGAAGCTGTCTTGATCATGGTGAATAAGCTTTTTAATGCTGGATTCAGTTGCCAGTATTTCATTGAGGATTTTTGCATTGATGTTCATCAGGGATATTGGCCTGAAATTTTCTTTTTTTGTTGTGTCTCTGCCAGGTTTTGGTATCAGGATGTTGGTGGCCTCATAAAATGAGTTAGGCAGGAGTCCCTCTTTTTCTATTGTTTGAATTAGTTTCAGAAGGATGGGTACCAGCTCCTCTTTGTACCTCTGGTAGAATTCGGCTGTGAATCCGTCTGGTCCTGGACATTTTTTGGTTGGTAGGCTATTAATTACTGCCTCAATTTCAGAACTTGTTATTGGTCTATTCAGGGATTCAATTTCTTCCTGGTTTAGTCTTGGGAGGGTGTATGTGTCCAGGAATTCATCCATTTCTTCTAGATTTTCTAGTTTATTTGTATAGAGGTATTTATAGTATTCTCTGATGGGAGTTTGTATTTCTGTGAAATCAGTGGTGATATCCCCTTCATCACTTTATTGTGCCTATTTGATTATTTTCTCTTTTCTTCTTTATTAGTCTGGCTAGAGGTCTACCTATTTTGTTAATGTTTTCAAAAAACCAGCTCCTAGATTCATTGATTTATTTTGGATGGTTTTTGTGCCTCTATCTCCTTTAGTTCTGCTATGATCTTGGTTATTTCTTGTCTTCTGCTAGCTTTTGAATTTGTTTGCTCTTGCTTCTCTAGTTCTTTTCATTGTGATGTTAGGGTGTCAATTTTAGATCTTTCCTCCTTTCCAATGTGGGCATTTAGTGCTATAAATTTGAGTCTAAACACTGCTTTAGCTGTGTCCCAGAGATTCTGGTACATTGTTTCTTTGTTCTCATTGGTTTCAAAGAACTTATTTGTTCCTGCCTTAATTTTGTTATTTACCCAGTAGTCATTCAGGAGCAGGTTGTTCAGTTTCCATGTAGTTGTGCGGTTTTGTGTGAGTTTTTAAATTCTGAGTTCTAATTTGATTGCTCTGTGATCTATGAAACTGTTATGATTTCCATTCTTTTGCATGTCCTGAGGAGTGTTTTACTTCCAATTATGTGGTCAGTTTTAGAATAAGTGCTATGTGGTGTTGAGAAGAATGTATATTCTGTTGATAGTTTTGTAGATGTCTATTAGGTCTGCTTGGTCCAGAACTGTGCTCAAGTCCTGAATATCCTTGTTAATTTTCTGTCTCATTGATCTGTCTAATATTGACAGTAGGGTGATAAAGTCTCCCACTATTATTGTGTGGGAGTCTAAGTCTCTTTGCAGGTCTCTAAGAACCAGCTTTATGAATCTGGGTGCTCCTGTATTGGGTGCATATATATATTTAGGACAGTTAACTCTTCTTGTTGTGTTGATCCCTTTACCATTAGGTAATGGCCTTCTTTGTCTTTTTTGATCTTTGTTGGTTTAAAGTCTGTTTTATCAGAGACTAGGATTGCAACCTCTGCTGTTTTTTGCTTTCCATTTGCTTGGTAAATATTCCTCCAACCCTTTATTTTGAGCTTGTGTGTGTGTTTGCATGTGAGACAGGTCTCCTGAGCACAGCACACCAATGGATCTTGACTCTTTATCCAATTTTCCAGTCTGTGTCTTTTAATTGAGGCATTTATCCCATTTACATTTAAGGTTAATATTGTTACGTATGAATTTGATCCTGTCATTATGATGCTAGCTGGTTATTTTGCGCATTAGTTGATGCAGTTTCTTCATAGTGTCAATGGTTTTTACACTTTGGAATGTTTTTGCAGTGGCTGGTACCAGTTTTTACTTTCCATACTTAGTGCTTCCCTAGGAGCTCTTGTAAGGCAGGCCTTGTGGTGACAAAATCTCTCAGCATTTGCTTATCTGTAAAAGATTTTATTTCTCCTTCACTTATGAAGAATTTGCTTGGCTGGAAATGAAATTCTGAGTTGAAAATTCTGTTCTTCAAAAATGTTGAATATTGGCCCCCACTCTCTTCTGGCTTGTAGGGTTTCTGCAGAGAGATCCGCTGTTAGTCTAATGGGCTTGCCTTGTGGGTAACCTGATCTTTCTCTCTGGCTGTCTTTAACATTTTTTCCTTCATTTCAACCTTGGTGAATCTGACAATTATGTGTCTGGGGGTTGCTCTTCTCGAGGAGTATCTTTGTGGTGTTCTCTGTATTTCCTGAATTTGAATGTTGGCCTGCCTTGCTAGGTTGGGTAAGTTCTTCTGGTTTATATCCTGAAATGTGTTTTCCAACTTGGTTCCATTCTTTCCATCATTTTCAGGTACACCAATCAAACATAGGTTTGGTCTTTTCACATAGTCACACATTCCTTGGAGGCTTTGTTTGTTCCTTTTCATGCTTTTTTCTCCAATCTTGTCTTCATGTTTTATGTCATTAAGTTGATCTTCAATATCTGATATCCTTTCTTCTGCTTGATTGATTTGGCTATTGATACTTGTGTATGCTTCACGAAGTTCTTGTGCTGTGTTTTTCAGCTCCATCAGTTTATTTCTGTTCTTCTCTAAACTGGTTATTCTAGTTAGCAGTTCCTGTAACCTTTTATCAAGGTTCTTAGCTTGCTTGCATTGGGTTAGAACATGCTCCTTTAGCTTGGAGGAGTTTGTTATTACCCACCTTGTGAAGCCTACTTCAGTTAATTCATCAAACTCATTCTCTGTCTGGTTTTGTGCCCTTGTTGCCAAGGAGTTGTGATCCTTTGGAGGAGAAGCGGCATTCTGGGTTTTGGAATTTTCAGTTTTTTTTGTGCTGGTTTTTTTCATCTTCGTGGATTTATCTACCTTTAGTCTTTGATGTTGGCAACCTTCAGATGGGATTTTTGCATGGGCATCCTTTTCATTGATGTTGATGCTATTGCTTTCTGTTTGTTAGTTTTCCTTCTAACAGTCAGGCCTCTCTTCTGCTGGTCTGCTGGAGTTTGCTGGAGGTCCACTCCAGATCCTCTTTGCCTGGGTATCACCAGTGGAGGCTGCAGGACAGCAAAGATTGCTGCCTGCTCCTTCCTCTGGAAGCCCTGTCCCCGAGGGGCACTCACGAGATTCCAGCTGGACCTCTCCTGTATGAGGTGTCTGCTGACCCCTGCTGGGAGGTTTCTCCCCATCAGGACACACAGGGGTCAGGGACCCACTTGAGGAGGCAGCCTGTCCCTTAGCAGAGCTTGAGCACTGTGCTGGGAGATCTGCTGTTCTCTTCAGAGCCGGCAGGCAGGAAGGTTTAAGTCTGCTGAAGCTGCAGCCACAGCCACCCCTTCCCCCAGGTGCTCTGTGCCAGGGAGATGGGAGTTTTATCTGTAAGCCCCTGACTGCTGCCTTTCTTTCAGAGATGCCCTGCCTAGAGAGGAAGAATCTAGAGAGGCAGTCTGGCTACAGCGGCTTTGCTGCACTGCGGTAGATTATGCGCCCAGTTTGAACTTCCCGGCTTTGTTTACACTGTGAGGGGAAAACTGCCTACTCAAGCCTCAGTGATGGCAGACACCCCTCCCCCCACTAAGCTTGAGAGTCCCAGGTTGACTTCAGACTGCTGTACTGGCAGCAAGAATTTCAAGCCAGTGGATCTTAGCTTATTGGGCTCCGTGGGGGTGGGATCTGCTAAGCAAGACCACTCGGCTCCCTGGATTCAGCCCTTTCCAGGAGAGTGAATAGTTCTGTCTCACTGGTGTTCCAGGTGCTGCTGGGGTATTAAAAAAACTCCTGCAACTAGCTCAGTGTCTGCCCAAATGGCCACCCAATTTTGTGCTTGTAACCCAGGGCCCTGGTGGTGTACACACCTGAGGGAATCTCCTGGTCTGTGGGTTGTGAAGACCATGGGAAAAGCATAGTATCTGGGCCAGATAGCACCATCCCTCATGGCACAGTCCCTCATGGCTTCCCTTGGCTAAGGGAGGGAGTTCCCCAACCCCTTGCACTTCCCAGGTGAGGTGATGCTCCACCCTCAGGATGCAGAATTTTTTAAGGATGAAGGAAATATAAAGAACTTCTGGATGGGCACTCAGTTTTCAAATGGGGAAACTGAATGAACCCAGGAAGGGAGAAACTGGCTCAAGTCACTGACCTCTCTGGGGTCAGAGTAGATTCTGTTCTTCCAGCACCCAGTGAGATGCTTCATCCCCTCAAACCACAGCAGTATCTTTGTTTCACCACTTCCAAACACTTTAGTAAAAGCTGCAGGTAAAGGAACTTCCAAATGCCTCTTTAAGAATGCATAATCTTCACCTAGAAAAAAATTCCTTTCTTTTTGAGTCATTTAGAAAAATTAAAGCTGACTCCTAACAGTGACAAATTTTCCTAATTTCAAATGTGAGTTCAGGCACCCACCAGTTATATGGATAGAGTGATGAATATGAAACATGAAGAATTAAACAAGATACATATGAAAAAATTTTTGCAATGCAATTTCTATTATTAAAATATTTTTTGTTCCCCTTCATCCTAGTGTGAGGACATAAATCATTTGTAGCCAATATAAAGAAACAGTTTTCATGAAAAATAATTTATTTATATTCTTTTTTTCTAACCTCCAGCTGATTAAACAGGTACCTTACACTTATAAATTTGGAGGAAAAATAATAGTAGCTGCCTGTCATATCCTATCACTTTGAAGAGTTTCTACTTTAAATTTTCTAAAATAAAAATTCCTTGTTCTGTGCTCCCAGAGGTTGAAACTTTAAAAAATAAAATAAAAATTCTTTTGATAGGATTTTGGATGATTTAACAAATAGGAAGACCTTCAGTATCTTGGTAAGAAATTTATCTTGGTGTAAATGTTTGTTTGTATTTCATTATTTTTATCTGAAAAACATTTACATGTGAAGAATGAGTCTTTCTAAAGGTGCACATTTCCTTCACAGAGTACAGCATGCTACAGTCATCAATTTAAAGTTGGAACCACTGAGCTAACCTTTCTCCTTAATTAGATAGAACTTAGAACAGGCTTTATTAAGGCTTTATTTTGTTATGGCCAGAATTTAAAAACATGTATCAAATAGAAAAGCAAGGATTATACATGTGGCAAAAACTAGGGAAAAGAGAAAATAAATGAGAAAGGACACAGAATGTATTGGGTACTCGTTATAGGTAAATACATAGATTGAGGTAAACCCTTTGCATACTACAGAGAATATTTGAAATTTCAGGAGGCTATTCAGTATTGAAATCCTCATCCTTTTGAAAGGAACTCTCCAATTGTTTCAGTCTTGGTAAGAGAGAGGTCTTCCTCCTACTACCTAAAAAGCCCATCTTTTCCTCTCCCCATCCCCTGATAGCTAAAACACAGACATGTATCTTAGACTCAGCCAATCAGGCACTCACACCTGGAAATTTGGCATTTAAGGAAGTATTTTGCAGATAAACTGGCTCTTGGGGGGTGGGCGGCGGAGGGGGCGGGTGGGGGTGCAGGGGGGCGGGAAGCAAAACCAGACCTGATTTGTAATGTTTGCCAATTTCCATGGTGTAAATAATTCCCGCCATGGCTGATTTCAAACTAAAACTCTTTAACACCAGCTGGTGAAATTCCTGAATGTTTAGCAGTTGTCTCTCATAAGCAATTTCCATTCAGGTTCAAGTCATCATCGAGAGGAGATGATGCCTAGAGTCAGTGGAGGTGAGAGTGCCATGGCATCAATGTCTGACCCACACAGGCAGCAGCAGCAGTGAGAACTAGCCTCAGTGGTAGAGGAGCCAGTTGTGGGGAGCCAGTGGGGGAATCTCAACCAGCCATTCCTAGTGTTGACAATGGATTTCATTTTTATTTGCTTGACTTCCCTCAGCATCTGCTCATTTTCTGGTCCTGGTTCTTTCACCTTTCTCTCAATTTTGTGAGCATCTCGATGGCCTCCCAATAATTCCTTTTCTGATTAAGTCAGCCAGAATTGGTTTCTACTGCCTGTAACAAAGAGTCATGACACACTTTTAATTAAGCCTAATCACCCTTTGAGTAAGGTCCTATGATTATTATCTCCAGTTTACAGATGAGGAAATGAGACCCAGATAAATTAAATGACTTGCTTAAGGTCACAGGCAGCTGCTAAGTAACAGAACCCAAATGCTATTTCCACTACACCAAGTTTCCTCTCAAAAACCAAGGCCATCTCTCGTCTGCATATCCAATACTCATGGCATGCCCTTCGTTTCAGTCTCTGGCAAGATTATATTACACAAGGAACATTATTTGGTGTGGAAAATTTTTGAATAAAATAAATAACTTCTCCAAACATTATGCCCAAGTAATCATTGCCTTTTAGAGCAATCAGAATAAAATGTGAGATATCTATTTGTAAGGAGTAAGCTGATTTCTTTTTGTAGTCCATCTCTGAAGGGATTTTTCTTCTTTAATAAATCACACTCCAGAATCTCCAGGGTTTAACTAAGGAAGGAAAATTCCCTGGGATAGAGGGGCTGCTGAACAAGTGGTCTTGACTCAGTCTCATGAAATGTAACATCCCCTCTTGGGGTTCTCCTGCTTTCATAATTTCAGCCACAAATGTGCTACCTTCCAAGTGTATTTTGCTCTAGCTTTAACATTCTGTACAATATAGACAAAACTCTTCCTTTGCATATCTTTAGCACAGCACTAATTCTGGCTGGAGTAAGAAAATGTGAATAAACAGTTTAAGGAAGATCAATCGTTCTATAGGCAAAGCAATGAGTTCTGATTTTACCATGGCTAGCTGGATCTCAGTATTGGTCAAAGTTCTTAGTTGCAGATAACATAATTCACTCTAGTTAGTTAAAGCAGAAGAAATGCATTAAATAATATTAGAAAGGTCACAGAATCACTGGAAGATCTGGAAGAATAGCATTTAGATTAAGCTACCAAAAACAACTCCCAGAACCAGCCCACAAAGCTGGCCAAGTAATGGGATAGCTGCTGTCACCAACTCCAGAACCACTCAAACTTTTCTGTGACCAGGAGGTTGCCTCCACTACTGTTAACCCCCGGAATACCTTGTCTTGTTCATTCCCACCCCAGTGACTCAGGTGCCCCAATGCTCTGCCAGTTTCCTCAGGTAGTGTGCCTTTAGGTACATACATCTGTTTGGAAGAATCTAAGGTACGTATCTGCATCCTAGGGGCAAGGGAGGTTGGAAAACATAATTGCTTTGTTGAGGGGTGGGGAGGTCTCAACACATGGAGAACTATGAAAATGTCCACTCACTCCTACAAATGGCATTACTTTTCCACATGCCAGGAGGGAGAAGCTTTGAGTTCCAAGTTGCTGGCATAATTTCATAAACATGTTGCTTGCGTTCCTCACTTTCATGTGAGGAACTGCTTTTTAAGCATCTCAACTCCTTTTTCAGTCAATTTTAAGATTAAGAGAGAAATCAAGTGAGAGACAGACAATGATGGATTGCCCTCTGACTTTGATCTTTTTATCTCGGTTCTTGCTTCTGAATAGCAATTAGCATCTTCCCCAGGATATTTACCCCATAAATGCCTCTCTATCCCTCTTCTGAAATCTCATCCCTTACCTATGGCCATGGTGGGGGGAAGAGGGGGAAGGGTCTATGTTCCTCCTTCAGGTCCAATAGCATAACGACACCCATGCCTGACATGGCCTGATGCTTGCCAAAATCCATGATCTCCTTTCCTTCCTGGGCACATAAGGAAACCACAGTTTCCAGGATCCTTTGCAGTTAGGTGTGGACACAGAACTGAGTTCTAGCCAATTGAATCCATAAATGTTGCACAGAGTTTCTCAGCCAAGGCTTTTACAAAGTGACTACTTGCCCCACACTCTTTTCCTCTTTCTGCCTGGTAGATGCAGATGACAATGAGGGCCTAAGAGATGACAGAGCCACAGATGTAAGAAGCCTGGATCCCTTAAACATTTCATAGAGGAAATGCACCTGTCATCCAGAAACACCCATTTGAACTCATATAAATGAGAGACTAATTCCTCTCATATTTGAGCCATCATTAGTTTGGGGGCCTATTTATTCTTTGACTTAATCTATTCCAGCTAATACATTTAGAACACAACTTTAATTCCCATCTAGTAAGAAGGCTTGTGTACAGGAATTCTTTCTTTGTAACATCAAATATAAATATAAAATGGTTTTACCCTTAGTTGTGGCAAGTTAAATGCCACACTTCCATGTCTGAATACTTTCCACTAGTTCAAGGGCTTTACATTATAGGGTTACAGAGGTCCAGACTGAAGGTCCATAGCCATCGTAGACTAGTTAGTTCACTCAGTTCCAAGGTTAGATGCCCCGATGCCTTTCAGCTGTCTTGCAAACGTGTTCCTTGGGTCACCGAGAGTTTTTAGAGGAAAAGCGAGAATAGAATATTCCAAACCTACTATAACTTTTGAAAAAAATTCTCAAAATTTCCATGCTATTGTGAATTTAGTGACATTATTTTTGACTTGTCATGGGCAGCCATCCTTTTACAGTAATAATGTAAGCCTCATTTAGCAGTCCTAGCCAATGAATAGAAAAAGAGTCGGAGAATATGTGCGTTATAGTTCTCATCATACTTATGATAAAAGAGTGAATTATTTTCCTTTTGAAGTTGCATTAACATGGTCAGACTAATGGGATACTATTCAGTGTATTGAAAGAGGTAGTTTACTGAATGGGCTCACGTAGGTATTCCCCAAGAGACTGAATGCGTCTATAAAAAGTGAGCAATTTACTTCCTTTTCATAAGGAGGAAAGTTCTTCTGAGAGATCATTTCTTCACTACTAAAAATGGAAGAAAAAAGAGCCATTAACAATAGTCTGTTGATTATACCTGTATTGATTTGAGAATAATAGCAAAGACGGACAAACCGCAAGTATGTGTTCCTCTCTCCATGTAACTGCGTATGTGCGTGTATGTATACATACATATATATGTATATAGTATGTTGTTTATGGTAGTTATACTTTATGAAGTTGCTGTAGGCACAAAATTAGTGAAAACTGAACCACTTCATGCAGGGAAACTACGTATCTATAATATATATTTTATTTGTATGTGTGTATATTACACAGATTATAGTATTAATTCTTGAGAACAATTCATCCTGGTAGATTCTTTTTACTTTATTTTACAGAAAGGAAACTTATGGTCAGAAGTGTTCAATGACTTGCCTGAGGACGCCCCACCATCAGGTGCCAGAGTTGAGATTCAAGCCTGATCCAGTTGGCCCCAGAACCAGAGCTTCTTGCACTGTCCTGCACCACCCTGCACTGGCTCCAGCTTCTGGCCATCTCTGTATGAGAGAGTTGAACAAGAAGGCAGAACAGTTCTCTGTTGGAGCTCAGCTGGGAATGCACATGTCTGGGCGACTCAAATTTTTCACCACTCTGCATACATCCACAAATGACTGGAGAAGCACCAACAGTACTGATTTTGGGATTACACATATATTTTAATGAGTAAGCAAATTAACAAATATGGAATCTGTAAATGATGAGGATTGACTGTATATACATATATGACATACTTTTATGTCTGTATTTATAAGCTACCAGCTTTTATTCATACAGATGTACATATATGTATATGTATATGTATATGTATATGTATATGTATATATATGCACAGTTTGGGGAATAGAAGCCTCATTCTCCAGAGCAAATGACAAGAGGATCCACCCTAACAACTAATGATTCAGCTGGTGCAATCAAAGCTGGATAAGTAATGAGCCACTTTTGGAAAGAAGGGCTGTTCAATTGGTACTACAAAGCTTTCAAAACATCAGTAGCTATTTCCTTCATGACTAAGCAAGTGATTAGTGTTCAGTAATTTATTTCTTACACAACTTCTTTAGCTTCCTAACAAAATTTTAACTGCTCAAATATTAATATATTTCCATTGCTTTTATTTTTCCTTATAACTATTTTTGCTTTATTATAACCATCACTGGAATTTCTTGCCATCTTTTATGTTAGCTTCTGTGAAGTGGCAATCAATGAATTTGAATACAGTTGATTATTAGCTATACAGGGAGGTGGTACTCCCAGTGAAGTATGATTTAAGGGGCACAACTAGACCCTGCCATCTCCAAAACATCTCTTCCTGAGCTCTTGATATTCTTACTTAAAAGGAAAGTGTTAACGGATAGGCAAGTCAGGCAAGGGATATTGGAAGTATCTTCTGCACTTTGTTTTTTCCCCACCCAACTCTGAATTAAGACAATTTGGAAGTCTCAAGCTCCAGAAAGCTGTAATGACACCTCTCTACCCAAAATCCAACCTTGGATTAGTGTGTGAGCCAAGTCCCACCTGCTCCTTAGCTGCACCTACTTACCACTCTCCATGCGCTCATCATTACGTGGGATACTGCCTGGTCACGAGTCCATCTCGTCTAGAACTTGAGCTTCTCTAGAATATACCTTTAAGAGCTATGAGCCCAGTACCTTAAACAAGGCTACAATCTTGGGGAGGGACCTTCCACTGCCACTTGTAAATGTTTTGTGTCCCTCTCCAAACCACATTAGTTTCTTTCTCAATACCTACGTCTAGTGCTAAGTAACCCGATGTTACCTGGGGCCATTCTGCCCTGGGAAATGTAGGATAGCTCCGTCCTAATTCCACGCCTTGGTTGAAACCAAAGCCCTCCCCCAAGTTTCTGCTAATTCTCAAGTGGTGAGGGAAAGGATGACATTCTCATGGTCTTCTTTATCTCTTGGTGCCAGCTTATATGTGTGCATTTTCTTTCCCAAGTCATGTTTGCCGAAACCTGAAACTGATCCCCTGACATGATTTCCAAAACTTGTCCAAAAAAATTCTACCTGCTCTAAACAGACCTGAGTGCAGTTGACATTTCTGAGGACTTAATCATCATAGGAAGAGGGCCACATTACACACCACGGAGCAAACAACATAAGACACAAATCAGCAATTTCTGTTTTTAAGAATAATTGCAGCCTCCCTGCTTTTAGGTGCTACCGCCTTTAGCTCCAGAAAGTGTCCTAACTTCTGCCAGGTCACACCCCCTCTTTGGGGAAATGAAAAACAAAATAAAATCTTCCTCTCTTTGCCATATACAAGGCAGATCAGGCATGCATATTTGTTACTTCAGTTCTTGCCCACCTGGGAGCCTCAGCCTCTCCCTGCCACAGCAAGCAGTCTCATTAGGTTATTTTCTTCAACAAAAATAGTAAATCCTATGGCCAGCTGTTAAGATCTTTTGTTTTATATCCATCCTGTTACTCCTATAATAGTTTACAAAGGATTTTCACACCAATTATCTCATTTAATCTTAACAACGTTGTGAGGTGGTTAGAGTAGGTGTCGTTATCAGCCTTGGTTTAAAAACGTGGGAAATGAGATGAAACAAATGTGTCACTCAAATCTGCATCTGTGGATGCTGTAGTGGGTTGAATAGTGTCCTTCTAAAATGCACATCCACCTGGAACTTCAGAATGTGACCTTATTTGGAAATAGGGTCTTTGCAAATGTAATTAGTTAAGGAACTCCAGATGAAATTATCTTAGATTTAGGGTAGACTCTAAATTGAATGACTGGTGTCTTGTTAAGAAAAAGGGGAGAGATATTTGACACACAGAGACACAGAAAAGGAGGCACAGATATGAAGACAGAGGCAGAATTTGGAGTGACGCAGCCACAAGACAAGGAACTCCTGGAGCCTCCAAAAGCTGGAAGAATCAAAGAAGAATTCTCGCCTAGAGCCTTTGGAGAGGATGTGGCACTGCTGACACCTTGGTTTCTCTCTTCTCCAGAATTGTGAGAGAATACATTTCTGTTGTTTTAAGCCACAAAATTTGTGGTAATTTATTAGAACAGTCCTGGGAAACTAAGATAGATGTCACATATGGAGATTTGTTTTAATTCGTTGCTTCTTCCCTATACGCTTGATGGTCACAGCTCAAAAATGTTCTATAAAACCAGCCTCCGCAAAGAATGAAGCACAGAATCAGCTGCAGCTCCTGTGGCTTCTAAAGAAATCACCTCTGCTGTCTCAGCCATCAAGAATGAGACAGACTCACAGAGGCTTCACTCAGAAGAGGTGTCCATGGTGTTTCAGTCCCCAGTGAAATGCACAAGAGTCCCAACCCAGCCCAGGAACTCAAACACCCAAACTCATAACATTTTCAAGAAACTTTCACTGGCTAAAAAAGAAACACTTTTTGGAATTCTTTTATGAATAGACTTTCTGGAACTCTGTCCAATATTTTATATCAGTATTTGGTTTGGGAGTTCTGAGGGCTGCAGTCATCCTCTCTCTGTAGAGTCCTGGACAGCATTACCTCCTACAGAATACAATATGTGATATTACTCAGAGTTTTGCCAACCAGAGAAGCTCACCCAAACTTTAGCATACAGAGTTTTCACTGGGGCTTCACTACATAGGCATGATTGATTAATTCACTGGCAGTGTGATTAATAATATTTGGAACCCACAAAAATCCCTGGGAGGGTGGTTGTATTAGTCTGTTCTCACGCTGCTATGAAGAAATACCCAAGACTGGTAATTTATAAAGGAAAGAGGTTTAATTGACTCACAGTTCTGCATGGCTGGGGAGGCCTCAGGAAACTTACAATCAAGGTGGAAGGGAAAGCAAAGATGTCCTTCTTCACATGGTGGCAGGAGAGAGAAGTGCAGAGCCAAGGAGGGGAAAGCCATCAGATCTCATGAGAACTCACTCACTATCGTGAGAACAGCATGGGAGAACCGCCCCTATGATCCAATCACCTCCCACGAGGTCCCTCCCCCAACAAGTGAGGATTATAATTCAGATTACAGTTCAAGATGAGACTTTTGGTGGGGATGCAACCAAACCATATCAGTGGTTTTGTTTTGGAGGTGAGGCTGCTCTGCATGCTGGGGTATGTATGTAGATAGGGGCTTAGTCAATGCAAACTGAACACAGGACACTTCAACGGAACCATCAACTGAAAGCAAGTTTAATGTGTATCATTCTGGCTGTATGGCATAAAATAAAGTCTTTTAGTTCTCAAATGAAAAAGCACATATTTCTGAGCCAGTGGCTATAAAATTGACTCACATCTGCATCTTAATTGCATTTTACACATTCTGTGTTTAGCGCCTATTAATTAAGGCTCAAGATGGATAAGTTTCGAGAGGTTCACAGAATTCTCGCCTGGGAGTTTTCTTTCTTAAGGAGTCTGTATACAGCTCTCCAGTAGCCTGGATGCCAAGTTTTCTTTAACACATTTCTGGTGTGTCAAATCTAGCTTTGGGGCTGGGATGCACTGACAATATAAAGTGAGCTTCTCCCCTTACTGACTCCTGCTTATATACAAACAGGAAAGCCACAGCATGGTTACACCCACCACAGAGAATGGAAAATAGTTAGCGAGGGGAATTTCCCCTCCCCCCATCTAAATATGAAACATACAAACGTTGAAATTGTGCATTTTCTGAAGTTTTCTTTGACACATTTCCGGTGTAACAGACAAATTCGAGGGTGGTCATTTGCCTTGCACAAGGCACCTCCAGCAAGTGTTTGTAAGCAGCAAACTTCCCAGTGTTACTTGTGAACACCAACTACCCAGAGTTAAGCCAGACCTCACAGGTTAAGGGCACAGTCCTCTATAAGACTTCTCTCATTTTCAGACACCAGCTGCAAGTTTGGGGTCCCCAGGGCCACCCTCACTTCTGATCAGCTGGCTACAAATCTAGAGGTCCTCAAGAAGCCCCTCACATTCAATAATTCCCTAGAATGACTCATAGAACTCAGGAAAGAACTATACTTACAATTACAATTTTGTTATGGCAGAAGGATACAAGTCACAACCAGCCAAGGGAGAGACACAGAGTGGGAGCTCTGGGAGGGTCGCAATCATCTTCTCTCTGCAAAGTCCCACACAGTATTACCTCCTCCAGGATACCATGTGTGATAATACTCAAAGAGTTTTGCCAAACAGTGAAACTCACCCAAACTTTAGCATGCAGAGTTTTTATTGGGGCTTCATTACATAGGCATGATTGATTGATTCATTGGCAATGTGATTAAACTCAATCTTCAATTCCTCTCCCTTCCCTGGAGGTTGGGCTCAAAGCCCCAAACCTCTAATCAGGATTGGTCTTTCCAGTGTGTCCAGCCCCCATGCTGAGTTACCACATTAGCATAAACTATCAGGTGTGATCAGAGGGGCCCACCATGCATAACGTAGATAATCCTACCACTCAAGGAAATGTCCAGAGTTTAGAGGCCCCTTCCCAGGAATGGGGGACAAATGCTAGCCAAATTATTTGTTGTTGCAGTTGTTTGGTTTTGTTTTTTAAAAGATATTAAAACTCAGCTTTTATTTGTTCAGTTATAAAAACTTAGAGTTTAAATGTATGCTGTATTTCTTCTCAGAGCAAAGATGTACTTCTGTATTACTATCCTGTATAAATTTGTTTTTTGTTTGTTTGTTTGTTTGAGATGGAGTCTAGCTCTTTCTCCAGGCTGGAGTTTAGTAGCATGATCTCAGCTCACTGCAATCTCTGCCTCCCAGGTTCAAGGGATTTTCCTGCCTCAGCCTCCCAAGTACCTGGGATTACAGGCATGCACCACCATGTCCAGCTAATTTTTGTATTTTTAGTAGGGACGAGATTTCACCTCGTTGGCCAGGATGGTCTCGATCTCCTGACCTCGTGATCCACCCACCTCAGCCTCCTAAAGTGCTGGGATTACAGGTGTGAGCCACTGGGACCGGCCAATCCTGTATAAATTTGTTACCCAAGATAGCTACTTGTATGAAAGGAGAGGGCAGAGGGCAATGGATGGAAATGATTGCTACATGACAGTCCATCCATCCAAATCTACTGGGACAGGGGAGTGGGGGTGGGAGAGAGATGGTCCCACAGAGGTTCCCGTGGGTAAATGATGGGTGTGTCCCTCTCTGCAGTCAGGCTGTACCTATACTTCCCAGTCCTCTAAAAGGTGTCATTCAGGCCACCTCGCTCAGCCCAGTCCCTAATCCCATTCATGTTCCCTTTCCTCCTGGGCTGCTTCTGTGCCTGACTTCCATCATGACTGATTCTGATTAGGCCCCTGGTTTCTCTATCAGCCTTAGATCATTAAGACAAAGACATACTTGCTACCTTCAAACCCATGCCTGGCATGTAAAATCAAACAAAAAATGTTGGGAAGTCTTGGAGTATCACTTCATATCCTTATTAATCACGTCTAGACCACATTATTTTCTGATCACAGTTCCATATGGTGTTAACTATTTTTTAATATAAAATGTGCATGTAATAAAGAGTGTTTCCCAAGGTGTATCAGTAGGCGATCAGCTACGTTTGAGTGAGCCTTATTTTGCTACTTTGGTCTAAGGATCACCTAAAGGCTTAAGCGTGAACCCTGTGCAGCTGGTTAGTTTCTTTGCTCCATGACCACAGTCCTTACCTGAAGCTTAGCCAAGTCACTCCCCAGGAGGATCAAGCCCTAAAGTAATAATGGATCCATACAAATTCATCACTCAGTGATACCAGAGGGGGACAAAAAGTCCATGCTCACTGGAAGCATTATTTGCACATGTGTGTGTATATTAATATATTTTTTCTGCACATTAGACAAATGCCATTGGCAAATTTGAAACAACTCAGATGGCTAAATTTGGAGTCGCACTGCCTTTATCTTATTTAAAACTATTCAATGCACTCCACAACCTCAGCATCTCCCACATTCTTCTACAGCCTCTGCAATACTTTGCAAACTCAATGAGTGAATCCCCACCATGCATGAACCACTTTATCCTCATGGCCATTCTCTAGGAATCTATTGCAGCATTTTTCCCAGCAGATAGCTTTCCCATTCTCTACCAACATGAACTTCCACTCCGCCACTGCACCTGCTGGCAGGAAAACAGTATGAGACTAGAATGCACCCTTGCAATAGTAGGGTGTGATGTAAGTGTTCCATCTCCCAAGACTCTCATGGTTTCCAGTTACTGCGATGAATTGCATATCATGCTTGTGATATAATGGATCTGGAACTTGACACCAACTTGCTGAGACTCTGAAGATATTGCTACTACCCTCTTTGTTTCCCATGCACTCTTTCTTCCACAAGAGTACTTCTGCCATTATCCATTTCCTGCTTTAGGTTTAAACCTGGAGCCTCAAGACTGCCACCCAAACCAGCATCTCCCCAGGAAGAGTGCCTAGACAACATTTTCCAGTTCTCATAGTCAGCCAAGTCCAATTGTGCTAGACTCACTTCTTCTTTGGCTCTGTCTATGAGCAAGTTGCTAGAAGGCAACTTCTCTGCAAAACACGTAGCTGCTTTAGCAGATATCTCTTGTCCTTTTTCAGAATCCCCATTCTCCTATAGGAGATTCAAGTCTTTCATTTCTTGAAGCTTCAGAATAACTCAAGTTACCAGTCTCAAATGTAACTAGAGCTTCTGTGTCTGAAATCTGTCCAGCAGGAACATGTTCTCTTGAATTGTCACAGACGTTTCCATCCTGGTTCCTGTGGGTCTTTGGTTTTAGAAATCAAATGTCCACTGTTTTCTTGAAGATGCTCTGGTTTGGTGAACAGCTCCTGCCTGGAAGGTCCAGGGCTAAGTTCACCACTGACTCCCTGATTGTCTCCCAGAACCGCACCCTCCCCAAGAGAAGCATCCTTCTCTTGTTTTATGTTCCAGTCCTTCCTTATGCCCCTGTCCTTCTCCATGTCCCCAGGCTGCCCTGCAGCAGCCAGACAAAAAGCATTCTGGCAAGACCCGCTCCAACAAACAGGGCAGACAATATGGCACCAATGGCTGAGAGGCTGTGACTCCAGGAGACAATGGGGACCAGGACAGGGGCTCAGGTCACACAGGAAGAGCCACCCAAATTCTTTATTATATACTCCTATACAAAGAGGACTCATCTCTAAAATGAGGGGAATAATAATGCCCCTTGCATGGGCATTTCATAAAGATTAAAGTAATATGTATTTCTGGCATATAATGCTCATTCTTTGAGCGTTAGCTATTATTATTATCTTACTGAATTTGTGGTCACTGAACTTCAAAACACATCCACTGCTAACTCTGTTGTAAGCACCTGAGCACAGGGGAAACATTCACTTTTATATATTTAACGGTAACTGTGTTTTGCATAAAAGGTTTTCAATACATATTTACTGGTTTATTTTTAAAATATATCTACATTTAAGGTTAGTGCATTTAAAATTAATATCTATTTGGCCTTATTTGATTTAAATGTCAGAACACCTTCATATGAGAGATCAGAGGAGCAGCAGAAGCTGCATTTAAAACAATTTGAGCAATAGGCAACTTCAGGGCTACTCAAACACTGGGGAGAATAGACCTGACATCTTAATGAAAAAAATGCATACAAATGCTTGTATGCATTTCTGTCCACCCTTCTAAAGCTTTAAAGACATTTTCTCAGCATTGAAAAGAGTAAGTTCTATTATGAAAAAAGATTTAAAAGGTACTATCCTATCCTACGTACCTCAAGAAAAAGTAATTTTTAAAACGCCATTTGCAACAACAACAAAACTATAAAGTACTTCAAATGAATTTACCAAAATGTGCAAGACACTGTAAATTTTCACTGAAAAGTATATCAGATTATGAGTGACAAGATTCAATATTTATAAACATTCAATTGTCCACAAATTTATCTGTAAATTCAATGCAATTCTAATAAAAATCCCCAACTTATTTTTTATATAACTTGGCAGGATCATGCTAAAATTCATATGTAAGAGTAAATGCAGAGCAGTAATCAAGGTAATTTTGGAAATAAAGAATAAATTCTAGTTCTTTAATTTCTAATACCAAACTTTATTATAACAAGCAATATAGTAATGAAGTAAGAATAGACAAGTGGATCTTTGCAATAGAGCAGAAAGTACACATATACTGTATATGGAAATTTAGTATATGCTAAAGATGGCATTTCAAATCTGGGTAGACAATTATGTAATAAGTGGTGTTATATCAACTGGGAATCCATTGGTAAAAAGAAATAAAATATATCTTTTTCATGCTAATTACAAAGTAAATTCCAACTAGATTAAAATCCTAAGGGTGAGATTAAAAATTTTATGAAAATATTCGGCCACGCACGGTGGCTCACGCCTGTAATCCCAGCACTTTGGAAGGCTAAGGTGGGCAGATCACGAGGTCAGGAGATCGAGACTATCCTGGCTAACACGGTGAAACCCCGTCTCTACTAAAAATACAAAAACAAATTAGCCAGTCGTGGTGGCGGGCACCTGTAGTCCCAGCTACTTGGGAGGCTGAGGCAGGAGAATGACGTGAACCCAGGAGGCAGAGCTTGCAGTGAGCTGAGATCGCCCAGCCTGGGCGACAGAGCTAGACTCCATCTCAAAAAAAGAAAAAAAAAAAGAAAAGAAAAGGAAAAAAAGTGTATAAAAGTGTTCAAAACAAATAAATGAAAATACATGCATGACATTGAGTAGATAGATCCTTCTTCGGATTTTTTTTAAGTCATAAGAGAAAGAACTGGTAAATTGACTACTTTAAAATAAAACTTTTATATGACAAATAATATACAGAAAGTTTTTTTTTAATGGAAGACTAAGAGAAGATATATCAACATACAATAGATAAAATATTGGTTTCTGGATAGACAAAGGAAAAGTCTCTAAAAATGGAAGGAAGTACAAATAATCTAATGTAAAAATGGACCAAAATAAAAACCAAGTGGGCAATTGACAGAAGGGGAACACAAATAGGGCATTAAACATATAGAAAACAATGCTCAATTCCATTAGAAATCAAGAAAATGAAAATTAAACAATCACCTACCTTGTTATATCCTTCAGGTTGGCAAAAAAAATTGTTTGATGATATCAGCTCTAGCAGAGAGTATAGGTAAATGTGTATTCTCATAGCCAGCTAACAGGATTCTATATGGGGCATATCTTATGTTCTGGTAATTCTGTTTTTTATGTTCAAGGTATGTAAGAGTGAGATTGGCAACACGCTAAATGTCCACCAATAGAGAAACAGCCAAATAAGTACATCTTTACAATAGCTGATGTTTAAGTGGGTAATATGAGATATGTACTATATAAGATACACTTACACATACTGACATGGAAGATCTTGAACACAGACTGCTGATGGAAAAAAGCAGTTGCAAAACTACACATATAGAATGTAATCATTGTGTTTGTTAAAAATACGTATTTCCCCAAAATAGTATATATTTTCTACATGTACTAAATGTTTGTAACTGCATGAGAAAACATATTCAAGAATGCACACAAATTTTTCCTGTGCAGAGGGCACTAGGATTTGAGGAAGTAGGCAGAAAAGAATTTAGTCTTTCCTGTAACATTTTAATTTTTACAAGGTGAATGGTCTACTGTATTACACCTGTAATAGTAATAACTGGAGAAAATGTATCCTATCTCCTCCCTAGACTTTAGGGCACAGTTTACTGTATCCTTGGTTCATTATGATGTTAAACATTTAAAACTCTGCGAAGTCAGTTCTACAATTCTCATTCTACTGATAACCAGACATTGGATTATATCGGGCTTCACTGTTTTTTCCCAATTTCGTTATTCAAGTTCTCTACATTGTGTTTAATGCATTCTTTAAGATATTTGTTATCTAGCATTCTATTTTAGAGGACAGAATGACAGAAAAGTTTTTGATGCCTAATTTTCTCCTTAGCCTTAATTCACTGGAATAATTCTCTTTCTCTCTCATGTTGTAATTCAAATGGATTTATCTTGAGAAGTCATCTTGAGGAAAAAGCATATATTTTTTGTATCCCAAGAGACTTCACAGAATAAAAAATAATTGCTTTTTTGTTTTTTTCTGTGCTTGTATTCGTACCCCAAATATTTCACGGTTATCTTCAGAAACATTGTGTACTTTAAGAGCTCAGCAAATGTTTTCCTAAAAAAAAGAGAGAGTGCACAAGCCATCAGCCCATTTGTTTCCCCTCTAGACCTAGGTGAAATCCATCTACTCTGATGTTCATAAAATGGGGACCCTCCTGTCCAGAACATCATTTCTCTATGAATATTTTTCTCATCCCTTTGATTTGTTTCCCTACTTTTGTCATTACAGAAAGCTATCTTGAATCATAAAGAAAGCCCTATTTTTTATATATCTGAAAAAGACAGGGATATAATTGAACTCTACCCACAGGTACAAAATAAAATAAGCCCATAATATAGCCATAACACTGGAAAAGAATAGAAAATCGTTCTGTTCTCATTATTTTAGGAAATAAGGCTTTAAGCAGCAAACAGCATATGAATCTGAACTGACAGGTAATATGAAAATGAGCAGAAGGAGGCAAATAAGGTGTGAATCATCCCTAGGGTCATTTATCTCCAGGGAACAGGCTGCGCATATTTCTGAGCTTCTGCTCCTTGATGGGGAGTACCTGAGGGGTAGGGGACAGGGCACCCACCAGCAAGCTTTACAAGCATTAAGAAGTGCCCACTGACCCTCTGGGTTGGTGGGCCTGCTGTCCTCCTTCTTTCCACGCCAGAGAATTTCCCTGGGCCCTGATACTTTGAACCCTAACAAATGGTGCTATGGTTATTCATCCTAATCCATTTTAAACTCACAGGTTTCACAGCCACCTCAGCATCTCTTACTGTCTATTGAACTTATATGTCCAGTCACAGAGATGGCAGGATGTGGTAGTAAAAATGCCTTTTCTCCCTCTCAGGGCAACCCAGGGTCTCAAATCTGGCACATACAAGTATCAAAGTGAAAAATGGAAGCAAGGAGAGGCATATAGGCAAAACAACAACAACAAAACACACACACACACAAAGAGGTGACAATAGCAGGAATGAAACCACCTTTGAAAAATTATGACGGTGAGACAAATCTGACGTAACTGACTCCACCTTGCTTCTAACCTCACAAGCTAATGGTCTTTGCTCATTCCTGGGCACAGGCTAAGTTAACTATGGAAGGAATTTAGTTTATAGTTTAACTTCAAAAACAAAGATATTAGTCCCTTCCCAAAACTAACCCTCTCTTTTCTTGGGTATAAAAACCACCTTTGTAAAACTAATAAACTGTCCACAAGATTAGAATTATGGTTCAAGAGTCATGTAGCCAGAGGTCAAAAGATTTGTAACCTCCCCAATTTCTCTTTTAGATAACATTGCAATTGTGAAACCTAAGATTGATGTTTGAGGTATTTTTCAGACCTTGCATTCTGATGCTATCCCAGCACCATTTATTGAATAGGGACTCCTTTCCCCATTGCTTATTTTTTCCAACTTTGTCAAAGATTGGATGGCTGTAGGTGTTTAGGTTTATTTCTGAGTTCTCTATTCTGTTCCATTGGTCTATGTGTCTATTTTTGTACCCATACCATGCTTTTTTGGTTACTGTCTTCTTATAGTGTAGTTTGAAATTGAGTAATGTGATGCCTCCAGCTTTGATCTTTTTGTTTAGGATTGCTTTGGCTATTAGAGCTCTTTTTTGGTCTCATGTGAATTTTAGAACACTTTGAGTTCTGTGAAATATGAGATTGATAGTTTGATAGGAATAGCATTGAATCTGTAGACTTCTTTGGGCAGTGTGGCTATTTTATAATATTGATTTTTTTTCCTATCCTTGAGTGTGAGATGTTTTTCCATTTTTTTGTGTCATCTCTGATTTCTTTCAGCAGTTTTGTGGCTCTTCCTTAGAGAACTTTCACCTACTTGGTTAGGTGTATTCATAGGGTTTTCTTTCTTTCTTTCTTTCTTTTTTTTTTTTTTTTTGCTATTGTAAATAGGATTGTGTTCTTGATTTGGATCTCAGTTTGAACACTATTGATATATAGAAATAGTACTAATTTTGTACATAAATTTTGTATCCTGAAACTTTACTAAAGTGGTTTATCAAGACTAGGAGCCTTTTGATGGAGTCTTTAGGGTTTTCTAAGTATAAAGCCGTATCATCAGCAAAGAGAGAGAATTTGAATTTTTCTTTTCCTATTTGGATGACCTTTTTTTTTATACTTTAAGTTTTAGGGTACATGTGCACATTGTGCAGGTTAGTTACATATGTATACGTGTGCCATGCTGGTGCGCTGCACCCACTAACTCGTCATCTAGCATTAGGTATATCTTCCAATGCTATCCCTGCCCCCCTCCCCCCACCCACAACAGTCCCCAGAGTGTGATGTTCCCCTTCCTGTGTCCATGTGATCTCATTGTTCAATTCCCACCTATGAGTGAGAATATGCGGTGTTTGGTTTTTTGTTCGACTTTTATTTCTTTCTCTTGCTAATTGCTCTGGCTAAGACTTCCATTACTATATTGAATAGTAATGGTGAGAATGAGCATACTTGTCTTATTCCAGTTCTCAAGGGGAATGATTCTAGTATTTGCCCATTTAGTATGATGTTGACTGTGGGTTTGTGATAGATGGCTCTTATTATTTTGAGGTATGTTCCTTTGATGCTTACTTTCTGGAGGGTTTTTATCATGAAGCGATGTTCGATTTTATCACAAGCTTTCTCTGAGTCTATTGAGATAATCAGATGGTTTTTGTTTTAATTATGTTTATGTGGTGAATCACATTTATTTATTTGTGTGTTCTGAACCAACCTTGCATCACAGGAATAAAGTCTACTTGATCATGGTGAATAAACTCTTTGATGTGCTGCTGGATTTGGTTTGCTGATATTTTGTTGAGGATTTTTTTTCTTTTTGCCTATGTTCATCATGAATATTGGCCTGCAGTTTTCTTATTTTGTTGTTGTCTCTTTGCCAGGTTTTGGTATCAGAGAGATGCTGGCTTCAAAGAATGAATTAGGAAGGAGTCTCTTCTCGATTTTTTGGAATAGTTTCAGTAGAAGTAGTACCAGCTCTTCTCTGTACATCTGGTAGGATTCAGCTGTGAATCCATCTGGTCCAGGGTTTCTCTTGGTTGGAAGGATTTTTATGAATGATTCCATTTCAAAACTCAATGTTGGTCTGTTCAAGGATTCAATTTCTTCTTGGTTCAGTCTTGGGAGGGTGTATGTGTCCAGAAATTTATCCACTTAGTCTAGATTTTCTAGTTTGTGTGCATGGAAGTGTTCATGATAATCTCTGGGACTCTTGTATTTCTGTGGTATCAGTTGTAATGTCACCTTTGTCATTTCTGATTGTGTTTATTTGTATCTTCTCTCTTTTTTCTTTGTTAATCTACTTAGCAGTCTATCAATATTATTTCTCCTTTCAAAAAGCCAACTTTTTGTTTGTTGATTCTGTGTATGGATTTTTTGTCTCAACTTCATTCAGTTCTGCTCTGATTTTAGGTATTTCTTTTCCTCTGCTAGCTTTGGGGTTAGCTTACTCTTATTTTTCTAGTTCCTCTAGGTGTAATGTTAGATCATTAATTTGAGATCTCTCTAACTTCTTGATGTAGGTATTTAGAGCTACTAAGTTTCCTCTTGACACTGCTTTTGCTGCATCCTAGAAATTTTGATATGTTGTGTCTCTGTTTCCATTTATTTCAAACTTTTTTGATTTCTGCCTTAATTTCATTGTTTACCAGAAGTCATTCAGGAGAAAGTTGCTTAATTTTTATGTAATTGTGTGGCTTTGAGAGATCTTCTTGGTATTGATTTTTATTTTTATTCCACTGTGGTCTGAGTGTATAGTTCATATAGTTTTGAATTTTTGAATTTATTTATTGCTTTATGGCGAGCATGTGGTCAATCTTAGAGTATGCTCCATGTACAGATGAGCAGAATGTGTATTCTGTGACTGATGGGTGGATTAGTCTGTAAATGTCTATTAGGTCCAATTGGTCAAGTGTCAAATTTAAGATCAGAATTTCTTTGTTAGTTTTCTGCCTTGATGACCTGTCAAATGCTGTCAGTGGAGGTGTTGAAGTCCTCCACTATTATTGTGTGACTGTCTTTTTGTATGTCTAGAAGTACTTGTTTTATGAATCTGTGTGCTCCAATGTTGGGAGGGTATATATCTAGGACAGTTAAGTCTTCTTGTGGTACTGAATTATTTATCATTGTGTAATGCCCTTCTTTGTCCTTTTTTACTGCTGTAAGTGTAAAGTCTATTTTATCTGATATAAGAATAGTGACTCCTGTTCTTTTTTGTTTTCCATTTGAGTGATAGATTTTTCTTCTCCCCTTTACTTTGAGACTAGGGGTGTCATTACATGTCAGATGGGTCTCTTGAAGATAGCAGATGAATGGCTCTTCCTTTTTTTTTATCCAACTTGCCACTCTGTGCCTTTTAAGTGGGGTGTTTAGACCATATACATTCAAAGTTAATATTAGTATGTGAGATTTTGATCCTATCATGGAGTCATTAGCTGGTTGCTTTGTAGTTTGTATTGTATAATTGCTTTATAGCATCTCTGGACTATGTACTTAAATGTGTTTTTGTGGTAGTAGGTATTGTTCTTTCTTTTCCATGTTTAGACCTCTCTTGAGGATCTCTTGTTAGGCTGGTCTAGTGGTAGTGAATTACCTTAGCAATTGCATGTCTGGAAAAGGTTTTATTTCTCCTTCACTTATGAAGCTTAGTTTGGTGGAATATAAAATTCTTGTTTGGAATTTCTTTTATTTAAGAATGTTGAAAATAGGCCCTCAAACTGTTGTAGCTTGAAAGATTTCTGCTTAGAAGTTTTCTGTTAGCCTTATTGGGTTCCCTTTGTGTGTGACCTGATCTTTTCTGTTGCCTTTACAATTTTTTCTTTAGCATTGACCTTGGACAGTCTGGCGACTATATTCCTTGGTGATGTTCGTTTTGTATAGTATCTTGCAGGTGTTCTCTGGATGTCTTGTACAGGATGTCTACCTCTCTGGCAAAACTGGAAATATTTTATTGGATTATTACTTCGAATATATTTTCCAGGTTGTTTACTTTTTCTCCTCTCATAGAAATGCCATTAATTCATAGGTTTGGTTGCTTTACATAATCCATTTTCTTGAAGATCTTATTCATTTTTAAAATTCTTTTTTCTTTATTTTTGTCTGACTGGGTTAGTTTAAAAGATCAGTCTTCTAGCTCTAAATCCTTTTTTCTGTTTGGGCTAGTCTATTGATAAAGGTTTCAATTGTACTTTGAAATTCCTTAAGTGAGTTTTTCAATTCCAGAAGCTTGGATTGATTTATTTTTAAGATGTTTATGTCTGCCTTCATTTCCTGGATTGCTTTAGAAGTTTCTTTGTGTTGATTTTCAACCTTGTCCTGGATCTCACTGGGCTTCCTAGTAATCCATGCTTTGAATTCTTCATCCTTCCTTTCTGAGTTTTCATTTTGATTACAGACTGTTGCTGGATAGCTAGTGTGATCCTTTGATGATGTCACAGCACTCAGATTTTTCATGGTGCTAGAATTCATGCACTGGTTCCTTCTCATCTGAGGCCACTGACACTTCTAAATTTTGTCATTATTTTCATGCAGATAGGATTTGTTTTTCCTTTCTCTCTTTTCCTGTGTTATTATTTTCTTCCCCTTTGCCCATGTCCCTAGGGGATATGACTTTAGAGAATGTTGGGTAAAACCTTTTGGCTTCATTTCAATATCTCTATGCACTTCTGTCAGCCAGTTTTATATTGGGCAGTTCAACCTACAGACAAGTTCATGGTTCTAATGAGTAAGAGCCAGATGTGGCCAACATAGATGGGTATATGTTTAATCCTTGTTTACTGGAGAAGGTCTCTGTTTCTGGAAGCAAATGGCAGATCTGTGGAGTTCACAGTGGCCTGAGCACCCTGCTCAGCACCATAGCTGAGGGATAAAGATGGTTGGGGCTAGACCAGGCCTGCTTACAGGTCACCCAATGGCAGGCACAAGAACCAGCACCAAGGGGGGTCCAGTGCACAGCCACCAAGTGCCCACAGATGTGTCTAGGTGTGCCTTGGGGCTGAATAGGAACTCTTTGGCTTCAAGTTCTCTGCACAGGGAATGCAGCCACCTAAATTCCAAATCCAGGAGAATGACTGCTCTAGATGCCTGGAGCTCTGCCTGGGTGTGGAGTGTAGAGGGCCCCATTCCACCACAATCTCTGCATAGGGAGGGTGGAGTGTCTCAGGCTGCTTACCCAGGTGATGTGCTCCAAATACTTAGAGATCAACCTGGGCATGGGACAGAGATGGCACCACTGCACCACAATCTATGCATAGGATGACTGGGCAACTCAGGCTGCTGGTGTAGGTGGGTGGGAGATCCAAATGCCTGGAGATCTGCTGGAAGTAAAGTGGAGAGGGCCCTGCTGTACCACATTCTATGTACAGGAAGGGTAGGGTGGCTCTAGCTGCAGATCCCATCAAGGGGGTGCTCTAACTGCCTGGAGATCTGCCCGGATATGGAACAGAAGAGGCCCCATGGCACCCCAATCTATGCACAGGAGGGGTGGAGCAGCTCAGGATGCTAATCCAGAAGAGTGGGTGCTCTGAATGCTTGGAGATCAGCCTGGGTGTGGAGTAGAAAGGGCTCTACTACATCACAATCTCAGGGGAGCAGGCTGGGGCACCCAGCAATGGCACATGTAGACCAGTTCCAGGTCCCCAAACTGGCCCTGGCTGTCCATCTTCTCACCAAGGAGAAACTGGCTGTCAGCACTCTCCTCCTGCACCAGACCTGTGATCGGGTAGAGCACAATTCCAGTTCCTACAGCTTGGGTGCTTTCCATACTTGTTCTGGCTGTGGAGGCTCCTACTCAGCTCCAGAGCAGGTGCTCCAATCTCTAGTCCAAGACTAAAATGCTGTATGGCCATGGTGCCAGGCTACTAAATAATGACTGATGTTGTATGCACCCAGATTAAAAATGGTGCCACAGTCTCCAAATCAGGCCTGGGAAAATGCCTACAACTTTGTCTGGTGTCCTTCCCTTTCAGTGTCTCCAAGCTTCTCTCCAAGTTGGCGCCAAGGCTTTGGAGGAACAAAGTGCTCTCCCTTAGCCTGGTTGCATGGATCCCCAGTGGAAAGGTGAGTCACAGAGGGAGGCTTTCTACCTCCTCCTGTCCTGTTCTAGGGCTTCACTCACTTTTGTCAGACAAATGCCATCATCGGGGCAGCTTGCCCACCTTCTCTTCCCTGGCACCTGGGATGAGATGTCCTTCACTATTCTGGTGGATTCCTGTTTTCCTTCTTGAATTAAAGCCCACAGAGTTGATCTTTATGACTGATTTTGCTATTTCCAAGTGGCTAAGGCATGCTGAAAACCTCTAATCAATTATCTTGGGAAAAAAAAAAAAACCTCTGTTTTATAACACTACACAGAGCTCTGCAACTGACTCAAGCATGCAGTTTGTCCCACAAATAGGGTTGTCAGACTGACATCACATAGTCATTTGAACTAAAGGTGCCTAAACATATTCCCAGGAGTATTTGCCATAAAGCAGAGCCTCATAATATAATCAACAATAAAGTACAATCTCTGTTAGCATTATGGCCTTTCCATCTTATTTTCCTATAGTGTCTACATTTCTGAAGAATTGATTTAGAAAAAACAATCAACACTTGTATAGCACTTTATAATAGGCAGAGCGCTTCAAATATGCGAGTTTATTGATTCACTTAGTAAACTGAACCACAAGTGGATTCTATAGTGTTTAGGTTTGTGTTTATGGGTACTGTGTGGATGTATAAACCTCTTAAACTCCCTTAATCTCATGCTTTCAGACTCTACTATGATTCTTCTGGAACAGAAGAGACCCTTTTCTCTCATATTCTGATATTCACAAGAACTTCATTACTGTAAAGAAACATTATTCCCTGTTATGACTAAACTCTTACACATGGAGACAATGGGTAATAATTTTAAATAGTGGGAAGTGGAAAATTATGGTACTTGATGTGAAAGTAGCCTAATGATTACACCTTTTATCTTTAGCTCCAAGGTTTATGAGTTACAGTTGAAATGAAAGTGAAGCTATCCTTTATTATTATC
Source organism: Homo sapiens (assembly GCF_000001405.40). Lineage (NCBI taxonomy): Eukaryota > Metazoa > Chordata > Mammalia > Primates > Hominidae > Homo > Homo sapiens. Next base: position 47,473,581 of record NC_000012.12, on the reverse strand, counting down.
TGAAGTAGGATATTAAAATATAAAGCTGTCCTCATAAGGTGTTTTGTTTTAGCTTTTTACTTGGGAGGTAGTATAGCACCTTCTTTAAGAATGTAAGCTCTTGGTTAAGAATCTAGGCTTCCTGGGTTTGAATCACAGTTTCACAACTTTATTAGTTAAATATTCTCTTGGGCAAGTTGTTCAAGCACTTGAAATCCAATTTCTTCATCTCTAACATGAGCATCAGAGCAGTGCTCTTCATAGAATCACAGGGAGAATTGAACAAGATCATCTATGAGGGGCTCTTGGCTTAGTGCCTAGACTCTGTGAGCTCTGTTTATGTGTTCTGTTGTTAAAGCATTTTACAGTCGAAAAGAAAGAATCACATCAGCCGAATGGGAAGCTGAAATTCTATCCTTTTCTTGCACGTTATAGACTGCTTTTATTTCTATTTTTCCTTCTAGGAAGAGAGGGAAGAGGCTGTTCCTGTCATTTAGTTATGGAATCTAACAGTTTATTTCAGCAGTCCCCAATCTTTTTGGTACCAAGAACTGGTTTCATGGAAGACAATTTTTCCATGACTGGGGGGTAGGGAATGGTTTTGGAATGAAAATGTTCCACCTCAGATCATCAAGCATTAGATTCTCAAAAGGAGCATGCAACCTAGATCCCTCATATGAGCAGTTTACAATAGGGTTCACACTCCTGTGAGAATCTAATGCCACTGCTGATCTGACAGGAGGCGGAGTTCAGGTGGTAATGCTCACTCGCCTGCCTCTGACCTCCTGTTGTGCAGCCTGGTTCCTAACAGGCCATGGACCAGTATTGGTCTATGGCCCAGGGGTTGAGGACTCCTGGTTTATTTGACTTAATGAGTTTGCCAGGGTGGTAGATTTCCTGTTGTTGTTTGTTTGCTTGTTTCTTTGTTTTTACTTAGATTCAGCCAGGAATAATAATTTAATTCTGGCCCAGTACGCTCTTCCTTAAAGCAGAGTAAGCTTTCTGTCAAATATATATGAAAATGAGATTTTTTAATATCCTGCTTTGATTTTGCTATGTAATAAAAGATCTCTAAACTTAGAGGCTTAAAAATAATCATTTATTAGCTGATGATTCTGTATGTCAAGCAATTTCACCTGGGTGTTGCTAAGCAGTTCCCCTGCTAGTCTCACCAGGGTTCACTCATGCTATTGCAGCTGGCTGGCGGATTGGCCAGGGGTTGGTCTTGCATGTCTGGTGGTCGGCTGTGGTAACAGAGTGACTGGGCCACATGTCTCCAGTGTCCAGCTGGGCTTTTTCACATGACAACTGGGTTCCAAAAGCACTAAGGTAAAGAACAAGTCCCAGTGCACAAGCATTTGTCAGACCTCTGCTCATGCCATGCTTGCTAATGTCCTGTTAGCCAAAACAAGTCATATGGCCAAACCAAGATTCAAAGAATGGAGAAATAGACTCCACCTCTTGATGGGAGGAACTGAAAATATAGTGTTATCATTCATTCCTTAGTATTGAATTATAATCTTCTTTAGAGAAAATTAAAACCACGTTATTACAGATAGCATGAACATACAGAGTAATAAAGAGAATCTACCAAGCTGAAGTACTGTGTGTAACTTAATGTTGGGGTCAGGGTTATGTTCAATTCACATAAGTAAGTCATAGTCCTTCGGCTCAAGGACACTGTAAAAACGAGATAACACATGCAGAAGGCCACACTACAAGGCAGTTTGTGATCAACATTATGGGAATGACCCAGCTAAGAGTTATCGGAGTTCTCTAAAGAAAGAAATCCCTGGTTCCTGTGGGAAATACGGGATGAGAAAATTCCTTGGAGGAGGTGAGGCTTAAACGGGGCTAAAGAAATGGCAGGATTTGCAAACACAATTTAAAATGTAGTATATGCCAAGTGAGGGGGGGGGGGTGTCAAGTTCAAGGATATTAACATGGGCATGAAGTCTGCATATTTAAATACAGTGAAGATGCCCTAATGGGTTGGCAGAGGTGAGACAGCAGAATGCATTTGAGATTCATAGTTGACCAATTTCTTTCCATGCCTAAGTTAAACCTAGAACTGGAATCAAGGATTTGGGGTCTCTAAAGGTCAGACTGCTATTCCTAAAGCATTGTTGTCACCCTTTTCCTCTTTTGCTCATTGAAAAAATCTTTGATGGCTGCCTTTTCTTTTTTTTTTTTTTTGAGACGGAGTCTCACTCGTCGCACAGGCTGGAGTGCAGTGGCGCCATCTCGGCTCACTGCAAGCTCCCCCTCCTGGGTTCAAGCCCATTCTCCTGCCTCAGCCTCCTGAGTAGCTGGGACTACAGGCACCCACCACCACGCCCAGCTAATTTTTTGTATTTTTAGTAGAGATGGGGTTTCACCGTGTTAGCCAGGATGGTCTCCATCTCCTGACCTCGGGATCTGCCCGCCTCGGCCTCCCAAAGTGCTGAGATTACAGGCATGAGGATGGCTGCCTTTTCTACGTAGAATAGAGTTTGTTCCACAGAACTTGGTGTCAAATGTGGTTTTGTGATATGCCTTAGATCATATTTCCAGTCTTCTCTCTCACCACTTCTTATTCCATTTAAAAATTTTTTCTCAGGAGTGGTATTCATTAAAAATTAAGTGTAGAATCTCTCTTTACCTGGTTTAAAAATTTTAAAGCCTATTTTATTTTCAAAGTTAATGTTGGGCTTTGAGTAATAGCATTAGTGAGTTCTAGTCCCTTAGAAGCAGACTTTGGAATGAAATTACAAATGTTCTTTGAGAAAATAATCAAAGGTAGCTACCATCTAGCTTTTATTTTACATTTTAAGTATTTTGCTTAAAGGTTTTTTTTTACTACATAGGTTCCAGCAAAGGATGGTGTATTAGCCCATTCTCATGCTGCTAATAAAGACATACCTGAGACTGGGTAATTTATAAAGGAAAGAGGTTTAATTGACTCACAGTTAGTTCAGCATGGCTAGGGAGGCCTCTGGAAACTTATAATCATGGCAGAAAGGGAAGCAGACACATCCTTCTTCACATGATGACATAAAGGAGAAGTGCCATGCATAGAGGGTGGAAAACCCCTTAAAAAACCATCAGATCTCATGAGAACTCACTATCACAAGAACAGCATGGAGGTAACCACCCCCATGATTCAATTACCTCCCACTGGGTCCTTCACATGACATATGGGGATTATGGGAACTACAATTCAATAAGAGATTTGGGTGGGGACACAGCCAAACCATATCAGACGATCTGCCATCAGTCAATATTGAGTTTCCCACTGAGTACTCTGCACTGTCCAGGATTTATTTTTAAATCCTATCTCCTGTTTGTCTGGACTATCTGAACATTTATTGCTTAAAAAATATGTGAGTTTGTGAGCTTATCCCAGCATTTAGGCAGTAAGTGACAAGATATGTCCTCTTCAGCATATAGTATAATAAAAATTAAGAACATTTACCAGCAAATACTTTCTAAATGAAGTAGTAAAGCAAAAGGAATTTTTCTAATGTTTGAAGTTGTGAGATATTTCTTGACAGGCAATGTTCAACTTTTTTAAATAACAAAATCATATTTTCCCAAGAACCAAAACAAAGTTTGATAAAGCAGTCTCTTGATTTTGCCAGGTCATTGAGTGTGGCAGTGAAATTTTTTGGTGTAAAATTTATTAAAATAATGTGATTTTTTAAATGAATTCTCAAAATTCTAGAATGGAAGATGCTTTGTATGTAAATTTAGATCTGCTTACTATTTCTGAACAAAATAAAACAGGGCAAATCAAGGACTCTCACCTAAGAGGTAGGCAGCCTCAGGCCTCTGCATGACCTTTTTCTCTAAATTGTTGTGGAGTTAACACAGTCTGAGGGAAACTCTGTAATACAATCCTATTACTAATCTTTTTACATTTAGTTTACTTTTATATTTTAAGGGAATGAAATCTTGCTATGTTGCCCAGACTGGTCTCAAACTCCTGGGCTCAAGAAATCCTCCTGCCTCAGCCTCCCAAAGCGTTGGGATTACAGGCATGAGCCACTGCTTCTAGCTCAATGATTGCACTTTTAACATAAAAATTCCAGCCATTTTGGTACAATTTATTCTGGACTTCTCAAGAAATTGGATTCACTGTTTCTAAAAAGAAAATAGGTGTAGTAACCCAGTCCTCTGGAAAAGTTCAGCTACATCCAGCATCCCATGTTTTGGACTCAACACAAGAAGATGAAAAGGCCATTCATGTGGATTTCTATCAGCTCAGATATTTGCAGGCACAATGAATTTCCAGAGCACATCATGTTTAAGGGGAAGCTTAAAATAATTGCACCAAAAGCATTGTCCAAGGGAGCTCCTTTTCTTGTAGCCAGTTCCGAAAAAATGTTTTTCTTTTTTGCTTAAGTTCTATTCTGTTTAAGAATCTTTTCTCTACCATTAAATTTAGCCAAATTGTACCCTTTTGTCTGTGAGTCTTTGATGTTAATAGCAAAGAAGAGTTTCCAATTCTGAGATCCGTTTGAGCCAAATTTTGAACAAATATTTATATGCAATATTTGTTCCCCCTCTCTGAAATAGTAGGATATGTATGATAATGTAATTATTTGTTTGTTTTTAGTGGAGGTAGGATAGCCCTGGAAAATGGAAAATGGCACCTGGGTGCAATGGCACTTTGGGCTGCCAAGGCGGGCAGATCACCTGAGGTCGGGAGTTCAAGACCAGCCTGGCCAACATGGCAAAACCCCGTCTCTACTAAAAATACAAAAATTAGCCAAGTGTGGTGGCATGTGTCTGTAATCCCAGCTACTCAAGAGGCTGAGGCAGGAGAATTGCTTGAGCCCAGGAGGCAGAGGTTGCAGTCAGCCAAGATCATGCCACTGCACTCCAGCCCAGGCAACAGAGCAAGACTCTGTCAAAAAAAAAAAAAATAACAAACAAAGCCTTAATAATTTTTTATATTAAGATATATATAAACATATAGTTTATACTATGTATACTACAATTCTCCAGACTTGATATTCGCTTCTAAATATATATATTTACCTCATATTTTGGTCATGTATATATCAGATACTCCTCCCATGCTTAAAAAGGTTTTGTGTGCTTTGGTTTGATTTGATTTGGTTTTGTTTTCACACAAACGAGCCAAGCTATGGCCAATGATGCAAATTAAAAACAATGGTATCAGTGAATTATAGAAAGGTATCCTACAGGAGCACAATCTATGCATTAGACACAAATTGGCAAAAAAAATGTAATTTCTACATCTCTCAAAACCTATCTGTTTTTTTTTTCATGGGCCCCTACTCCATTGGATATCAGGAGAAAAAATAATTTAACCCAATCTGATAAATTCTGTTCTATCTAATCTTTTAAGCAGTTTTAAGGAAACTCCTGTAACAACAGGATAAATGTTCAGACCTTCAGATTTTCTTCTCCCTCACTCTTCACGATATCACCCAGGTGTGTAAGAAAGGGATTCTGTAATATCATGATGATTCTGAGACTTGACTTATTCCTGGTGCTGTCTTCCGCCTCCTCTCTTCTCTACAGCATTAGCCCCCTGTCCACCTTGTTCCTGGGTATTATGAAGGTAAGTAAAAACATTTAGAATTTTCCCTGTTGCCAAAAGGGAAAGAGACTTCATCTCCTCCTCTCTTTTTTAAAGCATTTCCGCAAGAAACCTAATATCTATGAATCCTTCCTCCCCTCCTTTGATGTGTATGTCAATCTTTGCAAAGGCTAGGTAAGCTTTTTGCCAGCTTCAAAAGCCAGAAATGTTTTGCTCAAGGTCTTGGAACCCATCTCTTCTGAAATATGAATATTGAGAAACACAGCAACCCTATCTCCTCATCACTATGGGAGATTAGTTTAGGTGCCCTGCTCCAAGCTGTCACCACGTATTTGTCACAGAGGCGCATAGACTCTAAAACAAGGAATCTAAGCAGAGGAAACTTTAAGGAACCAGACAACAGTGCTATACACATCTTAATTTAAGGCATAAGCATTCATTTGCATAAAATTGAGACAATTATTTTATTTTTGAATAGGTAAATGGTGTAAGTAACTGAGAGTGTGTCCCATAATAGGCTATCTCCCAACACTTTGACTCAAGGAAATTGTGGGATTGGGGCTAGGAAGTGTCTTTTATCTGGTTACTTTTGTTATCTACATTATACTGTATAGTACAGGGATGTAATTGACTTACATTTGACTTATAAGCTAAGAATAATATTCAGATAAAATATGCTAAGTAGTTATAATTTGGGAGATTAAGCTATCACTCAGATCACAGTTAATGCATATATTACTGCAGTTCTACTAAACCAGGGCTTCCCATCCCCTAGACTGCAGACCAGTACCAGTCTGTGGCCTGTTAGGAACCAGGATGCACACCAGGAGGTAAGTAGTGGGTGAACAAGAATTACCACCTGAGCGCTGCCTCTTGGCAGATGAGTGGCATTAGATTCTCATGGGAGCATGAACCCTATTGTGTACTGCACATGCGAGACATCTAGGTTGCTTGCTCCTTATGAGAATCTAATGCCTGATGATCTGAGGTGGAAGAGTTTCATCATGAAACCCCCTATGCCATCCATGGAAAAATTGTCTTCTGCAAAGCTGGTCCCTTGTGCCAAAAAGGTTGGAGACCATTGTACTAAATAAAACACTAGTCTTTATTAAGTTAGAGTCTCAGTCTCAATGAGTTTCAAACATGATTTATCCATATTTTCACAGTTTACAACAAAATCAATTTTATTGTTCCACCAAAAAACTGCTCAAACACAAACAAATTCAAAAGCTAGCAGAAGACAAGAAATAACTAAGATCACAGCAGAACTGAAGGAAATAGAGACACAGAAAACCCTTCAAAAAATCAATGAATCCAGGAGCTGGATTTTTGAAAAGATTAATGAAAATAGACCTCTAGCCAGACTAATGAAGAAGAAAAGAGAGGAGAATCAAATAGACACAGTAAAAAATGATATAGGGGATATCACCACTGATCCCACTGAAATACAAACTACCATCAGAGAATACTATAAACACCTCTATGCAAATAAACTAGAAAATCTAGAAGAAATGGGTAAATTCCTGGACACACATACCCTCCCAAGACTAAACCAGGAAGAAATCACATCCCTGAATACACCAATAACAAGTTCTGAAGTTGAGGCAGTAATTAATAGCCTACCAACCAAAAAAAAAAAAAAAGCCCAGGACCAGACGGATTCACAGCCGAATTCTATGAGAGGTAAAAGAGAAGCTTCCTTCTGAAGCTATTCCAAACAATAGAAAAAGAGAGACTCCTCCTTAACGAATTTTATGAGGCCACCATCATCCTGATACCAAAACCTGGCAGAGACATAGCAAAAAGAGAAAATTTCAGGTCAATATCACTGATAAACATCGAAGCAAAAATACTCAATAAAATACTGGCAAACAGAATCCAGCAGCACATCAAAAAGCTTATCCACCATGATCAAGTTGGCTTCATCTCTGGGATGCAAGGCTGGTTCAACATATGCAAATCAATAAACGTAATCCATCACATAAACAGAGTCAATGATAATAACCACATGATTGTCTCAACAGATCCAGAAAAGGCCTTCGATAAAATTCAACACCCATTCATACTAAAAACTCTCAATAAACTAGGTATCGATGAAACATATCTCAAAACAATAAGAGCTATTTCTGACAAACTCAAAGCCAATATCATACTGAATGAGCAAAAGCTAGAAGCATTTCCTTTGAAAACCATCACAAGACAAGGATGCCCTCTCTCACAACTCCTGTTCAACATAGTATTGGAAGTTCTGGCCAGGGCAATCAGGCAAGAGAAAGAAATAAATGGTATTCAAATAGAAAGAGAGGAAGTAAAATTGTCTCTGTTTGCAGATGACATGATTGTATATTTAGAAAACCCCATCATCTCAGCCCAAAATCCCCTTAAGCTGATAAGCAAATTAAGCAAAGTCTCAGGATACAATGTCAATGTGCAAAAATCACAAGCATTCCTATACACCAATGATAGACAAACAGAGAGCCAAATCATGAGTGAACTCCCATTCACAGTTGCTACAAAGAGAATAAAATATCTAGGAATACAACTTACAAGGGATATGAAGGACCTCTTCAAGGAGAACTATAAACCACTGCTCAAGGAAATAAGAGAGGACACAAACAAATGGAAAAACATTCCATGCTCATGGATAGGAAGAATCAATGTTGTGAAATTGGCCATATTGCCCATACTGACTTTATAGATTCAATGCCAGTCCCATCAAGCCACCACTGACTTTCTTCACAAATTAGAAAAAACTACTTTAAATTTCATATGGAACCAAAAAAGAGCCCCTGTAGCCAAGACAATCCTAAGCAAAAAGAACAAAGCTGGAGGCATCATGCTACCTGACTTCAAACTAGCCAAAAGACTACAGTAACCAAAACAGCATGGTACTGGTACCAAAACAGATATACAAACTGATGGAACAGAACAGAGGCCTCAGAAATAATGCCACACATCTACAAACATCTAGTCTTTGACAAACCTGACAAAACAAGCAATGGGGAAAGGATTCCTTATTTAATAAATGGTGTTGGGAAAACTGGCTAGCCATATGCAGAAAACTGAAACTGGACCCTTCTTTACACCTTATACAAAAACTAACTCAAGATGGATTAAAGACTTAAACATAAGACCTAAAACCATAAAAACCCTAGAAGAAAATCTAGGTGATACCATTCAGGACATAGACATGGGCAAAGACTTTATGACTAACACAGCAAAAGCAATGGCAACAAAAGTCAAAATTGCCGTATGGGATCTAATTCAACTAAAGAGCTTTCTGCACAGCAAAAGAAACTATCAACAGAGTGAACAGGCAACCTACAGAACAGGAGAAAATTTTTGCAATCTATGTATCAGGCAACAGGCTAATATCCAGAATCTACAAGGAACTTAAACAAATTTACTAGAAAAATCAAATAACTCCATCAAAAAGTGGGCAAAGGATATGAACAGACACCTCTCAAAAGAAGACATTTGTGCTGCCAGCAAACGTATGAAGAAAAGCTCATCATCACTAGTCATTAGAGAAATGCAAATCCAAACCACAATGAGATGCCATCTCACACCTGTTAGAATGGTGATCATTAAAAAGTCAGGAAACAACAGGTGCTGGAGAGGATGTGGAGAAACAGGAATTCTTTTACACTGTTGGTGGGAGTGTAAATTAGTTCAATCATTGTGGAAAACAATGTGGCAATTCCTTAAGGATCTAGAACCAGAAATACCATTTGGCCCAGTAATCCCATTACTGGTTATATACCCAAAGGATTATAAATCATTCTACTATAAAGATGCATGCATATGTATGTTTATTGAAGCACTATTCACAAAAGCAAAGACTTGGAACCAACCCAAATGTCCATCAACGATAGACTGGATAAAGAAAATGTGGCACATATACACCATGGAATACTATGCAGCCATGAAAAATGATGAGTTCATGTCCTTTGCAGGGACATGGATGAAGTTGGAAACTATTATTCTCAGCAAACTAACACAGGAACAGAAAACCAAATACCACGCGTTCTCACTCATAAGTGGGGGCTGAACAATGAAAACACATGGTCACACGTAGGGGAACATCACACATTGGGGCCTGTCGTGGGGTGGGGGGCTAGGAGAGGGATAGCATTAGGGGAAATACCTAACATAGATAACGGGTTGATGGGTGTAGCAAACCATCATGGCCCGTGCATACCTATGTAACAAACCTGCACATTCTGCACATGTATCCCAGAACTTTAGGTATAATAAATTTTTAAAAATAATAAAAAATTTTTTTAAAAAACTGCTCAAGCAATCTAACAAAGGAAAAATAATATAGCTTCAAGCTGATAAAGCAAAGGGAAAATGATTACATTTCTGCTTAACTGTCATATTTGGGATTTTCTAAAGAATGCATTCATTTCTAGAAAGCACCATTACGTTGTTTGTGCCAAAAAGTTGATGAGCTATCCTTGAGCAACAAATTGGTCAGCTGGTCAGTTACACATGGTAATACTGGTTCTCCAACAGATGGCTTCATTGTCTTTACATAGTCCTTTTCATCCAATATGAGGTGGTAATAAATCCCTTGAGGAATAATTATTGTGTCTCCTTTCTTCATACAAATCTGAAGTAATTTATTCTCTTTATCCCTTACATAAAAATATCCACTTCTATCAAAGATATATTGAATTTTAGCATCCAAGTGTAGATGCTCTAGATAAATTATCTTAACCTACAAGATAAAACTTCTGTTTCTTTGTACAAGTATTTTTCTAATTCACCCGTGCCTAGAGAAACATTTTCTTTATACTGTGATAGTTTATTTTTGCACATGATTATTATGTCAATATAGAAATAGTTTCAGTCTTTTAAAATCTTTTCTAATTTTGGATCATTCTTACATTTGTCCTTGTCCAGTTTCTACTGAAAGATATCCAGTCAATGGGGTTGCTCCAGGCTGACGGGGCACCTGAGCTCTCATTAATGAGTTTCCTTTAGCTTGAAGAATTGGTTACATTTCATGATTCTATGATTTTGTGGGAACAGGTGGCCTGATCCCCTACAGAAATTGCTGCAAGTCCTAGATGGTATGGCTCAAGCCTCAGTCTTAAACCTCATCCTTTTACTTTTAAGCTATTTATCTCTATCTTGGAAGCAGGATATAGTTGGTTCTTGCTTTTTTTAAAAAAATACAATCTGAAAATCACTGTCTTCAATTGTGGTGTTTAGTCCATTTACTTTTATTGTGAGTAAGGTTATGATTTTGATTAAATCTACTATCTTGCAATTTGTTTTTTACTTGTTCCATCTGTCTTTGTTCCCTCTTTTCTTTTTTCTGCCTTCTTTTGGATTGAGTTTTTCTTAATGATACCATTTTACATAATTTATTAAGTTGTTAGCTGTACAATTTTGTGGTTATTTTAGTGGTTGTTCTAGGAATTACATATTTTTAATGTAATACATTCTATCTTCAATATCATACAACTTCACATATAGCATAAGAAACTTAGAACAGAGTACTTCTATTTCCTCCCACCAATCTTTGTGCTGTTGTTGCCATACATTTTAGTTCTTCATATGTTATGAACCCCACAACACATTGCTGTTGATTTTGCTTTAAAAATTAATTATCTTTAATAAGATTTAAATAAGTAAAAAGTATTTTATATTTAGCAATATAGTTTCCAATTCGGGTACTCCTCATTTCATTGGTTGATCCATATTTCCATCTGATATAACTCTTCTTCTGCCCAAAGGACTTTCTTTAATGTTTCTTTTATCTCTGACTACTTTTAAGACTTTTTAAAATCACTGTTTATAAGTAAATTGATTATGATGTATCTTGGTATAGTTTTATTGATATTTCTTATACATGAGATTTGTTGAGCTTCTTGGATTTGTGGGTTATAGTTTTCACTGAATTTGGAAATTTTTTGTCTTTTTATTTGTTTAAATATTTTTTCTGTCCTCCCTCCATTGGAGACTCCAATGACACATACATTAGGCCACTTGAAGTTTTCCTACAGCTCAGTGAGGCTCTCTTCAATTTTTTTTTTTTGGTCTTTTATCTCTGTGTGTTTAATTTTGTATAGTTTATATTGGTGTTTTCAAGTCATTAATCTTTTTTTCTGCAGTGTGTAAAGTGATGTTAATCCTATCCACTCTATTTTTCACCTTAGACATTGTAGTTTTCATGACTGAAAGTTTGATTTTTTAACTTAGTATGTTAAATGTTTCCTCTCATTTTCTTGAACATATGGAAAACAGTAATAAAAGCTGTTTTAATCTTTGGTCTACTGGTTATATATCAGTTCTGAGTTAGTGTCAATACATCGATTTTTCCCTCATTCTAGGTTGTATTTTTCTTCTTTTTATGCTGGCAAGTTTTGATTGGGTGCCAAACACTGTGAATTTTATCTTGTTGAGTGCTGGATATTTTTATTATTTATATTTATTTTATATTATTCCTATTTTATATTATTCCTATAAAAATCCTTAAACTTTGCTTTGGGATAGAATTAAAGTACTGTAAACAGTTTGAGTCCTTCAGGTCTTGCTTTTAAGCTTTGTTAGGTGGGACTAGAAGAATACCATACTCCACTACTGATGTTAAATTCTTGTGAGTACTCTACCCAATACCTCAAGAATGAAGAAGTTTTCCACTCTGGCTGATAGGAAGAAGAACAATTCCTTGCCTTATGTGAGCTCCAGAAATTCTTTTTAATCTTTTCAGGAGGTAGTTTCTTGACCTTGAGTTTCTTCACCAACTGCGTGCACTGATCAGTAGTTAGATGATTGCAGGGGGAACCCTCTGAAGGTCCCCAGGGCTCTCTCTCTCTCTCTCTCTCTCTCTCTCTCACTCTCTCTCATTTTTCCTCCTTAGCATTCAGCCCTGTGCACTCCAGTTTCCTTTCTTACCCTCCCAGAAAAGTCTCCTCAACTCAGGGAGACCACCTGGCTCCTTCTCGGTCCCCCCTCCCTGTGACAGAGACTAAAAAGTCTCTCCAGGCAGTAATATGGGACAACCATAGCCCACTTCATTTGTTTTCCATCCCTGTCCATTGTCTGATATCCAATGTCTTGAAAACTGTGGGGGTTTTTTTTCGTATATTTTGTTTGATTATTTAGTGTTTCTGATGAGATACTAAGCTCAGTCCCCACTGCTCCTTCTAGGCCAGTATAGAAGTCTGGGTGCTCTTATTAATAGTTCCCCTTTTCATCCTCAAAATGTCTTGGTTTGTACAATATATTACATTGCCACTCTACTTACAGATAACATGTAACAACATTGCAAATTTGTTTGATGTAAATGTGTTCCTTTTTTATAACTTTTTCCCCAATATTCAGACAAAAGCTTTTCTTGAAGCATGACCTTTCTATTAAAGTGAGATAGGAACATCTTTCTCAGGCCCTCCAAATAGCAAATGTAAAATAGGTTCAAAATATGACACTTTGGGAATTATTTTTAACTCAGTTCTCTAATACATTCCCAAGGCTCTTTGGGGAAACTAAAGCTGTGCTTGAACTGCATTCTCATTCTTAAGAGTAAGCAATTCAGAATATGAAAACAGTAGAAGGGTAAGAATTTCAGATCCTATGTCAAGAGAAAATTCCTATATCCTTTCTTTATCACAGTATTAAGACAGTAGAAGTGGGACTGACATTGTTAATAGATGAAAAGAGATAGTATCAACCAAAACCCACAATTTTCTCAGAGATGTGACTAACCCTCTATTTCAACTTGAACTCTGAAATAAGTGTAACTAGAAGTATTAAAAAATAAAAAACACTCTCTATTCAGCCTCCCCAAATAAAAAGTAGGCTTTATAGGAAAACTAATCAGGCTTTTACCTGTTATAATTTTGGAGCTTTAATTTAGCTTCTATGGAGATTAAGGAGCAGCCATTAAGAAGTCAGTGGCTCAGTAATGGC